>NC_000005.10:1260000-2510000 GCF_000001405.40 Homo sapiens
GCGGATGCCCAGATGGGACAATGCCCTCAGGGCTGCAGCTTCAGAGCCTCAGCCCACCAAGGCCTGGGACCCCGTCTCATCCTGTAAGGAGTGGCACTGGTGCTGAGGACCTAGCGGGGTGAACACGAGGACCCCTCAATACATGTTATGTGCACACATGCTACTCACACTGCACACCCACACGCATGCACCTCACGTGAATGCCCACACGACTGTGCACGAACACACATGCATGTCAGGTGTGCATTCGCATGTGCACACACTTGTGCCCTTGCACACCTGTGCACACACTGCCATGCCTTCATGTACACACATGCACACATGTATGTGCTCACGTGTATATGCGTACATGTGCACTCTTACGTGCAGCCAGTCACCATCAGCCTTGCAGGCACGCGCGCACACACACACACACATACTTGCGCACACACCTCCTGAACTCTGAACTCTGTGCTGACCATCAGCCTGCTCACCTGCAAATCCAGAAACAGGCTGTGACACTTCAGCCGCAAGACCCCAAAGAGTTTGCGACGCATGTTCCTCCCAGCCTTGAAGCCGCGGTTGAAGGTGAGACTGGCTCTGATGGAGGTCCGGGCATAGCTGAGACACAGGGGGGAATGTCAGACACAGGTGCCTGCCCCACACCCAGCCCCCTCCTGCAAAGCTTGCTCCAAAGAGCCTCCTGCCTTCCTCCCGCTTCCTTGTCCTGCCTGGGGCATGCGCTGCAGCCCGAGGGGGCTGGGTGCTCACTCCATGGACTCCAAATGCTACATGCCATCCAGACTCTGCATGACCAAACTCCACCAGGACCTGGCTAGTGATGTTGAGTGTATCCAAACCTCGCACGGCCGTGTTTGTGCACTCATCATCTGCCCTGATGAGATCTGCACATAACTCAGCCAAAAACACATAATAAACTGTGGAGCCCTGGCTCCCGGGCGTCCCTCGAGTGAACACAGGTGTGACTCAGGTTTTTTGTGGGAGAACACTGAGTTGGGCGTGGGGAATCTCACTGTGTTTGAATCTCAGGGATGGAAGAGCCAGGTGGCACCAGCTAAACAGGGCTCCAGTGAGTGCACGTGGCACACATGGTGTCTCCAGAGGGGCAGGATGGAGGCATCCCACCGATGTCCTCCAGGGCCTCACCACCACTCACTGCCCATGTATGTCCATGTCCAAAGATGAACACACATGACATCCACGGCAGGCTCCTGGGGTGTGTTCTTTTACATCCAGCTTTGAACACTGCTACATTGAAATAAACGTTTTGTGCCATTAAACATTCTTCAAAAATTCTTTGAAAAATGTTTAATGGCAGAGCAAGTTTTGTGATGCATAATATCTCCTTAGCCCTGTATTTGGGCAGGTTCGTGACTTGCTGTGGCAAGTCCCCCTGCCTGGAACACTGGAAATGGTAAATAAGACCCGTGATAATGTCTGGTCACTTCAGAAGTGGAATTACTGGGAAGACACAGGACATTGTGAGGACTTCCATGCAAACAAGCTGCTTTCCAGAAAAGTCTTTCCAGCTTGCCTCAACCTGATGCTGGCTCTTGGCAAGCCCAGAAAAGGAGCCAGCATGAGGGATGGGGACAGGTCTCGCCATCAGTTTCACGTGCGTTTCTTTGAGGGATGGGTCTCGCTGTCAGTTTCACATGCATTTCTTTGACGCTGCTGGTAGGACCTTCCCAAGTGTGCATCAGACGTCCATTTCTTCTTTCACAGCCATCCCCAACACGACCTTGGGCTCCGGCTCACCCTGAGCCTATGGGTCTGACTTGTGTGGGGTCCTCGGGCAGAGCAAGGGCCCCGGAGCAGGAGGCCAGGCTGCAATCATGCATGCCCTTTGCCAGCTGGGTGACCAAGGGCGGCTGCTCCCCTGGAGCCTTTCCTCCTCTACCTCTCAGGTGGTTAGGAGAACAAAGTGAGAGGATGAATGTGCAGGACCTCACAGGGCGCCTTAAATAAATCACGTGCACAAACGCTCCAGGGAATGGCCATTTTCACTGTGGCTCAGGCAAGCTGAGTTTCTCTGCAGTGAAAGCAATGCCCGTTGCCTCACTGGTTTCATCCGCCTCCCTGTGTGTCCTTCCCCAACACCAAACCAGGGAACGTTCACCTCCCTTCCCTTTGAGTCTTTTGTTTTATTTCTGTTGCTGGTGTTGTTTGCATGTGTCTCCTCTTCTACCTAGAATCTGCTCTGGTATATGCTGTAAAGACACAACTTATTTGCTTCCAGTCAGTTTTCTCAGAAAAAAAAATTACACACACACTCTCTTTTCCATCAGCTGTGCCACATACCACATTAACACACGTTTCTGAGAGATAGGGCTTCCGTTTTGTTCTATTGTTCTGTCCATCAGTTCTGACCACATTCTACCATCTGAGCTGTGGTTTGGGAGACTAAAATCTGGACAAGAAAATTCCCATCTTACCACTTTTCCTTTTTCACTTTTCTTAATCATTTTGCCTGTTTTCTTCTCCCAGATGCCCTTCAAGCCTCTGCTGTATACTTCAGACACAGAGGATGTGAGTTCACCCTGAGTATGGCGAACCACTGCCTCCACTGCTGAGCTTTTAGAGCCACCTCTGCAAGCACACACTCTGACCAAGTGGCCTTTGGGAGCACAGAATATTCTGGCATTGGACCCACATCTGATGACCTGATGCCCACCCATCCTGCACTAGCCTCTGTGGCTTTGCAATGTGTTTAGAGAGAACCCATTTTCCTGATTTGTTTGTCTGTCCTTTGTCCTTCAATAACATTCACTGATGCTGTGCCAGAGGCTGGAACCAGGGGTGCCTGTCCTAAAAAATACATTTCATGGGGAGCAAAATAAGCAGTGGACAGTTCACAGCTGACTGGTATGGCCAGCACTGCAGAGGTGCCTGGGAGAGGCGAAGAGGTGCTGGGAGCCCAGGAAATGTGGAAATCATGCAGACAAAGCCAGTGGAGGCCAGGACCAGGTAAGGCTGTGAGAGGGAAGCAGGGACTGTGGGGAGCACAGGAGACCGGCATCCTTGTGGGGAGGGAGCTGCAACAGGGACATGCTGGGCACCATGCACAAGGGTGTCTGCACCTGCCACTCCCCCATCATGAGGGCGTCTGCACCTGCTGCTCCCCCATCACGAGGGTGTCCACACCTGCTGCTCCCCCATGAAGCAAACCCCAGGGAGCATTCTGGAAAGAGGCAAAGTCCAGATCTGGACTGTTAACTCAGAACGACAGGACCCCAGTTTAAACCTCTGGTTTAACAACCATCCACCACTTATTTCTCTTCCCATGAAGGTGTGCCTTTCAGAGGAAGGCACCCCCAGTTCCGGCCTCTAGCACAGCACCAGTAAATATTATCGAAGGACAGAATAAAAAAACACCTGTCCACTATGGTTTTGGAATGCTGATACTTTTTTTTTTTTTTTTAAGATGAAGTCTCACTCTGTTGCCCAGGCTGGAGTGCAGTGGTGTGATCTCGGCTCACTGCAACCTCTGCCTCCTGGGTTCAAATGATTCTCCTGCCTCAGCCTCCCGCATAGCGGGGACTACAGGCGTGTGCCACCAGGCCAGGCTAATTTTTGTATTTTTTAAGTAGAAATGGAATTTCACTATGTTGGTTAGGTTGGCCTCAAACTCCTGGCCTCAAGTGATCCACCCACCTCGGCCTCCCAAAGTGCTGGGATTATAGGTGTGAGCCACCTTGCCCTGCCTGGAATGTTGATACTTTTTATTCATAAAAGAAACAGCACAGATTTCTGCATCTGTGTCCATCTTCAATTCATTTGTGTCTGAGCCTGAGACGGGGCCTTGAGCTCTCGGGCTCTGGGGAAACAAGACCCCAGAATTTTGTAGAGACCCCCCCCACACCATGGCCCTGTCCCCTGATGGGTCACACGTGATCATGAACTCATGGCATCCTGTAGACTGTGGATGAGCCTTGGAGTGTGGGGCTCACAGCGGAGAGACTCACGCCCAAAAGGGCCCTGAAGTCTCTGGGTTCGGAGAGACTCACGCCCAGCAGGGCCCCAGGGTCTCGGGTTCAGAGGGACTCATGCCCAGCAGGGCCCCTGTGTTTCGGGTTTGGAGAGACTCACGCCCAGCAGGGCCCGGGCGTCTTGGGTTCGGATCCAGACTGCTTTCTGAAGACACCTCAGTGCACCCAGGTCTGGTGCACCATTTCCTTTTACCAAAATAGCACAGAAAACTGCTCCCGTTGTGAGCACCCTCACTCCCACAGAAAGATGCATTTCTGCTCAGCCCCAGATGGGACGAGGGGCACCCTGTGGCCTCTGACCCTTTGGGATTGGCAGTCGCCTGCCCCACACGGAAGCAGAGGTGGACGCAACGGCCCTGCAGCAGCACCTGCCCCAGCCGGGCACAGGCTCCACTTCCGGCCAGGTGCGCTCACCTGGAGTAGTCGCTCTGCACCTCCAGGGTCCGGGTATCCAGCAGCAGGCCGCACCAGGGGAATAGGCCGTGGGCCGGCATCTGAACAAAAGCCGTGCCACCCAGGGCCTCGTCTTCTACAGGGAAGTTCACCACTGTCTTCCGCAAGTTCACCACGCAGCCATACTCAGGGACACCTCGGACCAGGGTCCTAAGGCAGAGGGGCAATGTCAGCCCCAGGATGCGGGGCCGTCACCCAGGAGGTAACCTGACACCCTTGTTAAATGCTTTGGAAAACCCCAGAGAAGTGGTGATTTGGAGCAGGGTGCTGGGCCTGGCAGGAGCTCTGAGGAGCCTGGACCCAGCCCTGCTCCAGACTTCGGGGTGCTTTCCCTGTCTCCCGGGCAGGACAGGTAGGTGAGCATGCAAGAACCTGGCCTGGACCCGGGACAGCCAGGACTCAGATGGGAGGTGCAGCCCCAGTGGCCTCTGTGATGGTCCATCTCATGTGTCCCCATGGCAACACCACAATCCCGTTATAGACTCATCTGTGGTCCGGGGCAGACTAAAATCTGGACAAGAAATTGCCACCATCCCACCTTCTTTTAAGACGTTTCTCAACGACTTTGCCTGTTTTCTCCTAGATGCCCTGAAGGCATCTGCTGTGCTTTAGACAAAGGGGAGGGTTCTGAGTTCCTGCTCAGGCGCGGGACCTGGCTGGGCTGTGAGCTGGGCAACACCAGTCGTCAGCTTCACGTCAAGGAGGTTCCCTCGCCGAGTCATGAGCCTCGCTCACCCAGCTCAGGGAGCCCCCCTGTGCCCGGTAGCCTCTGCTCTGGCCTGGGCATCCCCTTCCCTTCCTGCGGCCTCTGCTGTGGCCCCGGGCGTCCCCCTGCCCTTCCTGTGGCCTGGCCCTGGGACCTCGGCCAGCTGCGCAGCTCCCCTGGTGCATTCCCAGCTCCCTGTGGCCACCCCTTCCTGTTACATGGCTGCCGACTCATCAGAGACAGAGTTCTGCCCCCGGTGGGACCCCAACATACACTCTGAGCCACCTCCCTGGCCAGCACCCTCAGGAACTTGCCACACAGAAGCAGCGTTCCCCGTCTGCTCTGTCCCCTCAGCAGCCTCAGGACTCCTGAGCCCTCAGTTGCTTGGGACCTGGGCTCCCCCCGAGTGAATCTTAGTGGATTTAAATGTGCACAGCCTGCTGTGCTCCGGGCTGCGGCACAAGGAACGCCAGGCATACCCCCAGCCCAGGGCGGCCCTGGAGGGTGGACCTGGAGGGTGGACTTGGAGGGCGGGTCCAAATGGGTTTTCACAAACACAGCCCAGCAAAGCACCTGAAACCACCCCTGGCGGCCACATTTTCTGAGGGTTCCCTTTACAGCTTTCAAGGTTTCTCGTCCCTCGTCAAATCGCACTTTAAAACAAGCCCACCGGCTCTGTGGGGCGCCCTTGAGGGGGACCACATTGGACAATCCCCTGTGCTGAGGCCAGGTCCCCTGTGCCTGATTTTAGTTTGATTCACAAAAATCAACTCTGAAACCCACTCCTAGCCATCTCCGTGGTTCAAGACAGCAGCACTCAGCAAATCCAAATTCTCCCACCGATCCCAAACAACCCCACGCAGGAACGTGACCGCAGCGAACGCTGTGGGCCAGCTCACTCAGCAGCTCCTGCTCTCCGCAGGCTCAGGTGCACCCTGGGGAGGAGGCTGCCGCCTCGGCCCTGCAGGCCCTGTGCACAGCTCCTGGGGGTCTCACTGGGGCCCCAGGAGCCGCCACTCTTGACTTTCCAAAGAGCAGCAGGAGCCAGGTCACCGCCTGCACTCACCACGTGTGTAACCTGGGTGCGTCTCTGCAGGACCAGGGCCTGCACGGTACCCACTCCCTCCCGAAGGTGCCCCTGCGCCCCCAGGCCTGGGTGCACGGCCAAGCGCCTCTGCTCTTGCGGATCCAGCACCGGCAGAGAGAGAGGACTTGGCAGAGACAACGCTGCGGTGCCAGGGGCAGGACACGGGGGGCTCAACTGCAAAGCCCACAGGCTGTGGAGGTCCCCACAGACACACGGCACGGGCCTCACCTGAGGAAGGTTTTCGCGTGGGTGAGGTGAGGTGTCACCAACAAGAAATCATCCACCAAACGCAGGAGCAGCCTAAAATAAGGGAAAATACACAGCAAGGTTAACTTTACACTTTTTACGTAGTATCTGTCTACGAGGGACTGAATGTCAAACAATTTACACAGCCATAAATAAAGTAACATTCTCCAAAGCGGTTAAATGAAAAACTTAAATTTCTTTCCAACAGACGAGCTCTCTACAGTTAACTGCTACAGCAATTCCTCATTCATTATAAGTACTCAGTGTTTACCATCAGCTTGTGCAATTCTGTGCCAGCTGAAGACGAACGAAGGCCATCAGGCGCGGCCCCACTTCTCAGACTCTTAGGGAAAAATAACTGAAGACGGTAAGAAAGCTGGGGCTGGGAACCTCGCCCCCTCTGAGCCACGTGGTGCCCTTTACCAGCATGGCAGCTGTGGTCCTCAGCATGATCCGAGACCCAGATCCTATCCACAGGAAGCTGGGCATGGTGCACTGTGTGACCCTCAGGCCCAAGCCCAGCGCCCCATGACCATGGGCCAGAGGTATCCTGTCCCAGAGGGCTGACCAGTGTGCCGCCAGCTCGAGGACACTTTCCTCCAAATCCCAGAGCAAGTTGTGTGTACAAGAAATTTTTGTTTCTGTTACATAAACTTATTTCAATCTAGAACTTGAACCTTAATGAAGAAGAACCTTGATCCACTGTACATGCTATAATTGGAGCTAGAGTTTCAAAAGATGCACAGGAAAAACCCGGAGTCTTCGAGAGAAATGGCTGTGTGGCCTGCAGGCTTCCTGACGCATCCTTCACTAACTGTCTGCTTGTTCAGTGATACTATTTTCATAAAAAAATAACTGCTGTCCACATCCTCTCCAGCACCAGAACACTTTTACACTGTTGGTGGGAGTGTAAACTAGTTCAACCATTGTGGAAGACAGTGTGGTGATTCCTCAAGGATCTAGAACTAGAAATACCATTTGACCCAGCCATCCCATTACTGGGTATATACCCAAAGGATTATAAATCATGCTGCTATAAAGACACATGCACACGTATGTTTATTGCGGCACTATTCACAGTAGCAAAGACTTGCAACCAACCCAAATGTCCATCGATGATAGACTGGATTAAGAAAATGTGGCACATATACACCACGGAATACTATGCAGTCATAAAAAAGGATGAGTTCATGTCCTTTGTAGGGACATGGACGAAGCTGGAAACCATCACTCTGAGCAAACTATTGCAAGGAAAGAAAACCAAACACCACATGTTCTCACTCACAGGTGGGAACTGAACAATGAGAACACTTGGACACAGGGTGGGGAACATCACACACCAGGGCCTGTCATGGGATGGGGGGAGTGGGGAGGGATAGCATTAGGAGATATACCTAATGTAAATGATGAGTTAATGGGTGCAGCACACCAACATGGCACATGTATACATATGTAACTAACCTGCACGTCGTGCACATGTACCCTAGAACTTAAAGTATTAAAAAAAAAAAAGTAACTGCTGTCAATAAAAGCCAGCTGAGTTGAACCACATTAGGTTGGCACGATATTTAGGTGTGTGCGTCCTTGGGTGTAGACCCCATGCAAGTGGGATGGGCAATGGGCTGAAGAGGCGCCCAGTCCAGGCCACCTGTCGAGGGCCTGCTGGGAGATGTGGGGCCTCAGGCTGCACCAGCCCCATCTCCCCAAGGACCCTAACGGAACCTGGGTGACGTGACAGAAGCTGGTGTGCTTCCTCGGTGTTGAATTCACATGCTCATCATGCAGGGCAGCGGCCCTCCCGCCTGCTGAGCCCTGAGGCCTCTGGACATGGCCGCTGGACAGAGCCTGCGTGGAGCCCGCAGTCCTCAGGCTGTGCAACCCCTCCCGTGCGGCTTCATACCAAGAAGGGGCTGCAACCTTGTCTGGTTCCTCAAGACAGAGCAGTCATGGTCTCCAGAGCACCAGGAATATTAACACTGAATGCATCAAAAGCAAATCAACCCCCACCCAAGCCCCCCTGGGGAAGAGGAGGCCTCACCCGTCCCGCCGAATCCCCGCAAACAGCTTGTTCTCCATGTCGCCGTAGCACAGGCTGCAGAGCAGCGTGGAGAGGATGGAGCCCTGCGGGATCCCCTGGCACTGGACGTAGGACCTGGGGCGGGAAGACACAGGTGAGAGACGGGCAGGGCATGTGCTGGACATGCGTACACTCAAACCGAGCCACACACAGACACAGAACCTCATACACACAAACGACACGTCTACCATTCAGCCGGCAAACACCTCAGAAACATACCAGATGAGACCTCTGAACAAACAATCCCTGCTCCCCACTCTCACCATGCACTGGGGCGGCTGAAACAGATCCAGCCACAGGTGTGACCACATCCTTGCTCTGAATCATCAAGGTTTTCTTTCATTAAGGTTTCTTAAATCTTAGAGTTTATTCACAGAACCAGACACTTGACCCGGAATGAATGCTTAACCGGACTCCTTTTTTTTTTTTCAAGGAATTTGTCCACGGTGAAAGACTCATGACCCTACATGTAGCCGCTGCGCGCCAACGGATACAACCTTGCCCCTAGTTTCAGCATGACCAACGAGAAGCAGAAACTCTCCAAACAAGGATGCCAAGGGTGCGTTTTCAGACAAACAGTGAGAGCAGAATAGCCCCGTGGAACCTAAAGGTGCACACAGAAGGCATGGCTGCCACGCGACCCTCAGCCATCCCCAGAGCCCACAGGACGCCACTCCTGTTGCTAAGAGACGCTTGCAGCCTACTGCAAAAACAAGACCTGTTATTTTCGGGAAGCGCTATAGGTGGTCACCTTAAAAAGAGGCTTTCCGGCTGGGCGTGATGGCTCACACCTGTAATCCCAGCACTTTGGGAGGCCGAGGTGGGTGGATCACCTGAGGTCAGGAGTTCGAGACCAGCCTGGCCAACATGGCAAAAACCCCTCTCTACTAAAAATACAAAAATTAGCCAGGCGCAGGGGGTGGGTGCCTGTAATCTCAGCTGCTCGGGAGGCTGAGGCAGGAGAAATGCTGGAACCCGGGAGGCGGAGGTTGCAGTGAGTTGAGATCGCGCCACTGCACTCAAGCCCAGGCAGACAACAGTGACGTTCCGTCTCAAAAAAAAAAAAAGAAAGAAAAGAAAAGAGGCTTTCCTTGCTGGTGCAGATATCACAGTGATGGGCAAGAGGACTGCACTTTTTGCACAGAAGCACACGCACCAACTCTAGGAGTCCGGCCAGCCCAGCGAGTCAACGCAAGCAGATACGCCCCTGTGAGCACATGGGATGGGAAACTCTCTCTGTTCTTAGTTTTTGGGGCAACAGGTTTTGAAGACGTTTTTATTCAGAGGCCAAACTGGACCACGATGGGGACTAGAGCTTCGGGCCTGTCCGTGTCCTAGGGACAGGACAGACACAGTCACCTCCTGTCTGTCAGGGCATGAGGACGCAGTCATCACCTCACATTCCCCAAAGCCCTGCCACACGTGGACGGTACGTGACTTGATCCATCTTAATAAAATTCACGACCACGAAGGAGGCCCGTGGTGGCTTCTCTGGGGAGGTGACTTTGTCAGCGAATTCTGTGGGCCTGGGGGCCGCTTACACACATGTGCACACGTGTCCCTCGGCCAAAATTCACTCTGCTGCCATGTGCAATTTGTGTTTTTCCAGAACGTGTGTACTACTTAATATTTCTAATTATACTTTAATAAATATTATAATTGCTGATACCATTAGTGATTACTTATAATGCAATAATTAATAGTTATATTTTTAAATAAAAGCTTCCGAAGCTGTGCACAGTCCTTTATCCGCTGGAGACGATCCCAGAGAGAGGCCTCCACGTTCCACCTGACTGCGGATGACCTTGCTGATGACCTTGAGTGTGCACGAATTTCCTCCGTGCTACCACTCTCCCCAGGCACACACAGGGTCGCAGGCAGATGCCTGCCGGGAGGTGTGTGGTTTTACTTAAAATCCAGAGGACGTGATGTGGCACCAGGCACTGTGGCTCTACCACCGTGAGTGTGGCTCACCCAGTGGCTGTGTGACGGCAGCTCTCCCAGGCCGCCTGCCCCATGGCCACCACAGGCCCCCCGAGAGGAGCAAACTACACGGTCAACCCCGCACTTTCCAGATGGGAAATCTAGTCACAGAGAGAAGAGCCCGCGCCCTCGCGGGGGTCACACGACAGGGACAGGAATGAGAATCGGATAAAATCCTTTTGTATCGGGAGAGAGAGATACAAGCGTGTGAGAGCCGGGTGTCCAGCGTCAGTAGTAACTTGGAGCTGACAAGCTGCAGGCTCAAACGCTCGGCGCACACCTGACCCAGACACACCCCCCGCCCCTCGTCCTCCACGCAGGAGCAACTCCACACCCCGCTTGCCATTTCCAGGCCTCGTGTGGCACCTGCTCCGCTCCGGCTGCCGCAAGCCGAGCCATGTTTCCGGGGCCTCGGGAGCCTGCAGCCCAGGAGCCGGAGGGGGCGGGGGCCAGAAAAGGAGACTCTGGTGGCCCCGGGCAGAAGGGCAGTGGGGAAGGGGCAGGAGAGAGGTGAGCAGAAGCCCTGCCAGCCCGCCCAGCCACCCGCAGGGCAATGGCACCTGGCCACCTGACTCACTTGCCCCTGATGCGCACGGCGTGGTGGCACATGAAGCGTAGGAAGACGTCGAAGAGGCCACTGCTGGCCTCATTCAGGGAGGAGCTCTGCGAAAGCAGACGGGAGACACATGGGAGTGAGCCGGTGGGTGCTGAGACAGGCAGGACCACGTGGCCAAGACCCTCCGTCCCTTTTGGGGTCAGTGTTTGTGATGAAGTGCGGGGCTGGGCTGGAATGCAGGGCCATCGTGGGCTGGCCGGGCCGAGTCTCTGCAGACACACATGGGCTTAGGCAGAGTGTGTGACACAGAATGTCTCCTCTGGGCCACCTGTGGGTCCAGCTGGGCTCACACCCACACAGCCCACCGTGGCCCGGATGGCATATGTGATCCAGGAGTTGCTGCCCAGCTGCCGGGCACAGGGTCTGGGTCCCAGCAGCCCAGGCCACCTCCACCCCCACCCTGGGAGCCAAGGAAATTCGCCCAGAGGTCTCTGAGCCTCATGCGGTGGACACGACTGTCCCCTAGAGCCGAGCAAGTGCTAACAGGCATCTGCAAAGAGCCACAGGGCCACGTGGACAGACCACATCTGCAAAGGGCCACAGGGCCACGTGGACAGACCCAGCACTGAGAGGCCCGCTCAGCGGGGCGTGGCTCAAACACGGCCCGTCCTCCTAAGAAGGGGGACACGTTTCCTTTGGCCTCAGACCCAGCACTGAGGGGCCAGCTGGGCAGGACACGGCTCAAACATGGCCTGCCCTCCTAAAGGAGGGGGACACCTTTCCTTTGGCCTCAAGATCAAAACTGGCAGAGAAGACATTTAGCAAATCATGAACAAAGGCACTGCGGAACTGGAGAGAGGCCGCGCAGTCAAACGTGAGCAGGTGCCTGAATGCAGCAGCTGTCGCAGCCTGGCATGGCCCAGCTCAGATTTCGCCAAGGCACACAGCTCATCATGCCCCCATCACAGCTCATTCCCCCCACTGCCCCCCAGGGCCAACAGTCTGTCCGGTCATGAGCCCAGTGATTGCCCAGGGGAGGACCCACTGCTGGGAGTCCGTGCCCAACCCTGCAGGGCAGTGCCCAGACCTGCTCGATGACGACGGCATCCCTCAGCGGGCTGGTCTCCTGCAGGTGAGCCACGAACTGTCGCATGTACGGCTGGAGGTCTGTCAAGGTAGAGACCTGCCGGCAGAGGAGAGGGCATGAGCCACAAATGTGGCCTGCCCCGGCCAGAGCTGGGCACTTGTTTCTTCCGATCAGGACGTGTGGACCTGCGGCCAAGCCCGATGGCGGGATGAAGCCCAGAGAGCGCCTGGGAAGCTTCTGTTTGGGAAACGGGGGCCGGGGGGCCGAGGACGCAAAGTAGCTACAGACACACCTGGGACTCCACCTGCAGCTACCACACATCAGACCCCTGTGACCGATCACCATCCACAGTCACCACATCAGACCCCACGACCGCCATCCACAGTCACCACATCAGACCCTACGACCGCCATCCACAGTCACCACATCAGACCCCACGACCGCCATCCACAGTCACCACACATCAGACCCCACGACCGCCATCCACAGTCACCACACATCAGACCCCACGACCGCCATCCACAGTCACCACACATCAGACCCCACGACCGCCATCCACAGTCACCACACATCAGACCCCACGACCGCCATCCACAGTCACCACATCAGACCCCACGACCGCCATCCACAGTCACCACACATCAGACCCCACGACCGCCATCCACAGTCACCACATCAGACCCCACGACCGCCATCCACAGTCACCACACATCAGACCCCACGACCGCCATCCACAGTCACCACACATCAGACCCCTGTGACCGATCGCCATCCAGTCACCACACATCAGACCCCCGGGACCAACCGCCATCCACAGTCACCACACATCAGACCCCACGACCGCCATCCACAGTCACCACACATCAGACCCCTGTGACCGATCACCATCCACAGTCACCACACATCAGACCCCACAACCGCCATCCACAGTCACCACACATCAGACCCCACGACCGCCATCCACAGTCACCACATCAGACCCCACGACCGCCATCCACAGTCACCACACATCAGACCCCACGACCGCCATCCACAGTCACCACACATCAGACCCCACGACCGCCATCCACAGTCACCACACATCAGACCCCACGACCGCCATCCACAGTCACCACATCAGACCCCACGACCGCCATCCACAGTCACCACACATCAGACCCCACGACCGCCATCCACAGTCACCACATCAGACCCCACGACCGCCATCCACAGTCACCACACATCAGACCCCACGACCGCCATCCACAGTCACCACACATCAGACCCCTGTGACCGATCGCCATCCACAGTCACCACACATCAGACCCCCGGGACCAACCGCCATCCACAGTCACCACACATCAGACCCCACGACCGCCATCCACAGTCACCACATCAGACCCCACGACCGCCATCCACAGTCACCACATCAGACCCCACGACCGCCATCCACAGTCACCACACATCAGACCCCCGGGACCAACCGCCATCCACAGTCACCACACATCAGACCCCACGACCGCCATCCACAGTCACCACATCAGACCCCACGACCGCCATCCACAGTCACCACATCAGACCCCACGACCGCCATCCACAGTCACCACACATCAGACCCCTGTGACCAACCGCCATCCACAGTCACCACACATCAGACCCCCGTGACCGACTGCCATCCACAGTCACGTGGCACAAGTGGCACTCGAGCTCCCGGGCCTCTCCAGCCCAGTGCTGGAGGGATTGCAGGGATGCAGGTGCAGCCACAGCACAGGCAGGAGAAGAGTCTGAAGACGCGGGAGAGAGACCGGCACCCCCACCTCCTATTCTGCAGACTCCCCCAGGACGCTTGTCATTTACTACGGGACCTGCTAAGCCCCTGCGTCCCCAAGACAGGATGTGAGCAGGCACGTGACACACACTAACACGGACACAGGAGGCCTCGAGCTTGTGAGGCATCAAAAGACGCGCACGGTGACTCTGTGCTTCAGCATGTTCCCCAGCCCCCAGGAGCTGGCGGCAGGGCCGTGGGCTAAAACCACATCGAGTACGATTCAACCCTGAGAACCAACCTGGAAGGCAGTAACAGGAAGGTACATGGGGCCTGCACCCTTCCCAACCCAGGAGCAGGCAACACGCCCACAAATAGCCCATGGGTCTGAGGTCGGCGGAAAGCATCACAGAAATCCGTAATTATTCTGGACTCAACACAGAAAAGCCAATATATCAACACTGACGAGAGGCTGCTGAAGCAGGTCTTTAGCACAGGGTCCCCAACCATTGTGGTACCAGGGACTGGTTTCGTGGAAGACGATTTTTCCACAGGACAGCAGTGGGGAAGGGGATGGTTTTGGGAGCAAACGGTTCCACCTCAGATCATCAGGCATTAGATTCCCATAAGGAGCACAGAATCTAGACCCCTCTCACGCACAGTTCTCAGTAGGGTGTGTGCGCCTCTGAGCACCGCATGCCACTGCTGATCTGAGAGGGGCGGGGCTCAGGCGGGAACGCTGGCTCCCCACACCCCACCTAGCCTCCCGCTGTGCGCCGGGTTCCTAACAGGCCCCAGACCGGTGCCACTCCACAGCCAGGGGCCTCGGGATCCCTGCTTTAGAGGGAAAACGGCAACTTCAGATGCTTGTTTAGAAAAGAAAGTTCAAACATCCATAATCGAAACTTTTCCTTCAAGGAGCCGGAAAAACAACAATAAACAAAGCCTAAAGGAAATGGAAGGAGGCCATCGATAAACAGCAGACACCAATTACGCAGGAAACAGCCGGGAAATCAGCACACGTGAAACTCTTCTGTGAAGAGAGTCATGAAATGGAAAGACCCCTAGCGAGACCTGGAGAAGGAAAACGGAGGTTGTCAGCACCAAGGCTGCAGGCAGCTATCGCTGCAGATCTCACGGAAGCTGCAGGAAGCGAGTCTCGGCCGGGCGCGGCGGTTCACACCTGTCATCCCAGCACTTTGGGAGGCCGAGGTGGGAGGATCACCTGAGGTCAGGAGTTCGAGACCAGCCTGGCCAACATGGAGAAACCTCGTCTCTACTAAAATTACAAAAATTAGTCAGCATGGTGGTGGGCGCCTATAATTCCAGCTACTTGGGAGGCTGAGGCAAGAGAATTGCTTGAACTCAGGAAGCACAGGTTGCAGTGAGCCAAGATCACGCCAAACCACTCCAGCCTGGGCAAAAAAGAGCGAGACTCTGTTATCAAAAAAAAAAAAAAAGAAAGAAAAAAAGAAAGAAAGCAAGCCTCCAACTCGCAGGGGAATTCCAAGGACGGAGCGTAGCCAGGGCCACATCCAGGCCAATGAACACAAGGAGGCCTGGAAGCCCTGCCCACCGGCCACACACCACAGCAGGCACCACACGACCCCAGAGTGGAAGAAACAGAACAGGGAGCCCAGGGGAGGCCTCCACACCCCTGACTTACTATAAACCCGACCATAGTTCAAAGGAAGATATGGTCTCCTCAATAAAGCTGTTGGAGCACCTGCAGACCCACTACAGGAAGAAAGCTCGCCTTGAACTCTGTGTTACCCCACTCATAAAAACCAATCCCACAGATCCCCACCTATCCCACACATGAAAACCAATCCCACAGATCTCCACCTACCCCACACATGAAAACCAACTCCACAGATCCCCACCTACCCCACACATGAAAACCAATCCCACAGATCCCCACCTACCCCACACATGAAAACCAATCCCACAGATCCCCACCTACCCCACACATGAAAACCAATCCCACAGATCTCCACCTACCCTACACATGAAAACCAACTCCACAGATCCCCACCTACCCCCACACATAAAAACCAACTCCACAGATCCCCACCTACCCCACACATGAAAACCAATCCCACAGATCCCCACCTACCCCACACATGAAAACCAATCCCACAGATCCCCACCTACCCCACACATGAAAACCAATCCCACAGATCCCCACCTACCCCACGGATGAAAACCAATTCACAGATCCCCACCTACCCCACACATAAAAACCAATCCCACAGGTCCCCACCTACCCCACACATAGAAACCAATCCCACAGATCCCCACCTACCCCACGGATGAAAACCAATTCACAGATCTCCACCTACACCACACATGAAAACCAACTCCACAGATCCCCACCTATCCCACACATGAAAACCAATCCCACAGATCCCCACCTACCCCACGGATGAAAACCAATTCACAGATCCCCACCTACCCCACGCATAAAAACCAATCCCACAGATCCCCACCTACCCCACGGATGAAAACCAATTCACATATCCCCACCTACCCCACACATAAAAACCAATCCCACAGATCCCCACCTACCCCACACAAGAAAACCAATCCCACAGATCCCCACCTACCCCGCACATGAAAACCAATCCCACCTACCCCACACATAAAAACCAATCCCACAGATCCCCACCTACCCCACGGATGAAAACCAATTCACAGATCTCCACCTACACCACACATGAAAACCAATCCCACAGATCCCCACCTACCCCACACATGAAAACCAATTCCACCAATCCCCACCCAGGTTTGCAAGCTGACACAGTAAAGACTGTTCTAAAAGGAGGCGCAGAAGCAACGTCACCACAACCTCAATACCTTGAGTTCCTGCAGAGAACACAAACAGCTTTAGCCACAAACAGCTGATAAAGTGGACTGCGTTACTGGACTGTGTTAGTGGACTGCGATAGAAGTACAATCTTCCAGTCCTCAAAAGGCTTGACTTGAGAGCACAAAAGCAAGACACACACGGCACAGAGATTCACAGTGCACGCATGTGATGCCACACTTGCAGCAGAACACACAAAGAGCTCCTGCAAGCCGATGATGGCAGGCAGGCGCCCCATACAGAGCGGGGCAGGACGGACAGCCACCTCCCGCAAGAGCCCCGGGGCGGCCAGCACGGGAACACTGTGGGCACGTGGGCATCAAGAGAGCCCCCTGCACAATCCCACGAGGCGGCTTCGACACCTTCAGGCCAGCGGCCACCGGAGGCATCGCCCTCACAAGCAGCCAGCCGGGGTGTCACTGTCACCCCCCTGGAAACTCCCACAACATCCCTAAAGCACGTCTGTGACCCAGCAACCCCACCCCTGGAATTCACCCAGAGGCGAGGGCCTCTGACCCCTGGGACACTCCCAGAACCCAGCAGGCTCACAGCAGGCGCAGCCGTGCAGTCCGCACCCAGGAGCCTCCACAGCAGCGGGAAGGATACATCCACGTGGCGAGTTCCACAACGGATGCCATTCATGGACAGAACGCACAGCTGAGGCGTTCAGCATAGCTGAGGCTCGAACCCCAAAACCCACCTCCTGCCTGATCTCACTCACATGGAGACCGGGAGAGGGAGACCATGGAGGTCGAGGTCGGAACGAGGGTCACGGTGGGGGCGGTAGCTTCCGCTGCAGCGGGGATGTGGGGGGGGGTCTCCTGGGCTCTGGTGACTTTCTACACCCGGGCACAGGTGGGCGGTGGGGACGGGGGGGTCTCCTGGGCTCTAGTGACTTTCTACACCTGGGCACAGGTGGTGGCCATCAGCTTTCCATGAGGGTAAAATTCTGCTGAGATTTGCAAGTAGCTGCGATAGCTCAAGAAGTCAGAGAAAGAGGTCCTTGTGGGTTTCCACATGTGCCTCTCCCCAGACCGAAGCTCCAGGGATACTTCTTCACCTCTGCACCCCGGCCTGGCACGACTTTGAGGGCTTACCCCTCCAGCGTGCTCATGACCACTGGGTGGGAACCCAAGCCCAGGGCCCCTTTCACCCCTGCCGAGCCCCAAGGCCCCCGGCCGCTCTGGGAGGAGTGTGTCCCGGGGAGCGAGGCCTGAATCAGCCTTCCTATATCTCATGGAGCCGGCATAGGCCAGACTGGGGTCCTGGGGGTGCCAGGGGTCCAGGAAGGTACCACCAGCATCCCTACTCTCCTCTCAAACCTGGCTTACAGTCTCCAAGGCCCAGCCCTGTGACAGGACAGGGGCACCCATGCTAGAAGTGAGGACCCTGAATGTGGAGCTCCCCAAACCAGCACCCGAGAGCGTGAGGACAATGGTGCGGACCATGCCTGGAGGAGGAAGGAGTAAGGCCAAGGGGCCACACACACCCATGCCATAGACACGCATATGTCACGGACACATGCACACACACACACCACAAATAGGCACATCACAGACATGCAGCACACAGCATGAACATGCACGTGTCACAGACACACACACATGCACACCACAGGCACACACACCATGGACACACACGTGCCACACACACACACACCACAAATATGCACGCCACAGATACATGCACCACGACACACACGTGCCACACACGCATATCACAGATGTGTAAATCATGGAAGTACCTCCACCACAGAAACGCATCACAGACACGACTGCATTCTAGACACATTCATATCCCAGAGACACACATCCTGGACACGACTATCACACGTGAACCTTACGTGGCTCTTGAAGGCCTTGCGGACGTGCCCATGGGCGGCCTTCTGGACCACGGCATACCGACGCACGCAGTACGTGTTCTGGGGTTTGATGATGCTGGCGATGACCTCCGTGAGCCTGTCCTGGGGGATGGTGTCGTACGCGCCCGTCACATCCACCTGTGTGAGTGGAGGCGAGGAGACTGACAGTGGCCACGCAGAAACTCAGACATCACCTCTGCCCTCAGGGCCTGGCCTGGCGGTGTCCCCCACTCTCTCTCTGACCCCCACCACTCCAGACCCCAAGGGCAGGGCGGGCTGTGTCCCCTCTCTGAGCCTCAGGACAGGAGACCCCTGGCTCAGGACTGGGGTGCAAGGCACCGGGGCCTGGTGGCTGAGCCGTTGCGGTTCCTTCTCTGACGGAAACTGGAATCCAGTGGGACCCTCCTTGGGAATAGGAGCCCGGGCAGTCAGGGTGCACAGTCGGCCCCATGTGCTGCAGGAAAGGCTGAAGGCCTCCACCCTAGGTGCCAGGTGTGTCCTCAACAGTGACAGGGTCACCTGCACTCCCTGCGGCCCACCCAGGAGTACCTCCTCCACCCAACATGAGGTGCCAATCAGGCAGCCACTCCCAAGGTCCAGCAGGGCTGCTCACGGGGGTCCCCGGCACCCACCTTGACAAAGTACAGCTCAGGCGGCGGGTCCTGGGCCCGCACACGCAGCACGAAGGTGCGCCAGGCCCTGTGGATATCGTCCAGGCCCAGCACAGAGGCGCCCAGGAGGCCGGGGCGCCGCGCCCGCTCGTAGTTGAGCACGCTGAACAGTGCCTTCACCCTCGAGGTGAGACGCTCGGCCTGGCGGGGACAGCATGGGAGACAGTCAGGAAAGTGGATCCGGCCAAGTGCCCACCCCACCATAGGGACCCAGGGGAGAAGCAGCCCCTCCCCAGTGTCCCCAGCCACCCAGACCCGGGACCTAGAACCCCTCCCAGCTTCCTCAGACCCTGTTTGAAACGGGTTCCTGGCCGCATGTGTGTTGCACACGGGATCCTCATGCCACACCTCTGTCCACCTCACCCCACACTCTCCTCAGATGACGGGGTCACCGCAGCCACCGCAGCCACAGGGGTGGGGTGCAGGAGCCGTGGGGCAAGGTCCAGGATCCTCAGAGCCCGGTGGGCTCCTGGCAGTCGTGGCCTGGTCCCCGGGCCCCGTAAGCGGAAGCGCACGGAGGCTGCGCACCACAGCAGGACACGGATCCAGGACCTCGGGCCGTGCTGCATCCAGGCCCTGGCCCGGCTGCTTCTTGTGGTCCTCAGAGCCTGTCCCTGCCCCAGGAGCTCCCCCTACACCCCCACGCTGCTTTTCTGGAGGCACCGGCACCTCGGCCACCTCACTGTGCGCACAAATGGGTTGGCGCCGTGCCATGGCCCTGGCTGTGTCCCGTGGCCCCTCCTCCGGGCCCTTCATCTAAGCTGATACCAAATGTGGGGCTCAAACGCACTTCTGTTTAAAAAGGAAGTTAAACCAAAGCACAGCCACCCTCTTTTCTCTGCGGAACGTTCTGGCTCCCACGACGTAGTCCATGTTCACAATCGGCCGCAGCCCGTCAGGCTTGGGGATGAAGCGGAGTCTGGACGTCAGCAGGGCGGGCCTGGCTTCCCGATGCTGCCTGACCTCTGCTTCCGACAGCTCCCGCAGCTGCACCCTCTTCAAGTGCTGTCTGCAATAGAGAGCCCCTCAGGAGGCTTGCTCAGCCAGACAACAGACTAGGGGGAAGCTCACGGGAAGCCACAAGCCCCCACCGACTCAGTGAGGGCTCAGGGCACCCACGGCAGCACACGCTGAAGGCCATGCCCGGGGCCACGTCCACCCATGCCAGCCAGACGCCTCTGAGAGCCCCTCTACTTGCAGGGCACCTGGACACCTGGTCCTATAGTCAACCCTGGGGACGCCCAGTCCGGCGGTCAACCCCCAGGGTGACTGTCCCACCATCAGCACCAGGGAGCCTGGTCCCAGGCTGCATCTGGGGCCACGTGAACCCATGCCCCTCCACACAGGATGCCTGTCCCTCTGGTACAGCCACTGGGGTAGCCCAAGGCTGGCCCCAGGCAGGACCCCCAGGTAGAAAGAGCCACATCCCTTCAGATGGAGAGGGCGGGAGAGGCTGCTCAGGGCAGCTCAGCCAAGGAGCAGAATCAGCTCTCATGAGCCCACCAGTCTCCTGACACCTCTGCCCTTTGGCCTTTTCCCCCAAAACCACCCATGGGGGCACGGGGGCTGGAGCGGCCACACCTGGACCTGGGCATCTGTGGCTGACAGCCTGGCACTCCGTGGACACTGGGGCCGCGGGTGCTCCGGAGCTGGTGCCCTGACCGCAGGCCGCAGGCCCAGCAGAGTAGAAAAGGCACGGTACCCTGTCCAGGGAGGAGGGGCCTCCAAGGCCCCCCAGGCAGAACAACAGTCCCAGTAGTGACAAGGAGCATCTTGGGGACCACCACGTCTGTCTGCTCCTTCCGGTCACCCCAATTAAATTCTTTCCAAAATACTGGTCAAATGACCATGTTGGGTCGCACACCATTAAATACGTGTAAAGTCTAAGTAAGGTGCATTGTGTATTAACTTGTTCCCACAGGGAAAGCCCTGACCCTCCCCCAGATGCAAGGAAATGGCCCCAGCACCACGTCGGGGTCCCCAGCCCAGAGGCTGTGTTACCTCTGACGAGGTCTGCTGCCAGCTCCCTCTGCAGACATCCTGATTTGGGGCATGGGGTGTCACAAGGCCCCCCAGGGACTCGAGTGTGCAGGGGAGCTGGGGAAGCCCTGATCTTCTGACTAAAGCCCTCCACAGTCAGCCTGGGCGGGACACGGAGAAGCTAATACCATGGCCTGGGCTCAGCCAGGCTGGCATCTCCCAGACCAGCGCTCCCGTCCCTCACTGATGCAAATCCAGCTTGAATCTGTCACAATCTCACACTCTCATCAGCCGAACATTGCAGACAAAATCTCACAGCCATTCAAATGCAGCCACCTAGAAGTTAGCTCATGGTGGAACTCTCCTATCCCCAGGTGCTCCCTGCACAGGTGCTCCCTGCAGTGAGTCGCCAAGTGGGTGGGATTTTATCCTCTCATGACCTAAATCCAATAGATTGAAGATTCATACAGAACAGCATGAATTAAAAGAGAATCGGGGGCTGGGCACGGTGGCTTAGCCTGTAAACCCAGCACTTTGGGAGGCCAAGGTGGGTGGATCACCTGAGGTCATGAGTTCGAGACCAGCCTGGCCAACATGGTGAAACCCCGTCTCTCCTAAAAGTACAAAAATTAGCCAGGCGTGGTGGCAGGTGCCTGTAATCCCAGCTACTTAGGAGGCTGAGGCTGGTGAATCGCTTAAACCCAGGAGGTGGAGGTTGCAGTGAGCCAAGATTATGCCACTGCACTCCAGCCTGGGCAACAGAGTGAGACTCCATCTCAAAAAAGAAAAAAAAAAGAGAGAGAGAATCAGACCCACATCCCAGGGAAAGGCAAGGAGGCTAGTGGTAGTGTTTCCATCTAATTTAAATCCCTTCTGCTTTACAAACCCTAGAGACCACTTGGCACAAACTCCTGATTTTACAAGTAAGAGAACGTGAGCTCCAGGCAGTCAGAGCCTTGCACAGAATCCACTTGGACCAGGCCTGTGACGGGGCCCCTGGCTCCCAGCCCAGAGCTGCACAGCCAGGGAAGCACAGGCAAGTGGAGACAGGCGCATGCTGAGGCCGGGCTGGTGTTCCAGGACTTCGAGAAGCAGAGGCCTGGCGTGGGGATACAGTACCTGATTCCAATGCTTTGCAACTTGCTCCAGACACTCTTCCGGTAGAAAAAGAGCCTGTTCTTTTGAAACGTGGTCTCCGTGACATAAAAGAAAGACCTGAGCAGCTCGACGACGTACACACTCATCAGCCAGTGCAGGAACTTGGCCAGGATCTCCTCACGCAGACGGTGCTCTGCGGCCGGAACACAGCCAACCCCTTAAACGAGAAGGACATGCCACATCCAGATCACCGAGGGCCTGGTGACCTCACCCCGGACCTGCACCATCCGGACACCGCACATCCAGCTCACCAAGGGCCTGGCGACCTCACCCCAGACCTGCACCATCCGGACACGGCACATCCAGCCCACCAAGGGCCTGGCGACCTCACCCTGGACCTGCACCATTCGGACACGGGGACACCGCATATCCAGCTCACCGAGGGCCTGGCGAACTCACCCCGGACCTGCAGCATCCAGACACCACACATCCAGCTCACCGCAGGGCCTGGCGAACTCACCCCGGACCTGCACCATCCAGACAACACACATACAGCCCACCGCAGGGCCTGGCGACCTCACTCCGGACCTGCACCATCCGTACACTGCACATCCAGCTCACCGCAGGGCCTGGCGACCTCACGCCAGACCTGCACCATCCGGATACAGCACATCCAGCTCACCGCAGGGCCTGGCGACCTCACCCCGGACCTGCACCATCCGGATACAGCACATCCAGCTCACAGCAGGGCCTGGCGACCTCACCCCAGACCTGCACCATCCGGACACCACACATCCAGCTAACCGCAGGGCCTGGTGACCTCACCCCGGACCTGCACCATCCGACACCGCATATCCAGCTAACCGCAGGGCCTGGCGACCTCACGCCAGACCTGCACCATCCGGATACAGCACATCCAGCTCACTGCAGGGCCTGGCGACCTCACCCCGGACCTGCACCATCTGGATACAGCACATCCAGCTCACAGCAGGGCCTGGCGACCTCACCCCGGACCTGCACCATCCAGACACCGCACATCCAGCTAACCGCAGGGCCTGGTGACCTCACCCCGGACCTGCACCATCCGGACACCGCATATCCAGCTAACCGCAGGGCCTGGCGACCTCACCCCGGACCTGCACCATCCGGACACCCCACATCCAGCTCACCGAAGGCCTTGGCTACCTCACCCCGGACCTGCACCATCCAGACACCGCACATCCAGCTCACAGCAGGGCCTGGCGACCTCACGCCGGACCTGCACCATCCGGACACCACACATCCAGCCCACCAAGGGCCTGGCGACCTCACCCCAGACATGCACCATGCAGACACCGCACATCCAGCTCACCAAAGGCCTGGCGACCTCACCCCAGACCTGCACCATCCGGACACGGCACATCCAGCCCACCAAGGGCCTAGCGACCTCACCCTGGACCTGCACCATCCGGACACGGGGACACCGCACATCCAGCTCACCGAGGGCCTGGCGAACTCACCCCGGACCTGCAGCAACCGGACACTGCACAACCAGCTCACCGCAGGGCCTGGTGACCTCACCCCAGACCTGCACCATCCGGATACAGCACATCCAGCTCACAGCAGGGCCTGGCGACCTCACCCCGGACCTGCACCATCCGGATACAGCACATCCAGCTCACAGCAGGGCCTGGCAACCTCACCCCGGACCTGCATCATCCGGACTCCATACCTCCAGCTCACCGAGGGCCTGGCGACCACACCCCAGACCTGCACCATCCAGACGCCGCACATCCAGCTCACAGCAGGGCCTGGCGACCTCACCCCGGACCTGCATCATCCGGACTCCATACCTCCAGCTCACCGAGGGCCTGGCGACCACACCCCAGACCTGCACCATCCAGACGCCGCACATCCAGCTCACAGCAGGGCCTGGCGACCTCACCCCGGACCTGCATCATCCGGACTCCATACCTCCAGCTCACCGAGGGCCTGGAGACCTCACCCCTGACCTGCACCATCCGGACACCGCATATCCAGCTCACAGCAGGGTCTGGCGACCTCACCCCGGACCGGCACCATCCGGACTCCATACATCCAGCTCACCGAGGGCCTGGCGACCTCACTCCAGACCTGCACCATCCAGACACCGCACATCCAGCTCACCGCAGGGTCTGGCGACCTCACCCCGGACCTGCACCATCTGGACACTGCACATCCAGCTCACCGAGGGCCTGGCGACCTCACTCCAGACCTGCACCATCCAGACACCACACATCCAGCTCACAGCAGGGCCTGGCGACCTCACCCCAGACCTGCACCATCCAGACACCACACATCCAGCTCACAGCAGGGCCTGGTGACCTCACACCGGACCTGCAGCATCCGGACACCCCACATCCAACTCACAGCAGGGCCTGGCAACCTCACCCCAGACCTGCACCATCCGGACACCGCATATCCAGCTCACCGCACGGTCTGGCACCGTCTGGCGACCTCACTCCAGACCTGCACCATCCAGACACCGCACACCCAGCTCACCGCAGGGCCTGGTGACCTCACCCCAGACCTGCACCATCCAGACACCACACATCCAGCTCACAGCAGGGCCTGGCGACCTCACCCCGGACCTGCATCATCCGGACTCCATACCTCCAGCTCACCGAGGGCCTGGAGACCTCACCCCTGACCTGCACCATCCAGACACCACACATCCAGCTCACAGCAGGGCCTGGCGACCTCACCCCGGACCTGCATCATCCGGACTCCATACCTCCAGCTCACCGAGGGCCTGGAGACCTCACCCCTGACCTGCACCATCCAGACACCACACATCCAGCTCACAGCAGGGCCTGGCGACCTCATCCCAGACGTGCACCATCCGGACACTGCACATCCAGCTCACTGAGGGCCTGGCGACCTCATCCCGGACCTGCACCATCTGGTACAACAGCCATGGCCATGGGAAGCCCAGCAGGTCCAGGCCGAGATGGCCACGCACGGGACCTACACACGGGATCCCGCAGACAAAGCTCAAAAAATGTCAAATGTCCTGTGAGTGATGCTCCCACCAATAACACCCTAAAATGATGAGGTGTGGACATGCTGGGCTTCAGTAAAATCTATTATTACATTAATTTCACCTTTTCTTTTTTACTTTTTTAATGTGGCTACTAGAATTTTTTTTTTTTTTTTTTTTTTTGAGACAGAGTCTCGCTGTGTTGCCAGGCTGGAGTGCAGTGGTGCAATGTCGGCTCACTGCAACTTCCAACTCCCAGGTTCAAGCAATTCTCCTGCCTCAGCCTCCCGAGTAGCTGGGATTACAGGCACCCGCCACCACGCCCAGCTAATTTTTGTGTTTTTAGTACAGATGGGGTTTCATCATGTTGGCCAGGATGGTCTCGACCTCCTGACCTCGTGATCCACCCGCCTTGGCCTCCCAAAGTGCTGGGATTACAGGCGTGAGCCACCGCGCCCAGCCTAGAAATTTTAAAATTATCCACATGGCTCACGTCATGCTCCTGTTGGGCGACAACGGCTCGGAGCCTCATCCTTTGTCCTGGTTCCCAAGCAGAAGGGAGGAAGCAGACACTCCCCCGCCAGGCAGCACCGTCAGAGCTGGCGCCACACCGCAGGTTTGCGCGATTTCAAACTCGACACCGCGGAGCCACCAGACCCCGACATGCCTGGGGTTTTCCAGGCTGAACCCAGGCCGAGCGGACGTTGCTGTCACTCACTGGCTAAGGAACGCTGGCCACGTGGTGCTCCAGACACTCACGGGCCAAGATGACCGCCCTCCTCGTGAGTCTCCACATCTTCATCTGTGCATCATAAGCAGAGGTCCCCGGACGTCGCTAGATGCCATGGAGGCCAGCACAGGTAAAGCTGGGGTTTACCAGCAATAACAAGACAGAAGAACCACGCAAAGGACAAGGAAGGGGACCCCAGACGGCGGGCCTGAGACAGAAGACAGACGGGGAACAAAGGAGGAAAAGCAGGGCGGGGGCAAAGCTACAGAAACACTCAACACGGAAAACAATATTAATAATGCTTAGCTTGTGGGGGTGTCAAGATGCCTGAGATAGAACTAAGTCAGCAGGGAAAACAGCACACAGGCTGGGGGGTGGCCAGAGCTAAAATACACTAAGGGTCTTATTGCTCAGGACAAGGGTAGCAATGTTTCAGACTTCATTTTAAAAGATCAAGGTATGCCGGGCACGGTGGCTTGCACCTGTAATCCCAGCACTGTGGGAGGCCAAGGCGGGCAGATCACTTGAGGTCAGGAGTTTGAGACCAGCCTGGCCAACATGGTGAAAGCCTATCTCTACTAAAAATACAAAAATTAGCCAGGCGTGGTGGTGGGCGCCTGTAATCCCAGCTACTCATGAGGTTGAGGAATGAGAACTGCTTGAACCGAGGAGGCAGAGGTTGCAGTGAGCCGAGATTGTGCCATTACACTCCAGCCTGGGTGACAGAGTGAGACTGTCTCAATAAACAAAAGCAAACAACGACAATAAAAAGATCAGGGGGTAACACTAAGCAAAGAGAAATAAAAGCAAATGCCCAGTGACCAGGAGGCAACGAGAGGATCAACACACACTCGGCAGGAAACGCACATGGCAACCCAAGAGGTGGTGAGAAACAAGGGAACGAGGACATGCAACAGGCAAGTGGAGAATCAGAGTGCACCAGGCGGGTCTCTAGTGACAAAAAAATGAAAATAAATCAGGTTATCCAGTTAAACAACGACTGTCAGACTGGATTGGAAATTCACCTACATGCTGTTAACAGGACATACCCACACTATAAGAATATAAAAGTGTTGAAAATTAGGCCAGACATGGTGGCTCATGCCTGTAATTCAGCACTTTGGGAAGCCGAGGTAGATGGATCCCTTGAGTCCAAGAGTTTGAGACCAGCCTGGGCAACACAGCAAGACCCTGTCTCCAGAAAAAATTTAAAAATTAGCCAGGTGTAGCGGTGCGTGTCTGCAGTTCCAGCTATTCAGGAGGCTGAGGTGAGAGGACGGCTCAGGCCAGAAGGTAAAAGTTACACTGACCTGTGATCACACCACTGCACTCACCCTGGGCGACAGACCAAGACTCTGTCTCAAAAAAAAAAAATATATATATATATATATAAATTAAAGGCAGAAAACAGACACAGCAGGAAAATACTAATCAAAAGAAGCCCAGTGTGGCAGTACTAAGAGCAATTTAAAAAAAGAATTACTAGATTACTAGAGACATAGAAGTCTCCAAAAGATTCACTCATCAGGAAGATAAAAATTCTACCACGTGCATGCACCTAACAATGCCTCACATAAATGCTACCAAACGAGAAGAAATGAACAGACCCATCCCCCAGGTGAGGGACTATGGCCTCCTTCTTGGAATTTCATGCATCTAGAAGGAGACAGAAGCTTTGCACTGGACCTTAATAAGCTGGATATAGTGAACATGCATGCCCACTATTGACAGGATGTCAAATTTACAATGGACAGTTCTGGAAACCATGCACACACTAGATCACAAAGCAAGGCTCCGCAAACTTCAAATAATTGGTATTATACAGACCACTACACAACTGAGTTAGAAATCAATAATAAAATGATAACTTAAAATACTCTACGTATCTTGATACTCTACATATCTTGAACATAAACAGTGTTCAAATAACTCACTGCTCAAAGAAATCACAGAATAAGCTAAAGAATACTTAAAAGTCACTGATATCAAAATGATTTCACGTCAAAACACAGCGTGCACAAAGAAAAAAATCACAGAATAAGAATACTTAAAAGAAGTATTAACACTTTGAAGTATTTTAAGAACACTTGAAAGTGGCTGATGTTGAGATTACTTCACATCAAAACACAGGGTGCAGGTAAGGCAGCACTTAGAGGGAAAGGCATGACTAAACTAAGAAGCTAGAAAAGGAATGAAAGAATAAACCAAGAAAAAGCATACAATGGAGAGATAGAAACGTCAGAGGTAAATCAGTGAAATTCAAAACTAAGACCCAAGAGGGAAGTCTGACGAAGGCTGGCGGAGACACCGGCCCTCCACGTGGGTCTCAGAGCAGGAGACAGACAGAGACACTCCAACCTGTGGCTGGACGTCAATCCATGTGAGGGGGCGACTGGAGGCAGAGCCCAGCCTAAGCAATGAGCGGCAGGTGCCCAGAATAAGGTGACAAGCGTTGCCACCCACCCAAGGGGGCCAAGCAGAGGGGCAGCTTGGGAGAAAACAGGACAAGTGAGGGGGCTGGGGTGACTTGCTTTCCTTCAGGGCACAGAGAACCCTTTCTGGGATGTCTCCAGCAACACGTGGCAGCAGACACAGGCAGCCCAGAGTCCAGCCTCGGCATGAGACAAGCTGGGAGAGGAGTATTGGCAGCATGCATGTGGCGGGCACGTGGTGAGCAAGCCAGGCCCAACAGAGGCAAGCGGACCTGAAGCTGTGGCTGCAGTGCCTGGCACGCGGGAGGCGAGAGCCTGCAGTCCCGTGTCCCCGTAGCAAAATGGAACGGAGAGGTGACCAAGAAGAGCCGAGCATCAGAAAAGATAGGCTTGGGGACCAGCACTGCGCCTGCACCATCTACCCAGGCAATGGGCAACCGGCGCAGCTGTGGCTATAGAAAGAGCAAACATTCAGGAGCAAGCTCAAGTGAGCAAACGCCAAGGACACCTGGGGACAGAGCCTCACTCACCCTACACGAGACAGGGACACCCAGGGACAGCGCCTCACTCACCCTGCACCTGAGAGGGACACCCGGGGGCCGCAACTCACTCACCCTACACGTGACAGGGACACCCGGGGACGGCGCCTCACTCACCCTACACGTGACAGGGACACCCGGGGATGGCGCCTCACTCACCCTACACCTGAGAGGGACACCCAGGGACGGCGCCTCACTCACCCTACACGTGACAGAGACACCCGGGGACAGTGCCTCACTCACCCTACACGTGACAGGGACACCCGGGGACGGGGCCTCACTCACCCTGCACGTGACAGGGACACCCGGGGACGGCGCCTCACTCACCCTACACGTGACAGGGACACCCGGGGACGGCGCCTCACTCACCCTACACGTGACAGGGACACCCGGGGACGGCGCCTCACTCACCCTACACGTGACAGGGACACCCGGGGACGGCGCCTCACTCACCCTACACGTGACAGGGACACCCGGGGACGGCGCCTCACTCACCCTGCACGTGACAGGGACACGCGGGGACGGCGCCTCACTCACCCTGCACGTGACAGGGACACCCGGGGGCCTCGCGTCAATCACCCTGCACGTGACAGGGACACCCGGGGACGGCGCCTCACTCACCCTGCACGTGACAGGGACACCCGGGGACAGTGCCTCATTCACCCTACACGTGACAGGGACACCCGGGGACCGCGCCTCACTCACCCTGAACGTGACAGGGACACCCGGGGACAGTGCCTCACTCACCCTGCAAGTGACAGGGACACCCGGGGGCCGCGCCTCACTCACCCTGCACGTGACAGGGACACCCGGGGGCCGTGCCTCACTCACCCTGCACGTGACAGGGACACCCGGGGGCCGCGCCTCACTCACCCTGCACGTGACAGGGACACCCGGGGGCCGCGCCTCACTCACCCTGCACGTGACAGGGACACCCGGGGGCCGCGCCTCACTCACCCTACACGTGACAGGGACACCCGGGGGCCGCGCCTCACTCACCCTGCACGTGACAGGGACACCCGGGGGCCGCGCCTCACTCACCCTACACGTGACAGGGACACCCGGGGACAGTGCCTCACTCACCCTACACGTGACAGTGACACCCGGGGACCGCGCCTCACTCACCCTACACGTGACAGGGACACCCGGGGGCCGTGCCTCACTCACCCTGAACGTGACAGGGACACCCGGGGACGGCGCCTCACTCACCCTACACGTGACAGGGACACCCGGGGACGGCACCTCACTCACCCTACACGTGACAGGGACACCCGGGGACGGCGCCTCACTCACCCTGCACGTGACAGGGACACGCGGGGACGGCGCCTCACTCACCCTGCACGTGACAGGGACACCCGGGGGCCTCGCGTCAATCACCCTGCACGTGACAGGGACACCCGGGGACAGCGCCTCACTCACCCTGCACGTGACAGGGACACCCGGGGACGGTGCCTCACTCACCCTACACGTGACAGGGACACCCGGGGACCGCGCCTCACTCACCCTGAACGTGACAGGGACACCCGGGGACAGTGCCTCACTCACCCTACACGGGACAGGGACACCCGGGGACCGTGCCTCACTCACCCTGCACGTGACAGGGACACCCGGGGACCGCGCCTCACTCACCCTGCACGTGACAGGGACACCCGGGGACCGCGCCTCACTCACCCTGCACGTGACAGGGACACCCGGGGACCGCGCCTCACTCACCCTGCACGTGACAGGGACACCCGGGGGCCGCGCCTCACTCACCCTGCACGTGACAGGGACACCCGGGGGCCGCGCCTCACTCACCCTGCACGTGACAGGGACACCCGGGGGCCGTGCCTCACTCACCCTGCACGTGACAGGGACACCCGGGGACGGCGCCTCACTCACCCTGCACGGGACAGGGACACCTGGGGACCGCGCCTCACTCACCCTGCACGGGACAGGGACACCCGGGGACAGTGCCTCACTCACCCTACACGTGACAGGGACACCTGGGGACCGCGCCTCACTCACCCTGCACGTGACAGGGACACCCGGGGACAGTGCCTCACTCACCCTATACCTGGGAGGGACACCCAGGGACGGTGCCTCACTCACCCTACACGTGACAGGGACACCTGGGGCCGCGCCTCACTCACCCTACACCTGAGAGGGACACCCGGGGACAGCGCCTCACTCACCCTACACCTGGGAGGGACACCCAGGGACGGTGCCTCACTCACCCTACACGTGACAGGGACACCCGGGGACCGCGCCTCACTCACCCTGCACGTGACAGGGACACCCGGGGACAGCGCCTCACTCACCCTGCACGGGACAGGGACACCCGGGGACCACGCCTCACTCACCCTACACGTGACAGGGACACCCGGGGACGGCGCCTCACTCACCCTACACCTGAGAGGGACACCCGGGGACAGTGCCTCACTCACCCTACACGTGACAGGGACACCCGGGGACCGCGCCTCACTCACCCTGCACGTGACAGGGACACCCGGGGACAGTGCCTCACTCACCCTGCACGGGACAGGGACACCCGGGGGCCACACCTCAATCACGCTGCACGGGACAGGGACACCCGGGGGCCGCGCCTCACTCACCCTACACGTGACAGGGACACCTGGGGGCAACGCCTCACTCACCCTGCACGTGACAGGGACACCCGGGGACCACGCCTCACTCCCTGCATAAGCCAGGGGCAGATTGTGACCTCATCTGAAGTCAGAGAACAGCAATGACAGGCAGAGTCCTGATCAGAGAACTCAAACTCTCCTCAACGAAGGAAGCTGGAGCACAAAAAGCAAAACTGGGTTGCATGACGCTTATCTGACTCGGCGTGGTCCACCTGAGCCGCAGCAGGTGTGAGGCAGCTGCCGTTCGATGGGTAGGGACTTCCAGTCACGCAAGACGCAGCATTTCAAGCAACCTGCTGTAAACACCGCCGAGTTAGCAATTCTGCACTGTACACAGAAAACGGTGTTAGGAGTGCCAATCTCATGTTATATGACTTTTGCCACCATAAAAAGAAAAAAAGAAAAAAAAGAGCCCCAAGAAGGTCACCCTCCTTGTCTGCATGGCCGGAAGTCTTACATGTCTTGGGAGTTTGTGGGGAGGGGGTGAAATCGGGACTTCTTCTAGCTGCCACGGTAGGGCCTGGGAGCACTGGGAGCCAAAAGGGGGCTGGAGCGGAGGTTCCTCAACATCAAATCCAGAAAAACAGGGTGGGGACACGGCAGGGCCCAGCAGCACCATCCCCTGAACACCCACAAACACTGTCCCTTCCTCAGCAGGTGGAGCCATCTGCTGTCCTCTGCTCCCATGTGGCCCTCTTCATACCTAAAGATGGGACCAGGATCTGTGCTGGAGAACAGTCTTATCTCCCTCCCTCTACCCTGTCCTGGCACAATCAACGAACACTTTTTTTTTTTAAAGACAGAGTTTCACTCTTGTCGCCCAGGCTGGAGTACAATGGCACAATCTCAGCTCACTGCAGCCTCCGCCTCCTGGGTTCAAGTGATTCTCCTGCCTCAGCCTCCCAAGTAGCTGGGATTACAGGCACACACCACCATGCCCAGCTAATTTTTGTATTTTTAGTACAGATAGGGTTTCACCATGTTGGTCAGGCTGGTCTCAAACTCCTGACCTCAGGTGATCCACCTGCCTCAGCTTCCCAAAGTGCTGGGATTACCGGCGTGAGCCACCGCACCTGGCCGTCAACACACAATTAAATCTTAAACACAAACCTGCATATTGGCTGACCACGTGCACCTGCAAAACCCTTACCTCCCACCCCCAGGAAGAGGGGGTTCTCGTCCCCACCTCTCATTCCCACCCTTGAAATTGCGAAGAGGATTATAGGTAACCTGCAGGCACCCTCGCCAGAGCGTCTGTGCTTCCAGACACTTCTCCCCATTGCCGGCAACCCGGCTCCACTGCCGCGCCCAGCCTCCTCTGTTCACTGCTCTGGCCTCGGCGCCTGGAAACCGCGTGTCCATCAAAACGTGAAGGTGAACCTCGTAAGTTTATGCAAACTGGACAGGAGGGAGAGCAGAGGCAGAGATCACCGTGTCCACTCGACGTCCTGAGCGAAAAGCCACGTGTGCCCACGTGACGATGGAGACAGGAGGACCAGGGCTCTGCCTGCCCCCTTTTCTGAGCCCCTACTGCATTCAGCTCTGGGGCCTGGGCCCTCGACGGCCACCACCTCCTCACCTGGGCTCCTGCGCAGCCAAGCGCAGTCCCGCACGCTCATCTTCCACGTCAGCTCCTGCAGCGAGAGCTTGGCATGCTTCCCCAGGGAGATGAACTTCTTGGTGTTCCTGAGGAAGCGGCGTTCGTTGTGCCTGGAGCCCCAGAGGCCTGGGGGCACCAGCCGGCGCAGGCAGGCCCGCACGAAGCCGTACACCTGCCAGGGGCTGCTGTGCTGGCGGAGCAGCTGCACCAGGCGACGGGGGTCTGTGTCCTCCTCCTCGGGGGCCGCCACAGAGCCCTGGGGCTTCTCCCGGGCACAGACACCGGCTGCTGGGGTGACCGCAGCTCGCAGCGGGCAGTGCGTCTTGAGGAGCACCCCGTAGGGGCACTGCGCGTGGTTCCCAAGCAGCTCCAGAAACAGGGGCCGCATTTGCCAGTAGCGCTGGGGCAGGCGGGGCAACCTGCGGGGAGTCCCTGGCATCCAGGGCCTGGAACCCAGAAAGATGGTCTCCACGAGCCTCCGAGCGCCAGTCAGGCTGGGCCTCAGAGAGCTGAGTAGGAAGGAGGGCCGCAGCTGCTCCTTGTCGCCTGAGGAGTAGAGGAAGTGCTTGGTCTCGGCGTACACCGGGGGACAAGGCGTGTCCCAGGGACGTGGTGGCCGCGATGTGGATGGGGGGCCCGCGTGGTGCTGGCGGCCCACGGATGGGTGGGAGTGGCGCGTGCCAGAGAGCGCACCCTCCAAAGAGGTGGCTTCTTCGGCGGGTCTGGCAGGTGACACCACACAGAAACCACGGTCACTCGGTCCACGCGTCCTGCCCGGGTGGGCCCAGGACCCCTGCCCAACGGGCGTCCGCTCCGGCTCAGGGGCAGCGCCACGCCTGGGCCTCTTGGGCAACGGCAGACTTCGGCTGGCACTGCCCCCGCGCCTCCTCGCACCCGGGGCTGGCAGGCCCAGGGGGACCCCGGCCTCCCTGACGCTATGGTTCCAGGCCCGTTCGCATCCCAGACGCCTTCGGGGTCCACTAGCGTGTGGCGGGGGCCGGGCCTGAGTGGCAGCGCCGAGCTGGTACAGCGGCGGCCCGCACACCTGGTAGGCGCAGCTGGGAGCCACCAGCACAAAGAGCGCGCAGCGTGCCAGCAGGTGAACCAGCACGTCGTCGCCCACGCGGCGCAGCAGCAGCCCCCACGCCCCGCTCCCCCGCAGTGCGTCGGTCACCGTGTTGGGCAGGTAGCTGCGCACGCTGGTGGTGAAGGCCTCGGGGGGGCCCCCGCGGGCCCCGTCCAGCAGCGCGAAGCCGAAGGCCAGCACGTTCTTCGCGCCGCGCTCGCACAGCCTCTGCAGCACTCGGGCCACCAGCTCCTTCAGGCAGGACACCTGCGGGGGAAGCGCCCTGAGTCGCCTGCGCTGCTCTCCGCATGTCGCTGGTTCCCCCCGGCCGCCCTCAACCCCAGCCGGACGCCGACCCCGGGGAGGCCCACCTGGCGGAAGGAGGGGGCGGCGGGGGGCGGCCGTGCGTCCCAGGGCACGCACACCAGGCACTGGGCCACCAGCGCGCGGAAAGCCGCCGGGTCCCCGCGCTGCACCAGCCGCCAGCCCTGGGGCCCCAGGCGCCGCACGAACGTGGCCAGCGGCAGCACCTCGCGGTAGTGGCTGCGCAGCAGGGAGCGCACGGCTCGGCAGCGGGGAGCGCGCGGCATCGCGGGGGTGGCCGGGGCCAGGGCTTCCCACGTGCGCAGCAGGACGCAGCGCTGCCTGAAACTCGCGCCGCGAGGAGAGGGCGGGGCCGCGGAAAGGAAGGGGAGGGGCTGGGAGGGCCCGGAGGGGGCTGGGCCGGGGACCCGGGAGGGGTCGGGACGGGGCGGGGTCCGCGCGGAGGAGGCGGAGCTGGAAGGTGAAGGGGCAGGACGGGTGCCCGGGTCCCCAGTCCCTCCGCCACGTGGGAAGCGCGGTCCTGGGCGTCTGTGCCCGCGAATCCACTGGGAGCCCGGCCTGGCCCCGACAGCGCAGCTGCTCCGGGCGGACCCGGGGGTCTGGGCCGCGCTTCCCCGCCCGCGCGCCGCTCGCGCTCCCAGGGTGCAGGGACGCCAGCGAGGGCCCCAGCGGAGAGAGGTCGAATCGGCCTAGGCTGTGGGGTAACCCGAGGGAGGGGCCATGATGTGGAGGCCCTGGGAACAGGTGCGTGCGGCGACCCTTTGGCCGCTGGCCTGATCCGGAGACCCAGGGCTGCCTCCAGGTCCGGACGCGGGGCGTCGGGCTCCGGGCACCACGAATGCCGGACGTGAAGGGGAGGACGGAGGCGCGTAGACGCGGCTGGGGACGAACCCGAGGACGCATTGCTCCCTGGACGGGCACGCGGGACCTCCCGGAGTGCCTCCCTGCAACACTTCCCCGCGACTTGGGCTCCTTGACACAGGCCCGTCATTTCTCTTTGCAGGTTCTCAGGCGGCGAGGGGTCCCCACCATGAGCAAACCACCCCAAATCTGTTAATCACCCACCGGGGCGGTCCCGTCGAGAAAGGGTGGGAAATGGAGCCAGGCGCTCCTGCTGGCCGCGCACCGGGCGCCTCACACCAGCCACAACGGCCTTGACCCTGGGCCCCGGCACTCTGTCTGGCAGATGAGGCCAACATCTGGTCACATCCCGCCCGCACAGGGTGGAGGGCAACCTCGGGGTCCAGGCACCTGGCTCCAAGCCTCGGACTGCAGAGCTAGGAGGCCCGACTTCCAGCCCAGCAGTAGAAGCCACACGGCCACTGGTCCCCTCCAGACCTGGGGCCCCGGCACAACCGCAGGACAGCTGAGGACTTCCCAGGAATCCAGACTCCGGGTTGCTCAAGTTTGGATCTAAGGGGCGAGAAACTTCTGGGTCTCCCGAGGCCTTGCAGGGATGCTGTAGCTGAGGTCGGCAAACACTGAAATGCTAACAAACGCAACCTTAAATGTAACCTTTCCTACTTTCAGAAACTGCCGGAGGAAATTGCTTTATTTATGGAGCTAGCATTTGAACAGGCCTCGCACCCTCCCTGGGCTGTCACGCTCGCTGGAGGTTAGCCTCGTCTTGTAAATACTTAGGATTACAGGTCGCTCTTCTAGAAATCCCCTTAGTGATCCCTAAGCCTTTTTAAAGGGCTGTGTTTGTGAATTGTCTCTGCCACTAGGGCAAAGGGGCGGTTTGGAAAATTTGTTCCAACAAAAGTTAAGTTGTAGCTTACACTGGTTCTCTGCAGAGAAGCCAACATAGAAAACACAATTTTAAAAGAGGGAAGAGAAGAAATGGAAGCAGAAGATTATGCTGGAGTAATTAACACCATGTGCATGGCGAGGAAACGCCTCCCGGCATTCAATGAAGATCGCTGATACCCAGAAGACACCCCAGTATTATGGGTGCAGTTAGTGTGTCTTTGAAAAGCTGATGATGTCTTAGTCATCACAGTGTAAAACATCAAGAGTGTTCTAACAACAATAAAAAAATTCTATCATTGGCTTAAAACACCACAACACTTGAGTGGGGTGAGCTTCCTACCTCAGACCCAGATGTTTCTAAACAGAGTAAATTCTGAGCTGGGCATGGTGGCTCACACCTGTAATCCCAGCACTTTAGGAGGCAGAGGCAGGTGGATCATCTGAGGTCAGAAGTTCGAGACCAGCCTGGCCAACATGGTGAACCCCACCCCCACCCCCGTCTCTACTAAAAATACAAAAAATTAGCTGGGCATGGTGGCGGGTGCCTGTAATCCCAGCCAAATGGGAGGCGGAAGCAGGAGAATCACTTGAACCTGGGAGGCAGAGGCTGCAGTAAGCCAAGATCGCGCCATTGCACTCCCTCCAGCCTGAGCAACAAGAGTGAAACTGCCTCTCAAAACAAAACAAACAAACCAACAAATGAAACAGTGGATTCAGTACCAGCAGTGAAAAATAACAAAGTATCATTCCTTCCTCCACAGGAGTGAGAGGAACTCCTCTGCCCCTGGGGGGGGATAGGGAAGGGGCTCAATCCCAGTAGAGTAGGAGGGATGGACTTTAATTTCTACATGTTTCAGCACACACTGAGACATTGAGATTCAGGACAGTGTCCACACTCGCGCCCTGATTCTACATCAGGTTTCTACTGGCAGATGGCAACCCCACTGGGACCTGAAGCCTGCAGCCTCCCAGCTGCCCCTGCAGTGGGTCCCATGGGATAACAGGTGGTCACAGAAACTGTGAATATGTCAAGAGACGGTGTATCCCCAGTCTACGAAGAATTACAGAAAATATCAAAGGAGGGTAACTCCTGAGTAAAGGGGAAATTGAACTCCATGAACTCCTTACCAGTGGGTGTGACTTGAGCCCAGGGAAGTTTTAAAATGGTTAAATAGGCCAGGTGCAGTGGCTCATGCCTGTAATCCCAGCACTTTGGGAGGCTGAGGTGGGCGGATCACCTGAGGTCAGGATTTTGAGATCAGCCTGACCAACATGGTGAAAGCCCATCTCTACTAAAAATACAAAATTAGCCGGGTGTGGTGGTGCATGCCTGAAATCCCAGCTACTTGGGAGGCTGAGGCACGAGAATTGCTTGAACCCAGGAGACGGAGGTTGCAGTGAGCCAAGATCATGCCGCTGCACTCCAGCCTGGGCAACAAGAGCATAACTCTGTCTCAGAAAGTAAGTAAATAAAATAAAATAGCTAAATAAAATCACTCGTGCCTGCCCTGCCCTTGCCCGGAGGCACTTCAGCCCTGTCCTTGGATGTTTCTGTAAACCTTTGTTTTGAAATAATCCTAGATTCACAGTGCATGGGTTTCCTGTTGCTTCTGCAAATCCCCACACACTTCATGCTAGAAGGGCAGCGCGAGTGCCCTCCTATGGCACGGAGGCCGGAGGTCCACGATGGGCCCTGGTGGGCTAAGGGCCAGCCGTGCCTTCCTGCTGCAGGCTCCGTGGAGGGTCCCTTCCCCGCTTTTTCCAGCTTCTGGAGGCGCTTGCAGGCCTGGGCTCGAGGCCCTCCCTCCCTTTTCAGCCTCAGACTGACTGCCTCCATCGTCCTGAGGCTGCCCCCCTCTGACCCTCCTGCCCGCCTCTTCCCAGAACCCCTGGATTACTTTTCGGGCCTGCAGGTAGTCCCGAAGGATCCCAGACCTCAGGGTCCTCACGGAGATCACACCTGCAAAGGCCCTGGGGCCGGGCGGGTTCTGTCCACAGGTTTGGGGGAATCAGGACGTGGGCATCTCTAGAGCATTATCCTGCCCAGGACACTCGGGCATGGCAAAGATGGCACAGCCTCCGGGTTCCCCCATCCCCACTCCCCTATGGTTAGTCTCCCATAACTGAGCCAATACCATCAGAACCAGGAAACTGGCTTTAGTAAAAGGTGCGTGCAGTAGCCCCCAGCTGCCGCCCCCACCGTCCTTAACCCCCCTAACCACTCCCCTGCCATGGGGTGAAATTCTTTCTTTTTGAGCATGTTGCGTACGTATCCCATGGAGGTGGCAGTTTTGACTCAGCGTAATTCCCTTGAGATGCCTGCAGGCTTTATAAACGGCATGTTCCTCTTCACTGTGAGGAACTGTCCACCGTGCGGATGGACCCGTTTGTTTAACCAGTTTGTTAAAGGACATTTTAGCAGGGATTTCCCTGCTTTGTAGCTATTAAAATAAAACAGCGGGGGTCGGTCGTGGACGGGAGTGTGTACATGATGTGCGTAGTCACGTGAATTCCCAGGGCTGTGGGGCAAATGTCCAGGGGTGCCAATGCTGGGTCTTTTGGGAAGAGGATGCTTAGTGCTTGTGGAAACTGCCACTCTGTGTTCCAGAGGGAGGGGGGCAGAAAAGTGCTGGGCAGAGAAGGGCGGGTCCCTGGCGGGGGCTCCATCCCCAGGCCTGTGCCCGTGGACCTAGGTGAGGACAGGCACTCCTACTTTCACACCCAAATGTTGCATTTCCCAAGAGCGCCCTGGCCCACCACGCCCCCGTCCTATGCCTATAAAAACCCCCAGACCCTAGCGGGCAGAGACACACGCAGCTGGACGTGGAAAGGAGCACAGAAACAGAAGAACACACCGGCAGGCCCCGGCAGATGACAGGAGACGGGGAGCGCCTGGAAATGGAGGTCAGCGTGCAGCCGGACGCCAGGAACCTGCATCGGGGGCCACGAGCCAGGTTCAGGCTCAGAGGAGCCAGTCTGGGAGGCGCAGAATCTCCTCCCTTCAACGCATGTGAGTGTTGGGGAAGGAGACAGACACCCCATGTGAGGAGGAACCGTGCGAGCTACGTCGCTGAGACAAGACACAGTGGGACAGGTGAGACAGTAGCGCTGGAACACGGCCCACCCAGGGTTTAGGAAGCTGCTGGAGAAGCTGAGGCCTGGAGGTGGAGGGTGTGGAGACAGGGCTGGCCTCAGTGTGGCACCCCAGGCTGAGTCTCCAGGGCAGATGGCGCCCTCGGGAAGCAGCAACCAGGCCCTAGAATCTGGGGGAGTGCCTGCCAGGGTCTACTAGTCTAGAGGAACAGACTGTTCAGCCGCTGTTGTCACCCCAGCCTGGTGGCTGAAAGCAGCCTCATCTCTCCTGGACTCTTAATATATCAGGGGTGTGGGCCGTGCTCTGTGGGCCTAGTAAAAGAGTGGTGTTTGTACTGAGTGTTGTCATGGCTTGTCACACCCGAAGAAGTTGCTGGAATCATTCAATCCTTGGGGGTGAAGATGAATAATGATGGAAGGAACGGTCCCCATCAGCAGAGTCGTGTAATTTACATGGCCATTTCCTGCACACCACTTCATTACCCTTGACCCACCCAGGGAAGCAGGCAGGCAAGGGTCATGTTCGTTTCCACGGGTTCAGAGCTCCGTGACTTCCTGGGTTAGTGTGGGTGGGCCCAGGAAGCCGGTATGGGGTCCTGAGTCACACGCAGCGTGGCCGCCTTCGCGTTGCCCAATGTGGCAGCTCCCAGGGAGGACGGTCAGTGGTCCTGCTGTCAGCCTCAGCCTCCCAGGCCGGGGACTCTCTCCCCGGTGGCCTTGCCGTGCTCATAGCCCTGCCGCCCAGTCCTCTCCTCGTGTACTTTCCCTTGCACCCTAAGCCACCTTATGAAAACCAATAAAAAGTACTTAGGGCGAAAAATCCCTCTGAACATGGTTATTAAGTCCTTGGACCTTGGCAAACATAGCTCAGTTCCTGTTTTACGCCTTTGGATTTCTGCACTCCTGAATGTTATTTGATGAAATTTAAGAAAATATTAAGATAAAATCCAAATCCATTCGGATGTGGAAAGGTTGAATTTACTCATGGAATTAAGTCTTTGAATCCCGCCGTCGCTGTCCGCCCCCAGCCACATCCCAGTTTGTTATTAAGCCAGGCTCAGACTCCTCTCTCCAGGGCGGGGGTCTGTGGAGCCCTTTGCAAGAGGGTCCTCAGCACGGGCTCGGAGAAGCTCCACGGGGGTCACTCTGTCCCGATCAGAAACCGCGAGGGCAAGAGAGGGAGAGAGGAAAGAGGTAAATGACCGCAGAGCGGGCGTCTGGTTTTCCCTTGAGAAGGGTGCTTCCATGACTTTCTGTTTTAAAGAAGGCACCTAACTCAAGCTTCCCTCAGAATACACCTTGGTCACTGCTTCAGGTGAAAAAAAGATTTAAGCCATACTTCGAGGTGCCTTGACTCCTCTCCCTCTGGCACACGCCCGGGTGGGCGCCATAGCTGCTGGCCTGGGTTTGAGCAGGAGGCTTCTGACTCCTTGCATTCCCGCTGGCCGCCTTTTCCAGATGGTATCCAGAGCAATCTTTGCAAAGCGTAAATAAGGGCACTTCATGCGCTGCTCACCAACGAGGCAGGCTTCTCATCGCCCCTTCCCATCCGAGCTTTCCTGTCCTCGGGTCATCAGGCCTCTGCCTTGCACCTGGGTCTTGGCCAGAGACCCTTGAAGATTGAAGTGGCTCAGGTCCACAGAGCCACCTGCTTCCTGCCAGGTACTCTAATTCTTCTGGAGGAAATCACCACCATTTTTCGTTTCAGGATTCATACAGATTAAGTTTAACCAAACACGAACACACAATCGAAAATCTCCAAGCACACAAGAAAAAAAGCACCGTGAATGAGAGGACGGTGTGATCAGACGTGCCAATTCTGCAGCTCGATTTTAGAGATATCTGTAATTATTGGTAATTAATAGAGATTACCTTTCACCATTATTAGCAGTTGTTTTAGGGCTTATAGAATGCCTCTTTAACTTCTCCCAGCCTGTCTTTGGTTAAAATTAAGTCACTTACAGAGAGTATGAGCGTCTAACAACAGTAACTTCCACTGTTCCCTCCTCACATTTCTGCCATCGTGGCCATAACTTTTACTTCTTCAGAAGCTAGAAACCCCACATACATTGTTCTTATTTTAGATTAAGTGGTTAATTACCTTTTATAATTGTTTTAATTTTTAACTTCTAATATAGTAGAGTATATATTTATACGGTACATAAAAATTACAATTTTAATCTTCTTTTTTTTGTTTTTGTTTTGAGATGGAGTCTTGCTCTGTCACCCAGGCTGCAGTGCAGTGGCATGATCTCGGCTCACTGCAACCTCCGCCTCCCAGGTTCAAGCAATTCTCCTGTCTCAGCCTCCTGAGTAGTTGGGACTACAGGTATGTGCCACCACGCCTGGCTAATTTTTGTATCTTTAGTAGAGACAGGGTTTCATCATGGTGGCCAGACTGGTTTCAAACTCCTGACCTCAGGTGATCCACCGCCTCGGCCTCCCAAAGTGCTGGGATTATGGACATGAGCCACCGTGCCTGGCCATTAAAATTTTAATTTTTAATATAGTAGGGTTTATATCTATAGCATACATGAGATATTTTGATACAGGCATACAATGTGTAATAATCACATCAGGGTAAATGGGGTATCTGTCACCTTCAAGCATTTATCCTTTCTTTGTGTTACAAACAACCCAATTATACTCTTTTAGTTATTTTAAAACATACAATAAATTATTGTTGACTCTAGTCACCCTGTCCCCCACCCCTCTAGAACCACCATTCTCCTCTATTTCTATGTCAATTGTTTTAATTTTTGCTCCCACAAGTAAGGGAGAACATGAAAAGTTTGTCTTTCTGTGCCTGGCTTATTTCACTTAACATACTGACCAGTGCCCCCCATGCTGTTGCAACTGACAGGATCTCATTCTTTTTTATGGCTGCGTAGTACTCCATTGTGTATGTGCACCACATTTTCTTTTTCCATTCGTCTGTTGATGGACACTGAGGTTGCTTCCAAACCTTGGCTGCTATGAACAGTGCTGCAGTAAATGTGGGAGTGGAGATAGCTTGTTGATACACTGATTCCCTTTTTTGGAGTATATACCTAGCAATGGGATTGCTGTATGGTAGCTTTATTTTTAGTTTTTTGAGGAACTTTCAAACTGTTCTCCATAGTGGTAGCAATTTCCATTCCCACCAACAGTGTCCAAGGGTTTCCTTTTATCCACATCCTCACTGGCATTTGTTATTGCCTGTCTTTTGAATAAAAGCCATTTTAACTGGGGTGAGATGATCTCTCATAGTAGTTTTGATTTGCATTTCTCTGATGATCAGTGGTGTTGAGCACATTTTCAGATGCCTGTTTGCCATTTGTATGACTTATTTTGAGAAATGTCTACCCAGATCTTTTGCTTATTTTTGAAAATCAGCTTATTAGGTGTTTTTCTTATAGAGTAGTTTGAGCTCCTTATATATACTGGTTATTAATTCCTTGTTAGATGAATAGTTTGCAAATATATTCTCCCATTCTGTGGGTTGTCTCTTCTCTTTGTTGATTGTTTCCTTTGCTGGGCAGAAGCTTTTTAACTTGATATGATCCCATTTGTCTGTTTTTGCTTTGGTTGCCTGTGCCTGCAGGGAATTACTCAAGAAGTCTTTGCCCACTCCAATGTCCTGGAGAGTTTCTCCGGTGTTTTCTTTTAGTAGTTGCAAAGTTTGAGGTTTTAGATTTAAGCCTTTCATCCATTTTGATTTGCTTTTGTATATGGTGAGAGACAGAGTTCTAGTATTGTTATTTTGCATATGGATATCCAGTTCCTCCAGCACCATTTATTGAAGAGATTATCTTTTCCCCAAAGTATGTTCTTGGCACCTTTGTCAAAAATGAGTTCACTGTAGATGCATGGATTTGTTTCTGGATTCTCTATTCTGTTCCTCTGGTCCATGTCTCATCTGTTTTTATGCCAGTACCATGTAGTTTGGGTTACTATAGCTTTGTAGTATAATTTGAAGTCAGGTAATGTGATGCTTCCAGTTTTGTTCTTTTTGGTCAGGATAGCTTTGGCTATTCTGGGTCTTTTGTGGTTCTGTACAAATCTTAGAATTGTTTCTTCTATTTCTGTGAAGAACGTCATTAGTATTTTAATAGGGATTGCATTGAATTTGTAAATTGCTTTGGGTAGTATGGACATTTTAACAGTATTTATTCTTCCAATCTATGAACATGGAATATCTTTTCTTTTTTTGTGCCCTCTTCAATTTCTTTTATCAATATTTTATAGTTTTCATTGTAGAGATCTTTCACTTCTTTGGTTAATTCCTAGCTGTTTAATTTTATTTGTAGCTGCTTTTTTGGTTTCTTTTTCAGATTGTTTGCTGTTGGAATATAGAAATACTACTGATTTTTGTACATTGATTTTGTATCCTGCTGTACCAAATTTCAGCTCTAATAGTTTTTTAGTGGTGTCTTAAGTCTTTTCCAGATATAAGATCATATCATCTGCAAACAGGATAATTTGACTTCTTCCTTTCCAGTTTGGATGCCTTTTATTTCTTTCTCTTATCTGATTGCTCTAGCTAGGACTTCTAGTACTATGTTGAATCACAGTGGTGAAAGTGGGCCCTTGTCATTTTCCAGATCTTAGAGGAAAGGCTTTCAGTTTTTCCTCATAATACTACCTCGGTCTGTCATATAGGGCTTTTATTATGTTGAAATATGTTTCTTCTTCTTCCTCTTTCCCTTCCCCTTCCCCTTCCACTTCTCCTCCACCTCCTCCTTCTCCTCCTCCTCCCTTCTCCCTCCCTTCTCCCTTCTCCTTCTCCTTCTTCTTATTCAGTGGGGTCTTGTTCTGTTGTCTAGGCTGGAGTACAGTGACATGTTCATGGCTCACTGCAGCCTCGACCTCCTAGGCTTAAGTGATTCTCCCACCTCAGCCTCCAGACTAGCTGGGACTACAGGCATATGCCATCATGCCTGGCTAATTTTTTAAAAAAGTTTTTTGTAGACCAGGTCTCATTTTGTTGCCCAGGCTAGTCTCAAACTCCTGGGCCCAAGCAATCATCCCACCTTGGCCTCCCAGAGTGCTGGGATCGCAGGTGTGAGCCACTGTGCCTGGCCTGTATGTTTCTTGTATACCTGGTTTTTTGAGGGTTTTTATCATGAAGGGTGCAGAATTTTATCAAATGCTTTTTCTGCATAAAGTGAAATAATCATATAGTTTTTGTACTTCATTTTGTTGGGATGATGTATCACATTGATTGATTTGCATATGTTGAACCATCCTTCCATCCCTGGAATAAATCCCACTTGATCACAATGAATGATCTTTCGAAGGTGTTGTTTAATTTGGTTTGCTAGTGTTTTGTTGAGGATTTTTGTATCAGTATTCATCAGGGATATTGGCCTGTAGTTTTCTTTCTTTCTGTTTTTTTGTTTGTTTGTTTTTGATGTGTTTTTGTCTGGTTTTGGAATCAGGGTAATACTGGCCATGTAGAATGAGTTTGGAAGTATTCTTTCCTCTATTTTTCAGAATAGTTTGAGTAGGATTGGAATTCATTCTTCTTTAAATGATTGGTAAAATCCAGCAGGGAAGCCATTGGGTCCTGGGCTTCTCTTTGCTAGGAGACTTTTTATTATGGCTTTAATCCCATTATTGTTATTGGTCTGTTTGGGCTTTGGATTTCTTCATGGTTCAATCTTGGTAGGTTGTATGCATCTAGGAATTTATCTATTTTTTCTAGGTTTTTCAATTTATTAGTGTACAGTTGCTCATAGTAGCCTCTAGTGATCCTTTGAATTTCTGTGGTATCAGTTGTAATGTCTCTTTTTTCATCTCTGACTTTATTTATTTAGGTCTTCTTTCCTTTTTTCTTAGTCTGGGCAAAGGTTTGTCAATTTTGTTTATCTTTTCAAAAAACCAACTTTTAATTTTGTTGATCTTTTGTATTGTTATCTTTCAGTTTCATTTATTTCTGCTCTGATCTTTATTATTTCTTTTCTTTTACCAATTTTAGGTTTAGTTTGCTCTTGCTTTTCTAGTTCTTTAAGGTGCATCATTAGGTTGTATTTTTAAGTTTTTCTACTTTTTTTTTTTTCTTGAGACAGGGTTTCACTCTTGTTACCCAGGCTGGAGTCCAATGGCGCAATCCCGGCTCACCGCAACCTCCACCTCCTGGGTTCAAGCGGTTATCCTGCCTCAGCCTCCCGAGTAGCTGGGATTACAGGCATGTGCCACCATGCCCAGCTAATTTTGTATTTTTAGTAGCGACAAGGTTTCTCTGTGTTGGTCAGGCTGGTCTCGAACTCCTGACCTCAGGCGATCTGCCCGCCTTGGCCTCCCAAAGTGCTGGGATTACAGGCATGAGCCACTGCGCCTGGCTTTTCTACTTTTTTGATGTAGCTGCTTATAGCTATAAACTTCCTTCTTAGCACTGCTTTTGCTGTATACCGTGGGTTTTGAGAGGTTATGTTTCCGTTATCATTTGCTTAAATAAATTTTTCAATTTCCTTTTTAATTTCTTCATTGACTCACTGGTTATTCAGAAGTATATTGTTTAATTTTCATGTGTTTGTATAGTTTTCAAAATTCCTCTTGTTGTTGATTTCTGGTTTTGTTCCACTGTGGCCAGAGAAGATGCTTTATATTATTTCAATTTTTTTTTTTTTTTTTGAGACAGGGTCTCATTCTGTCACCAAGGCTGGTGTGTGGTGTTGCAATCATGGCTCACCGTAGCCTTGAACTCTTGGGCTCAAGTGATCCTCCCACTTCAGCCTCCTAAGTAGCTGGGACTACAGGCACACACCACTATGCCTGGCTAATTAAAAAAAAAAGTTTGTAGAGACAGGGTCTCACTATTTTGCCCAGGCTGGTCTCAAACTCCTGTACTCAAGAGATCCTCCCACCTCACCCTCCCCAAAGTGCTGTAATTACAAGCATAAGCCATCATGCCTGGCTCAATTTTTTTGAATTTTTAATGGCTTGTTCTGTGGCCTAATATATGGTCTATCCTTGAGAATGATCCATATGCTGAGGAAAAAATGCATATTCTGCAACTACTGGATGAAATGTCTTGTAAACATCAATTAGGTACATTTGTTCTATATTATAGATTAAGTCCAATTTTTTGGTTGATTTTCTGTCTGGATGATCTGTCCAATGCTAAAAGCGGGGTGAAGTCTCCAGCTATTATTGTATGGGGATCTCTCTCTCTCCTTAGTTCTAATAATATTTGCTGTATATATCTGGGTGTCCCAGTGTTGGGCGCATATAAATTCACAATTGTTATATCTTTTTGCTTTATTATTATATAATTACTTTGTCTCTTTTTGTACTTTTTGTCTTGAAATCTATTTTGTCTGATATAAGTGTAGCTAGTTCTGTTCTTTTTTTGGTTTCCATTTGCATAGAATATTTTTCCTTCCTTTTATTTTCAGTCTATGTGTCCCTTTATAGGTGAAGTATATTCTTGTAGGCAACAGATTATTGAGTCTTGTTTTTTTCGTCCATTCAGCCACTCTATGTCTTTTGATTGGAGAGTTTAGTCCATTTACACCCAGCATTATTATTGATAAGTCAGGAATTACTCCTGCTGTTTTGTTGTTTGTTTTCTGGTTGTTTCATGGTCTTCTCTTCCTTCTTTCTTTCCTTCCTGTGTTCCTTTTAGTGAAGGTAATTTCTTCTGGTGGCATGATTTAATTTATTGGTTTTTATTTTTGGTGTATCTGTTATATGTTTTTTTATTTGAGGTTACCATGAGACTTATATGTGCCATGAGATTTGGAAAGGTGCCCAGCCAAAAGTTTTTTTATATATTTATATATATATGTATATACGTATATACATTTATATATATACGTATATACGTATATACATTTATATATATACGTATATACGTATATACATGTATATACGTATATACGTATATACATGTATATACGTATATACGTATATACATGTATATACGTACGTATATACATGTATATACGTATATACGTATATACATGTATATACGTATATATGTTTATATATGTATATATTTGTATATACTTGTATATTTATATATTTATATATGTATATATATTTATATATGTATATTTATATATGTATATATTTATATATGTATATTTATATATGTATATTTATATATGTGTATATATATTTATATATGTATATGTATATTTATATATGTATATATGTATATTTATATATGTATATATTTATATATGTATATTTATATATGTATATATTTATATATGTATATTTATATATGTATTTATATATGTATATTTATATATGTATATATTTATATATGTATATTTATATATGTATTTATATATGTATATTTATATATGTATATATTTATATATGTAAATATATTATATATGTATATATATGTATATAGATTTATATATGTGTATATATGTATATATGTATATAGATTTATATATGTGTATATATATTTATATATGTATATATATGTGCATATATATTTATGTATATGTATTTTGTTTGTTTGTTTTTGAGATGGAGTTTCACTCTGTCACCAAGGCTGGAGTGCACTGGTGCAATCTTGGCTCACCACCTCTGCCTCCCAGTTCAAGCAATTCTCCTGCCTTAGCCTCCTGAGTACCTGGGATTACAGGCATGTGTCACCACACCCAGCTAATTTTTGTGTTTTTAGTACAGATGGGGTTTCGCTATATTGGCCAGGCTGGTCTCGAACTCCTGACCTTAAGCGATCCACCCACCTTGGCCTCCCAAAGTGCTGGGATTACAGGTGTGAGCCACCAAGCCTGGCCTAAAATATGTTTTGAAATATACTTTCAGTGGGTAAAAAACATTTTAATGTAGCATTTTTTTTCCTTTTGGTTTTAAAAAATGTCTTTTGTCTTGTGTTTCCTACAAGAAATCTGTATTGTTTTCGTTGTTTCTTGGCCTGTCATTAATCTCTTTTCCTCTGATACTCTTAAGATATTCTCTTTGTTGCTGGTTTTCAGCAATTTGACTGTGATATAACTTTTAATTTCTTCCTGTTTCTTGTGCTTTGTTTTGTTGAGCTTCTTGGATCTGTGGTTTTATGTTTTTCCTCATATTTGAAAAACTTTTAGACATTATTTCTTAAAGTATTTTCCCCCTGCCTCTGCTCCTACAGGGCCTCTGCTTACACATATGTAAGGCCGATGGAACTTCTGCTGAAGCTCACTGATGCCCTTTTCTTTTCGTTTCTTTATCTTTTTTTTCCTGTGTTTCACTTCATGTAGTTTCTGTTGCTGTGTGTTCAAATCCATTAATCTTTTCTTCGGCAATGCCTCATCTTCCATTGATCTAATCCAATGTATTTTTCTTCTCAGACATTACACTTTTTGTCTGTAGATGTTTGACAAGGATCTTTTGCTATCTTCCATGTCTCTGCCTTAACATCTTAATCTTTCCTCTAGCGACTTGAACACGCGGAATAAAGGTGATCAACGGGTTTAATGTCCTTTTCTACTAATTCTGTCATGTCTGTCGCTCCCCGGTAAGCTCTGGGTGGTTTTCTTCCCATTGCAGGAATTGTTTCCTTGCTTCCTCGCATGCCTGGTAATATGGATGCACGCAGTGTGCGTTTCATCTTGTTTGGTGATGTATATTTTTGTGTTCCTAAAAATATTGTTTAGTTTTTTCCTGGGAAACAGTTACATTCCTTGGAAAAACTCGATCCTTCTGAATCCTGTGCTTGGGCTCCAGTAAGTGGGACCAGGGCAGGGGTTGATCCACGAGGAAGGTTTTTTCTCCGCTACTGAGGCCAGACTCTTCTGAATACGCCAGTCAATACCTTGTGAATTGAGCTTTTCTAACTCACACGGTATTGACTGGAGTACTCCAAAGAGTCATCATGCCAAGATAATTGACGTTTGGGCTGGGCGTGGTGGCTCACGCCTGTAGTCCCATCACTTTGGGAGGCTGAGGTAGGTGGATCAGGATCACTTGAGCCCAGGAGTTTGAGACCAGCCTGGGCAACATGGTGCAACTCTGTCTCTACAAAAAATATAAAAATTAGCCACATGGGGTGGCATGTGCCTGTGGTCCCAGCTACTTGGGAGGCTGAGGTGAGAGGATCACCTGTGCCTGGGAAGGTCATAGCTGCGGTAAGCCAAGGTCGCACCCCTGTACTCCAGCCTTGGTGACAGTGAGACCCTGTCTCTGAGGCCAGGCTCTACTGAGTACTCCAGTCAATACCTGGTGAATTAGGGCTGGGGGCGGTGGCTCATGCCTGTAATCCCAGCACTTTGGGAGGCTGAGATGGGTGGATCACTTGAGGCCAAGAGTTTGAGACCAGCCTGGTCAACATGGTGAAACCCTGTCTCTACTAAAAATACAAAAATTAGCCAGGCATGGTAGCATGCACCTGTACTCCCAGCTACTCAGGAGGTTGAGGCAGGAGAATTGCTTGAACCCGGGAGGAAGACATTGCAGTGAGTCAAGATCGCGCCACTGCACTCCAGCCTTAGCAATAGAGTAAGACCTTGTCTCAAAAACAAACGAACAAAAACAAAAACAAAACAAAACAAATAACAACAAAAAAACCTGGTGAATTAGAAGCTTTTCTGCTCTGGCTAATTAGAACCGGCACTATTGCTGTGGGAACACCATTCCTTCCAATCCTATTGGGTTGTTCTTATTTGGACCTTTTCCTGTAATCCAGTCCTTTTTCTGACACACATGCCGACCAGCCATCAGCCACATATCCTGAAGCCCAGTTTCCACACAGTTCACTCCTCCAGTGCTTTCTCAGACCTCAGCCACCTTGGCCTCCCTGGTCTCCAGCTCCATCTCCTCGCCCCAGGGAGACGACCAGGTCCAGCCTCAGGTGGGCACCATTGCCCGGACAGTCTTCCCAGGTAAGCGATTGTAGGCTTGCCGCATTTGGCTCCTGCCTTTTGAGGTTCACCTTCTTTCCTTGGCTGAGCTTCAGGATCTTTAGGGCTGTGATTTCATACATTTTGTCTAGTCTATTGTTGGTTGTGTTGTCATGTCAAATGGGAGGACGAATCCCGTTCCTGTTGCTTCATTTTGTCCAGAAGTGAAAGTTCCTAGAACAAGGCTAAAGATTAATGAGCTCATTAACCAGCTCTAAAGGTATGAAATGAAATATGAAAATAGACCAATGAATGTACAAAGAAACAAGTAATGGATCTGAGCAGAAATTAGTGAAGGAGAAAACAAAATATCAACAATCAGCAAAGCTAAACATTTAACATTTACTCTTCTAAGAAAAACTAATAATAATGAAAATGACAAAAACAGGTCATTCCAGAAAAATAAAGATACAAGTAACTATGTAAGTGATGCAGGACACGCAAGCCCCAAAGTGGGGCTTAGCAGGTGAGGGTTCTTGGCTTCACTCAAGGATGAGCCAGTGGTAGTGTTACCAGTGGAGGTTGTCCAGGTTCTTGGTGTTTTGAACTAAGAATTGGACAAAATCCACAAAGCAATGAAAAAAAAAAGCACAGATTTATTAAAACAAAAGTACACTCCACAGAGTGGGAGTGGGCTCAAGCAAGTGGCCCAAGAGCCCAGGTACAGAATCTTGGGGGTTTAAATACCCTCTAGAGGTTTCCCATTGGTTACTTGGTGTATGCCCTATGTAAATGAAGTAGTGACCCACAGTTGGTTGGCTTGGTTGTGGGAAGCGAACAATCAGAGGCTGAATTGAAGTTACAGCATTATATTCCCATACAAATGAAGACTTGGCCCACGACCAGTCTGATTGGTTGCAGGAGGGGACTCATCAGAGGTACTTTCAATTTTTCATCTGCCACTCAGAAAAAAGGGGGAGGTATTGCAAAGGGAATAGCTTCTGGTTCTTTGGTAACTTGGGCATGGAAAGTTGGGGTTTTCCTTTTGATTTCGTTCTAGGAAGTCAGCGTGAATCAGCCTTAGGTTCCCTGCCTCCAGACCCTATTCTCCTGCCTCAGTAGGGTGGAAGGAAACAGCTGTATGGAAGCAGCAGGGTTACAGGTCAGGCAGTGTGACAGCCCCAGGACTGCTCCCGTGGGGCAGGGCTCCCCACAGGCGGCGCGCTGAGGGCAGGGCTCCCGAAGTCAATGCGTCCAGGGCAGGGCTCCCCACAGGTGTTGTGACAGCCCCGGGGCTGCTCCTGCCAGGCAGGGCTCCTCATAGGTGGTGTGCTGAGAGCAGCAGCTCAGGGCAGGTCTGCAGTCAGGTTTGTACCCACTTTTAATTACATGTAGACTAAGGGGCGGTTTATGCAGAAATTTCTAGGGAAGGGGTAGTAACCGTTGTGTAGTGGGGTCATTGCCATGGAAGTGGGTGGTAACGCCTGGGGGTTGCCACGGCAATGGTAAACACTGGTGGGTGTGTCTCATGGAAAGCCGCTTCCGCCCTGGCTGTGTTTCAGCTAGTCCTCAATTGGGTCTGGGGTCCAAGTCCCACCTCTGATCTCATAAGAAGTTGTTACGGATTGTACTGTGTCCTCCCCAAAATCTACGTGTTAAAGTCCTAACCCCCAGAACTTCAGAATGTGCCCTTATTTGGAAATAGAATATTTGCACGTGTGATTAGTTAAGATGGGGTCATTAGGGTGGCCCTAAGCCAGTGACTGGTGTCCTTATAAGAAGGAGAAATCTGGACACAGAGACAGACGGGCATCAAGGGAAGATGATGTGAGGACACAGGGAGAAGACGGCCATGTACAAGCCAAGGAGAGGCTGACACAGAGCATCCCTCGCAGCCTCAGAGGGAGCCAGTCCTGCCCACACCTGATCTGGGACCGTGGCCTCCAGAACTGAGTTGGCCAATGTCTGCTATTGAAGCTGCCAGCCACAGTGCTTTGTTGTGGCCGCCCCCACAAGCTCACACAGGGGTGGAGAAGCAGACGTTGCCACAGGTGTCACGTAAATCAAGACAGTGCTATGCCAATGTCATGCCAAGGCAGTTGATATTTGGGCCAGGCGCAGTGGTGCACACCTGTAGTCCTAGCACTTTGGGAGGCCGAGGTGGGTGGTGGATTGCTTGAGCCCAGGAGTTTGAGATTAGCCTAAGCAACATGGCAAGACCCCATTGCTACAAAAAAATACAAAAATTGGCTGGGCATGGTGGCTCAGGCCTGTAATCCCAGCAATTTGGGGAGCTGAGGTGGACAGATCAATTGAGGTCAGGAGTTCAAGACCACCCTGGCCAATATGGTGAAACCGCCTCTACTAAAAATACAAAAATTAGCCAGGTGTGCCTGTAGTCCCAGCTACTCAGGAGGCTGAGGTGGGAGGATCGCCTGTGCCCAGGGAGGTTGAGACTGCAGTGAGCTGAGATTGCACCACTGCACTCCAGCCTGGACAACAGAGTTAGACCTTGTCTTGAAAAAAAAAAAAAAGACAGTTGTCATTTTAGGTCAAACGGACAAATTCTTTAAACAAAATATAATAAAACATCAAGGGGAAATAGAAAATCTGCATGGTATTATTATCACAGAAGTTACAAAAATTAAAACAGTAGTGAAAAAAATATCCCACAAAGGAAACCGCAGACTTAGGCGGTTTCATCAGTTGCATCCACAAATGCCTTAGGGGATGATTTTAGACAACAGACAGGAGGAAATGGTCTCAGCCTCACCGTCCGTGGCCACGGCAGCTTCAGTGAGCCAGCCCTGCACAATCAGCTCTGCAAGGTGTGATTGGAGGGAACAGGAAACAGAAAACACAAAGAGAAGCCACCCAGAGGGTTGGTGAGGATACAAAGGGTTTTCAACGCCGCTAGTCAGCAGGGAAATGCACATTTAAACCGCGAAAAGGCTCCACTACACACCCACCAGAGTGGCTAAAATTAGACAGCAGCATTGTGTGCTGGAGAAGGGGTGATGCCATGGGGCTCACATGCCACAGTGCACAGCCAGAGTGGCACAGACCCCTTAGAACACGGGTGACATGTACTGGAGCTCAGCACACATGCACCACAACAGCCATGTCCCCCCTGGGTCTGTGCCCAAAGGCAGGCACAGCCACGTGCATGATTTGATCCGTAACGGCCCCGGTTCGTGCCATGGAATGCCACATGGAAGAAAGTCACAATGAGCACCGCTTGCGACAACACAGATGGACGCCAGACAGAGCCCAGCCCGAGAACCTGGGTACCAGAGCTCCCAGCATGACTGTTCATGTGTGGGACTTGGACCCGGTGACCCATGGGCTGGGTTCACCCGCCTGGTTTCCACTGAGAGGGCCCCGTGGGGCCGGGGTCTGTCTGTAGCCTGACTCGGGTGCTTGGTGCTGGAGTCTGGAAGCATGCAGGGCTTGTTGAGCTGCACGGGGTGCATCTGCCATGACACTGTGTGGAAATTGTATAGCAACAAGTTTTTTAAAAGTGCCTGCCGGCCTGGTGCAGCAACTCATGCCTGTAATCCCAGCACGTTGGGAGGCCAAGGCGGGCAGATCACGTGAGGTCAGGAGTTCAATACCAGCCTGGCAACATAGTGAAACCCCATCTCTACTAAAAATACAAAAATGAGCCGGGCGTGGTGGCAGATGTCTGTAACCCCAGCTACTCGAGAGGCTGAGGCAGGAGAATCGCTTGAACCCGGGTGGCAGAGGTTGCAGTGCCAGCCTGGGTGACAGAACGAGACTCCGTCTCAAAAAAAAAAAAAAAAAAAAAGTGTCTGCCTCTCAGTGCACCAGCTGAGTCCAGCCAGCAGGACAGAAGCCACTGGGACATCACACTGAAGGTTCAACAAGGGAAATGGCAGGATGAGGGGGAGGTGGGCATGTCCCCCCAGACATCCCGGTTCAGCCCCAGAACCGCGGATGTGATCCCACGTGCCAGAGTGGACTCGGTGGCCACCATCACACTTGGATCTTGGATGGGAGATGATGCTGGGTAATCGTCTGGGACTGATGTAACCACAGAGGGTCGGGGTGAGAATCAGGGATATGACCACGGAGGCAAAGGTTAGGGTGAGGCGAAGAAGGCCACAAGCCCGGGAATGCAAGGAGCACAGCTCTCGAGGTGGAGAGCACGAGGAACGGAGCACCTGGAGCCCCTGGAGGGCAGGGCCTGCCCACACCCCAGTGGCCGCGCAGGGAGGTCTGGTCTGGACTCCTGGCCTCCAGAACCATCAGAGAACAAATATGCTGCTTGAAGCATGAAAGCTGTGGGGATGGTGGCCGTGGCTGGGGGACACTCAGGCGGTGGCTTTTCTGGGACCAGTGTCTCTGCAGAGGCTGCTGCTCTGAAAGCATGGTGGGCCACAGGGCGCCACACCCCCTTGGGTCCTGTGCCTGCTTCAGGAAAGGGGTAAGCAGTGTGGTATACGCCAAGACCTCCTCCTGGTTTCCCTCCTCCGCATGGATCACTCCTCGAACACAGCCCCTGCTTCGTCAGGGTTCCGTAGCCTCACCTATCGCAGGCTGCACCCCATCCTTCCTCCAGACCCCTGGCCTGTGGGGCTTACCGGGGCCGAGGCCAACAGACTGATCTCGTTGCCAAAGACCCAACAGCCACCAAACTGGCTTCAACAGGGCTATGTGTGGCAGGTACTTCACAGGGGGACGTGTTCTCATTTTCCTTGGCTTTCTAATAAACTCTGGTCTAAAGAAAATCTCTTCTATAAAATGAGTGGCCAGTGCCAAGGGGTAGAGACAGAAGCTCCTTCTGGACACTGGCTGCTCCAGTAGAGCCCATCCTGCCCAGGTACGGAGCCCACCAGCTGCGATCAGGACACTGCAGTTCCACCGTGGGGGACCCCGGGCCCTCACCTTGTCAGTCCTCTGTTTCAGCTTCGAGGGCTTTGACACAGTCTAAAATCCACAGGTACTTAGCGCATTTCTAAGTCCCACCTCATGATCAATCATAAGACAGGGCTTTGATGGTATGCAGAAATATCAATGAAATCCAAGAGGAAAACAGAACTAAACTCATCGGGATGAATGACAGATAAACCCTTTAAGCATGTTTCAAGTCGCCCAGGTGGAGCCTCTGTTGGTCAGTGAAGCTTCAGGGTTCCCATGAGATGGATCTGCATGAGGCTCAGTCCTCTCTTGAAACACTGCCCATTTGCAGGAGCGCCGGCCCACAGGGCAGAAGTCAGACTGTCAGAGCAAGTGCCGGTCCTGAAGCTGGAAGGACTTTCAAGGCTCATTCCCCAAACTCATTTTTTTTTAAACCTCTGCTCATCTTAAAGAAAGGAGAGGCAGGCGCCCCAGAAACCTCTCAGGAGTAACTGACACACGTGACTTGCGGTGTCTTCAAAGGAACACTCTGCAACTTGCTACTGTTTAAACAGAGCAAGACTAACAGTCACCAGCAGCTGGTTCACGCATTAAGGCCCTTTGCAGGTGAAAGAAAACGGCACTGGAGGGCCGACTGCAGAAGCAGACGCAGTGCACGGTGGACATCTGCCCCTTTTGGGGGCCTGCCACGGTGCTTCCTGAAAACTCAGGTTAAGCTGACTCTGCTGTCAGGCTGATGAGGCGCCTGCACCCACCTTTGCTCAGCACGCCAGCCCAAATGGAAGAGCAGGTGCTATGACAAAAATCAGTTCTTGTAGCAACTATTTTTGATACTGAAACTGAAAAGCGAGAGCAGCAAAGCTATCCACGGAGCTCCTGACAGTTAGGCCCGGCTTTGGCTGCTGATGCAGGGGCCGAATGACGCTATTTCTGCAGCAGCCGGCCGCAGGCGCTGACCCACCGCGGGATGTGCCCCAGGAGGCAGAAGAAACGCTGGGAACCGCACCTAACCTTGCCAGCATCCCCCAGGCAAAGCCAGGCACTTTGAGTTCATCGGTGGAGTTGGGCGATACTCCTTTCCCGTTTGTGTGCTTAGCTGCTGCCAACAGGATGTGCTGGGTGAAGCCTTACAGAACACAGCCAGTTGTGTTTTATAAAGCAAGGCTCCCCTCCCCCAAAGACAAATAAAACCACAGGTGTGGAAGGGACACCCTCCACCGCACCCCGCCCTAGTAATCTGACACCGCAGGCAAAGGCACGGCCTGTGTGGGTAAGATCCATTGTAAACGTTTAAAACTTCCTGTTCCCTGATGCCTCAACTTCCCCGCAGACCGACGCACCTGTGATGGGCAGGGCCGTGTGACCTCGTGACCTTCACATACACCAATGAAGACCCTCACGCCTTCTGCTGTCTTTCCCCCACTGCTGACTTGCCTGCGGGCCCCCACTATCTGCCCTGCCTCTGGAGCCGCCTCCCGTGTGCCCCCCCAGGCCCCTTAAGGTGCTGTGCGTCCCATCTGGAACCGGCAGTTCACCCGCTCTCCCAGCCACCCTTCCAGACCCCACTTACAACACACGACTAAGTAACACAGTACAGGCCGTGTATTCGTATTTGTTTTCCTGTGCCAACTCATCTGGTATCTTCGTATTTTAATGAATAAAACTGAAAGATGACAACTTGAAGCCCCAGTGCATTCCTCTCAAATCGAGTGAAGTTTACAACACCTTAATTATAAAAGATTTATCTGATCCAGAAGAAAGCAGAGTGTACAGAAACTTCACTGTCATCTGCGAATGGACTGAGAGCATCTGGATTTGGTTCTCAGCCTGAATGAGCATCCTGGAATGGTGTGTCTCGTCCATTTACGTGGAGACACATGGAACAGGCCTGCAGGCTTGGGGCTCTGAGCAGGGCTCCCAAAGCCCCTCAGCTGCAAGGAAGCCAGGCCCATGAGAGGGGAGCCTGTTCCAGAAACACAAGAGGATGAAAGCTGTTATTGGCAAAGGAGACTTAGAGCAAGGAAATGACCAGGAATAAAAAAAGATTATATATTTAGAGGCCAGGTGTGGTGGCTCATGCCTGTACTCCCAGCACTTCAAAAGGCCAAGGCGGGTGATCACTTGAGATCAGGAGTTCGAGACCAGCCTGGACAACATGGCAAAACCACATCTCTACTAAAAATATTAATACAAAAAAGCTGGATGTGGTGGTGCACACTTGTAGTCGCAGCTACTCAGGAGGCTGAGGCAAGAAGATTGTGTGAACATGGGAGGTGGAGGCTGCTGTGAGCTGAGAACAACAAACCCCACAAAAACTAACTTCAACAAACATTAAACTTCACTACACACCGAGTCCAGCAGTTCTCCACCCATCTTTCTATTCCATTTCTCTCTCTCTGCCTCAACCTAGGGCAAGATAAGCTTGACCTGATGGGTCATGGCTCTGTACAATAGTTTAGTCTTAAACAACTAAGATGCTACGTATCTAAGAACACTCATGACTCAAAGGCTTGCAAAGGGCTCTTTAAATTTGCTCTTTTAATGCATAAATAAATCCATATCATGTATTACTTTCTGGAAAAGGGTTAAACTCAAATATCCGAAATACTTTCATTATACCAGGTCAAGAAAAATGCCACAGCCAGAAAAATTTATTTTAAAATAGAAACATACATTAAGCTTTAAAACAACCAACTCTCAAACAAAAGAGGAAAGAGCCTTTGATCCCAGAGTCCATGCGGAATGAATTCCATACGTGTTTGAAATTCACATAAGGAGCACTTAGAAAACCACCTGAAATGGAAATCCAACAGCCCCCTTGCCTGTGAGGGCTCCCACCCCTGCCCGCGTGAGGACATGGCCGAACCCCGGACACTCGTGTGCCGGGAGCCACCACAGCTCAAGGTGACCGGCAGCACCCAGCTCTGTGACCAAGACAGATGTTCACACGTGGGGGCATCGTAAGCGCTACCAGCTCCAAATCTGACGTGATGGGAACTTGGGAGATGTCTGAGAAATGTCCGAAGGGATTTTGGCAACACAGAAAACGCAATGTCTAGGAATTCCTCCAAATGCTTCCAAAAATACTCATTGACAATTCAAGTTGCACTTGGCTGGCGGCAGCCCGGGCGGCCTTCAGTCCGTGTGGGGCGCCCGCGTGGCCTTCTCCTCGTAGGACTCCCCAAACTCGTTCACTCTGCGTTTATCCACAGGATAAAGCCTGCAATGACACAAATGAGCACATCAGCAAACCCCACTGCAGGGGCTATTTTTCTAAGAGGAGGACTTGGCATCCTCGATTTATTTTCCAGTGAGCTGCCACAGTGAGCAAATTAACTAAAAAGTCGAATCCTCAGAAGTTTTACTGCCGAGGGCTGAGGAGGGATTTCTGAGTTGTGTTTTGTTCTGCATGGCCAGGCCAGCGTGCTGCTCTCAAGGAAAGGGAAGCTTGGCCGAAGGGACGACCCGGAGGCTGCACGGGCTGCCATGGCTGAAGGGGGGACCCGGAGGCTGCACGGGCTGCCTTCTGGGAACGGTGGCATCACGGAGACTCGAGTGATCAGAACAGGAACCGCTGTGTTCAGGGACCACGTCTCATCAGCTGTGAACACTTGGCAGGACACTGCCGCCGCCTTTGATCCTGAGCGCCCCGGAGGCCTTGCCAACATCACCCCTACGTATGGATGAGGAAGCTGTGGCATAAGGGGCAGCTCTACACGGCCGCGAACAGAAGTACAGGGTTTCAGCTTAAAAACAGACCTGCTGCCCACCAAGGGCCCTGTGATCCTGGCCAAACACCGTTTGCAGGTCTGGAGCCATTAACACAGAGCCTGAGTACAGCACAGTTTCAGGCACGCCCCGGGCCACCTGCGAGGACTTGGGAGCCACTTGAAGGGCTCACAGTTGAGACAACCACACCAGGCGCAGCAGCGTCCGGGGCTCCGTGGCTTGGACAACCTCAGGCTCTGCAGGGGGCAGGCGGCCAGCTGGGGGATCTGAGAATGGTGAACGGGGGACAGGAACCAAGCCCCGTGTGAGTGTGAGTGTTGCTTATGGTGAAATAGCCCTTCCCGCTGACACAAGCTGGAGCTCCCGTGCAGGGGCTGCACGAGACAGCAACAGGGTGGGGGGGGGCAGCCGGCGGCCAGGCCTGGAGAGCTGGGCAAGGGCGGCCATGAGCCACTGTGTGGATGTGCCAACTGCACCCGAACAAAGAGTTAAACCAGGCAGAACCATGCCAGCCTCATGCTGGCTGGGACAGAGGCTCTGAACACCTGGCGAGGTTGAGTGTGGAGACAGGGCGGGGACGGGAGCACTGCGCTCCCCAAGGGCCGGCACCCCGGACCTAGGCAGGACCCGCCAGGACGGCCTGGGGGAAGAGGATCCCTCTCCTGCACTAGTAGGATGGCCCCAGGCCCTGAGGGAAGGGCACAGGGAAGTGTCACAGCCGTGGTGTGTGAGGTGGCCTCCTGGTCGGGGGAGGGAGATGGGAAAAGGGACCTTGAGGGCCAGAGAAAGGACACAGCCAGGAGGCTCTGAGACACTTGGCAGCAGGTCTTGGGGGTGACACACACTCCTTCGACCCCTGGACAAGGCCCTGGGGCCGGCACTGGAGGTGAGGGCAGTGCTTGCAGTGGTCCAGATGCAACCCTCCCGAGGGGAGCCCCAGATCCCTGGCTCCTACCCTGGCACAGCAGAGCTGGAGGGAGGTTTTGCTGACTGAGAGGGCAGATGTCAGCCCTGGAGGGAAGCGGGAGGCCCAGGGTGGGGCCTGAGCCTCTGCATTTGGAAAATTCCGAGGCCCGGGGTGGGGCCTGAACCTCTGCCTTTAGAAAATTCCACAAAGCCTTTTCCTCAGCCGTCAGCCTTCAACCTGAAGGCCAAGCTGAGAGGTCCACGCAATGCAGTCTTCAGAGGCCCTGGTGGCTGGTTTAAGGGGTGCGGCCAATGCTGAGGTGAGTGAGCTCCCCAGTGACATTGTGCCCTGCAGGTCCACACTGCTGGCTGGACACTTCGAGGCTAGCGCCAAGTATGGATTAGCCATGCTACGGTCTCTGTTCTGCTCAATAGCAATGACTGTGAATAGGTAAATAAATCGCTTAAGGAGAGACATTTGCTTTCAGTGGCTCATCAATAATTCACATAGAAACGAGCATTTCTAAAGCACAGTGAGGAGACAGAGCTGGAACAGTTTCTTGCCAGGACATATCATGGGCAACTGGAACCCAAGTTTAGGCAAGACAGGAAAAACCACCACCTGCAAATTATCTTTTCCCTCAAATGGATAAACAGGCGCAGGGTGCGGTGAAAGCCGTCATTCCGTTCAGCAGCAGCCACGCCGCTGAGACGGAGCAACGGCCGAGCATACGCAGCCGCACTCACCACCGCTGGTACAGGTAGACCAGAAACACCACGTCGTCCCGGAAGCAGGCCAGCCGGTGAGACGTGGGCATGGTGATGATGAAGGCAAAGACGTCATCAATGAAGGTGTTGAAAGCCTGCAGGGCCAGACGGGAGGAGGGTGAACCCCAGTTGCTGGGGCTGGAATCCTACTGTTTTTGGTAACCTAACCAAGCCAACGGCTTTTGGCAGATGCTTGGAACTAACTGGAACTCCTCACAGCAACAACAAAAAGAGCAGAAAGCCGGCAAGTGGAGATACGGAGCTCTGTTCCCTCATGGGCTCCCCACAGCTGCTGGCACCCGACACACTGCGGGTCTTGCCCAGGCTCCCACATCGGGGAACCCAAAGAGAATGGCCTGAAACCAGAGCCAAGGCTGGAGCCGCCCGAGACAGAGCCAAGGGCAGAGCCACCTGAGACCAGAGCCAAGGTTAGAGCCGCCCGAGACCACAGCCAAGGGGAGAGCCAAGGGCAGAGCCACCTGAGCATTGCCCTTTCCTCTGGGAGCTTGTAATTGACTTCAGAAAAGTGCAAATCATGTCCCATTAACTCAGCTCCGCCTGCAATGCCGAGGCACTTCTAATCCCACACGGAGCCAAGGGGGCCTCCACAGCTCTGCCAGCGGGGAATGGCCACGGCCCATGGGGGCTTCCATTCCTGCCTGGGAGGCCTGAATCCGTTGTCCCCAGGCACCGGTTACTGAGCCACAGGGGGTCTGTGTCTTGACACATGTGCTAAGAAGAAACATAAACACTAAAAAAGAAAAAGAAAACCAAATCTGTGACAAGTGAGAGAACCACCCCAGTCTTTCAGGGTCTGAAGTTACTCTATAGCTCTTCGCTTTTTTTTTTAAAGGAGCCTCCTCAATATTCTTCAATGAAAGGGACAGGTGCAGATGCACTCTGGGCAGAGATGGCCCCAGTAATGCTGTTGGCTGGAAGACGCCCTTGCTCACGCTCTGCTCAGTGAGAAGGGATTCCTCACCGGCTGTCACACTCACCTTGTAGGTGAAGGCCTTCCAGGGCAGATGTGCCACTGACTTCAACTGAAACAGGAGAGACAGGCCCAGGTCAGCTGTGGGCAGCACAGGAGACGGGGGCCGGGCCGCGGGCAGCACACACCGCCTTACCTTGTAGTTCACAAAGAGCTGGGGCAGCATGAAGAGGAAACCAAAGGCATAGACCCCTGCAGAAAGACAGACAGCACTCACGAGGTGCGGAGGGCCGGGCTGCCACATCTACGCACAGACGGCACTCACGAGGTGTGGAGGGCCGAGCTGCCACGTCTATGCATAGTGGGCAGAAAACAAGGTCTGCTATCCAGACAACTTCAGAGTCCATCATGGTGTGAAGCAGCTTTCTGGCTGGTAAGTTTATCAAGAGTCTACGACAACTTTGGAGAGCAAAGCTCTTCTATTTATTAATCAGTGTAACTGCTGCCCACGGGGTCAAGTCAGTGAGAGCACTGGAGCACCCTGGGGCTATGAGGACACGGCCTCCTGACCCACAAGGTCCTGCCCCAGGGGTCAGGTGTGGGACTCCTACCAGGGAGGACGGCAGTGCGGGACCCACCTGCTCTGCACCAGACAGGCCCTCGCCCTTAATGCTCACGGGACCACTTCCCAAAGAGACCACAAAGCTGCGATCAGGGCTGGTCTGGTGGGGCTGGGGGATGGACACAGCAGCCCATGCAGCTGAAGGTGCCACCTGGGGCAGGCGGGCCTCCCAGGACATGTGGCCCCGAGCACAGGGCCCTGCAGGGTCCCCACACTGCATCTGCAGGAGGGGGCGCGCCGTGCACCAGAGCCTGGTGCTTCCATTTGCTCTAAGGAACCAGACGTGGATGGTGTTGTTTTAATGCTTAGGTTTCCTTGTTTCCATGAAGAAAACAGACAACAGTCATGCACCACACAATGCTGTTTTCATCAGCGATGGACACATATACCAGGCGGCTGCACCACACAGCCTGGCGTGGAGGGGCTGCCACATCTGGTGTGAGCACTCCCTGTCGCTTGTACAAGGACCTGTTTCTCAGAACCAGTCACTGTTGTGAAGCCACGCAGGGCTTTATCTGCTCACAGCCTGGGGGGAGCCCTGGGCACCGCACATGTGCCAGAACAGGGTGGGGAGGGATTAGCCTCAAATCACAGGGGGGCTTGCCACACTGGGTTTCAATGCAAGAACAATTAAATCGCTGCCTGCTGGAAACACTAGTACTGAAGCAGGGAAGCACATGGACTCACCGTTGACGAAGCTGTTGATTAACCAGGAGTACCAGCTGAAACGGAAAAAAAAGGAGAAGTCCTATTTCTCGCATAGCTTAATATCTGTATTAAATTGATGAAAAATAATTCTTTCATTAAAAATCCTCTGAAAATACCCAGATGCTCTCACGGCAGCTCGGCAGCCAAGAGCAGCAGTGCTGAGCCTGGTTCTCAAGCTGGAGATAGCGCTGAGCACCCCCGGCCGGGCAGCAGAGGCCGGGCACTCCAGGAACCCCTCAGCTCAGGGCCAGCACCCCACCTGGGCAGCAGAGGCCAGGGGCTCCAGGACCCCTCTCAGCTCAGGGCCAGCACCCTGCCCGGGCAGCAGAGGCCGGGCACTCCAGGAACCCCTCAGCTCAGGGCCAGCACCCCACCTGGGCAGCAGAGGCTGGAGGCTCCGGGATCCCTCTTGGCTCAGGGCCAGCAGCCCACCTGGGCAACAGAGGCTGGGGGCTCCGGGATCCCTCTTGGCTCAGGGCCAGCACCCCACCCGGGCAGCAGAGGCTGGAGGCTCCAGGACCCCTCTCGGCTCAGGGCCAACACCCCACCCAGGCAGCAGAGGCCGGGGGCTCCGGGAACCCTCTCAGCTCAGGGCCAGCACCCCACACGGGCAGCAGAGGCCAGGGGCTCCAGGACCCCTCTCAGCTCAGGCCCAAGCCTCCCATGAAGCCTGGTGGCTGGAGTCAGTCCTCTCAGCTACACCTTACCAGGGGGACACTGAGGCCCAGAGCCCACCGTGTGCAGCTGCAGGGGCAGGACCCCTCCCAGGCGCTGGCCCAAGTGCCCCGGCCCCGAGTTTGCCCTCCAGTCGCACCCCGCTCTGGCTCAGTCATCCAAATGGCTTTCTCAGGGGAAAGACGCAGCAGGGGAAGCGTGTGCGGCCTCCTACCTCTTATATTTGATATTCAGGAGTGAATAGACAGCACCCCCGACACAGAGAGGGTACAGCAGGTATGACAAGTACTTCATGGCCTGCAGGGAACAAAGATGGCTTCCAGTTAGAGGCCCAAACGCCAAGCCTCTGTAAACACACTGCATGGAGCTCACCCCGACAGGGACAGACAGAACGAGCTACAGCGCTCAGGGTGGCAGGGCTGCTCTGCAGGGGGCGGCGTGAGGGGCACAGGCAGGGCATCGCACACTCGCCACAGCCCCAGGAGGCACCGCACACGCCAGAGCCCGGGTGTAACTACAGGCGCTAGTTAACAATAATAGATCAATTCTGGTTGGTCAAAACCAACCAACCCACAACAGATCAATAAACATAATGGAAAGAAACCGGAAAAAACTGCCTACTAAGTAATGTAGTTACATCGCCAGCTGTATCCATTCTGATTTCAGCTTTACAACGCCATGCAAGTTGGATATAAGCTGGTGAAGATTAAACCAAACTAAAATCATCTGTGCAGAAATGTTCTATTAACTGGAACTGAGAATTCCAGCTCCCCCAACAGCAATGGGGAAAGGTGACGCCCTGTGCTGCTGGGGCCATTCCTCCAGGCCACTGTGCGGCCGCGGCCATTATGGCCTTGGTGACGGCAAGTGCGTTCCCAGCAACCACAGCAGACACCATGGCCTGCGTCAGCTGCCTGGCGAATGTGACTTACAAACGATGAAAATATCCCTACTATACGGTGACACAGGCAGGCTGTGCCTGTAAGGACTGGGAAATGAGTCTCTGCGAGCCCCCGCCCTTCCCAGTAAGAAATTTGGGTTTTATGTGTTCACTCTTGGGATCCCTGCTCAAGGCGGGCTGACCCGTACTCCAAGGAGACTTCCGCACTGAGCAATGACAGTAAAAGACCCGTCTTTGAGGGTGTTGGATTTGCCTGGCATGCACGTGCCCTGAATCACAAGTGACTTACCTGAGTATCGTACTCCTCGGTTTTCCTCTCAGATTCGCTGTAAGTGCCAAACTGTTGTGAAATTCAACACAGTGATATTAATAGACTCAGGGAGGATCTGAGCACAGCTGAGCTGTGACTAAGGGGCGTCACATATGGCTGCAGAGCTGACCCAGGCCTCACTACAGAGGGCGCTCAGGTCCCTACCAGGCGAGGAGAGGACCCAGAGGACGGGGATCCGCATGGATCCTTCCCGCCTCACCCTGGCCCTGGGTCCCACAAGCCTGATGGGGGCAACGCGGCCTCACTGCTGTTCCTTGCTCAGGTGGCTCAGTTTTCAGTGCCACCGCTTCAGTGAGAACACTGCAGAGCACACAGGCACAGCCAACACTGCTCCGAACCAGCCGGCCGGGAGCCATGGGGCAAGGTGGAACACAGTGGCTGCGCTGCGTGTGCTGGGCTTCCTGACCCCCCTGCCCACAGCATGGAAAATCTCAGCCTGTGACTGCTGAGGGCCCCGCCTCAATCAAGGTCCATCCGTGGGCACTGAGATTCAACTCCAGCTCTGCCCCAGCCCTCATCTGCCTAGGGGCCTTATGGGCGCCCAGGCACTGGGGCAGCCACCAGCTCAGGGCAGGGGCTCACTCACTTCAGGACTGCCAGGACTGTACGGACCCCAGTCAGCACCAGCCTCGGGAGCGCCTCTGGACAAGGTGCCAAAACGAAGCACACGTGCTGGCCAGCCAGCATCCTTCCTCCCAGAGGCCGGCTCAGGCCCAGAAGTGCTGCCGTCTGCACTGAAGACGGTCAGAACTAGGTATATGACCGGGGAATCCTCAGGCGAAGAGAGTGGCTGCGATCAGAAACCAGTGCTGCCTCCACCACGGAGGCTCCCCTGACAGAGGCCCGCAGTGACTCATCTGCAGATGGCCATCTTACTCTTTGCACAGGGGGCAAAATCACACTCTTCAGAGAGGCTTGGGGTTCAGCCATTACAACTAAATCCTACCTGAAATTCGGGCATCAGGCCTCTCCAAAAAATAGTCATCTTCAATGCCTTCTTCACTTTCCACAGCTGAGGGGAGAAATCAGGAAATAGTTCCTTTAATATTCGAAGGCCAGGAGCCACGAATGAACGACCCAGACAGTAACGGGTAGGACCTGCTGCCCATGGCCCCGCGCAGCCCACTGTCCTCTTCCTGTCCCTCCCACAGCTCAGGCCAGAGCGCTGGAGGCTGGACCTGGGCCTCTAACCCACACACGGCAGGCGTACCTGGTCAGGTGGGCTGCACAGCCACCGCCCAGCGGACAACAAAAACAGCATGTGAGGGCAGTTCTTTACGCCACTCTGCCTGCACCCAAATAAGCCCCCACCTACTTCTGCCTGCCACTCGGGCAGCCCTGGAGCCAGTTTTGGGACCGCTCTGAGAGCCGCCACCTCATGGCTAAATGCTTGGAAGGCATCACCCACGGAGCTCAGGACGGGTGCCAGAGCCGGGCACGGCACTGTGACTCGTACCTATGGAGGGACCCTGCCTGTGGAGCTCCAGCGTCATTTCATCCAGCTCCTCCTCTACAGGGACATTCCATCCAGCTCCTCCTCTACAGACACATTCCATGCAGCTCCTCCTCTACAGACACATTTCATCCAGCTCCTCCTCTACAGACACATTTCATCCAGCTCCTCCTCGACAGACACATTTCATTTCATCCAGCTCCTCCTCCACAGACACATTTCATCCAGCTCCTCCTCTACAGGGACATTCCATCCAGCTCCTCCTCTACCGACACATTTCATCCAGCTCCTCCTCTAGACACATTCCATCCAGCTCCTCCTCTACAGACACATTTCATCCAGCTCCTCCTCTACAGACACATTTCATCCAGCTCCTCCTCTACAGACACATTTCATCCAGCTCCTCCTCTACGGGGACATTCCATCCAGCTCCTCCTCTACGGGGACATTCCATCCAGCTCCTCCTCTACGGGGACATTTCATCCAGCTCCTCCTCTACAGGGACAATCCATCCAGCTCCTCCTCTACAGGGACATTTCATCCAGCTCCTCCCCTACAGGGACATTTCATCCAGCTCCTCCTCGACAGACACATTTCATCCAGCTCCTCCTCGACAGACACATTTCATCCAGCTCCTCCTCTACGGACACATTTCATCCAGCTCCTCCTCTACGGACACATTTCATCCAGCTCCTCCTCTACGGACACATTCCATCCAGCTCCTCCTCCACAGGGACATTTCATCCAGCTCCTCCTCTACAGGGACATTCCACCCAGCTCCTCCTCTACAGGGACATTCCACCCAGCTCCTCCTCGACAGGGACATTCCACCCAGCTCCTCCTCGACAGACACATTCCATCCAGCTCCTCCTCTACAGACACATTTCATCCAGCTCCTCCTCTACAGGCACATTCCATCCAGCTCCTCCTCTACAGACACATTCCATCCAGCTCCTCCTCTACAGACACATTTCATCCAGCTCCTCCTCGACAGACACATTCCATCCAGCTCCTCCTCTACAGGGACATTTCATCCAGCTCCTCCTCTACAGACACATTCCATCCAGCTCCTCCTCTACAGACACATTCCATCCAGCTCCTCCTCTACAGGCACATTCCATCCAGCTCCTCCTCTACAGGCACATTCCATCCAGCTCCTCCTCTACAGACATATTTCATCCAGCTCCTCCTCTACAGGGACATTCCATCCAGCTCCTCCTCTACAGGGACATTTCATCCAGCTCCTCCTCTACAGGGACATTCCATCCAGCTCCTCCTCTACAGGGACATTCCATCCAGCTCCTGCTCTACAGGGACATTCCATCCAGCTCCTCCTCTACAGACACATTTCATCCAGCTCCTCCTCTACAGACACATTCCACCCAGCTCCTCCTCTACAGACACATTTCATCCAGCTCCTCCTCTACAGACACATTTCATCCTGCTCCTCCTCTACAGGGACATTTCATCCAGCTCCTCCTCTACAGGGACATTCCACCCAGCTCCTCCTCTACAGGGACATTCCACCCAGCTCCTCCTCTACAGACACATTCCATCCAGCTCCTCCTCTACAGACACATTCCATCCAGCTCCTCCTCTACAGACACATTTCATCCAGCTCCTCCTCTACAGGGACATTCCATCCAGCTCCTCCTCTACAGACACATTCCATCCAGCTCCTCCTCGACAGACACATTCCATCCAGCTCCTCCTCTACAGACACATTCCATCCAGCTCCTCCTCTACGGACACATTCCATCCAGCTCCTCCTCTACAGACACATTCCATCCAGCTCCTCCTCTACAGACACATTCCATCCAGCTCCTCCTCTACAGACACATTCCATCCAGCTCCTCCTCTACAGACACATTCCATCCAGCTCCTCCTCTACAGACACATTCCATCCAGCTCCTCCTCTACAGACACATTCCATCCAGCTCCTCCTCTACAGACACATTTCATCCAGCTCCTCCTCTGCAGACACATTCCATCCAGCTCCTCCTCTACAGGATACATTCCATCCAGCTCCTCCTCTACAGGATACATTTCATCCAGCTACTCCTCTACGGACACATTTCATCCAGCTCCTCCTCTACGGACACATTTCATCCAGCTCCTCCTCTACAGGGACATTTCTTCCAGCTCCTCCTCTACAGACACATTCCATCCAGCTCCTCCTCTACAGACACATTTCATCCAGCTCCTCCTCTGCAGACACATTCCATCCAGCTCCTCCTCTACAGACACATTTCATCCAGCTCCTCCTCTGCAGACACATTTCATCCAGCTCCTCCTCTACGGACACATTTCATCCAGCTCCTCCTCTACAGACAGATTTCATCCAGCTCCTCCTCTACAGACACACTTCATCCAGCTCCTCCTCTACAGACAGTTTTCTTCCAGCTCCTTGTCTACAGACACATTTCATCCAGCTCCTCCTCTATAGACACATTCCATCCAGCTCCTCCTCTACAGACACATTTCATCCAGCTCCTCCTCTACAGGGACACTCCATCCAGATCCTCCTCTACAGACACATTTCATCCAGCTCCTGCTCTACAGACACATTGCATCCAGCTCCTCCTCTACAGACACATTTCATCCAGCTCCTCCTCTACAGACACATTCCATCCAGCTCCTCCTCTACAGACACATTTCATCCAGCTCCTCCTCTACAGGGACATTCCATCCAGCTCCTCCTCTACAGACACATTTCATACAGCTCCTCCTCTACAGAGACATTGCATCCAGCTCCTCCTCTACAGGCATGACGGCCGCAGAGGCCCCCACCCACAGGTGGGCCACCAACTGCAGAGACCTCAGACTCCGGCTCCTGCCGGTGTGGCACAGAGCTCAGTGAGGAGCTAGGCTTAAGCCTGGGCCCTCTCACCCTGAAGGCCATCGCCCCCCTCAAGGGTTTGCTCCTGAGCTGGTCTTGCCCCACGAGGCTCCCTTTTGGCCGGCTTTTCTGAGCTCCGGAACAACCAAGGCTGGACCACAGGGCACCGAGTGATTTCCGTCAGTGCCTACCTGGCCGCTGTGCTCAGATCTCCAGCCACAGCACGAGCCTCTCAAGGCCCCACGGTTTACACCTCTGCTTTGCACATGGTGGGATTTCTCAAGCACATGAAAACACTCTGTTTGGTGGACAGGGCCTCAGGCCTCTGCTTGGTGGACAGGGCCTCAGGACTCACCACTGCTTGGTGGACAGGGCCTCAGGACTCTCTGCTTGGTGGACAGAGCCTCAGGACTCTCTGCTTGGTGGACAGAGCCTCAGGACTCTCTGCTTGGTGGACAGGGCCTCAGGACTCTCTGCTTGGTGGACAGGGCCTCAGGACTCTCTGCCTGGTGGACAGGGCCTCAGGACTCTCTGCCTGGTGGACAGGGCCTCAGGACTCTCTGCCTGGTGGACAGGGCCTCAGGACTCTCTGCCTGGTGGACAGGGCCTCAGGACTCTCTGCTTGGTGGACAGAGCCTCAGGACTCTCTGCCTGGTGGACAGGGCCTCAGGACTCTCTGCCTGGTGGACAGAGCCTCAGGACTCTCTGCTTGGTGGACAGGGCCTCAGGACTCTCTGCTTGGTGGACAGGGCCTCAGGACTCTCTGCTTGGTGGACAGAGCCTCAGGACTCTCTGCTTGGTGGACAGAGCCTCAGGACTCTCTGCTTGGTGGACAGGGCCTCAGGACTCTCTGCTTGGTGGACAGGGCCTCAGGACTCACCACTGCTTGGTGGACAGAGCCTCAGGACTATCTGCTTGGTGGACAGGGCCTCAGGACTCACCACTGCTTGGTGGACAGAGCCTCATGAGCTGATACCACCCGAACACGCATTTCCTTGCTCTCCACTTGTTCAAAGCCTTTACACCCACTGCCTGCCATCCTACAGCTTCCAGAACACTGAGGCCATCGGGAACAAGCACACAGGCTTCCACAGAAGGTCTCAGGTCCCGGGGCTGAAAGCCTTTCCTGAGTGCGTGGAGGCACATGGACCTCAGACAGTTCAGGTCACTGCCCGGAACTCACCTCAATGGCGGCTCCAACACCCGCCGGGACCAGCACCAGCAGGCTCGTCTGCTCGTCCAGCAGGAACAGAAAGATGACCACGGTGCTGAAGCAGCGCCAGAGCACTGGGGACAGGATGGTCGGGCTGGGAGGGGGTGCAGGGCAGACCCCACCTGTGTTCCCCAAGTCACACACATACCCCCAGTCCCCCATCCCAACCCACCACGCCCAAGAAGCTTCAGGTACTCCCCAGTCCACGTCACCCCGTTTAAAAAGAACAATGAAGCATTCAGCAGCTAGGAAAGTGTTTGGAAGGCTGCTGAACTGAACAGCTGGCCCCACACCAGCTCCACAAACACGTGTCTGAGCCACACTTGCAAATGAGCATGGAACGTGGGCAGAGGTCGGATGACGGGGCCAGCACAGCTTTGCTTCCGGGCGTGTCTTATGCCAGTTCTGTGATAAGTGCGTGGCTTTTCAAGTCTGGATTTGTTTCCTCCCCAGCTGTACCTTAAGAACCACTCCAGCTTATTCAACACGTCTTCCTCCTCCTGCAAGCCCTGAGGGCAAGCAGGGGAAGCAGATCCATGGAGCCACAGGACAAACAGTGGTCAAGGCCACAGCCACTGTCTGCTGGCCACTCCAACCCAGGACGCCAGGAAAGGCATTAGGGTTAGGAGACAACAACGCAGAACACGGCACGGCCCCCAGGCAGCCAGGGCCACCTGCTTGGGCGTCTTTTCCATGCGAGAAAAACAACTTGTTCGGGTCTGATACTGGAGCCAAATGCTCCTCACTCCTAACCAACAGGACACACCCACTCCTCGTCCTCACACCCATCAACCACTCGCCCCTGTCCAGACCGCCGCTCCCCACCCCACTGTGACAACCTCCACCCCTGCAAGGTCAGGAGGACCCCTCACTCACTTGGGCCCCTTAAACCACGGCAGGCACCCTTGGCCAGGAACACTGGTCCCAGATCTTGGCAGGCCTCCTGCCTGGGCTGCCTGGCCTCAGGGGTCCCTGACTGCCCTACCTAACAGCTGCACACTGCCTGTCACTGCTGGGCACAGCACCACGGGCCTATTAACTGCCATCACCTGGCAGGCCCCACACGCCCAGGCCTGCGCTGGTCGGGGAAGGAACACCGGCGGGAGGACGGGGCGAGGGAACCAAGACAGGGGATGTGAGGCCCCAGCCCTGCTCAGCGCCCATGAGCAGCCGGGAAGGCTCGAGAGGTCCATGCATCTCACTCTCCACAGCCCAGACCCAGACCCCATGCACGCCAGAGTCCGCAGCCAGGCCCTGAGCTGTGCAGCCGCTGGAGGCCCTGAGCCGTGCAGCCTCTGATGGTCCCACCACAATTGCCGCAACGGCTCCCTGGGCTTTACGGTGCCTGGTCTCAGAGGCTTCTCAAGAGCCAAGCACACACCCGGGGCTGTGTCTGCAGCCAGCAGTGAGGCAGGCAGCCCTCTACCGCAGGCTCCAGTGAGCTCCCTGGGGCAGAGTATCTGAGCAGGGCCACGCTCGGGGGGCCTACCTGCCTTGGTGGACATGCCGATCATGCTCTTCTTCTTCTTCCAGAAACTGATGTCATTTTTAAAGGCCAGGAAATCAAAGAGAAGCTAGAGAGAACACACACGACAGCAACTCACATCTCCTGCTGTTTCCATCTCCTGTGAGACAGAGATAGAGGCTTCGTGTGTGACCGTGAGACTGCAGGTGTACTCAGCCTCAGGATGCATCAGGATAAGTGTCTACACTCGGGACCCATGCCTCTACGCGCCTGGCCTGCCATGTCAGAACCTAGAGTGCCCAGGCGGGCTTTGCAGGGGCACTTCTGAAATAATACGTACCTTTGACTTGAACTGCTGGAAAGGCCCCCAGGCAATTGGAGGCTCTGGATTCCCCTGGATCATGGGCCTGGCTGGGCACCCCTGCTCTCGGGTTGTGCCCACTCAGGGCAGCCTCATCTCTCAACTGTGCTAAAAACGCAAGGGCTGGGCATGGTGGCCCATGCCTGTGATCCCAGCTACTGCAAGGCCAAGGCCAAAGGACCACCTAAGCCCAGGGGTTTGAGACCAGCCTGGGCAACGTACTGAGACCTGTCTCCAAAAAAAACTTAAAAAAACCTAACCATGCATGATCTCATCCTTAGAGACACTGACCTTTTAATAAAAATCGTTTAATTCTCTAGTACGGCTTTGGAAAGTTTTAGCTTGACTGGCAGCCAAACTCCCAGGCACTCAGAACCAGTGCCGGCCGCACTCCTGGGTGCCGCCTAACCACAGGCCAGCCTAACAGCCACAAGGATGGCTCTCCCTAGCAGCTCAGCTCCACGAACAACAGTAAGAGCACAGCAGCCTTGCTTTACCCATGGTTTACTGTCCATGGTTTCGGTTAGCACGGAGCAGTGCGATGAGACAGATATTCTGAGAGTGAGACCACACCCACGTAACTTTATCACACTGTCCTGTCCTGTTTCTGTTACCAGTTATTGTGGGTAATCTCTTACTGTGCTTAACTTATAAATTGAACTTTATCAAAACCATTACATAATACATATATTCATTCATTACGTTATTTGATACACATATTCAGACATCCAATGAGGGTCTTTGAACACACCCCCTGAGGATGAGGGACTACTGTATAACACCAGATGAGGATAAGGGGCGGACTACTGTATATACACTGGATGAGAACAAGGGGGGACTACTGTATACACACGGGATGAGGATAAGGGGGGAATACTGTAGACACACCGGATAAGGGGGGACTACTGTATACACACCGGATGAGGATAAGGGGGGACTACTGTATACACACCGGATGAGGATAAGGGGGGACTACTGTAGACACACCGGATAAGGGGGGACTACTGTATACACACCGGATGAGGATAAGGGGGGACTACTGTATACACACCGGATGAGGATAAGGGGGGACTACTGTAGACACACCGGATAAGGGGGGACTACTGTATACACACCAGATAAGGGGGGACTACTGTATACACACCAGATGAGGATAAGGGGAGACTACTGTATACACACGGGATGAGGATGAGGGACTATTGTATACACACCACATGAGGATAAGGGGGGACTACTGTATACACACCAGATGAGGATAAGGGGGGACTACTGTATACACACACGGGATGAGGATAAGGGGGGACTACTGTATACACATTGGATGAGGATAAGGGGGGACTATTGTATACACACCAGATGAGGATAAGGGGGGACTACTGTATACACACCAGATGAGGATAAGGGGGGACTACTGTATACACACCGGATGAGGATAAGGGGAGACTACTGTATACACACGGGATGAGGATGAGGGACTATTGTATACACACCAGATGAGGATAAGGGGGACTACTGTATACACACCGGCTGAGGATAAGGGGGGACTACTGTAGACACACCGCAAGAGGATAAGGGGGGACTACTGTATACACACCGGATGAGGATAAGGGGGGACTACTGTATACACACCGGATGAGGATAAGGGGGGACTACTGTATACACATCGGGTAAGGGGGAACTACTGTATACACACAGGACTGACTTTTTACATTTAAAAATCAGTGTGTTAGAATTTATACAAGAGAACTACTTTCTGCTAGAGGCTGCCCAGCTCCGCCCCTGGCTCTGCATGGGGTCGGGGCCTGGGCAGGGGAGAGTGAGATGCCTGCACCTATTCATCTCATTGGTGTGGACACTGCTCAGAGTACCCTGGATCCTTTTCAAAACCGCCCCCAAAGCCAGCACAGCCCAAGTCGCCAAGGCTGTGGACGGAGCTTTATGGTCCCTCCCTTTTCAGAACTGGGAGAAACCGCCCACTGGGACAATGGTCGCCTGGTGTCAGGCGTGCTGGCTGCTGAGTGATGGGAGTGGACACTTGAGGGCCACAGGGCTGGACGGCGCCCACAAACCCCAGGTCCAGGACCCCTGCAGGAGGCCCGGGGCCCAGGGAGCCCCCCAAGTGCCTGCGGCAAGCCCCCCGGTGGATGACTCACATGGAACGCTGCGACAAAGAAGGTCAGCGCCAGGAAGTATAAGTTGGTATCTACAAAAATTCCTTTCACCTCATCAGCATCTTTCTCTGAAAACCCTGTCAAGGAAAAAAAAACATACAATATAAAACAGGCAATGTCAATCTTACCTAACATTACAAATACAGTTTTCAATATAAAAATTTAGGCCGGGCGCAGTGGCTCATGCCTGTAAACCCAGCACTTTGGGAATCTCAGGCAGGCAGATCACTTGAAGTCAGGAGTTCAAGACCAGCCTGGTAAACATGGTGAAACTCCATCTCTACTAAAAATACAAAAATTAGCTGGGCGTGGGGGCACGCGCCTGTAATCCTAGCTACTGGGGGGACTGAGGAACGAGAATCGCTTGAATCCGGGGGGCGGAGGCTGCAGTAACCAGAGATTGTGCCACTGCACTCCAGCCTGGGCAACAGAGCGAGACTCTGTCTCAAAACAAACAAACAAACAAACAAACAAACAATAAAAATAAATCTCATCAACAGTTAAGGTTCATTTGACCAAACTCATGGCATTTCACATATTATGTTCTTAATAAAGCCAATTTCCAGACAATCAACCAGGTCATCTCCAAGGAGAGAAGTGAGGCAGGCGCTGCTAGCCTCTGATTCAACGTCTGTGCAAGGATCTGCAGCAGGAGGCGAGGAGGCCCCGGCCTGTGTCAGGATTCGCACTTGGATGCCCGAGGGGCTCCAGGGCGGCCTCACCCAGGCGCCGGCCGTGTGCGGCACATACCGAACTGCTGCAGGGAGTACACGGCGTCCTGCATGTGGATCCAGAAGCGCAGCCGCCCCAGTGAGACCTTGTCGTAGGACACGGTGAGGGGCAGCTCGGTGGTGGAGCGGTTTATGACCTGATGAAGAAAGCCACACTGAGGGCCCTGCCCTCATACCCTTGCACCCAGCTGCCTGGCAGCCCTCGCCAACCCTGCCATCCCCCTTCCCATCCCTGTGTGGCCCCAGGTCAGCCATGACTGGGCCCAGCAAGCATCCCCCGGTCCCTCCTTCTGTCACCACAGGCCTCAGGCCCCAGCGTGCTGCGTTCCAGCACAGGGAGGTTCCCACCCCCACCAGGACCCCGTGAGCTCAGCAGCGCTAGCAGTGCCTGGTCTGTTTTGCTGCACGTGCCCCTTCAATTTTAAGCCGCACAAGTCCTGGTGCCCCGGAGGTGGTGCTTGCCACCCAGCTGCTAGGACTCCATGGCGCAGCATACGGCGCTGAGCTTGGCCTGCAGAGCCCTGGCCTGTCCTAAGAGTTGGAGACCACGGGACAAGCACAGCCCTGCAGCACATGGGCAAAGTGCCTCAGGGCCTAAAGCACAGAGCAGGGGGTGGCCGTGGGGACAACAGAAAGCTTCTGGAACGCAAAGCTAGCAGGGGCAGTAGGGTGGATGTGTAGGTCTCAGAACCACGAGCTTAGTCCTGCAGCCTGCCGGGGCCTCACGCACACAGGCTGTGGGCCAGGTCCCAGGGTGCCGAGGTAGGAGGGTGAGGAACGGGTTCACAAGCGCGAGCCCACACCCTACAGCACGTGGGCAGTGACCACACCCGGTGAGCACCACCCTCCACGTTCTGGAACATCCAGCGAGGGCTGTGCTCTAATCCACCTGCCCTGCCTCAAGCCCTGACCCGCCACCCTCCACGTGCTGGAACATCCAGCGAGGGCTGTGCTCTAATCCACCTGCTCTGCTATGGCGGGCACTGCTGGTGTCAGGGTGTGGTGGAATCAGAGCCACAACCAGCAGGTGCCAGGTTGCCCTGAGAGCGGCTGTCAGGGCGCCCCACGTAGCCAAGTGGCATCAGTGCACATGGATGGTGGCCTCCAGGCACCCCTCGAGCTGCCAAGCGTGTCCGAAGGGTGTCACTGCCTCCTCCATCTGGCAGTGCTGGGCCCAGCCACAGAAGGTGCCGACTTCCTGCACCTGCTGCATCCCAGCTGCCTGCTTCCTCTCTCAAGACAGCACCTCTCGAATCTGGCCCCAAGTGAGACACAGCAACAGCGACACATGAGAGAGACTGTGATTTGGGGGAAAAGCTGCTGTCGGCACACGTGTCTCCATAACCACTGGAACGCAGGCCACCACTGGCACAGCTGCGCCGCAAAGCCTGCCCCGGGCCTCTAACAAGACAGATCTGCAGACAGACACACAGGGCAGCCTTCTGCAGCTGCCTGCCCCTGTCCACCATCTCCTGAATGCCTGCAAGGAGTCAGCGGCATGAGGCTTCACAAGAGGTGACCACGAGCTGGTGCCACAGCTCACACAGCTCTGTATGGGGCATTTTAGCAGAACTTGCTGTCCTGAGGTTTGTCAGCAGCACACCAGCAAACTCCAGCAAACAGAGAAAGAGGTTGGAATTGCAGGGGCCGACAGAGAAACTACTCAGGGATAGGCTGCAGCGCCAGACCTGCTCGCCAGCCACTGCCTGTGCAGCCCCCAGCCTGCAGGTTGTATAGGAGCAATCAGTGACCCCAGAAGTGAAGGAGGCAGTATGTTAGGGACTGCAAGGGGTCTGAGGGAACAGCAGTACAGGGGGACTGTTCTGAGAGCCGCAGTCAGGAGGAGGCAGCAGGGCCTGGGCAGAGATCAAAGCAGCCAGGTGCTCGCTTCTCCGTTTCCCAGCTGCACCCCCCCGCTAGCAAGCCCTCTGCTCTCCCCAGGACTGTTTCCTCTTCAACAAAAAAGGGGAAAGGGCCCGCCTCAGAGGTCAGAGGTGCCGAGAGCCTTAAGTGGAAGTGGCCGGCTCCTAGTGGGTGATCCGGAGTGACAGTGATGGCTTGCAGGGAGGCAGGGCAGGGCAGCGATCCTGCAGGGCCCCAGCTGAGCGTTCACCTCTGAACCCCAAATAACCTCATCCGTGAAACAACGCCACAGCTCCCAGCACCACAATTACGGAAAGATTCACAAAGTGCTTAGCACAGTGCCTCATGTGCAGTAAGAGACATTAAATATTAACTGCTTCTGTGAGTCTCAATACTGGCCAAAGGTTGGCCACATTTCATCTCCTCTCAAAGCAACTATGGGAGAGCAGGCGCTGTCACTGCCCGTAATCACAGGGCGCCAGAGCCCAGAGAGCAGCCACTTCTATTCGCAAAGGCCTTCCGCCTTGCCAGGGGCCACCCCGGGGGCTCCAGCTCCGAGGAAGGGCTGTCACCCGCTCCTCTGGCCGCCTGTGCAGGACCAGCCCTGGTGGGGAAAGCAGGAGTTTGCTCAGGATACTGTGAATTAATCTACATGGCACACCAGGAGCTCACACGCAGACGCTGTTTCACACGGTGCTCATGTGCCTGCTCTCTAAGCGCTGCCCTCTATGCGCTGCATAAACAATCTTCCAGGGGCCTTTCACCAGTGACAGTCCAGAGGCTCAGCAGGACCCCGCAGCCAGCCAACGGCAAACCCAGCACACCACCAGGGCCCCCCTGTCACAACCCTCGCACACTCGAAGGCAGTGCTTCCCAGCACGGGTAAAAGCACCGTGTCAAATGTCAGCAATGGCCCGGTCCATTAGGGTGCAGGGGCTGCGGGGCCAGTCTTGGGGTCAGTGTCTCGCCAGCTGCACAACCAGCGGGCAGAGGTGTCACTCACCATCAGGTCCTTCACGCGGTTGCTGAGCTGGTCGATGAACAGGATGGGCAGGTAATGCACGGTTTTCCCCAGCTGGATCCTGGGATTAAAGCACAACTTTCCAAAGTCAGCACCAAGGCTTTTACCTTTCAATGAATGAACACATCCAGACACTGGGTTTACCCCAGAGAAGTGCCCCCAGCACCACCCTCAACTGCTTCTCAGTCACAATGACCCCAGGGCACAGCCTCCCCAAACGGAAGCAGAGAGCCTGACAACATATGCACGCTTGTGAGACCCGCTCCCCAGGAAGTGATGGCCACAGGTGGGAAAATGCCTCCACGGCCACTAGGAGCGGGGGAATTACAGGGACACGGCCGTACAGCAGAACCCAGGGCCCTCTGCGCACTGACACGGAGCAATCCCAGGATGCACTGACACGGAGCAATCCCAGGATGTGGCCACTACACTTGGAAGGGCGAGTCACCTGCAGCCACCTGGGAGGCGGAGCTGTGGCGCAGGAGTTGGGGGGGGGATCCCCAACACATGGGAGAGACGAGGTGAGCTCAGGTGGCCAAACACGTGAATTCCAATAATTGTATTTAACTGATGGCAAGTGATACTAAATAATCTAAAGATTAACTTTTAAGTAAATCTAAATAAGCCAAGTTAAAAAATCACAAGGGGAGCAAAGCAACCCGTTCCCATCAGCGCCTTCCGTTTTCTCTCCATGGAAGCCTTCGCCAGCCAGGAGCAAAGGGCAGGATGCTCCAGCTTGAATTCCTTTCTCCCCCCTTCCAGCCCTGTGGTAGCAGCACAACCTCAATGAGGAAGTGGGAAAGAGCTGGGAGGCCCGGGCAGCAAGTGCCTCCCCACAGAGGGGACTCCACGGTGCAGGAGTGACCTGCTGGCGAGTTCTGGCCAGCCAGGGTCCCAGCACCCTCCCCCCGGCGCTCCAGCTCTGGGGCCCCACTTACATCTTCATGTACCGATGCACATCGGCAGGCAGGGAGGACCCGTCAAAGACAAAGTTGTCCGCCATCACGTTCAGCGCCAGCCGCGGTCGCCAGTGGGACACTGGCTCATCCAGGGCACTCGTCGGCTTCTTCTCCGCCTCGATCTGCTGTTAAGTGAGGAAAACAGAGGCCAATGCTGGGACAGAAAACCATGCCCAGGACAGCAGGGTCAGCCCCCTAACCTGCGAACAGAACGGCCACACAGACAGGCAAACTGTGCCCGGGACAGCAGGGTCAGCCCCCTAACCTGTGAAGAGATGGCCACACAGACGGGCAAACTGTGCCCGGGACAGCAGGGTCAGCACCCTAACCTGTGAAGAGAACGGCCACACAGACGGGCAAACTGTGCCCGGGACAGCAGGGTCAGTGCCCTAACCTGTGAACAGATGGCCACACAGACTGGCAAACTGTGCCCGGGACAGCAGGGTCAGCGCCCTAACCTGTGAACAGATGGCCACGCACATGGAAAAACCGCACCCGGACAGCAGGGTCAGCACCCTAACCTGTGAAGAGAACGGCCACACAGACGGGCAAACTGTGCCCGGGACAGCAGGGTCAGCGCCCTAACCTGTGAACAGATGGCCACACAGACGGGCAAACTGTGCCCGGGACAGCAGGGTCAGCGCCCTAACCTGTGAACAGATGGCCACGCACATGGAAAAACCGCGCCCGGACAGCAGGGTCGGCACCCTAACCTGTGAAGAGAACGGCCACACAGACGGGCAAACTGTGCTCGGGACAGCAGGGTCAGCGCCCTAACCTGTGAACAGATGGCCACACAGATGGGCAAACTGTGCCCGGGACAGCAGAGTCAGCGCCCTAACCTGTGAACAGATGGCCACGCACATGGAAAAACCGCGCCCGGACAGCAGGGTCAGCACCCTAACCTGTGAAGAGAACGGCCACACAGACGGGCAAACTGTGCTCGGGACAGCAGGGTCAGCGCCCTAACCTGTGAACAGATGGCCACACAGACGGGCAAACTGTGCCCGGGACAGCAGGGTCAGCGCCCTAACCTGTGAACAGATGGCCACGCACATGGAAAAACCGCGCCCGGACAGCAGGGTCGGCACCCTAACCTGTGAACAGATGGCCACGCACAGGCACAACCGGGGGAGAGCCCAGCAGAGAGGGCACAGCGGCCCCACAGCTGCCAATTCCGCCAGACTCTCGCCAAACAGCCCCCCATCCTTATCTCCACGGAAGCCAGGGGGTGCTGCTTTGCAACATGTGGTCACGGACTTCACCAATTCCTTTTTTGAGGTCCTCAAACTAAGTGGGCCCACTTCTCAGAAGTTGAGAGGGTGAGAGCCCCCTGACCTTGGCAGAAGACTGTGCAAGTCCAGGGCTCACACAGCCCTGTGGCTGTAAGGAGACTGAGAGGGAGTCAGCTTCTAAAACCAAGCATGTGGGGCTGCCTAAAGGAGACATACTGAGGATTACACACGGCTCTTACATGAAGTTAAACAGGACATGGACTGACAGGGAAATCTTAGCTCGGCTCAGATCTGATACATCCTAGGAAGCACTATCGCCTCACCCATTTCCTACCTAAAGATGCAGTTTAGCGATAATTTACATTACAAACGGTTTTCCACACCTCCTCACATTTGCTACCTGCAAGGGAGGCTTCCTGCGCTACATGCTACATGCCCATCACCCCACCCACTTTTCAGGACACTGGAGAGGAGGGATGGGGGCCCCAGATGAGGGGACACGGAGAGGGGCAGGTGAGGGATGTTCCTAAGGAGACAGATGCAAACTGGGGAGAGGCAGGAGCAGGTGTTGGTAGGGCTTTCAAAACCCCATCAACTCCGAGAGACCTCTCTTTCTCTCTGTCTGGAACAATTTCACAGCCTCTTCCTGGAAAGCTGCCATCTTTCTTGTTTTGTAAATTTTTCTGAGGCAGAGTCTCCCTCTGTCGCCCAGGCTGGAATGCAGTGGCATCATCTCACCTCACGGGTTCAAACGATTCTCCTCCCTCAGCCTCCTGAGTAGCTGGGATTACAGGCGCGTGCCACCACATCCAGCTAATTTTTGTATTTTTAGTAGAGACGGGGTTTCACCATGTTGGCCAGGCTAGTCTCGAACTCCTGACTGCAGGTGATCCACCTGCCTCAGCCTCCCAAAGTGCTGGGATTACAGGCATGAGCCACTGCGCCCGGCCTTGTTTTGTAAATTATCTCACCTTCCACTCAACACAAAGGTGGGTGTCAGAATTCCCTTGCTTTATCCTTGGCCTGTATTCATGATCACTTAAGTGACTTCCAGTTTTTATTTGCGCATACACCTTTCTACAGATGTACAAACTACAACTTGTACCTCTACCTTTTCCATGATCTCCAATTACATTCTTAGAATAAACATCTAGGAATAGCCCAGTCCTACACAGAATGCAGAATGAGCCCAGCTCTCATCCCCAGAGCTCCTGGTGAGAAGCTGCAGGCCAGCTCTGCAGGACCAGCGCTCCATCCCACCAGGTGCAGTAGGTGCCCCCAGAGACTGAGAGGGCCCATTCCCCGAGGGACTCTGCATCGAGAATGCCAGCGATCACTTCAACTGTCCCTAATTTTAGATAAAACTTGTCTGCAAACTCATGGATATGATTCAGCTGAAAGTCAGAAATGCACGCCAGTAACATTCCAATGGCTTTTGGCTTTACTCCCAACAAAGTCACTGGAGCCCTAGACATCGCCCACCTGTGTGGAGAAAGACATGTCCGTTCTGACGGAGAGGCACAGCCTGTTATCAGTAACCCATGAAGACCCTCACCTGTGTATCAGACTCCCCGGTGAGCAGGTTGATTTCTTCTGGCTTGGGGACCATGTAGGTGGTCAGAGGACTGACCAGGTGCACCTGCTTCCCGTCGTGCCACGGCAGGACCCCAGCGTGATGGAGGAAGATGTAGGCATACAGCGTCCCATTGTTTCTCGTTTTCTTTGGTACAGAAACATTAACTGTCCTGAAACAGAACAATCATTTCCACTACATACATATTATATTCTGGGTCTCTAGAACCTATTCAAATACCTTTATAAAGCTGCTTCAATAAACTAATTTTAGCTCAGAAGTACTAAAAATGAAACCCACCTGCCCAGGGCTTTACGAGTCGTGTGTGTGTGTGTGTGTGTGTGTGTGTGTGCACGCGCACGCGTGCGCGTCCTGAGAACTCGGCACAGGTGTGGGCGCCTACAGCCGAAAGCAAAACGGCCCGCACTTCCTGCCTCCATCTCAGGAGGCTGAGAGGTCAATAACCCACCTGAGGCCACAAGGCTGAAGCAGCCAGATGGAAAGCAGCTTCTGGGCCTGGCCAGGGTACCAGCTGACCACACACACTGAATCACCCAACTCCGAAGCGACAGAAGGGAAGGGCAGCAGCCACGAGGGCTCCAGGTGCCTCGGCCCACACTACTGGAACCTCAGAAATTTAATGTGGGTAGTTTTTTTGGGTGTTGTAGTTTTAAGGATAAAAAGATGATCAGCCACAAAGGACTGACTTTCAAGGCTGTCAGTCCTGACTGTGTGGCATCCAGCACGAGCTGAGGAAAGGCCCGGCGAGCTGCTACAACTGTAGGCCTCGGACCAGGTGCCTGGCTCTTCACCCGCACACCAGGGCCCGACGTCCATACTACAGCCCCATGGAAAAACCTCGCATTCCACCTGTTTACGGTTACATGAGTTCTTCTTCCTCTTTAAAAGTCTCTTTTTTGAGACAAGGTCTCGCTGTCACCAGGCTGAAAGTGTAGGGGTGCAATCACAGCTCACTGCATCCTCAACCTCCTGAGCTCAAGTGACCTCCCGCCTCAGTCTCCCGAGTAGCTGGGACTACAGGTGGGCGTGCCACCATGCCTGGCTAACTTTGAAAACTGTTGTAGAGATGGGGTTTTGTCACATTGCCTAGGCTGGTCTTGAACTGCTGGGCTCAAGTGATCCTCCCGCCTTGGCCTCCCAAACTGCTGGGATTATAGGCATGAGTCACTGTGCCCGGCCTCTCCTTAAAAATCTTACGGTTGGCCGGGTGCGGCGGCTCACGCCTGTAATCCCAGCACCTTGGGAGGCCGAGCCGGGCAGATCACGAGGTCAGGAGTTTCAGACCAGCCCAGCCAACATGGTGAAACCCTGTCTCTACTAAAAATAAAAAAATTAGCCAGGCGTGGTGGCGGGTGCCTGTAGTCTCAGCTACTTTGGAGGCTAAGGCAGGAGAATCCCTTGAACCCGGGAACCGGAGGTTGCAGTGAGCAGAGATCACGCCACTGCACTCCAGCCTGGCAACAGAGCAAGACTCTATCTCAAAAAAAAAAAAAAATCTTACGGCCAAAGTTGTAATGAAAAACACAAAGGCATCTATGGCTCCTCACTACCCAGGAAAGAGTATGTCTCCACCAGGACATCTTAAGTGTCTCTCTTCAGGCAGAGGGTGCAGGGCTGTGTATTTCTGGTGGAATGTGCACTTGGAGACACTTGAGGCGGAGCTGTGTTAAGAGTGCTCATTCTCCCCACTTCCTCCAGGCTGACACTGTGCCAGGTCAAATGGAAAACCTCACTAGCTGTCCTTGGTAACTGGTACACGGCCCGGCACGGAAGAGGCAGTATTCATGTCTGGGAAATTAAACCCAGTGCAGATGAATCCTGAGCATTTTTGAAAGGTGTGGGCAGCTACAACCGAGCGGGCAGCTTGGTCACCAGCACTTCTGGCCTCCCCTTCATGGAGGCAGAGAGAGGGCAGGAACTGGCTTGAGGTCACAGGCCTAAAGAGGCCAGGCAGAAACCGGCTTGCCAGCGCCTCCAGCTACCCCCAGGGACTGGCTGCCTAGAGGGCGTGGAGTCCAGCATGAGTCTCAAACTTTCATTATTCTCTCCTCAGATACCTCCCAGGCAATGAAGGGAAATGGTTGACTTGTGAGAAGCAAATCATATTTAAAAGTATACTTATTCAATTAAAAAAAATTAGGCCATGTCAGATGTAATTTTTAAGATACTCTACATATTTGGACATTGATCTATTCTAACGTCACATGTCACTTATTTATGATTTTCTACAAAATTGCTTCCTCTATCCTCATCTCTTTTCCCTCACAAGTAACTTAAGCGAACTACTTCCACCAGGAAAAGACAAGTTGGTCCCCGGTAGTGAAACTGCAGAGTTGTCTGCTCTCCACTGGTTCACCAAGCGTGGCCCCTGCTCCTTCGGAGCCTCCCCGTCCAGGACATCCCACTGCCATCACACTCTGCTGAGAACTACTTCTTAAACGACATTCATCACCTGTCACCTTCCAGGCTGAATGTTTACAGGCCACGCATAGGCCTCCAGTTAGGATATTCTACCACTTCAAGACATTCGGTAAGACTAGTTCTCTAAAATAAACATGTTATGTACAGAAAGCTAACTTTTAAACAATCTGAACATGAGTAATGTTTTCCCTTTCACTGGCATTTTGTCCTACGCCCATACCTTTCAAATTTGGACTCCACATCAAAGTCTTCCACATTCAAGACCAGGTCGATGTTGTTCTCAGCACCCAGGTGGGACCTCGTCGTGGTGTACACGCTCAGCTGGAAAGGAGGGGGCGTCGAGAGTCAGCTCGGCCAGGCCCTGGCAGGACGCACTCAAATCCCACGGCCAGCTGGAGGGCGGAAGACCTGGCCGCTGGGGAACCAGGAAAGGTTCCATCTCGACTCGCGCGGCCACAGCTCCGAACTGGGACGGGAAGGCGACGTCTGGGGCCTGGAGGAGAGGCCCCCACCCCAACCCGCCCGGCCCCCGGCCCCGCGGACGCTCACCTGCAGCTTGGGCCGCCGCGCCAGGTAGGGCTGGATGCAGTTGGCGTCGCCGGAGCACGGGCGGGTGTAGACGATGCCGTACATGACCCAGCAGGTGTGCACCACGTAGACCACGAACACGCCCACCACCAAGCTGGTGAAGGAGCTGCGGCCGCTCCACATGGCGGCCCCGCGCCCGGCGCCCCCGGCCCGCCCGCCTCTCAGCCGCGAGCCCCGCCCGCCCGGCGCCCAGCCCGCCGCTCCGGGCTCCGCCGCTCACTGGAGAGCCGCCGCGCGCCACCGCCACCGCCGCGGGGGAACGAATGCGCCGCGCGCCGCAGACCGCCGGCCGCCCCGCATGCTCCGGCCCCGCTCCCACCTGGCGCCGCGGGATTCGCCGGCCCCGCGCGCCGCTTCCGGGCCCCGCCGCCTGCCGGAAGTGGACGCGCCGCGCGGCTCCCTGGGAAACGGAGTCTCGGCCGCTGCCGCGCACGCGCATCCAGGATGCGGCGCGTGTGTGACGTTACCCGCCCGCGCCGCCCTCCTGGGGTGCCTCTCAGGGACCCAGGCGCTCAGCTGCTGGGGCCGCGGAGGGCGTTCGCGGGGCGCCGGGGAAGGCTAGGGCCGCGGGGTCCCCGGGGCGCCGTCCCCAACCGCCGACGCCTGCCAGACCACCAAGTGGGGGCCATGTCGACGTGTGAGGAGCCTGGTGGAAGGTGATACTGGAATTCCGGCACTGGGCCTGCAACCCTTTTAGTCCACAGTTGTCAGAATCTAAAGGGAAGAAAAACGAAGTGCTCAGAACCCTCACAGAAGCCGGGCACCTCATCCCGTGTGTGGGTTTTTTCCCCAGTACAAACCCATTGTGGGGACAGGCGCTTTTGAAGAAAAAATTCAGATTCCCGGGCTGAAGTGGCTCCTCACAGCCTTGAACCTGACCCCCAGCTTCCCGCTAAAGCCGAGCGTGCCCAGCACGGCGAGGTCAGCAGAGGCCCCTCGGAGGGCGGCCGGGGGAGGTCAGTGGGAGGCCCTCGGGCAGCCGGTGGATGGGCCGGCGACCTCCCCGACTCCATCAGAAGCGCTCAGTCTGTGCCCTTCAGTTACTGGAGCAGCTCCCGTCCTTTGGCCAGTTCTCTGGAAGGTCGTTTCCGTTTCTGTGTCTGCCACACGTGCAGCACAATCGAAAAACCTTGTTCGACATTTCTAGAAAGAGTAGATGCTACTGAAGACCCAATAGATTGCTGAGGGTTTTCAGAGCAGGGACAATTGCATCAGGGTGCTGGGCTCCGGGAAGAACTCAGAGGACTTGGCTGACGGGCGGATGGGACAGTGATTGGTGCCGAGAATGGGCCAGAGAAGCAGGTCTGCCTGGAGCAGGCACCCGAGGCCGCGTGCAGGGGCGGTCCTGGGCCACCAACCCCTGGAAGCTGGGCCAGGAGCTTCGGAGCCATCCGAGGCTTTTTTCGCTCCTCTCACTCTCATGCACCTAGTTACCCTCCCCACAGAGTCTTCTCACGGCGCGGTTTTCGGCTACCATTGCAGTGGTGTCTGACTACACCCAGTGCCTCTATCGTTCCCCCCTCAGTCTGTTCTCGCTTCTTGGCAAACCTGTCCTTGGAAAGCCCTCTGCTGACTCCTGTTACCCTGATCAAATGCATCCTCCTCAGGAGGCTCGTGAGCCCTTTGCAGGGTGGCCCAAGAGGCATCACGCCCTGCTCTCCAGCCACTCTTGGGGTCCCCTACAGGGCCAGGCGTCCCACACCAGCAGCGGGTGCTGGTCCTGCCACAGTCTGTGCGACACGTGAATGAAGGCTGTAGACCTGTGGTCTGCGGGAGGCAAATTCCAACTCCAGCTGTCAAACATAAGGGGACTGGTAGGCTCTCCAGGGTGGATTGTCTCACGGCATCCAGAGGCAGGGACCGAGGCAGGGACCTAGCCAGGCCTCGGGAAGGAGCTGCAAACCCAGGAGCTCTGGGGTGTGGCTTCATCTCCCTCCCTCCCTACCACCCTACCCCCATCTCTCCGTGTTCTTCAGATGCCTCATTTTCCTGTCAGGCACCTGGCCAGCTCTAGGAGCTGGAATCAGGTTGGTGCCTCCTTGGTCAGTGTCCACCCCTAGTGTCATCCACAGTGACCAACGGAAGGGGTGGCCGGTGGTACAGGACATTGGCCATCTTGGGAAAGATCACAGAGACAGGAAGGGCCTCTCCAGCTGAGCAGATGAGAGGTTCTTCAGTGGTCTGGACACATTTGCCCACTCATGGCCGTCCCCCTGCCCTGTTGAGAGAACCGATGAGGAAAGGGAGCCCTGCATCTGTCGCCTTCCGACTCCGACCGCCTGAGGCTGGGCTGCCGGCAAGCCGCGGCAGCATATGACAGCACTTGAAAGAAAGTCCCTGGAAAGAATGTGGATCATTGCAGAACTCCCTCAAGAAAGCGCCAGAGGAGGACCCCATTCAGCACCCCGCAGAACTCCTCAAACTCCTGCGTCCACACTCCCCCAGCGTGGTGGCTGCTTCTATCTCCCCAGGCTTAGCTGGCCTGGGTCTTGAAGGCCTCTCCTCCTGCTGTCCCCACGCAGCATCCTCTCTGCCACTGCACAGCTGGATGCAGTGAAGGCCAGGCGGCTGTGGCTGCTTGGGCAACAGGAGCTGCTTGACCCTGTTCTGCTGGCCTTGTTGGCCTCACTCCCGTAGAGAGCCAAGGTTACCCACGTCTCTGAAGCTAAGGCTTTCTTTCTAGGCCTGGGGGAGTCACATCTTGCATTCGTACTCACTGAGCTCCACGTCTATGGTTAGAGAATTTATCAACATTTTATAATGCTTTTATCAATTCCATCATTTGAGGGCCCTCTGGCAAGGAACCTGTTAGTACATGGAGTGCCTGGAATGTTCCAGAAAGCTAACATGAACAGCTGGCCCTTGCTGTCCTTATACATTGAGGACTCCAAAGGCCACTCAGGATGACAGGAAATGCAGGCTCCAAAAGATTCGGTTCCTTTGTGAGGCCCTCGGGCAGTGGTCAGACACGAAGGAAATAGGAAATCACCCCCAAACCACACCTCTCCCTATGAGGCCACAGCTGCCGATGCAGCCTTGGGAGGGGGATGGAGGGAGAGAGGAGGGCATCTGAATGTGGACACACCCTGCTGTGAGGGCTGTGGGCGGTCCTGAGACTGGAGCCAGCCCCCAGGCTCAGCTCAGCTCGGGGACCTCGTGCCCGGGCTTTCCTGGGGAGGAAGGTGTTGGATCTCCTGCCTCTCTGTATTCATTCACACTTTGGGTTTCTCTCTCTTCCGCGCATTCTAACATCTGCAGGATTTTTTTTTTTTTTTTTTTTTTTTTGAGACAGAGTCTCGCTCTGTTGCCCAGGCTGGAGTGGAGTGGTGCGATCTCAGCTCGCTGCAAGCTCCGCCTCCTGGGTTCACGCCATTCTCGTGCCTCAGCCTCCAGAGTAACTGGGACCACAGGCGCCCGCCACGACGCCCAGCTAATTTTTTGTATTTTTAGTAGAGACGGGGTTTCACCGTGTTAGCCAGGATGGTCTCGATCTCCTGACCTTGTGATCCGCCCGCCTCGGCCTCCCAAAGTGCTGGGATTACAGGCGTGAGCCACCGGGCCTGGCACATCTGCAGGATTTATGGATGAAGGGCCACAAACCCACATTTGGTCTCATTCAACAGATGTTGTGTCGGCAGGGCGAGGTGGGACTCTGTCTCTGCCCACGCTACCTGCCCCTGGGGTTGTAGTTCTAGGAAAGCAAGTCTCAGACTGAGTTTTGATCTGGATTAAATTCTGTCCCAGGTGCAGATATTTATAGGAAAGCAGGGACAAGAGCCCTCAGGCAAAGCTGGGTATCCTGCGATGGGTGCCTCTGGGAGTTCGCAGATAACAAGGCCTTTTCCTGGAGGCAAAGCAGAAGCGTTCTGTGGCAGACCAGTCAGCTTTCTAGCAGGTCAGGGGCAGGGACATCTAGGCCCAAGGTGTCACACCGTGCCTGGCTGCTGGCTCTCCTCTTGCAAGGACACAGCTCTTACAGGACTTCCTAGCCCACCCAAGAACATCTTTCCATCATCGAAAAGTTATTGATAAGATTTTTCCATCACTGAAAAGTTATTGATAAGTGCCACCATGTGCATGAGCAGCCCTCCAGGTGCTGGCTTGTGGGCCGGTGTTTGAGAATCTTGCCAGTTGAATGTGGGCATCTGTTGAGGGTTTCCCAAAGGCTAACCGTTCGTGCCAGAGGGAGGCCGTGGCTCATTCCTAGGGCCCTGGGTGAGACTGGGGCTCATGCACACACAGGTATCGATGGCATGGGCTGTAACGAGCTGAGTGCCTGCTGCCCTTTCCTAGTGGGGGGGGTGGGCTCCTGGAGAAAGAGGGGAGGCTGCTACTCTCCAGGGCCACAGGGAGCCCAGAACGCCACCTCCTGGTGTCAGCAGCAGCAAATCCATATAAGTCTGCAGCAACTTAGCTTTTGCCTCCTCAGAGGAAATAATTCATCCAGGGGGCACAAGGCAGGGTCAGAGACTGAGGTAAGTTTCAGAGCAAGAGTGAAAGTTTATTAAAAAAGTGTTAGAGCAGGAACGAAAGGAAATAAAGTACACTTGGAGGAGGGCCAGGTGGGCATCTTGAGAGAGCAAGTACACGGTTTTGACCTTTGACTTGGGGTTTATATCTTGGCATGCTTCTGGGGGCTGCGTCCCTTCTCCCCTGATTCTTCCCTTGGGGTGGGCTGTCCGCATGCGCAGTGGCCTGCCGACACTTGGGAGGGCCGCGTGCACAGTGTGCTTACTGGAGTTGTGCGGTGCCCTCTTGAGGCAGTCTTCCCTTACCAGTTCCTAGGGGAAGGTCACACGCTGGTTAAACTTTGCCACTTTGCCTCGTAGTGTGCATGCTTGACCTCACTCACCAACTCCTGAGATTTTTTTTAAATTTTTTAATTTAAGTTCTAGGGTACATGTACACAACGTGCAGGTTTGTTACATAGGTATGCATGTGCCATGTTGGTTTGCTGCATCCATTAACTCGTCATTTACATTAGGTATTTCTCCTAATGCTATCCTTCCCACCCCACGACAGGCCCTGGTGTGTGATGTTGCCCGCACTGTGTCCAAGTGTTCTCATTGTTCAATTCCCACCTGTGCCAACTCCTGGGATCTTATCGGGAAGTGGCTCATCATCAGCTTTAGGTGTTTTCTATCTATTGGGAGCCTGCCTTTCTCTGGCACCAGCTGCAACCAATAATTATTTTAGACAGTTTAACAACAGCTTGACCATCACCTGATGATCACCTGACATTTCTGTTGGGGCGCGGGCCCATCTCCTGCCCCGCTCATGTGGGGCTCAGTCTGCCCAACCTTTCCCCAAGGGCCTGTCTTTACTTCATTTGTGGTAAGCCCCAAGCAGAATGGACTCTTGTTATGATCCCAGGAACTGCTCACGGCCACCTCTGTGGATGAACACCTAGCGGCTGCTCTAAATACATGCTGTGAAAGTTGTCAGAATCAAAATGGAGTCACTAATGTTAAGAAAGCCCTGACAAAGAGTTGGTGGGGAAGGCCACGAAGAGAGGACACTTATGCTTGCATGCCTGATACCAGAAAGGACTACAAAAACCACAGCCCGGCACAGAGGCCATCACACCCTTACACAAAAAATATTTCTGCAAGGACAACTGCCCAGCAATTGCCTGTCCAACCTCAGACTGGAATGACCTTTGTTATTGATGTTTGTAGCCAAGGAGAATTATCTCAAAACCACTGTGATCCTGCTCGCTTTTCCTTTAAAGACCTTTGTCTTCCTTGACCTCCCTGAATAGGCATATGGTTTACTATGGCGTGTGTACTCTCCTTGTAATGTTCTGTTCTCAAGCTAACATCTATTCTTCTAGAGAACCTCTCTCTTAGGCTGACAACGCTGTGGATCTGGGCTCCCAGGAACTGGGGCTGACATCAGAGGGGTGGAAAGAGAACAGCAGCTCTCCCTGAGGGGATGCTTGCCAAGGATAAGGAGACGATGGTTCTCTAAGGATTATTTTATATTCATCTAAAAGGGTATTTTTGTTGTTACCCCTAGCCTTTTTTCCCTTTTAATTTTCTGATGAATAATTTATATAAAGAAAACCCATTCTAAGTGTGCAATTCTATGAGTTTTGACAAATGTCTTCACCCATGCAAATCCTGTTACAACGGAGATATAGAACATTTCCATTACTTAAAAACAGCCAGGTGCTGTAGCTCATGCCTGTAATCCCAGCACTTTGGGAGGTCAAGGCGAGAGGATTACTTGAGCCCAGGAGTTCAAGACCAGCCTGGGCAACATAGTGATGCCCCATCTCTACAAAAATAGAAGAAATTAGCTGGGCATGGTGGTACATGCCTGTGATCCCAGCTACTTGGGAGGCTGAGGTAAGAGGATTGCTTGAGCCTGGGAGGTGGAGGCTGCAGTAAGCCACAATCTCACCACTGCACTCCAGCCTGGGTGACAGTCAGACCCTGACTCCAAACAAAAACCAAAACTTCCTTCTTGCCCCTTTGCAGCCAGACTGTTTTCTGTCATTGTGGATGCATCTGTTCTAGAAATTTACATGGATGGAATCACTCAGTCTTTTGTATCTGGCTTCTTTTACTTGGCACAGTGTTTGTGAAACTCATCATTGTTCCACATAACAGTAGTTCCTTTTAATTGCCAAGTGGCATTCCTTGGTGTGAATGCACCACAGCTGGGCTAGCCACCCAGATGCTGATGGGCAGTCGATAGGCGGTAGGATGTCCCCATTTTCAGTCACTATGAATTGGTCTGCTGTAAGCACTAGAGTAGAAATTTTTTTTTAGAGACAGGGTCTCGCACCGTCATCCAGGCTGGAGGGCAGTGGCTCATAGCTCACTGCAGCCTCAAACTCCTGAGCTCGGGCAATCCTCCCACCTCAGCCTCCCAAGTAACTGAAACTACAGGCACACACCACTACACTTGGCTAATTTTTAAACTTTTTGTAGAGACGGGGTCTTGCTGTGTTGCCCAGGCTGGTCTTGAACTCCTGGGCACAAGCAATCCTCCCACCTCTCAAGTAGCTGTAATAGGTGTAAGCCACTGCCCAGCACCATTTATTGAAGAATCTGTCCTTTCCACAGTGAGTGTGCTTAGCACCTTTGTTGGAAATCAGTCGGCTGTAGAAAGCGGATTAATTTCTGGGCCCTCTGTTCTGTTCCATTGGTCTGTGTGTCTGTTTTTATGCCAGTTCCATGCTGTTTTGGTTACTGTAGCTTTGTAGTGTATTTTGAGTCTGGGAGTGTGATGCCTCCAGCTTTGTTCTTTTTGTTCAGGATGGCTTTGGCTGTTTGGGGTCTTTTGTGGTTCCATACAAATTTTAATATTATTTCTTTTTCTAAAAAGAATGCCATTGGTATTTTGATAGGCATTGCCTTAAATGTGTAGATTACCTTGGGTAGCACAGTCGTTTTAACAATATTAGTTCTTCCAATCCTTGAGCATGAGATGTCTTCTCATTTGTTCATATCCTCTTCAGTTTCTTGCGTCAGTTTTTTGTAGTTTTCCTTGTAGAGGTCTTTCACCTCTTTTGTTAAATTTATCCCTAGGTATTTTATATTATTTGTTGCTATTGGAAATAGGATTGCCTTCTTGATCTCTTTTTCAGCTAGGTTTTTGTTTGTGTATAGAAATGCTACTGATTTTTGTATATTGCCAGGGGCAGCCTGTGGGACTTTTTCTTAGGCCCTTATTGGAGGCACAGAGCCATTGGGCAGGCCAGGGGCGTACCTGCAGGTGGGGGTGCCGTGGGGCTGATTTTCAGGCCCTGAGCTCCTGCTGTCAGTTGCTTGGAGGCTGGTGGGGCCTATGTGGGGAGACCTGCAGCTGTTTGGCTCAAGGGTGGGTTTGCTGCAGGTGGGAGGAGCAGACAGCTGGAAGAGCTGCGGTGGGGATGGGTTTCCCTGCTGTGCAGGACCAGAGTCACAGCTAAGCCTGGGCCCAAGCTCTATGCAGCTGGGGTTGTGGTGTTCAGCTGCCCATGTGGGCTTGGTGGCATGAAAGTGGAGCCCCAGTGCTGGAGAGGTGCAGGTGCTACTGGCCCCAGGGCAGAGCCCCTCCAGATGCAATAGCAGCTTGGCTCATGGCATGGGTGTGGGGTGGGAGGTGCACACCTTTTGCTCCTAATCGGGGGAACACTGCTGTGAGAATTCCCTGCAGTGCTCCCAACTGGGCTCAGGGCTTGCAAGGACTGTGGGTTCTCCTGCAGCAAGGACTGCCAGCATTTGCTGTAGCAGTGGCAGCTGGTGGAGATCTGCTTACCTTTTCCTTGCCACTGGAAGTCCCTCTTTGCTTCTAGGTCAAACTGGTGGGTGAGGAAGACTGGGCAGCAGACGCCACCTGGGCTTCCGAGCACCACAGGGGTGTCTCCGGCCTCTGCTGCAGTCCAGCACTCTGCCTTCGACGCTCCAGTCAAATTGTCACTGTCAACTTGTTGCCTTGATCCTTCTTTGTGGGGAGGAGGGGATGAGCGCCAGACAGTTCTAGTCAGCCCTGTTGCCAACACCACTCTCCTTCTGGTGACTTTCAAAGAGAAAAGTTGAACATTTTTACTACACCCAACGTAATCATGTTTCAGTGATAAGAGTTTTTGAATTTTGCTGTATGTGTTTTGAATTTCTGTTAGTAGGAGCATACTCATTTGGGGTCATTGTGTCCTCTTGATGTCTTGACCCTGTTGTCTTTGTTTATCCCTGGTGATGTTCTTTGTTCTGACATCTGCTTTGTGTCGTGTCAACATAACTACTTCAGCTTTCTTTTGACAGCGCTTCCCTGGCATGCCCTTTTCTCTCCTTTAACTTTTAACCTACCTGTGTTTTAAATATACATATGTATCTATCTGTCTATCTACACATTTTTTTTTGAGATGGAGTTTTGCTCTTGTCACCCAGGCTGGAGTGCAATGGCACTATCTAACTCTCACTGCAACCTGTGCCTCTTAGGTTCAAGTGATTCTCCTGCCTCAGCCTCCCGAGTAGCTGGGATTATAGGCACCTGCCACCATGCCCAGCTAATTTTGTAGTTTTAGTAAAGTCAGGTTTTCACCATGTTGGCCAGGGTGGTCTCGAACTCCTGACCTCAGGTGATCCACCTGCCTTGGCCTCCCAAAGTGCTGGGATTATAGGTGTGAGCCACCACGCCCAGCCTATTTTCTTTTTTTTAAGTAAAATTTTGAGACAGGGTTTTGCTCTATCACCCAGGCTGGACTGGAGTGCAGTGGTGCCATCTTGGCTCACTGCAGCGTCACCCTCCCAGGCTCAAGCAATCCTCCCACCTCAGCCTCCCAAGTAGCTGGGACCACAGGGGTTCACCACCACACCCAGGCAATATTTGTATTTCTTATAGAGATGGAGTTCCACCCTGTTTCCCAGGCTGGTCTTGAACTCCTGGACTCAAGCAATCCTCCCACCTCAGCCTCCCAAAGTGCTGAGATTACAGGCATGAGCCACCATGCTTGGCCTTAACCTATCTGTGTATTTATATTTAAAACGGGTTTCTTGTAGGCGGCTTAGAGTTAGTTCTGTATTTCAATCAACAATCTCTGCCATTTAATTAGAGTGTTACATCATTTAAATTTAATTATCAATGTTTTCTTATTTGTCCTATTCATTCTTTGTTCTTTTTCCTCTTTTTTCTTCCTGCTTTTAGAATTATAAATTTATCTTTTTTGGATTCAAATATGTCTTCTTATTGGCTTTTCAGCTAGATCTTTTTGCTTTACTTGTTCAGTGTTTTTTTCTACAATTGTCAATTTGCAGCTTAAACTTAAGCTAGTCTACTTCCAGATATTATAACCCTTCATGTGGATTTTAATGACTTTAAACAGTAACGTTCCATTTCTGTTCTATTCCTTTCTTTATTGTCATACATTTCACTGTCACGTGAAATACAGCTGATATATACCCTTTAGCCTCAATAACTTCCTTTAGCATTTTGTGTTATGCAGATCTACTGAAAATGGATTCTACCAATTGTCATTTGTATGGAAATATCCTTAATTTGCCCTCGTTTTTTGAAAGATATTTTCACTAATTCTCTAGGTTGATGGGCACTTTTTCTTCTGTCATGTTAAATCACATCGTTCAGTCCACTGTCTTCTGACTTGCATTGCTTCTGATGACAGATTGGCAGCTGTTCTTCTGTGTTTCTTTGTGTTTTGTGTGTATTTGTCTGGCGCTTTTGCCTTGTCTGTCCTGCTTGGGGCTTACTGAGCTTATCAATCTGTGAGATTCAAGTCTGAAAATGTTGCAGTGAAGGTTTCTTCAAATATTTCTCTGCCTGCCTCTTCCTTTTGGGACTCCAGTTATATGTATATGAGCTGCTTGATGCTGTTTCAATGTCAGTGAGGTTCTGTTTATGTTGAAACTTTTCTCCCGTCTCCGTGCTTAGGTTTGAATACTTTCTAATGCTTGTATTCAAGTTCACTGGTATTTTTCTGCAGTTTTCAAACTGCTGCTAAGCTCATATTATGAATTTTTCATTTCAAAGGTATTTTTCATCTCAGAGGTTCCATTTAGTTATATATATACATAATATATTTTGCCAGGATATATCCTTTGGTTAAAAAAAAAGTCTGTAGGTATTAAAAGCAGGGTTACGTTGAATGACCTTGAACATCCATTTTCTGATATTTTGTGACTTTAAGGTAGCTGCTTAGAAGTGGAATTGAAGGATGCAGTTGTGAATGCACACAGGTCTTTCCGGGCATCTCTGAGCTTCTTCCCGCAGGGGCTGTGCTGTTTGCATCCCAGCAGCAAAGCATGAGGTTGTGTGTTTCCCTGCAGCCTCCCCATCAAGGTGTGCTGGTGACCTTGTGGAGTTTTGCCAACCTGTTAGGAGAGATGTTGTAACTCAGTGTTTTCATTTCTAATTCTCGGATCATGAAAACTAACAGGCTTGGCTTGGTGTGGTGGCTCATACCTGTAATCCCAGCACTTTAGGAGGCCAAGGCGGGTGTAACACCTGAGGTCAGGAGTTCAAGACCAGCCTGGCCAGCATGGTGAAACCCCGTCTCTACTAAAAATACAAAAAATTAGCCGGGCGTGATGGTAGGCGCCTGTAATCCCAGCTACTCAGGAGACTGAGGCAGGAGAATTGCCTGAACCTGGAATGTGGAAGTTGCAGTGAGCCGAGATCGTGCCACTGCACTCCAGCCTGGGCAAGAGAGAGAGAGACTCCATCTCAAAAAAAAAAAGAAAAAAGAAAACAACGGGCTTATTTACAGCAGGAGCTGTGGTGCCCTTGGGGGATGTGTGAGCTCCAGGGATGACAGCAACCACCATCTGTTCATCTCAGCACTTGGGAGACAAGCCCTGTAGGATTCATTCAGTAAAAATAAAATCCTACGAAGTGAATTTGTAGGCTTGGGGAAGTGTGGACAATGCAGTTTGGGCATCACCTACGTACAAGCAGAATTCGCAGGAACAGCTCCTGGGCATTGGGATGAAACATGGCCCCTGCCATCTGCTTCTTGGTGTCAGGCCGGCCTCCTGCTTCCCGCCTTTGTTGCCAGCGTGGAGGAAGCAGAGGTCAGGGAGGCAGTCACTGCTTGTCCCTGACACGGGACTCAGTCTCCAGACAAGGCGGCTGCTCTCAGTGTCCTGTCTCATGACTCCAGGAAGGCCCCTCCCTGTAGAGTGTCAGCAAGTGCCCACGACCCACCCACAGAGCAGCTGAGCAGTGCCTAGCGCGCAGGGCAGGCCACACGGCGCCACCATCAGAGCACGAGAACAGAAGGGCTGGGGGCCGTGGGAGCCTGGGCGGGCCAGGGTAACGAAGAGCCCGCCGTCGGTCTCTGCATCCGTCGGCTCACGTGGCCACGGAGCAGCACCGTGTTACAGCAAAGCGGTCCTGATCCAGAACCCAAGAGAGGGTTCTTGGATCTCGCACAAGATAGAATTCAGGGGGAGTCCGCAGTCCCATGTGGAAGTGAGTTTATTAAGAGAGTAAAGTGGCGAAAGGACGGCTGCTCCACAGACAGAGCAGGGCATTCCCGAAACTAAGAGGAGAAAGGCGCCCACCTGGGGTACAATCCTGGTGTATACGGGGAGATGTGCTCTGCTACGAGCGTTGATGATAAAGAATTAATTTTCTTAATTAGTATATTTTGCAAGAATCAATATCATTTATCTTTAAGGCAAAATTAGGAATGCCTTTGTTCTCTGGATATCGGGGTATCTGGACTCCCAAGTCTGGGTCTGTTTAGTAAACATTATTTATTTGTTCCTTTATCTCTAAACGTCTAGAGGCTGGGAATGCCCGACTCTCTGGGAGTGGAGCCTAGCAAGTCCTAGCCTCGTTTTCCAGCCCTCACTCGAGGTGGAGTCGCTCTGGTTCCAGCGCCTCTGACGACCGCAGGCTGGGGCTTAGACAGGACATTTATTGCTCAAAGTACAGTCCATGAGGCTGGCGGTCCCAGATCCAGGTGTGGCAGGGCTACTTCCTCCTGAGGCCTCTCCTTGGCTTCCAGACACCGTCTTCTCCCTGAGTCCTCACCGGGTCGCCCCTCTCTGCGTGTCCGCCTCCTGATCTCCTGTTCTTACAAGGACACCAGTCACAACGGGCCCACCCTCTTGATCTCATTTAACTGAAATCCTTTCTGTAAAGACCCCATCTCCAAATACCGTCACATTCTGAGGTCCTGGGGGTCAGGACTTGAACATTTAAACTTGGAGGCAGGCACAGTCCCACCCATCACAGCCCATTGTCCTCCACAGCCCTCCAATCTCACTTCGAGTCTTCCCCAAGGGTCAGCACAGGCTCTGCCCTTGTGAGCTTCATGGGAATGAGGGTCAAGGGGGTAATGAGGGCCGGAAGTGATCGGAGGGAGGCGGGAAGAGGGAGGACTTGGACTCCGCCCACGGGGTCCCCACCTGGGCATGGCTGTAGGGAGGGGCATCGTGCTGCTCTTGTCCTTACTGGGGGCCAGTGTCTGAAGGAGGAAGGGATGGGTGGCAGGCACTGCGGGGAGGAGAGGGCTCTCCAGCACTCATATTTTCATCCTTTGACCGTGCTGCCTGGGCACTGAGCATAGGAGGATGTCGCTGGCTGGCAGGGCTGTCACCCTCATCGATGGCCCAGTTTCCCAGGAGGAAATGGATGGGATGGCAGGTTTCAGCAGAGAGCACACAAGCCCTGCTATTATCTTACAAAAAGCCAGGCCAGCCTCCCACAGCTCTCCATGTGACTTAGCATCAATATTGGGGGTTTTGTAGTTACCTCAGGAAACCTACTTTTGAACAAATAATAGATTATGTTCTCTGGAACACAGGGGGAGCTAAATGCCTTTTGACAGCCAGCAGCTTATGGAAATAGCCCTTTTCCTGGCAGAAGAAGTCGGTTCCCCACGGCCGCGCCCGCTGCTTCATCCAGCTTCCCCTCGCTCTGTGCCGACGGGTGCCCGGAGTTCAGCCCCTGGCCTGACTGTTGCTGTCACTGCCCCCTTGACCACTGCAATGGTGACAGCTGTGATGTACGATTACAAAGCGGGACACAGAGCCCTCCCAGAGCAAGGCAGCTCCCCTGTGGGCCAAGCGGACCAGGCTACTGGGGGACCCTGGGCTCCTGGGACATGGGGTGCGGGTGCAGACAGGGCCTGAAGTGCTCCTAGGTGCATGCCAGTGGCAGGAAGCCCCATGTCACAGAGATGTGGCCCAAGCGCTTGACAAGAGACGGCGTCAGATGATGTAAAAGAAACCAATGGACCTAAGTGGGTGCCATCCTGAGCCCCGCTGGTGGATTAACTCAGTTCCATGCCCACGACTGCCCGAGGTGGAGCGATGGTCATGCCCACTGCACAGATGAGGAGCCGAGGCCAGGAAGGGTTTTGCCAGATGCCTGGGCTGGGGCCAGGGCTCAGGACCACCCACTGAACTGCCTGCTCGGCCCACCCTGGCAAGTGTGTGCAAGGGCCCGGTGGTGCCGACGAGGAGGGCCATGGGGAGGAGATGTTGTTGTCCTGAGACTCCCAGCCCCACCTGAGGGGGAAGAGGGTGGGAGAGCAAGGCTGGGAGCCACCCTTGGGGGCTGTGCATGTGCCCCCTGACATTGGAGGACACAGGCCACGCCACACCTGTGCCACCCAGGGAGTGGGAAGGAAGCACGTGGCCGTGGAGAGGCCAGCAGGTGGCAGGAAGGGCTGCAAGCCCCCAACCACGGGGTCACACGTAGGGGACCCAGCACCCCATGCAGGAGCTGGGCTGTGCCCTGCATCTGCACAGGCCGGGGCATGAACTGGGCATCAGCACCGCCCTCCCATGGGGACGAGGACCCATGCCCGCGTGGTGCAGGAGCTGTGCACTGAGCAGCCCCATGGGCAACTCCAGCCCGCAGTGCCAGGAGCAGGGCCAGGCCTTGTGGCAGGGGTGCAGGCTGGCTCCTGGCGGTCGCTCAGCTCTCGGGGATAGGTGAGGACGCGTGGAGAGGGGATAGCATGGGCATCAAGGCCGAGGCACTGGCCCCTCCCAGAATGGCCTCCAGGACCACCCTGCCTGCCCCCGGGTGCCCCGCTGTGCCTGGGGAGGGTAAGGGTCACTTCGGGTTCACGGCTCCAGGGTCGCCGTCTTGAAATTCTTACCAATTTTATCACTAAGCTTATGTTTTTCAAGCAAGATAGGATGGGCATGGAGCCCCTGCAAGAGCAAGCCACGGGCGCCCTCCGAGCCCATCGCCGCTCAGAACCTGAACAGAGCACATAAGCAAGGCTCACGGCGACCACAGGGCTGGTCGCAGCCAGGACGGGGTGAGGAGCTGCAGCCCCAGCCTCGCCTTCCCTTCAAGCCGAGCAGCTTCCAGTGGGAGGAAACGCCAGCGACCGGGCCCCCGTCCTTCCTCCTCAGGCGGTCCTGTGGAAGGTGCGGTGCTGATGGAACGTGGTGACTGGGAGGTGGCATAAAAGCAGCCACTGTGCTGGTTTTGTGGGACCTCTCCTCCTTTCTGGGGGTCCCTGAGGACAGGTGCATGTGCGAACTGTGAAACAGAAACTGAGATTTCACCTTCCGGATGAGTTCCATGCTTTCTTTTTTGCATTTAAAACCGGACAATGTCACATTGGCAAAAATCTAGAGTTTTCTGCCGTCTTAGCTGGAAATGAGCTGCAAGTTTTTCTCAAGATGTAGTGTGTAATCCGTCAGAGCAAAACACGGAGAGCCCTTAGCAGAAGCCCACTTCAATGTATTTTCTTCATATCCCTGAAGTTCCTTAAAAATAGGTGACGATGTATTGGGAAGAGGAGAACTGAGAAGTTCCCTTGCAGGTTTTGTATCAGTGACATGTAAATGAGCAATTCACAGATGAGCGCGGGCACAGCTCTGTGTGCTGCGTACATACGGGCCGGGCTATGATGTCTCACACTGGATGATATTCCACCTTCGGAATTTTAGTGTTTGAATACAGAAAATGGGTTTAATAACTCACTGTGGTTTTGATTTATCTTATATTCATCATTTCTTAAAACTCATTTCTTATAAAATTTAAAGTAAAAAAAATAAAACTAGACAATATATGAATGGCAGATCCATGCTAATGATTCTAATTTTCAGAATTTCTTTACTTAGAATGACATAAAATAGCAACTAAAAAATAAGTTGAGAAACTGTGGAAAAAGAAAAAGCTAGGCCGGGCACGGTGGCTCATGCCTGTAATCCCAGCACTTTGAGAGGCCAAGGCGGGCAGATCACCTGAGGTCAGGAGTTCAAGACCAGCCTGGCCAACATGGCGAAACCCCGTTTCTACTAAAAATACTAAAATTAGCTGGGCTTGGTGGCTCATGCCTGTAGTCCCAGCTACCTGGGAGGCTGAGGCAGGAGAATCGCTTGAACCCAGGAGGGAGAAGTTGCGGTGAGCTGAGATGGTGACATTGCAGTCCAGCCTGGGCGACAGAGCAAGACTCTGATAAAAAAGAAGAAGTTGTATATTTTACTACCTTGCACAGCACTTTCCCCTGCTTTTTAATGAGGCACTCCACATTTTCACTTTGCACAGTGCCCTGAGTGGGCCAGATGGAGGGACCCTTCTTCTGGGGTCTCACCCTCATGTGGCTGCTGGTCCACACGGGCCCTGACAGTGGCTCTCGGGGTGATCACAGCCTGAGGCTCCTCCTTTCTCAGGCCCTGGTCACTCAAAGGATTCCCGGCGGGGTCCCTCCAGTGAACACCCAGCTCCTGCTTCAGAGCATGAGGGGTGTGAGTTTTCCAAAGGTACCAGCTTTGGACAGATGGGGTGAGATGGTGGCCAAGGGGTCCCTGCAGGGGCCCCTCATGGTCCTGGGGACACCCTGACTCTTCTGGCCGGGTGGAGCACAGCCCCAGCTACCTTTGCACTCTCCAAGGTCCCAGGGGCACCCAGGCTACTGAGTGTCCCAGACATCCACACGCAGGGATTGGGGGACCAGAAGCTGGGGAGCCCTAGGGGTTTTGAGGGCAGAGGGCAGGAGGAGGGTGTGGTTAATGGTGTCCAATGCAGGTGCTAAGCCACAGGAGGAGTGGGCTGTGGCGTGGACGATGCAGGTAGCTGTCAGCATCAATGAGATGTGCAGTGGGCTCATTGGGGGGTGGGGTTTTTTAAGAAAAAAGCCTCGGGGTGTGGCTGCTGGTGGGTCGCCCTGTCAGAGAAGAGAAAGCTGGAGAGGACACAGGGCTGGGGTGGAGGGCAGGTCTGCGGGTTCCAGGGGGCACACTGGAGGGGACACTCAGGGGCTGGAGGCTGTCTTGGGTTGGGACTGAGGCTGGTGTGGGGTCTTCTGCAGGCTGGGACTCATGGTGGGGCTGGGTTCAGGGGTGGGAAGTTGGAGGGGGATGCTGGGAATATCTGCTGTGACAGTAGAAAATGTACATTCAGGATTAGCCTAGTGGCTCACGCCTGTAATCCCAGCACTTTGGGAGGCCGAGATGGGTGGATCACTTGAGGCCAGGAGTTTGAGACCAGCCTGGCCAACATGGTGATACCCCGTCTCTACTAAAAAATAATAAAATCAGCTGAGCATGGTGGCACGCGCCTGTAATCCCAACTACTCCGAAAGCTGAAGCAGGAGAATTGCTTGAACCTGGGCGGCAGAAGTTGTAGTGAGCTGAGATCGCACCATTGCACTCCAGCCTGTGCAACAGAGCAACACCCCGTCTCAAAAAATATATATATATTTATTCTATTTTGTCCCCAGTTCCTGACACAGTGCTTCTTGGAATGTCCTGCATGGTAGGAGGTGAGAATTCATAACAAGCCCCTTTCAACCTCTCCTGAGCTTATGCTATGAGGGGACTCTTGGTAGGCCCCTAGATAGCTTGAGGGTGGTGCTGGTTGCTAGGGGAACCAGCCGTGTGATTGAAGGCTGAAACTTTCAGCCCCATTTCTCAATCTCTGGGGCCAGGGGTTGGAGATGGAGGCCAACGAAAAATCACCAGTGATGTCACCAATTGTGTCCACATGACACCTCCATCAGAAACCCTCGCCCATGGGATTTGGAGAGCTTCAGAGTTGGTGAACACGTCCGCGTGTGGGAGGGGGCACACCCCAAGTCCATGGGGACAATGGAATGTCCTGTGCCCGGGACCCCACCAGCCCTCGCCCCAGGCACCTCCACATCTGGATGTTCCTGCGTATTCTTCACAATATCTTCTCCAAGAAAGCAGTAACGGTAAGCAAAGTGTTTCCCTGACTTCCACGAGCCATCCCAGCAAATTACTGAATTTAAGGAGGGGATGGTGGGCCCATTTGCAGCCACGTTGGACAGACATGTGGGTGGCCTGGGGACACGATGCTTGTGACTGGCTGAGTGGGGGCAGCCTCACGGGCAAAGCTTTCAACCTTCCGGATCTGCGCTAGCGCCGGGCAGTGTTGGAGCTGAATTAAATTGCAGGACACTCGGGTGGTGTCTGCAGAGACCCGGAGAATTGGCTGGTGTGCAAAACCCACACGCTTGTTGTCAGCCGTGTCGTGAATCGAGGAACAGCTTTCCTTTATCCACAAAAAAAGCGAGTTTTCATTCCCTATTCTTAAGTGCGTGGCTCCAGCTTTTGCAATAATTCTAGTCCTTATGGTGAGGAGGGTAATGTGAGCGAGGCTGAGAAAGCTCCGGAGGAGTCCACACGGCCATCCTCTTTCTAGTTCAGCAACAAGAGCCAAAATCAGGTTTCCACGGAAAGTGACTGGCGTTGGCTCTCCATAGGGAAATGAAAGTAAAAGAAGCAGTTTGGCCAGGCGCAGTGGCTCACACCTGTAATCCCAGCACTTCGGGAGGCTGAGGAGGGCGAATCACCTGAAGTCAGGAGTTTGAGACCAGCCTGGTCAACACGGGGGAAACCCTGTCTCTACTAAAAATACAAAAATTAGCCAGGCATGGTGGCGGGTGCCTGTAGTCCCAGCTACTCGGAAGGCTGAGGCAGGAGAGTCACTGGAACTGTGGAGGTGGAGGTTGCAAGTGAGCCGAGATCACGCCACTGCACTCCAGCCTGGGCGACAGAGCAAGACTCTGTCTCAAAAGAAAAAAAAAGCAGCAGTTTGGGCCATGCAGTGAGCGCTCTGTGGACCAGTGGACTCATCTGCTGGGGTCCAGGCAGCCTGGGCTGCTCCTGGTTCTTCCCTCCTCCCTGCATGCACGGCCCTGCACTGCCCTCCCTGGGGCTGCTGTGGGAGTTCTCGGGGCTCTCGGTGGTTGTCCCGCTGGCTGGGAAGGGCTGTGGTGTGTTGGGTGCTGCCTACCCTGAAGTACACGAATTAGGGTTGTGCTGTGTTGGGTGCTGCCCTCCCCAGGGGCTGCTGTGGTGTGGTGCTGGGTGCTGGCTGCCCTCAAGTACATGAATTAAAAGTTGCTTCTCCTCTTGCCAGATGCAGGGAGGAGGCTGAGCAAAGCCCTAGCTCATTTACGTAGAGACAGACACACAGAATTTTTGCAGGAATTTAATGCACTCTGATTTTTCCGGAGATCTAACAATAGCGCACATCAAAGTGGGTGGCACTGGGCTCTGTTCAGAACATTCCAGCAACTGGTCACTGCAGCAGCGCACTCACATGGCGGTGGGCGCTCGGGCTGACCTCACCTTCTGGAAGGTGCACCTGTGTGCGCAGGCATCCGAGTCCATGTCACGTGCTGGCACGGCAATCGCCATCCTTTCACAACAGGTCACGAAGCCGACTGATTTTGAATGGCTGTGTGGGTAATACTGCCCATGACCTTCATTCCAGAGAGCAACAGGCATCAGGAAACGTCTGTCACAACAGGCAGGGCTGGAGCTTGACACGGTTGAGAATCCCTGATGCTCAACCCGTATTTTCTGGCTACCAGTTGAAAGAAAGGGTGAGAGGATGCTTGGCTCCGAGCAAGTGGCTGAGAAACGCAGCCATAACATTCAGCTCCTTCTCACCAAATTCTTTACCCCAAAGAACCCTGGGAGGAAGACACATTTGCTAGGAGCTGGGTACCTGAAATCAAGGTAAGGAAAGGATGCCAGGTTCTCTCCTCCAAATGGCGCTCTGGGCGTCTCCCCTACAATCAGAGAGGAACGAAACTTACACGAACCTTAAACTTCTGTTAGAGGTAAAATAGAATAATAATAATAAATCCCAGTTCAGTGAATTCAGGTTAACCGCAAAGCTCATCGGTTTGGAGAGACGAGCTCTGACCTTTGTGAAATTTTGTGCACAAACAACCTGGAACACTGCTGTGAGAGAGAGGGCTGTGTCCTGGCCAGTGTCGGCCCCACCTGCAGGAAGTGCTTATCTGTTTCATCGGTGAGGTTTGCTGGCTGGGCTTGGGGAATAATGGGTTCCCACTTTCTCAATTGTCTCCAGGGTTTGGAACACAGGGCTCTGCGCCTCTTTCTTCACTTGCTGTTCCACAGAGAAGGTGACCCGAGCTGCACAGTCCAAACCGAAGGACACTTAGTCCCCAACTGGATGAAACAGGGAAGAAGCGAAAGCATCTTCATCTATCGGTCTCAGTATTTGAAATTTTGCTTTCTAGATAGGCAGACCAACGGAATAGAAGATAAAGTCTACAAATAGAACCAAATATATGTAGAGATTAGGTATACAATGAGGTGGAAAAAGACGGACTTTTGACAATAAGTTTTTGGGACAGTTGGATAGCCACATAGAAAATGATACAACTGGCCAGGCACAGTGGCTCACACCTGTAATCCCAGCACTTTGGGAGGCCGAGGAGGGCAGATCACGAGGTCAAGAATTCGAGACCAGCCTGGTCAATGTGGCGAAACCCATACATCTACTAAAAATACAAAAGTGGCCAGGCGTGGTGGCTCATGCCTGTAATCCCAGCACTTTGGGAGCTGAGGTGGGCAGATCACGAGGCCAGGAGTTTGAGACCATCCTGGCCAACACAGTGAAACCCCATTTCTACTAAAAATACAAAAATTAGCCGGGTGTGGTGGCGGGTGCCTGCAATCCTAGCTACTTGGGAGGCTGAGGCAGGAGAATTGCTTGAACCTGGGAAGCGGAGGTTGCAGTGAGCTGAGATCGTGCCACTGCACTCCAGCCTGAGTGACAGAGCAAGACTATCTCGAAAAAAAATAAAAGAAAACTAAAAGATACAACTTAACCTTTAGCTTATTTTCCACACCAGAATAATCCCCAAAGACCAGAGATCTTCATGCGAGAAGGAAGTAAGGTCTGGCTGAAAACACAGCTGCAGGATGTCACAGGAGAGGAAAAGGCTTTCTAACCATATCTTATAATTTAGAAGAACAAATACAAGATTGCCAAAATTTATCACTTAAAATAATGTATACTCAGGTCTGGCACGGTGGCTCACACCTATAATCCCAGCATTTTGGGAGGCCGGGGCAGGAGGATCACCTGAGGTCAGCAGATTGAGACCAGCCTGGCCAACATTGTGAAACCGTATCTCTACTAAAAATACAAAAATTAGCCAGGCCTGGTGGCACACGCCTGTAACCCCAGCTACTAGCGAGGCTGAGGCAGGAGAATTGCATGAATCCGGGAGGTGGAGGTTGCAGTAAGCCGAGATCGCATCACTGCACTCCAGGAGCATCTCAAATATGTGTGTGTGTGTGTGCGCGCGTGTGTGTGTGTGTGTGTGTGTATACTCAATCAAAATCCTAGCAAGTTATTTTGTGGCTATTGAGAAATGATTCTGAAGTTTACATAGAGAGAGGAAAGACCCAGCACAACCAACACAAAATTGAAGAACAAAGTCACGGGACTCATGCTGCCCGGCTCCTAGGCTCCTGATGAAGCTGCACTAATCAAAGCAGGGTGGTGAATGAAAGATGGAGGAGGGGGCAGGTAGGGGGTGGATAAGGGGGCGGGTAGGGGGCGGATAAGGGGGCAGGTGGGGCGGATAAGCGGGGGGTGGGTAGGGGGCGGGTAAGGGGGCAGAGTGCAGAACCCAGAAACAGACCCATGTGGATGCAGTCAGAGGAGCAAAGCCAATTCCATGGGACAAAGAGTCTTTTCAACAAATGGTGCTGGGACAACAGGACACCCATGTGCAGGAAAGCAAATCCAGACACAGACTTCCCACCCTTCACAAAAACGAACTCAAAATGGATCAGACCTCAATGTAAAACACAAAACTATAACGCTCCTAGAAGATAACATAGAATAAAACCCAGATGGCCTTGGGCATGAGATGACGTTTTAGATTCAACATTCAACATGCCTGTTGGATCTAAAAGGCATGATCCATGAGAGAAATAATGGATAAGTTGGACTTCATTAATGTGAGAAACTTCTGCTCTGCAAGAGACTCTGTCAAGAGAAGACAAGCCACAGACTGGGAGAAAATACTTGCAAAAGACTTATCTGATAGAGGACAGTACTGAAAATATGCAAAAAACTCTTAAAACTCAACAATAACAAATGGACAATAGATTTTAAAAGTGAGCAAAATACTGGAACGTAAATCTCACCGAAGAAGTTCTGCACATGGCAATACGTGTGTGAGAATGTTCAGCGTCACGCATCATCGGAGAAATGCAAATTACACCAACACTGAGACACCACACACACCTACTAGCATGGCCAAAACCCAGGGACTGGCAACATCAAATGCTGACAAGGATGCGGAACAGCAGGAACTCTTGTTCATCGCTGGTGGGAATGCAAAATGGGGCCGCCGCTGTGGAAGACAGTTTGGCAGTTTCTCACAAAACTAGACATGATCTCACCGTACGGTCCAGTAATCATATTCCTCGGTATACACCCAAAGGGACTGAAAACTTCTGTCCGCACAAAACCTGTACATGGGTGTTTATAGCAGTTTTATTCATAAGTTTCAAAACCTGGAAGCAACCGAGATGCCCTTCAGTAGGTGAATGGGTAAGCAAGCTGTGGCACATCCAGACAGTGGACTCAGCACTAAAAGGAAATGAGCTCCCAAACTATGAAAAGGCAGGGAAAGAACTTAAATACTTATCACTGAGTGAAAGTGGCCAATGTGAAAAGGCTACACCCTGTGGGGTTCCAACTCTAGGACATTTGGGAAACGGCAAAACCATGGAGATGTTAAATAGATCAGTGGTTGTCAGAGGCTGGGGGGAGGGAAGGTTGAACAAGAGGAGCATAGAGGATTTTTAGGGCAGTGAAACTCCTCTATGTGATGCTATAATTGTAGACACGTGCCGTTAGATATTTGTCCAAACCCTTAGAGAGTACAGCACCGAGACTGAGCCTGAATGTAGGCTTCAGGCGCTGGGTGATGACGACAGGGGTCAGTGCAGGAGAATCAGCTGTAACACATGCACCTCTGGTGGGGAAGTTCATCTTGGGGAGGCTGTAGTTGGGGAGGGGGGCTATAGGAAATCTCTGTACCTTCGTCTTAATTTTACTGTGAACCTAAAACTGCTCTAAAAAATAAAACATTAAAAATGAAATATACAGGCTGGGCACAGTGGCTCACGCCTGTTAATACCAGCACTTTGGGAGGCCAAGGAGGGTGGATCACCTGAGGTGGGAGTTCAAGACCAGCCTGGCCAACATGGTGAAACCCCGTCTCTACTAAAAATATAAAAATTAGCTGGGCGTGGTGGCGCATGCCTGTAATCCCAGCTACTCGGGAGGCTGAGGCAGGAGAATTGTTTGAACCCAAGAGGCAGAAGTTGTGGTGAGCCAAGATGGTGCCATTGCACTCCAGCCTGGGCAACAAGAGCGAAACTCCGTCTCAAAAAAAAAAACCAAAAAACAAAAAAAACAAAACAAAACAAAAAACCAAAAAATACACATTTTTGCATGAACAAAAGCCCATGAAGAAAATCAAAGGTGTAGCACATGGGGAAATGAAAGCCATAGCACATGAGAAAATGCTTCCAACTTATCGCACAAAGGATCAAGCTCTGCAAACTATAACAAGCTCCTAAAAATCAAGGCAAAAACCCAATTATCTGTTGGAAAAATGGGCAGAAAAAGAAAGGCAATGGGCAGAAAAAGAAAGGCAATGGGCTCTCCCCTGTGAAGACACACTCAGCCTCACTTACAGTAAAAGTGCACCACACCCCAGGTCCTCTGCACGCCATTTCCCACCCATCAGATAGTCCGAGAGGCAGACTTCCAACAGCGCCTCTGCATCCCCAAGGAGATGGGCGGCTCATGGGGCACTGCTGCCTGGGAGGGGAGGTGGCTTTTGTTGGAGGGCCTCCCACTTACCCAGCTACAGCAACAAATGTGACATCTGTCCCTGAGATGGCCAGACACGCAGCAAGTGCTCCATGCTGTTCACTGTGGCATCACATGTAGTGGCAAAGGTTTGGAAACACCCAAATATCAAAGAGCAGAAGGTTTAATAAATAACTGAGACACACCCACAAAATGCATCTGTAAAGAAGAATAAAAAAGGTATCTCTGTGCTGATAGGCAGTTATCTTCCAGAGGTGGCGTTCTAAGTGCAAGGGAGGCGGGAGAGCGGTGGGGCTTATTTCTTGGTCACAGCCTTGCTGACCAAAGCCGGACCCGGTCCAGATGAGGTGAAGTGGAGAAGCTGGCAAAGACCAGCAGATGGTAAGAGGGCAAAACCTGGCTGCCCTTGTTGGTCACTAGCCTAAGACATGCCTACCAGTGCCATGACAGTTTACAAATGCCATGACAGTTTACGGAAATTACCACTGCTTTTTATGGCAATGACCTGGAAGTTATCACCCCTTTCCTAGAAAGTTCTATATAACCTGCCCCTTAATTTGCATTGACCTGTCCCTTAAGTTGCACGTAATTGAAAGCGGGTAGAAGTGGGTATAAATACAGTTGCCAACAACCCATATGCTGTGGACTCTGGGCACACTGCCTATGAGTCAGCCCCACTCTGCAAGGAACAGTGCTGGTCAATAAAAGTTTGCTGCCTAACACTGCCGGATTGCCCTTGAATTCTTTCCTGGGCAAAGCCAAGAAATCTCCTGGGCTAAGCCCCAGTTTTGGCCTGCATCACCTGGCAGCCATGAAGATGAAACAGTGGGGATGGCAGTGGTGGGTGGAGGGGTGGTGAGACAGCAGAGAGGTGATGGTCCACAGTGGGTAGGACAACTGCCATCTCTCAAAAGAAGTGGTGAGGTGGCAATTGACAAGAAGGCTGGACGGTGGAGAGGTAGCAAGACGGCAACCAGCCGTCTGGTGACTGGCTACACAGTGACTGGTGAGATGGGAAGAAGCAGCAATCAGAGATGGCGATTGGCTCTGCAGCGATCAAAGAAAATCAAAGTCATAGAGCGGCTAGTGCAGCGGAGCTGTAACCTCAGCCAAAGGCTCTCTTCAGAGCCGTCATCTTTCCTGGTAGGCAGCAGAGCCAAGTGGTTGGGGGAGTGGCCACAGTGCCACCACCACGCATGGGACCCCTGCCCTGGCTGGCAGGTCACCGGTCCATGTGCCAGTCTCCTCACAGCAGCTGAGCCTGCCCAAGCTGGGGAAACCCTGGGAGGAGACCTTTACCTAGGGATTAAGGTGGAGAATGATCAGCACCATTTTGGCCCCTGTGGTTGGGTGAGTGTCCTCCCCTCTGCCCACCCCTGCCAATATGAGCCAGGAAATTAGGCCTCTGGCTAGATGGTCAGTTTGAAGTCCCCGTAGCACACCTGACCAGCCACATCCTTGTCATTCCTTCTCTCGATCCTTTCTCCTCTAATGCCATTTCATTGCCTGTTGGCCATTTTAATTTCTGCTTTGAAATGTACGTTTCATCTGCAATTTTTGCTTTGGCTCCCTGCTAACTCTACTTGGGCAGTTACTTAAGGAAGGACACTTGGTTGTGGGAGGTCCCCTGTTGTGCTGACCCTAGGACAGCAGGGTCATGTTGTTCTGTGGCCCCAGCTTGGCCTTTGGGGTTCACTGTGGGCCACCAGCTAGATGCTCTGGGGTTTTCGACATTGGTGTGGGGACCCTTGTTGGCTGATACTCGACTGCTCTGGGTTTTTGGCATTTGGGATTGTAGGCCACCCCCAGACGCTCCAGAGTTTTTGGCACTGGTATTCCCTCTAGGATTGTGGCGTTAGAGGCCACCCTAGGGGAATCTTGGCCTTGCCTTTTCTGGTTTCGTACCGAAAGTTATTTTCTGAAACAGCATTTTCTTATTGTCACTTTATCTACACTTTTCCTTCTACGCTTTGCTTAGTAAAAATAGTTGTTTTGTCATATTTTGTTTGCCAGCACTTTTTTAATGACTTGCTACCTTGACTTATTCCTTCTCTGCAGGACATGGGAATCTGAAAGGGGATGACAGCAAAGGTCCAGCTGCTTCTGCTCTTGCTAGACTTAGAAAAATGCCTGTGCCCAGTAGAAATCCTTGCTAGACGTAAGGATGATGATGAGCATCCCAGAACACTTGCAGCTGGAGTGTCTTTTATGCTGGCCAGTGTTTGATGTTCTTCAGGGTACTAGTTCTAGCCCAAGAACAATTGGCATAAAGCTGTGGTTAGACCTGCAGATTTCTGAGCACTGGTCGTGGTAAGAGCCTGGTGGTGTAGACATTAAGGTTGCTTGGTTTCGATGTTCTGGAATTGCATCTGTTTTCAGGCCCGGTGACGGTACGGCTCATGAACGTAAAACGTCTTCTGACGAAATCAGTATATGAATTGATATTTCTATAGGGAAGACTACTCAATTGTCAACTTCATCATAGCTTATAGTAATCAATAGCTTTCCCGGCTTTAGATCTGTTGAGTATGGAAGAGTCAAAATTTAAGTCTTCATAATCTGCATATTCATAGCATCAGTATCATCAGTGTCCTGTAGTTTTGATGGTAAGCGAAGGGTTGTTAATTTCATCTTTGATGTATAGAATATGTAATAGATGAAATTCGGCTTAAAGAAATTCATTTTCTATTGCAAGACCATTTGGGTCCAACACAAAAATTAGAAAATCAAGAGAACTGGTCTAAACATGGTTCTACACATTATAATGCTATTTCACAATTGGACTTATTCCATAAAAAAGAAGAAAAGTGGGAGGAGGTCCCGTATGTACAGGCTTTTATGGCCCTTTACTGGCTCATGTTACTTCCAGGCACCAGGAAGGCACATCTAAGGGAACCCCTCATAGCTGCTCCCCCTAGAAGGCCTGTGCCCTCCTTGGACCCTCCTCAGTTCCCCAATTCTGAGGGGGTGTTCAGCCAGCGCAGGATTCCACCCAGGGCCATCAGGCCCCCACCCCCCTTATCCAACTAGCCCCAGCCTATACCCCCAACTGCCAAGAAAGCAGGTCCAACGGGCACCCCCAGAAGCAGGGCCCCATATCAGCCCTTCAAGTCAAACTTGTGTCTGTGGCAAGAGGCAGCTGACGGAAATGGGGGCACTTGGAGTGCAGGTGCCATTTTCTATGTCTGACTTGGCTTCATGCAAGGAGGCACGTGGCCGGTTTTCAGATAATCCGGGGTTTTATGGAAGAATCAAGTCTACCATGCTCTTTCACTTGTCATGACTTACAAGCATTGTTGCTCACTTGCTGTGACATGAGGGAGAGGCAGAGGGAGACGTGTGAGATTAAGCCAGTCAGTTATGACAAGGTTAGAGAAATAACTCATGGAAGGATGAAAATCACACTGTTTCAAGGTAGTTTGGTTGAGGTACTCGGGAAACGTATTGACGCAGGCCCCAACTCCCCAGAAGGGCAAGGTCTCCTGGGTATACATTTTATCCCTGAACCTGCCTCCGACATGAAGAGGAAGCTACAGAAAGCAGAAACGGGACCTGAAACCCCTATGAGCCAACTCCTAAACATGCCCTTTAAAGTTTGCAACAATACGAACAGGGCAAGAGGTAGAATTAAAAGCAAGATAAATAGCCAAAATGTACAATTGCTAACAGTTGCTGTCAGTGCCTTGCCCCTCAGCCTTACCCATCCTGAGAGTGTGTTTTAAGATTGGCATCTGACATGCCCAGACAAGAGCTCTTGACTTGCTGGCCCCTGGGTCAGAATCAGTGTGCCTACCATAAGCAAAAGGGCCATTGGCAATGAGAATGTCCTAACCCTCCCTGGTGAGAAAGATAAAAGCTGCCTGTCAATACTAGAGTTAACCTTCTGCTAGTCCCAATGAGGTGTTTTTTGTTTTTTGAGATTGTCTCGCTCCATCACCCAGGCTGGAGTGCAGTGGTGCAATCTTGGCTCGCTGCAACCTCCATCTCCTGGGTTCAAGCGATTCTCCTGCCTCAGCCTTCCAAGTAGCTGGGACTACAGGTGTGCGCCACCACGCCTGGCTAATATTTTGTATTTTTAGTAGAGACAGGGTTTCACCATATTAGCAAGGATGGTCTCTATCTCCTGACCCCAATGAGGTGTTCTGCTCAAGTAAGTGTACTGGGGGCCTCAGACCCTTGGCCTGGTGGATGGCTTCCTGCAGGCTGACAAGTGGCCACTTCAACATTTTTCTTTGGTGTCTCCGCTGCTGGGTGAGCTCTCTGGTGGCTCAGGGACTGCAAGGTTTCACACTGAGCCATATAATTCACCACCACCCCCCTTTCCTACAGAATCTTTCTCCACTTCCCCTTGTCTTTCATACTTATCAGGGCAAATAAAATTTGGTCAGGTAAACAGGTCCCAATTTTATAAATAATTTGGGTCCAGCTGTCTTGTACAGGTCACTTCATTTGCATGATATGTGTTGTGACTAGCATGCTATCACATTGGCTTATAAATAAGAGTGCTCATAAATTAAACAAATAAGTCTAAACATGTTAGTTTGAAGGGAATGTTGTGTCTTCTAAAATTTAATTTTTACCTAGGTAAACCAGATGTTCATAGGTTTTGGAATGGTTAAAATGGCTTTAGGTAGTGAGTTTTGTATGGCTTAAAAATCTTGAAACTGTAGAATGCTTCTCATCTACAGGATGCTAATGTCTGTTGGGCAGTTGAAGATTTCTTGCTTCCTACCTGTATATAAAATGTGCTAGGGAAGATACATTATTGGGAAAAGAATAACTTTTGTCCAGAAAGTATTAAATGAGGGGCTCAAAATATGAGGGAACCAGTACGAGTAGAAAAGAGAGAAGTGGGGAGTTATACATACATACATTTTTTTTTTCAGGAGGGGTATGAAGACTGACTTACAGGTGCCCGCCACCATGCCTGGCCAATTTTTGTATTTTTAGTGGAGACGGGGTTTCACCATGTTGGCCAGGCTGGTCTCAAACTCCTGACCTCAGGTGATCCACCCACCCCGGCCTCCCAAAGTGTTGGGATTACAGGCGTGAGCCACTGCGCCCGGCCAAGAAAGACTGACTTTGTATGAGAAAGGATCTCTGGTCCCAGAATAAAGAGACTGGTTGTGAGGGAGGTGTAGGACAGGTCAGAGAGTCCAGGCATGTCATGGGTGGTCTGTGTGGGTTGTAATGGGGTTTGTGAAGGGGAACTTCTGAGAGTAGTTTTGTGTGCAATTAAGCCTGCTGTGATTAAAGAAATTTTTTTTTTTTTTTTTGGAGACAGAGTCTCACTCTGTCACCCAGGCTGCAGTGCAGTGGCATGATCTAGGCTCACTGCAACCTCTGCCTCCCGGGTTCAAGTGATTCTCCTGCCTCAGCCTCCTGAGTAGCTGGGACTACAGGTGCCCACCACCACGCCTGGCTAATTTTTGTATTTTTAGTGGAGACAGGGTTGCACCATATTGGCCAGGCTGGTCTCGAACTCCTGGCCTTGTGATCTGCCCGCCTTGGCCTCCTAAAAGTGCTAGGATTACAGGCATGAGCCACTGCACCCTGCTGATTAAAGAAAAATGGTTTGTGGTAGACTTTCTAGGGAATGATCTATGTATTGGAACTGGGTTTTCTTAAGGTATTGATTTATTAAGTTATGAGAATTTTTGCTTTTAATGCTATAACCAGCTTCTTCTAAAACTTCTTTGGGCTGAGTGCGGTGGCTCACGCCTGTAATCCCAGCACTTTGGGAGGCCAAGGCAGGTGGATCACTTGAGCCTAGGAGTTCACAACCAGCCTGGGCAACATGGCAAAAACCCATCTCTACAAAAAAAAAACAACAAAAAAAAACACCACACACCACTTTTTAAAAAAAATGTAGTGTGGGTGTGGCGCACATCTGCAGTCCCAGCCACTTGGGAGGCTGAGGTGAGAAGATCACTTGAGACCAGGAAGTCAAGGCTGCAGTGAGCTGTGATCACACCACTGCACTCCAGCCTGGGCGAGAGTGCGAAACCCTGTCCCACAAAACAAACAAAAACTGCTTGGGTTGGTGTCCCAGAGGTTCAGCTGTTGTGTCCCACTGCTGTTAAACTGCAGGAAGTCACTCGCTGGGTACACCTGTCCAGGGTTAAACCTGCGTCTTCTGCGTCCCTGCAGGCATGAGGGGAGGACAGCATGCCCTTCACCTGTGAGCCCCTGGAAGGTGTAAAGCTGTTGTTTTGCAAATACACAAATCACATGGCGAGGAGCACGTGCAGTCATCAGCCATACCGATTCTTCTTGCCTGGTTTTGACCTTTCTCAGGGCCTTTAATGACATCTCATCATTACTAACTTTTGGCTCCCTTATTGGATTTTGGGTTTCTTCCCACCCAACCTTCATTTCCCCCATGATCAGACCAACGGTAAAGCAGCCTCATCTTCCTTTGATGCAGGAAAGATGAGCCCTAAAATTGGGGTTTAGCCAGGAGGGTTCTTGGCTTCACCCAGGAACGAGTTACAGGGCAAGCTGGCGGTGTTAGTTGCTCCCTGTGGAGCCGGGCTGACTCACAGGCAGTGTGCCCAGAGTCCACGGCATATGGGCTGTTGGCAACCATGTGGGCTGTAGGAAAGGCAAAGGACCTTTCCCAGGACCTTTAATAACTATCTTATCATTACTAACTTTTGGTTCCTAGCAAAGCTCGAGTCCTGTAGATTGCAACAATTCCACACAAAGACAACACTGGTACAGGCTTCAACCCATCCTATCCTCTGACCTGGAGAATGAAAGTGTCTGGCCTCTGGGGCCCTTAGATCAGAGATTTTCCCTCCTCTAACCTTACACAGGACCTATGCCCATGAACACAGCAGGAAGCAATCCCAGAAGACAGACCCTGCCCTTCTGCACCCCCTTAAGATTAAGGGGAAGGATCTCATCTCTGAAGAGAGGGGATGAGGTAGGAAGGTGGCAGGACTTGTTTTCTGGTCACTGACCCACTGACCAAAACAGGATCTGGGCTGGATGGGATGAAGTGGAGACAGGAATCAGGGGACGGCGAGGAGGGTGATCCCTGGCTGCCATCATTGCTCATTGGCATAAGACCCTCCCACCAGGGCCATGATGGTTTGCAAATGCCATGGCAATGACCTGGAAGTTACCACCTTTTTTCATTGCAACGACCCAGAAGTTGTCACTTCTTTTCTAGACAATTCTAAATAACCCACCCCTCAATTTGCATTGATCTCTACTTAATCTGCATGTAAAAGAAGTGGGTATAAATACAGTTGCCAACAGCCCATACACTGTGGACTCTGGGCACACTGCCTGTGAGTCAACCCCGCTCCACAAGGAGCAGCTAACACCTCCAGCTTGCCCTCAAACTCTTTCCTGGGTGAAGTCAAGAACCCTCCCGGCAAAACCCCAATTTTAGGGTTCATCTTTCCTGCATTAAAGGACAAAGGGGCAGAAAGGGTGAGGCTGCCTTACCGTTGGTCTGATCATGGGGGAAATGAAGGTTGGGTGGGAAGGAACGTAAAATCTAATAAAGCAGTTATCTGTACAGCAGCTAGACCTCTCCGAAGGAATCCTGCTTTGTGGTTTTGGCTTCCGAGGGTGTAAGTCTTCCACGTCTGCAGAATGCCGTCCTCGCCATCGAAAGGAAGAAGGTGAACTCTAAAGTGGAGACGTGAGCTGGATGGTGATGTTGGTCTCCTGTGGCTGCCATAACAAGGTGCTGCACACCACATGGCTCAGGACAACAGGCACCTGCCGTCTCAGAGGCCACAGTGTGACAGTGACGTGCAGGCAGAGTGGGCTCCTTCCACCCCCTTCTCCCACACAGTGGCTGCTGGTGGCCCTGGGTGTGCCCTGGCTGTTGGCTGCATCCCTCCAGTCTGCTCCCTCTCAGCGTGGGGCTCTTCCTCTGTGCTGGTCTGTCTGATGTCTTCTCATAAGACATCAGCTACAGGATTTAGGGCCCGCCCTAATCCAGAATGACTTCACTTTAACTCATTGCATCTGCAAAGAGCCTGTTTCCAAACAAGTTCACATTCTGAAGTTGTGGGCGGACATGTGTTTGGAGGGCACCGTTTGCCACAGGACAACTACGTATCACAGTGCTGGTGATGCAACCACACAAGTGAAATTATTTCAAGTAACTGTCTCAAAACAAAACAAAAAAAGTGTCTCGCTCTGTTGCCCAGGCTGGAGTGCAGTGACGTGGTCTCGGCTCACTGCAACCTCCACCTCCCGGGTTCCAGCAATTCTGTTTCAGCCTCCTGAGTAGCTGGGATACCATGCTGGAATAATTTCTGCATTTTTAGTAGAGATGGGGTTTCACCACGTTGGTCAGGCTGGTCTTCAACTCCTGACCTCAGGTGACCCGCCCGCCTTGGCCTCCCGAAGTGCTGGGATTACAAGCGTGAGTCACCGCGCCCAGCCTTCAGGTGACTTGTGAGCACAGCACTCACACTGTTTATACTTAGAAGGATATTCTCTGAGGATAAAAGATCATCTTGTTTTCATTTTTAATTTCTAAATAGTCACTTTGAAATGATTTCAGTCATGAAAAAAGTTACCAAAAAACAAAAACAGTGCAAAGAATTCCAGCATATCCTGTAAGTAGTTTCCCTAGAAGTTATCTCACATAGAACCATGGTGCAATGTTCAAAATTAGGAAATTAACACCAACGCAATACTGTTTTTAAAAAATTATTTGAAATGCAATACTATTAACTATCTACAGGCCCCATCCCAGTGTCTTTCTGGCCCACAGCCCAGTCCAGGACCACACATTGCATTTGGTTGTCATTCTCCCTGGCTGCCTCCCAGTGGGGACAGCTTGGAGTGTGGGGCCATTGCCCAGCACACAGCTGCTTCTCATGACTGCATTTAGGACATATCCTCTGGGCAGGACCCACAGAAGCTATGCCAGGCTGACTTCAGGGCATCTCATCAGGAGACCTATGATCTGGGCCTGTTACTGGCGTGTTAAGCTCGGTTGCTGGGAGCAGGGGTATCTGCCAGGGCTCTCTGCCACAAAGTTACATTTTCCCTTTAATTATCTTGTCGGGAGATAGTTTGAGGCCAAGAAATATCCCATTTCTCATCCTAATTTTGCCTACTAATCGCAACATCCCTCGATGATTCCTGTGTTGTTTGCCAAATGGCCATTCTCTGTTACCATCGTTCCTTCTACATTAACTGCAATTCGGAGGAGACGAGCATTTCACCCTCTTCCCCCTTATTTATCTATGCATTTATGTATGGACTTGTGGGCATTTAGCCTTATGAGTTATGAACTATTACTATAATTTTCTTTTTTGAGACAGGGTCTCGCTCTGTCACCCAGACTGGAGTGCAGCAGCATGATCTCAGCTCACTGCAACCTCTGCCTCCTGGGTTCAGATGATCCTCCCACCTCAGCCTGCTGAGTAGCTGGGACCACAGGCATGCACCACCATGCCTAGCTGATTTTTTATCTCCTGTAGAGGCAAGGTTTCACACCATGTGTCCAGGCTGGTCTAGAACTCCGGGACTCAAGCCATCTACCTGCCTCAGCCTCCCAAAGTGCTGGGATCACAGGCACGTGCCACTGCACCTGGCCCATTGGTATACTTATGTATTGTTTTGCTCCGATTATCCCAGGTTTGGCTCTGGAGCCGTGTAGATTGGTCCTGCATCCTTTTGGCCCCCCCCGCTGCCCTCTGAGCGCTCTGCCTTACTGACCACCCCCCCCCCGCTGCCCTTTGGGCGCTCTACCTTACTTTGTGGGACCACTCCATGTTCACCCGGGAACCCTCCCTGCCTCAGTGCTATCTGGGGGCCCCAGTGCCTGACCTGGAGAAAGATGTTAGTGCCCGAGATCCGGCTCTGGGGGTGCCCATGGCTGTAGGGTGTCCCTGCTCCGAGGTCCCCCAGTGGACACAGCTAAAGCCTCGGTGAGAACACACGGGCCCATGCCAGGCTCACACCCGTCTACCCAGCCGTCTACCGACACTTCCGTGCTGAAACTACAAGCTCCTACTGCCGCCTCCCCTCCCAGCCTCCCATGCTCCTTACTGGTAGCTCCCTTCTCCAGCAGCGAGGCTCGTCACCCACAGCGCGGCCGCTGGAAGGTGACCTGAGCGGCCAGACAGGGCCTCCTGCTCAGAGTTTAAAGCTCTGCTGTCGCCATCCTTAAGTTCTTAATGAGTTTTGAGCAAGGGCCCTGCAATCTCATTTCGCACCAGGTCCCGCAAATTATGTATCCGGCTCTAATTACCCACAATATGCTTGCTTGCTCAAGTCTGGAGCACACACAAAGTAATCTCATAATTGCTAACCCAGGTTGCTGTGCAAAACAGCTTCACAAACTAGGGCACAGTGTCTGCACGCCATTCTTTTTGTCTTACAGCCCATGATACTGTCTTCCAAAGCATGCGGTAGGTTTTCTTTTCCCCACTCCCTTCGATGAGGTTCACCTGTTACTGCTTATATTCCATTTCGGCTTCAAGCCCCCATCCCGGTTGATTTTAATCACTTATTTACTTTGGGGGGTGTGTGGTATATTTCTGTGGTCCTGGAAGGAACACAAAAGCTGCAGCCTCCATAATAAGGTAAGCCCACCAGCGCCTGTACCTTTGAGGACCATGAAGGGAAGGGTCTGTCTCCCTGTTCCCTCCACTAACTCCCCCCATCTCTCTGGCCCCCACTTCTCCGCAAAGTGGAAACTCCCTGGGGAGGCAGAAGACCAGGGTGGCAGGACTGCAGGCAGAGAGGGATTCCTGCCGCCCCATGGCTGGGTACCGCTGGTAGGCCACGCACACACTGGGTAAGTGTGCACTAGGCACTGACGTTAAGGGCCAGGCGTTGGTCCCTCCGTCTCACCTGCGCCAACTCAGCACAGGGAGAGAGCTGAGGCTCTGACAAGGATACAGGGCAGAGAGCAGGAAACAGCAGGGCTCAGGCTAGGGGTGGGAGCCCAGCTGCTCAGGAGTTGAAGTGCAGGCCCCCTGTGGGCACCTGGCGGACAGGAAAGGAAGGAGACTAAGGAGTGTGTTGTACTTTATCTGTACCTGGCTACGTGAGATCAGACTGTCACCCAGCATTAACTAAACCTTACAGTGGAGACAGTGGGTTGTATCACTCCCGAGAAGAAACCACAGAACGCTGTAGGAGTAATGCCTGCACCGGCTTCCCCCGCACCACACGGAGCGGCTGCCTACAGCTTTGTTAGGGGCTGAATGCAACCCCGATGCAGGCACCAGCCCTCCAGAGCAGCCTCCATGGAGGAATGCGGTTCCCCACTCTGCCCACATACCTCTCCTGCAGCAGCGCTGAACACCGTCTCCGGACGTCTGGAGCTATCACCATGGGCAACACTTTCGTGGTCTTTATTTTTAGCTTCTCCTTTAGAAACTCACTTTTTGGGGTGGTTTTGTGTCCAGAAGTTGGTGGGTTCTTAGTCTCGTCTTCAAGAATGAAGCCGCAGACCCTCGCGGTACATGTTACGGTTACCTAAAAACGGTGTGTCTGGAGTTTGTTCCTTCTGGTGCGTTCGTGGTCTACACTGATTTCAGGAGTGAAACTGCAAACCTCCGCGGTGAGTGTCACAGCTCCTAAAAATGCAGCACGTCCAGAGTTCTTTGCCCCTCCCAGTGGATTTACAGTCTCGCTGGCTTCGGGAGTGAAGCTGTAGACCTTTACCGTGAGCGTTGCAGCTCACAAACGCAGCACAGACACAAACACTGAGCAGCAGTAAGATTTACTACGAAAACCAAACAAGGAAAGCTCCCAGAGGACAAAAGCAGACCCTAACAGGTTGCCACCGCTGGCTCCCGCAGCCTGCTTTTATTCCCTTATCTGACCCCACCCACATCCTGCTGACTGGTCCATTTTACGGAGAACTGATTGGTCCATTTTACAGAGAGCTGATTGGTCCATTTTACAGAGAGCTGATTGGTCCATTTGGACAGGGTGCTCATTGGTGCATTTACAAACCTTTAGCTGGCTACAGAGTGCTGATTGGTGTGTTTACAATCCTTTAGGTAGACAGAAAAGTTCTCCAAGTCACCACCGGAGCCAGAAGCCCAGCCGGCCTCACCTCTCAGTAGCACTCCCTTTAGAACTTTGCAGCATCTACCCTGGGCACTCCGGCAGCCCAGAGGGAGCTCATCCCCAGATCAAGCCCAGCAGGCGTCGGCGGGCCAGCCAAGCCTGCACCCACCCGGAACCCGCGCCGCCCGCGAGCGCTGCGCTCAGCCCCCGCTCCCGCCCGCGCCTCTCCGCCAGCAGAGGGAGCTGGCTCCAGCCTCGGCCAGCCCCAGAGAGGGGCCCCACAGCGCAGCGGCAGGCCGAAGGGCTCCTCAAGCACGGCCAGAGCCGACACGGAGGCCCAGGAAGCGCCGAGAGCCAGCGAGGGCTGCTGGCACGTTGTCACCTTTCAGTTTCACAATATCCCAAGATGCATTAGTAGTTTCTGTAGCCTGAGTGTTAGTGGCCCCCAAAATTGATAGGTTGGAACCTAATACCCAATGTGATGGTGTTAACAGGTGGGACCTTTGGGAGGTGAGTAGATCACGAGGGCTGTGCTCTCACGAATGGCATGAGTGGCCCGGGTAGAAGAGGCTCCAGGGAGCTCCCTCGCTCTGTCCACCCTGAGCCTTGTCAAGAGGCGCCGTCTTGGAAGCAGAGGGCTGCCTCATGGGACGCCACATCCGCCAGCACCCTGGTCTTGGACTTGCAGCCTCCAGGACTGTGAGCAATAAATGTCTGTTGTTGACAAGTGGCTCAGGCTTAGGCGTGTTGTCACAGCAGCCCGAATGGACTCCAGCAGCAGAGCAGCCAGGGCTGCACGTGGTGCGTGAACACACCCGCCGCCCTCCTCCTCCTGGGGCATATGACGGCTGCGCAGCTCTGTGTATCCAGTTTCTGGGCTGTTCCATGCCCCTATTCCCCTGATTGCTATGTTCTCCAGCTGAAAGAGCACACTGATTTTGCCTTCAGCCCACTCTCATTTTCCCCCAGATTTCACTAAGTGATTTTGCTAAGTGATGGCTGTGCTTCCCCTGTGCGCTTCTCTCTGGCTGGTTTCTACTCCGGATCCACTAGTGGGGCCAGAAAGAGCAGTAGGAAGGAACCTGAGGTTCCTGTCCACCATCAGGCATGTGCACACCTACACCCACACACCCCTGCACTGTGCACACCCACACACACTTGCACACCCACCTGTGCACACGTACATCCATACACACATGCTCACCCCTACATGGACACCCACACACGTGCACGTGCCCATACACATGCACACCCATGCACACACCTGTCTGTGCACACCCCACACCCATGCATGCCGGCACACACCCATGCACATCCACACACAGGCACATACCCACACACACGTGCACACCTCACACCCATGCATACCTGCACACGCTTGCACACTCACCTGTGCACACACATCATACCTGCATGCACACCCCCACACGCACACCCACACACCTGTGCACACACCCATACACATGCATGCCCACACCCACATGTGCACACACCGTACATACCTGCACACACCCACGTATGCACATGGTCAACACTCACCCACTCAGGCACTCTTACATGCACACACGCACACAGACATGGCCACTTTCATGGACACACACCCACACACGCCCACATATACACGCATGCCCACCTAAACCACTCACTTGACCAAATAGCTTTTCAGGAGAGCGCCTGGTCCTGAAGCTTTCTAGGCATTTCGGTAGCCAAACCCTCTTGATCGTGTGGTTCCAGAAAAAGCCAGTGCGGCACCCACTTACCCGTACTGCAGCCACCGTGGTCCCGGGAAGAGGGCTTGCTTCCGCAGAGCTAATGAGGGAAGCGGTCTCTGAGAGTAGAAGGGAGGCCTCGGAGGGAGGTGGTCTCCAAGAGTAGCCGGGAGGCCTGGGAGGATGGTGGTCTCCGAGAGTAGCAGGGAGGCCTGGGAGGGTGGTGGTCTCCGACAGTAGCAGGGAGGCCTGGGAGGGTGGTGGTCTCCGACAGTAGCAGGGAGGCCTGGGAGGGTGGTGGTCTCCGACAGTAGCAGGGAGGCCTCAGAGGGAGGTGGCAGAGCAGGCTCTGCTCTCAGGAAGTGCCCCGTGGGTGGCGACGGGCCGAGAGGTGCTCTGGGGGACGAGTTATGGCTCTGAGCTGCCCGTGCAAGGCAGGGAGGCTGCGTTTTCATGCGTTCACACCTCAGTCCCTGGGTAAGGACCTCCCAGGATGTACCTCCAGCACCCCGGTCATGCAGAGGCCTGGGAAAGCCTGTTGAGGCTGGAGGGGTGGGGGCACATTGGTGTGTTGGGGGACCTGTGTCGTGGGCACGGCTCCCCGTTTAGGGAAGGCACTGCGGTGATCACGCACTACCAGTAAGTATTTCAGAGCCCAAAACGCGAAAACAAATGGAAGAAGTTCCATGTCATAGTGAGTCTTGGCTGGGCGCAGTGGCTCACCTGTAATCCCAGCACTTTGGGAGGCTGAGGCGGGCAGATCACTTGAGGTCAGGAGTTTGAGACCAGCCGGGCCAACATGGTGAAACCCTCTCTCTATTAAAAATACAAAGCTACTCGGGAGGCTGAGGCAGAAGAATTGCTTGAACCTGGGAGGTGGAGGTTGCGGTGAGCCAAGATGGCGCCACTGCACTCCAGCTTGGGCAACAGAGTGAGACTCCATCTCAAAAACAAAAAAGAAAAACAAATAAAAATACAAAAATTAGCTGGGTGTGGTGGCGGGCGCCTGTAATCCCAGCTACTCGGGAGGCTGAGGCAGGAGAATCGCTTGATCCCAGGAGGTTGTAGTGAGCCAAGATGGCGACATTGCACTGTAGCCTGGGCGATGGGGTGAGACTCTGTCTCAAAACAAACAAATAAACACACACAGAAAACAGTGAATGTTTTTATTACAAATAATAAATGTTTGCTTTTACATACCACACCTCATTTCCCCAGGGGTTCCTGAGCACCCCCCCCCAACCCCCTGCTCACCCTCCTTCATTCTCTCCACAGTGTTTGAGGCATATTTTGTGCCAGGCCCCTCCCAGGGCTGCTAACAAGAAAATACAAAATAAAAATGGCAGAGAAGCGAGTGCCTCCCGCGTATGGCAATGCCAGCCATGAGCCAAACGGCTGAACAGAGTCCACATCTCCCTCCGGGTTTCCGGGGTCCCCTGCTCAGGCCTCACCAGTGCAGCGCGGACGTCAGACCGCTACCGTCTCACTCAAGGCTCCCGTGGGCCAGGGTCCACCTGGGTTCTGCTCCTTGGGATATTGGCAGGATCCCGGGCCCTGCTGCTGTGGACTCGGGACTTCACTTCCTTGCTGGTCAGAGGCTGCGTGAGCTTCCAGAGGCCACCTGCTGTTCGTGTCACCTGGGGCTCCCCGGCCCAGCCATGTGCTTCCTCAAAGCCACAGGGGAGGGCCAGGTTCCAAAGAAATGGGCATTGCAATCCTGTGTAACACAATCACATTCCTCCACTCCACTTTGCTGTGTTCTGTGGGTTAGAATATGGTTATCGCCGGGACACCAAACAAGGGTGTCACCAACAGGAGGTGGGGGGCCTTGGGAGTATGGCTACCACACAGGAGGAAACGACAGCTCCACTCCATCACTGAACCTGAGCTCAGCAGTGGCTTTGAGTGTCCTGGCAGCCACGCAGGAAAGGGACTCTGCTCAGAACACACATGCAGAAGCAGGACACACTCCTGCTCTCAAGCCCAGCGCTGAGCCCATCAGCGCTGAGCCCATCAGCGCTGAGCCCATCAGGGGCAGGTGTCCTGGGCCTCCGGTCTCAAGGGCATCATTTCTGTGCAGGCAACAGTCACTGGGCTGTCCTTTCACGCCCTTTGGACACACAGACAACACAAGTGGTTCCCAGAAGCCCTCTGTGTCCTGTCAGGTGGTGACAGGTGGGGGTGGCTGTCCTGTGTCCTCTCAAGTGGTGACAGGTGGGGGTGGCTGTCCCCTCTGTCCTCCGTGGTGGTGACAGGTGGGGGTGACTGTCCTGTATCCTGTCAGGTGGTGGCAGCTGCAGGTGGCTGTCCTCTGCATCATGACCCCACCTGTGTCATGGCAGGGCCAGGCTCATCTCCAGAAACCTCAGGTCAGTGATCCCTACGGATGCCTTTTTACATCATGTCAGAATCTGGAAAGTCTGTTTTATTTCATTATCTGAAATACTTTTAAGAGTGGTAACGGTAGCATTAGACTGATAGTTACATGGATCTGGGACATCTGTGGCACTGGTGCATAAACATCTGAGCCATTTCCATCATTTAACTTGTCCAATCCTTTCAACAGCCTTCTGTGCTGGGCGCGATGACTGCTCTCTGCACAGATGAGTAAACTGAGGCACAGGTGCCTGGACCCTTGCCAAAAAGTGAGGGAGCCAGAGATTCTAACCCAGGGCCCAGCCCTGAGTCTCACCCCTGCCCTCTCCCATCTGCCTGTCCCTCCACAACCCCGATGCCCGACCCTGGGTGGAGAAAGTACAGGGAGGGTCTGCAGCTGCCCAGCTGCAGTGTCCAGTGTCCTGGCGACAGGACCCGGAGCAAACCAGGCCTCGGCATGGGCACGGGATGAACTCAGGGCACCGGTGGGGTGTTGGCCGTTTCTGGGTAACAGACCTACAGGTGATGTCTTTTCCTCTTCTTTCTAAGCTTTAAAAATTACCATTGTGATTAATAGAACTTTTTAGAATTTTAGATACAGTTTCTCTGTGTGAACAAGGCTTAAAGGATATGAGAATGTTTCTGTAGCTTACAGGTCATAATACTATCTTTGAATACACAAATTGAAAAGCCACTTAAATATTAACCTTTGATTCTGAACCAGGATGAGCTTAACGATGGGGACCTGCAGGGCGTGGCCGGCTGGAGCCCATGGCCAGCAGCCATGGCTGAGGGCATACTTCAAAACGGTCATTTCTGTCCCACTAATACTGTGTAAATATGTATGCCATCCAATTTTTAACCAAATAAAATGTTCTGTCTGACGGGTCCCTTCATCTATATGACAAACAGTTTTAAGTAAAGAGGATCTCAGCTTGCAGAATAAGTAAAATTGTTTAAATTCTAGATAAATGTGTTCAGTGCTTGATGGGCTAATGCTGGCTGGATTTGTGAAGGTCAGTCATATACATGAAAATTCTTCTGCATTCACCTTAGAAGAGCGATATTTTTAGGCGAACAGAGCTTGCGATATTTTCTTTCCGTGCCACCTGCCCGCTTGGTGTCTGGCCCTGCGTCCTCAGAGGACCATGGTGGGCTGGTGTTCTTGGAGAGGAGGCCTCTCCAGGGCCACCAAGAGGGGGCTGTGGCCCAGGCTGAGCTCTTCTAGTGGCATGAGGGACACGCTTTATTCATGTGAGCGTTGTGAGGTGGGAAGGGAGGCCAGCCAGGGGAAGGGTAGAAGAATGCCTGTTGCTTGGGTCGGAGGCTCGATGGACTTTCACTGCTGGACATAGTGTGAACATGGGAGACGCAGGTTCAGCGATCACGTTTCACTTTCCCATTCCCCGGACCTCAAACTCAGGCCTGTGTAACTAAAGGTTCTGTGCTGCCAGGCTGGGCGTTTCCCCCAGGGAAGGCACGAGAGAGCGAATGCAGGGCCGGCCGCGGGGCCTGGGGACTGTGCCGCTCAGCACCACCCACAGGGCGTTCCTTGGGGCGTGGCCTGGGCCGGGGCGGTAGGATCCCTTGGACAGGGCCGTGTCTGGCTCACAGGAAGCTGCCCTCATGGAACGGGGTGCAGTGGGGTGTTCGTGGTCCTGCTGCCGTTGGCTGGGCGCAGCCATCCCTGCCGGCTCCCCCGCGCCTGTGCCCCGGGCCCTACTGCACCTGCACGGGCGGGGCTCTGGGGCCGGCGCGGGGAGTGAGGCCGCCGGTCTCCTCTGCTGTGGTCGGTGTGGGGGCCGGCGGGGCGCAGAGCTGCTCACCCGGCTGACTCCCCCTTCTGCCCTGCTGGCCTCTGAGCCGGTTCTCTGGGGCCTCTGTGAGCGCCTTGTGCCCCCCACACCCGCCGTGAGTACCGTGTCTCTCTGCTCAGCCAGGTGGGCGCCTCTGCTGCTGCTGTTGCCACCGAGTGACTGACTGACGCAGCGACGCAGCCACCGACACCCAAACACTGGAGCGTTTTACCCAAATGTAAAAGTCTAAACTTCCGGCTTCTCGAACAAAAGAAAACAAAGGAAAACGTCAGACGCCCCGTTGACGCCGGGCGCGCGTGGCCGCGGCCGAGCCGCTCTTCAAAGCCGGCAGCGTCTGGTCTGGCCTGGCTCCGCCAGCTGCCCGCAGGTCCTGTCCTCGTGGCTTTCTGCCCTGTCCTCCCTGGCCGGCTGCACTGGCTTCTGTGACGCTCGCTCCTTGCTGCGCAAGTGCAGGTGCAGCACCTTAAAGGCTGAGTGCGTCCCACACAGCGGGGCTGGAGCTCGGCACCTTCAGTCCACCCCAAACACCGCCCTCCCGCTGTGCACGGCCACTGCTGCCCCTCCTGCACCCCGACACATGGGGAGCTGGTCTGAGCCTGCCCCACCTGCTCTCCTGTGATCTCCCCTCTGCCACCCCCATCTCGCGCTCCATACCCCTTCCTCAGACCTCCTTGCCTGGGGCTGCTCTCCCCAACTCAGCAGAGCAGGGCTGGCCAGTACTAAGGACAGGGGCGACCACTGGTCCCCAGAAATCCTGAATCCAGGAAACCCCTCAGTCCGGGGCAGACCGGGATGGCCGACCACCCTGACTAGGGGAGGGCCGTCAGAAGTCTTTGACCCTGATCTAAGTTCTCTCTGCTTTGCTGAGTCTCTTTCTGTCTCTCTCCTCCTCTCCCTGTCTGAATGTCTGCCTGCCTCTCTCCCACACACATCTGAGACACAGGTCTCACAGAACCGCCCTTGCCCTTCTGTCTGTCTGTCTGCCTGCCTCTCTCTCACACACACACCTGAGACACAGGTCTCACAGAACCGCCCTTGGCCCTCTCTGCCAGGAGGGTGGTTCTCGGAGGTTCCCATCCTCTGTGGGGATGCTGACAGCTGTGGGTCATGGCTGGTGCCGCGGTTCTCACTCTTGGCTGCAGAGAGCAGCTGGGGGCTGCAGGTCAGGCCACACCTAGCTCCCCATGGCCCTGGTTCACTTAAGTGACAGGCTGGGGTGAGGGGAGGAGGAGGCCAGGGTGTGACCGTCGGTTCCATTTCTGCTTTCCCCCAGCTCCCCAAGTCAGGCACCGGCACAGTGGCAGTTGGTTTGTGGGACACCCATCTGTCAGTAGGGCATGAGTATCCTTGGCTCTGTCCTGCTGAATCATGGGTCCTGGCTGTGGCGCCAGGGCCAGCTGTGTTTGTGATCTGGTGCATCCTCAGGAGAAGGAGAGCAGGCGAGGCGCCAGGGAATGTAGGATTTGCTGATGAATTGTGTTTCAAAAAAGGTGGCTTTTTTTCTGTTGTCAGACTTCAGGAAACAGGTAGAGGCTGTGACCTTTGGGCCAGTCAAATGAATCTACAGAGATTAAAGGAGGATTGTGGAGTGAAAACCAAAAAAAGCCAAACATAGAGGAATCCGTTTACCCTTTCAGCCACGTATTTCGCTGTTGCCGAACCTTTATTAAAATGCTTCTCTCAAAGGAAAAATTGTATAGTTTTTTCAGGCTTCAAAAACCCAGGCCATGTGTCTAAAGGTCACTTGACGAACAGCACAAATCCCATGGTAAAGGGCAGGGTGCGGAGGGGTGAGCCTCCCATCCAGCACCAAAGCGGGCTCTGAGGGCTTATCCCTCCCAGGGAGTCCAGCACCAAAGCGGGCTCTGCGGGCTCATCCCTCCCAGGGAGCTTGGGTTCTGCACAAACAGTGTCAGAAGAAAAGACTTCTTCAGACATTTTGAAATTAACATTTCATTTGTATTAAACAGCCCAACCCTCCTTGGAGAGCAAGTACTAAATACAGCATCCACACAGTCAGCCCTGTAGGGGAATTTGAGATTGGACCAGAATGGCAGACTTGTACATGTCATCCAGGACCTTCCACCCATCCATCTGCACATCTATCTATCCCTCCACCTACCCATCCACTCATCCATTCCTCCATCCATCTATCCATCCACCCATGCTTCCATGCATCCATCCATCCACACATCCATCTGTCCATCCACCCAAGCATCCATCCATCCATGCATCCATCTATCCATCCATTCATCCGTTCATCCATCTATCTATCCATCCCTCCAACCGTCCATAACCTACCCACACATCCATTCACCCATCTACCCATCCATCCATCCATCCATTCATCCATCCACAAATCCACTTGTCCATCCATCCATCCATCCATAACCTACTCACTCCCCACATCAACCCATCCACCCACACACCACCTATTCATTCATCCATCCATCACATACCCACCCACCCGTCTATCCATCCATCCATCATCAACCCATCCACTCACCTACCCATTCATCTATCCACCCATCCATGCATCTATTCATCCAGCCATCATCTGCCTGCCCATCCATCTAACTATCCATATATCCATCCACCCAACCGTAATCAACCATCCATCCACCCAGCCATCTACACACCCCCTTTCCCTCTCACCCTCCCTCCCTATCTCCCTTTCTTCTTTCTTTTGTCCATCAATACATCCATTCATTTACTCATCCATCTATCCAACTATCCACTCATCCATTTATTCATCCAACCATCCACCACTCATCCATTAACCCACCTGTGCATTCATCAATCTATTTATCCCTTTCTCTCTCTCTCACCCTTTTCTCTCTCTCCTTTCATCCATCCCTCCCTTCTTCTGTCCATCCATCCAGCCTTCCATCTATCCATTCATCCCTTATCTATCCACCCATTTATCCATCCACCCGCCCCTTCACCCACCCATTCATTCATCCATCTGTAAACATATTAAATGCCACTGCCTTCCATGTACCAGGCCTGTTCAAAACACTGGCAGAAGCGAGTGAGACTAACTCAGTTCCTGCTGGGACAAGAGACAATGGGCCATCTGCCTTCAACAGAACACCTGCTAGGGAAGACCTGGGGAGAATGGGGGTTTCAAGGAACACTGGCCAAGGGCCAGAACCCAGAAGCTGGAGTGGGAACAGACTTTCAGTGGTGATGTCTATGGGAAGCTGACATGGCATAGGAGCTAGTGGGTTAAGGTTGGAAAGTTCATGGTGAGAACAGAAAGAAGGTAGTTCCAGATGAGGGAACAAGAGGAAGTACAGGATGGGAAGGAGAGTGAAGCCTGGGAAGGCATCCCAAGGGCCGGGAATGTCTCAGGTACCCAAAGGCCCAGGCAGGATGGACCTGCTTTCTCTAATGCCCTGGGGACGCCCACCACAAACGGGGCACTTGAAACAACAGAAGTTTATGGTCTCACCGCTCTGGAGGCCAGAAGTTTGAAGTCACAGTGTTGCCAGGGTTGGTTCCTGCTGGAGGCTCTGGGGCAGCATCTGTTCCATGTGTGTGTCTCCAGCCCCTGGTGATGGCTGGCAGCCCTCTGTGAGTCTTGGTTTGCAGGTGCATCTCTTGATGTCTGCCTCCGTAGTCACACAGAGGTCCTGTCCTGGTCTCTGTTTCACTGTGTCTCTTTTCCCCTTCCCAGGACACCAGTGGTGTTGGATTCAGGGTCTCAGTGTCTCTCCTCTCCTCTTATAGAGTCCCTGTCATATTGGATTTAGGGCCCACCCTACTCAGGTATGACCTCGTCTTATCTAATCGCATCTGCAACAACCTTATTTTCACATAAGGAGTCAGGACTTCAGCCTTCTCAGGGGATACAGTTCGACCTTTCCCACCGCCCCACCAGCCAGTGCCGCAGCTCACGGGCCCTTCCTGCCGTGAGCGTCCACTCAGTGCTGGCCTTTCTGCTGCTCCCAGTCTCGGCTTTTATGGCCACTGCACACGCCTCTCCATGTGTCTCTGTCAGGCACACAGAGAGAACTGTGGGGCTTGTGATTGTCTCCCTTAGGCTGGAATCCTGCAGACTCTTGAGTGGAGATTGTTGTGCTCCTGAATCACTGGGACTCACAGGAGAAAACCAGGAGAGAGCGGGAAACAGGCCAAGGGAAGGGAGAGGCCGGAGCAGACATGGTTTCAGGTGGGGTCCAGTGGTCCTAACGGGGACTCTGGACATATATCAGACTGCAGGTCAGGATGGGGGCTTTGACCTCAAGGTGGTCAGGGTCTGGCCCTGGGCCACCCTGGCACAGGCTTCAATCCCAGGGGCCCCTGGACGAGGGCCCAGCTGCCCAAGGCAGGCCCTGGGGGCTCCAGGTGTGAGCTGTTAGGGCGGCAACTGCAGCGGGGGTGGTGGCCACCCCCAAGGGTAAGGGGCATCCTATGTGACAATGGGGAGGGTAGGAGCAGCAGTAAGGCTGCAGGCAGGTTCAGCCCTTGTCGTTTTCCTGCCATGGAGTTCACTCACCCACCTGAAAGCTGCGAGTGTCCTTCCTGTCCACACGCAGCCACACAGGGGCTCAGACTTTCCAAAGCCCAGCTGCTGTGATGGGTGTGCTGCCACATTACGTGGTGGCTGACTGCATTTCCATGACAACTGGTGAGGTTGGGCCTCTTTTCATAGGTTTGTTGGCCACTTGGGCACTTTCCCTTGCTGGCAGTCATTCAAGGTCTCTGTCCACTTTTCTGATGGGGTGTCTGCCTCTTCCCTATGGACTTGTGGAGTTCCTTCTACATTCAGGGTGTAAGTGCCCCTCCCTCACCTGCTCCCTCAGGCACTCCCTGAGTAAATCACTCGGCACGAGGACCCCGTGTGCACCTGCAGTATGCTGTTCCGGTTGCCTGCAGAGCCTGCAAGCTCGCCAGCGGCCAGCGGGCATGGGGCTGGTACCAGATGCCATCCACAGCTCACACGCCAGAGAGGCGGGATCCCACATGTGGCTCCTCACTCCTCCCTGCTCGAGGACTGCCGTGCCTTTGTTTTGGGGCTGGGGAATGTCCTCAGCTGGTTCTTCCCCCAATGCCCTGATCCTGGGCTCACATGTGACCGGTCCCTGCAGACCCCACACCTCTGAGAAAGGCTTCAGTGGCATGGGCCTAGGCTGGACCACGACGCACTCAGCAAAGCCCAGCTGTCTCTGTGACCAACGGCCATCTGGGCCGGCCCCTGCTGCCGAGCTGCTGGGACCACAGGCAGAGGAGACCCACCTGGCAGAGGAGACCCACCCAGCCCCGGAGCCCACCTCTCCGATTGCTGGGGCTTAATACAGTCGCCCATGAGGCTGTCGGAGTCCTTCAAGTCTCAGCCCACATAGTGACTTATGGCCACCCACACAGTATCTGCCTGGACCCCAGACCTGAGTGGTCAGCAGGGATCACACCTGGGGGCTCCAGGTGTGAGCTGTTAGGGCGGCACCTGTAGCAGGCGGGGTGTAGCCACCCCTGAGGGTAAGGGACATCCTATGTGACGATGGGGACGGTGGGAGGCACTAGTTAGGCTGCAGGCAGGTTCAGCCCTTGTAGGCAGCCCAGCACTTTTCCTGCCACAGAGTTCACTGACCCAGCTGAAAGGTGCGAGCGTCCTTCCTGTCCACACGCAGCCACGTGCTACGATGCAGCAGTAGCAGTGTCCCCATGTGCTGCCAGGCACAAAGCCCTCGGTGTGGGGTGTGCCCTCAGGCAGTTCGGGGCAGGGCTGCAGGTGGGGCTGGCGGGAGTGACGCTTGTCTTATCACAGGTCACTGCCTGGAAGGGGTGCTGCCATCCTATCACAGGTCATGCTGAGGGCATTGGCATTTACTCCAAGCACCAGGATAACCCTGGGGTTTCCTTGGGCTGTGGCCTGATCTGTTGGTATCTAGAAGAATCCTTTAGGCCACAGAGCGACGAAAGATGCTTGGACTGAGGACCAGGACCCACCAAGATCTGGGATGGGGCTTGGAAGAGGCTCTTGGGTTGGGCAGTGGCAGTGGTCAGGCAGTGTGGTTGGAGTCTGGACATGTGGGGAGCCCACAAGAATGCTGAAAGGCAGGTGAGGGGCTGGGGGAGAGCGGTGCAGGATGGCACGGAGGTCCAGCCTGAGCAAGTGGGCACGACATAAGGTGCCACAACCTGCCACAGGGGACCCTGCAGGAGTGCAGACGTGGGTGAGGGTCACCACTGCACCCAACACTGTGTGGGAGCCCAGGGAAGGGGAAACAGATCACACCCAGCACACCTGCGTGGGAGCCTGGGGAGGGGGACAGGTCACACCCAGCACACCTGCGTGGGAGCCTGGGGAGGGGGGACAGGTCACACCCAGCACACCTGCGTGGGAGCCTGGGGAGGGCGACAGGTCACACCCAGCACACCTGCATGGGAGCGTAGTGGATGTGTTATCTCTAACGTCTAGGCTTTAGGGGAGGCCGGAAGGAGAGATGGGCCAAGAGGCATCAGGTGAGGAAGCTTTGCTGTGGGTGGGCTGGGGTGGGGCAGAAGCTGACCTCGGGGTGTGAGCAGGTGAGCTGGGCCTGTGTAAATGGATGGGGCCCAGCGGAAACGAGACAAGGAGGCTGAGGCAGTTTTTCCATTGTGGATGTCTTTTATTGTGCTTAGGGACCCACACGATGCTGAATAGAGATTGGTCAACAGACACGGACAACACCTGGGTTGCTACACGGAGCCCCTCCCCAGAAGGCGATGGGGAAGCCGCTCTCTGTGCTGACTGCAGCAGCCAGAAGGCGATGGGGAAGCTGTCCTCTGTGTCCCTCCCCAGAAGGCAATGGGGAAGCCGCTCTCTGTGCTGACTGCAGCGGCCAGAAGGCGATGGGGAAGCCGTCCTCTGTGTCCCTCCCCAGAAGGCAATGGGGAAGCCATCCTCTGTGCTAACTGCAGCTGCCTGGCAGTTCACAGGCTGACGGCTCCCACCGAGCATTACACTCCAGTCCCTGGAGCCCACGTCCACTTGCAGGGGACAGCCATGACTGGCCCTGCACGGCCCCTGCCCTCGGGCAGCACGTAGGCAGGCCCACCGACTTGAGGCATGAATTCAAACTATGGCATCCACTTTCCTGTCAGTGGCAGAGGGCAGTGTGCCATGGAAAGCAGCTTTTGGCCAACATCCTTCACTCAGTATTGCTAATTATTCTTGTAAACAAAAACTGCAATATCAGCAAGCAGGCTCGCGGATACTGCATTCTTGAATTTGTTTTGATTCACAGGTAAATATGATTTTAAAAAGCCATTCGCAAACATAAAAACTGTTGTTATTGATGTGGCACGCACCTGAGAGAAATAAAATTCCAGTGGGGTCCCTTCCTGGAGGTCACGGCTCAAGGCCAGGCAGAGTGTGGTCTGCAGGCTGCCTGCATGGGGGCCCTGCATGCGTCCTGGGGTAGTACACGCTCCTGTGGGGGCCCTGCATGCATCCTGGGGTAGTACACGCTCCTGTGGGGGCCCTGCATGCGTCCTGGGGTAGTACACGCTCCTGTGGGGGCCCTGCATGCGTCCGGTCCGGGGATAGGACACGCTCCTGTGGGGGCCCTGCATGCGTCCTGGGGTAGTACACGCTCCAGTGGGGGCCCTGCATGCGTCCTGGGGTAGTACACGCTCCTGTGGGGGCCCTGCATGCGTTCTGGGGTAGTACACGCTCCTGTGGGGGCCCTGCATGCGTCCAGGGATAGGACATGCTCCTGTGGGGGCCCTGCATGCGTCCGGGGATAGGACACGCTCCTGTGGGGGCCCTGCATGCGTCCGGGGATAGGACACGCTCCTCTCAGGCCGTTCCCTACACCGCAAGGACCCACAGGCTGCCTGAGTGGCAGTAGCCTGAGCTGGTTTCAAGGAGTTTTATTTCTCTCTGCTGCAAGAACATAAACAGAATTTCCTGGTGAGACATACCAGGACCCCCATCCTCCAATGCCTCTGAACAGACTGTGTGTGCAATGTGTCAACTGAACGCTCAATTTACGGCCTCTGCTGGGAGCCACGCATCGGGAAAGGACTTTGCATGAATTTGTGGTTTCCTCCATTTCACCTTCTGCACAGCTAAACCAAGCAGGACACTTGGCTTTTTAATATGGGCAAAGTAAATGGTCTAGGAAGCTACTGTGAGCACGGGGATTCTCAGCAGGTGCGTCTACAAGGATCGTGATCCCCGCCTGAGAACACAGTGCCCCTGGGGCAGCCTCAGAGCCGGGAGCAGGGAGCAGGGAGGGAGGGAGCCTCACACAGACAGCATGAAGTTAGACGTTTTTCTGCCCTGCAGGGACAACAACGGGGTGGACCTCGCTGCACAGATCTACGTCGTTATTACAGCAACACAAGACACGGCGAGGTGCGCTCCCGGCACGGAAAGGTGTAAACAGTCAGAAGAGAGGAGTCTTCTGCTTTGTTGTTTGTGTTTTCAGTAGAGGTTGAAGAGTAGAAGTTGCCCTCCTTTCTCTCGAAACTTAGATTTCCTTGGTTTGTTCGTGTCTCTCCCATTGCAGGATGACTTCCTGGGGTCTTCGTCTCTGCTCCCTCTACACCTTGAGCCAGTGGCGGAGCTGGAAAGAAAACAGGTTTAGTCAGAAACCCTGGGGCGATGCCCCATTTAAGAGCAGCTGAAGGTGGCTAAGAGCAGCTGAAGGCAGTGAGCAGACAGTTTGCAGCCTCCTGGCCATGTGCCCTGGGAGAAGGGGAGGCTCACTGGGGGCCTGGACCAACACACCCTTGACAGGTGCCGGGGATCCGATGCCTCACTCAAACTCCTACAAATCAATCATTACTTGATTTTTTAAAAAGCCGCGAGACTGTGGTTGGCGTGGTGGCCATGGTGGCCTCTGGGGCGTATTGATCAGATGCTGAGTCTGAGAGATGCCGGGCACCCTCAGTCCGGGGCTGGTTCCAGATTGTACCCCAGCGACTTGGGTGTGACGTGGTGATGTCACCTCTCCCCCACGTCCCTCCACCTTCCTGGGGGCCTCAGATGCTCCATCTGAGTGACACGCTACCTCTGCAGCTCCATCTTGCTCTCTGCGACCCGCGCGGGCGCAAGTGCAGCGTGTACTGACTGCTCAGGGACTGATGAGATAGACAAGAGCAGCTATTTACACCACCAGCAAATGTCATCGCCTGCTATTATGCAGCTGTTAGTTCAGCCTGTTTGTGAGCGTCAAAGCCCCTCGATAGCACTAAATGGCAAGAAGTGTGCTTCATAAACATTTCCAAACAGGGGCATGCGGGGCTTGCTTCTGACAAAACCACGCCGGCCATGGAAAGCCACTGAAGCTACCACTGGCCACACCACAGGCTCCTCTGGCCACTCCACCAAGAGCCTGCAGGGACCTCCTCAGCCAGGGTGGGATCACACTGCAGGCCAGGGGTCTACCGGGGGCCTGGAGCAGCCACAGCTGATGCCGGCACAGGCAGCATCCAGGTGCAGCTCGGGGCTCAGTGAAGGAAGCTGGGGTCAGGGAGCCCGGCCAGGACCCACAGCCACGGGTGGCCCAGCGGCCAGAGCCCTAGAGCAGAGGCTCTGGGTGGCAGCCCCACTTCAGGCCAGCGATGAAGAAGCCATGCTTGGGACTTCAGCTGTGAGTCCTGTTCCCCCCAGGGTGAAGCAGTTCTCTGTCCTGCCCGCTGACAGAAGCAGAAGGTCCCCTCTGGAGGGAGGTGTGCTTGGGGGCTCCCAGATTCCCACAGATTAAGATCAAGCCATAAATGTAAAATAAAGACTAGAAACAGAAGACAGCAGCCCACTCTAAGTGAGTCCCCAGAAACCAGACCTCAATTTGACCCCAAAGGACCAGAGCTGTTGCAACAGATTACAGGATGGCCACATAGGGGACTCTCAGAAAAGTGACACACGCACATCACAGTGATGAGAATTTCACAAGAAACAGCAGAGCACACGCAGCTTCCAGAGATGAAGTAGAAAAGAGAATGGCTGGGCTGCAGACCAGGGGCAGGGCAGTGGAATGCGGAGCGTCCATAGCTGAGCTGTGGTTTGTTCACGTGACGGACGGTCAGGGACCAGTCACGGTAGGTGAAACGTAGCTATGGATACAAACATTTCTGACCTAGATGGAATAATAGGGATCGAATTTACCCTACTGTCCGAAACAAGCCCCAAATAAACAAAACACACGTGCCGATGACCTTCCAGACCATGGACACCAGACCGTAAGGGTCAGTGGTCCCTGAGGGAAGCCAACAAGGAGGCCCCCCTGCCACCCTGCTCGCTGCCTCGAGGGAGTTTCTAGATTGCAGCACAGGGAGGGTGCAGCCTGGTGGACTCCCTGAGCTGAGACGCTGGAAAGGAGAGCGAGGGAAACGGAGGTGGCTGCAGTTTGCAGGCCAGAGCGCCAGAGAGGAGGTGGCCACACAGAGAGAAGACCCGGGACAATGGCCCAGGACCCCTGCTGAGGGTTCAGACGAGCACATCCCGCTGTGAATGAGGAGGCTGGGGAGAGATCCGCCGACAGGACCAGAGGGAACCACCTCTGATGCCCACACAGGGCTGGGCACGGTGCCTGTTCCCCCAGCCAGGAGAATGTCATGATTCTCGGGGATCTGCATGGGGTGTGCATAAGGTCTTGCTTCAGTAGGGGTTGGTTAGGGCTACACCAAATGCTGAAGCCAAATAATACACTTTTTAGGAAGCTAGAAATATCTAGAGATGCAACAAATGAAATTGTAAGAAGGGCAAGGGAAAGATCAAGCTAGACGCAGATACAGAATGGGTGAGGGGCAGGCAGTTTCCACAGTGCCTAGTTTTCCTGCTGTGGGCTCACAAGGGTCTGTTTGTTACGGTGACAAATTAATAATTTAAAAATGGCCACATGTGGATTAATGATAAGATGCGTTACTCAACTGTGCACCTAAGATTCAAATGAAAACAAAATCTAAGTGAGGTAAGAGACCTGGAGGACCTGGGGCAAAGTGGACACACCAGAGCCTCATAATGGAAAACACAGAAAGGCAGAAGGCAATCTTTCAGTGTGTGGCTGCAAAATTCACAGAATGACAAGATTTGTGAATCCACAGATCTGGCCACAAAACATATCCAGAGAGGAAAAATAAAAAGAAACCAAATTAACGGTGGTGGGTGCCTGCAGTCCCAGCTACTCGGGAGGCTGAGGCAGGAGAATGGCGCGAACCCGGGAGGCGGAGCTTGCAGTGAGCCGAGATTGCGCCACTGCACTCCAGCCTGGGCTACAGAGCGAGACTCCGTCTCAAAACAAACAAACAAACAAACAAACAAACAAAAAAGAAACCCAGGTCCCGACACTCCGCAGTGAACCCGAGACACCGAAAGCAGAAGAAACTCGGCCGAGTGCAGGGGTGAGGACAGAGCCCACCACAGAGCAGGCTCACAGGCCACACATCTCAGCACAGCCACGGAACACTGCTGCCTCCAAAACGCAGAGATAGTCCCTGTCAGCCTAGAGCCCTGAGCCCACAACAGTGCTTTCGTGAATGAGAGCAGCATAAAGATGTTCCCACACACCAATAGTGAGGGAGGTTAGCAAGAGACCTCCTCAAAGGAATGTCTGAAGGATGCTTTTTGAAAAGCAAGAAAATGGTCCTAGAAGAAAAGAAGTCTATAACAAAAGTATGGGAACCAACAAACACCAAGCATGCACATTAGTCCAAGGAACATGATGAGTCCGTACAAAATAATAACAGGAACAAGAACAATGACAGTGTCTAATTTGTGGGTTAAAAAGAGAGAAATAGATTTGAACAATCATAGCATGTTCATCAGTAGGAGGAAGATTTAAGTCCTTATAATGGGATGGGGTTAAAATATGGTTTCTCTGTAGAGTTTAAGTGAAATATGTATGGTACAACCTCAAGAGTAGCTATTAAAGGAATAGAATAAGTCCGGGCACAGTGGCTTACGGCTGTAATCCCAGCACTCTGGGAGGCAGAGGTGGGCAGATCACTTGAGATCAGGAGTTCGAGACCAGCCTGGCCAACATGGTCAAACCCTGTCTCTACTAAAAACACAAAAATTATCCAGGTGTGGTGCTGGGCACCTGTAATCCCAGCCACTTGAGAGGCTGAGGCAGGACAATTGCTTGAACCTGGGAGGTGGAGGTTGCAGTGAGCAGAGATCATGCCACTGCACTCCAGCCTGGGTGACAGAGCAAGACTCCACCTCAAAAAAAAAAAAAAAAAGAATAAAGTATGTAAGTTCTAAGCAAGTAGAGAGAAATAAACGGAATAATAAAAATGAGTGAACCAAGAAAAATCAATCTATAAAAAGGCAATAAAGGAGAAAAACACTAAAAATGGGACAAATGGAATAGAAAGATAGTAGAATCAAGTTCAAATATATCAATAATCACAACAAATGTAAATGGATTAACCTGTCCAACTGTCAGCGTAAAAAATTCTAGGTGTATGCTGGGTTTGCAAAAGACACTTAAATCTTAAGGTTACTGCAAAGTTGAAAGTTAACAGATTGCAAAAGATATTTCAGGCAAACTCAAAAGACACCTTGGTGCAACTATATTTGTCCCAGACAAGTCAGACTTTAAGACCAAAAGCATCATTAGGGAGTGAAGATGGGTTCATGTCACCAGGAAGAGATGATCATTCTGGACATGGATCAACCTCAGAAAACAGCCTCAGACTACAGAGAGCAAAACCTGATAGAACTGAGGGGAACAGCAAACAAATATACTATCGAGGAAGAATATGCCACAGGCATCTCTCAATTACTCATGGTCAAGCACCCCTAAAGTTGACAAAGTGTAGACAATGTGGGTAACATAATATATAACCCTACTCAAATGGACAGAAGCAGAACTGTGTATTGACAATTAGAGAATAGCACATTCATCTAAAAGATGTGCAACGTTTATCAAAGTTGATCAGGTATAAGGCCCTAAAGAAGTCTCAATACATTTTAAATAATAGGTATCATATGTGTTTGAGAACAATGAAATTAATTTGGAAATTAAAAACAAAAAGATGAGTAAAACATCCCCATATATTTGGCAATTTAAAAGCAGACTTTTAAGCAAGTTATGAGTTGACAAAGTCACAATGGAAATTAAAATATACTTAGAACTAAAAGATAAAGAAAAATACTATGAAAAAAATACGGAATGTAGCACATGGAGTATTTTGAGGGAAATTCATAGCCTTGAGTGCTTACATTAGAAAAGAACGAAGGATGCAAATTAATAACCTAAAGTCCAAATTAAAAAGTTAGCAAAACTACAACAGAGTAGATCCAAGAAAAAGAGAGGAAGAAATGATAAATACAGGAGCTGAGATTAATGTGACAGGAAGCACAGCAAGAATCTCACATGAAGTCAAAGTTGGATATTTGAGAAGACTAGCAAGATCCTGTACAAAGTGTAAGACCCCCAGGTATAGGACTCTCAGAGGAGAGAGGCTCTGGTGGAGCAGGACCGGAGGCCCAGTGGGGAGGGGCTGGCATCCTCTGGATGGATGGGATGGGATGCCTGGACACGCCTCCTGTGTTTGGAGCAGGCAAGTCACTGGGAGGACAGAGGAAAGGGTGCCAACGGAGGGAGGCAGAGCCCACACCAGAACCTGACTTGCAGGTAGGAGGAACAAGCTGTGCAGATGTGTGCTCAGAGGCGGCTTCTCCCCACTGCCTCCCGGCCTGTTCCCTGCTCAGCGTCTTGTTCTGCCTGACGTCACCACCCACCTCCCAGGCACGCAGAGCCCCCTCCCTCTGCCTGTATCCTTGCTCCTGCCCCATGTGCAGGTCCATGCTGGGCTCCTCAGGCATGAGCTCATGAGACCCCTGCTGGGAGGACTGTTTACGAGAACCAGCCACAGAGAGGTGGCCAGAGGGAAGAGGCAGGTCCGAGGTGGGGCCGCGGTGCCCTCCACACTATGGCCTTCTCTCCCTTTTGCTGTGCATTGGACTCTGCTGTCGGCATTAGGCTGACATTAGTGTATGGAATCAGGTCGGGGCTGAGGCCACTCTGGGGTGGAGGAGGACAGTGCCACAGGCCCAGGGCACAGCCCAGGCTCCTCTCCTGCTGGCCAGCTCTGTGATCTTGGGCACATTCCGGGGCCTCTCTGGGTCTCAGGGACCCTGGTGTAGAGAGAGTGCTGGGCTGCCTCTTAGGGTTGTGGGAGTAAAAACACGTCAAGTGTTTACTGTGTGCCCCCGGGAATGCACCTGCTCCACGGCATGTCATGAACATGTTCGCACACAGCTGGATGGCTCCCAGGGTGCAGGAAACACCTGGCGTGACCATCCTCTCACTCGAAGCCAGCCCCAGGCTCCCAGGCCTCTCCCAGCCCCTCCAGGGCTCCCTGTGGCTTCCCATGGCCAGGCCCAGGCCTCCCCTCCTGGCACTGTCCCTTGTGCCCCCGTGAGGCGGGGGGTGGTGGTCCCTTGCTGGTCCTTAACCTGGCTCAGCTGGCCCCACAGGGCACTGCTCCCGTGGTCTGGGACATGCCCAGGTCTTTGCAGGGACCATGCTTTCCTCAGGCGTCTGTGCAGCCGCACCTCCCAGGGCCCCTGCGTCATGTGCCCCCCGTCCCGGGCACACGTCTCCACTGTCACCTGCCACCACTGGCTGCCTGTCCTCATAGAGCACATGCTGGCTGAGTAAATGAGCACCATCTACACCAGCCTCGGAGCCCCCTGGGGGCTAAGAACACTGAGCTTGGGATCATTCTGAATTCCCCCGAGAGAGGCCCAGCAGGGACCTCGACCTCACCGTGAACTGGCGCACCTCCCCTCTGTCCACCAGCTCACGGTCCTTCTCGGGTGCAATGGCGTAGGCCAGTTTCTGAAAGAGAAAGAGAGTGCAGGGGTCAGTGCAGACCAGTACCCACTGCCAGCACCCACCACTGACTCACACTGCCAGGACCCTCACCTACCAGCACCCTCACCACCAGCCCTCCTCACCTGCCAATGCCCACCCGCTGGCATCCATATCACCAGCGCCCACCACTGACTTACACTGCCAGTGCCCATGCCGACCAGACAGCCAGTCAGGCCCGAAGCCAACATCCTGACGGTCCCCTTAAAGTCTAGCGCAGAGCAGAACATCAGCATTTGAGCACTCGCTTGAAAATAAAACGTGGTCCTGGAGATGGCTCTTGAGTCTAAGCTACCACGTGTGCTGGGCTCTGAGTAAGAAAGTGCCCACACCCAGGTGGGCTGCCTCGGGGCCACCTGCAGCTGACATATTCCGGGAGCACTTGCTTTTTGTCACCTGCAGCTCTTGGGAGAGTGAACGCTGAACGTGCCTTCCTTCCACTGCCCGCTGCGGCAGCTCCTGGGGCCTGGACAGCACCAAGTCCTCCCAGAGCAGGCAGCATCTTCAGGAGCTCACCCTCTCGGGCCTGGATGCCTGTATCTGGATCTCTGAGGCCAGGTGACCTCTCACAGGGACCCCTGTGCGTGGCCCCACCCCACGTCATCACCACAATTCCACTTGTACCTGGCTCAGCTGCTGAGGTTTTACTTGGCTTACGTTCAGAGTTTGGCCATGCGAGGGGTAAGGGCGCTGGCTGTTCAGGTCCGCCGGGCTGTAGGCATCCTCCAGCTCTGCGCTGACCTGGGCCCCGCCTCCCACGTCCATCCAGCCTCCCAGAGGAGCTCTCTCCCTGCAGAGACTGCCCGGCTGCCTGCTCTTCCCCTGTGCTGGGTCCTGGCAGGTCAGCCCGTGGGGGTCTGAGAGGGACTGTCCACAGCAGGGTGCCATCAGCTTTCCTGGGGCCATGGCAGCCCCAGAGCTCCTCCCACTCCACAGAAGCCCCCAGCCACACACTGTGCTTTGCCTGCACTGGGCCTTGGCCTGGCCAGGCTGCTGGAGAGACTGGCTCAGTGCCAGCCTGAGAGCATCTGCCACATGTCTGAGCCCAGGGGACACCGTGTGGCCCTAAGGTGGAATCCTTGAACACAGCTGGTGCTGCTCTGGGGTTTTGATGCCCAGGGCCAAGCGACTTCTTTCTGAGAAAGGCTGGGATTTGAGGAAGCAGCTTCCGGGAGTTCCCAGTGGTGGGATCTCAGGTGAGGGCGACCCTCTTCCAAGGAGGGAGTGTCCTTGTCTCTTCCTGGAACCACAGAGCCAGGGTGTTAAACAGGGCCCTGTGACTGGTCCACCTGCCTTTCTTCTACACAAAGGCGGCAAAACCAAGCAGAAGAAAGGAGATGCATATCAGTGACTCCGCAAAGCTTCCTCCACTGCCTGGGGCTCCAGCTGCCCCTGTTCAGCCAAAGTTGGGCTCGGCCCTGGGGGGACCTAGATCACCCCTGATTCTACCGCCCTCAGATGGCTTCTGTGTCCACCACACCACATACCATAGTGTGTAGGCATGCATGCACTCAGTACACACAAACACTTGGACACGAATGTGAGCACAGACCCAGGCCCACACACACGTGCACACGGAGACAGCACATACAGACACAGAGATACAGTGGATGTACACACAGGCACAAGCACACACAGACACATGCACACACAGACACACACAGACATGTGGACATACTTAAAGACACACACATGAATACACATATGGACGCACACCCATGGGCCCGGGCGTGCAGGTGGACACACACACGCACACACACACACAGTGTTGTGGTGGCCACCTCCAGTCTCCTCCTCTTGGTCACAGATGACCCAGGCAGGTGAGGACTGGGGCCATGGACACCCACGGAGCCTTTCTGGTGGCCTCACACTCGGGTGAAGGCGCCCCGTCCAAATACCCACCTCTCGAAAGGACCCAGGCAGGCTGCAGAACTTGTAGGCCGCATAGATGGGCACCATGGCCATGGAGGATGTGGCGATGACCCAGCCCAGCGCGTTGGCCCAGTCGGGGAAGATGTAGGCTCCGTAGTGGGGGGGTCTGAAGGTCACAATGCTGACCACGACCACGAACTGCAACCAGCAGATACGGAGGTCAGGCAGCTCTCAGCCGGCGGTGCCAGGACAAAGCAGGGAGCGGGCAGGCACTTCATGGCAGAGCGTCTCTCAGCCCCCACAGCTGTGCAGGTGCAGACCCCGGCCAGGCCTGCAGACATGGCAGCTGGGCATCCCGGGCAAGCCATGTCCTCCTGAAGCATGATCTAGCCTGTCCTGTCCTATCCTGTTCTCTCCCCTCCCCTCCCCTCCCATCCCATCCTGTTCCATCACCTCTCCTCCCCTCCCCTCCCATCCTGTTCTGTCCCCTCCCCTCCCCTCCCATCCTGTTCCATCCCCTCTCCTCCCTTCCCCTCCCATCCCATCCTGTTCTATCCCCTCTCCACCCCTCCCCTCCCATCCCATCCCATCATGTTCTATTCCATCCCATCCTGTTCTATTACATCACATCCGGCTCTATCCCATCCCATCTCATCCCATCCCATCCCTTCCTGCTGTATCCCACCTTGTTCTATTCCTTGCTTGAAATCACAACAAAAACAAAACTGACCACCACCCAGTACACTGAATCTATGATCATCCATGGCCTGAAGACACAACTGTGACCCATGCGGGACCACCCTAGGGCCATCTGAGCTCCGTATCTCTACTCATTCTAGAAGCAAATCTGATAAAGTCACAGACCTGTCTCAGAACCACCACCACAAAGGTAACAGAGGGTGGGGTGGATGCCACTTGGAGGGGAAGCTTCCCACTCTCCAGAGGCTTCTCCTGAGGCAGCTCATGCATTTGTTCATCCACTCCACAAACATGCACCACCATCTAAAAAGATCCTCCATGTGCCTACATATGCACCTCACACCTGAATGTGTTCTGTGCACCCACATGTGTACTGCACGCCTACATATGTGTTCTGTGTACCTGGGTCCTTCCCAAGGACACAAGTGAAGCTCTGATAGATATGGTTTATGATGTAGCTTAAAATGCAATTTTTTCCCAATTGTCCACTTTTCCTCAATTTCAGAAAAGTTAAAACATCCAAGCCTTCCACCTGAAAAGCATGTTGGACGCGTGTCTCATGCCAGTCTCAGCATCTTCTTCATGCGCTACTTCGGGCCACTTGTAGGTTTGGAGCCGGCTAGCGGAGGACTGGGATGGGGGCTGGGGTTGTGTCTGTCACGTGACCAGAGCCAGGGTGAGCAGCACTTTGGCGAGCAAAGCCAGTGGCCTGCAGCATCTGGGATCAGGGGCGGCTGCCTTGGCTGCACAGAGAGCCCTGAGCATGCTTTAAAGAGCCACGCGTGCATCCCTGGACATGTCGGGCTTGCCTATCTGACATGGAGGTATTGCTGTAATGTGCTCTCTGTTATTGTTCAACTTCTTGCTAGATACCACCTTTCTTAGAAAGAACTATGCCTCCCCAGGCCACAGTCTGCCCATGTAAGTTGCCTTTGCTCCGGCATAATTTCCCTTTAGCAGTGCTGTGGCATCATCTGCCACAGAGTCATCTGAACGAGACTGGGGCGTGTACACCCCTTACGACCAGAGGTTAGCACACGCCAGAGGGCAGGGGACTATGCCGCAGCCTGAAGAAACAGATGATAACACAGACGTTATGTTTCTGCTGAAATCAGAACTTCATAGGAATTGTGCTGTCATATTAAATACAAAATGACATAGAGCAATGAAATTGTCATGTTTCTCTCAACTTGGCAAAATGAAGTCCTGTTTCGTATAGTTTGTAGTTTTATCTAAAAGTCTACGAAGTGTGTTTCTGTATGAAGTTCGAAGATTTAGTCTAAGATCAGTAGAACATTTTATCTCCTAAGATCGAGGTCAGCCCTCTGGGTGTTAAGAGGAGACACCCCCTCAAGGGGAGCCAACGTCCTCATGCAAAACAGCTCAGTTTCAACTAATGGCGGGGGAGAGCGGGAGGTGGGCAGGAGGCTGACTTTCTGGGAGGGCTTCCTCACTTTCCCCTCTGAACAGCCATGTAGTCTGTGTGCTATTAAAAGCCCGCCCCATGAATCCAGGAACCTTCAACGGGAGCCTTCACAAGCGCAGTTAACTGGACTTGGAACACTTACGTGCAGCCACACCACGCGGCCTGGAGCTCAGACACGGTGGAATTTCTACAAGATGCCGGGCAGGTTCTCTCACACTATGTTGAGCTCCTCCGGGATAGGGCCTGTCTCTCATCTCTTTCCTGTACCCCGGAACCCCTCTGCTGGCAACTACGGGGCTGTCCCACCTGCTGTGTGCAGGTGACGAGGGGTCTCCACGCACGCGGGCCCTGCTGACTCCGGGACCAGCCCTTGGTCCATGAGAGGGTGCGGCCTGAGTCCCCTGCCCTGTTCCAGTCCCCACCTCGTGCCTGCTGGACTCGGGAGGTGCTTCTCTACGTGAGCAGCTCACGGGACACTCTGCTTAGACTTGGACAGCTCTTAGGTTGCCTGCCCAGATCAGGCAGCACAGCTTTGCTTTGTGAGCCTCCAGGCCTCTGTGGTTCAGTGGGGGAAGCACTGCAGGCAATCCCTAATGAAAGTGTGCGGCCACCTTCCAACAAAACTCTATTTACAAACACCAGCGTCCGACGGCCTTGCCCGGTGGGCCCTGACTCGGTGGCGGATGACAGAAGCAAGTGCCTACTGGACACAGTGATGCTGCTGAGCCAGAGGGAGGCTTGCGTGAGCAACGGGACAGGGCCGAGGCCCCTGCTGCTCTCATCCAGCACTCGGCATCCTTTGTCCCCACTGCCCCGGAAGCTCTAACTTCGACCTTGATCCTCACAGGCAGAGGTGAGTGGACAGCCCGACTCACCTCCAGCTTCCCCTCCCAACACAGAGGCGCGGCCCAAGTGCAGGACTCACAACGGACTGTGACAGGGGTCCAAGACCATGTGAGGTTTTTTCGGTGGGTCTAGAGGGGAGGGTGGAAGCCACCTTAAGGAGACTATAGATGAGTTCAGGGATCAGCCTGTCCTTCTGGGCCGAGTCTTGAGGCCCCTGACTCCAGCCACAGTGACAACCCACATGCGGGCGCTGGACCTCGGGGCAGGTGCCAGAGTGGGGGCAGTGGGCAGACGGGGGAAGGGCAGGTGGCCCGAGGTCCCTTACCAGGAGAAAGCAGGGGCTGACCAGCTTCCAGCACAGCCGCCAGTACAGGCTGGGCCGCTGCCCGGTCATCTGCTGGATGTCGTCGCTGAACTGCCCAACACCTGAGGGAGAAGAGGTGGCATCAGTGTCCATCAGGGCAGCGCATTCCCCCGATGCTGGACACGTGTGGGGGTCCTCGCTGACTCCCAAGGGCCCCACCTACCGGCCCCAGGCTTCGGCTGCACCCAGCCTCCTGCAGAGGAGGCCAGGCCACACCCCAGCCCACTGGGTGCCTCGCTGACGGGTGGGAGCCCACGTGCCTGCTCCACCCTGGAGATGCACCAGGAAGAGCCGTGCCCCGGTGGGTGCTCCCCGCGCCCCGGCAACAGCCCCTCGGGTCCTCCTCCCCATCCCATGGCTCTCCCTGTCTCCCTCTGCTGCTGGTACTTCTTGTTCACTTAAAAAGATTATGGTAAAATACACATAACATAAAACTTACCATTTTAGCCATTTTTACGTGTAGAGTTCATAATGTATCAATACATTCACATACTGTGTAACCGTCACCACCGTCCATCTTCAGAACTCCATCCTCCAAAATGAAATTCTGCCCTCATGAAACGCCAACTCCTCCCGACCCCCAACCCCCGCCAGGCCCCAGCACCATCTGCTTTTTGTCTCAATGAATGTGACTCCTGTGGGAACCTCCCGTCAGTGGAGTCACGTGGCACGGGGCCTCTGCAACTGGTTTACTCCCTGTAGAGTGTCCCTGAGGCCACCTAAGCTGCGGCCCACATCAGCATTCCCTTTTGTTTTAAGGCCGAATCATATTCCGTCATGAGTATACCGTCACTGTGTCTTCAGAAAAGCTATTTCTAGAAACATAATAAACATTTTTTCTCCCCAAAAGCAAGTACCAGCAGTCCACTTTAGAAATGCATATTTTTCTTTCACTGGTATTATCTAACTTCTTCTAGGAACTGACCCTAAGACCTTAAGAGTGGTTTCTCCCCCCACATCTGGCCTGGTCTGTGACTCGTGTGACCGCGGCTGATCTGCTGAGATTTGGGGCAAGTCTTGCGGTTGTCCCGTGTCCCATCAGAAAGAAGCCTCCACACAGAATCCCCTCTTCACACCCACCCGGCATCCGAGCTCTGAACATGAGAGATGGACGTGGGAGGCAGCGGGGATGCAGAGAGGTGAGGCCGGAAGAAGCCAAGAGGGGCGTCCCCAAGGCCCCTCGGCCCCCAGACCCTGCCTCCCACCAGCAGGTCCCAGGGCCCCTGCCGGAGCAGGAGTCATCAGCTCCAAGACCTACAGGACCGCAGCGTGCTGGAAGCCCGGCGTATTCCGGCACATCTTATTAGAGCACAGGTTTTGTTTCATTTAGATGAGAGGGGCGTGGATTTCTCTTTGGAAAAATAACACAGATCTCGGTCTTCTGAGGTGCAGGTCGCCAGGGCCGGCTTCTCCCCATCTCCCGTGGTTCCGGAGGCCATGGCAATTCAAGGCACTTTCTCCCTTCCTCTGTGAAGGTCTATGTTTTGTTCAGGGAAGATGACAATGAAAGTGATAGACAAAGTATTGATTCCAGACACCCGTGAAAGTACGAGGTTGATATTTCCGTTTTCTGTAGAGCAACACTGAAAACAATGTTCTCAGAATAGGAGCTATTTGTCCTATTTGTCTCAAAGTCAGGGCGTTTATCTGGCTATAAATTCCATGGCTCTGAGGCAGAGAAAATGACCCCCTTGTTTGCAGGTGAGCTGGGCGTCCTCCAAAACCGGGGCTCACGCAGCACCACAGACATTCAGCTTTCAGCCGGATCCACACATTTTTTTTTTTCTTTTTTGAGACGGAGTCTCACTCTGTTGCCCAGGCTGGAGTGCAGTGGTGCAATCTCGGGTGACTGCAACCTCCGCCTTCCGGGTTCAAGCTGAATCATATTCCATCGTAAGTATACCATCAGTGTCTTCAGAAAATCTACAGCCTCCTGACTAGCTGGGATTATAGCCTTGTGCCACCACACCCGGCTAATTTTTTTTTTTTTTTTTTTTAGTAAAGATGGGGTTTTACCATGTTGGCCAGGATGGTCTTGATCTCTTGATCTCGTGATCTGCCCACCTCGGCCTCCCAAAGTGCTGGGATTACAGGCGTGAGTCACCGCGCCCGGACCACACATTCATGGCGAGATGCCCTGGCTCGGCCTCGCCACTTCCCTGGAAGTGAGCTGGCCAGGTAAGCGGAGCTGGCACTCCTGCCCATTTTACAGAAGAGAGAACTAAGGGGAGTCGAGGTGACTTGGCCAGGTCAGCATGTGGGGAAAGGGCAGCCCTGGCTCCAGGCTGGGTTTTCTGTTGCTGTTTAAACCACTGGTGGAAGTCCCAGGACACAGCTGGGGCAGCACAATGGGCCAGGAGCTGCACCCCGTTCGAGCGCCGCCCGCTGATCATCAGGTCCCGACTGCTCTGGAGCTCTGGTCAGCAGGGAAGGCGATGACGGCACCTTTGAAAGGCACCATGTCACATCCCTGCTGAAACCCCAGCATGGATCTGATTGTGTTCCCCTGGGTGGGATGGGCTCACCGGTGCCTCTAGCGTGGAGGAGGCAGAAGACGCCCAGCCGCTGTGAACACCTCTGACCACAGTGTGCCTCTTCTGGCTGCCATCCAAGCTAAGCACCTCACTGATCCCATCAAAGGGACCAGTGCCAAGCCTCTCCCCTCTGCGGAGCTGTGATGACCACAACCCAGGCTTCCTGCAGCTGAAAGGTGTTTCCTCACGGAGCCTTTTTCAGAAGGGGAGTGGCACAGCCACCAAACAAGAGGGTGCCGGCTTGGCTGCCTTCCCCCGGACTCACCATAGAACCAGGCCACTCCGATGGCTTCGATGAGCACTCCAAAGAGGATGGACGTGCCGGCTGCAAAATGGTCCAGGAGCGTGAAGACGTAGATGCCACCCTGGAAGAGAGGGGAGCCTGTGGACCTACAGAAGGGCTTTCCCCAGAGGTAAACCCAGCCTGGGGATTCACTGTGCACACAAATTGTTTCACTCACTGCAAAACTCTGGTTTGAGTCCCTAAAATTCAACCCACATGCAGCTTCTTAGGGCCACGTGTATTACAAAAAATAAAAATAAAAATGACCTCTCCTTTCCCTTCCTAGGGCTTCATGTGCAATTAGAAATGGAAGCAACCGAATGCGGAACTTGGCAGTGCCTCCCTTGGAGAGGGAGTGGCCTGGGCTCCCCCTCCCACATAGATAGGCTCTGCCACCACACCCCCAGCGTCCCCCAGTCCCCAAACCCTAGAAGGAGGCAGCTTCAGCCTGGGGTGCTTCTGGGGGAGCTGTCCAGGTGCTGAAGTGACTCTGGGACCAAGCTCTGGATGTGCAGTTACCCTGTGCACTGCTACGAGTCATTTTCTGGGGTGGGTGGGTTCGCAGCTCCCTGGAAGTGCTGCGGTTCTGTCTGGCCTGACAGTCCCAGCCAGGGCGCCCCGTGCCACGTGCTAAGGAGACATGACCAGGAGAAGGCGAAGCCGGCGATGGTACGTACGTTGGTGACGCAGAACAGGGACAGGAGGAAGGTCGCCAGGACGATGAAGAGCGTGAAGAGCTCACGGTGTCTGTGCAGCAGCTGGAACTCATCGATGAGCCCGGTGATCACTGACTCCATACCACCCATCTGCACACAGAGCACAGGGTCGGGCTGCAGGCTGGCGGCGCTCCTGACCGCAGCCTGGGCCAAGACCTACTTGTCACCCAGTGGACGCACACCCGGGGATGGACACGGAACAGGGGCCACATGGCCGTCCAGGGTGCAGGATGCCTGGTAGTGAGGACAGCTGTTGGCGAGGGCTTCTATGGCGGCACGACCGCAGGAGAGAGGACCCAGAGGGACCACTGTATCCACGGTAGGGGGTTTGCAGCCTCTTCGATGTCTCTGGGTGGGTAAGATGCGGCATGGCTAAAACAATGCCACCCTGTCCACTGCTGCTGCACGGGCTCAGCTTGGCCAGATTTTCCTGAGCAAGATGCGTCCCCCACACAAAGCTTTCAGCTGCACCTGGCCTTGTCATTGGCTACGCCTTCCCGACGGAGCCTCCTGACTCCTGGCATCCTCCTGTGGGACACCGTCCAGGCACCTGACTCCTGCTTAGTGACCTTCTTCACCTTGCTCGGTCCAGACCCCTCTTCATGCTCTCATGTCAGGAACATGAGGCCTGTGGTCAACCCAGGAGCCGTGGACGAGGTGGATAGGATATGAGTGGGGGGCCGGGTGCATGACCAGCGTTTATAAGGCAAGGGATTCTGGGTTCTTTGGTCCCAAGCAGCTGACAGGGAAGAAGGAGCCTGAGAAAGTCCAGCAGGCCCAGGGCCGATCAAGGGCTGGACCCGCCACCCCCAGCAGCTGGAGGTGCAGGGGCCACACACAAAGCATTCAGGGCCAGGCCTGGGATTGGTAGGTGCCAGGAACTTCTGTTGCCCTCCTCATTCCTCATGGGGTAGCTGAGGCTTCCAGGGAAAGCCACGAGATATGAAGGACCTGCTGTGTGCCCTCCAAGGCCCCACCACTCTGGTGTCCGGAGCCAAGTCTTTGGTGGCTGGGGCCCTGCTACACGTGCATGCATGTCTGTGTGTATGTGTGTGTGCATGCGTGTGTGCATGTGTGTGTTCGTGTGTGTTCATGTATGTGTGCGTGTGTGCATGTGTGTATGTGTGTGCATGCATGTGCATGGTGGTGTGAATGTGTGTGTTCGTGTATGTGTGTATGTGTGTGCGTGTATGTGTGTGTGTGCATGTGTGTGCACATTTCCAGGATCTGTAGGTGGCTCAGGGCAGGGCACACAGGTACCCCAGAGTAGGGGGATAAAGGGAAAGGTAAACTCCAGTCACCACTCACTCCAGCCCCGAGAAAGGTCTCCCAAATAATCACGGGGCTCGCCCAAGTCAAGGACAGGAGGTCTGGGGGCCGTACGTGAGCCCAGGGATCTTGCCTAGCCCTGGGAGGGCAGGGCCCCCTCGGGTGGAAGGAACCCAACTGCCGAGGACAGGGCCGGGCGGTGCGGGTTACTCACGGCGCTGTCGATACCCAGGGTGAGCAGCATGATGAAGAAGACCACGGCCCAGGCTGAGGACAGAGGGAGCGTGGCGATGGCTTCCGGGTAGATGATGAAGATCAGCCCTGGCCCTGAAACAGAACCCGCCCTGCTTGCCACAGAGCCCACGCTGTGCTCTCCCGCCCATCCTGCCCCACCCCGCCCCGAGAAGCATGGCCTGCCACAGGCCTGTAGAGACTAGGGCTGGTGCGGCTCTGCTGAAAAGCCCCCTTCTATATGTCCAGCAGACCAGGCCTGGGACTCAGGAAAGCGGAAACCCAGAACTGATCAGAGGGCTTTGGTTCATGCCCACCACCCAGCAATGGGGCTCCTCCAAATTACCTGGGTCCTTTTGGGCTATGGGGGTGCTTGGGGAAGGAAGGGGCAGAAACAAGGAGGAGCAGGAGGGGCTTCCAGGCTGGTCCTGCCCTTCATCCCAGGGACATCTGCTAATGTCCTTCGAGTTAGTTTTTCCTGCACATACCATGCAACATACACACTCAGACACACATACCATGCAACATACACACTCAGACACACATACCATGCAACATACACACTCAGACACACATACCATGCAACATACACACTCAGACACACATACCATGCAACATACACACTCAGACACACATACCATGCAATATACACACACAGACACATGCGCGCACATGCACGAACACTCATTTGTGCATTCAAACTCATACATGCAAGAACACATCCACATGCACGCACACAAACAGAAACATGCACGTGCATGCACAAACATACACAAACACACACAAATCACACACGTCCACACTATTTAGTAGCCTAATTTCTAAAATTAGCAAAACATTTAGGGATACATTCCTGACCTCCGCCTTCCAGGCACATGAGGAAGCTGAGGTCCTCCCACCCTCCCGTGAGGTTAGACGTGGCTGCACTTGGCCAATGTGCTGTGAACCCACAGTGAGCGGGTCCCTGCGAGTGAAGCTTGGTAGAGGAGTGTGTGGCTCCTTCACCACCTCCCCTGCCACGGGGTCCCGCAGGCCATATTGAGACAGGCTCCTGTCAGCTGGGGCCCTGAGGGCTCAGAGGAGCAGCACATCCTGATGGATACAGGGGCCCAGATGGTGGCTTCGGAGATAAGAGACAAACCTGCTACCTTGCTATCCCTGCAAGCGAGGGGCACGCCAGGCTGAGGGCGGCATGGCAAAGGCGGAGGAGGTGTTCCCCCACAGCTCTCTCGGGAAACGACACGTGCTTCCTGCTACCAGCAGGCAGACTCGGATGGAGGTGGAGGGGACGAGAGTGTGGCAGGCAGGCGACCAAAAGTCAACGCAGTTTGGTCTCTGATGACCCCAAAGTAAAAACCAGTCCCATAGGCAATTGACCTTTGACCAGTTCAGAAGCCTTGCATCCTCCACTGGCTGGCACCATCTCCCAAGCCCAATCTGCCTGCAACAGAGTCCCCTGTCCTCAGCAGGCACGTGTCTGGCCCTAGCCTGCAGGAATAGGCCTGCGCCTGGCCTTTTAAATAATCAAAGGCCAGAGCCAGGGGCCGTTCCTAAAGGTCTTTCAGGGGCCTCACTATCAGCCAAGCAGCGGGGTCAGACCTGGGCTCTCGCAGCTCCCAGATACCCTGGTGGATGGGGACAGCCTCCGCGTGGGGTGGGGGAGGCAGGCTCGCCTGAGATGTTCCGGGGCTTAGATGGTACCAGCCAGGAGCCTGGGAAGATATTCATCAGCTCAGGGAATGTAATGTCAACACCCGTGCCTTCGTTTCTGTACCTAAGTTAACATTTCACCCTATTTTCTTGAGAATTAAGGCTGTAAATGACATTTACTTTGCTTGTCATGAAATGCACAGAAGAACATTCAACTTTATTTTCAGGGGTTAATAGAGGTTTTTGCAAACTATGCTCGTTATCATAATAAAGGGCAAAAAGAATGAAGAAAAGGCATAAATGCGGCACCGAGTAAATTTCACTGCTCTGCATTTATTTGCAGATGTTCCCTTTCTCCCGCTTTGACTGAATTTTTTTTCCTAGTGGAAAGAACATGGGCTTAGGAGGCCCACCTCTGAGCTGTGGCTCCAGCCCCGACCCTGGCTTTCTGTTGCAAGCATGGAGTGGGCCCTTTCAGGTCTCTGAGCGTGTTCCTACCTGCGGTGCGAGGGTCCTAGTGCCCCACTCTGTGAGACTCAGGTGCGGTCAAGGCTGCCCCCGCTTGGTGCTTGTCGCTCCCCGCCTTCACTGAGCCTCAACACCCAGGCAGAGATCAGTCAGCAACAACACCCACACGGGACAGGGGCTTTTCTGAGCACAATCATTCCTCACAAATGTAGTGCCCCCACCCCACCCCCGGAGAAGACAGTCCAGAGGAAGCAAGGATGGGGACGCAGCATGGGAGCCCACCCAACCCAGGCCCGTGTCTGGAGCGAAAGGGCCTCCTCCACATCCATGTGGCAGAGCAGGCCGGGAGGCAGGCGGGGGCTCTGCTGGCTGACAGAGACCGAGAAGCCTTGGGACTCCCTGGAGCTCTCGGTTGGCCCAAGTTAGGGCTGCCAACGCCACAGCTTTCCACTGCAAGCACCGGAGCCAGGCACGTGGCCCCAAGTGCCTGGGCCCACTCTCAGCCCCTGCATCTGTGCCCGTCCTGCCGGCTCCATCCTGCCTGGCACACTTCTTGCTGTGGCCAAGGCCTCCCCCCACCACTCACCTGTGCCTGCCCGAGACCTGGACCCCTCCCCACCCTCTCGGAGACAACTCCAGGCGTGCAGGGACACTCAGCGTCATGCGTCGGCCTGGGGAGCGGGCAGGGACACCCTGTGCTGGAGGCCCCAGGGATCTCCCGGCTGCTCTGTGGCCAAGCTGATGTTTGCGGCATCCCAGCCTGCCTCCAGGTGTTGCTGGAACAGCTCATTCCTCCCCTTCCCTGAGCTGCATGTTCCCACACCGCGTGGCAAGCAAACATCTAGAGGGCCCTCAGTGACAGCATCTACGCCAGACCCTGGTGGGGCAGCCTCATGTGGCATCTGCAGGGAGCAGTCGAGGGACTGAGGCACCAACTATGCTGCTCAGCTGCATTTGGGCTTGAGGTTCCCCAGCCCAGGGTGGAGGCCCCGAGAGGCACAAGGCAGGAAAGGCACTGGGTGGGGGGGCCTGGAGGGGCAGGGCGGAGAAGGCACTGGGTGGGGGGCCGGGAGGGGCAGGGCGGGGAAGGCGCTGGGTGGGGGGCCTGGAGGGTCAGGGCGGGGAAGGCGCTGGGTGGGGGCAGGTCTGTACTGGGATGTGTACCACCATCCTTCAAGAGTGAGGCAGCAACTCTCACTGAAGTCGCTCAGGGCCCATGCGTCTCCTTCCTCTTTCACAAGGAAAAAGGCTTTGCTGAGAGCTCGGCGCTGGTGCTACACGGAGCAGGCCCAGGTGCAGCAGGAGGGGCTCACCGTCCTTGGCCACGTCCCCGATGGGCACACTGTGCTTCTGTGCCATGTACCCCAGGAAGGAGAAGACGACGAAGCCGGAGGAGAAGCTCGTCAGGGAGTTGATGGAGGTGGTGACAATCGCGTCCCTGTAAGAACAAGACACGCCGTCTCAGGAACCAGCTGAGCTGCAGCAGCTGCAATTTTCCAGTCATTATTCTTAATTTACTGTGTCTGGGGAAGGGGGCGGGAGGTCTTCGGAGGGGCTACTTTTCCCAGTGAGCACGGCCAGCTCCTTAGCAGCCTGGCAGAGCTGTCCTTGGGCCACCTTGGTCCCCTAGCTGAGCTGCTCAAGGCTCAGCCATCAAGGCTCAGGGTGGGCAGAACAGACGGCCACCCCTGTGCCCCGCGAGTCTTGCTGTGGACACCTCACCCAGGGCAGATCTTCCAGAAGCTCTAGGAGCACACACCTCCCGGGGACCTCGCTAAGATGCAGATCCTGACTGGGCGGGTCTCATGGGGTCTCGGGGGCTGTGTTTCCCATGAACTCCCAAGGGCGCTGGTGCTGCGGGCCTGGGGGCCCCACTCTGAGGGCTGAGAAACCAGAGAGCTGGAGGCAAGCCGAGGACGAAGAGGGAGGGTCCTGGGGTCGGTCAGGGCACCAGCGTCCTCCTCCTGGGTTCCTGTGTGGCCTGTCACTGGGGTGGAAGGACCACACACTTCATCTGCAGAGCACCTGGACCCAGGTGGACGCAGGTGGGCTGCGGGCAGGCGCTGCCTCAGGACCTGCCTTCCAGCGCCCACTCTCAGTGAAGCCTGCTTGTGGTCTGCCTGGCCATTCTGCTGCACACACTGTCCTTGTATTTTTACCGTGTTTCTAGCCTCATGATGTGAAAGAAAGTAAGCACAAGTCCATAAAGGTCAAAGCAAGCAGATCCCGGATAAAATTCTGTTTCTGTTTTTAGAAGGATTTGGGGTCCGGCACGGGGCTTCAGGTGCCTGCCAGTAAGTAACACGGGGTGCATATGGGATGGGGGGACACACTCAGGGGGTTGTGAAGCTGGACCCTGAGCGAGGGAGGACAGAGACCCCCCGGGGCTGGTGTGAGGGAAGAGGGTGTGTCCTTGTGGAGGGAGGGGCTGGCCTTGCCACTTGGGGCCCTCAGTGGGGAATCTGGCCGCAGGTCAAACCTAGGCAGGTCCCTCCCAGGAGGCGACACACCCACTGGCTTCAGTGCCTTCTTTAAAGTTGAAATCAAAATCGTGTTGGGAGCTGCCTCGCTGTCGCTTCTGTCTGAAAGGCCACGCAGCTCACAGGTTTGCGGGTTCAGTGGATCCGCCCTGTTCTCATCCAGGGACACCCTATTTCTGGAAGTCAGCGACCTCTCCCTAGTATTGATGAGGCCCCTGCCTGGCCCTGCTAGGGGCTCACCTGTAGCAGTTGTTGGTGAACTTGTTGTAGCTGGAGAAGGCGATCAGCACCCCGAACCCCACGCCCAGGGAGAAGCACACCTGGGTGGCCGCGTCAATCCAAACCTGCAGAGCCAGAGGGCGGTGAGAGGCTGTCCCAGGAGAACGCAGGCCACAGGCAAAGGACCTGAGCACCCTTCCTGTCCCAGCCCCACACTGAGGCCTCTAAACTCAACACCATCCTCAAGAAGTAAATGGCAGCAGACGACTGGTGGAAGATGCAGCCTCAGGAAGTGAACCCTCCCGGGCCAGCGGCCTGGAAGAGCCTGAGAAGCAGGGGGCTGTCTGTGTTCATTGATCTGGGATTCCCCATGGAGTATCAAGGCAGCGATTCCACAGAACCAGAGGTGCCCTGCTCCATAGCCCTCAGAACAGCATGGACTCATCCACACACGGCATGACCACAGCATCCTAATAACCCTCGGAACAGCACGGCCTCATCTACACAAAACATGACCACAGTGTCCTAATAACCCTTAGAACAGCACGGACTCACCCACACACAGCATGACCTCAGCGTCCTAATAGCCCTCAGAACAGCACGGACTCATCCACACACGGCATGACCGCAGCGTCCTAATAGCCCTCGGAACAGCACGGACTCATCCACACACAACATGACCGCAGCGTCCTAATAGCCCTCAGAAGAGCACGGACTCATCCACACACAACATGACCGCAGCGTCCTAATAGCCCTCGGAACAGCACGGCCTCATCCACACATGACATGACCGCAGCGTCCTAACAACCCTCGGAACAGCACAGATTCATCCACATGCTGCATAATGGTGGCACCCTGATAACCCTCAGAAAGTCATGAACTCATCCACACACAACATGACCGCGGCGCCCTGATAACCCTCAGAACAGCATGGACTTATCCACACTCACACCAGCCCTAGCGGGGTCTCCATCCTCCCTTGATCAGGGTCCAGCTTCACAACCCCCTGAGTGTGTCCCCCCATCCCATGTGCGCCCTGCTGCATGATGGCAGTGCCCTGAAACCCTCAGAACAGCACAGACTCAACCACAGGCTACATGATGGCGGCTTCCTGATAACCCTCAGAACATCATGGATCATCCACAAGCTGCATGATGGCGGCACCCTGATAACCCTCAGAACAACATAAACTCATCCTGAGGCTACATGATGGTGGCGCCCTGACAACCCTCAGAACAGCATGGATCATCCACATGCTGCATGATGGCAGCACCCTGATAACCCTCAGAAAGGCATGGACCCATCCACATGCTACATGATGATGGTGTCCTGATTGGACGCACACCAGCAATGCCTGCTTTGTATCCTTCCCAAAACATGAGCAGTACAGGTGCACAGTGGCACCTGGGCATGGCCAGGAGCCCACCTGCAGCTTAGACACTGGTGCTGTGCCTGCCCAACTCGGTGGATGGCACCCACAACTCTGGACGTGAAAGGAAAGGTGGGTGGGTCCACGATTGGACCATTGTGGTATTTTAAAAAGTCAGCCACAACCTGCTAAGGTGAGGGCACTGCGGAGACCATTCAGTGACTCAGATGCCCACCTTGCCCTTCCCTGGGCCTTGGATGGGGGAGAAGGAGCAGCCAACCCCCCCTTGGAGGCATTTGAGGGACTGGTCAGTTAGGGCTGTTCCTGCAAGTCCCTGGAGCCCATGGTACAGGCCTGTGGGCCAGGATGCTGAGGCAGAGACACCAGATGCTCCTGCTGGGGAGGCCAGGTGGGTCTCAGGGCATCCCAGGTCCCAGGTCAAGCTTGCCTGAGCTTGACTGAGCAAGGGAACTGGGTGCTGCAGAGGGGGCGGGGCCCTCTGTCCTTTGGGCAGCATGTCAGAGCCTCAAGGCAACCCCAGTTCCTGGGACAGTGTGTTTGGAGGCAGATGGCCAGGCCCCGCAGTCAGGACTCTGCAGGTGGCCAGTGTTTCAGCATGAGGGGAGGAGCCAAGCCGAGAGTGGCTGGGTGGGCAGTGGGTGGAGAGGCTCATACCCTGATGTGGCTCCCATGCTGGTCATCAGCCACCTGCCTGGCCAGGTAGCTGCAGGCTGGATCAGGTGTCACAGGGGAGCGCCTGCCTCCTCCTCACCCTGATCTGTGTGTGCAGCTCAGGCCTCTGCCCAGTGCCACACCAGAGCCAGTGCCCATGGCTGCCTCCCTGGGCCTCACCTCATGCACTTTCACTCCAGGACCTGCAATTGTCCTTTCCTTCCATTTCTTTCCTGATTTCTCTTCACTATACATCAATCCATCATCTATTATCTATCAATCAATCATCTATCTATCTATCATCTATCACTGTCATCTATCAATCCATCACCAATCTATCATCTATCTGTCATCTCTATAATCTATCAACTGTCTATCATCTATGAATATATGAAGTACATGTGTGTGTATGTATCTATCTCCATCCATCCTATTGTATATCCATCCTATCTACCTACCTATCATCCATCCATCCACCCATCCATCATCCATCCATCCACCCATCCATCATCGATCCATCCATCCATGCTATCCAGCTACCTATCATTCATCCATCCACCCATCTGTCCATCATCCACCAATCCACCCATCATCCATCCATCCATCCATCCACCCACCCATCCATCATCCATCCATCCATCCATGCTGTCCAGCTACCTACCTATCATTCATCCATCCACCCAAACATCCATCATCCAGCAATCCACCCATCATCCATCCACCCACCCGTCATCCATCCATTATCCATCCATCCATCCATCCTATCTAGCTACCTACCTATCATTCATCCACCCATTCACCCATCCATCATCCATTCATCATCCATCCATCCATCCATCCATGCTATCCAGCTACCTACCTATCATTCATCCATCCACCCAGCCATCCATCATCCAGCAATCCACCCATCATCCATCCACCCATCCATCCCATCCATCATCCATCCATTATCCATCTGTCCATCCTATCTAGCTACCTATCATTCATCCACCCATTCACCCATGCATCATCCATTCATCCATCCATCCATCCATCCATCATCCATCCATCCATACTATCCAGCTACCTACCTATCATCCATTCCTCCATCCACCCATCCATTATCCATACATCCAGCCAGCCAGCCTTCCATCCACCCATCCTATCTATCCATTCTATCTACCCACCTATCATCCATCCATCCTATCCACCTACTTACCTAGCATTCATCCATCCATCCATCCATCCATCCATCCATCCATCCATCCATCCAATCTATTCACTGTCTCCACCTAATTTCTGACATCTCATCTTTGTAATTTGTTCTCCAGTGAGCATCTTTTCACATGCACTGGTGTTTGTTTTGCCTCCTCCTGGGGCTGCCTATTCTTCCTAGCTGGAGCACTAGGCTCTACGTTGTCCTTGTGGTATTTTTCTTTGATTCTGTAACATGCCATGGTCCTGCAAACACACCCCTTGGCTTCATTTTGGCCTTTCTGGGGTCCAGACGCCCTGCTGACTTCATGGTTTGTCTGGCTCCAGCTCTGCACTTGTGGGCCCCCGGCCACAGCTGATTTTGCTGCCCTGGTTGTCCTCCTCTCTCTTCCTTGGCTCCCGTGGGCCACACGCCTGCTGCACCCATGGCTCCTGTCTCCACAGGGCTTCCCCTTCAGTGCTGCAGGCACACTTCCACCCCCACCCCCACCCAACTGCTTTGCAGCCTCATAGGTGCCATGTCCAGGTGCCCTCTCTCACTGCACCTGTCAGCTGCTGCCTCCCTGGGGCTTCCTGGGAGGCTTGCAGCCATGCCCGCCCATCCCTTCTCCCCTTCCTTCCCACTTCTGCCTTGGGTTTACACTTGCCTCATGACCCCCAGACCTGGCTCCACCGGCCCACCCACACAGGGCAGCACCTCTCAACGGCCTCCTGCCTCATACCCCAGCTGAGATGGCCCTTCCCCTCTTGCTGCATTGTCCTCCCACAGCAACATGGATGCCCCTGGGCGGCTTTGGGGCCTGCCACCTCCCCCACTTAGTCCACCTGATTTCCAACGATGCCCCAAGGGAGCTGCCATTTTTGTCATGCCAGCCTTCCGCCAACAGCTGCTTCTGTTTCTGGGCCTGTTTGCCAGGAAGGGTGCAGCCCTTTCTCCTCCCTTTCTGGACAAGGGTCCCATCCCCCATGGCCCAGCTGAGTCTCCTCTCTCCGGGAGGCTTTCTCCAAATATTTTAACCCTGAATTATGTCTTCTTTTGCTGACCAAAGCTGCAGCCTGAGTCTAGATGGAGTTTCTGATGTAATTTGATTTAGATGACTCGTGCTGTATCACAGGTACTTGGGATTTGGCTTCCCGAGGAAAGAACCCTGGTGTCTGCAACTCTGACACCTCTCAGCCCTGGCAGGCAATGCATATGGAAACCTGGGAATGCCAGAGCCCCTGTGGACTGTGAAGCAGTGAGCAGACTGTACTCACAGACGCCTCGCAGAGCCGGTAGAAGTCAACGCTCAGGTATGCTCTGATGCCGTCTATGGCTCCAGGGAGGGTGACCCCACGCAGGAGCAGGGCAGTGAGGACCACGTATGGCATGGTGGCTGTGATCCATACCACCTGCAGGAGAGGACAGTGTCACCAGGCTGCACAGGCAGGGCCCTTGGTGGGAGCAGACACTGGCACAAGGGCACCGGGTTGCCCTGACGGCTTGTCCTCTGATTGGGAGGCCCAATTCCCAAACATTTCCTGGGACGCCAGCTCAGCAAATGCTCCTTGGAGTGAGAAGGTCAGACACTTTCTGTCCTGCACACCCTCCCCAGGGATGGAAAGGGAAGAACAACTTGGCAGGGAAAGCACATTCCTTTTCTGCATTCGGTCCGCCAGAGTAGCTGGGAGTGGCTGATGGGGGTTTTCTGATGCGTGGGACGTGAGTGGATTCACACTGGTGAACGGCACTGTGGCACGATGAAGGGCTGCTCTGGGCTGTGTCCCTGCGGGAGGCTCCCGTGGCTGGTGCCATACTACACGCACTTTTCCAAGGGAGGAGTCGTATCTTGGTCAAAACTGGTTTTGGCCCATATAACAACCAAAGTTTTTTTTTTTTTTTTGAGATGGAGTTTTGCTCTTTTTGCCCAGGCTGGAGTGCAGTGGCATGATCTTGGCTCACTGCAACCTCCGCCTCCTGGGTTCAAGCAATTCTCCTGCCTCAGCCTCCCACGTAGCTGGGATTATAGGCACGTGCCACCGTGCCTGGCTAATTTCGTATTTTTAGTAGAGATGGGGTTTCATCATGTTGGCCAGGCTGTTCTTGAACCCCTGACCTCAGGTGATCTGCCCGTCTCAGCCTCCCAAAGTATTTTTATCAACAAAAAAATCATCTTGTGTGTGCCTTCCTGCCAGAAACACTGCTGTGAGTGCTTCCCTCCTGAGGCCCTTCCCCAAACACAGCCACACGTGGACCCAAAACCCAACTGTGCCGTGTGTCCGCCCAGCCCAGCCACGGCCACGTGTCCCCCCACCCACCCATGGCCGCGCGTCTACCCAAGCCAACCCGGCACAGCCACAGGTGTACCCTCAATCATGGCCACGTGTACACTCCCAACCTGATTATGGCCATATGAGTCTCCCAAACTCAACCATGGCCATGTGTCCACCCCAACCTGGCCATGGCCACATTGGTAGCACAAAACCCAACTGAGGCCACACGTGCACCTCCTGTCCAGCCACGGCCACATGTCCACTTGGTGGCCCCATGTCTACAGGCCCAATTGGTGACCCCCGAGCCTCACCTTCCCTGAGGTCTTCACGCCCTTCCAGAGGCTGAAGTAGAGCAGCACGATGACCAGCACCAGGCAGGCTGTGAGCTGCCACCGCGGAGGCCCCAGGTCGTCGATGCCATGGCTCTGGTGGAGGTGCAGCACGCCACGTCTGCAGAGGGGAGTCAGCGGGGGACTCTGTGGGTGGCTGTCAACCCACCTGGAACTGGACGGCTGAGCTTGTCCGGGGACCTGCCCTCCCCATCTCAGCAGGGCAGAAAGCATCCAGTCTGATGGACAAGAGATGCCTTCCAGGGAGGTCTGGCCCACAGGCCCTGGCAGAGGTGTCAGGGCCGCCCTTGAAACCCGTGGAGCACGTGGGAGGCCCAGGAAGCCCTGCCTCACCATCTGCCCTTGGCACCCCTGCTCACTGGAGCTGCGGAGGCGGAGGGCACCTTGGGTCTTTGAAGAAAAGGAGCCACAGAAACCAAAAGGAAGTTGCTGAGCAATGCTGGGTGCCCACCACTGCCCAGTGCTGCCCAAGGTGCTGGGTGCCCACCGCTGCCCACGGTGCTGCCCACGCTGCTGGGTACCCACCGCTGCCCACAGTGCTGCCCACGCTGCTGGGTGCCCACCGCTGCCCACAGTGCTGCCCACGCTGCTGGGTGCCCACCGCTGCCCACAGTGCTGCCCACGCTGCTGGGTGCCCACCGCTGCCCACAGTGCTGCCCACGCTGCTGGGTACCCACCGCTGCCCAGTGCTGCCCATGGTGCTGGGTGCCCACCGCTGCCCAGTGCTGCCCATGGTGCTGGGTACCCACCGCTGCCCAGTGCTGCCCATGGTGCTGGGTGCCCACCACTGCCCACAGTGCTGCCCACGGTGCTGGGTGCCCACCGCTGCCCAGTGCTGCCCAAGGTGCTGGGTGCCCACCGCTGCCCACAGTGCTGCCCACGGTGCTGGGTACCCACCGCTGCCCACAGTGCTGCCCACGCTGCTGGGTGCCCACTGCTGCCCAGTGCTGCCCATGGTGCTGGGTGCCCACCGCTGCCCACAGTGCTGCCCATGGTGCTGGGTACCCACCGCTGCCCACAGTGCTGCCCACGCTGCTGGGTGCCCACCGCTGCCCACAGTGCTGCCCACGCTGCTGGGTACCCACTGCTGCCCAGTGCTGCCCAAGGTGCTGGGTACCCACCACTGCCCACAGTACTGCCCAAGGTGCTGGGTACCCACCACTGCCCACAGTGCTGCCCACGCTGCTGGGTACCCACTGCTGCCCAGTGCTGCCCACGGTGCTAGGTGCCCACCGCTGCCCACAGTGCTGCCCACGCTGCTGGGTACCCACTGCTGCCCAGTGCTGCCCATGGTGCTGGGTACCCACCGCTGCCCACGGTGCTGCCCATGGTGCTGGGTACCCACTGCTGCCCACAGTGCTGCCCACGGTGCTGGGTACCCACCGCTGCCCAGTGCTGCCCATGGTGCTGGGTACCCACCGCTGCCCACAGTGCTGCCCACGCTGCTGGGTACCCACTGCTGCCCACAAGACAGCCCCAGGGTCCCTCTCCAGGGATGAGGCCGAGCAAACTCTAGCAATAATGCCAGGCACACAGGCACCAGCCAGCACTGTTTTCTGAGGGGATGGCTCACGACACCTGCTCACAGCCCCTGCTGCTATGAGGATTCCACAAGGAACAGATTCAGTGGATGACTCTGCTCCAGCAGGAATCACTCGCAGTTCCACTGTTTTTTGAAGGATCCCTCAGAAAGGGCAGAACAGAGGGTGAGGGATGGAGCTGACCATCGGCTGTGCTCCTTGCCCCAGGCACAGGTCCTGGGCCCCCTGTCTGTGGGAACTCATTCCATCCTGGTGACACTCTCTGTGGGAGAACATGCACCAGGCTACATGCAGTCAGCTGCGTCACCACTGCAGACTGTGACTTGGGGCCAAGACAACTGTAACAGCCGTGCCGCTGCCACCGTAGAGTCAGGAGCTGTGACAGACAGAAGCCGCGTTATGAAAGGAGCTCCCACTGCCCAGGTTTGCTTCTGTTGTGGGTCCACTGAGGTCCCCAGGAGATAAAACCTGACACCCATGGTGGAGCCCGGCCGAATGCAGCCTTGGGGAGCTTTCCACCAGCTGCAAGGCATTCCAGGGCCATGTCCCAGGAATTCGGCTCTTCAAACTCCAGACACCCTGGCTGTTGCCAACAGGGAAGGCCCCACGAGCCCTGAAAGCGCTGGACAGTGCCTCCGTCCTATCCTGGAGGGCGCCCAGGCAGAGGCCCCAGGTTGGCACAGGCCCCAGGTTGGCCGGGTGGGCAGATGGCTGCACCACTGAAACCATCGCCACCATTCTCTGCTCTTCTCCAAGGGCAAGCCGCTCAGTCAAGAGGCTATCCGTCACCCGCACTGTGCAGGGAAAGTTGTCTGAGCTGGTGGAGGTCACGCCTGCCCTTCCTGGGGCAGTGGGGACTCCCAGGGCCTTCTTCTCACTCCTCCTGCCACACACCAGGCTCTGCCCCTGCTGGCCAGTCCCCGTCGTTCTGCTCCCCCAGCAAGGTCTCATCACTGAGAGCTTCTGAGGCCTCCCAGCAACTTTGTGCAGCCCGGACCACTCCTCCCTCACTGCCCATGGTGTCACTGACCCCAGCATGCCACCCGCCCACGCCTTGGCAGCCTCAGTGCCTCACACACACACGTGCATGAATTATACACCCAGACCAGACAGCACACCCTCTCCCCTTGCCCAGGTGCCTGGAGAAAAGGCAAACTCAGTCAATGCCCATACATGGCACAGGCCCTCCTGGACCAGAGGGGGAGGCCCAGGGAAAGTGCGCTGCCCCACTCAGGGCCTTCTCACAAGGTTGCGTCCACAGCACACACAGCTGGCTCAGCATTAAACATGAAAGCAACTTCAGACGCAGCACCTTGACACACTGGGTCGAGCCCCTTCTCGAGATTAGAAAGTCACTGTGCTTTGAGGTTATTTGAAAACCCACAGACAATTTAGAGAACCGGACACTCCTGAGTGCTGTCAACCTGAGAAGAGGGGTCCCCAGAGCTGACCACAGCATGGGAACCAGCCATGCCAGGAGCAGGGGAAAGCTGTGCGTCTCCCAGCATGTCCATGCTTCTGAGGGCAGGGCAGGCGAGACCATCAAAGGACATCCGGGAAGGGGCATAAGTGCAGGCCTACGTGCAGGTGTTTCATAAGCCATAATAGTTGGGAGGACCAGAAAAGTGTTGGCCCAGGATGTTCACCAGGCGTGGAAAAGACACAGCACCTCCCAATTTCTACTGGGCTCTTTTTCCTGGTGAATTCCTGGCCATGATTCAATTGGGTGACAGTGGAGCCACTGGTGGTGATCCAGGCATGCTCAGGCCTCCCATGCATCATTGTGATGACCTCACAGCAGCCCTCTCACCCCGTTTTACCAAGAGGGAGCCAAGGCAGTGAGGTGGTGAAACAAGCTTCCAAAGGATAAAATTGTGCCAAAGCACGTTAACTTCCTATTAGAACAAATCTAACACTCTCTAAACAAAGACGACAAGAGCTAAATACCCATTAGTATAAAACTCACCAAGTCTAGCATCTAATAAAAAATTACTAGACATGACAAGAAGCAAGAAATGTGATCTACAACCAGAGGAAAATCAGTGAACAGCTACTTCACATGATATAGAAAAATTAACCCAAAATGGATAAAAGAGCCAAATATAAGGGCTAAAACCATAAAACTCTTGGAAGAGAACATAGGGTAAATTTTCACAATCTTGGACTTGGCAATGGTTTCTTAGATATGACACAAAAGATGAATTAGACTTCATCAAAATTTAAAACTTTTGTGCACTGAAGGATGCTATCAACAGAGTAAAAAGGAAAACTACAGAATGAGAGAAAATATTCGCAAATCACCTATTAATCTGAAAAGAGAATAATATCTAAAATATGTAAAGAACTCCTAAAACTCAACAACAAAAAAACTGACAGCCCAATTCAAAAATGGGCAAAGGACTTGAATAGACATTGCTCCAAAGATGGTATACAAATGGCCAATAAACACATGAAGAGATGCCCAACAGTCACTAATCATTAAGGAAATACAAATCAAAAATACAATGACAGACCACTTCACACCCATTAGGATGGCTATGATCAAAACAAACAAGCAGAAAGTAAGTGTTGTCAAGGATGTGGGGAAATCAGAACCCTTGTTCCGATTTGCATCCACTGTGGGAAACAGTGTGGTGGTTCCTCAAAAAATTAAACACAGAATTATCACATAGCTCCAGCAATTCAACTTCTGGGTATCTACTCAAAAGTAGGTACTCAATATTGAGGTTCATAGCAGCATGTTTTTACAGTAGCCAAAATGTGGAAGCAACCCAAATGTCCATCAAAAGATAAATAGATCTGGCCAGGTGTGGTGGCTTACATTTGTAATTGCAGTGCTCTGGGAAGCTGAGGCGGGAGGATTACTTGAGCCCAGGAGTTTAAGACAGGCCTGGGCAACATGGCAAGACCCCACTTTACAAAAAATTTTAAAAAATTAGCTGGATGTGGTGTCACATACCTGTAGTCCCAGCTACTTGGGAGTCTGAGGCAGGAGGATTGCTTGAGCCCAGAAGGTCAAGCCTGCAGTGAGCCGTGATCATACCACTGCACACTCCAGCCTGGACAACAGAGTGAGATCCTGTCTCTAAAAAGGAAAAAGATAAATGGATAAACAAAACATGATATATCCATACAATGGAATTGAAATATTATTTGGCCTTAAAAAGGAATGAAATTCTGGTTCTGAAATTCTTCAATAAACCTTGAAGACATATGCTAAGGAAAATAAGGCAGTCACAAAAAAATAAGTGATTCTACTCAGAGGAGGGACCTAGAGTAGACAAATTCACAGAGACAGAAAGTAGAATGGTAGCTGCCAGGGGCTGCAGTGAGGGAGGATGGGGACTTAGTATTTAATGGGGACAAAATTTCAGCTTTGGAGGAGGAGAAAGTTCCAATGGATGATGGTGATGGTTGCACAACATGTGATTGTACCTAATGCCACTGAACTGTGCACTGAAAAATGGCTAAGGTGGTAAAAGCAATGCTATGTATAGCTTACCACAATAGCCCCCCAAGAAGGCAAAATACTTTTGTGTAAAGCCCAAGCTGAATCACTGCCAGCAAGTCTACGCTATGAGAAATGTTAAAGGAAATTCTTTAGATGGAAGGAAGATGGTCTTAAATGGAAACCCCAATCTACATACAGGACCGGACAGCACTAGAGATGGTGCCTATGCAGGTAAATATAAAACATTTCTTTGTTAGATTTATTTAAAATGTAAATGCTTAAAGCAGAAATAACAGCAAGGTATCATGGAGTTGATACATATTGTAGAAAAAATCTATGACAACAATTGCACAAAGGATGTGAGGAAAACAGAAGTCTACTGTTGTAGGCCCTTCTGCTCTGTGAAACGGTATCATGTCACTTGAAGGTCAGTGTTGTAAACCCTATAAAATCCACGAAGAAATGAAAACAGAAAGCTATAGTTTATTAGCTAATAGTGTTGATAAAATGAAAGCCTAAAAAATTAATTCAAAACAGGGAATAAATAGAGGAAACAAGAAACAAAGAAGAGAGGGGGCAAAAAATTAGCACAATGAAAGACTTAAAGCCAGCCATGCTGACAATTATTGAATGGAAACTCTAATTAAAAAACAGAGATTGCCATATTGGATAAAAAGCACAACCAACTCGATGGTGTCTACAATAAATCCATTTTATATATAATGACACATATAGTTTAAAAATAAAAGGCTGGAAAAGATAATACCACACAAACAGTAATGATACGAAAGTTGGGGTGGCCATATTACTATCAGACAAAGTAGACTTCAGAATGAGAAATCTAACCCAGAAGGATAGTTCAAATGGTAAAGCGGTCAATTCAAAGACTAATAATAATAAACATGTATGCACTTCATAGCAGAGTTTCAAAATATGTGAATGAAGCAAATACTGATAGAAGTGAAAAGAAATAGACAAATCTACAGTTACAGTTGAGATTTCAGTACCCCTTTCTCAGTAACTGATAGAGCAAGTGGACAGAAAACCAGTAAGGATGTAGAAAACCTGAAAAACACAGTGACCTAACATAACCTCTCTGACATTTATGCAACTTTCCAACCAAAGACAGCAGAATACATATTCTTTCTAGGTGCATGTGGAACATTCACCAGTGTAAACCATCTAGTAGGTCATAAACAAGTCTCAATATATTTTAAAATATTAAAGATGTATAAGCATATCATCTTGCCAAAACAGAATTAAATTAGAAATCAATAACAAAAATACCTAGCAAACTTCCAAATATTTCAAATTAAACAACAAACTTCTAAAAATGCCCTGTTAGTCAAATAGAAATCAAAAGAAAGATTAGGGAATACTTTGAACTGAATGAAATGAAAACACAGCATATCAAACTTTGTGGGATGCAGCTAATGCAGTCCATTTGAGGCAAATTAATAGCTTTAATTTATAACTTTATAATTTATATTAGGCAGTGTCGATAAGTATTTATGGAAGTGGGGAAACTGTAAACTGGTCACAGTTATGTGGTCCTGTGTTGGGGTTTTGAAATGAAAACACAGCATATCAAATGTGTGGGATGCAGCCAATCAATAATCTCCAGGTTCCTACAAGGAAGGGTTCCTTTTATTTCTCTCCAGGAACCATTTCTGCCACCTCCCTCTGGTGGGTGGGCTGCTGCCCAAGAAGGAAGTGGCAATGCAGGAAGGCTGGCTGGGACCCCTGGGGGCCAGGGGTGCCAGCAACTCCCACAGGATACGTTTCATTTGCCAACCCTGAGGAACACTGGGTGTAGGAGCCAGCACTGCACACGGCATTCATGGCACATGGAGGAAGCACCATTAGTGGGGCAGCTCAGCAGTCTTTTCTGACTTAGGGCCCAGAAGACATGGCCAGCGTCTCACCCAGGCCTCACGGTTACTTCCTGAGGACCTGTAGTAAAAACGCACGATAAAGCCCTTTCAGATCTACTCTTGCTAACATCTTAGTTGTCAAATTTATGACACGTCATGTTTCGTACATTGTGTAGGAAACTCAATCCCTTTTGTGTTTACTGACAAAGTCAGGCATGCCCATTATCTAGGACAAAGAGCTGCACTGTCACACATCACAGCCACTCTGGCCTTTATGGCCTTTCACAGTGAGACATCCACTCCCTGATTACATGCGCTGGCAGGAACCCGACATCCTTTGTCCAGTGATCTGCTTTATAAAGCAGGTTTGAAATCCAGAACACCCCTGGCAGACCTGAGTACGTTATGACTGTCCTCCCTGCTCCCCAAGAGTCACTGGGGCCTGTTTCAGGGGAACCTCAGTCCCACTGGTGGGAAAATCACCTTCAGAAGGTGTGGGAGGAGTGCCAAGCACCTCAGTGCCTTGGGTCATTAATCATTTGTGAATTGATCTTAAACCTTCTCCAACTCCCCACGTCTGCTCTTGAGCTGCCGCCAGCTAAAGTGTACCACGTGCCAGTGCGGACAGGGCTTCTGAGTGAAGGGCTGGGCACCTTTCTGTTTCCTTCCTTCCTTCCAGACTGAGAACTTCCAAATAGACTTCGCTAGTCTGATCGTTTAAAATAATAACACGTGTTCTTTCCTTCTAGCATTCTTAACAACGAATCACTGGACTAATCACTACACTAAGTTTTCCTCTCCAATTCTGTTATCTGAACATCACTTCAATGAGTCAACATTTCCCACACTGCCCAAACAAAAGGAAGGCAGTCCCCACATGGCAGCACTTGGCAGCTTTAACAGGGCGTTGGGTACCGGGAACTCTCAGGCTCTTGCCCTGGTGGCACCTCTGCGGCCACTGCCCCTGGCTCTGTGTGCCCCCCACTTTCTCCTGCTGTCCCCTCTCTTTGATCACATGCTAACCCTGAGAGCTGGGCACACAGCAAGAGCACATGCAGCCCAGGCCTGGGGTGTTCATAGGGTGTTTAATTAGGGAAATGTAGGTGTGAACAGGCCATCCACACGCAATGGGAGTTTTCTCCCTCGAGAATGTTAAAATCTACTTGGACAAATGGTGTGACTGTGCATTATTTGGACAATTTTATCATTTCCCGCTTGCCTGTCACCCACGAGAGTCCTGCCCAGACTCTCCCACGACCTTGCCTGCAGCTGCGCTTCCTATGGCGATGCTCGTCCAAGTGTCTTCAGGCAAACAACCAGGACTCATCCCGGGTGCATCTTCTCTCCCGCCTGCCCCACCTTCTGAAACCAGCCCTCCTCCCATGAGCGTCTTCCTGGCGCCCCAGCCTGGACTCTCTCTCCTCCTGCTGGGTACTTGGTGGGCCACTCTCTCCCATCGTGGCACCGTCCTCCTCAGAGTTCGTCACTCTTGTCCACTCCCAAACCACAAGAAAGGCCCACACAACGCTCACCCCACGCGACCCATGGTCTTCCTCATGCTCTAAGAAAAACGCCGGGTGGCCCCCCAAAACCTGCCTCCGCCCCGGCTCCTCACCTCCAAGGCCAGTCCCGGCAATATGCTTCCATGCCCGAGGAGGAATTCTAGAACCAAGCACTTGGGTTCTGAATATCTGAGTGCAGAGCAGTTTGAGAGACCGAACGCCTGCCCACCATGAGAACTGGTCCCTTTCCGGCAGCATCAGCCCTACTTTCTCCAAGCCACACCCTCCGGCCTGCCCGAAGGCTCCATCTCAGCCATCTCTGACAAGACCCCCAGGAGAGGGCGAAGGTCCCTTCCTTGCAGGAAAAGACCTCAGTGATGTCTGTTGATACGGTTTTCAGATATAGAAAGCATCTCTCTGGGAGGCTGTGCGCCCCGAAGGTGCCCTTGCAGACCAAGACCAAAGTTCTCGGGGATGATCCTCCCCCAGCAGAGGCGAGGTGGGGGCTTCTCTGCTCACCGTGACTTGTACAAACTTAACATGAGATGCTTCATTTGCTTTCAAGCTCCCTGTTTTCTGACTCAAAACAAATTTTGCAAAGGCACCTACTGGCTGTTAAAACTGGAATTAGTCTTACTGGTCAAAGTTCCTTTTCCTACCTTGAAGTGGACTCATTTTGGCATATAAACGTGAATAAGATGCGTCTAACCAGGCAAGCGAGCCCCCCAAACAGGAGCGCCCTGGCTGACGGGAAACACTGGATCTGGGGAGAATCGCGCAAACGTCCTCTCCTCCTCTCCAAAATGACGGCTGAGTCGAAGAGTCCGCCTGTCAGAACGGCGACCCGGCACGAGGCCCCAGGCCCGGCTGGCGAGGGCAGGAAGATGTGGATGGCACCCGCCAGATCCAGATTCCGGGAGGGGTCCAGGGGAAACAGGGAACCCCTGGGTGTCAGTAACGACCCTTCCAGGCTGGGCCAGGCCATTGGTGACGAGGGAGGGCCAGCAGGAGCTGGCACGGGGCCCAAAAGGACTTCATCGGAGACATCGGGGTCCAGGAAAGCAGGTGCTGCAGGTGGATGGTGAGGGGCGGGCCTGGCCTGGGTGGACAGTGAGGGACGGGCCTGGATGGGGTGGACTGTGCGGGTTGGGGCTGGTCGGGGTGGACTGTATGGGTTGGGCCTGGCTGGGATGGACAGTGAGGATCAGGCCTGGCCGGGGTGGATAGTGAGGGATGGGCCTGACCAGGGTAGACAGTGTGGGTTGGGTCTGGCCGGGGTGGACGGTGAGGGGTGGGCCTGGCCGGGGTGGACCATGAGGGGCGGGCCTGGCCGGGGTGGACGGTGTGGGGTGGGCCTGGCCGAGGTGGACAGTGAGCGAGGGGCCTGGCTGGGGTGGACTTTGTGGTTTGTGCCTGGCTGGGGTGGACAGTGAGGGTTGGGCCTGGCTGGGGTGGGCAGTGAGGAACTGGCCTGGCTGGGGAGGACTGTGCAGGTCAGGCCTGGCCAGGGCAAAGGGAGAAGGAGACAGAGACCCAGGAGGCTGCTGGACATGGGATACGCTGGCATGGGAGGTGGAAAGAGGCCCAGAGACAGAAATAAAGCCATGCAGGTAAACAACAAAACAAAGTCTTGTGAAAAGCGGACGGCTGGGTCACCCTGGAGACAGGGGCTGCCTACTGAAGCCAGAGACTTCTTGCGCAGTGACACCCAGAAAGTTATCTTTTCTGGAGAGGGCAAGGGCCGGAGTGAGGCAGTTCGGCCCCATGCTATGCACAGAGGAAGGGTAGGGAGGAAGGGAGCCCAGACATGGGGCTGACTCACTCCAGAGGCGCCACTGCAGCTCCCAGAGACTGGAGCTTGCCCACCTTCTGCACAGGGTCTGCTGTGTTCCCCATCAGCCCCCTCCCACCCTGAGCTGCCGCTGGGAGCAGCCAAGGGAGCTGCTCAGTGCCCCATCCTTGCTGAGGGCTCGCCCTACAGGAGCTTTGCTGAGCTCCTGGAGACCACCACAGTGATTCAGAAATGTGCCCCTCCAGAGCACTAAAGGGATGGAGTGCAGGAACAGATTCCCCCTCCCCGCACCCTGGGAGTCAGCAAGGGCTGGTGTCCAACCAAGGGGCTACCATGGGGGACCTGGCTGCGCCATCTCTCCCGTTCCCGAGGACCCGACTCCCACTTACTCAAAGTACTCGGCAGCAGGTGTGGTCCCAAAAGTGTCGTTGAGGCCCGAGCTGTCTCCACTGGAGTCACCAGGATGGGCATCCGAGCAGTTGGGGCTGTTCCAGGAGTTGTTGCAGTGGATCCAGGGGAGCTCCGTGGTGAAGGAGGAGAAGAGATAGTGCAGCGCCCAGGCGATGATGACGTTGTAGAAGAAGCCGACATACAGTGAGATGAGGATGACCGTGAAGCCCACACCTAGCGGGAAGGGGGAGGCCATGGAGCCCACGCAGGTGGAGCACAGAGCCACCATCAGCAACGTGTCCCTTCCACCTCCCCTCACGGGAGACATTACCCTGAGCCCACAACTCCTGGACAGCCCTGATGCCAGACAGCATCTTCAAACATGCAGGGAAGGCCCGTGAAAGGCCTGAGACCAGATTTCACACTGTGACCACAGAGAAGAAGCTGCCCACTCCCCAAAACCATGCACTCCTACACAAGGACTTTCAGGGTGTCTCTGAGAGACATCCAGAGCCAGCAAGGTCACCCAGAGCTATGGCGAGTATCCAGGGCCACCCTTATGCACCCAGAGACCCCCAGGGACACCAAGGTCACCCCCAGCCACATATGGTCATCCATCCCCACCACAGCCACTCAGGATCCATAAGAGTCATCCAGGATCATTGAGGCCATCTAGGGGGTACTCTGGGTGACCCAGGGCAACCCAACTCATGGTTAACCAGGGCTATCAGGCCCATGTGAAACCATCAGAATCATCCACGGCCACCCAGAAGCACCCAGGGCTACCTAGGGAGCCCATGCAAATAGGGCCATCAAAGGTCGTCTAGGGTTACCCAGGAACACCCAGTGTCTCCCAGAGCCATCAAGACTGCCAATAGTCACTAAGGGACACCTGGGGTCCTTGACAGCCATCCACAGCCACCAGGCTCATTCAGGACTATGGAGGGCACCCAGGACCACATATGGCCACCCAGGCTAATCCAGGGCCACTTTGAGTCGCAAAGGGCCATCCATGGCCATCCACAGCCATCTCCATTCATCCACAACTATCCACGGTCAGCTATAGCCATCCTCAACCATTCATGGCCATCCACGGCCATCCACATCCATCCGCAGCCATCCACAACCATCCATCCATCCACAGCCATCCACAGTCATCCATGGCCATCCACATCCACCCCTGGCCATCCACAACAATCCACTGTCATTCACAACCATCCACAGCCATCTACAGACATCCACAACTATCCATGGTCATCCATAGCCATCCACAACCATTCATGGCCACCCACATCCATCCACGGCCATCCACAACCATCCATCCATCCACAACCATCCACAACCATCCACACCCAACCACAACCATCCACATCCATCCACAGCCATCCATAGTCATCCATGGCTGTCCACAACCTCCCACATCCACCCGGCCATCCACAACAATCCATTGCCATTCAAAACCATCCACAGCCATCTACAGACATCCACAGCCATCCACAGCCATCTGCATTTGCCCATAACTATCTACGGCCACCCATGGCCATCCACAGCCACCCATGGCCATCCAGAGCCATCCATAGCCATCTATGGCCATCTGTGGCCATCTATAGCTGCTCATGCCTCTCCTGCAAGACTACTCAGAAGAGTCATCTGAGCTCATTTACAGCCATGTGGAGCCATCCAAGGTCACACTACCCATGCATGACCATCCAGGGTTTCCTAGAATCACCCAGGGCCACGTAAGACCACCAGGGTCCACCCAGGGCAGGTAAGATCATCCAGGGCTTCCTTGGGCCACCCAGAGCCTTGCATGACTATGAAGGACTACTCAGAGCCATGTTTGACCTTCCGAGGCCTTCCAGGGCCATGCAAGACCATCAAGGACCAGCCAGGGCCATCCATGGCCATGCAATGCCATCCACGGTCTTTTAGAGTGTCCTTTCCAGGATCACAGACCTGGAATTTGGGATCCATCATTTATGGGGTCTCCTGGTAAACTGGAACAGAACTCAGTGGTCAGCAGTCTTTGGAGTGGTGTCAGCCTGACTGGTGGGCAGATGGGCCTGGTGGTCAGATGACTTCCTCCTTGTTCACTGCTGGATGGGCACCATCACGTTCTTGCTACTGGGGTTCACTTTACTAAGCTCCAGGAAGAATTTTTTTCATTTCCACATTTCTTCTCAGTTTACTGACATGATTAGTTTGGGTACAACTTTGATTTACTTTATTAAAACCCAGTAGGCACCATGCCGTCTTGCCTGTTCATGGCCGGGGTAGGAGCATACCTTCAAGGTGACTTTTGCAGGGGGTGGCCTGGGTTGCTTTTTATAGTCTCAATCCTTAGGAGAAGCTGTTCTCATGCTCAGGGCACCTCAGTAAAGTTCTCTTCCTACCTTGAAAGCAAAAAGAAGACTCAAAACTTTGTTTTAAACAAATCTAAGATCAGGAGTGCGGGTAATCCCCCTTGGAAAGCATGCTCAGTAGTGGTGACGATGAAAGCCAAGCTGCTGCCTTTGGAAGGTCTTCTCCTATGTGGATCTGGTCCATATTAAATAATTCTGTATTGCAGTCTGTCATGGATTGCCTTTGAAAAGCCTTCTCCCATATGGATCTGGTCCATATTAAATAATTCTGTATTGCAGTCTGTCACGGATTGCCTTTGGAAGGCCTTCTCCCACGTGGATCTGGTCCATATTAAATAATTCTATATTACCGTCTGTCCGGAGTCCCTTAGGAGAGAGGCTGGGTTGTGATCCACAGTGAACTCACCCAGGCAGCCAGGTTGGGAGCCACACTGTCGGTGAGCCACATTGTTTCCAGAGAGCACTGTGGAGGGTTTTCCATGGTGGTAACTGACAATGGATGCCCAATTTGAAAATTTTTCAAGGTTAAAACTTTCTGTATCAAGTCCTTAGCTTGAAACCCTGGGAAGTCCTTGATCAAACAACACCAGAGTGGATCCCAATCCAGAGTCCGAAGGAAGGGCTGAGTGTACCCTGGGTCCTTCCAGAGCCACTGCTTTTGTTTCCTGCCCTGCACCACAGATTGGCAGGGCCACCATGGGAGCATGACATCACCATGGCCACTGTGCATGACATCACCACTGGCCACACTGGCTGATGCGGCTCCCAGAGCAAATGGGCCTGCTCTGATCCATGGGACAGTGCAGCCCCCACACCAGAGTCCCCCTTACCAAGAGGACCCCTCCTGGTTGAGGATGCTTCCCTGGGCACCTGGGTGAGGAAATGGCTCCCTTGAACAGTGGTGGCCAGTCCCCTCCTGGATGCTTCCCTGGGCACCTGGGTGAGGAAATGGCTCCCTTGAACGGTGGTGGCCAGTCCCCTCCTGGATGCTTCCCTGGGCACCTGGGTGAGGAAATGGCTCCCTTGAACGGTGGTGGCCAGTCCCCTCCTGGATGCTTCCCTGGGCACCTGGGTGAGGAAACAGCCTTGAACGGTGGTGGCCAGTCCCCTCCTGGATGCTTCCCTGGGCACCTCGGTGAGGAAATGGCTCCCTTGAACAGTGGTGGCCAGTCCCCTCCTGGATGCTTCCCTGGGCACCTGGGTGAGGAAATGGCTCCCTTGAACGGTGGTGGCCAGTCCCCTCCTGGATGCTTCCCTGGGCACCTGGGTGAGGAAATGGCTCCCTTGAACGGTAGTGGCCACTGTCAGCACTGGCCAGGCATTCGGTTGCTCCAAGCCCTGCCCTTCAGGAAGGCAGAGCCCGTGACCTGGGCCACTGACGTGTAGCCCCTCACCAACCAGCCAACTTCACCACGAGCTCCTCAAGCTCACCGAAGGCCCAGACGCAGGAAACCCACTACCCTGTTGGCTACAGAACCTTCTAGTGATCTCTGCTCATGACATCACTGTGGGCTCCAGATGAAGCTTCACCTGACACATTTCTTAAACACCATTTAGTGACACGGGAGACTGTCTCCCCAAGGAGGTGGCAGGCAAAGTCCCTGCTCGCGTTTCCAGGGAAAACATTCATGAGAACATGGCGCTTCCCTTCCCTCCTGTCTGACTCCCAGGAAGCTCGGCGCTAAGTGTGAATTTCAAGCATAGCTTTTAAGGCCCATTTCCTTAAATTTATTTTTGCTTAGTATCTTTTTCTTTATATTAACCTTGTGTGTAGTTTGTTTTGTGTTTGAGAAATCACACTAAAATATGACTGACTATAAAATATTTTATATTCAATACAATCGAATGGTGGGGTTTCCAGGGCGTCTGTAAAATGGGGTTGCCCTTGGCAATGAAACCGAAACCTGACAAACAGAAGCTGGCTGAGGGTCGTGCCTGCAAATGGTGCTTCGCCCACCAGAGCACGGCCACCCTGCCCCACCCCTGAACACCAGTACACCCCAGGGCACCCACGAGAGCTGGCTTCAGGAGAGGGTGTTGTCAACGCATGCACGGATCCCGCTGGAGGAAGCCTCTGGTGGAGCAGCCCCTCCATACCTCACAGGAGGCATCAAGCAGGTCTTTGGAAGAAAGACGGGAGAGGGCCGGGCACGGTGGCTCACTCCTGTAATCCCAGCACTTTGGGAGGCCAAGGCAGGCGGATCATGAGGTCAGGCAATCGAGACCATCCTGGCTAACACGATGAAACCCCGTCTCTACTAAAAATACAAAAAATTAGCGGGGCGTGGTGGCACGCACCTGTAGCCCCAGCTACTCGGGAGGCTGGGGCAGGAGAATCGCTTGAACCCGGGACGCGCAGGTGACAGTGAGCCAAGATCGCGCCTTTGCACTCCAGCCTGGTGACAGAGCGAGATTCCGTCTCACAAAAAAAAAAAAAAAGAAAAGAAAAGAAAAGAAAGAGGGGAGAGGACGCCTCTCTGTGTCAGTCTGGGTGTCTTTAGTATGTGCTTGCTGTGTGTGCATGTACCCGAGAGACAGAGAGGAGAAGAGACAGAACAGGAGAGAGACAGAGAGGAGAAGAGACAGAACAGGAGAGACACAGAGAGGAAAGGAGGGAGAGAGACAGAAAGAGACACAGGGAGAGGGAAAGAGAGCGAGGGGAAGGGAGGAGACGGAGAGTTTTAAAGACCCACCTCTCAGGACCCTGGGGTGCACTGCGGGGCTGAAGGCCCCAGAGGCCCCTCTGGCTGTGGTGCCCATCCCAAGCTGCTCTGGTGAGACTACGGGAAATGCACGTGAGTCATGGCTGCTGAGCAGCTGGGCCTCACCATGAACTCCGCCCTCTGGCTTTCAAGGGTGGATCTTGGCTCCCAGTTAGGAGCAGGGAGCAGCTCGCAGGTCTGCAGGAGGGGAAGGGCCAGGAACAACCAGGCTTCCTGGAGAGCTGGCTTCATTCCCCCATGGAATTGCCACCTGCTCAGGGCTGGATGGCCTTTTAGCTCCACAATGATTGTTGTGGGCACTTTAGCTGATGTCTTAATTTACCACGTGGCACTTCTATTCAATGAGACATGAAAACGTATGCATTTTTATTAACCAGATTTTTAAAAAGGACAAAGGCACATGTATCAGGGTGCCGGGGGTGCATGGTGTACATCTGATTTCATAAGCAATGTCAGTCTCCTCTAAACTGGCATCCTGCGCTTGACAGGTAGGCAGAACAAACGGGACGCTGGCACCGGAACCTGCAGCGTTACTGAGATTCAACAACTCAAGGTGTCTCGTCTCTAAAAAGAAGTCCAGCTTTCTTGCACTGATTCATCTATCCCTTCGTGGGTCGAACAGTTCACTTTCTGTGATTTGCAATTTTCCTTCCTCACCAGGACTAGGTGAGTGTGAACAAGCTCTTCCAAAGATCCGCCCGCAGGGCCACGAGCCTTCCTTCCTGCGGCCACACTTTGCAGCCCTCCTCTGGGACTAGTCTTCAGAACGAAGCTGGCGGCATGGAATGCGGGATTGTGGGCACAGGGTCTGTGACACAGAGGAGACGACTGCCCAGCTTACCCCGGCTGCGCATTGTGGAGAACACGATGATATGCCCACATCCGCCGGCTGCATTTCTTCAGAACGAGGTGCCACTGCTCACGCTGATGGAAGTCAGAGGTTCTCTACTAGCCCAAGTTGAGTTGGTGCTCTGAAATTCTTAGAAATTGCTTCTTGACATTTTATGGACTACACCATGAAGACCCACAACGGCAGCTTTGTTGGTGAACATCCTTTCTGTGTGACAGACGGAAGGAAATGAGCTCTTATCTGCGGACCTACAGGTCCCTTTTTCTCCTGCCCTCCTCACCTGAATCCTGCACGTGAAGAGGTGATTTAACTTGCTCCAACACCAGGCTCACTGGCGGGAGTGGGGCACAGGGCTGTGCCTTGTAAGACACTTGTGACAGACTCCAGGGTGGCTCTTGAAAATCCAGCAAAGCACAGTTGGATGTCGCTGCAGCCTGTGCCAGAGCACAATGTCATCTTTCCTCAGTTTCCCCTACCCCAGTGGGCCGGCTTCATCTCTGACTCAGCATCCCAAGGCTCTGAGCCCTCAGATACTCTCCAACACGGACCACGGTGCAAGCTCAGCATCGCTTACGACTGCAGGCTCAGAGGCAGCACTCCTCTCTGAAACACGTCCGTGCCGCTGGCCAGGGCCAGGCAGGACACAGGTAACGCGTGTGTCTTGAACTGTTAGCCTGGGTTCACTGCAACGCCGGATTTGACACGCGCCCCTGTCTGTCTGTAACAACAGGCCTGGGTCTTCCGTTGGCTGCTGCATTCTTCCATTGGGGACCTGATATCAGGGACCTGACGACGGGGACGGAGGCATGTTCTGAGCAATTCTTGTACGGTTTGACTTCTACCTGCAGATCCCGCCAAGGGGTCGTCTGGCACCAGTGCATGCCCAAAGCATCTGTCTCTCACTCTGAAGATGTGTGTGGGGTGGGGGTGGGGGTGGGGGTGGGGAGGGAGGCCTCTTTTTGTAGCTCCATTTCAGTGCAGTCCAGTGAATGTGGAGCCCAGGAAGAAATTACTGAAGTCATAAGATTCACTAAGCAGCCCATTAAGAACGAATGAGTCTCGTGCCTGGGAAGAACCATCACACCTGTCCAGTCTCAGCATTTCCACGGCTGCGAGACTGACTTCTCCTCCTGGAGCCTGACCTCAGCAGCTGTGAAATGCCATCTGTTCCCTCTCCTAAGGGAGGTCAGCGGCTCGCCTCTGAAGGCCCACCCCTGACCCATTGGTAATGCGTCCTGGGGCCGTGCTGGGCTCGGCTGTCTTCTAAACACACAGCTTTTCCAGAACTTCTATGAGTATCCAGAGGCTGACCTTCTAGTAGTCATTTTCTTAATGCCAATTTTCTGAGTGGTGCCTCTGAGTAAATGCCTGAATCCTCCCTGAACCACCAGCCCCTGAGAGGTGGCTTTGGCCCACTGGGCAAGTGTGACCTGCGTGCAGGGATTGGGGAGTCAGAAACGTCTGGGATCAAATCCCACTCTGCTCTGATGGGGACACCAGGGGGAACGACCCCGGCCCTCTGGTCCTCAGCATCTGCATCTCCAACACAGAGACCTAGTGTGTGCCCTTCCCAGGGTCTCATGAAGATGGAGTCAGAAATGCTGGGAGAGGGCTTGGTGCTGGGCAGGCCACCTGCACTCAACACGAGGTGTGTCCATTTCATGGTGCCAGAGCAGGACATCAGCAGCCGGAAAGGTTCAGTGACAACTAGATGGATCAATAGCTAGTAGATAGGTGGATAGGTCGATAGGTGGATGGATGGATTAATCCATACATAGATGAATGGATGGATGGATGGAACAATGGATAACAGATGGATGAATGGATAGATGAATAGATAGAAGATGGATGGATGGATAGATCCATAGATAGATGAATGGATGAATGAATGGATGGATGGATAGATAGATGGATCGATAGGTAGATGGATGGATCAATAGATAATGGATGGATGGATGGATGGATGGATGATAGATCCATAGATAGATGAATGGATGGATGACTGGATGGGTGGATGAATGGATTGATAGGTGGATGGATCAAAAGAAAATAGATGGATGAATGGGTAGATGACAGACGGGTGAATAGATGATTGACAGATAATAGATAGATAGAATTGTGGGATGTGTCCCTCCCCCAAGTTCATCTGTTGAAGTTCTAACCCCGCAAACCTCAGAATGTGACTTTATTTAGAGACAAGGTCTTTACAGAGGTGATCAAGTTAAAGTGAGGTCATTAGGGTGTCCCTAATCCAACAGGACTTCTGGCCTCATAAAAACGGGGAATTTGGTTACAGAGATATGCATAGAAGCAAGAAGTATAAAGAGGCACAGGGAGAAGACAATCTCTGAGACAAGGAGAGAGGCTAGAACAGATGCTTCCTCACAGCCTCAGAAGAAATCAACCCTACAGACACCTTGATCTTGGACTTCCAGCCTCCAGAGCTGTGAGACAATAAACGTGTGCCTTTTAAGCCTCCCAGTTTGTGTCATTTGTTACAGCAGCCACAGGAAACAGATACAGATAGATGATGATGATAGATGGATGGATTAGGTAGATAGGTAGATAGATGGGTGAATGATTGATATAAAGACCAATAATAAAGATAGATAATGGATAGATAGATAACAGATGATTGACGGATGGACCGATGGATGATAGGTAGATGGCAGATCCATAGATAGACATGTGTTTTATCTTAACTACATTTTAGCATCTTGACAAAGTAACACCACAAATGAATTGCAGGACCCTCACCTAGAGCAAGGGAATGAACTATCCAGTCCTTGTCACTGCAGATCTTTAAGGTGGGACCCAAGTTCAAGTGGCGTGTGCCATGCCTGTGTCTTAGCAAAGCAGGGCTGGATGCCCATGATGCGGCTGGCTTGCTTTGAAAGCTCCAGCGTCACCACCATGATCCGCGCTGCGCCAGGGTGAAGGGAGGCACCCGCATATTACCTTTCAGTATGGGGCAGATCTTCCAGACACCAGCGGCCCCTTCCCTGTTGAACTGGCCGAGGGCCAGCTCCATGTAGAAAAGTGGCATCCCAGCAATGACCATGAAGAGCAGGTAGGGGACCAGGAAGGCACCTGTGGGGCAGAAAAGCACCTTTAGTTTGGGGCCTCGGAAGGGCCCATCTCTCCTCGTGGGAGCTTGGGCGGCTACCCCAGTCAACCATCCATGTCCTGGCCCGACCGTTTCACCCCACTCTCCAACGGGAAGTCCCAGGCTAGGGTAGATGAGTCCCGAAGCCCGCCCTCCACTGCTGTCAGTGCCTGACACGTCCCTCCTGGATCCCCTTGTCATTGCGCACCTCGAGCCATGAAGTCAAACCCAAGAGCAGCACAGGGAGGCCCTGCCCATGCTCAGCGGTGCTCTAGGTACTATCCTTCCCCGTGGTGGTTCGGGGTGCCCTTCCCTGGCCTGCGTCCCCCCACTTTGCCCTGATCCTCTTTGCCTCTTGAGTTGTGAATCTGTGACCCCCCAACTCTGCCCCTGAGCTGAGTGGGCCCTGCCGTCCTGTCCCCAGCTTCTGGGGCCCTCAGAGGCTGCCCCTATTGACTGTGGCTGAGGGTCTTTGCTGCCCCAGGTGCTGGGAGCCCCTCCAGGGTAAGGCCTAGTTCCTCTGAAACCTGCACCTCCCCCACCCCCAGCACAAAGCCCAGGGAACCCTGGTCTCAACCTCCTAAATTCCCTCTGCTCCCCTGGTCTGACTGGAGTGAGGGAGAGCTTTGCCACTCTCTCTCCTGGGGAAGGGGAGGGGGAGGCATGGGGCCCCTCAGCTCTGTCTTTGGGCAACTTCCTGTACCTGCTGAGGCCTCTGTCTTCCCCTCTTCAAGATGGGCATAAAAATGCCAGCCTCCTCGCAGGCATCCTGTGAGGCTTCCCCCCAGATTCTTCCCCAGGCCTCCCTTCCCAGACCTAGCATAGAGGCCAATGAGGGAGGCCAGGCAGGGAGGCTGGGAGGCCCAAAGAGGCTCCTGGGAAGGGATCACCAATGTTCTTGGACGTCCCCGGTGGCCCTGCCTCGATCTTCGCTTTCTGGCTCTGTGGCTGGGTTCTGGAGGGTGCAGGGGACACAGTCACTTTCCAGGGGCCTCCTCTGCCACTCCAGGCTCCAGGGCCTCCACATGCTTTGCAAAGGCTGCCAAAGTCAGCCGCAGGCTGTTCTTTGGACCTTTGAGAATTTTCTTTCCAAAGCGAAGATAGCCTCTGGAAACAGGAGGCAGAGCCAAGCTGCCCCGTCTGCCGCCCCCCACCCCCCAGCTTCTTCGCGGGCCTCCCTTTCCTAAACTCTGAAATGCAGGCGTGGGACAAGGCAGCTCCGAGTCCTGCTCAATGGTTTTGTGACATCCTCTGGGAGGATCTGCACCGGCCGTGAGCTCTCACAGGGAGCTCCGTCTTCACGCATGGGAACAGCTTCATCTCGTTTCCGTACGTGCCTTGGCCCCGGCTGCCCCTACGACCCCCGCCCGGCCAGCATGCTCAGGGAGGCTGAGATGGGACTTACCGCCACCATTTTTGTAGCACAGGTAGGGGAACCGCCAGACGTTGGCCAGGTCCACAGCAAAGCCAATGACGGACAGGAGAAAGTCGATCTTCTTGCCCCAGGTCTCCCGATCCTGGGCCTCCACGGGGCTCTGCCGCGGGTTGGTGAGGGTGGAGCTGGTGAGCTGCACTCCGTTCTGCTCCTTGACAAGGATGAGCTCCACCTCCTTCGGGCCCACGGCATTGGGCTCCTTAGCCGGGGCCACCACGGAAGACATGAGTCCCACGGAGCATTTGCTCTTACTCATGGGCACACTGGGAGTTGAGGAATTCTGTGCTTCTTCCCTCTTGGTCTTCAGCCAATATGAAAAATAAACACACAACAGGAACGCAACAATTCAGCAGCCAGGGCTAGGGACATACCTGGTGCGGAGGGCAGAGCCCCGAGGCATTCACGGGCATTCCTCTGGGAAGGGATGGGTGCGTTCTCAGCGCCTGAGATGGTACAGCTGGGGCACGGGAGCTGGGAAGTGCCAGCCCTCACCACAGGGCTGGGGCACTGGCCCATGGAGGCCTCAAGACAGACACTCTGGTTTGCTCCTCCTTCCCCTGCACCCCTCCCCACTCCTATCAAAGTGCAAGGCTGTGTGAGCTCTAGCGTGGCTTTCTACTAACAATGCATGGATATCACTTCCACCTTCCCCCACACTTCCAGAGAGCAATTTTACAATCTTCTAAGAGCATTCAATAATGTCTTCATGACTGTTCATCTGTATTCTTTTTTCTTTTTTTTTTCTTTTTTAACATGAGGTCTCGCTCTGTCACCCAGGATGGAATACAGTTGTGATTACAACTCACTGCCTCAACCTCCTAGGTTCAAGTGATCCTTGCACCTCAGCCTCCTGAGCAGCTGAGACTACAGGTGTGCACCACAGCACCGGCTAAGTTATTTTTGTGTGTGTTTTTTTGTTGTTGTTGTTGTTTTTTTGTAGAGACAGGGTCTGACTATTGTTGCCAAGGCTGGTTTTGAACTCCTGGTCTCAAGCGATCCTCCTGCCTCAGCCTCCCAAAGTGCTGAGATGACAGGCATGAGCCACCAAGCCTGGGCTTGTATTGTTTATACTCAGTAATAAAGAGCAAAATTTATATAAGCAAAATCAGCCACTGTAAAGAGAGTTTAGACATAACCATCACAACTGCTTCCTCAAAAAGTGTCTGTACAAGCCACATCCACCTAGGGCAGGTGGCACCACCCCGCGTGAGAGAGCTGGGCGGAGGATGGACAGGGCTTCATCGCGGGAACTAGCTCCTGGGCCAGCAGGGTAACCCGGGAAATCCTGTCCAAACGGCTACATAAACCCCCCTGCAACGCTGAGCAGGAGAGCAGGAGCGTCTACACCGCCCCAGCCAGGGCGACTTCTGTCATTTGGATCCAGCAGCAGCGTGTTTCAGTCGAGCGCACGCACACACAGACACACAGACACACACAGACTCACAAACACACATACACACTCACACACACACAGGCGAGCACATACACTTACACACATACACACTCACACTCACACAGGTGCGCACACACACACAACGACTGAAGCAGGTCGCAGGTGGAGGCTCTAACAGGCAACTTTCCCTGCATCCAAGTTTGCACAAAACCTCACCCATGAGCTATCACGAGCTATGCCACGCACCCGGTGACAACCTCAACCGGCACGACCCCTCCGGTGGGTAAAACACCCGACGAAGGGGTTCCGCGGCGCGAGCAGGAGGCCGCGTTGGGAGAGGGCGTCGGGTGCGGAGCTCGCGAGTCTCCGGCAAGCCGCCGCCGCCCTGGGGCCACCTGACCCCGCTCCTGAACGCGGGGCCTCAGAGGCGAGTTTTGGGTCTACACAGCAAAATGTGGCCCGTTAGAAAGCGTCCTTCCTCACCGCGCCCAGAACAAGAAGCGGCGCTGCCTGGCGAGTCCTCGCCCGGCCTCCCCGCCCTGCCCAGAGCACCAGCGCGCAGCCCGCGCCCGCCACCACCCCCAACACAGACAAAGCCCCCGCGAGATGGAGCGGCGGTGTACAAAACCCACTCCGATCGGATCTGGGATGCGCCGCACCCCTAGTAGGGTTAAGTTCCACGAGAAGAAACCAGGACCCCCGAGTCACAGCCATAGACACCCACGCGTCCCCTAAGCCGGTGACTGCACCAGGTGCCCACCCGGTTCTGAGCCTGGAGCGGGGCCAGGGGCAGCCCTGCACCCTCCTCGCGCCTCGGACGGCCTCAGGGTCCCATGTGGCGCTATCGGGGGGCGCTCGGCACCCGCGACTGTTGGCGACTTTGGAGACGGCGCGGTCTGCGGGACGCGGGGACCCCAGACTGTGCCCGGTCCCCGGCCCCCGCCCCTGCGCCCCACTTCGGGGTCTGCGGAAGGAGCGGGGCGCCCCGATGCCGCGAGCGACGCTGGCCTCACCTGGCCGCCCGGGCCTGGGCTTTGCACGCGAGTCCTGGCGCCGAGAGCGTTCCGCGAAGCCTCCCCTCCCGCTCCGCAGCGCTGGGCGGTCTCAGCCTCGGCCTCGGGCTCTTATCCAGTAGACAGGGTCCGCCCCGCCCCGCCCTCCCGCCGACGGGGTCGCCCTCGCGTCCTGGCTCCTCCTCCTCACCTCCCCGGGCCGCGCCCCCGCCCCCGCCTCCCGGACGCAGATGGCTGGGAGCAAGCGGCGGCCACGGCTCCACTGTCCTGCGCGTCCCGGAGCCTCGGACACGGGGTGCGGGGGCCTGGGGGTCCGAGACGTCGCGGATCTAGACGGGCGCCTTCCACGCGGGAACTGTCTGGGCCGCCCTGCGCCCTCGCCCGCACCCCTGGGGGCTGCCCCGGGCACCCGCTATCTTCGGACGCCCAGGGCTGGCGGCTCCCAGCTGGACGGGGAGGGAGCCGAGCGGCTGCGCGCGGGGAACTGCTGGGACCCCGTCGGGCCGACCCTTCCCTCCCTCCCCATCAGGGGCCCCTACGGTGGCCCCGCGCTCTGGGGACCACGTCCCTCCCACCCCGCCGCTCCACGCTCTGACCAGCGGGCTCGGGACCCCGCCGAGGACTCTGCACGCTTCCCGGCGTGCGGGCTGCGGAGACGCGGGTCCTTCCGTGGCCTTGGGGTCTCCGCGACCTCGAGGCGACCGAGGTCCCCTAGGCCTAGTCCCCGCCTTGCCGGCATCTAGTGCGCCTGCATCGGAACCGAGGGGCCCGCCTCGCACTCGCCTAAGAAAACCATTTCCCGGGACGGGCCTGGAAAGCCCTGGCGGTTGGTATCCGGCTCCAGGGCCGAATGGACTCCGAGGCTTTCCTTCCGAGATGCCCGGGCGGGATTTCTTCCATTCAGCGCGCGGAGGAATGGAGCCCCCAGGCCGCCAAGGCCCAGGATGTCCAGGTCCTTAGAAGGCACCGAGGTGAGTGGCCGCGCCCAGCTCTGTGCGTCGCCCCTAGGGTCGCCCGAACCCCGGCGTTCCTCCCCGTGTACCCTCGATGCTCCCGTGAGCACCCTGCCCTGGGCGTCCAGGCGAGCCCTGGGGCTCTCCAGCCATTCCAGCCTGCAGCCCGCGCTCAGCAGTGAGGGAGGCAGGGACCCTTGGTGCCTGACTCCGCAGTACCCGCCCGCAGCGCGGTGCCCCACCCCCTGCGCCCGCCCCGCACTCCCCGCACACCACCACTCCCCTCCCCGCCCCCCGCTCCCCCGCTCCCCGGCTCCGGGGCTGGCACCCAGGCAGAAGGCACTCAGGGCTGTGACTTCACGCTGAGTTGGAATCAAGTGGGAGCCTAGTGACCCCCTGGGGCTGCCATGACAAAAAACTCCACAGCCTGGGGGCTCACACAGAAGCCTTCAGTTCTAACGGTTCCGGTGTCCCGAGGCCAAGGCCTGGCCGACTCTGTGTCTGGTGAGGGCCGCTTCGGGGTTGCAGACAGTTCTCTCCCTGTATCTCCCCACGCTAGGGGCTGGGGAGAGCTCTCCGGGGTCTGTTTTATGAGGGCACTGGTCCCATTCCTCAGGGTGGAGCCCTCCTGGCCTGACCACCTGAAGGCCTCCTGACACCACCTCCCATCAGGGGTGGGACTTCATCGCCAGGGAGGTGAGGGGACTTCAGGAGAGGGGGATGTGCCACCTCGAAGCTGTAGTGTGTCAGTGGCTGCCACAGAAGGGATCTCTCTACCCCTATTATCTCCATGGCACAGGTTTCAATAAAAAGGAGTGAGCCAGGGCTTGGCCCCAGAGCAGCAGGGTTGAGGAAACAGTCTCCCAAGGAAAAGACTTTGCAGGTGACTAAGGGAGGCTGTTAAATAAAACACACAGAGAGAATGGATGTTCAGGTATATTAAAAATACACAGGCCAGGAGTGAGGGCTCACGCTTGTAATCCCAGCACTCTGGGAGGCCGAGGAAGGAGGATCTCTTGAGGCCAGGAGTTTGAGACCAGCCTGGGCCACATGGCAAAACCCTGACTTTGAAAAAAAAAATTAGCCAGGCATGGTGGCCCACACCTGTAGTCCCAGCTACTGGGGAGGCAGAGGTGGGAGAATAGCTTGAAGCTGGGAGGTGGAGGTTGTAGTGAGCTGAGATTGCGCCATGGGCCACAGGATGAGACCCTGTCTCGAAACAAAACAACACACAGGCAAACAGCGTTTGGGAAGGGATTGCAAGCGCTGCAGGAGCGCAGAATTGTGACCCAAAGCTAACAGGGTACAGGCAGGAAGGTGCAGGGACTAGAGGTCACACAGATCCAGGCAGCCACATCCTTACTGACCAGTAGCACACAGAGAATGCACCTGCCACACTCAGGAGGGGCCACTGAGTGATCACACGCATGTAACCTGCACTCTGCCAAGACAAAGAGCATTCCTCCACCCCTGCCTCAACCCCGACTTCCAACCACATGAATTAGGATAAAGGAGCTTTGGGTGCTCTAAGAACAAACTAACTGCGGGAGTTGGGCTCATGGATGACACAGAGAAAGCGCAGCTGCCAGACCCATGGGTCTCCATCCTCCCACAACAGGAATGCTCCGTGAACTGTGCAGGTAGAAGCAGTGTGGTTATGAGCTGATCAGACCTGATCAAACGGCCGACCTTTGCATGCTTGGAACTTTGCCCTAAATGCCAAGTCGGCTTTATTATCATTGTGGTTGCTGCTATGGCTGCTGTGGGCTCAGGGCGTTGGGTGCAGGCAGGTGGAGCCCCCCTGCCTCTGCACTTCCTGCCCATGCTCGGCACCTCTCCCCACTGGCTGGGACCGCAGCTGCAGAGCCCACAAGGAGCCCCTGGCCACTGACTGCTGTCTCCAAAGCAACCTTGCCCCACGGGTCCCCCCCTCCTTGGGTGCTGCCTCCTGGGAGGCCCTCAGTGCTGGATGTTGCGCCGTGTCTCGCCTGATTTGGAAGACAGCGTGGATGCTCCCCCCATGAGTGCTGTATCTGAGAGGGGACAAGGACAGTGGCAGTGAGATGACAGTCATTTACCTGCCTGCGTATTTACTATATTGAGGGTGTCCTGTGTGCTTTCAGAGGAAGTCCCAGGGAGCCCAGCTCAGACTTTAAAGACCCTGACCTCTCACTGGTGCTGGGAAGGCCCTGGGGGTAGGGGGCTTGGGGAGGGCAAGGGTGAGGGGACCAGTAGGCAGGAGTGGCTTTTGTCCAGGGGTGTGGGAGGTCAGATCCCAGACCTTGTCTGTCCAGGTTCTGAGAATGATGGAAGGCGCTGGCTCCAGGCAGGAGGCCCTGCTCACTGCTGCACCCCTGTGCCCTCCCCGGGGGCCACCTCAGGAGGAAGATAGTTTCCTCTCGCATGGCAGGGACAGCAGTACACTTCCAATGTCTTCTCTCAGAGCTGTATCATTTTCCGGCTCACTGCTGGTTTTAGTCACAGACATCTTGATGGTCTTGCCACTGCACAGCATGTCACAGTGGTCTGCCACACTGATGACATCAGGCTGAATCAACCTGGGGAGCAAAAAATGAAAAATGCCAAGATGCCTTGGTAAGACACGTGCTTGCTAAAAATTGAAAGAGAAAATAACACATTTTCAAAACCTGCCACCTTGGTGAACTTTCTGTGGGTCCATTGGTCTGATTGGTCAAAATATATATCCAAAATGAAAGAAAACACGCTGTCTCTGGCAAGCAAGACTACCACTAAGAAAGAAGTATCATACCTGGTGAGGCTCTTCCGGTTTGCAAGGTGAGGTGCAAGACACTCGGGGATGCTTCTCTGGCCTGTTTTGTGTTCTTCATAAAGCGTTTGGTTTTGAGTAGGGCCCAGAGTAAGAAAGATTCTGCTGCTGGTCTGGATGGGCAAACTGCTGCCCCAGGAGGCCACACAATCTGGTGTTGTTCTCCGACTTTAGCTGGCATCACAGTCACCTACATAAACCTTTACATGCATAGGAGGCACAGATCACCTCGCTCCATCCTTAGAGACGCAGGTTCAGTAGGTCTGAGGTGGGACCTGAGGACCTGCGTTTCTAGAAAGTTCTCAGGTGACACTGACACTGCTGGCCCAGGAACCACACTTTGAGAACACTGATCTGGCAGAACCAGTGGGAATTGGAGGGTCTGTGGCAGACGGAGATGTTGTAGGCAGCGCAGAAAATAACAGTTGAATAAGAGCTGAACGCTCTCCTGAAAATACGTCCTCTCCTTTTGAGTAAGAGCAGCCCTGAGCCATAGCAGAAACTCAGGGAGCTCTGTTACCATAGAAGCTGAGCGGCCCAGCAGAAGCTATTTGTTATCGGACCCACAGAGGTTGTGTAGACAGCATCCTGCCGTCCTCAGGTGGAATGTTTACGACACAAGGCTTGAGCAGGTCTGGAAGGCGCGGTAAGTTCCATGAACAAGCACCCACTCTTGCTGCATGGAGACCGCTTCCTTAACCCAGACCTCTGGCTACATGAGAGTTTCTTATGACATTGAACGGAGAAAATGCATGCGTTGGGGCCTGGATTACATGTGTCTATACACAGCACACTGCCCCCACCAGAAAGTGAAAGGCTGTGTCATCATGGCCTTCTGTGAAAGACCAGTGAAAGAAAGCTTCCCAGTGGGCACATATTCAAACCATGCATCAGGTTCATCATCTAGCCAAGGAGGGATGGCCAGAGGATGGCCCTAAATGTAGTCATAGGCAGTGGCGAATGGTCTGGCTACAGAGCAGGAGGCTTCAAAAAAATTGAAATATTGATGACAAGATTTTTCTTGGTAGATTTCATGTTTGTAGAAAATCTTGAGGAATTTACAAAAAAAACTACTAGAATTTATAAATGAATTTAGCAAGGCCATGGGATCTGATGAAAACCAATTGTATTTCTATGTACTGGCAGCAAACAATTCTAAAATAAAACCTAAAATAATTTCACTTACAATAGCATCCGAAACAAAATGCTTGGGGATAAACCGTATCCGAGACTTGTGCACCGAAAACCTAGAATCCATTGCTGTGAGAAACTTTTGAAAGTCTAGACAAGCAGAGGAGTGTGTATGTTTATGACTGAAAGGCTCAATATTAATGAGATGTCAGTTCTTCATAAATTGACATACAGATTCAATGCAATCTCAATCAAAATTCTAACTTGCTTTTTTGAAGAAATTAACCAGCTGGTTCTAAAATGTGTTTGGAGATGTGGGTGACCTAGAGTAGCCAAAAGAATCTTGAAAAAGAACAACATTGGAGGACCTAGGAGATGCCTTTCATGATTCCACCATCCTAACAAAACTAATTGGACTTTTTTTCTGTAATTATCTCGGCATTTGTGTCTTTTTAAAAACAGCCTTGCTGAGGTGTAATGGATATGCAATATTCCAAGTGTACGATTTGGTGAGTGACTGATGGGGTCATGGCAACGCGATCACACAGAAGATGATGGCGGTGCTCCTCCCTCGCTGACTTCCCTCTGTCTGTGTCTCTTTACCTCTTCCCATCCCCAGGCAACCACTGATTTGCTCTTTTTTTTTTTCTTTTTGTGAGACGGAGTCTCACTCTGTCACCTAGGCTGGAGTGCAGTGGCACGATCTCAGCTCACTGCAGCCTTTGCCTCCTCAGTTCAAGCAATTCTCCTGCCTCAGCCTCCCAAGTAGCTGGGATTACAGATGCCCGCCACCACACCCAGCTAATTTTTGTATTTTTAGTAGAAACAGGGTTTCACTATGTTGGCCAGGCTGGTCTTGAACTCCCAACCTCAAGTGATAAGCTCGCCTTGGCCTCCCAAAATGCTGGAATGATTTGTTTTCTATGATTACAGAACAATGTGTTTTTAATAGAATTTTATATAAATAGAATTATACAGTAAGTACTGTTTTCTGGGTCTGTTCTTTTGCATTCAGCATATTTGAGAAGAATCCACATCATTGCATCGGCAGTTAATTCCCTTTTAGTTATTTGTAGTATCCATTGTGTGGATATGGGATATGATGTACTTGGCTTTTCCATCTGCCTATTGATGGACATCTGGCTGTTACAAATAAAGCTACTATGAACATTTGTGTGCAAGTCTTTGAACATAGGCTCTCATTACTTTGGGGTAGGTAAGAAGTACTTAGTTGTGGAATGGCTGGGTCATTTGGTAGATATATGTTTAACTATTTTTTTAAAAACTGTTAAATTCTTTTGCAAAGTAGTTGTATCATTTTATATTTCCATGAACAGTGTATGATAATTTTAGTTACTTCATATTCTAATGAATACTTAGTATGGTCAGTCTTTTAAATTTTAGACATCCTAATATGTTTACAGTAATATCTCCTATACTGCTCTAATGAGCGTGATCTTTGAACAATTTCTCATGTGTTAGCTGCATCAGTGCCACTTCGTGTTAAGTGTCTGTTCAAATCTTTTGCACCTTTGGGTTGTTTAATTGAGCTTTGAGAGTTCTTTACTATTCTGGATACCAGTCCCTTATCAGATGGGTACTTTGCAAATATTTTTCCCAGTCTTGGACTGTCTTTTCATTCTCTTAATAGATTCTTTCAGAGAAGAGTTATTAATTTTGATGAAGTCTAATTTATCCATTTTTCTTTCACAAATCCTGCTTTTAGTGTTGTATTTAAGAAATCTTTACCAAATTCATGATCATCAAGATTTTCTCCTAAGTTTTCCTCTAAACTTTTTAAAATTATAGATTGCATATTTACACATAGAATGCATTTTTAAACTAGCTTGGTGTAAGACACCAATTGAAGTTCACCACTTTACCTCCGAAGAGCCAGTTGTTCAGTGTTCTGCTGAGTTGCTTTTGCACCTTTGTTGAAAAGTCAGTTGTATGTATGTGTGTGGGTTTATTTCTGGGCTCCCTGTTTTATGATCTGTTAATCCATTTTGATGCTAATACCACACTTGCTGTGGACTGAATTGTTTACCCCCAAATTCATAGGTTAAAGCCATAACCCCCGCAAGGTGACTTTATCTGGAGATAGGGACTTTAGGAGGTGATTAGGTTAAATTAAATTGTAAGGGTGGGGTCATAACCCAGGAGGACTGTGGCCTTATAAGAAGAGGAAGCTCTCTCCATTTTACTTTCTGCCATGTGAAGATAGAGTAAGAAGGCGGCCATCTGCAAGCCAGGAAGAGAGGCCTCACCAGGAACTGAATCAGCTGCCTTGATGTTGGATTTCCAGTCTCCAGAACTGTGAGAAACAAATGTCTGCTGTTAAGCCCCCAAATCTGGTGTATTTTGTTGTGGCAGCCTGAGGAGATTAAAATGGCACTATCTTCATTATGGTCCTTTTGTAATACATTTTTAAATCAGGTAATGTAAGTCAGACAACTTTGTTCATTTTCAAAGTTGTTTTGCATATTCTCGGTCCTGTGCTTTTTCATATGAATTTTGGAATCAACTTTTCAATTTCTTCCAAAGTCCCGCATGGGATTTCTTCGGGTGGAGGCTGCCATCAATTTTTCATCATTATTCCTTTCTGAGGCAGGCTTCATGTCTAGATTTTCTTCTAAGTTCTGATTTAGCCAAATTCCAAAAGGTTTGATATGTTGTTTTGTTTTCATTCAGTTCAAAATATTTTCTGATTTCCCTTTTGATGTCCTCTTTGACCCATTGTTATTTAGATATGTGATTAGTTTCCAAATATTAGAAGATTGTCTGGATATGCTTCTTTATTTTTTGCCAAATGTATTTTTCATTTTGGTATCAAATTTATTTGCCTCTTTGTTGGAGAACTTGCTTTACATGACCTGAATCCCTAAAGGGAATTTTATGGTCTGGACTGTGGTCGATCTTGGTAAGCTTTTCACATGCATTTGAAAAGAATGTGCACTCTGCTATTATTGGATGAATTATTGTATAAATATCAAATAGGTCATGTTAGTTCGTACTGTTTTTGAAGTCTTCTGTATCCTTAAAAGTTTCTGTGTATCTGTTCTATCAACTATTGGGAAAGAGGTATTGAAATCTCCAAGTATAATTGTGTGAACTGCTCTATGTCTCCTTGCAGTTCTATCAGTTTTTGCCGAATTCATTATGAAGCTATGTTATTAGGTACATAAACATTTGTCCTTTTGGTGAACTGATGCTATCATAAAATGACATTGTTTAGACATGATCTGTTTTGAGGATTCCTATGGCTTGCATATTAGGTGGCTTGAAGTCCCACAGTTCTCTGATGCTTGGTTCATTTTTTTGTCTTTTTTCTTTATTTCATTTTGAACAGTTTGCACTGCCATCTATGTCTTCAAGTTCATGTATCCTTTTCTTCTGAGATGTTGAATCCACCCCTCCTCTCAACCAGTGCATTTTGCATCTGAGACATTGTGGTTTTCATCTCTAGAATTTGGATTCGTGTCTTTTAAAAAATATCTGTCATGTCTCTATTAAACATATTCAGTCTCGCCTTTGGCTAGCTCTTGGAATGAGGTAACAGTTATGATTGTCAATGCCTCTCTAATTCTATCATTTGAGTCATCTCTGGGTCTGTTTCTATTGACTGTAGGTCACATTTTCCCACCTTTTTGCATTGTGCTAATTTCCAGTGGATGCCCAGCATTGTGAATTTAACCCTGTTGGTTTGTGGATAACACTGTACTAATGTGAATATTCTGGAAGTTTGTCTTTGGCCACTGGTAAGGTCCCTGTTGTAGTTTGGTCATTCTTTCAGGTTTTGCTTTTAAGCTCTGCCCAGGAGGACCAGAGCAGTGCTTTGCTCAGGGCTGATGCTTCTTCCCTGCTGGGGCAAAGCCCATCTTAGTTTCCTGCCTAATGACCATGTTTCCCAACGGAGGGTAAATCCAGTCTCTACTCTTCCATTTTGACTGGAAGCAAAAATTGTGGACCCATTCACTTTTCTTTTTCTTTTCTTTTCTTTGAGATGGAGTCTCACTCTGTTGCCCAGGCTGGAGTGCAGTGGTGCGATCTCAGCTCTCTGCAACTTCTGCTTCCTGGGTTCAGGCAATTCTCTTGCCTCAGCCTCCAGAGTACCTGGGATTACAGGCGTGCACCACCACACCCAGCTAATTTTCATATTCTTAGTAGAGACAGGGTTTCACTGTGATGGCCACACTGGTCTGGAACTCCTAACCTTAGGTGATCTACATGCCTCAGCCTCCCAAAGTGTTGGGATTACAGGCATGAGCCACTGCGTCTGGCCCCCATTCACTTTTCTTACATTTAAGGGAGTTAATCTGCACCTAGCCAGCCCTTGACAGTGTCACATGACAGACAGTGGCCTCCTCATCAGTATTGCTGTTTCTGTTGTCCTTCCTCAGCAAATGTTTTCCAGTTACTCTTGTAGCTTCTCGGCCAAGTAGCTCAGTTCTGCCCTGGGGAATATGGGCAGAATTCATGACATTTAGCTTCATTTAGATGAGAGAACATACTCTGTGTGATTTAAACATCTTGAAATTTATCTGTGGTCAAGCACATGGTCTATTTTGTCAACTGCTTCATGTGCACTTGAAATGGCACATCATTTGGTGAATAGAGCTGTTTTTCTATGTAACTACATTTTTCCCTGATAGTTATATCAGTTACTAAGAGATCTATGTTAAAATCTCCAACTATGTTTGCAGATTTATTTCTCCTTTAAATCCTGTCATTGATGCTTAATATATTTAAGCTATGTGATTAGATACATGCACTTTTAAACATTGTGTCTTCCAATTGAATTGAACTTTTATCATCATGAAATGTCTGTCTTTAACTCTGCTAATTCTCCTAGTCTCTAAAGTACACTTAGTATGACAATCTTGCCAAATAAACTTTCTTAAGCTTCTGTTTGCATGTTATAAATATATTTCCTATTCTTTTACTTTCTTACCTTTTTGTTTTGTTTTTTTATGAGACAGAGTCTTGCTGTGTCACCCAGGCTGGAGTGCAGTGGCGCAATCTCAGCTCACTGCAACCTCTGCCTCCAGGGTTCACGTGATTCTCCTGCCTTAGCCTCCCAAGTAGCTGGGACTACAGGCATGTGCCACCACGCCCAGCTAATTTTTTTGCATTTTTACTAGAGATGGGGTTTCACCATGTTGGACAGGCTGGTCTTGACCTCCTGACCTCAAATGATCTACCTGCCTCGGCCTCCCAAAGTGCTGGGATTATAGGCAGGAGCCACTGTGCCCAGTCTATTCTTCTACTTTCAATCTATATTTAAACAGCATATAGTTAGGTATTTTATTTTTTATTTAGTCCAACAAATGTCATTTAGGAGTTTTTAGTCTATGTTTAATGTAACTACTAATATGATTGGATTTAAATTTACCGTTTTGCTATTTGTTATCTATCTCTATTCTCTGTCCTTTGTTCTTTCCCTCCCACCTTCCTTCTTAGTTTGGGTAAAATTTACATTTATATTAGTTATACTTCTTTGGTTCTGTTTTCTATGGGAGGGGGTCTTACTATGTGTATTTTTTTTTTAGATGAAGTTTTGCTCGGTCACCTCAGGCTGGAATGCAATGGCACCATATCAGCTCACTGCAACCTCCACCTCCAGGGTTCAAGAGATTCTCCCACGTCAGCCTCTCAAGTAGCTGGGATTACAGGTACCCACCATCATGCCCAGCTAATTTTCATACTTTTAGTAGAGATGGGGTTTTACCATGTTGGCCACAAGGTCTCCTGACCTCAGATGATCCACCCACTTCAGGCTCCCAAAGTGCTGGGATTACAGGCGTGAGCCACCATGCCTGGCCACTATGTGTATTTTTAACTTACCACAATCTACCTTCAAATGCCAAATTTCTGCATGGTATTCTCTTATTTCTGCCTGTAGAACTCTGAACATTGTTGGTCATTATGAACTACTGGCAGTGAATTATCTCAGCTTTTGCTGATTTCAAAATGTTTCTATTATGCCTTGATTTTTAAAAGATGTTTATTTTAGCATAGAATTCCAGGGTGGCCGCATTCGTCTTTAGTCTCTTTGAAGATGTCATCAGTCATCTGGATTGCATAGTTTCTGCAGAGAAGTCGGCTGTCGTTCTTATCTCTGTTCCTTGACGTCTGGGTTGCATAGTTTCTGCAGAGAAGTCGGCTGTCGTTCTTATCTCTGTTCCTTGACGTCTGGGTTGCATAGTTTCTGCAGAGAAGTCGGCTGTCGTTCTTATCTCTGTTCCTTGACGTCTGGGTTGCATAGTTTCTGCAGAGAAGTCGGCTGTCGTTCTTATCTCTGTTCCTTGACGTCTGGGTTGCATAGTTTCTGCAGAGAAGTCGGCTGTCGTTCTTATCTCTGTTCCTTGACGTCTGGGTTGCATAGTTTCTGCAGAGAAGTCGGCTGTCGTTCTTATCTCTGTTCCTTGACGTCTGGGTTGCATAGTTTCTGAAGAGAAGTTGGCTTTCATTCTTATCTCTGTTCCTTGATAGTATGTTGTTTTTCTCCAGCTGCTTTTAAGATTTTTCTCCTTTTCAGTGGCTTTCAGCAGTTTGTGATGTGTGTCTTGCTGTGTTTTTATTGTATTTTTTCTGCTGGGTGCTTATTGAGCTTCTTGGGTATCTTAGTTTATAGATTTGGAAAAAAATTCTGGCCATTATTTCATCAAATAATTTTTCTGTCCTGTCCTCCTCCTTTTCTAGGGCTCCAATCACATGTGATGGGCCTTGTGGCATTATTCCATGCCCACTTGTGCTTCATTTCTGTCTGTTTCTCCCTGTACATCACTGGGATCACACATAGCTGTATTTTCAGGTTCACTAATATTTTCTCTTGTCGGGTCTAATTTACTATAGTCTCTGCCAGGGTATGACACAGGCAGTGGATGTCAGCCTGTCTCTTTCCCAGCCAACCCAGTGTTTACCTAGTAGAACCATTCACAAACTGGCACTGGAAATAGGGATGGAGATGAGTGTGGATCAATAACAAAGAGCTGACCCATCAACAATAGCCTAGGCTGATGCAGTTATCACTGGACTCCCAACATGTCGGAAGCAGGGTCCCATACTTAGCCCCAGGTACCATTCCTGGGAAAGGGACTAGCCAGCCCCCTGGAGGCAGGTTGATCACACTGGACTCTTCCATCATTGAGGGGAGTATCTCTTGGTTTCAGTTTCCCTTATTCCAGATATGGATATGTCTTTGCTGTCAGTGTTTCTGACAGCACCATCTGTGGGCTTGATGAATGGCTTATTCACTATTGCCCACCTCCTATGGCATTGTTAAGGAATTTACTTTACAGCAAAGGCAGCATGGGAACAGGTACACACTTGGAATCCCTACGTTTCCCATCACCCAGAGGTGGCGAGTCTGATTAAGCATGAGGATGACTTCTTGAAGCTTTAGGTGTGCTGCCCATGGGGAGGCAGTGCCCTAGAACATTGGACTGCCATCCTGATGGATGACATAGTGCCTCGAACTGTGGACCAAGACATGGCACCATTTCATAGCCAGAATAATGTCTGTAATGTCAATGGGTGGAATTAGGACTGGCCCTGCTCACCACCACATCCAACACTTACTGCAGGGTGGCTGGTGCTGCTGTTCAGAAGATCCTTCACCTCCTTTGAGGGGCTCCCTTGCAGGACTGTACGTCTCTGGCTGTTGAATTCAGCTGTGACCACATGGCTTACTGTGGCCAATGAACCAGGAGTGGGCCTGCTGTATTCTGCGTCTGTGCAGCAGATATAGCATCTAGGCAGGCTTGCTTGTCACCTCTTCCCAAAGCCATCTGACTGGCTGAGTCCCAGGAGGGGCTGCTGTGCTGGGCTGGATGCAGATGGTGACATGGAGCAGAGCTGCAGCTGACCTGCCTGGGAGAGACGGGCGAGGACCACATCTGTTTAGCTGACCCTGACATTTTATTGGTTTACATTTGTTACCGCAGCATCAATGATCCCAGGTGGGCTGATAAACCCATTCACATATTTTTGCTTTTCTCGTCTGTGACATTGGGCTCTTTTGCTTTCAAGGTCCTAGTTCCCAAGGCTGGAATGCTCTTACCTGGGACCTCAGTGATCCATCTGCTGCACTGAAAGTTCAGACGGTCATCAGCTATTTGGGGCTGCTCATGCCACTTAGCTAATAGTTCAAGAAAAGCATGCTGTCTTGGTGGGGATGGCTAACCCCAATGAAAGGGCTATCTTGGAGCTCAGTGGATTCTCTAGGTACTTCTCAGGGCTTTCACGACTAATATTGTGACTAATAAAGGCAAGACGACAACTGCATCAGACACACTGGAATGAAAATTTGAGTCCTCTCACTGGGTAAAGAACCCTGACCATCCAAAGTACTGCTTAGGGTCAAGAAAACGTGGAATGGGTAGTGGAAGAAGGAAGGTGTAGCTGCTGATCACAGCCTCACAGCTAGCCACAGCATGAGGACAGTACCGGGCATGCAGGCTGTCCTCTTTGCTTGCTGTGTGTGTGTGAGCATGTGTGGGAGCATATAAGTGTGTGTGCATTAGTGTGAGCATGTGCATGCATGTGAATGTGTCTATGAAGACGTGCATGTGAATGTGCTCATGAGCATGTGTGTACATGTGTAAGCCTCAGCATGAGTGCATGTGAGCATGTGTGTACATGTAAGCCTCAGCATGAGTGCATGTGAGCATGTGTACATGTGTAAGCCTCAGCATGAGTGCATGTGAGCATGTGTGTACATATGTAAGCCTCAGCATGAGTGCATGTGAGCATGTGTACATGTGTAAGCCTCAGCATGAGTGCATGTGAGCCTCAGCGTGAGTGCATGTGAGCGTGTGTACATGTGTAAGCCTCAGCATGAGTGCATGTGAGCATGTGTGTACATGTGTAAGCCTCAGCATGAGTGCATGTGAGCATGTGTGTACATGTAAGCCTCAGCATGAGTGCATGTGAGCATGTGTACATGTGTAAGCCTCAGCATGAGTGCATGTGAGCATGTGTGTACATATGTAAGCCTCAGCATGAGTGCATGTGAGCATGTGTACATGTGTAAGCCTCAGCATGAGTGCATGTGAGCCTCAGCATGAGTGCATGTGAGCGTGTGTACATGTGTAAGCCTCAGCATGAGTGCATGTGAGCATGTGTGTACATGTGTAAGCCTCAGCATGAGTGCATGTGAGCACGTGTGTACGTGTAAGCCTCAGCATGAGTGCATGTGAGCCTCAGCATGAGTGCATGTTAGCATGTGTGTACATGCATAAGCCTCAGCATGAGTGCATGTTAGCATGTGTGTACATGTGTAAGCCTCAGCATGAGTGCATGTGAGCATGTGTACATGTGTAAGCCTCAGCATGAGTGCATGTGAGCATGTGTGTACATGTGTAAGCCTCAGCATGAGTGTATGTGAGCATGTGTACATGTGTAAGCCTCAGCATGAGTGCATGTGAGCATGTGTGTACGTGTAAGCCTCAGCATGAGTGCATGTGAGCATGTGTACATGTGTAAGCCTCAGCATGAGTGCATGTGAGCATGTGTGTACATGTGTAAGCCTCAGCATGAGTGCATGTGAGCATGTGTGTATCATTGTGTGAGCATGTGTGGATGTGAACGTGTTGTGCATATGTGTGTGTGCACGTGAGCCTGGGAGCATGCAAGTCATTTGTTAATTGATTACTCCTTTTCCCACTTCTCAGCATCCCCACTATTTTACACAGGGAATATTAGTGGTGGTAGATGGTGAACTTTGAAACTTAAGTTTTTCATGTCAGAGAATGTCCAGATGGGTTTGTGGCTGTACCAGAGAAACCATTAGTGGCGAGGAAGACTCATGGGTCTCTACTGTTTCTGGGGAAGGTAAAAGCACCTGTGTTGGGTGGTGTGAGTACAGCACTGTGTTGGAAGATGTCTGAGTGTGTGACTTACTTGTGGACACAGAGCAGCTATGGGTGGGCAGTGCTGGTCCTTCACTACCCCGTTTGCCCTCAGCCCCACTTCTCACATTCCCGAGCTCTGCTTCATGGCCCAGGGGGCCTCTCCTCCCAGCCAGCTTCTGGTTAGGATCAGCATACGGCAGCAGCAGGTGCAGCTGTGTCAACTCTTGCGTGAACACCGGGGGTGGGTTTGCTTTTTCCTGAGGGTCCCACCTTCATTTCTCCTGGCTCCAATGCTGAGTGGAGAACTGAACACACAGAAGCAGAGGCATGTTCGATGACAAACACGTGTGCTGCAAACCACACGAGTTACCCTGCTGTGCACCTCCCTGGGTGCACCCGCCGGGCACGGCCACCCTGCCCACAGCCGGCACCTGGAGCCAGACGCTCCTCCTTCTCGGTCTCACACCAGCCGCATCTTAGCAGCAGCTGCCCCATCCAGTGCTGATGTGAGATGTGCAGATCTAGTTTTTGTTTTAACCCTTGCTTTACTTGAAAACTTGGACATATTCAATCAATTTCAACGGCAGTATTCATGTATTAAAAATGGCAGATGCATACAAGCATGAAGAAGTAAAAATTGCTGTTGCTTGAAATAATGTCATTTTGGTGCACATTCTCTCTCACTGAGTGAGGTCAGACTGCACAGCTCCCTGGTAGCCCATGTCTGAGACTTACCTTCCTGAACAACGTAACGATTCATTTTTCACCCTCCCAGTATCCCCCATAATTGTACACAGGGAAATGAGTGGTGGTGGATGGTGAACTTTGAAACTTCGTTTTTCAAAGTATTAAAAAGGAGAAACACCTGCAGATTGGCCATTTGCAGGCTTTTCTCCTTAAGTTTTTCTTCCATCCTTGACGCTGGTGGAGACACAATCTTGATTCTTCACGTGCAGTTTTGGAGAGTGTAACAGGTGAGCTCGGTCTTTTACCTCTAGTTCCAAACCTTTTACTGACTCAGTAGGACTAAATGCCAGATCCATTTTTCTCTCTGCTTGACAAAACACGCTTAAGGTGCATGTGCTTAAAATTGAGAAATTACGTAAGTCAACCCACCAGGCAGGCAGCCAGCCATCCATGTTTCAACTCTGTAAGATGTCTGCTACTGTCCGCAAAATACCAGAACACTCCGGAGCGTCCCTTTGCCACCAAGACAGCTTTTTCTACAGAATTTCAATTCTTGTGTTTTCCAAACATGCTAGAACCACACCAAGAAAATCTCATCTGGATTGGCTCTCCTCTCACAATGCCTGTTGTTGTCTTTCTAATAAAGAACCACACAAAACAACATCATTCCCAAGTATAGACTTTATGTTTTACTTATTCCATTGAAAATCCCAAGTTCCTTCATGGCAACCCTCCCTCTGCCCTCACACCCCAGCAGGTCCCCGCAGGCCAGGGCCCATGCCCCACCTGCCCACGGGTCTGGCCCCCAGGCCACCAGGGGCCCGCTGCGTCCTGTCTCACACACAAGGGGTTTAACTCAACGCTATGTACATTCACAGTTCCGAATATCCGCCAACTCTAAGTCGCCACGAAGAGAAAAGAGAATCAGGAGGAACAAACATCCATTCAAAGTCTGTTTATCAGAGATTTTTTTTTCTGAAAATGCACAGTGGCATTTCATTCAAAAAACCCTTCATCTGCAGACCTGCGGAAGGGAGGTGGCCTGGGTCCCTTCCCTCGGAATATCTTAGTTTATTTACCTCCTTCATTGGCCATTTGCAGGCTCTTCTCCTTGAAAAATGAATCTTTACGCATTCTCCAATTATAAAATCAGTGACTGTTAGCTACCAAAGGCTGCACTAGGATTTCTTCTGTGTCCAACACGCCAAGAGCCCTGAAATTGACTTCGGTTTACTCCATCCCTGTCTGTCCTGCTGGCAGTGTCCATGCTAAAAAACAAGTCGAGGTGATTGATTGAAACGGAGCTGAAGGTTGTTTTTAAATGTCTGTCAGTGGAGAAACGCGTATCACGAATCTCTGAGGAAGTTAGTAAACATTTTTTCCCGTACTTACTGGCCTTGGTGGTCACTTTCTATAGAGATGCCCCAAATATAAAAATCAATTCATTTCAGAAATCAAAAAAATTTTCCAAACAAACCCGGAGCCTTTGCTTTAGGAAGCAAACTCAAGTCTGTGATGATTATTGTGCTTGAAGGATGGGTTTCTAATTCTGTCATAAAAAATGATGAAACAAGGTGATGTCAGAGGGACTTCAGGTGACACCAAAATACCCCATCCAGGGCCTGGAAGCCCCTCTGCCTTTGACTCTAAGATGGGGCAGGACCCCCGCTCTCAGTGGGATGTGCCCGCGACCCTGGCGCTGGGAGGCAGTGCTGCAGAGAGGAGTGGTGTCCGCACGGCTGTCACCAGACATCCTCATCACCCTCCGCACCGCACAGCCCAGCGTCTCCTTCCACAAGCAAAAGACTGCGGCTCCTCTCTCTGCAGGAAGGTCAGCCATACTCGGGTGGCAGCGTGACGCCAGTCACCATGGAAACCAGGGCTGACAGGAAGATGCAGCCGCTTCCAGCAGGGACCTGGCCTGAGGGCAAGGGAGGAGCGGCACGGCGGCGGCTGCCTTGCGCTTCCAGCTCGGGCCCTGCTCATTTGAACAATATCCAACCTCGGACTGGAGTTTAGGCTACAGTGAAATGGATTACGTTATGCCGAAACAGAAACATCAAACTGCCAACGTTTATAAAAAAAGAGGGGACTGGAAAAGGATTAAGAAAAGCAGAAAAAGTGTTTTGGGGCTAGGCCCTTGAGTTCACACCTCCCCAGGGGACCCAGCGGAAGGAGAGGGATTACCTGCTGGAGAGAGGCCTGATGGAAATTTAAGTCAAAGCCCAAACAGCCTCAGATTCTATATTAAAAAAAAAAAGGCCTATAAATAAATATCCTTTGACTCTAAAAGGAAAAATGAAGTAGAAAAACAATTTTCATTTTTTAAAAAATGCTGCATGTTTCCTGAAGTACCTAAATGGAGTTTATAAAATACTCATGAGCTCCAGCACACAGGTAGAAACACTGAAAAATCAGGTGACGGCTCGGCTCTGCCAGGCTGTGGATCCACAGAGGCAGACAGGTTTCGTGCCAGAGTGACACGCAAGCGCACGCTGTGTGGCAGGCGTGTGCTGAGTGTGCACGGAGGCCCGCCCGGTGCACGCTGCCGCCGGAAGAGGCTGTGACAGAGACTCGAAACCAGGGCCCCGTGGGAGAACACGGGGCGGCACCGGTGCCCCCCGCCCGGCAGGGAACCTGACCCCACGGGGTCCAGGCCAGGCGGGGGATCCGCGTGCGCGCCCTCCGATTCTCGCACAGTAAGCGTCGGTTCTGCAACACACTTCACAAAGGAACAAGATACAAACAGCCCCCGAGGCCCCTGGAACTCGGGCTGAAGACAGTGCCTGTACAGCAGGAGTGAGGAGCGGAGCCCAGAGGTCACTCGCAAAGAGGCTCATGGCGGTGATGTCCACGCGGGAGGGGCCGCGTCTCTCCGCAACCCTGGGTCCTAATCCAGCTTCTTGCGAACAGGCTTCCGCCCAGCGTCTGAGTTTTCCGGGCTGAAATCGGCACAGAAGCCGTTTGGGATTGGCGCAGGTGAGGTCTCTGCACAGCTTTCGAAATGTGTCTGATCCGGGTACAGGTATTCCTCTGCGAAGGCAGGGTACATTTCTGCAAACCTGTGGAAGTCAGCTGGAAAGACAAAGGCACCTGTGGTTATGGAATGGGGACGAGCAAATGTCTAGGATTTGGAGGCTCTTTTCCCACGGCCCTGGTGGGTGTCCACCTCACGCCCTCCAGGGAGGGTTAGAATCGTCTGTGAAACGGATGCTTTCAGGGTGGAGAGAAGAACTTGCGCTTACTTTCTTTGCAGCGCACGAAGTCACCCTGACAACCGGGGCAGGCTGGGTGTCCTCCTAGCTACTCCTGCTTTTGGGAAACCCTACAGAAAGCTTCTGGTTTTGAATTCGACAGATATATCCCGGGGACTTAGCACTTCTGAGGCACTGTAACCAGAGAAGCTGGCTCAGGGACAAGACCAAGTGTCTGGACAGTGATCTGGCGCTCTGAGGGGGTGCCCTCGTCCACCCTGGGAGACCCGGTAGGCAGGGGGCCGTCCTCACAGAGCCTCGGACTGCACTTCCTGGCCGCTGTGCCTGGCTCTCATGTGAGCGCCCTCGGCTCCTACTGATGGCGCCATGGAGGCTTCTGGTGGGGCTGGAAAGATGGTGCAGGGGGCTGGTCATGCTAGGCCGCTCCAGAAACACTCAGAACCTGGGCCACCCGGCGAGAAATCCAGGGATGGTTGTTACTGGAAATTGCAGCTGGTCGGTGCCCACTACAAACATCAAAGAGCCCGAACACACCAAGGAGCATTGCACACTTTCAAAATGGAAACAAGCGCACGCATGCACACATGCAAACACACACACACGGTAACCAAACACACATGTGCGCACACACACAAAACAAGCACACACACGGTAACCACACATGCGTGCACACACACACACACAAAAGCACGCACACACACGGTAAACAAACACATGCGTGCACACACACAAAGAGCACACACGGTAAACACACATGCACGCAGACACACACACACAAAACAAGCACACACACGGTAACCAAACACACGTGCGCGCACACACACAAAACAAGCACACACACGGTAATCACACATGCACGTACACACAAGTGTGTGCACACACAGTAAACACATGCGTGTACACACAAACAAGTGCACACACACACTAACTAAACACACATGCGTGCACACACAAAACAAGCACATGCACACACATGGTAACTACACACATGCACGCACACATACAAAACAAGTGCAGGCACACAATAACATGCACACACACAAAACAAGCGCAGGCACACTAAACACACATGCGCACGCACAAGTGCACGCACACACACGGTAACACACATGCGCATGCACACATGGTAACCACACACATGCACACACACACAAAACAAGCGCAGGCACACGCGGTAACTAAACATGCATGCACACACACAAAACAAGCGCACGCGCACACAGTAACTAAACACACATGCGTGCACACACACAAAACAAGCACACGCACACAGCAACTAAACACACATGCCCATGCACACACACACACGCACGGTACTAAACACATGTGCGCGCACACACAAAACAAGCGCAGGCACACAGTAACTAAACACACATGCGCACGCACAAGTGCACGAACACACACGGTAACACACATGCGCATGCACACATGGTAACTACACACATGCACACACACACAAAACAAGCGCAGGTACACACAGTAACTAAACATGCATGCACACACAAAACAAGCGCATGCGCACACAGTAAACACGTGTGCACACACACAAAACAAGCACACGCACACAGCAACTAAACACACATGCCCATGCACACACACAAGTGCACGCACACACACGCACGGTACTAAACACGTGCGCACACACACAAAACAAGCACAAGAGCACAGACACGGTAACTAAACACGTGCGCTTTCAAAATGGAAACAAGCATGCACATGCACGCACACACACAACACACATGCACGCTTTCAATACTGAAACAAGCATGCACATGTGTACACAAACGTGTGCACACACGGTAAACATGCACACTTTCAATACTAAAAGAAGCACGCACATGCGTGCACACACGTATGCACACGCACGGTAACACACGTGCACTTTCAGTACTGAAACAAACGCACACAGGCGCACACGCACACACACGTGTGCACACACACGGTAACTAAGCACACATACATGCTTTCAATACTGAAACCAGTGCGCACATCCGCACTCCCGCCTCCGGCTCCCGCACAGACGCTGTGCACGCAGCTCTCTCGCGTGTCTTCTCGTTTGCTCTAAGACCACCCTTCCAGGTGGGGATTGCGGCATCCACTGGGATGAGCCAGGCCAGGGCCTGCAGCCCTGGGAGCCTCGGGTGGATGCAGCGTAGCTCATTCACACTGCAGGGGAGGGAGGCGCCCCGGGCTCGGGTTTGCGGATTTTGCACAGCAATTTAAAAATATCAACCGCCATTACCGACAGCTCGTGCTCTGGAATCAGCCGTGTTACCAGTCACCTCATCAGATGTCCACAGACAGGTGACTTTTCTCGGGAGGAAGTCGCCCTGGGCGGCACGGGGGTCTGCAGCGCCCGCCTCCTCGTCTCTCCTGACAGACCCCTCCCAGGAGAGGGGGGATGTGAGCCACACCCCGGCTGGCAGTGACAAAGCCCACAGCCAGTGGCCTCGAGGGCTGGGTGCGGGTATCCCCCACCTCCAGGCACCTGAATCCCAGCCTGAGGCCATGGAAGGCTCAGAGCTTCGGAACTGGGCTTGGAGTTTGGTTGTATAAATCGCCAAAACAAATCAGATTGGAAAGCTCCCTACGAACGCTGCCAGGTCTCCAGAACCTTCCTTCTCAGGGGTTTCTTTGTTACACAGGGCAGCCTGGTGAATGGAGGCATGGCGGGGACTCCACTCCTGTCCTGGGCTCCCACGGAGACTCGCCCCACACTCTGTCCAGCCCCCGCCCAAGGGTCGCGAGGACGACCCCACTCCTGCGGGCTCACCGAATGTGATCTTCCCCTTCTCCTCTTGGTCAATGGCTCGGAATAGGTCGGTCACGGTGAGCTCTGCCACCCCCAGGGCCGTCTTGAGGATGCAGGACAGGTCACCTTCGCCGACGCTGCCGTCCTCTTGCGCTCCGTACATCTGCAAGGCAAACTGGGTGTCACCTTGCAGCCTCCTCCCCTGCCCACCAGGCCCCGCTGTCCAGGGACACCCCAGCGGCCCTGCCCCGCTTTGTCAGAGCTGCTGGGCACCTGCAGGGCCGGCGGCTGGACACGGGGGACTCGAACTTCCATGTGGAGCCATGCAGCAGGGCCCTGTGCCTTGGATCTGGCCCCCTCCAGGTGCCTCGTGGACACACAGCAGATGCTTCTCGGGCAAGGGCTCAGACGCTGCCCACCCCACCCGTGATAGCTCAGCAAACCAACCAGCACCTGTGGCTGCCACTGGGAGGCCGCGGAAGGGTCCTGCCTGGGCCACGGGCGAGCGCGGCGCAAGCTTGGGCTGCAGAGTTCCCCCACGGCCCTCTGCCTCCGTGAGTGCAGGCTACAGCAGACGTGTTCACAAGCATCAGTAATAACATGAAAAAGCCCTGATGGTTAGAAATCGACAGGGCAGATCAGGAGCAGAAATGAGAAGGACCTGGGAGGGCCGGGAGGGCTCCAGCGGGGAGCGGGAACCAGGACCCGGGCTCTCTCCTGAGCCTCACAGGTGACGCCTCCTCTCTTCCTCCTGCTCCAGGTGTGGAAGCGGCGGCTCCGGCCCTCTCTGTGCAGGGCCCAGTGCCGAGGCGCCTGCCGCCCGCTCCCCACAACTCCACGGCGCTCCCCTCCCTGGCTCCACAGACTCTGTGCCCTGGAGATCCCCCAGACCCCTTGATCAGGGCCCGCCCATCCCTTTGTCCCTCTACCTCCTTGGAAACACTTCGGCTCCCTGTGGGGTGCAGGGTCCTGCCCCAGCCCTTTAGGCTCGAGCCTGGCCCACGGGCTCTGTGGCAGCGCTTTCCTCTGAGGTCCCGACGCCGCCCGTGTCCTTCCGCTCCAACCCCTGGGCTCCCTCAGATGGGCCAGCTCTTCTACCTGGTTCTTCCCCGAGTCCTCTGCCTGGGGCTGCACCATCCCCCGCCGCCCTCTCTCTGCCTGGGGTCCACGGTTCCTGGGGCTCCGACGGGGCCGTCGCCCTGACTCCGAGTCCCCTTCTCCTGCTGCAGCGCGCTGTGATCTTGTGAGCGTTTGCTCCACCCTCCGAGAAGTGGGCTGCCTGGGAGGGGCGTCGCCTCTCTTCAGGGAGGGGCTGCGCCTTCACCTCCACCGGCTCCTCCTTGCGGTGCTCAGGGAAGAAACGCTGACGCCTCCAGCCTTCCGGCCTGGCAAGCTGTCCCCGCGTTCACACCCTCTTCCCGGGGCTCTGCCTCTACCCCATGGACCGGGTCTGCTCCAGGCTCTGGAGACCCCATCCTCACCCTCCACTCTCCCTCCCCTGGGCCTCATCCCACAGCGCTGCCGCACGCGGCCACCCTGTCTTCTGTGGTCTACGTTTCTCTCCTGCTTTTAGATTTGCTGAATCAAACATCTGCAGACGAAATCCACGTTGGTGCTGCTGGAGCCTCAGAACGGGCCGGGTCAAAGCTTCAGGGCCACGGCCTCCAGCTCCTCGGCCGACCTGGATCCCACTCAGCCCCCAGAGAGCAGTGCCTCCTGCCCCCTAGTGGTTGCAAGGCTGCTTCAGAGGGGACAACCTGACATCTGTGTCCATTTGGACATGAGAACTGCAGATGCAGACTTTCATCCTCGGAGCCTCGTGTAGATGCTGCACGGGAAACGCAGAGGTAGGACTGAGGCTACCACAGGCAACAGACTTCAGGTTCTCACTGTCCACTCTCTGAGCCGCTGGAAGTTTTACCAGGGCCACATCTTAAGGTTTTACACAGTAATGATAACGAAAAAGAACAAAAACAAGGGGCCCCAAGGCGTATGAAGCACATCGGTGCGCTGCGCATCCGGAGTCCTGAGCACCGGCGTGTGCCTCTGGGGTCCTAGGTGCTAGGAGTTCTGTGTCCACAGTCAGCCTGGGGGGCAGCTTCCTGGATCTCTGTGTCCCAAGAGCAGCACGCTGGTGCACTTGCCACGCTCTCTCACACGAGACTGCTCCGTGGAAGCCCTTCCTGCTACATGCAGTCCCCCCAAAATGTGCCAGGCTCCCAGAGCAGCAGCAAAGCACAATGGCCATGACTTCAGGAAATGATGACACCATGAAAGGTATAGGCTGCAGAAAGGGACATGGGGAAGCAGCCTGCAAGAAGGTGGGAGGAAGGCAGGGCATATGCCGTCAGGGCGGAGCTGCTGAGGGTGGAGGTGAGGCGGGACCCTGGTGTCGCCGTGGGGACGCAGCCATATCAGCGGCCTGGAAGCCTGTGAGAAGTGATCACCCATCCTGCCCCCAGGTGGTCACTGTAGGGCAGCCTAGGCCTCACCCATCGCCTGGTTCACCTGAGAAAGACCTCCTAGTGGCACATACCCCACCCCAAGCAGGGACCCGGTGCACACTGTCCTCCCCAGTGGGCGTCCTCAACCCTACCACAGCCAGTTACCCTGCCCACCTGCAGGTGGGGCCTGTGCAGGAGGAAGGTCGGGCTCCACAGCCCATTGTTCATGTTGAGAAACAAGGCAACTGCCACCCCCACCGCTGCTGTCATTCGTTCCAGGTTATACTTGGTGGCTCTACAGCAGGGGCTGGTGGGGCCAGCAGAACGGGGGGCGGTGGCTCATGCCTGTAATCCCAGCACTTTGGGATGCTGAGGTGGGCGGATCACTTGAGGCCAGGAGTTTGAGACCAGCCTGGCCAACATGGTGAAACCCTGTTTCTTCTAAAATTACAAAAATTAGCTGGGTTTCATGGCACGAGCCTGTAATCCCAGCTACTTGGGAGGCTGAGGCACGAGAATCACTTGAACCTGGGAGGCAGAGGTTGGTTGCAGTGAGCCAAGATTGCACCACTGCACTCCAGCCTGGACAACAGAGCGAGACTCCATCTCACAAAAATTAAAAAAAAAAAAACAACAGGGCACAGTGAAAGCAGGGCCAGCAGGGGCCGCAGGGCCACAGGGCCTGGCTCAGATCAGGGGCCCTAGGAGGCAGGCTGCCCAGGCCTGGAGGAGGCAGGGAGGTCAGGCTTTCTTACACAGAGCTGCCAAATGTTGAGGTCATCGAGTTCATCCTGCCTGGGGAGACCCCCACAAGCCACCTTTTCATGTGGGGACATTCCCCAGTGTTGCTATGGAGAGGGTGTGCTGGCATCAGAAGCAAGAGAAGGGAGTTCTTGGAGCGGTGAGAGACATGCAGCTTCTTGACTCACACATCAGGCCCTTGAGAGTCTGGCTAATGTGAGTCACACCCTGTGAGAAGCCTTGGTAAAGTTGTGCCTCTGTACAGGCAAAGCCGGCCCAGCTCTATCCCAGATGAAATCCACATTGGTGCTGCTGGAGCCTCAGAATAGGCCAGGCCAAACCCTCAGGGTTACCTGGCCTCCCGCCCTCCAGGCCTGACCCAGACCCCACTCAGCCCCCAGGGAGCAGCGACTCCCTGTGGTGAGGCAAGTCCTGAGGGCTTCCCAGGAGTCTGCAGCTGGGCTGGGACCCCAGACTCCCCCAGTGGTGATGACTGGGCTCTGACATGTTGTAGCCCCTGGGGTTAGCTGAGGTGGGCAGCTCCTAAGCCGTGCTTTCTTCACCAGTCCAGTCTGAGGGGGAGAGAGGACAAGGTGTGTGGCCCCTGTGTTAGGTGCCCTGTAGTGTGTGATGGTGTGTGACACCACCAGCCCCACCCAGGTGCCCCAGGACCCAGGAAGAACCTCAGCCATGCTTTCTGATGAGTGTGGATTGCTAATCCAGGAAGAAATAAATCTGGGAGTTTTCTGGGCATTTTACAAACAACAGCTAGCATAAAAAGCTTACGTAAAAATAGCAGTTGGGCAAATGATCAATTAACTGATATTATAAGGAACTAGAGAAATGAACAATGGTGCTGACGTGACTGCACCGCCCTGTCCCCCAGTCAAACCCATGTGAACTCTGCACTCACCTTGAAAGCCAGCTGGATGGTGTCCAGGGTCCGGGCCGGCCGGCAGACGACAGACAGGGCAACCACACACTCTCGCAGGTCCACCTCGCCGCTGCCGCTCTGTGGGGAGAGACGCTCTCAGCCACAGCTCGGCCGCCTTCGGCACTGGAGAAACGCCAGGGTTTCCCATGGGTGCTGGTGTTAATTAAAGGCCAGTCCCACTCTCACTCGGGAACATCTGCCCATGTGAAAAGGGAATCTTGGAAGGACATTCCACCAAGTGGGTTCTCCAAGGTCACTGTGCTGTGTACACTTCTTGGGGCCATTACAGTGACTTCCCAAAGTTCACAAGGCTGCCACAGGAAGCACCTCAGCAAAGCACACGCGATGCAATGCCTGCCACCTGCCAAGACCTGCATTTGAGAATACCCCCTAAGCACCAAGGCTGATTCTGGGCTCTAGGAATTTGGTCTGTTTATGGCAACCCATTCATCCTGCAGAAAGAAGGTGAACCCGGAGCTGTGACGTGGAGCTAAACAGCAGCCCGGGCCAGCTGTGGAAGCCAGTCAGCCCCGCGCTGACCATTCTCAGTAACTCCTCACACCCAGAGTCTCCAGGGACATGCTGATGTGAGTGAGCAGGGTGGTGAGAGGCACAGGTGGGGGCTGACAGGGTCTGCACTTCTGATGACGATGGGGACAGTCTGCACGTGGCTGCAGGGTGTGCCCAGGCCACAGGAAAGAACCTCCCAGGTCAGGGCGGGAGGAGGTGAGGAGCACCCTGGACAGGGGGAAGACTCTCTGGTCAGACAGCAGGAGATGAAGGGCAACCAGGAGTGGAGGGAGGACTCCCTGGTCAGAGAGCAGGAGGAGGTTCCAGGAAGAGAGCAGCAGGAGCATCCAGGGGTAGAGGGAGGGCTCCCAGGTTGGAGAGAACAAGAGAAGGTGGGGAGCACACAGGATAGGGGGGAGGACTCTGGCCAGACAGCAAGTGAGAAGCACTCAGGACAGGGGGAGGACTCTGGCCAGAGAGCAGGAGGTGAGGAGCACCCAGAGGCAAAGGAAGGACTCCCTGGCTGGAGAGAGCAAGAGAAGATGAGGAGCACCCAGGAGAGGGGAAGAATTTTGGCCAGAGAGCAGGAGGTGAGGAGCACCCAGGACAGGGGGAGGACTCTGGCCAGGCAGCAGGAGGTGAGGAGCACTCAGGAGCAGAGGGAGGACGCTCTGGTCAGAGAGCAGGAGGAAGTGAGGTGAGGAGCACCCGGGGCAGAAGGACTCCCTGATCAGAGAGCAGGAGATAATGAGCACCCAGGATGGGGGAGGACTCTGGCCAGAGAGCAGGTGAGGAGCACCCAAGGGCAGAGGGAGAACTCTGGTCAGAGCAGGAGGAGGCGAGGTGAGGAGCACCCAGGGGCGGAGGGAGGACTCCCTGTTCAGAGAGCTGGGGGTGAGGAGCACCCAGGGGCAGAGGGAGGACTTTGACCAGTAGTTGCCCCTCTACGCTTGTGTCAACCACAGGCTGTAGGTGCTAGGGGTGAGACGCACACAGGTCCCTGAAGGTCTTCTGAGGGAACTGATAGCTTTCTTTGTGCTACGCCACACCCCTTGCAAGGCATGGGGTACTGGGACTGGGGCTTGGGTGTCTGGCAGGTGGAAATGACTACAAGTCCCTGGCTCTGGGAAGGTCTCGGGCTGGGGGTCTGAGGTCCTGGGTGTAAATGGAGAATACTCCTATCTCATAAGATCATGTGCATCTGAAATTGCAGAAAATAAAAAATTAACTGCACAGTGTCATAAGTTACCTCGGAACGCTGCCTGTGAAACCAGGAATGCTGCCTGTGAAACCAGTATTCACCATTTCACGTTTCAATTCCAACACTGTGGTAAAGCGCCTGAGTGCAAACGCAGCTGCAGATGTGGCACGGACACCAGGAGGGACTCGCATCCGAGACGCTGTTTGCAGCTGCCTCGTAGTAGAGGGCCCGCGGCTGGGGGCCCCTTACGGACACTAGGCAGGACTCGCATCCGAGACACTGTTTCCAGCTGCCCTGTAGCAGAGGGCCCGTGGCTGGGGGCCCCTCTGGTGCGTGTGGGAGAATGCCCTGAGCCACGCACTGTGATCCTTGGTTCACACTCTGCATACTTGCGGGGCAGCCTCCTTCCCCTGTCCTGGGTGCTCCTCATCTTCTCTTGCTCTCTCCAACCAGGGAGTCCTTCCTTTGCCTCTGGGTGCTCCTCTCTCCTCTCTCCTGCTCCTCCTGCTCTCTGGCCAGAGTCCTCCCCCTGTCCTGAGTGCTCCTCACCTGCTCTCTGGCCAGAGAGGCCTCCTGCCAGCCCGGGTTCCACCCAGGACTGCACTGCAGCTGCTCCGTGTTGGTGCAAAACATATATGGTGCTGTCACACGGGACATCTCATGCTGTCACGGGACAGTCATGGCTGAAGGAGCCTTCTACACACACCCTGGCGTATCACCAGCTCCTCCAGGACCACAGTGTAAGTGTCCATGCTGTGACACTAACACCCAGAAAAGACCAGGATTGGCTGACCTGTGGCTCGCCGTGGCAGCCTGTCCCGCCCCTGCGTGCCACCTCGCACCTTCCTAAAACCCCGAGGCTGCCCGCCATGTTCAGGGCCACCTGGTGTGACCGTGGATGCCTCATCAATTACGACGAGGACCTGGGGATGACGTGCGGAGGGCAGAGGGGAGTGGGCGGCTGCACCAGGAGGAAGCCCTCCCACACCCACAGGCTGGCGGGGAGCCTCTAAGCCGATCATAGAGGACGGGCGTGTTATTAGAAACTCTGACGCTGCAAAGAGCAGCTCTGGTGAGCAGGGGACCCTGCAGGGGGTCCCTTGGAGACCCCAGGCTGGGTGTCACAGTTTGATATTGTTAGACTCCGTAATCACACTGAAAAACCCCAAACCACAGGCACATTCATCAGTGAAGGGTAATTTAAACGTCAAATGTGTACGCGTATTTAAAAGCATGGAAGGAAATACCTCAAAATGATAGGGTGGGGTGGTGATGGGTGGTTTTCCTTCTCTGCTTTCAAATTCATGTGAAAATATATTTATATTAGAATGAGAACAATTTATGCTTCAAAAAGCAGGAGGTTTTGCCGACACCCCGCTCCGCAGGCGACAGGCCCTACCTCGTCGAACAGTGAAAACATGTCTTCCAGCAAGTCAGAAACGGGGACTTCCAGGGAGGCGGCAAACTCCGCAATACCTATCTTCTCTCCTCCCTTCATCCTGGCTCTTTCTGAGTATCTGTCCAGATCTTTTTCAAGCTTTTCTGGTTTTAGCCTAGACAAAAAAAGAGGGAAAGCTTTCTTTTTCAATAAAATGGTGGCATGCTAACACCAGATTTACTTCTAAGACTCATCAAAATATTAAAATTGACAGAAGTAGCAGCAAGCTAGTTTTCAAGAAAAGGCATTCTCCTAATTGGAAGGTGCGAGATGTGTTCTGTCCAAGTGTCAAGCCAGGTGCCTGTGCCCCTGAGACCCGTTCCCTTCCCAGGGCAGATGTGGCAGGACACAGGGTGGCCCTCCTGGGGCGCCGTCCACAGACAGCTGATGCCAGCATTAAGGGATTGAAAGACACTATGTGGGCTTAAGTTGATATTTGAAAAAAGCCAGAATAATTAATAATTATCTCCTCAGTTCCCCTCCCTGCAACCCCAGGCAGCCCCCGCCAGACCTCGGCATCACGGGTTCTAGCTAATGCTCAAGGAAGAAGAACCAGGTACTCACCCGAGGCCCCGCACGAGCCTGGCAAATTCTAAAAGGCAAGTGTCAGCGGGGAGACGGAGCTGTCCTTCCGCCAGGGCCAGCTGGCAGTCCTCGAACGTGTAGTCAGTCACGGAGACACCCAAGGCCCTACAAGGAGGGCAGCACCCCCGTCAGCCCAGCCTCGTGGCAGCCAGTTCCCACCGCCCCACCAGAATAACCGCCGATGGCTCAGGGGAGAGGAGGGCTGAGGAGAGGCAGTGAGACAGGGGAAGGGCCAGTTGGTGGGGCAGTCACACATTCATCGATCAGCTTCACCTCTCGTGGGTGCTCTGAAACGATGACGGCAGCCACACCAAAGGTCACTGACACAGACTGCCATCACGTGAGAATCGTGAAAAAGTTTGAAACAGCGTGAGAATTACCAACATGTGACGTGGAGACACGAAGTGAGCTCATGGTGCGAGAATTACCAACATGTGACCCAGAGACGCCAAAGTGAGCTCACAGTGCTGGAAAACGGTGCTAATAGGCTTGCTCAACACAGGGTTGCCACAAACGTGAAGCAACTGTCTGTGAAGCACAGGATGAAGCAGAGTGAGGCGGGCTGTGCCCTCACTCCCAGAGCTGCTCTGACCGTGCCGTGTGTGCTCAGGTGATGAGAAATCGGTGCCTCTCTAGTCCTAGTTGAGAGCCGCTGAAGTTCCCCTTGGCAAACTTAGGCATCATCATTTGGAACAGGAGAGTCTCAGGCTATCCACAGGAAAGGACAAGGCCCAACTGAGCGGCTGCCTGTGAAGCTCACAGCAGTCCTGGCCCCGCCACGTGTGACTCCAGGTGAGCCAGGGACCAGGAGCCCTGGCTGGGAGAACCACCCACCTCCGCCAGCCACACCTGGGGCCATCCCCGGCCTCTCCTGATGGCCCGTCCTGGGTGGCACCTCTCTCCAGGCCAGCACTGCACACGTGCCATTCAACTCAGAACCCCAAATGACTCAGAGGCGAGCCCCATCCCAGATGAAAACCAAGGTCGAGGAAGGATGTGTGCGCTCTGCCACCCTGGGGTGCCACCATCCTTGCAGCGGGCAGGGGAGGAGAACGTGCTTCCAACACTGCCTCCTAGGACCCACTACGGGAGTGGGAAACCAGCCGGGAGGAGGCGCTGCCAGGGTCCCTCTGCTCATGATCAACTCCACTCCCCGAGTGGGGCTGCACGGCCCCGCCCAGGCCCAGGAGTCCGAGGCTGCTTCTCCCTCCCATCTCCACTCCGAGTGGGGCTGCACGGCCCCGCCCAGGCCCAGGAGTCCGAGGCTGCTTCTCCCTCCCATCTCCACTCCGAGTGGGGCTGCACAGGCCCCGCCCAGGCCCAGGAGTCCGAGGCTGCTTCTCCCTCCCATGTTCCTTGGTGGGGGGTTTTGCTGACGGTGGCAGACCCTCCAACGGCCCTGATGTGATGAAACATGGTTCCCGGTAATTTGGAGTGGGGTTTTAAGAGAATTCTGAATTACTACAATGGAAATGGCAGCACTCTCGTACCCTAAAAAAAGTACAAGTTCCTCGGAGTCTGTTTGAAATGGAGGGTTCTAAAATAATCAGTGAGGCCCACAGGCGATCTCTCCTTGAGCGCTGTAAAATCTGTTCTCTTCCTCCTAAGTCCCCAAAAGTAGCCAGTATTGGCAGCAGTCCGGAGCACAGGTGCTGGGCTTGGAGGTGGGAATGCATTCCCCTGGCTCGGCGCCTACTCAGCTTTTTGTATTGTTCAGAGCTGCCTGTGGTGGGGGTTGAGTGGAGCTTTGCGGGACAGAGACTGCCGGGCCCATTTCTACCCTCGGACACATGCTTTGGGAGGGAGAGGATGGGAACGTGAGGGAACGGGCCGCCCAGCTGAATCTTCAGGGTGTCAGCGGAGTGTGAACAAAGTGGCTCGGAGGTCAGAGCCAGGCACACTCTGATGGGCCCGGCCGTGGCTGTGTTCCCCTCTGGGCTCTCTGGAGAGGCGAGTTCCCAGCCATGCCCCGACCTGCTGCAGCAGGAGCCTGGGGGTGGGGCCGGTGGACCGAGGCTGATGTGGCTTCCAAGTGGCTCCTGCAGCTCAGGTCTGGCAGCCGCCCGGTGGAGGGGAGGCTCTAGCTCCACTGGACAGAGCTTTGCAGGAGGAAGCACTAGGGAGGCATTCACGTGGGGGTAAATCCAGGTGGGAGGACCTGGTTGCAAGGACAAGTGTGGGGGGAATGGGACCTGAGGGATGGAAGGTGCTGAGGGAGGGAGATGGGGAGGGCGTGTGAGCTGACGACACCGAGGGAGGGAGAGGGGGAGGGCGTGTGAGCCGACAGCACTGCCGGCCATGCAAGCAGGGGACCTGGGACCATGGGAAGCGAGGACATTCCCTCTTCCTAACTGCATGCACGACAACTGTGTAAGCAGCACAAGTCACCTTACAAGATTAAATGTGCAACCACCACTCCACTCTGCCAGATAGAGTAAGGGCACCGGTAAGTATCACACAGGCAGATGAGCAAAGGTAGGCGTGGAGGCCGCCGCACAGATGTGAAGTTGGCCCAGGCCAGCGCCCCGCTGGCTCATTTAGGGCACAGGAAACATAGGACCTGGGGTGACCAACGGCTGCAGGCAGGTCTGGAAGAACCAGTCATGCATCTTCCCAACGTCAAAGAGGGTGAAATGCCATCAGAGGGAAACAAGGGGCGCACAGCACAAGGCCAAGCACGCTTCACCAACATGCATGAAGCTGGTTCCCGCACTTCTGCAAGAATGCCTTTTCCTAACGCTGTTGCCTATTTTAAATATACAGAGAGCAGCACTCTGGGAGACACCCCTGACTCGGCGATGGGGGAAGGAGCTGCTCACTTACTCGGCCATGACTCGCCGCACGTTGCTGGCATACAGCGCGGGGTTCCTCTTCTCCTCCTCAGAAGGGCTGTACACAGGAAGGAACTGAGCACACAGAGAAGCTGCGTTAGTATCACAAGACGCTGACCTCAGCAACACCACTGTAACGACAACTGGGAGGCTGACAAAATTAAGATCTGTCAAAGTAACGCCCATTAGAACCGTCTTCAAAGTTGTCATGTGCACGTGTGTGTACGCACACACACACCCCCATGATGCATGAACTGCACACGTGTGCACCTGAACACTCACCCTCATTGGTGCTCCCTGGGAGCACCTGCTGCCTACATCAGAACATCTGGCTCTCTGATCTACACTCACCCCCGTCAGTGCTCCTGGGAGCGCCTGCTGCCTACATCAGAACATCTGGCTCTCTGATCTACACTCACCCCCGTCAGTGCTCCTGGGAGCGCCTGCTGCCTACATCAGAACATCTGGCTCTCTGATCTACACTCACCCCCGTCAGTGCTCCTGGGAGCGCCTGCTGCCTACATCAGAACATCTGGCTCTCTGATCTACACTCACCCCCGTCAGTGCTCCTAGGAGCTCCTGCTGCCTACATCAGAACATCCAGCTCCCTGATCTCACAGAGGGGCTTACGCCCATTTCTGACAGCATCAGTTTTGTAATGGGGATAATGCAGCACGTTATTCCTACATTTGGAACAGATTATTGGCAGCGTTTTGCCACCTCTTGCATTTTGAAACTAAAAGAAATTGTCCAGTGAATTTGTCCTTGCCTGAGTGACACTTACACAGCATTTTAAATGAATATGACCCACATTGCACACCGTGCAGGAAAGGGCACAAGACTACCCTGGATGTCCTTTTCTCTAATACGGAATATTTCAGAATACAGGAACATCCTGAAACCCCAATTCTCGCTGTTATTTCTAAAACTTCCGTAAACTGCCATGGTTCCTTGCATCAACATTTGCATCTTGTATGAACAACGTCAGTAAGGACAGAGCAGTTTTGCACAGCCATTCACTTTCTTTTCAACTCTTAAAATTAGAAACCAGGCCTGTAACACAGCCATTCAACACCAGGGAGCCCTCAGGAGCTCAAGCTCAGTCCCTGTGTTCTGTGCTCGAGGCCTGGCCTGCACCCTCCCGGCCACTGCCCATCCAGCCACATAATCCTGCTGGGTGGGGGAACTGCCGCCCTCAGGCCCGGGCCAAGGCCCTTCAGCCCAGTCCTCTGTAATGAGAGCAGCTTATCCTCTATGGAAGTGAACAGCCGGGCTGAAAGCCGGGCTTATCAGTATATTTCGTAGTGCTCTCCAATATTTACTGGAAGGCAGCAAATTGTTTTATTAAATATTTAAGTTGCATGTGACTCATCTTTTATTTCCAGATGCAAGAAGTGCATATTAATTCCCCTTTTAAACAAAAAAAGAACTACTCCTCATCGACTTAGAAAAAATTGTGCAGGCTACACAGAGGTGACTATTTAGCCCAAGGTCTTGACTCTGGAGACCTGGGTCAGGCTGAGAAGGGGGATCTTTGACTATGTATTAAACAGAGCATGGTGCTATGACAAACTCAGCGGTATTAAATATGTAAAGTAAAACTAAGAGCCAAACAAATAATTATTTGCATGTGGGCCAGCTTCATATGTCCTTAAGCTACAATACCCATAATAATGAATGGTAGGTTTAAAAAATCCTTTCCAGCTGGGTGTGGTAGTTCACGCCTGTGATCCCCGCACTTTAGGAGGCCAAGGCGGGAGGACTGCTTGAGCCCAGGAGTTTGAGACCAGCCTAGGCAACAAAGTGAGACCCATCTCTACAAAAATTAGCTAGGCATGGCGTGTGCCTGTGGTCCAATTACGTGGGAGGCTGAGGCAGGGAGATCACTTGGGCCCAGGAGGTCGAGGCTGCAGTGAGCCCATCGCTACACTCCAGCCTGGGCAACAGAGCAAGACAAAATGCTGTCTCAGAAAAACAAAAAACAAAAACCCAAATCTTATCCAAGTGGTTCAGACTCATAAGAGAGACATAAAGTCATTGAGGTAAAGCAACCAGAGGCTCCTCGAAGGAGCCCTGAGAAACGGAAAGATGGGAAAGCAAGACAGGTGATATGCCACATTGTACAAGGCTTATCTGGGCATCCTGGTGTAAGCTCGTGTCTGCATCAACCACTGTGAAGAGCGCTGTGTAACTCTGTATCCATACGAACCTCGATTTCCACTTGGTTGTGAAACTGACACAGCGTGAGCCACAGGATTTCCAGCCTTAAAAACAGATTGCACAATGTTGAGCAGATTTACAACTCGGGTTAACAAGTAAATTACTCCCAATTCTGGGGTGAAACCTCCAGACGCGCCCTCCAGAGGGCGCTACTGGGCAGTCAACGCTCCCACGGAGGGGGTGCCGTGCCCACCCAGCCCGAGCCCCAGTGTGACGTACAGCCGTGGGTGGAAATGCTGCTTTTCCGATTCAACACCTGCTTATGTCCTTGGTTCGTCTAGCAAGACACCATCTCCTGCTTGTTCTCCAGCTCAGGAGACCTCGTACAGCCCACACCTGTCCCTCCACACCTGTCCCTCCTCGCTGTCCCCAGGCAGCACAGGCCCTGAGTCATGCCACCCCTCCAGCCTGGATCCAGAGTTCCCAACCTCAGAACCAGGATCACCATGCCTTTGCCGCAGGAGTTGACATGGGAGACATTTGGAGCTGCTCCCAGGGCCACACTCACGCCTCCGACAGCCCAGTGCCCCAACCCTCTTTCTGCCCTGTCATGCCAGCCCCAGCCCTAGGCCCCCGGGACCCCAGAACCCCTATACCCCCCAGAGCCCCCTCCCAGCTCTGCTCCCAGCTGGGAGCCTCCACACGCCAGCCTGGGAAGCGCTGACCTCAACACCTTCACCTGAAAGCACCAGCGGACCCACATCCTCCCAAACGCCTGGAATGGAGCTGCTCTCTCTTGGACTTTCCCGCTCCCTCTGCCCTCCCGACGTCAGCTCAGACGTCAGCACCCAGGAGGCCCTGACCAGCCTGTGGCCCCGGGCTTCTCCTCTGGGGCTCGTTCCCGTTTCCGTGGGGTTGTTCATTGTTGCATAACTGACCTTCGGTGTCTCTGCTGGGGGGACAGGGACACTGACTCACAGCAGGGGCTGGCCTCCCACCCAGCACTACTCAGTCTCTGTGCCTGTGCAGACGGGGTCCCCCCAGACACCCCTAAATCTCCACTTTCCTTACCAGGGGCCACCAGGTGGACGATCGTAATTACTGAGCTGGCAAACTCGAGAGCCGAATGCAAGACTCACAGTTCCCTTCCTGCTGGTACTGAAGACGTGCAACTTAAGACCCCAGAATCCAGGAGTGTCAGGCCTGGGCCACATCTGTACGTTTAGTTTTCACAATGGGCTGAACCTAACGGCTGTCCCACACCTGCTTTCACAACTGCAAAAGTAACTAGCGTGCACAGCAGACCCCAAGCAGCCCCTACGTGTTCATGGAACAACAGGACAAAGAGGACGACACGGCGTTCAACTTACGCTCCAGGTCCTTGCCACGTCCATGTGATGGTGTCCTGGGGAGGAAGAGGCAGGGTCAGTCAGCATGGGGCCTGCACCCAGGGCCTGCACCAAGCACCTGCGTGTGCCGGCCTCTCCCTGCACCTCCCACCCCACAGAGGCGCTGCAGCCAGGGGGAAGGGAGGAGGGTGCTAGAGCTCCAGCTTCCCAGAGTCCCTGAGGATCCAGGACTCGGACCAGCCCCCCAGCCTGAGGTCCCCAGAGCCTCTAAGGACCCAGAGAACCACCACCTTACAGGTCCCCAGAGTTCCCCCAAGATCCCCAGAGTCCCTGAGGACTCAGAGCCCCCTCTTATAGGTTCCCAGAGCCCCTAGAACCTGGGAAAAGGGTCCTCCCTCCCTCCATGCTCTCCGCTTTCCTCACAGACCTGGGGACACCAATTCCAGTGTGCACCCGGGACCCCGGCCCTCTCCTGCCCACCGCTCTCTCCAACTGCTCTGAGTGTTCCCCCAACCACGGTGCATGTGCAGGGCCCCCCCACCCCGGGTGCTCTGAAGTCCCATCTTCAGCCTCAGTGCCGCCGGGCAGGGACCACACAGCAGGGGCCGTGACGGCAGAGGCCCAGACACCGTCACCCTGGGGTGGACCTTCTGCTCCCCTGACGGCTAAGCTAGTGCTTCTTGGTGCATCCAGTAATAGTGTGTTGCTTTAAACACACTGATGAAACAATCTTAAAAGTGGAAAATCTAGATGACTGCACAGATCGGAGTCTGTTGTCCTCGGGTTGACTTTTTTGCCCACAGGAGTTGCACTGGGGCATGGTTTCCGCAGCGGAGGCAGGAAGGGGCCCTTGGCCAGGAGCCTGGCTGACAAACGCACGCCTCAGTAAGAAGGAAGAGGTCTTTCAGTCGTGTGACTACCGGCCCTGACTCCATTTTATTACCTGACCGTCAGCTCTCCGGGCAAAGTGAAGCCCGGCAGGCATCGGACGGGACAGGCCCTGAGGCGGATGGCCCAGAACCCTGGCACCCAGAGGTCACCTGTATTTCTGCCCCACTATGTCCTGACCCACGGGGGTTTTCTTTCAGTGCTTTCCTTTGCCATCACAAAAAGGAACTGCTATAGACGGGAAGCTCGCTGTGATGGGCAGGCCCTCCTCGGTGCTCTCCCAGGTGGGTGCTCCACCAGGAACCTGCAGTGAGCCCAGCACCAGTGGGCTGTGGGGACCTTGAGTCCACCTGGGCCGTCTTTATGCTCCAGGAGCCCATGAAGGGGCAAGGACGTGCGGGAGTCATTGCTGTGGAAGGGGGAACACAGCTGGCACCAAATGAATGCCCTGAGCTCGGCGGCAGGCCTGTGAGGCAAGGTCGCCTAAGTGGGGAGGGCCGATGGAACCGGAAGTATTCTGAGCATCCAAGAGCACCTGGAGGAAGGTGCAGCAGCCACCTTACAGGTGTGGAAACTGAGGCAGGACATGGGCAGGGGCGGGGCCAGGGGGTGGGGCTGCGGCCAGGGGCAGGGATGGAGCAGGGCCTGGGTCAGGGTGGGGTGGGGCGGGGCAGAGCCAGGGCAGGCTGGGGTGGGGTGGGGTGGGCTGGGGTGGGGTGGGGTGGGGCAGAGCCAGGGCAGGGTGGGGTGGGGTAGGGTGGGGCAGAGCCAGGGCAGGGTGGGGTGGGGTAGGGTGGGGCAGAGCCAGGGCAGGCTGGGGTGGGCTGGGGTGGGGCAGAGCCGGGGTGGGCTGGGATGGGGGGAGTAGGGTGGGGCAGGGGGGTGGGGTGTGATGGGCCAGGGCAGGCTGGGGTGGGGTGGGGTGGGGTGTGGTGTGGTGGGCTGGGGCAGAGCCAGGGCAGGCTAAGCCTCCTCCAGAGGTGGCAAGGCCCCATGGGGAACTGCTCTGAGGCCTCGTCCAGACTTTCTCCCAAAGGTGGGGTCTACCACCTTCGCCCCAGGAGCTCTGGACCCCAAACACCTTCTTAATTCTCTTAAACCAAACAAAACCTGGGCACTAAATGATAAAACCACAGAAATGACAAAGTCACCTCCTTTCTCTCCAGCTGCCTCCGCCTTCCAGAACTTAAATGTTCTTAATTTTTAAACTTCCTGGAGCATGAACTGGGTACTGAAAGCTGCTGGGGGCCCTGGCCGGTGATGTGGGGTGGAGGGGTTCCCTCTCCAAAATGTCAGGTTTGGCACACAGAGGAAAGGGCAGCTTTGTCAGGAGCTATGGAAGCAGGGCTCTGGAACACTGGGGACCACTGTGGAATCATGGGGTTGATCAGGGACACGTGCATAGAACAGGCCGCACTCAGGAACGTGCCGAGCCCAGGGCCCGGGCCTGTCCTGCCCTCTCCAGCGCTGAGGCCGGATGGACTCAGCATGGCCAAGTGTGGGCTGTGGCGCAGATAAAGGGTGTGGAGAGACAGAGACACAGGTGCACAGAGGCAGCTCGCAGTTCCCGTTTCCCGGAGAATTCCCCTGGAAGCTGACCCCAAAAAAACACAACTCACCAGTTTATTTGGATATCGTAAAACCACAGGCTGGACGGGCGCTCCAGGGATGAATGCACCTGCCGAGAAAGGAACAGCGGTGTTGCCCATGGCAGCCCACGCAGGACAGCGTCTGCTGCGTTTCTCATGCTGCCCTTGGGATAAAAGTGAGCTTTTCTGTCTAGGCCTTCCTGGTCAGCAAGGGCACTCCATGCCTGGACTATCTCAACATCTGTCCTGACCGTAAACACCCAGCGCCACAGCACGGATGGGCAGGAACATCGGCCAGGGGCGCTCCCCGGCCAAGGAACACTTTCTGTTTTAACATCGCGCACGAGCTGGAAGGCGTCTGTGGAGGGACACTTGCTATTATAACATTGCGCACGAGCTGGAAGACATCCGTGGAGGGACACTTTCTGCTGTAACATCGCGCACCAGCTGGAAGGCGTCTGTGGAGGGACACTTGCTATTATAACATTGCGCACGAGCTGGAAGACATCCGTGGAGGGACACTTTCTGCTGTAACATCGCGCACCAGCTGGAAGGCGTTGGTGGGAAGTGGGGGTCCTCATCACCGGCCAATGCTCACCCACCTGACGGGGTTAGGGTCTGCCCTCACCAAGCACATACACCTGCCTCGGGGCCCCACCCGCCGCCCTCACCTGCCCCTGGGGCTCAGCTCCAAGGACGGGCGGATTTGGTCACAGCTGCAGCAGGACTTGCCCGGGATCTGCCTCTCTCTCTGAGTGGCTGCCACCTGATGGGCTCCCAAGGAATCAGGAGGAGCCCCAGCGAGGCCCAGCTAGAGCCACAGGCCGCAGAGGCTCAGGAACTTCCCCGTTCCCACTGGAATTGTGGCTGTACCCAGCAGCCGCTCCGCCTTCTCACTGGCCGGAGTTGTGCCCTTGCGGGCTGGAGCAAGGCACCATGGACTCTGTGGATGATTGTTTCTATTTTAAATTCTATTTAAATCTCTATTGAAAGAGTTTTTTTTTAACTGGAAAACTCAGGCATCAGAAGTACTCAAGTTTTAGAACAGGACAGGCGGTCTGAGAAGGGCTCCCCTGCCTGGCGACCTGAGGCCAGGCGAGTGAATCCCCAGGCAGCGCGTTCCTCCCAGGCTGCCAGCGAGTGCCACTATGTGGTCAGGAATTTGCGGTTGGTCCTGGCTGCGGGATTCTGCACAATTCTGGGAGAATGGAGCCCATGCTTGCCCCTAGGGCTGCCAGGAGCATCTGTCCCTAGGGCCAATTCTCCCTTCACGGTGGCCTGAGGCCAGAGGCCCGTGTCAGGGCTGAAACCTCGAGCTGACCGCCCAACCCACTCAGCTTTCGTCTCATGCAGGACATCCACCTGCAGCCTTGGTGTCCAGCTGGCACCCCAAGTCCCTGGGCCCGTGTGCCGCAGCTTCCCCTGTGTCCAGGGCTGGGTTGCCCCCTTCCTGCTGTGGGCTCAGCAGCACCTGGGAGCAAGCTCATGCAGTTCACCCAGCACTTCTGTGTGCCCAGGTGGACGGGTGGCTGTGTCAGGGGAGGCGGAGGACGGCAGGGCTGGCACAGACCCAGGCTCAAGCCCCAGCTCCAACGCCCGGCAGCCGAGTCCCAGCCCCTGAGACACGCAGTGTGGAGGAAATAGTCCTCATTGCCTGGGACCGAGCCCAGGAGCTCGCGTGGAGTGCCGAGACCTGCTGTGGGTGATAATGGCTCTGCTGCTACAGCTCAGCCGACCATCCCGACCATGTGTCAAGGGGACATCACTGAAACTCAGTAAGAATCAAAGGAAACCTCAACACCCTGGGGACCTCTCAGGAAAGTCCCCAAGAGCACAGAAACCCCCCATGAGCCTGAAAGGTCAGTGACTTCATGGAAACCCCGGTGGGAAAGTCTGCAGGGGTCTCTGGCCTCCCTAGTCTCCCAGGGGCCCCTGAGGGTCAGCAGCACCCAGACCCCGCCAGCACTGTGCACCCAAGGCAGGCTGCACAAGGGCCAGGCTGGGAGAAACCAAGATGAGGCAGTCAGAGCCCAGGGCTTCTGAATGCAGGAACAAGGCAGAGGGGAGGAGGTACGGGCTTCTAAACTGCACAGAAACCTCCATATTCACACATAGCTTGTGCTGGGCATGGGTCTAACGTCACTAGTTGCAACAATGAGGCTGGAAGATGGCTCAACAGGGACCCCTGAGGCCCCCAGAAGGCCATCACCCCTTATTCACCCTGACCATCCCCCACAGCCCACCCCACAGGAAGAAACAGTCCACCATGGCCCAGGGAGAGCCGTGTCCACATCTGCTCACAGCCTGTGCAGGGAGGCCGCTGCGGCCCAGGGACAGCCACATCCATGTTTGCTCACAGCCCGTGCAGGGAGGCCGGGGAGAGCCACATCCATGTCTGCTCACAGCCCGTGCAGGGAGGCCAGGGACAGCCACATCCATGTCTGTTCACAGCCCGTGCAGGGAGGCCACTGTGGCCCAGTGAGAGCTGCGTCCACTTCCAACAGCCACATTTGGTAGGCCCGCCTCTGCATCCTCGGGCTGTCAGTGCCATCGCTGGGCCCACGCAGCATCCTAGGGCCTTCTCACTGTCTTCGTTCTGCTCTGAGAGCTTGGAGCTGGCAGGCAGGTGGGGTGTGGGCATGTGGAGGGCGTGGGCCCAGGACCTTCCAGGAGGGGTCTCCAGGTACCCAGTCAGCCGATCCTGCTCTAGTGCCCTCTGACAAGGAGGGTGAGTGTGGGCACTGGAGAGGAAGGCCCCACATGGGCCTGTTTCAGGAGCAACTCAATCCCTGCAGAGCCCTGAGGGTCCCAGCCCTGCTGGAACCCACCACATCCAGCAGACCCCACAGGGCTCTGCTGAGCTCTATCACCCCCACCTCAGAGGCGGCACCCCTGGCCTGGGTCAGAACAGGGGGACTCAGGTGGACAGTGCAGCACAGACAAGAGACACTCAGGAGAAAGAAGGCACCTGGGCCCAGGAGGACCCTGCTGGAGGCTCCAGGAGCCTGAGGCTGGAGGCTGGGCCCAATGCGGGAAGGTCTCCGGGGATGAAGGCGGGGAGTCAGCAGTGGTGCCCAAACGGGTGACCCCAGCAACGTGACCCCAACATCAGGCGATGTGATGAAAGGTGGAGGGAGGGTCTGAGTGGGTGGGCCGCCATGGAGCTGGGGCAGCTGGAGCCCAAGGCAGCAGGCAGGTTGTGGGTGCCTCTGTTGTCAGGCTCAAGGCGGGAGACGCTCACGGCTCTGGAGGGCTCCACCACGAGGCGTCAGGATCACGCACCACACACCAATTTCACCTCCAAACAGGAGGCTCCAAACCTCACTAAGAAGTACCCAGCTAAGACGCATGAGGGCCTGAGAGATTCCGAACACGTGACTCGAGGCAGCCGGAAACCCGGGCCTGCAGGTGACACGCAGAACTCATGGCTGGACCCACTGGAAATGGAGACGGGGAAAGGATCAAGCCACCGTGTCATCTCCCCAGACCCCGTGGAACCCACCTGGGGCACAGCGAGCGCCCTTCCTGGACTGCACACAGTGAGCTCCTACTGGGCACCGCCATGAGTCCCCTCAGTTTCGTGATATGCGTTGAGAGGTGCTCACACGCCCTCCTCACGTCTACACAAGGGCCGCCAGCTCCAAAGGGCAAGGCGATGGCCCTCCCCAGGGGCCTCCCTGCAGGCACGAGGCTCCACTCCCGAGGAACACCTGCCCTTGAAGACAGGGCCCAGCAGTGACCCCAGCCCCACACCTTGTCAAGGAACAAGACCTGACGTACTTGCCAGCTGTCTTCTGCCTGGGGCCTTGGAAACACGGCCCACTTTTGGCCTTCACCAAGGTTGCCCACAGGCCACGCCCAGGCACGGACCCAGTGTGGTGGGGGCACACGGATTCGTGGTCACCGCGTGCCGCCTCCACCCTCTGCATCTCTGGTTCTGATCAGAATGACTCAGAACCACGCGTGGTGAAGACAATGGAACGGGAAGACCCAGTACCTTCCAGTGAGCTGCACCTTGAAGCCTCTGGAAGCAAAACCTGCCATCTGCCTGCTGCACCAAGGAGGGTGGAGGGTGAAAGCACGCGCATCTGAGCTGGAGGAGGATGGCCACAGGCTCGGAAACCCCGGCGGCACACGTAGGTGAGTGACTGCACACTTTCTCGACCCAGCTCCCATAAATGTCCAGACACTCAGGTTGTGCGGCCCCAGAGGCACGGCAGCCGGTGCCAGTGTGAGCGAGGAACTGGCTTTTCCACGTGACTCTGATCCAACCACAGAGAACAGGTCTGCATGCCCCAGTATGGACACAGTTGATGAAAGCCACTACTTTCTAAAGTAGCCCAAGGGAGACGACAGGATCCAGGTGGACCCTCTGACACGCCCAAGGGTGTGCAGAATTCCAAACAGACTCAGCGCAAAAAGAACAGTGGACTCTGCTGCCTGCTCACTGCCACACTTCCCACGTCAGGGGTGCAGACACAATACTAGACCCAGGTAACCGCCGCGGGAGAGACCCAAGTTCACACGCATTTGAGTCCCCCCTCCCCAGGGAGAAAGAACACTGTCTAACTGGGGACCTGGGGACCTGGGCATCTGAGGATGGCTCGCAGGGATTTGCACCTGGGATTCCCAGGCGGGTGTGGGGCGTGAGCTGCAGGCCAAGAAGGGTACCCTGAGCCATTCAAAGGCAGTGAGACCCCTTCTGCACCCAGGACCCTCCAGCCTGGACCTCAAAACAGAGGCAAACATCTATCTCCACCTCACTGGAAACGCCCTGAAACCGTAACTTCTCCATCTTCCTGCAAACATGATAATCCTTGACTCACATTCTCAAATTTATTTTGTGACTTTTCTTAGGAATACCTCTAAGAACCCCAGCACACAGGATAAAAACAGAAACTGTTCTTATGTGCACAGCACATTATTAAAAAACATCTCTTTAATATTTTCCTTTTCTCTAGGAGAAAAATAAACATTTAAGAAAACTACATACCAGGTTTGAAGGTAATTAGGCAGGTCCTGTTTGTACAAGTTCCTTCTGGAAAAATCATTATCTGGAAGTGGGAGAAAGAAAAGGATCAGCATTAAACTGTACATAATTATAATTCAGAACTTACAGAAGCCAATCTTCACAATATATTTTCTTTTCTGCTGACATAATTTGGACACTGGGATCATATTCAGTACGTAAATTATTAAAATGCATTATGGAAGCACACACTGATTTCCGCTCTGCTGGTTTTATTAAAGTGTGGCAGCAGTATCAACACATAAACAGCATCTGTCTTCTTCAACTACAGCTCCTGGAAAGCAGGGTAGTCGCGGTGCCCACCTCTCAGACACTGTGAGAACCAGGTGCAACTAAATATAACCCACGGTTGGCACAACATAAGCACCTCCTGGGGGCAGCACTCATTCTCATCAGGAAGAAGGTGGGGAGGAGAGCAAAGACCCACAAATGGCAGTGCCTGGCTGATGGAGCCGAAGGAGGGCTGGGACCCCAGCAACGGGCTGGATGAGCAGGAGAGCCGAGCCCCAGTCAGGCAGCACCCTCCACACCGGGGTTTCAATTCCTCTGACTCACACTGGCCTGCAGTAGCAAAAACTGCCCTCAAACTCCCAGCCCCGCAGGCTGCTTTCAGTTCTGGGCCCCGTGAGGAAGACAGACCTCAGGGGGGCCGGCGTGGGCTCACCCTGGCAAGCCCAGGGCCAGGCAGGCCAAATGGGTGGGGGAGGAGACTGCCTGTGCTTGTGGGGGCAGAGCTGGGGCACCCTGGAAGTCACAGCCCTCTAAGGGGCTGCCCCCAGCCAGACCCTGCAAAGCTTCGTGAGCAATCAGATCCCAGACAGTTCTGTAAAATTTCCAGCTTCTAATGATGGCTCAGCTGGAAAGAAGAAAAACAGCGTCCAAGCTAATGTCAGCCAGGCTGCCCCTACAGCTGGGTTCAGGGCTTCTGAATGCCTGGGAACCAGCATACAGACCAGGAAGTTTACTCCAGGACTTTTAGAACCACCCAACACACAGCAGGCTGACACATCAACTCCAAAATCACACTGCACCAGGAGGGCGGGTGAGCAATGCTCTATCTGAGTCAGAACTTAGTTCAGAAAAGATGATTCAGGAAGCTGAGATGCATTTGAGAATTGTTTTTCTTTACTTTAACTTTAAATTTCGGGCACCGAAACCAAATGCACCTGACAGCACCCTCCTGAGTTCACGCACTCACTAGGAGAAGAGAATCAGAATCCAGCCCCGGAGGAAGGGCCCCAGTTTCTTTCTCCCCACTCGCGAAGTTCGCATCTTTCGGAATAAAACCACTGAAACACAATCAGGGCTACGTGCATTACCTGTGGCCACTTTCCGTTGGACTGCGCCCGTCTCTTGATTTCTTCTACTGTTTTCCTGCGAGAATCCTGGTCTGACCGGGACACGAACACAGGCCGTATATACTGGATCAGAGCTGGAAGAGAGGAGGGGAGACGGATCACGTGGAATGCACGGCTCCCGCCAGGCAGGGCTGAGGAACGAGGGGGCTGCTGCATGGCGCCCAGTGGGGCGGGAGACTCCAGATGCCCCAGGGGCTGTGCCATGGGTGGGCTGTGAGTCCCTGACTGAGGGAACGGGAACAGCACCCGGGCTTCCCATGTCTGTGACAGCAGGAAGCCCTGTAGCCTCAGTGCCACAAGTAACAAACAGCAAGTCCATGGCACCCACTGAGGACACGGAGCACAGAACGGAGGTCAATGAAAGACAACCGCCAGGAAGCAGAAAGTCTTTAGACCCAGTCTTCACAGAGGACAGGGTTGAAGGTGCCAGGTCCCTAGATTGGACCCCGCCTTCCCCCTGTGGGTTGAACTGCATCCCCTAAAAGACAAGCTGAAGTCCTCACTCCTGGTACCGGGAATGGGACCTCATTTCGAAACAGGTGGTAGCAGATGCTCAAGGTCCCGGATGAGGGTCCCTATGGGAAGAGGAGACAAAGCAGATGCTCAAGCTAAAATCCCAGATGAGGGTCCCTATGGGAAGAGGAGACGAAGAGGGGGAGAGAAGGCCAATGATGAAGGAGGCCATAGGAGGATGTGGCCACAGCCCCCACCACGAGCCGGGAGGGCCGAGGGAGCTTTCAGAAGAGCCCAATGCGGCCAGCACTTTGTTCTGGCACTTCTGCTTTTAGACGGCGGGAGAATATGCTCCTGTTGTTCTAAGCCACCAGCTTTGTGGTGCTTTGTAGCACAGCCCCAGTTTAACCATGGCACCCCACAGCCTCCTGGAAGTTGCGGGGTTGGGGTACAAGGGACACCCCGCCATGAAGGCTGGTGCTCAGCCAAGGCAACGTGGCCACGGCACCTGTCTTTATGCAAGAGGATTGAACGTGGAAACATACTTCTTAGAAGAGAAAACTCTGAAGACTTTAAAATGAAACTATCCCTGAGTGGAGCTTCCTTTTTGAGGACGGTGAGCAGGATCCACACTCGGCGCCCCCCAGGCCAACTGAAGGTGTCTCTGACCCCACCACGGGCTCCTAGGCTGCTGCAGGTCAGCCCCACCTCCCCACCCCAGTTCAGTTTCCAGTTTCTTTTCTTAGCGTTTTTATTACTTGTAAGGAGTAGCATTTCATGACTTTTATTCTTTCTTGGAGGTTCTCTCCTCCAAGAACGAGAAAATTGAAGCCAAAAAAAGAAAATTCCTTCTATCCTGTGGTTGTCTGTTGGGTCTCTGTGGTCTTTCCTATGTCTTGAATCATTTTGCTTTTTCACGATTCCAGTACTATTTCATCCTTGCTCATTGGTTATTCCCAACTCTGCTAAAAAGGACGATATCGGAAGGGAAGAATGGCGGAGTCGTCTCGCAGGATGGCGCACGCGTCAAAGAAATGGCCCTGATTGCGTGGTCTTTCGGTGCCCACTGTTTTGGCCAAAGCGTCCCATGGTCGTCCCGGGGCACACGGGGTCTGGAGATGCCACCCTGCCACCTTCGCAATCCTGTCAGCTGGTTTGTTTTGTGAACAGAGTAGAGATTTCAGAAGTTGTCTATAACGGCAAAGAACAGAACAGTGACGTGGGGGCGTTTCACACTCAGATGGGTCCGGGGGTAAATGTGGGGGGTGCAGGGGGAGGACTCTGAGTGAAGTCTTGGGCCGTGCGTCTTCATGTGGGTTGCCCGGTGTGCCTTTCACGCTGAGAACTGGGCAGTGAGGACAGCAAGGAGATGCAGCTCCTCCCCGGGAGCCCTGAGGAGGGAAGGGTGTCACCACGCCGTGTGCACAGCCACACTGGGACTGGCGCATTTTGCCAGCAAGAAGGTGACAGCGTTCTGCCGTCTTTTGGGCATTTGAGGCTCAAACTTTCCTTGACAAGGTTTGTAAATGGATGGTGCGGATATGAAGGTCACTGAAAGGAAACTAAGAATGTGAAAAGGAAAAAATCTACCTGGTTGATCACTTTCATTGGTATTCATACATCTAAAAATGAAAATATTTTGAACATTTTCAACATTCATCTCTTCAACAAAGTTGTGAGCTGTCAAAGGGTCCACGAAAGGAACCAGAAGTCACCACAAGCTGGGACCGGGGAGATGTCTCTGAGCTGGAAACCTGGGAGACGTCTCTGAGCTGGGACCAGGGGAGATGTCTCTGAGCTGGAAACCAGGGAGATGTCTCTGAGCTGGGACCATGGGAGATGTCTCTGAGCTGGAAACCAGGGAGATGTCTCTGAGCTGGGACCAGGGGAGATTATCTCTGAGCTGGGACCACGGGAGATGTCTCTGAGCTGGAAACCTGGGAGATGTCTCTGAGCTGGGATGGGGGAAGATTATCTCTGAGCTGGGACAAGGGGAGATGTCTCTGAGCTGGAGCCTGGGGAGATGTCTCTGAGCTGGGGCCTGGGGAGATGTCTCTGAGCTGGGGCCTGGGGAGACGTCTCTGAGCTGGGGCCTGGGGAGACGTCTCTGAGCTGGGACCTGGGGAGATGGTTTTGAGCTGGAGCCTGGGGAGATGGTTCTGAGCTCCCGAATCAGAGGGTGCTCCAGGTGCGCAGTAGAGGAGTCATCAGCCACGCCCCAGGACAATGGCCCTTTCAGGCCAGGACAGCAGGGAGCAAAATGTGGTTCCTGCTAAGTCTGAATTCTAACGAAAATTTCTGATAAGCTTGTCACTATCCTCTCCCTCGCAGGTCCGTGGATTATCTCTGAAATGACAAGAAACACGCAGGGCTCCACGAGGGCCCTGCACACAGCAGCATGGCTGTGGCCATTCTTCCTGCTGCGCCGAGATGAAGGTCAGTGCTGGGTCACCTGGGTTGATCTGGAAGAGGTGGAATCCCGGGCCTCTAGAAAGATAGGACTACAACGTCCAGCATCACCGCACCAAACACTCCTTCGTGTTGGTGATCTCCACAGGGAGGCACCAAGGGCACAGGGAGAGCCCGGCCAACGCTCAGATTCACTCTGGGTGGGCCAGCCCCCCTGTCCAAGGACCCCTGCAGCTGCGAGGGTGCCTGGGCACACAGCTCCACAATCCCCCTCCCTGAGCAGATGACGAACGACCATGGGCCTTTGCCACAGTGGGGGGGCAAATGTGGTTTCCTGGGTATGCCAGAACCACAGGATGCAAAGGGTGCTGAGTGGAGCTGGGGCTGCCCCATGAGCCTGTGGAGCTTGCAGAGCGGGGAAACCTGCGTGTGAGAGCCAAGGCCATCACTCGGATGGTGCCTGCAGTCCAGTCTCGCCTCCAGTGCCGGCCTGTCCAGCCTCCTCCAGGCTTCCCCAGCCAGCCGAGTGCAGTGAGCCCTCCAGTCCCACCAAGGACCATCCCCGATTTCCAAGCCTGACCCAGGCAGACTCAGGCCACCCACAACTGCCCAGCTGCAGGCACAGTCTGGACACCTTCCGGCTGCTGCAGGCCCAATCCCCCATGGGCCATGCCAGGGTTCCTCACCCCACTTCCAGCCTTCCTATCCCAGCTGTGGCCACCACCCTCAGTGGTCAGCACCACAGAATGTGTCCCCACCCAGTCCATACTGAATGTGTCCCCCCAGATATTTTCTAGAAAACTGTCATATGAATGCTAACGTTAGGTGCTGCATGGAAACAGAGCCGGCAGGAGTGGCCAGGTGAGGGCCCCGGCCATAGGCGACGCCCCTCGTCCCAGCAGCTCCTTCCCTCAGCACCGCCCACTGCCAACCCAGGACCCGCTGTGCCCCAGAACGTGCTGTGCTGTGCTGATGGCGGCTGTGAAGGAAGCACGAGGACAGAACGGGCCCAGATGCCCTGAAGAGCACCGAGGACAGAGCTCTGGTGGGTCAGGGCTGCGCACAGGTGGGTGAGGGGCCACGCAGGGCTCCCTACAGTCCTCCCAGAGCAGTGGGTCCATGGGATGCGGCCCCCAAAGATGGGTCCACATGCTGACCCTGGAACCTGTGAATGAGGCCTTATTTGGAAAAAGGTTTTTACAGAGGTAACTCGTTAAGGATCTCAAGATGAGAGCATCCTGGATCACCCAATGACTGGTCCTTATAAGAGACTCATAGAGGAGACACTTGGAGGGAGCCAGGCCAGTCGACCACTGAGGCAGAGTCAGAGGGACGCAGCCCCCAGAGGAGGAAGAGGCAGGAAGGGGCCGCACAGGGCCTTCGGCCCAGAGACGCCTTGATTTTGAACATCTGGTCCCCAGATGACGAGAGGGTGAATCTCTGCTGGAGTGAGCCCCCGGCTTTGGGGAGGGGTCATGGCAGCACCAGGTGCTCAGGTCCCTGGTTCACGGCACAGCCGCGGTGCATGGGCAGCCCTGCCGACCTGCTCCCAAAGACTTCCAGAACTGCCATCTGATAAAGGTGAGCCACCCTTGCCAAGCAGACCTGGAGCAAGCACTGTAGCCTGTTATGATAGTGAGGGCACTCAGGTAGCAATAAAAATAACAATTACAACAACGAAAATTACACAGGAAACCCCAACACAGAAAATGGGGCACAAGGCCAATGTGCCCGGCGGTGGGGGCTCGATCACTCCCAGCAGCGTGGTGGGGGGGGGGTCCCTCACTCCCGGTAGGGAGGGTCTCACTCATTTCCAGCAAGTGGGGGTCCCTCATTCCTAGCAGGGAGGGATCTCTCATTCCCAGAAGGGGGGGTCCCTAAAAACCAGCAGGGAGTCCCTCATTGCCAGCAACAGAGGGGGTCTCACTCATTCCCAACAGAGGGGGGACCCTCACTCCCAGCAGGAGGGGAATCTCTTATTCTCAGCAGCAGGGGGATCTCTCACTCCCAGCAGGGCAGGGTCCCTCACTCCCAGCAGGGGTGTCTCACTCACTTCCCCAGATCGGGATGTCTCTGCTCTCTGCCTTCATCACGATGGAGGACATCGTCATGGTCACAGGGATGGCGTCGAAGTAGGACGAGTGAGGCGCGAGCGTGAGGATGGCCGCCTCGGTGGGCAGCGCCTGCCGCCCCTTCACGGCCACCCGGTGGAAGCCGCCGGCGAACCACATGGTGCGCATGATGGCCTTCAGCAGGAAGTCCACAACCCTGCAAAAGAGGGCGCTGCGTCACGCGGGCACACGTCCGCAGTCTCGGAGTCTGTGTGAGGCACAGGGGCGGTCCCACGGGAGAGCCCTCCAGGGCGCAGTCCAGGCCACGGGCTTCCTGTGGTCGCCGCCGCTGGGACATCTGCTTGAGGGAAGAAAAGACGCCGCGCCTTCCTGGCCTCCGCCTGTGTCCTCGCTGGCTGCGCTCTCACCTACGAAGGAGGCCGCGGGGCCCTGTGTGGTGGTCACGGGCCACGCGGCAGGCAGTGCTAAGACAACATGAGACTCCGGAACACAGACAGCACAAGTCCCAGGCCAGAAGACCTCCGGACCTTCATGTTAGCAACTTATTTATCAGCATCCTATCATTTTGAAATGGGAAAAACATTAAAACACCTAAAACGCATATCGCAATATGGGGGGGGGGGCGCTCAGAGCTGAGGGCGGAAGCTGAGACCTGCGTGCGAACTTCCCCATCTCATCTCCACAGGAAGCCCGGGGTTCCCACAACCAGGCGTTGTGTTATTACAGTGAGCTGTTTCTGGAGGAAATTAGATGGCCAATAAATTTGGAAAATAAAGTAAAAATCAGCCTAGGTTAACTGAATTTGTGTACTCTTTATCTCTTTTTAAAATAGGTACAAATTTAGCCTTTTAAATGTGTGTATTCTCTTTCATATGAGGCTACAGATTAGGCTGTTATTCCACACCTCAGGGAATTGACACGCAGCAGACAGCCACGGTGTGTGAGAAGCCACAGGTCAGGCACACAGAGAACATGATTCAGCCTCATGAGAAGCCACGGCTCACTCGGCCACTGGGTTAAGTGGGCGCATCACACTGGGTAAAACTACTGCACAGAGAAACAAGAGCCTGAAGCCTTACTGGATTCACATTGCCCTGGGACAGATGATCCTCCCAGAAGACTTCCAGGACAGGGGTCCCCATGGATCTGAGCCAAGGCGGTTGCTAGGAGGGCACAAAGCCTCCTCTCGTGGGGCCACCTTGGAATGGCCTTTGTGTATGCGATGATAAACAATGGTGTAGTTACACATGGAGATGCTGGGGACCAACCCAGGGTGCTGCTTGTCTAGAGGAGGGGGGATTACACAGGTGTGCACTTCTTCACCACCTGTTCAGCTGCATATTTAAAAATGTACTTTTCTGGCCAGGCATGGTGGCTCACGCCTGTAATCACAGCACTTTGGGAGGCCAAGGCAGGTGGATCACTTGAGGTCAGGAGCTCAAGACCAGCCTGGCCAACATGGTGAAACCCTGTCTCTACTAAAAATACAAAAATTAGCTGGGCATGGTGGCAGGCGTCTGTAATCCCAGCCACTCAGGAGGCTGAGGCAGGAGAACTGCTTGAACCCAAGGGGCGGAGGTTGCAGTGAGCCGAGATTGCGCCACTGCACTCCAGCCTGGGCAACAGAGTGAGACTCCATCTCAAGAAAACTAAACTAAAAAATAAAGATGTACTCTTCTGTGCACATGTTATTTTCCACAAAAAAAAAAAAAAAGTACAAAAACAAAAGCCAAAAGACAGCAATTGATGCCTAAGATGGAAGAAACAAGGCAGCGGCGGAGGGAGAAGCGAGGCTGCAGAGGAGGCTGCGGCGGGCACAGGAGCCAGTCTCGGGCAGGTTCAGGGGCAGGAGAGAGGACAGCAGGAAAAAAGGGATTAAAACCCGGGCGGCCCTTAGAGGAACACACCTGCCAGCCCCGAAATCGAATTGCAGGGACAGACGGTGCTCAGGGGAACTGTACTGGGTGTCGGGGCAGGGAAAAAGCAGCCTCAGCTCTTCTCTAAAGATCTTGGAGGAATTTTATACCCAAACTATCCACATGTGAAAACCCGGACTGCTGGTGTGGATGACAGCCTCAGAGAAAAGCTCCGCTTGCTGTGGGGTTGGGGACCCAGCACCCACTCACCCCAAGGCAAAGGGAGCCAGCACAAGCCCAGGGTGCTCAGGTGCCTGGGCAGCCCATTCCCAGGGGAATGTGAATCAGGAGACAGATCTATCTGCATACACAGGAGCGGGGATCTCCATCAGCACCCCCAGGAAATCCACTCCGTCCTACCGCCCTCACACGGACGACACCCAAGAATCCTGAGACGTGTGAGCAGAGCAGCTGCATGGCAGAGAAGCAGAGGACTGACCCCAAGGAGACAGAAAGGGTGGGCATCAGAAGAGGGGTGCAAAACATCCACCACGCTCGCCAAGAGAGTCTGGAAGAACAGGGCGCTGAGGAGCATCAAAGAACAAGAAAACACTCTCAGAAACCAAGACTGTCACTGTGGAGACAAGCAACTCACAGGAAAGACTGGGAAATGAGGAGGAGGAAATCTCCCAGAACATGCAGGGGGAAAAGGAGGAAGGCCGCTGAGGCCTGCATCTCCTCAAGCCAGCTGGCATGTGGAGGTGGGTGGGGGAAGCCCACACGTCTAAGCGTGAGGGGCAGGCGCAGGCCCCGGCTCTGCAGGTTCCAAATGTTCTGCTGTGAGCAGAGGCAAGAGGCAGAGTGGAGCCGGCCCTGGAGAGGACCTATACACATGTACACAGCCTGAGTGCTGGCTACGGTGCCAGGCCGGTGGGGTAGGGCAAAGGAAGGGGCCCTGGGGCCACGTCTGGCGGGGCTTCAAGGAGGCAAGTCTGGTGATCCACGTGGACTGGCTTAGCTGGGTCAGGGACGGCCCCTGGGTGGCTGGTGGGAGGGCTGTGTTGGGCTGGCAGGTGTGGAGGGGCAGCCCCAGGCTGAGACGCAGGTGGCAGGAGCTGCTGGCTTCTGGGAGACCAGATAAAGTGGTTTGATGCTCAAGTTCAAGCTCCAACCTCCAGGCCAACATACGGGGAGTACCTAGAGTCATCATGGGGATGGCATCCCCAAACTTGGGAACAGGTGTTCCCACACAGAGCATTCAGGAAAGGGCACCATCCATCTGAACCATCCGGTCAGCCAAGGGGCAGCCCCTGGAGGACCTGGCCCAGCTCAGGACTTGGCCCGTGGTCAAGGATTCAGCGCCAGATGGTCGGGTTTTGCAAAACGATGCTACGGTTTTTACAACACTGTGTGTGTTGAAAGTAACCTAAAATAGTGCCTTTTGCGAAACTGTGTCATTCTTTCACTGAAAGCCTAAGATTTTTATTTTAGGAAGGTTTGAATGACACTAACTTACATTCAGCAAAAATGCTTTAACTCAACATCAATCTATTCAAAACTGCAGAGCAGTGCATAACGTGAGCCAACTTAAGTCCCAAACCGACTACGTAATTATTATTCAGCGGTACACTCTGAATCTGCTACTTCAAATTCAGTTTCCTCCTGATCCCTTACGTCCCTAACTACGGTGCTTTTGTGACTAGGTTTCCCCTTGGGGAGTTCAGAATTCAGGGTTTGTTCTCTCTTCTGTTTCCCTTCAAGCACCAAGCCAAGCCCAGGACTGTGCACCAAGGGAGCTTTCATCAGTGCTGCTGAAGGAGACGCCAGGGGCTCCAGGGGTGGGATTCAATGCCAGGCAGCACGGGCAGCTTGAGTGCCCACAAGCATCCGTGCATACTCCCACACATGCACACATTCACACACATACACAGACATCGCTCTCATATATACTCACATGCACACACACACTCATACATATGTACACACATATACTCTCATACACATATGTACATACATCATACATATGTGGACACCTGTACACACGTACACTTGCACATATACACACATACATGTACACAGAGACACAACACTCATACACATGTACATACTGTCATACACGTACATGTATGTGCACACGATACAGACATCCATCCACACATATATACATGCACTCACATGTACACACATGCAACACACACAGGTACACAGCACACACATATACACATGTACACACTCATATACATACTTGCACTGGTGGCTCACATACACACAGTAATGCAACCACATGCCTATGCACGTGTACCTACTCCCGTGCATGCACATACATATGTATGCACACTCACATGCGCATATGTACACACATACACACCCTCTCTGCACACATACACAGAATGATACACAGTGAGTCTCCACAGACCCAGATGCCCAAAGATCTCATGAAGCAGAGGTGACAGAAACCCCAACGTGTCACTGTCACGGGACACTTCACACGTGCATGAGATGTACATATGAAAGCGTCTCTGAAGTACAGCTGCTAGAATAAGAGTCCGTTGTGGTCCATTTATCGCCTGTTGAAGCCAAGTCAATTATTCACAGACAAGAAAAGCCACCAGGGTTAGCATGGGGAAACGGAAAATTGCCCCAAGCCATCTATTTTGAAAAGTGAGAGCCTGTGCTCGCACGGGGCTCCTGCCTCCTGAGACAGAACAGAGGAGGCGGGGAGCTCGGCCCAACAAGGACATGGGGAGTAAAGAGAAAGGGTGCCAGGAAAGCACCACGAAGCCATTGCTGCCCACAGCACCACATTCAGCCAGGTCACCTGCAGCCTGCTTCACACTACAGAACCCCCACTTTCTAGCTGTGGCTTCTCAACTCAGCAAAACTGAAAGCCTGACTTTGATTTGGCCTTGATTTACTTTGCTTGGTTATATATTTGATACCCAATTCCTATTTTATGGTTAAAACGTTTCAAAAACAAACCAAGATAAAGCATAAGAGAATTTTAAAAATCTAGAAAGGCTAAATGAAGAACTAAAGCCCGTGATGATCCTGTTGCCCCTAAAGAACCCAGGCTGCCCCAGGTCACCACTACCCAGCAAGCTGCTCAACGTCCACCCACTCAGCAGGGCCCAGAGTGAGGGACCCCCAACGCCCAGGCTGCCCTCTCCTATGACTGCACCATGTCTGCACGCAACGGTGCGGCAAACCCGGGACCCTAAGTGGCCGTCTTCCCCCTGCACCTAACTGCATGTCTGAGTGTGGCCCTGGGTATCAAGGAGAACCGAAGCTCAGGCAGATGTCAGCTCCCATCAGCCTCTTGGCCGTGAAAACTTTGCTGTACATACAGCCCACAGATCAGACACCTTCCAGAGAAAGGAGGGGCCTGGGCGTGCCCATTACACCTTTCGGAGGCCAGGCAGTGAATGCTTTAGGCTCTACAGCCACACGGCCTCTGTCCCAACCACTTGGCCCGGTTCCCCACCAATGCAGCCCTGAACATCACGCAGGCCAGCGGGCGTGCCCGTGCTCCAGTAAAACTTTACTTATAGTCAGGCAGCAGCCTCCAATTAACTACTAATATTCCTGTTTCTGAATAAAAGATTCAGGGAGCCCCTCCAGAATGATGAGAGATGTTAACAACACATGGAAGGGTTGTCAGAGCTGTGGTTATAGGACACGCGTGGTAACTTTTAAGATACTGAAAATATTTATCAAAGTATTTATGATATCTCAACATTTTCATTTGCTAATGGCAGATACTTTCAGTGAAAGCACAGCTTTAGGAATTTAAATGAAACAAGAAAATATTGTGATTTAGTTTAATTTTTTGTGGTCTGTTTTGGATCTTTAGTTTAGATGTATTCCTCATCGGGTAGGTGTGCTTTATTTATATTCCGTGCTTAAAAGCCAGGAAGAGTTTAGGTCCACAAAGCAAGGGAAAGACGGCCCTGGAGGGGTGGTGCCAGCAGGCAGCAGGCCAGGCCAACGTTGGCTGACATGCAGTCTCGGAGGGCGGGGAAGGACCCGAGCCTCCTGTCCGAAGGCAGGGCTGGGCCTGGCTCCAGCCAGTTGCTGGCCCTGGGGAGCAGGCCCACTGGCCGGAGCTTCTGCTTTTCCAAGACTGGCCAGAAATGGGGATTTTGATGTCAAGTCACTGGGCCTTTATGATGCGGCAACCTGTTCCCACTTAGCCCAATTTTAATAAGACCAGGTTGGCAGGAGATGCCATGGTGGCCACCTGCCCCCCGAGCAGCCGTTCCCCTCATTGCTGCTGCTCTCACACCTGGAAGATGGCCCCTCCCGGGCCCACGGCACCCGCACCAGGTCCAGCTGCCTCTGCATGGGGGCCACTGAGGCAGGGACCTCCCTAGGCAGGAGGCCTGTGTCACTGTGGTGCCCTGTCACTGCAGCCCAAGAGGCCGTCCACTCACAGCCTGAGGGTCTGGGGGAGGCCACCATGGGCAGGGCCAGAGCTGAGGGTCTGAGGTGGGAGGGGTAAGGGGGCTGGCAGTCACAAAGCCAGGAGAGGGTGTCCAGAAGCCTGACTTTCGTCAGCAACAGGGAGCCCCAGCAGGTTCTGGAGCAGAGAAGGCTACGGTGTAGGGGGGTCTCTGTGCTCAAGGGTGTGAAACAATGGCCACACATCCTGCAGACCCCTGGAAAATGAAGCCTCAGAGCAGGACTGTGGCGGAGGCGTGGAAGACAGAGGCAACGGGGAGGTGGCCGAGTCCCCACTGGCAGGGGGCAGCCCTGGTGGACGCTGGGCTCAGAAGGGAAGGACAGATGGGCTAGGGTGGAGACACACAACCCCACTGTGAGAATGGGTTCCCACTGTTTGGCCGCGTGACCCCCCCCCAGGAGGAGAGCACGGCACACGCGCAACTTACTTCCTCCACAGGGCCGGGGGCTGCTCGGGTTCCTTCTCCGCAGAGCCCAGGGATGCGACAAGTGCGAGGGGCCAGGCCAGCAGCATCATGGCAGCGGCAACCAGGAGCCGGACCGGGAAGAGCGTCAGTGTCATGAGGGCCACCTGCAGACAGAGGGGGGCATTATCCAGAGAATCCATGTAGGACACCAGGCAGCTCCCCACCCGGCAGAGGCTAGCCCAGGGGGACAGCGCGCCCCACAGAGTGGAGAGCTGGGGAGGGGCTGCAGCTGGCACACAGCTGACCAAGGCTGACCAGCACTGACCGAGGCTGACCAAGGCTGACCGAGGCTGACCAGTGCTGACCGGCGCTGACCAAGGCTAACCAACACTGACCAGCACTGACCAAGGCTGACCGGCACTGACCAAGGCTGACCAACATTGACCGGCACTGACCAAGGCTGACCGGTGCTGACCAAGGCTGACCAACACTGACCGACACTGACCAAGGCTGACCGGCACTGACCAAGGCTGACCAACACTGACTGGCACTGACCAAGGCTGACCAACATTGACCGGCACTGACCAAGGCTGACCGGTGCTGATGCCGACCAGCCCTCACCATGGCTGTGGACACTGGCCAGTGCTAACTGACATGCTCCACACCCACTGCCCGCTTCCTGCCTCCTTACTGGAGCTGCCATGCGAGTGGCTTGGGAAAGACACAGTGGAGCTTCCTCCTGCAAATTCAAGGGCCACTCTGACGCACAGCACACAACCCCAGGCAGCTCCACCCCGCAGGACGCACCCCCAGGCAGCTCCGCCCCCCAGGACACACCCCCAGCCCCGCAGGCCTCACTCAGCAGTTTCCCCTGAAATCGTTTATGTGGACATGAGAAAGCATACGCCACCCTAGGCAGTGTTGGTGACAGGGGGAGGTAGCTGGCCTGCAGTTTGCAAGGTTGGACCTCAGACCACAGAGAAGACGGCAGAATGAAGGTGTGACTTTCCAGTCAATGGAAGACCCGGCGCAGGAGAGTGAACTGGCGGGAGGGCAGGGGCGCAGGTCAATATGGGGGCTCAGGAAGGCCCCCCAAGCCAGGGCAGGCCCCCACGCCAGGGAAGGCCGAGGCTGCGGGATCCCAGGCAGCCCAGGGTCTGAGGATGGAGGTCCCTCCGGGAGGCGGGCAGGACTCCGTGTAGAGGGGCGGGAGGCTTTGGGTGAGGGGAAACACCAGTCCTGAGGTGCAGGTTTAGTGCAGAGACAGAAAAGACCCAGGAGACACAGATCGCAGTTGGCTCCCCAAGCAGCAGCCATCCCTAATTTCTGATGCCTGTCATGAGAGCGCTCCCACTCTGTTTCCTTGGTTTGTCCCTAGATTCTTTTGAGTTCTCAACGGAGACCAGCATAGCCCAAGAGAAACATGCCTGCCACATGTGTCATTTTAAATTTTCGAGTGGCCACATTTAAAGGGAATGACAATTTAATATACAGCTCATTTCGCCCGGTATATCTGAAATACCATTTCGACACGTACTCAACGTAGAAGTTGCTACTGGCTAGTTTGCATTTTCTCCCGCTGTCTTGGATTGTGCAGTGTGCATTTCACTCTCACAGCTTTATGCCACCTGTGTCTCCACCCTGTCAGTGCCCAGTGGTCAGGTCAGCCTGTTGGGTACGCAGATCTAGATGATGTTTGGTTTGCGAGAGATGACGACCTCTAATTTGCCTCCCCTTCCCCGCTTCTGGGGGCTGCTCCTCACCCCAGCTGGGTCCCCGCTTCAGCATCACACTCGCTGCACCAAGCAACCACAAATCTGTTATCCCGCCATTGGTGACGATCGTCACTGTTCCACATCGTGTTACTGGCATTCAGCAAACGTTCTTTACTGCTGAGAAACCTTCCCAGGCCTCATCCTCCACGAGTTTTGTTTTGCTTTAAATCATGAACGGGTGCTGAGCTTTATCAGAGGTGCTTCCTGCATCTGTGGGGAGAGCCACGTGCTGCACCCCACTTGAAGCCACTAACATGATGCCTTACGGCCACGGTCTCTCTAATACTGAAAGCTAGCTTCAGCGCTGTGCAGCTCCCTGTTAGGATTGTTTTTTAAAAGGAATTGCTAGGTCTGTTGGCCACTGTCACCAGCTGTTAAGTAAGACGCGCCTGTCCGCTCCTGTCACTTCCTCCCAGCGGCTTCCTCGTGCAGTCGCCCTACGAAACCAGCGTGCACCCATGCCTGCCGGCAGCTCCTGACCGTTGCTTCACTGTTTCCAACCCTACTGTTTATAGAGTCCCTTTTTTTTTGGGTTGACTTCACTGTTTTTGTCAATGGGGAAGTCTCTTCCTGGAAGCTTTTGGCATATTTTTCCCTCCCGCTACCAAGGTCTCCTCCCAGCTGCCTTTAAGATAACAGTGAAGTTGCCCGCCACACTCTCCTTGGGTTCACACCAAGCCTGCTCTCTGGTTTCATTTCTAATGTTATCTGTGTCTGCCAAAACTTCTAAACCTACGTTGCCAGATATTTTTCTATTTTATCAGTCTTCTTACAGAACCATCTCAGATTTGTTCATTCTCTCTGTTGTGACCTAATCATATTAATTTTGGCTCTTATTAGTTCCTCTTTCTTCTGCTTTGAATTTAGTCAAATATTCTTTTCAACTTTTTGAGGGAAAAGCCCACTTTGTTATTTTCAGAAATACCTTATTTCCTGATAGTCACATTTAGAACACAGCTCCCCCTAAGGACCACCTTGATTTAATCCCACAAGTCTAAGGGGCAGCCTTTTCCTTTATTTGTAAAATTTAGTTTTAAATATTTCATCCATTCCCATCTACTGTTACTGTTTCATATTTTGTTGCAGTGGAGGAGAGCGCAGCGGAGGAGACCGTAGCCTCGGCCTTCAGCCCACCTGGTCCCGGGGCTCCAGGGCCACTGGCTGGGAAGAGGCCACTCTGCAGTGCACAAGCCTGGCTCTGCTGTTAAAGCCGACAGCTAGGCAGGGCGTGGTGGCTCACATCTGTAATCCCAGCACTTTGGGAGGCCAAGGTGGGAGGATCGCCTGCGGTCGGGAGTTCGAGACCAGCCTGACCAACATGGAGAACCCATCTCTACTAAAAATACAAAAGTAGCCGGGCGTGGTGGCGCATGCCTGTAATCACAGCTACTCTGGAGGCTGAGGCAGGAGAATCACTTGGACCCGGGAGTCAGAGGTTGTGGGGAGCTGAGATCGCGCCATTGCGCTCTAGCCTGGGCAACAAGAGCGAATCTCCGTCCCAAAAAAAAAAAAAAAAAAGCCGACAATAAGTTACTGGGTAAGTTTCTTCTTCCCATAAATTGTTCTTAGAACTTGTTGCCTCCCTGGGCAGACGCCATGAAGTGTGATAACCAGCACTAAGAGAAAGTCTCAGGAAGTTCCCCGGTCTGACCCTGGGGCCACGGCAGCCTCTGCCCACAGCCTGCTTCAGTCCACCTCTGGTGCTGCAGCCAACTCTGCTACAACACTGCTTCCACCAGAGTGTGGAATAAAATCACAGTAACCCACGCTGTTCCTGAAACAGCACCGACTGCAACACTGCTTCCACCACAGGGTGTGGAATAAAATCACAGTAACCCACGCTGTTCCTGAAACAGCACCGACTGCAACACTGCTTCCACCACAGGGTGTGGAATAAAATCACAGTAACCCACGCTGTTCCTGAAACAGCACCGACTGCAACACTGCTTCCACCAGAGTGCGGAATAAAATCACAGTAACCCACGGTGTTCCTGAAACAGCACCGACTACAACTGCTTCCACCAGAGTGCGGAATAAAATCACAGTAACCCACGCTGTTCCTGAAACAGCACCGACTGCAACACTGCTTCCACCACAGAGTGCGGAATAAAATCACAGTAACCCACGGTGTTCCTGAAACAGCACCGACTGCAACACTGCTTCCACCACAGAGTGCGGAATAAAATCACAGTAACCCATGGTGTTCCTGAAACAGCACCGACTGCCAGGCCATTCCATATGGGACCACCCACTGGGAACAGCTCCGGGGCTGGGGGAGCAGCGCCCCATCCCCAAACAACACGGGGCATGAATGAGCCCTGGGTGGGGAGGCCCCGCCTGCATGCCGGGTAGGGTAGTCAGGCTGCTGGTTCCTTAGCACATGGGGTTCGCTGGGCCAGCCAGTGGGGGGATGCACTGTGAGACCACGTGACCCTCGGCTCGCGCACCCCCACGCCTGCTCCTGCGCACATAGGGAAGACTGGGCGACCACCTGAGCCTCGACTTACACATTCCTGCACCTACTCCTTCGTGCATGGGTTAGACTGCATGACCACCTGACCCTCACCTCACACGTCCATGCATCCATGCACCTGCTGCTTCGTGCACGGGGAGGACTGTGTGAACAAGCGACCCTCTGCACCAGCTCCTTCCTCTATGGGAAAGAATGCCTGACCACGTGACGCTCCCCACCAGTCAGTGCACCTGCTCCTGTTGGTGTCCCAGAAGACTGCGTGACCATGTGACCCTCAGCCCATGCACCCTTGTGCCTGCTCGTGGTGCATCAGGGAATGCGGCCCACACTTCTGAGCTTAGCAGCAGCAAGGAGAGGGGCCTGTGGGCCACAGTTGCAATCGCTGATCCTCGGCAAACAGGGCTGATGAGGGGAGGGTGGAGAGGGAACATGGCCAGGGAGGAGCTCCCCAGGCCTCCAGCAGATGGGGAGGGTGTGGCTCTGCTCTGCAGTGCTGTGAAAACTGCTTGGAGAGGGGGCCTCTGGGAGCCCCAGGCAGGAGGAGGAGCAGTGCTCCTGGTGAAGAGCCCGGGCATCTCCACCGATCTGCCTTCACCTCACCCAGCTCTGGGCCTGTGCGCTCTTTCTCTGCCAGGCTCGGCCCGCCCACAGGAGCCGGGAGCCCTCACCAAGGAGAACAGGACTTGGGTGACTGCTGTGACTCCTTCCAGAAGCTTCTATGACCCCGCACCTTCTGCCCACCTGTCTCCACAGGCCCCACCCCTGCGTCCAGCCTCAGGCACACCCATTGGGATCCCTCCATTCCTCATGCCCCCACGCCCTGGTGCAGATGGGTCTGGATGGACTCTAGCCCCCCAGGAGATGCCAGTATGGCAGAGCTGCAGAGAGAGAAGCTGGCTGGGGCAGCTGCGGCAGCCAAGCCCCTCAGCACTGGCAGGGGTGGCCAAGGGAGGTGCTGGGTAGGCAAAGAAATTCTTAGAAAATCCTGGCTAGACCAGAAACTCCCAGAACAATGGCCTTCTAAGGAAAGGGGGCTGGCAGTGCGGTCTCCCAGGCAGCGTCGCTGGAGACTCAGGTCGCTAAAGTGGAGGCACCGGGCACAGCCATTCCTCCCCACGGCAGCTTTGCAGTGTCCACTGAGAGCAAGCGTGCGTTTACAGACCTGCAGCCACAGGGACACCTGTCAGAGAGGGCAGGTGTCTTTTCTCCTCACCCAAGCAAGGCCCAGCACCCTGGCTCAGAGGCTTCCACAGAAGCCCCCTTGGCACCTTCACCAGAGGCAGCAGGGGCAGCATGCGGAACCAAGACATCACTGCAAGTCGTGGACAGGGATAAGCGGGCTGTTGCGTGGACAAGGTGGGCAGATGTGGGGAGCGGGAGCAGCCTCCAGGCAGTGTGGCCAGAGGCTGAATGCGGAGAGGGGGAGGGACTCAGAGAGGAGAACACGGACCACGCTCCTGGTCACCATAGGTCAGGCCTCCACGCGGCAGCCAACTGGGGAGGACACTGTGGACGCCTGCAGACGCTGAGACCTGCAACCTGGCCCTCCCAAGACAAGCTGCTGATGGCTGTGGGCCGGCTGTCACCACAGGACCCTGATCACCCTGAGAAATGCCAGTTGGAGGAAGCAATATGGTCACCCTGTGTGAGCCATAAGTGAGGGTTTATAGCATAATCCTAATGAGGAACTTTGTCTGAAGTCTGAGGCTGAGTTACTTCAACTATTTGAAAGTTGGCTACGATAAACCAAGGCGTCCAGGCAGTGACCTGCCCACATGCAGGGAGAGCTTTGGTGCGGACTGCGGCCGCTAAATACCACTTCCCAGCAGAAGGCCCAGGGCTCCTCAGCCGGGCTTGCTCCAGGTCACAGGTGGGAAATGCAGAGATGAAGATGGGACAGCACGGCGCAGCCCACATCAGGGAAGCTGGCAGGGGCCGGGCGCGAGCGCTCACGCCTGCAGTCCCAGGAGCACGGCGCGGCCCAAATCAAGGAAGCTGGCAGAGGCTCATGTCCTGAGGGCTGGCTCGAGGCCTACCCAGCTCACACTCACGTGACAGGGATCCAGCAACAGCCAATGCCGAGCCTGGTGCAGGAGCAGCACAGCAGACCAGTGGGAACTGACCCTCTCTGGGTCTAGATGCAACCACCAGCTTCCAGAAAGCCCCAATGACAACAAGGAGATGCAATCAATCAGAAAATGCAGAGAACTCCACAAAACACAAAACTCCACAAAACACAGCCCAAATCCATTGCAGCAAACAAGGAGGAGCTGGAGGACCCTCCTGATCCACACGCACCAGAGGCCCGAGGGAGCTCGTTCACCCCTCCACCTTGCGAGGACACAGAAGGTGCCATCTATTGACCCGGAGGGGGTCCTTGGCAGACACCAAATCTGCCGGCATCTTGGACTTCAGCCTCCAGAATGGTGAGAAGTCCGTGTCTGCTGTTCGGGAGGCACCTCGTCTGTGGTCCTTTGTGACAGCAGCCGCGCCAAGCAGGGCGGGCACAGTGGGAGTGCACGTGACCCCGGCCTGGCCACACACCGTCATTCTCCGGGCTGGGGGACAGGTCCCAGGCCCACTGTATTATCACTGCTTTGGTGTTCTAGGTTGAATTTTGCGCCCCCTTCCCCAATTCCTGTTGATGTCCTGACCCCCAGGACTCCAGAGGGTGACTGTATTTGGAGAAGGGGCTGTTAGAGAGGTGACGAAGGTAAAATGAGATCATCTGGGGGCCCTGAGCCAACCTGCCTGGTGTCCTTATAAGAAGAGGAGATGAGGACACAGACACCCAGGGAGGGACGGCCCTGTGAGGACACAGGGTGAAGGCACCATCTGCAAGCCCAGGAGAGGCCTCAGGAGGAACCAGCCCTGCTGCGCCTCGGTCTCGGACTCCAGCCTCCAGGATGGTGAGACAACAATGTCTGTGGTTTAAGCCCCATCTGAGGCACTTTATTATGGAAGCCGGAGCTGAGAAAGACACTTGACATATGTTTGAAATTTCCCATGATAAAAAGTATAAAAGTGATGACTCTTGGCTTAAATGTAAACAAGGCCATCCAAATGTTGGCCTGGAACTCTCTGGAAGTCTCTGAGTGAAGGCGCCGGTGGTCACAATGCCCAGGCCCAGGCTCTCTGATTTCAGGCAGCTGGCAAACCCCTCCCTCGTCTCTGCCAAGGCCACCAGGGCCGTAAGCAGCCCCAGGCCCCAGCATCACCCGGCGTTTCACAATCAGTGCTGAACTCAAAGACACGAGGTTGCCAGAGAACATGTGGTCCCTCTCGTGTGCACTCACGCCATCGCGGTGCCCGACAGGGGTGCTGCGGTGAGGCCCACCAGGCGCAGGGATGCTGCGGCCCCTCCGAGCCCACTTGTTGGAGATGTCACACTGCAGTGCCCCAGCCAGTGAAGGGGCTCCAATGCACCTGCAACGAGGCAGGGGTGGAGGGGAGGCTGCCCAAAGGATGGCGCCCGGAGACTCGAAGGCCGCGAGGCCGCGTCATCCCGCACAGGCGGCCGGGGCAGATGCTCAGTGCCAGCCACCCCAAGCTCTACGGTTAGCGCGGTGGAGGCAGCTCACAGGAATGCTCCCTCCTGAAGGTGCATCCCAACATTGCTGCTTTAATTATGTGGAAAAAATTATCCCAACTCCACAGGATATGCGACAGTGCGCTTGCAAATCCACGAGAGAACGTGCACTCCTCCCACGGTGAGAGGGCGAGCGGCAGCACACACAGGCGCCTGCTGTCCAAGGTCTAATTTTCTTTTGCTTTTTCCTTTTAGAGAAAGAACAACTTTTGAAAGCACAGCAGTTCTCTCAGGCATCCCATCGGACGGAGCCGGCACTTCCATCAGCAAACACCACCAGCCCGCCCTCGGCATCTGAGAGCTGGAGGGAGCTTCGGGAATCACCCACTCCCGTCCAGCACCCACAGACACAAACCGAGCAAGGCAGCAGCAGGAAACGCCCTCCTTTTCTGTCTCCCCAATCACCAAAACACCTTTATTCATATAACATGACTTCTGGTCCAAACCAAACGCTGCCTTCAAATATGGAATCAGCGATCACGCCCACAATGAATTCTCATAGTTAACGATACTAAAAGCAGACAGGAAATGTGAAAAAGTGGCACCGTGAACCATTGCCGTGGGCTCTCTCTGCACACACAACCACTCTTACCTTTGGAGCCCGAGGCACGGCCCGCACCCCAGGCGCTACAGATCCCAGGTGAGGCCTGCAGGAGGAGGGATGGGCTGCCAGGAGCGCAGGCCACATCACGGGGACGGTTTCATTGGGAGGAACATTTTATGTTTACTGGGTATTCCCATTTCTGTTTGTGTAATTTTCTCATTTATATAAATGTATATACATCTTGTGCCAAATTTATGGTGGGTTTCTTTGTCTTTTTCTCACCCCTGTGAACATCCATTGTCTCCCTGACCTTAGATTTCAGTGAGGTCACACTCTGGAGCTTTTCACCCCCACCCCGTGTGACTGCAGGAGGATCTGCGCCTCCCCGCAGGAACCCCTCTCCCCCACAGCCCGTGCTTACTGCTATCTATAAAGCTGTTTCTTCTTCGCTCTCCCACTCAAATCTAAAATTAAATATAGCTTTTCTAAAACTGAACTATTTCTTTGCAAACCCTCAACCAGCCGTACCGCCTCCCGCCGCTGTCATCTCTACTCCACCGTCCTCACCAGAACCCTCGGCACCATCACCTACCCGAGGCTCTTGCCTGCGAGATGACAGTGTGTTCAGTAATTCCCTTTGGATTTGCAAATCGGCCCCGCAGTCCCACAGCACAGTGATTCTCCTAGACCACTCCATTTACCATTTTCAACCCACTCCAGTCCACGGGCGTCTTACGAGGATGCTGCACGGTGTTGAATGGGATCAAAGCCAGTCTGGTCTTGGCCATGTCTAAACCACGACACCCTGTGACTGGGGAACCCCCATCAACACCCAACCAGCTCCCCTGTGAGCCAGCTTCCAGGATACAGGGACGGCCCTGGGACCGTTGGCACCAGTGTCGTCACTGGGACTGGATGGTAGCATGCAGGTAGCACCCTGGGGTGACACCAATGCCGCCTGGGCCGTGGTGCTGCATCTGTGGGACACTGGAACATGACCTGGAGGGCAGGCAGGCCTGGAGGAGCATGTGGTGTCTCTGGAGCAAGGGCCGCTGCTGGAGGGCAGGCGGGCCTGGAGGAGTGCAGTGTCTCTGGAGCAGGGGCCGCTCTCCGCAGCGTGGGTGGAGGCTGTCTCCCATGGCTTCTGCAGGCCCTGGTTAGTCCTGCTTTCTGGAAACAGCCATGGGGGAGCACACCTTCCTCCTGCGGGGCGTCCCCACCAGCGTCTGAGGGGCACTGGCTCTGAGAAAACCCTGGGCCCCTAAGACGGCACTGAAGCCCCATATCCCAGCAAGAAGAGACCAGGGAGTCACTGCGGTTACTTGCTCATGCCCACGCAGGCCTTTCTGTGGATCTCCACACACAGCACCTCCGACTGCGACCGCACAGCTCCTCTCTTGCACCTGGGCTCACGGTTGGCTCTGCGGGGTTGACCTCCCCGGCGCGCGCTGTTTGTGTGTCCCAGTTACCTAGGTTCTGTAGCAGACGTGGCATCAGAGACCACGTGGCCCCAACCCCTCAGGGGACACCACCTGCACGCCTCGCTCACCCTACGTGGGGACATCACCTGCTCACCTCGCTCACCCTACATGGGGATGCACCTGCTCACCTCGCTCACCCTACGTGGGGACGTCACCTGCTCACCTCGCTCACCCTACTTGGGGATGCACCTGCTCACCTCGCTCACCCTACGTGGGGACGTCACCTGCTCACCTCGCTCACCCTACTTGGGGATGCACCTGCTCACCTCGCTCACCCTACGTGGGGATGTCATCTGCTCACCTTGCTCACCTTACGTGGGGATGCACCTGTACGCCTCACTCACTCTGCCATCAGGACACTGCTTGAATTCCTCTCTTGAACACAGAGCTGCTTCCTGCAGACAGGGTCAGAGAACAGCCAGGGAATCCCTGAGTGGGATCAGGCCACTCCAGTCTTGGTTGGCCAGGAACCGAGCCCCTCCAGGAGGGAGGTCCATCGAGCAGCCTCATGCATCTGCACAGCAAAGCTGTGCATCGTCCTCTGCTCCCAGATGGTGGCACCCTCCTGCTTGCCACTCAGCCAACAACCCCAAGGAGGCAGCCTCATGGCTGGGGATGGCTGTGTTGAGCTGCAGCCCCAGCTGTCCCTAAGCTCTGTGGCTTGGGAGGAGCATCACTTCCCGGTCTCAGCGGGTGTCTGGAGGGTGGGCTGGGTCCTGCTGAGGCCAGGCAAGGAGGCTCCACCTGGGCAGCCCCACATCACCACCAGGACACAGCAGGTGGCAGAGGGCGTACCACACTTAGAGCCCTGCTCATTCGCCAGTAAAGTGAGCCCCACGGCCACCCGGACAGGGCTTGGCAGGCACAGTAGTCTGAGCTCCTGTGTGGCGTGCGGCCCCGTGAGTCGCAGTGGGGCTATGTGCTGGGTGGTGCCACACAGGCAGGCCCTCCATGCCCCATGTCCAATCAGGAAGATATGGAGCCGCTGGGCCGGCCACACCCGCCTTCGGAGTCACTGTCAGCTCTGCATCATCATCCCACGGAGGCTCACAGGGTCACAAGGCCCCGGCCCAAGAGCAGTCCCACACTAGAGCCTCCCTCTCACTATCCCTGAAGCACCCAGTGTCCATGCTTCCCGTAGAATCAAGGGCCATAGACCCCCAACATCTGGGGCAAGCACCCTGCAGTCACTGGAGAAGACACAGCTTGCTGAAGTGCCCACGGGGGGCCACATCTCAGACTTTCAACCTTGTGTACTACAAATGCAGATTCCTGGACACCTTGTGACCTTTGGAATGAGGCTGTGCCCTGTGGGCTGACTCCCTCGGGCCCCCTGAGCTATGTATGGCCCACGCCTTCACCTGGAGTCTTCCTCCCATCGGGGGGCTCTGCTGTCTGGACTAAGCGTTCCCTGACACCCTGGCTCACACCCGTGATGCCAGCACAGGGCATGGTGCTCACACATTGGTGCTGTTGGAAAGTAACCAGTAAAAAGGTGTGTGAAAGAAAACACGCTTACTCATTCTGCAGACAATTCCTGAGCACCTGCAATGTGCACTCTGGACAAATGGTGTCCAGGTGCAGGCAGAACGAGACCGACGGAAACCGCAGCACCACCTGGCTCAGACGGCACAGGTGCAGCCCGTGTAAAGATGGCACGCGCCGGCATCCTGGTGTGGGCCTGCGGGAAAAGGGCGTGGGGTGGAGGTGCAAGCTCAGCTGAGAAATCAGGAGTAGAGAGTGCAGAGCCCCACGGAGGGAGGGCCCAGGCAGGGTGGCTATGTGAGCATCACAGCCGATGCCCCAGTTCCTGCTTCAAGATGACCGATGGCAGGCAGGTGCCGGAGCCGCTCCTCCGGTCCCCAGGCTGGCCTCCGGGTCCTGCCCACATGCTCTCCCAGACAGTCCTCATGCCTCCTCACCCGCAAAGCTCTGCACAAATCCCCCTTCCCTGAAGGGTTTGGGACACCCAGCCAGAGTTCTGTCCCTCTGGTCCCTACATATGACGTCCCCCATGTCCAACCTGCAGCCCCACACTCTAGAGGAGAGATTCCACAATACAGGCTGCAGGCTGGGAGGCCCTTCCATTGCTGCCTGGTGACCCCGAGGGCTCAGCTCCTGCAAGGCCTGGCTCACGGCAGGTGCTCGCAAGAAGAATACAGGAGGGAAGGGAGCAGAAACTCAGAAGTGTAAGCTTCTGGGCTGCACACGTTCCACTGTGGGCACAGGCTAAGCTTCAAAAGCAGAAACTAGCTGCAGATTCCTATTTGGAGGCTGCGGGGACTCGGTTACACCTGACCCATTTCCACAGGCTCTCACCCGTGGGGCAGGACACCCTGCGATTATGTTTCCTCCATTTCCACAGGCTCTCACCCGTGGGGCGGGACACCCTGCGATTACATTTCCTCCATTTCCACAGGCTCTCACCCGTGGGGCGGGACACCCTGCGATTACATTCTCACCCGTGGGGCGGGACACCCTGTGATTACATTTCCTCCATTTCCACAGGCTCTCACCGGTGAGGCGGGACACCCTGCGATTACATTCTCACCCGTGGGGCAGGACACCCTGTGATTACATTTCCTCCATTTCCACAGGCTCTCACCCGTGGGGCGGAACACCCTGTGATGACATTTCCTCCATTTCCACAGGCTCTCACCCGTGGGGCGGGACACCCTGCGATTACATTTCCTCAGAAGGCAGCTTTCAAGGCAAAGCTCCCACGTGCAGAAACGGGCCCTGGAGGTGGGAGTCCCAGGAGCCGTGGAGAAGCTCCAATGAGAACGGGGCCAGATGGGCAGCCCGAGAGCAGAACCCCCACCACCAGCGGCTGGGGAGAGGCTGGAGATGCCAGGGCCCTCCTGGGAGGCACCAGCTTTGTCCTCGAGGCCGAGGGGAGGAGAAGCACAGGAGATGCTGGGCACAAGGGGCCCGGCACAGGCCAGGCACAGGGAGGCCCCAGCCTCATCTGCCCAGTGAGCGATATCCAAAAACAACAAACAGGGTCCACATGCCAGCACTGCAGCCACAGCAGCACGAGGGGCCATCGCAGGTGCACGGGCCTCACAGCTTCACAGAGCAGAGCCATGCCAAACGCTCGCGGTGAAAGGCAGCCTGTTTCTTCAGTACTGTTCCTTCGACAGGTCAGTCCTGAGCCCCAGGCTGTGTCCCAGGACACTGGGAGTCTGCTCCGCACTGGGGGACTCAAAGTCCACACGGGGCCCACAGGTGGTCAAGTGAACCAAACGCCCCACACCCTGACCCCCAGGTGTACATTCTGCACATTTTAATTCCGAGGTTGGGAATGCACCCTACGCCGCCAGGCACGCCGCCAGGCCGAGGTCTGCAGCAGCATTTCACTCTGTTGGTGTCCGAGGACCTCAGGGGCTGTGGACCATGCAGGCGCTGCAGACAGTGATACATCGTGGGGGGCTCAGGAGAAGCAGGCTCCTGGGATCATTCCAACAAAAAGGTCCCCCTGCGTGCTCCGCCAGGACCCCACCTTCCACCTCCAGCCAAAACAGGACCTTCACACATACCAGCACGCTTCCCATTCAGCCCAGGCCCTGAGACAGGCCCTCCGGAGCTGTGGCCCAGGGAAACGCCAATCTCCCCGGACCTCCCGCCTGGTCTGAGTAAAAAGAATCCTGAAATTCAGGATCCGTGGCATTTCTAGCTGCTTGCATTTGTTTAACAAACATCTGCAGAAAGCCAGTGGGGCCCTGGTGGAGAGCACCTCCCAAGCCCCCTGTGGTGGGAGCCCCACCCCCAGCACATCCTGCATCAGGGGATCCTGCTACAAGAAAGAGTCCCCAGCCTGCTGGCCCTTCCTACTCCGAACTGGCCGCAGATACAGGGAGCCCCCCAGCACATCCTGCATCAGGGGATCCTGCTACAAGAAAGAGTCCCCAGCCTGCCGGCCCTTCCTACTCCGAACTGGCCGCAGATACAGGGAGCCCCCCAGCACATCCTGCATCAGGGGATCCTGCTACAAGAGTCCCCAGCCTGCCCGGCCCTTCCTACTCCGAACTGGCTGCAGATACAGGGAGCCCCCCAGCACATCCTGGCCCAAACCCTCAAAAGCTGCAGGAGCCCACAGCCTGCCCTGTACACCCTGCGCCACACTACCCGCAAATACAAGGTCCCCCACCTCCCCCGCCAGCCCAGAACATCCTGGCCCAAGTCCCACCCCCAGCCTGCCCTGTACACCCTGCCCCACACTACCCGCAGATACAGGGGCCCCCCAGAACATCTTGGCCCAACCCCCTGGCCTGCCCTGTATACCCTGCCCTGCACTATCTACAGATACTGGGACCCTCCCCCACCTCCCACTGCCGCCCACACACAACATCCTGGCCTAAGTCCCACCCACTTAGCTGCAGGAGCCCCTGGCCTGCCCTGTACACCCTGCTCCACACTACGGGCAAATACAGGGGGCCCCCCGGAACATCCTGGCTCACCCCCACTCCCCCGAGCTGCAGGAGTGCCTCTGTCCCCACAATTCTGGGTCTGCGCCACCATCTCCAGGGAGCCCACCAAGCACATCCTGGCCCTGTCCCTGGCTATGGGAGACCCTCCACCCAGGACATCCTGCTTCCCCCAGCTGCAGGGAGCCCCTGGACCACCAGTAACGTCTGTGAGGCAAGGCTGACCCCTGCTCAGCCAGTGGGTAGAATGGGAGTGGGCAGGGGCTGTGGGCCCTGGCAAGTATGTCCACTCCTCTGAGTGCAGGGAGGTACAGAGGTGACCAGCCTGACGTGCAGCTGTGGACACAGAGGGAGGGCTGCTGGGGGCTGGAGGCCACTGCCCAGTGGCAGTTGTGGGGGAGGCAGAAATGACCTGATCGCTCTAAGGTGAGGGAGAGGAGAGCCCACTCTTTACAGAGACTTCCCCAATGGCACAGGCGCCACGTGGTCCTGGGGCCACTGACTGGGCAGACAGCCTGGCACAGGGACAGGACAGGTCTAGCCTGGGATGTGCTGAGCTTGATGGATGCATGGGACCCAGGAGGATGTCACAATGATGATTCACATGGCACACAGGTGACCATGACTCTTCCCTGATGGAGACAATGACTCACTGCTGCAGAAAGGTGGATCTAACCCCTCCAGGGTAGCCTAGGAGAACAAACAGACTCCACTCTAAGGAGCCCAGGCATTCCATGCTGATCCACGCCTGCCCAGCCCGGCGGCATCCCCACTGTCTGTGCATGGACACCAGCCCTCCCTGGCTCCAGGGCCCTTGCCCTCCAGTACCTTGGCCCAGCTTTGGTTCTACCCCAAGGGTTTTAAAACATTTAGAACTGGGAGAGAAACTGTTTTCTTTCTTTCCTTTTTTTTTTTTAAGCTTGTATGTGGCAAATATCTTTAAGAGGAAATAACTCACTCCTCTGGCTCTAAGAGGGAAGTGTGAAATTCAAGAGTAAAATCAAGGTTTGGAAAAGGCTGCTGTCCCCAGGTACCAGCCCCCACCCCAGCAGTGTCTCCCCACACAGGGGACGAGGGCACAGGGGATGAGGTTAGAGGGCCACCAGTCACAGCAGAGGAAAGACCACACTGAGGGAAGCTGGGAGCTGACTGTGCTGGAAGTTCAAGAACAGCACCTCACCTTTAACACACCTAAGCTCATGCTGCTGGCACATGGCTGAGAAGCCAGGGATGCATTGGTTTTAATACAGCAAAAAGTATCCCCCAGGGTTGCAAAATGACGTGGGTTTCACAGGGACAAACAGTGATCACATTAGAAAATAATGTTATTTCCAAACACAAGCCTAGCATCATGCTTTTTTCCTGGGCTCATTTTCAGAATGATTCACAGCTAGATTAAAGGTTTACACTGGAAATGCTGGAAACAGTAACCGGGAATGGTAAGCATGCCCCAGCACCCACAGGAGGCCCACAGGACTTGGAGGGGACGGTCGCGGCTCCTGGCCATCCTGAGAACCATAGCACTTTTGTCATGGGCCGCGTGGGGATGAGGGCCCTGGAAACAGGAAGAGGAAGGTCAGGAGGGCTCCTCCTGCAGTCTCTGTGTCAGAGGCAGGGACATGGCTTAGCAAGACAGGTGACCTCGTGGAAGCCTAGCTTGGACACTCCCAACCAGTCATGTCCAAGCAGTACAGCACAGGGCGCCTTCTCAGACAAGAGCGGTGAGACGGAGTGGGACAGGGAGCCACGTTCTCCGCTGCCTGGGCCCTCCCAGCACTCAAGGGCGCTCTGCCCCTGCAGGCACAGGAGGCACCGGGCATGGGCCAGACACCCAGCAAGTGTGGTAGTCGAGTCCCGTGCCCGGCTCCTGAAGCAGGGCTCCTGAGTGGCCACTTTTTCAGGCACAAAATCCTAACATGTTTATACGAGAAATAGATAATTCAACTGCAAAAAAAAAAGCCAATGTTAGGAAGAAACGATTTAAATAAAATGGAAGCAAGTAGTGACCATAGCTTGACATTTTCTAAAGACTACAGTTCGTCTAGGAACAGAGGCGACGTGTCAAATTCAAGAGTAAAATCAAGGTTTGGAAAAGGCCGCTGTTCCCAGACAGGAGCCCCCACCCCTGGCAGTGCCTCCCCACACGGGGGACGAGGGGACAAGGGGACGAGGTCGGAGGGCTCAGGAGAGCCGCATCCGGAATGCATTCTGAACGCAGCTGTGGGCCGCCTGCCTCCTCTTACTAAAGAAAGTGGACATCAGAGAGGAAGCATTTGCAAAGTCTGATGACGGCTCACATGGACTAATGCAGAAGTGAACCCGCAGGGCTGACGGACGCCTCAGGGTTCTCGCCCCACTCTGAGCACGGCCCTGCGGCCTCTCTCGAGCCCACCCACTCCTGACCCTGGGTCCCACAGGGTGGGGGATGCACCGTGGCCCCATGCATGGGATGAAGGGCTTGGGCCGGGTGACTGGCTGGACGCCTTCCAGAGAAAAGGCAATGCGTGGTTTAAAGCGGAAAAAAAACACAGCTGAAAAAAAAGAGAAAAATATAAGACAGAGCTGATGTCTTACCCCAGGTTGCTTGTCCCGGGCACAGTAAAAACTTTTTCTTTATCTTTTTCTTTTTGGAGACGGAGTCCGGCTCTGTCGCCCAGGCTGGAGTGCAGTGGTGCGATCTCCGCTCACTGCAAGCTCCGCCTCCTGGGTTCACGCCATTCTCCTGCCTCAGCCTCCTGGGTGGCTGGGACTGCAGGCACCTGCCATGACACCCGTCTAATTTTTTGTATTTTTAGTAGAGACGGGGTTTCACCGTGTTAGCCAGGATGGTCTCGATCTCCCGACCTCATGATCCGCCCGCCTCGGCCTCCCAAAGTGCTGGGATTACAGGCGTGAGCCGTTGCGCCCGGCCCACAGTAAAAACTTAAAATGCACCTGCTGCGGCCAGCACCGACCATGGCTGTGAACAGCAAGCAGAGGCAGGAGCAGAACCCACATGGCCCTGTGTTCCAGTGGGAGGAAGGAGCAGTCCTGAGTGCCAATGACGATAGGGGGCCGGACCCAGGCAAGAGGCCAGCATCATTCTGAAATGCGTAAAAACATGTGCTCCTTTAGAGTTCCGGAGCCACGACCACAGGCAGTGAAGGAGGCGCCCTGGGTGTCATCTCCTGTCTGGGAACGGAAAGGTGTTGTCTCACTTGGGCTGATGTGAGAAAGGAACCGTGCCTGCAGGAAGCGTGCAGAGCAGGGTGCATGAGTGGGGGAAGAAAGCAGCTCCCATGGCTCACGCCAGCCTGGCGTCCTGAAACAGACCCAGAAGCTGCAGAGTTTTAAAAGTTGGCACAGATGCGTGCTGACAATATAAGATAAAGGGCTCTTTCTCACGATGAAACAGGAGTGCAAAGACAGTGTCCGTTTAAGACGAACTTTGGGTCACAATCACGGGTTTCTGCATGAAACTGATGGTGCTTTGCTGTCAGCTGTAAAACAAAACTATGTGCGTGAGCTTCTGTGTGTATGTGGGTATGCTTATGTGGATGTTTGTGTACACTCGCATGTATATGCCTGTGTATGCACTTATGTATATGTGTATGCATGTGTGTACACACATATTCTCATACACACACTCATATTAGAAACCCAAGTTTTAGGACAGAATGCTATAAAAAATGAAAAGTAAAGTCTTTTCCGATTTTGAACCCCCCTTCCCATTTTGCAAAGTTAACCACAACTAAGTTTCACGAGTGCGTCATTCGGAAAATTCATTCGGAAAATTAGACAGGATTACAGGAACGCTCTCGATGACTTTGAGAAAAAAGCCAGTTCCCTAAGGTCAGGGCTCCTTGTGAGGTGAGGGCAGGCATCCATGCTAAGCCAGCCCACGCTGCCCTCCCTGCCTGGGAGACGGCACAGCAGCTGGGCCTCTGTGTCCTCACCTGTGCTTCCTGGGGCAAAGGATGACAGTGACCAGAGGCGAGGACACGGGAAAATGACGCTTGGGCCTCTACTGGGCCAAAACAGTTGGCACCATCACACCCAGGTCATCAGAAGGCAGCTGGGGGCCATGGGCCTGGCACCGTCTCCAAGGCCTCTGAGGCATCCAGGGAGACAGCAGGCCCTGTACAGCCCTGGCCTTCTCCATCCTCCCCAAGGGACAGGCACTCTCCTGCACATCCTCCACAGGGTGTGGCTGCCCTGTGCTCCCACCGGGTACACTGCCCAGGGCTCCTTGGCCCACCCCACCCCTCCACATCCACTGCCCGGCAATGGGGCTGAGCGAAGAGCCAGTCTTACTGAATCCAGGCAGGCAGCACCCAGGGACCCAGTGGGCAGCAGGAGCAGCTCAGAGAAGCCTGAGGAACCCCCATCCCCGTGCATGTGTGCCTGGAGGGCACCAAGGGTCAAGAACACACTGCAAACACAGCCATCCACGTGAGGAGCCTGGCAACGTGTGCAGGCACACGAATTCCTGTTCTGCAGTGGCCATGCTGGACTCAGGAGCGAGGCTGAGAGGGCGGAGTCCTGCTCCTGAGTTTTTTTAAAAAATCACAACTCAGGTATTTGTATAAAAATGTGGAGAAAAAGATGGCCCACTTTTGGGTAAATTCTATGCAGGGCCACCAGGCAGGGAGGGGCAGAATCTGTCCCTGGACTCAACCCTCATCATAATCCTCTCTGTGGATTAGCCAGCGTGGGCAGGCGGGCACCCAGCAGCCTCCTCCACTCTGAGACAGCAACGCCCGTCCAAGGACTCAGCTCCAAGGTGCACAGGAAGGCATTATGCTTTCCAGGATGTAAGTTCTTGCCAACTCTGGTTCCGAGCAGCAGAGACTTTAGAAATGGGGAAAATGGGCCGGGCGCGGTGGTTCACGCCTGTAATCCCAGCACTTTGGGAGGCCGAGGCGGGAGGATCACAAGGTCAGGAGATCGAGACCATCCTGGCTAACACGGTGAGACCCCATCTCTACTAAAAATACAAAAAAAAATTAGCCGGGCATTGTGGCGGGCGCCTGTAGTCCCAGCTACTCGGGAGGCTGAGGCAGGAGAATGGCGTGAACCCGGGAAGCAGAGCTTGTAGTGAGCCGATATCGCACCTCTGCACTCCAGCCTGGGCGACAGAGAGAGACTGTCTCAAAAAAAAAAAAAAAAAAAGAAAAAGAAAAAGAAAAAAAAAAGAAATGGGGAAAACGCATCAGAACCATAGTGGGAAATACTCATACCCACAGATTCCAAGGAAAGTACCGAGAAAACCCTGGGTGACAGAAACCACTTCATGACTCCAAAACGATATATGAATGTGTGACTATGAAGAACCTCAGCTGAACTCACTAAGATCCTGTACCATACCATTTACCGCTCTCTACTAAATCTATATCCTTGCTTTAGCCAGAGGATTAAAACATTGCACGTATTACAGACCCTGATGGCTTTGATACCTCTTTTCAGATCTTAATGTGCTGTTTTCTGTCCAAAGAGATACTTAAGCTCCTCACTAAATCTGTAGTTAAATGACAGATGGGCTGGCTGGAGGAGGAGGTGTCCCCGCATGGCGCTAATCCGAAGACACACAGCAGCCCCTCCCAGGCGGCAAATGCTCACAGGTAAATGCAGGTACTCACTGGTTTATCTCAACTGGGAACTTAGCTGGGTTTCTGCGGGTTCTTGAGTGTGTCAGCCACTACTGGACCCATTTCTTTCTTTGGGGAAGAAGGCTTTCTTGGCTTGAAAGACAGGCTATTTCACTCTGTGGAAACTTTACAAGAATATATCACATCAAAGTAAAAGCTTTGCAAAGCAATGCTTGGTGAAAAGCAAAATGTTTCTGCAGAGAACTTTGAGAACGTTTACAAACTAAACCCTTGAGCCACACATTGCAGACATCCAGCAGAAACGACTGGATGTACAAACACACCTAATTCCTCAGATGGAACCTCTGAAGTGGCAACAAAGCAAGCCCCCTCTCTGAGAGGCCCCAACACCTCAAGCCAGGATCTCTGCCTGGCTTCGGCCCAAGGGAGAACAGCTGCCCAAAGCCTTCAATCTCGGGACCAGGAGCCTCTCGATGACCCCCTGCCCAAGAGCCACTGGGAGCAGCTTGCACCCTGAGGTCTCGGGGAGGAAAGCAGGCCCCTCTGGGCACTCTGGCAGTGCCCTGACATCTGTACCTACCCATGAGAGTCTCTGCCCTGCTTCTCGCCAGGGCAGTGGGTGCACACTTTTGGACAGAACACACCTCAACCGGGGGCTGCAACTATGACAGGGATGACGAAGTGGCCTCCGGGGACCTCCAGGGAGGGGCTTGATGTTTCCCCCCAGGGAGCCAGGAGGGAGTAGGAAAGGCAGGAAGAGAGAGCATGCCTGAGGCAGCCATAGCTGGGGCAGGAGCAGGGCTGGGGAAGCCCTGGAAACCACAGCAGGGGTTCGAATTTCATCCGGGGGCGTCCCCGCTGAGGGCTTCCGAGCAGCAGAGTGCAGGAGGAAGAAAGCCTGCTGGGAGTGACTCAGGGAGAGTGACCAGGGAGAGAGCCTGGTGGCTGGGTGGGGGTGAGGATTGAAGAGGAGGAATGGTTGAGGGGCACAGAATGAGCGACCGTGTCCCAAGTCCTCCTTTGAGGGGCACAGCACACGGCAGCTGACAGCGTGTGGCAGACAGAGGGCCAGGCAGAGCGGCGGCAGAGGGGCCGGCACCGCCCCAGCCCCAGAGTCCAGCTCCCGACACACAGGGAGACGGGGGCCAGGGCCTGGGAGCCAGGCTGGGGACGACCTCACCCTGTGTGTCACCAGGAGGGGCGGCACCATCGGGCTCTCCTGCTCCCCGTCCCCTTCCATACCCTGAGGACCAGCCGCATCAAGGGGCTTTGAGCAAAAGCAGGCGTCCTGGGAAAATGACAAGCTCAAACTGGCCTCAAGAACTTTTCACTTCAGGGTTCTTTCAGATAAAGTACTTTATGCATTAACAAATCTCCATCTTCCCGGAAATCTATTCTCACAATTGGAAGCGTGCTCCCTACAAACCGGACAGCCCCATAGGCCCCGAAACAGTGCTTGCTTCTAGGAATTATTCTAGAGTCAAAAGTAAGGTCCTCTTGAGAGTGGATCTCAGGTAACTGTAAGCCCAGCTGGCAGCCAGGTAGCCGGAAAAGCCAGGCTGAGCCAGCACATCCCCGGTGCAGCTTCCTGCAGCGAGCGGCCCCCTCCCCACGACGCCCCCGGGTCTCCCCTCACCACTGTCCCATCGCAGGATCTCAGCAAACCGTTCCCTCCCACGTGGCAGCCCAGGTTGCATAAAGTTGATTCGGGTCAGACCAGCCCCGAGAAAGCATCCCTTACAACAGGAGCGAAGCATGCACCCCAGAAGGCAACGTGCGGCCGCAGAGCAGGGAGACCCGTGCGCCTACAGGGGACCCTACAGGGGACCCGCACCGCCCGCGCGCCCTGTCCCGGGCACCACCAGGCCCCGCACACGAGGCTCACCCAGAGCCGCGGTGCCCTCCCGCCCGCGGGCCGCGTCCAGGCAAAGCCGCTCCGGAGTCCCCGGGCTGCGCGCAGGGCCTGCCAAGGCGGGCGGGGCCCGGACCAGGGACGAGCGCGGGGACCGGCGATGCGGGTCCAGCCTCCCGCGGGAGCCGAGGTCGGGGCTCTGGGAGGCAGAGAAAGGGTTGTGGGCCCGGTTCAGGGTGCAGGGGTCTGGGGGGAGGAGCAGAACGCGGGGCGGGGATGGGAAGCGGGGACCCCGAGGAAGGCGCTGAGGGACCAGGATGCGCGTGCGGGCGGCGGGAAGCCGGCGCCGAGACCGAGGCATCGGGTGCGGGCGGCGGGGACGCGAACTGAGGGGCGGCCGCGGGGAGGGAAGGCGCCGCGGCTCGCAGGGCCGCGCCGCGCCCCAGGCCCCCTCCCCGGCCCCTCCTCGGCCGCGCCTCCCTGGCCCCAGCATCCCTGGCGTCCGCGCCGGCTCCCGGGGCCGCGCGCCCTGGGCACCCACCTGGGCCTTCTGCAGGGCGCTGAGGCGCAGCTCGTGCACGAAGGGGTTCCGCCCCGGGGGCGCCAGCAGCCGAGCGTCGCTGGCCCCTGCGCTGGAGGCAGGGGCGGCCCGGGGTCCGCATCCCCGCAGCCTCATGGCCGCGCCGTCCCGCGGCGAGCGCAGCCGAGCTGCCTGGGGCGCCGAGCGGGGCCGGGGCTAGCTGGGCGCGGGTCTCGGGGCGCGGGCCGAGGATGCGCGGCGGCTGGAGCGGGCCGGGCGCGCAGGCGCGGGAGGTGACGTGGGCGGAGCGGGAGCGCCGGCCGGGGCGGGGCGTCCCTGGAAGCCTCGCCTCCCGCCGGCCGGCAGGGGCGGCACCAGCCGGAGTTCCGCTACCTGGTGGTTTCTCTGGGGTCTGTGGGGGGCCGGGGCCGCTGGGGACCGGGGGCGCCTCCTGCAGCCACTGGAGCACAGGGATCCCCGGCAGGGTCTGCGCCAGGAGAAAGGGAGGTCCCCCGGGCCCGCGAGGCTGCCACGTCGTCCCCTTCCGCCGCTCGGCCCGCCTGCTCGCGGGGAGGGAGGAAGGGGCGGGCACGCGTCCAGCTTACGCGCAAGGCGGGCCAGGCCCTGGGTGCCGAGCCCCGGGCTGTTCCGGCGAAGGCCCCACGCCATTCTTCTTATTCGTTGGGCTCCTAGCTCGCACCGGCGACCCTGGAAGCTGCCCCGGGCTGAGGGAGCTTCTTCCAGCCGCGCCTCAGCCCAGGCGACTCCCGCCTGAGGTCCACTCGACCTTAGGACCCCCCAGACCTCGGGATCCCCTCAGATCTCAGGACCCCTCAAGCCTCAGGACCCCCTCAGACCTCAGGACCCCTCCGATCTCAGGACCTCTCAGGCCTCAGGCCCCGCAGGGATGGCCCAGGCAGGAGGCGCACATAGGGGCCCTGACTGTCCGTGCTGGTTGTGCAGGGGCTGCGATGAGATCCCAGCGCTTTCTCACCCGTAGCTGCTTTGGCTCGGGCATTGCCCTTGTGGTGCTCAGGAGCCGTGTGAGGAGCCCCAGGGTGGGGCCCATAATTAGCCGGAGCGAGAGTAGGATGGGCTCCTGCCTCCGGGTGAACACGCTTGGATTTCAGAACTCACGCAGGCCTTCGGTCACAGTGCTCACGGCTTCCTCACCCCGGCTGGCCCTGTTGGTTCCTTCATGGCCAACGGACCTCACCCAGACAGAGCCGGTTTGGGCCACCTGGCCAACCCCCCAGGGTCCTGGCTCCTGGGGATGTCACTGCTGTGTTGGCCCCAGCTGGGCCCCATCCTCAGCAGACGCCAGGGAGTGCCCCGACCCCTCCAATGACCCTGCCTGCGCCCTTGTGGACCTCATAGTGCAGCGGGCTGGCAGAGACCCTTCTGTGTCTGAGACCGGGGTGAGGGCCAGGGGTCTGTGCCATCCACATATCATGCACAGAGAAGGCCCCGGCAGGCCAGACCCGCTGCATGGCCTTATTCCTGCCCCATAAGAGTCCCAGCCCATATTCCTGCCCCATAAGAGTCCCAGCCCATGCCTAGCAGCAGCACCTGTCCCAAGTGCCACACCCACGGGGATGGGGTGAGCCCTGTGTGCTGGTGGGCATTGGTGGCTCTGTGGCCCAGCCACCAGCGTTGCACCCACCTCCTGGGCTTTTAGTGGCCACTTGCTCTGATCCCCAAAACCAGAGCCCAGCACCCGAGGCCACCCAAGGCTCCTCACCGAACTGATCATCAAGAAAGCCCAGGACACAAAGCCTGCCAGCCACAGGGCAGCACCTGCACCCCAGCGATCCAGGCGGCCCCACCTGCTGCCTGAGTGCTCTGGAGAGGAGGGGCCCTAGGGTGTCCCAGTCCTGGGATGAGAGCAGCCTCAGGACTGGACTTGGAGAGCCATGAAAGTGGGGTCCTCCCAGAAGCACAGGCCAGGAAGCGGTGTGTGGCGGAGGGGAAACCTGCTGGAGATGGTGCAGAGCCAGATTCAATGGGGAGAGCTGCCAGAGAGTCATGGCTGTGTCCCCAGAAGATGCAAAAGTCCTAACCCACAGCACCTGTGGCCGCGACCTTATTTGGAAACAGGGTCTTTGCAGATGATCAGGTTAAGAGGAAGTCATTAGGGTGGGCCCTAGTCTGAAATGGCTTGTGTCCCTATAGAGAGGGAGATTCGGTCTCAGAGACAGACACAGAGAGAGCTCCATGGGAAGGCCAGGGTTCTGCTGCTACAGGCAAGCAGTTCCCAGGAGCTGGAGAGGCCTGGAGCAGGTCCTCTCTAGTGCTCTCAGAGGGAGCCTAGGCCTAGGGTGCCATGATCGCAGGCTTCTGGCCTCCAGACTGGGAGAGAATAAATTCCTTCTGCTTTAACCTGCAGAGTGCAAAGTGAGTTGGAACCCAGGGAAGGAGGTGGGGAGGCTGGGGGAAGAACCTCATACTGCCCGGCAATCTAAGCAGGGTCAGCAGGTTGTCCTTGAGCCAAGGTCGGTGGAAAGAGGAGTCCCTCTCCCAGAGGGGTCTTAGGTGGAGCCACTGTGGGCAGCGTGGCCTTGGTGTAGAAGCTCAGTGGATCCTTGGGTCACAGGCACCATGTGGAGGAGGCGCAGAGGCCCAGCTCCGGGGTCAGTACACAAGGGGGCACAGCTGGGAGGGTGGGTGTGACAGGGCCAAGGGCTGTGCAGAGCAGGGGGCAGGACTGGGGCACACTCGTCCTCACCAAGCAGAACCCAAGAAGGCCCCAGAGAGCGGCCAAGGAGCGGAGGTCCCCAGAGGGGCTGAGTCCACGGAACTGCCCCATCCAGGAGGACTGGCCAGGAGAGAACTGGGAAGGCCAGCCAGTGGTAGTAGCAAGGGTGGAGACCACCACCCTGCAGGGTGCTGTGGAGTGGGCAGGAGTTACAGAGGTTCTTTCCCAGCTACCTGAGAAAGGAGGAAGCGTGATGGGCAGGAGGAGGAAAATGGATGCTTGGCGGGAGGCTGGGATCCAGGGCAGCAGCTCAAGGAAGGGGCCCAGGACATGTTCCTGGGTGGAAGGCAACAGGCCAGCCTCACAGGAGACGTTGAAAACCCCTGTGAGAGGGGGTGTCATGGGCCCATCTCAGTCTGGAAGGATTCTGCGCTCAGAGGAAGGAAAGGCCTGGGGCCCGGAGCGGGGACTCCTTCTCTGCTGCAGCTGGAAGGGGTTGGATGGTCCACAGGGCACGTGCCCAGGGGGTGGGGAGCTGGGGCACTCTTGTGTGTGGGAGTCAGTTTTCTCCTGGGGACTGCGAGGGGTGGGGGAGAGGGGCTGCTTATGGGGAAATCAGCGCAAGCGTGGAGGAGCAGCAAGGAAATTCCTCCACCCACACTGGGCCTTCACACTTAGGCTTTGGTTCTGCTATGTAATGGAACGTTCTTAAGACCTGGAGGGTCTGGAAGCTTGACTAAGAGAAGTTGGTCTTGGGTGGGGAGGTATAAGCAGTTTTCTCTGTCTAGCAGGGGAAACATGAGTTTCTCATTAGGACTTAGTTTTGGGAAAACCACCCTAAGGGCCCTTTAGCTACAAAGGGAGCCCCCACTGTGGTTCTCAGGAACCTCCTGGAAGCCCCCCACAGCTCCCTGGGGCTGGTAACCACACCCCTGAGGCTTCTTGCTCTGGTTTTGTCTCTGTTTTAAGAGTGTAAGCTCACAGAGAAGTGTTTCCTATACTCCAAGTGCATTGAGAACACAAGGTACCTGCTTGTTCTGGTAAGGCTGAGTATTTTTGTTTTGTTTGTTTAATTTTTGAATTTTAGAGTTATCTATAGGATAGAAAAAGATATTCTCCTTCATTTTCTACTAACATCTTTTTTCAGTTCTGCCTTTCATGGTTGCATTTTATTCTATTTGAAGATTTTTTTCTCTGCATGGAGACCTGATATTCTCAACACCACGTATCAATCACAGACTCCCACTTGTGGGTCCACTTCCAGCATGAACAGAAAGAAGGGTTCCTGAAGCTCCTTCTGGCTGCCCCATCTCACCCATTGGTCCGTGTACTCCTTTACTCCCGTCTCACCCGCCGGTCCGCGTACTCCTTTACTCCTGTCTCACACCTTTCAACCGTCTGCCTTAGTAACTGTAGAGGGGGTTCCTTCCTGTTGGCGCTTCTTCCCAAGAATTGTAGTAGGAATTCAGGGAATTTTATTTTTCCATCCAAATTTTGGAAGCAGTTGTCCCCATTGCTAAAAATTCCCGCTGGAAGCTTCCTTTTGAATCACATTAATTGTACAGGGTACTTCAGTAAGAATGTTACTTCATTCTTACTGTTCATTCTCCCTGTTCCCTAAGAATGTTACTTCAGTAAGAGCTGGCTGGTCCTGGGAGGGGCCCTCGAAGGGCCAGCAAGGCTCCAAGGCTCCAAGGCTTCAAAGCACTAGAAAATACAAAAAAAAAATTTTTTAAATGGATGATGTGGCATGGACACTTTATAATTTTGAGAACGATTTTTCACCAACATGGTTATTCTACCATTTATTTAGATGTTCTTTCATGCCCTTTGATAGCATTTTAAATTTTTCTACATAAAGATTCTGTATTTTTGTTAATTCCTTGATGCTTCATACTTCTGCAGTGATGTAATAATCGTTTCAAAAATTACTCTTGGGCCGGGCGCGGTGGCTCATGCCTGTAATCTCAGCACTTTGGGACGCCGAGGTGGGCGGATCATCTGAGGTCAGGAGTTCGAGACCAGCCTGGCCAACATGGCAAAACCCCATCTCTACTAAAAATATGACAATTAGCCAGGTGTGGTGGCACACGCCTGTAGTCCCAGCTACCCGGGAGGCTGAGGCAGGAGGATTGCTTGAACCTGGGAGACAGAGGTTGCAGTGAGCCAAGATCACGCCACTGTACTCCAGCCTGGGCAAGAACAGAGCGAGACTCTCTTTCAAAAAAAAAAATTACTCTTGACAGTATGGATTATATGGAGAACCACTACTGCTTGTGTAGAGGTTGTATGAAGACAGACCCCAGGGTACAAGAGGACCTGTGGATGTTCCAGATGAGGAGTGCACAGCCCCAGAGTGAGGGACTCCATCATGTACAATGGATGGACTTCCTATTCAACCCACAATCATGACAAACAGAAAATTGTGGTGGTTTTCAGTCACTACAGACTGAGATGGTTTGTTAAGCAGTGATAGTGTCTTTCAAAGAGCAGATATTTTAAATTTTGATGAAGTCCAATTTATCAGCGTTTTCTTTTAGGGATCATGGTTTTGGTATCCTCTTTTATAAATATTTACCTGCATCAAGGTCATTCAGATTTTCTTACTTCAGAAGTTTTACAGTTTTGGCTTTACCATTTAGGTCTGTATTCCATTTCAAGTTGACATTTGTACACGGCATAAAGTAAAGTGGAGGCAGAGGTTTTTTAGTTTCAAATGTTTTCGTCTGAATATTCAACTGTTTCGGCACCATTTGTTGAAGAGAATATTCTTTCTCCATTGAACTACCTTGACAACTTTGTAAAAAAATTAAGTGGCCATATATGTATAGTTGAGTCTATTCCTGGACTCTGTATTTTGTTCCATGGATCTGTACATCTGCAACTGCCAACATCACACTATACTGATTACTAAAGCTTTATATTAGTCTTGAAATTAGACTGCACTGCACTGGAGTGCAGTGGCCCGATCTCGGCTCACTGCAGACTCCGCCTCCTGAGTTCAAGCGATTCTCCTGTCTCAGCCTTCGGAGTAGCTGGGACTACAGGCATGCACCAGCACGCCCAGCTAATTTTTATATTTTTTAGTAGAGACGGGGTTTCACCATGTTGGCCAGGCTGGTCTCGAACTCCTGACCTCAGGTAATCTGCCCGCCTTGGCCTCCCAAAGTGCTGGGATGACAGGTGTGAGCCACCATGCCCAGCCAAAATTTTAGAATCATTTTGTCAAGAAACTGAAGTATCCAGGAACAAACAAACAAAAGGTTGGTGGGATTTTTAATGAGATTGTGTTGAATCTATTGATCAATTTGGGAAAATTGCCATCTTAGCAATATTGAGTTATCCATCCATGAGCATGGTATACAGATCATTTATTTAGGTTTTCTTTAATTTCCCTCAGCAATGTTTTATAATTTTCACTGCATAGGTCTTACATAGGTTTTCGAATTCTGTTCCTATTTCATGTTTTGATGCTGTTATAAATGATACTGCTTCTTAATTTCAATTTCCAGAAGTGTGTTGCTCGTATATAGAACTACAACTGATTTTATGTATTTACTTTGTAGGCATTAACCTTGCTAAATTCATTTATTAGTTCTAGTGACTTTTTTTGTAGATTCTTTAGGATTTTCCCCATTTCACAATCATAATACCTGTAAATAAGGAGCTTTATTTCTTCCTTCACCAGCAACACGTATGCCTTTCGTTGTTTGCATTTCCTCTTGTTCCACTGACTGTGACATCCTCTACAGAATGTTGGACAGAGTGCTGAGACTGGGCATCTTGTCTTGTTAACAATCTTGGGGATTGTTAGTACCCAGTGCCCAGTCTTGACATGAGCTGTGGGTTTTCACAGATGCCCTGAAAAAGGATGAGGGTGTTCCCTTCTATTGCTAGTTTACTGAGTAGTTTTTATCATTTTGGCCAAAAAGCTTGCTCGCGTCTATTGAGATTATCTTAAAATTTTCTTCTTAATCCTGTGAATATGGTGAATTGAATTGGTTCATATTCTGATTTTAAACCAACCTTGTTTTTCTGGATAGGCCTCACTTAACCATACTACACGATTGATTTATTACCGAATTTAAATTGATAAATTTATGTTAAAGATGTTTGTGTCTATGTTCATAAGAAATATTGGCCGTAGTTTCCCTTTCTTATAATGTCTTTGCCTGATTTCTAATGAGGATAATACTGTCTTTAAAACATGAGTTAGGAAGTATTCCAAATTCTCTATTTCTAAGTAAAGAGTGAGTAGGGTTGGTATTATATCTTCCTTAAATGTTTGTTAGAGTTCATCAGGGAAGCTATCTGGAATGAGAATTTTCTTTTTCAGAAAGATTTAAAGATTATGAATTTGAGTGCTTCATTAGATAGGTGTTATTCATCTTTTCTATTTCTTCCATCTAAAAACCTAAATTTTTTTAGTAATTTAGATATTTCCAGGAATTTGTCCGTTTTATCTAAGTTATTGATTTATTGGCATAAAATTGTTTATCATAATCCCTTTTATCCTTTTAATATCTATAGGATCTAGACTGATAGCCCTTGTTCACGTTTATAATATTGGTAATTTGTGTCTTCTTCCTTTTTCTTGATCACTTTGGCTAGAGGTGTATTTTGTTATTGATCTTTAGAAATAGCTGCCTTTTGAATTCATTGATTTTTTCCTATTATTTTTCTGTTTTCTATTTTTGTTGATTTCTGTCTTTATCATTTTCTTTTCTCTCCTTATTTTAGGTTTAATTTGCTCTTCTGTTCCTACTTCCCTAAGTAGGAAGTATAGACCATTGATTTTAGACCTGCCTCATGTAATACCACAAATTTCCTTCTAAGTTCTGCCATATCTACATTCCACAAATGGTGGCATGCTGATTTTTCATTTTCTTTCAGTTTTCAATGTACTTTCTCTTTTCCCATGTGGTTTCTTCTTTGATTACTGTGGCTTTTTTGTTATGTGTTAACTTCCAAATATTTGGAGAATTTCCAGTTAATTTTTATTATAACTTATTTGTGGTCACAATACATACTCTGTATGATTTCAATCCTTTTATAGTCTGTGTTTATGACTGTTCAGGTGTATATTATAAGAAAAGGTTCTCTTGTTTTTGTGTGGAGTGTTCTATGAATGCCAGTTGACTCCATTGGTTGATAGTTTTGTTCAAGCTTCCTGTATCTTTGTGCTTTTCTGTTACTGTTATATGAATGACTGAAAGACCAACTATAATTGTGGATTTGTTTATTTCACCTTTCAATACTGTTAGTCTTTGCTTCGTATATTTTGAAGCTATGTTATTAGGTACATATATATTTGAAATTATTCTGTCTTCCTGGTGAATCAACCTTTCCATCATTATGTTATGTCTCTCTTTTACTCTGGTAACATTTCTTTTTTTTTTTTTTCTTTTCTTTTTTTTTTTGGGACAGAGTCAGTCTATCGCCCAGGCTGGAGTGCAGTGGCACAATCTCGGCTTACTGCAACCTCCACCTCCTGGCTTCAAGTGATTCTCCTGCCTCAGCCTCCCGAGTAGCTGGGATTACAGGTGCGCACCACCATGCCCAGCTAATTTTTGTATTTTTAGTAGAGGTGGAGTTTCACCATGTTGGTCAGGCTGATCTTGAACTCCTGACCTTGTGATCCACCTGCCTCAGCCTCCCAAAGTGCTGGGATTACAGGTGTGAGCCACTGCGCCCAGCCTCTGGTAACATTTCTTGTTCTGAAGTCCACTTTGTCTGATATTCACATAGTCACTCCAGATTTCTTATGTTTAGTGTTTGCGTGGCATATTTTTCCATCCTTTTAATCTTTCTGTGGCTTTATATTTGAAGAAGGTTTCTTGTATACAGCATAGAGTTGGATCTTGCTTTATTATCTAATCTTAAAATCTTTGTCTTTTAATAGGCATGTTTAGATCATCCATATTTGATGTGTTAATATGGTTAGATTTAAATATACAACCTTGCTATTTGTTTTCTGTTGTCTTATCTGGTCTTTTGGTTTACTCTTTAACTGCAGTCTTCTAGATTAATTTAGTATTTTATCTCCACCATTGGCTCATCAGCTATACCTCTTTGTTTTAACTTTTTAGTATCTGCTATTAATATGTGTATTATTGGAAGACATTTTAAATAATACACTGCTTCACATATAATTGAAGACCTTTGCAGTATTACACTTCCACTTCCCTTTTCATCCTTTAAGCTAGTGCTTTCATACATTTCACTCTTATATATGCTGTAGGCCCCACAATATATAATTTTTTTGTCTTGAACAAAGTCTTTTCAAGCGATTTTAAAAAAATTAAGAGGTTTTTGTATTTATCTGTATGTTTGCCATTTCAAGCACTTTCATTGCTCTCTTGAGATTTGAGTTTCCTTCTTGTATCACTTTTCTGCCTTCTGAAGAAATTTTACTAATTTTTTTGCAGTGCAGAGCTGTTTGCAACTAATCTTTTGGATTTGATCTGTATAAAAAACTTTTTTATTTTACCTTCGTTTTGTAGGATTTTTCCCCTGATAAATATAGAATTCTAACTCAACAAGTTTTTATTTTGTTTGTATATTTATTTGCTTTTGAAATTTTGTCTTTATTACTGTTTTCCTGCAAATCAGTTATGATGTACCTGTGTGTGAGAAATCACTGAGCTTCTTTGATTTATGGGTTTATACTTTTAATAAAATTTAGAAAACTAATAGTCATTATTTCCTTTTTATCATGACTTTATTGAATTATAATTGATATATAATAAACCACATAAATTTAAAGTGGACATTTTGCTGTTTTTATATATACACACATATATATGTACACACACACACACACACACACACACACACCCTATGAAATTGCCACTGTATTTAAGATAGGAAACATAGTTATTATTCCCAAAAGCTTTTTCACTCCCTTTTGTAATCCCTACATCCCACCCCTACACATTTCATCCTCAGGCAACCCCTGTTCTACTTTCTGTTGCTGTAAGTTAGTTTGCATTTTCTGAAATTTTATACAAATAAAATCATACAGTTTCTTCTTTGGTTCCAATTATTTCACTCAGCATAACTATTTGAGGTTCACCTTTTTTTTTTGTTTTTATCAATCATTTACTTGTTTTTATTGCTGAATAGTATTCCATTGTATGGATATTTGTTTATCCATTCTCCTGTTGATAAATATTTGGGTTGTTTCTAGTTTGGAACTATTACAAATAAAGATGCTGTGAGCATTTGAGTACAAGTCTTGGTATGGATGTATGGCTTTCATTTTTGTTGGATAAATACTTATCAGTGGGAAGCTGGGTGATACATTTTGAAAGAAACGTTCAAACTCTTGTCCACAGGGGTTGGACCATTTTACATCCCCCAACCCAGACTGTGTATGAGAGTTTCAGTTCTTACATATTTTTGCCTACACTTAGTATGGTAAGACTTTTAGGTTTTAGGCATTCCAATACATATGCAGTGGCGTCTCGTTATGATTTTAATTTGCTTTCCCTTTGAACAATGACCTAGAACATCTGTGCATGTGCTCATTTATCATCCACAAATCTTCCTGATGTGTTCAAATATTTTTCTCATTACAGTATTTTTCTTTGTTTTATTATTAATGGGTCTAGAGAGTTTTTATATATTGTGAATACAATTTCTTTATAAGATAAGTGATTTGCAAATATTTTGTACCATTCTGTGGCTGCTTTTTCATTGTTTTAACAATATTTCTCAAAGAGAAGTTTTTAATTTTTTATGTTCAATTTACCTTTTTAAAAAACAATCATGCTTTTGATGTTATATCTAAAAATATCTCTGCTTAATTCAAGGTTATGAATAGTTTCTCTTGTTTTCTTCAAGAAGTTTTATAGTTTATATTTTATAATTAGGTCTATAATCCATTGTGAGTTAATTTTTACATGGTATGAGGTATAGATACGAGTTTTTTATTTTTATTTTTTTACCTATAGATGTAGAATTGTTCCATATCATTTGTTGTAAGACTATCCCTTCTCCACTGAATTGCCTTTGCAGCTTGGTGAAAAATTGATTGACCACATCTGTGTGCTTCTGTTTCTGGGCTGACTATTCATTGCATTGACCTATTTATTCATTTGGATGCAAGTCTTGACTACTGTAGTTTTATAATATGTCTTAAGATCCGGTGACATTAGTTCTTAACCTTAGTTTTTCTTTTTGAAAGTTGTTCCAGTTTTTTGAGGTCCTTTTGATTTCCATATGAATCTTAGAATCAGTTTGTCAATTACTACAGAAAAAATTCTGCAATTTTGAGATTATGTTGGCACCGCGCACAAATTTTGGGAGAAATAACATCTTGACAATATTGAGTCTTTTGACCCCCTGTCATGGTACATCTCTCAGTTCATCTAGGCTTTCTTTAATTTCTCTCAACAATGTTTTGTATTTTCCAATGTGTAAATCTTACCCATCTTTTGTCAGATTTATCATTAAATATTTAACATTTTGTGCTACTGAAAATGGTACTTAAAAATTTTTGTGAACTTGTGGAGAACGTATATTCTGCATCTGTCAGGTGTAGTGTTTTATAAATGTCAATTAGCTCAAGCTTGTGGATAATGATGTCATGTCTTCTATTTTTAACTGATATTTTTCTCTGATTGTCTTTACTGATGTGTTGTTCATATTGCGATATGGTTTACTTCTCCTAATTCTTTTTTCTTTTTACCTTTGCTTTTGGTGATTTGAAGCTCTGTTATTAGGTACACACATATTTAATTATGTCTTTCTGATGAGTTGAGCCTTTTAACATTATGAAATATCTCTATTTCTGGTAATACACTACGTTTTGAAGTCTGTTTTTTCCTGATATTAATAAACTCACTCTAGTCTTAGTTTTGCATGGTACATTTACTATCAACCTATTTGTGTCTTTATATTTAATATGGATCTTTTGTAGACAGTATATAGTTTTTTCTTGATTTTTCATTCTTTTTCTATCAGCCCATTTACCCCCATTCTTCATAGCACACTTTTAATGTGCCTTATATCTACATTGATTACCTACCCTATAAGAGAATATAATAATTTTTGCTTAGCCCTATGTATTTTAAAGAAATTAATAGTAAATTAATAATCACTTCATTTACTATTTCTGAAGCTCTTTATTCCTTTCTGAAGTTCCCTGTTTCCATAAGGTATAATATATGTTCATCCTGAAGAATTTCCTTTAACATTCCTTACAGTACCTGTCTGCTGCACGTGAATAGTTTTTTAAATCTGAGTTTTTAAATCTTTGTTTTGCTTTCACTATGGAAGGATATTTTAATGATTTTAGAAATCTAGGCTGACAGTTTATTTTCATTCCGCCCTTTAAAAATCTTGCTGCCCTGTCTTCTGGCATCTAAAAATGCTGGTGAGAAATCAGCAGTGATTTAAGTCTTCGTCTTGTGTGTGTCATGTGTCATTTTTACCTGGCTGTGCTCTCTTTTTATCTTGATCTTTGGTCTTTGGCAGCTTGATGTTAATCTTCCTAATTGTGGTTTTCTTAGAGTGTATCCTGCTTGTAGGTTTTCTGAGATCCTTGAATCTGAAAATGTACATCTTTCACTACACTTGGGGACTTACCTGCTACTATATCTTCGGATTTTTTTTCTGCTACTTTTTTTTCTCATTTCTTCTTCTGGAGCTCCTATTACAGATATATAAGCCTTTTGATATTGTCCCATAGGTTCCTGAGATTCTGTTCATTTTTTTAAAAATTTCCCTCTTTCTTCTTTATATTGAGCAATTTCAAATGATCTGTCTTCCATTTTAATTCATTTGTCATTGCCGTTCTGCTGTTAAGCCAACCCGGTACATTTGTATTTTCAGATACTGTATTTTTCAATGTTAGTTTCTCACTGGGTTCTTTTTAGTAGTTTCTTTTTCTCTGCTAATATGTCCCATCTTTTTATTTATTGTGAGTGTGTTTTCTTTGCTCTAAGCATAGCTGGAATGGCCGCCTTACAGCCCACATCTGCTGTCTCCGCACTGGCGCCTCAGGGCTTAGGTTGGTTGGTTGTCCTGTTCTTTGAGATTGGGTCACGTTTCTCTGTTCTTCATGTAGGACGTAGGAGCCTCTGGGGTGCACGTTCTCGCAGTGAATGCTGGTGGTTTCCCTTTGGTGCTGTCTGGTTGGGTCTGACTCACATGTGAACTCTGTCTCCTGGGTGGCAGCCTCTGTTTTGGTTCAGTTCAGTCCTTGGCTAAGCTGCTTTGGGTCACTCCACACCTGGTGATCCTGGTGTTAACCAGTGACGTGACATGGATAGAGCTTATGTACAGAATTTGGGGTTCCTCTTCATGTCTCTTCTCTTTTTAGGGCTCCCCCTTACCCTTCAGTGGATTTTCTGTCATAGTGTTTGCCACTCTGTGCTGTTCTAACCTCTGGCTCAAAGCTACAAAATGGGACAGTTCCCTGTGTATATCTCTTCTTACAAGGTTTACCTCCCATCCCCAATTTGCCAGCTTTTGTTCATTCTCCAAGATAGGTCATCAAAACATTAAAAAAAAAAAAAATTCTCAGGGATCTTGTCTAGTAGCAGCTTACACAGACACAGCCAAAGTGCAAAACTCCAAACTTATGTTTTTAAAAATGCCTGTTCTCTCTCCAGATATCTTAATGCACTTCACAAATGTTTAAAAAACGGAATCAACTGTAACTCTTTCACTTTCACTTTTAGTTCTCATCTAAGATAAACTACCATATAAATTGAGTTGAAAATCCACACTGATGAACTATTTAATAGGAAACAATATGGGTACTTGCCTACAATTTAGGCTTTTTCTGATTTCCAGAAAGGCTACAAATGAAAATGTTTGCTCAGACGTTTACTTTGTACCTGAAATAAGAAGGATGTGGTCCATCTGGTCACTGTGGCCCTGTTTGTGGTAGGGCTGGTGTCAGTATTCTAGCATCAGCGGTGACCTGGGTACTTTAACATGAATTATCTTCTTGTTTATTAACTCCATAAGGAAGTGTTAATCCCAGTTTTCAGAGGAGGACGTTGAATCTCTGCAGGTTGCACAACACACCCCCAGGTGTCGGAGGAGGCCAGGAACAGCACTGAGGTTGGAAACCAGGTTTATGCCTCGAAATCCTGTGCCCGTCCCACCACAGGCACTACCTCTCAAACTTCCAGGTTCTAAATTTGTTGGTTTTGTTCACTGTATGACAGTTGTAGATAGAAATTTAAAAAACGGAAAAGGTTGCCACAAAGCCCTCCTCATTTAATAAAATCTGTGACTCGAGTCTTCTCTTCTGAGCTGGGGTCGGAAGATGGCTCTTTCCCCAGGATGGAGCTCCTTTCAAGGGACACAGCTGCGGTTCCAGGGTCTGCCCGAGTGAGCCTCAGGGTTGGGGGATTCTGTAGTTTGTAGTTTGCTCGTGTTTGCATGGAACTCATGGCAGAGTTTTCCCTTGGCCCGTGTACTCGCTGCTTAGGGCTATCGTAACAAATTACCACAAAGCGGGGGTCTTAAAACAACAGAAATATGTCGTCTCACAGTTCTGGAGGTCAGAAGTCTGAGATCAAGGTGTGGGCAGGGCTGGTTTCTTGAGGGCTCTAAGGGACGGTCTGACCCAGGCCTCTCCCAGCTCCCGCCGCCCCGCCACCCGAGTTCGCGTGGCTGCTCTCCTGTGTCTGTGTCTACAGTTGCCCTCTTCTTTTTCGGATAAGGACCTCAGTCATGGGATTTAACGCCACCTTAAATCCAGGATGATCTCATCTCGAGATGCCCCTCCTAATTACAGCTACAAAGACCCTGTTTCCAAATAAGGTCACATTCACAGGTACCAGAAGTTAGGACTTGGACACATCTTTGTGGGGCCACTCCCCAACTCTACAGCCATCCAATCTCGTACAATTTGGGCAAAATCCATGACAGATGTTAGCGATGAAGTGTGGTCCCTGCTGGCTGTCCATGCCCCCTTTGCCACCTACTTCTCCTTGCTGTGGAGGGCAGAGCTAAGGCTCCCTCCTCGTGGCGCTGGGGAGTTCTGATGGCGGTCCAGGGCCCTCGCCACCATCACCTGAGCGCTCATGTTGCCCACACAGCCGGCCTCGCCGCCAAAGCCTTTCTCCCTCGGACTTCAGGTGGAGAGGCTGCTGCGGTCTCTCCCCCTCCCTCTGGGCTCTGGCCTCTCCTCCTTGTCTTGGCTGATGGCTCCCCCTCATCCAGCTCTGAATGTGGCTCCCTCCACGCCCCTTCCCTCTCTTCTCTGCACACCCTCGTCCTGTGTGCTCTGGACCACGCCTGTGCCTTACACACTGCTTGCCCATGGGTGACGCCTGCATCCGCGTCTGACCTCCTTCTGAGCTCAGATGCACACGTCTGGCAGTGATTTCATGCTTCCGCTTGGAGGTCTGTCTTAGTCTGCTCAGGCTGCTGAAGTAGAAGCCACCATAGGCTTGTGGCTTAAACAACAGACGCTTTTGCTCACAGTTCTAGAGCCTGGAAGTCCAAGCTCAAGGCATGGTAGATTTGCTGTCTGGTGAGGCTGTATCCTGGTTTATATACGGCGCCTTCTCCCTGTGTCCTCATGTGGTGAAAGGGGCGCGGGAGCTCTCTGGGTCTCTGTTATAAGGACACTCATCCTATTCATGAAGGATTAGGCACCGAATCACCTCCCAAAGTCCCTGCCTTCTAATAGCATCACCTTAGGGGTAAGAATTTCAGCGTAGGAATTGGTGGGGGAGGGGGGCGGTAAGCGGGGCACAGTTCAGTACATAGTGGGGTCTAACAGGCATTTCAAATCTACAGCATCCGTGGCTGCACTCCCATCATCCTTCCCAAGCCTACATCCCCTGCTCCCGGGACCACCCCAGGGAGGGCAGCCCATGCTGTGGCTGCTCAAGCCAAGACCTGGGTGCCCTCGGACTGCCCTGCCTCTGCCTCTCACCCTCACTCCCATTTACATTTCCTCATGGCCCAACCTTGTTTGAAAATGTAGGTTTTATTATTATTCAGGTATGGCAAGGCCAATGTGTCAGGAGATGATGCCCACTGACAAGAGAGTTTCTTCCCCACAGTGCCCAAGATGGGGGACTGGAGGGACAGCATACCACGCATGGCCACACAGGCCACACAGGGCCACATGGGGTCACACGGGGTCACACAGGGTCACACGGGGTCACAGAGTCACACAGGCCACACAGGGCCACACAAGCTACACAGGGCCACACAGGGCCATAGGGGGCCACACAGGGTCACACAGGGTCACACAGGGTCACACAGGGCCACACGGGGTCACACAGGGCCACACAGGGTCACACAGGGTCACACATGGGGTCACACAGGGCCACACGGGGTCACACAGGGCCACACAGGGTTACACAGGCCACACAGAGCCACACAGGGTCACACAGAGCCACACAGGGCCACACAGGGCCACACAGAGCCACACAGGGCCACACAGGGCCACACAGGGTCACACAGGGCCACACAGAGCCACACAGGGTCACACAGAGCCACACAGGGTCACACAGGGCCACACAGGGTCACACAGAGCCACACAGAGCCACACGGGGCCACACAGGGCCACACAGAGCCACACAGGGTCACACAGGGCCACACAGAGCCACACAGGGTCACACAGAGCCACACAGGGTCACACAGGGCCACACAGGGCCACACAGGGTCACACAGGGCCACACAGGGCCACACAGGGCCACACAGAGCCACACGGGGCCACACAGGGTCACACAGAGCCACACGGGGTCACACAGAGCCACACAGGGCCACACAGAGCCACACAGGGTCACACAGGGCCACACAGAGCCACACAGGGCCACACAGAGCCACACAGGGCCACACAGGGCCACACAGAGCCACACAGGGCCACACAGGGCTTCACGGGGCCATGTGGGAAGAACCCGTCAGGAGGCATTTCAGCTGGACAGGGCAAGCAGGCTTAGGGTTGGCTCACTGGATTAGTCTGTGGTTCCATGGGCTCCAGGGCACATGTAGAAGCTGCCCCCTGCTGTCCAATACCTGGCCCTGGGGTGGGCAGGGCAGGTGGAGAGCGGGAGGCAAGAGCACCCTGGCCTGTTTGGTTTCCACATGGAAAGTGATGTGGTTTGTCTGTGTCCCCACCCAAATCCCACCTTGAATTGTAATAATCCCCACATGTCAAGGGTGGGGCCAGGTGGAGATACTGAGTCATGGGGACAGCCTCCCCCATACTGTTCTCATGGTAGTGAATAAGTCTCACGAGATCTGATGGTTTTATGAATGGGAGTTCGCCTGTACAAACTCTCTTGCCTGCCGCCATGTAAGATAGGATTTTGCTCCTCGTTCGCCTTCCACCGTGTGTGAGGCCTCCTCAGCCACGTGGACCTCTTTAAACCATTAAACCTCTTTCCTGTGTAAATTACCCAGGCTCGGGCCTGTCTTTCTCAGCACATGAGAACAGACTAATATGGAAGGTGTGCTCACAGGTAAGCAGCTTCCTGACTCTAGGTGCTGGCCAGGCCTGGGAGAGGTGATGGCTCCAGGGTCAGCAAAGCCCCAGAGTCAAAGCTCGGAACATAAAGACGACTGGGACCCATTCCCTCCTCGCCACGCCAGCACCTCCTGCCTGGGGAATCTCTGGCTTCCTGGCTGGCCCTGGCTGTGCCCTGGTTTTTCTTCTCTGTGGCCAGGGGATCCTTCCGGACATAAGTGGGTGGATGGGGCTTCCTTGACTGGGGCCACCAGTGGCACCCACCTCTCCAGCAGGGAGATGCCTCTGGGCCTGGCTGCCACTGTGGCCCCTCATTCCTGACCCCTCTGCCTCATCCCTGCCCTTCCTGAGGGTCCTCCCTGCCCCCCAGGCTGCTGTGCTCTGGCCAGTGGGCTCTTGCCCCTGCTGTTCCTGCAGCCACTTCTTTGAGTCTTGACCCAAAAGTCTGGCAGACAAGCCCTGGGCCCTGCTGTGTGCACAGCTCTTGTGAGTCCACGCATCCTGCCTGCATCTTAGAGAAGGTTTCATTGCTTGGTATAGAGTAGTTTCCAAGGCATCTCGGTGAGTGAGTTAGACCATTTTATAGACAGGGAAACTGAGGCACAAGAGACTGACCCGGGTCATAGCCAGGACCAGTGAAGGAAGGTGGTGACCTCATTCCCAGTCTTTGGGGTCTTTCTTCTGGGCACTCATCCAGCGTCCCAGGTGGAGTGTGCCCTGTGACCGTCCATTTCTGCAGGTGACTTTCTAGAAGGAGGCTCTGGTTCATAACACTTGGTTCCCAGAAGAAACCATTTTTCTCAACTACGGTACATTTGACATCAAATAAGGATTTAGATACTTAACATTGTTTTTATATCCTATTAGAAATTCTGACTTCATTTACTATATTGTGATAAACCTTCAAAGCCCACGGTAGTAATTCTGGCAGCAGAGCTGGCAGGCTGAAACCGCTTCCATGGAGATGCATCTCACAGGGTCCCAAGTGATGTAAACAAAACTTGTGTAATGAACACAGCATCTCCCTCAGCGGCTGTGTCTGTCCCATTTTCTTTGACTTTAAATACATGATACTCTGTGGGAAGCATGAGCTGAAATAATGATCTCGTCAGTGGGTCTTTGTGAAAACTAAAAAGATTTTTGAAATCTAGAGGCACGCAGCTTTTTTTAGTATTTGAATGCATCTTTCTTCACACTTTGGGTTTGCAGAACAAATGTTTGCATGTAATTTTGCTTCCTAAAATGTCAAAAATAGCACAAATATGAAAACAAGTATTCTCAAAGAGTGATCTTTTATGGAAAGACTGCTTACAGTAACTCGTTCCAGTTGGCTTTGAAAAATGCTGCGTGGAATTATCTTCACATACTTGGGAACAGGGAGTGTAAGGGAAACCCCTGCCTCACCGTCTCAGGAGCATTGTGACGAGGGCCTCTTCCTTTCCTGGCCTCCCACAAGCCCCAGCATCTGTTGATTGAAAGAGGAAGGTGTATCTCCTATTTTAAAATCATGTATAATTTTATATTTTCTAAAACATAAGCATGGCTAATTGTATGATCGCTTATGTCATTTGTAAGGAATTCAGCATAAAAAAATTTTTCTCAGCTGGGCGCAGTGGCTCACGCCTGTAATCCCAGAACTTTGGGAGGCCGAGGCGGGCAGATCACGAGGTCAGGAGTTCGAGACCAGCCTGACCAACATGGTGAAACCCCCGTCTCTACTAAAAATGGAAAAATCAGCCAGGCATTGTGGCACACACCTGTAATCCCAGCTACTCAAGGAGAATGAGGCAGGAGAATCGCTTGAACCTGGGAGGCAGAGGTTGCAGTGAGCCGAGAGCTCACCATTGCACTCCAGCCTGGGCAGCAGAGCAAGACTGTCTCAAATATATATATATATATATTTTTTTTTTTTCTCAGAGTTGCAAAGACAGAGACCTCCTTTGGTTGAGAGGAGGGCAAGTTTCGAAAGGAGGAACTTTGCTGTGGGGAGGAGTCAGTGGCCAGGCCCCACAGAGTCTGACGGCCTCTCCTGGCATCCAGCCTCACCTCCTTCCTAATGATACAACCTGCATGTTTTAGCTGGATGTGTGGCTACCCAGGGTGAAGACTGTATTCCCAGCCTAGGTGTGGTCGTGTGACTAATTCCTGGCAGCACATTGGATATGATCCCAAGATTGTGGAGCTTCTGGGAAGTGCCCTTGAGTAACTTCCTGTTGGCTGGAAGGTAGCTGTGTTGGCTAGAGCTCCAGCATCCATCTTGGCCTATAAAACAACTTCAGGAAGGGAAATTAGGCCAGCAGCAACTGGGGAGAAGGAGTCTGGGTCCTGGACCTTTGGAAGGGCCCTCTCAGTTCTGGACTGGCTACCTCTGGCCTTATGAATGGGAGGGAGGAATGAATGGTGGGGGAATGAATAGGAGTGGGGAGTGAATGGGAGGGGGGAATGAATGGGGGGGAATGAATTGGAGGGGGAAATGAATGGGAGGGGGAATGAATGGGGGGAATGAATGGGGGGGAATGAATGGGGGGGGAAATGAATGGGAGGGGGAATGAATGGGAGGGGGAATGAATGGGAGGGGGAATGAATGGGAAGGGGAATGAATGGGAGGGGAGAATGAATGGGAGGGGGGAATGAATGGGAGCAGGGAATGAATGGGGGGAAATGAATGGGATGGGGGAATGAATGGGAGGCGGGAATGAATGGGAGGGGGAATGAATGGGAGGGGGGAGTGAATGGGAGGGGGGAGTGAATGGGAGGGGGAATGAAGTTCTATCTCATTTAGGTGATTATTGTTTTGGACATTTCTGCTACTTGGAGGTACAGCTGATTCTAATGGACCTGCAGGCTCCTGGAGACACTTGGACTGGAAAAGCAAAACCAAGGCCCATGACATCTATCTTTGCATATTGAAGTAGATTTAGAAAACCCTTTCGAATCCCTCTGAGTACTTTTATTTGCTGCTCCCTCTCAACCTCAACTTTGTTCCTCATCCCACTTTCTACTGGACATTTTGACCTGGCCCTTTGCCCTCCCTTCCCTTTGCCCTCCCTTCCTGCACGCTGCTGAGCTGTAGCTCTCTCGGGGGTGCCCAAAGACTCCAGCCCTCCCAGCCCCATCTCCCCACCCTCGCCTCAGCCCTTCCTCCTCACTGAGCCCCCGTGCCTAGCTGTCTGCTGACCGTGGGTGCTGCCTCACACTCCAAAGCCCATCTCCTCCTCAGGTCACCCCTTGGCATCCGACACCCCCAGAACCTTATTCACCTTCTCTGCAGGTCCAGAGCCCAGCAGAGCTCTATGCCATGGCAGGAGAGTGGGAGGCATTTCCTAAGAATGCTGCCTTTGGCTCTGAATTCCCAGGACATTTTGGTTGCATAATATTCATTGTCTGAGAAAAGAAAGAAAAGAGACTCATTTGGAGAATTAAAAAAATTATTGTAGAAAGATTTCATTTAATAAATCCTCACTCTCATTAGTATCTAAGTAGCCCTTTTACTGTCCTAAATAGATGCCAGGGCAGGAACCAGGGTGCAGAGGGCTCTGGCCCTGGCGGCAGCCTGGGACTCACATTGCTATAGGTGGGCCCAGAGGCTTCAGGGAGAAGCCTGTCCCCTTCTATCTCCCCTCTTCTCTTGTGGAGAAGCAGCTCCTTCCTGCCTGGGAGTCCCAGGACATCTTCGAGGAGGGGACATTTGAGAAGGATGGGGGAAGAGGCCAGGAGAAAAGCAGGGAGGGAGGAGGGAAACCCATCATCAGCTCTGGCCGAGGCCTGTCTTGTAAGACCCCAGGGCCAGGGCCAGGCCGGATGTGTACCAAGTCGGACCACGTGGAAGAGGCTTGAATGCGTGAGAAGGTGCCCTCTCCCTCCTTCCCTCCTTCCCTGTCCCCTTCTATCTCCCCCCTTCTCTGTGAGCAGGCATTGGCTCCTCAGAAGGGCCTCTCACTCAGTTGGATGGTGATGCATTCCCCACTCATGCCTGGAAGTAAGCGGGCGCAGCCACTGTGGATGAGTTGCCAGTGGAACCATGAGTGTTCCTGCGTGCGGCCTGCACCTGCACACACACCTGCACACACGGGCACCTATACACACACTTGTCCCTGTGTGCACATACCTACACCTGCACACACACCTCCAAACACACCTGCACCTCTACACACTTGGCCTGTGAACACACACCTGCACCTGCGCACACACCTGCACCTATACACACACTTGTCCCTGTGTGCACATACCTGCACCTGCACACACACCTCCAAACACACCTGCACCTCTACACACACTTGGCCCTGTGAACACACACCTGCACCTGCACACACACCTGCACACACGGGCACCTATACACACACTTGTCCCTGTGTGCACATACCTGCATCTGCACACACACCTCCAAACACACCTGCACACACATGTGAACCTCTACACATGCTTGGCCCTGTGAACACACACCTGCATTGGCACACACACCTGCACATGCACCTACATGCACCTGCACCTATATACAAATTTGCCCCAGTGAGCACACAACTGCACTTGCACACACATCTGCACACAAACTTCTGCACACACCTGCACACACCTGCACCTATACATACACGTCCCTGTGCACACACACCTAGAGCTATATACATACTTGCCCCTGTGCACTCACACCTGCACACACACCTGTACCTGTGCACACACCTGCACACATACCTACACACACCTGCATCTATACACACTTTCCCGTGTGTACACACACCTGCACCTGCACTCACACCTGCATGCACACCTGTACCTCTGCACACCACCTGCATGCACATCTGTACCTCTGCACACACCTGCACACATACCTACACACACACCTGCATCTATACACTTTCCCCTGTGTACACACACCCACACCTGCACTCACACCTGCACGCACACCTGTACCTCTGCACACACCTGCACACATACCTACACACACCTGCATCTATACACACACCTGCACCTGCACTCACACCTGCACGCACACCTGTTCCTCTGCACACAGCTATGTCACCCCACATGTGCACTCTCACCTAAGCTGGAGCAGCCCAGAGGGTTTGCTCATTTGCTCATTAAGTGGTTCTTGCTTGAGCAAACCGGGAAGTCATCTTGAGTGGAAGCACCTGGTCTCTGGTAACAGACGCTGAGAATCACCTGATTTGACCCTTCGACAGTGAGATGATTGTCAGAACAGAACCCTTGTGCATATTTTCAATATGAGTTGATGAGGCCAAGAGCTCTTATTGGATGGGAGGTTTATTTCATAAGCCACTTGATTTTAAAGACTCAACAGAGAGGACATATTTCTTAGTATACTGAGTAAGACATTAACATTTGTGTTTGAGGGAGGACATTTGAGCCAGGATTTTGCAAACATAATTGGTTTGCAGTCCTTGACTCCTTGGAGTGTTTGTGTCAGTTGGGATTGAAACGGCATGTATTTAACTTTATCAGTATGTTTTCAGAGTCATCTTCATTTAGAAAACGCATTGATAACCCAGAATGAACATATTTTTTGCAGTGATATTCTTTAAGCTGAAAATGAAATATTTGCTTCTACACCATTTAGTTGTGCCAGTCGCCTTTGATTTAGCAGACGATTTTGCTCTGGCTAAGTTGCTCTTTTAGACAGACGTTTATATGGGCGATGTTTTCCAGCAATGTGTTTAGCAATTCTCCTTTTCTCCATGTTCACATTTAAAGGGTTGTCTTAGACACCCATTTGCAGCCAACATGATCCCTAAGCTGGGACAAATGCAGCAAGTCAGGCCCTTGTGTTCAGGAAGTTACTCGTCGTGACCCAGGAAGGCAGTGACACAGGGAGTGACAGGGCTCTGGGCTCTGCCCTGTGATCTTGGGAAGTGACTCGGCTTTTCTGCCTCACCTTCCATCCTCTGCAAAGCAGGGGCGAGGTGGAACTTACCTGTAGGACCGTGGAGTCTGGAGGGCGCGCAGCTGTCCTGAGACCGGGCCTGGCCCACAGCGGGTGCTTACTCAATGCTGATGTCTCGGCACGTGCGTCATGTTCCGTTCTGGAGTTAGTCGTCTTTCATGAACACGCGGGAAATTTTGGGGTGGGCAGGGGCCCATCACCGGATCAAGGTAGGGTTTGACCGATGTGACTGGTTAGCTGGAAAACATTGATTATTTTATGGGGGTGAAGAACCAGCCACACTTTTTACAGTGTTGGATCTTAGATTGCAAACTGCGTTTTGTGAAAAGCTGGGAATTTCAGCTTCAGCTACTGATTAAATTACCACAAAAAAGCACTGCCAATTTAGGGTATTTCAGTAGAACTCTGGGTTTGAATATTTCTGATTTCTAGAGGAAGAGACAGCATGTTGCGTCTTGGACAAGTCAACACCTTCTCTTTGAGCAAATTATTTCTTCTATATTCACAGTTGATTCAGAATTAGATGGACCCAGCAACGATGTGTCCTCAGTTCTTCATTTTGACAGTCTGGGTTTGTTACTGCTCAGAGCGCACATGTGTTTCTCCGGACATACATCCCTCGCACATCTGCGCACTGACAGGACTTTAATGTATCAATGTGCACACATCGGGCCCTAGAACCGGAGGCTGTCCACTCTGCTCTGCGGCTACCCTTGCCCTTCAGGGTCTCTGGGGAGACAGTGACACCGTAGGGTGTGGGGCAGGCACCAGGACTCTGCAGCTAGAAAGGCCTGGGTTCAAACCCCCGTACTATTTTTACCACTGTGATAACTTTGGAAAGGGATTTCCATTTCTAAGCCTTGGCGTCTCCTCTATAGAAAGGGGTGAATAAGAAGACCTGTCTTCAGGGCTATTGGAAGAGCATCGTGGTAGAACGCTCTTAGTCAACAGTCACTGCCATCGTTAGCTCCCTAAGTGTGGGTCTCCTCTAACCTAAACACAAAATTCTGGTCTTTCTCCCTCACTGTGCCAGCAAAGGGAATGTACTCTTCACCACCCATCAGGTTTGAAGCTGTGGCTTCTTCTCATCCAGGAGTCTGCTTGGTGCTTGCGGCTGAACTCCTCCAGCATCCTTGTCAACACGGCCTCCTGACAGTGGTGCTCTCCAGAAACCAAGTGCGCTGGTGTTCTGCTGTCTTTTTCTTATTAACCATGAACTCAGAGAATGTTTCAGCAGTTGGTATCATGTCTTTCAAGGTGATGCTTACTTTTTTTTTTTTTTTTTTGAGATGGACTTTCGCTCTTGTTGCCCAGGCTGGAGTGCAATGGGGCGATCTCAGCTCACCGCAACCTCCACCTCCCGGGTTCAAGCGATTCTCCTGCCTCAGCCTCCCTAGTAGCTGGGATTACAGGCGCATGCCACAACACTCATCTAATTTTGTATTTTTAGTAGAGATGGGGTTTCTCCATGTTGGTCAGGCTGGTCTCGAACTCCTGACCTCAGGTGACCCACCCACCTCAGCCTCCCAAAGTGCTGGGATTACAGGCATGAGCCACCGCACCCGGCCAGCGATGCTTACTTTTATTAGAACACGTTAGCTGGCATCTGAGTGTCACAGGGATGCTGTGTGGCAGCCAGCCCGGTGCTTGAGTCACAGCTCAGCTCTGCTTCTCAATTCTCATTCCATCCTTGTTCCCTGGAGTCCTGCGGGAGTGGCTGCTGCTGGATGTTGTCTCTTCTTTGGTAGCTGTCAAAAGAGATTCATGAAAAAAGTGAGTAGGTAAACGGCCCAACTACCTTACTGACCTGTAACCCTAGGAAATAAGCTGGGGTGGTTGGGGGCACAGGATCCTCTAACGGAGACCCCAGGGACCCAGGCGTGTATGTATAAAACCAGCCAACAACAAATCAATCTGTAACAGGCAAGAAGATCTACGGAAATGTTCTCTTTTCCTTTTTTAAGAAGAACGGTGGGAAAGCGATGCACATGGCCAAACGGTGCAATCGGAGGGGCAGATAAACAGCGCGATCGGAGGGGTTGATAAAGGTGTGATCGGAGGGGCTGATAAACGTTGCACAATGTTGCCTGTTTTTCTACATTGTCGCTGTTTCTCAGAAAGTGCCCTCAGGCGATGACACTCAAGAGCCCTCCTCACTGCAGGCTACAGGTGTCTCCCTGGAGAACTGCGGAGGGGCTCTATAGCACGGACCCTGCCCGTGTCATGGGCATACAGAAGAATCCGTGCAGGCTTCCCAACGGGCGGGATCCTGATGAGGGGCTGGTTCTTCTAAAGCAGGAGCAGCTGAGCGTGCAGGGAGGCTGCTGACCATCCTGCCCTGGAGTCTTCCGCAGCCACGGTTGCCTTGAGCAGGCAGAAAGGAGAAATATCTGAAAATGGGACTCCTTGTGCAGGAACCCACATTTGCAAATGGGACAGGTCCACCCCAGAAGGTTGCTGAGCAAGCTTACATGTCTGGGACTGGCCTGTCCTGCTGTCCGAGGGGTCCTTTTTCAGGGCCAGGCTCAGTGGGGAGAGGACGCCGGGTGGGGCTGCCTGCACGGGTGGGCCAGTGACGGTTGGGCTGTCTGCACAGGTGGGCCGGTGCAGCCCGCAAGCGGACAGCCTGCCCGTTGGAACAAAGAGTCATCTAATTTGTTTAAAGTCCAAGTGTAAAGAGACACGGCAACTTTAATGCTGAGGGGCCGGCGTTCTTCAGAAGACGAATCCGGAAATAACTTCCTTCCTTAGAACTGAATCCTGCCTTACGATAGGAACTCGGTAAAATCTGTGAGCAGAAGACTTGCAAACTTTTACTCTTAACATCCTTGCAATGGCCATTTCTCCTTTTGGTCCACCTCTCAAGCTGCACTGCACGTAACATGTTTTCAGCCCCAACGCAGGCTGCCGTGGGATGTGCCAGGTCTCGGCAGGTCAGTGACAGCTGCAGGCAGAGTCTTCCTCCCGGGTGATGTAGCTTTGAAGCACCTGCCATCGGCCGCCATCTCTCCTCATTTCCATTTCATATCGATTTAGCATTTGTGATTGTGTACCATTTTTCTTAAAGAAAACCCCTGAAGTCATCTGAGGCCCAGGCCCTGTGAAATGTGGACCAGAGTGGGAGCGGATCACAGGGAGCCGCCACCTTCTCCTAGAGTCCCCACAGCTTTCAAGGGTGACAGCCCTGGGCGTGTTCTGCAGAGGCAGGAGGAGACAGTTTTTGAGGGCAGCAGGGCAGGGCGCTGATGGAGCCTGCCGGCCTCAGCCATGGACCCGTGGGCTTGCCTTCCTGAGGCCAGCACCTCTGCTCTCCAGCCACGTGGCCATAGGCCGGCTGCTGACTTTGTGGGTCCTTGGTGTTCTCATTTGGAAAATGGGGCATAAGAGCTGCTTCGTGGGGTCATGGGAATGTCAGAAGCCCCTGCCCAGCGTGTGGCACTGAGCATGTGGGTGGCTTTCTCCCTCTGCCCCTGGGCCTGAGTGCTGTCAGGAGTGTGACCAGCACCCTGTCCTTTTTGTCCCACGTCCTCCACCCCTACCTACGGCAACAGTCATCCTGTCCCCTTGGGCTCAAGATGGCCTTGGGCTTGCATTTAACCTGAGTGTGCCTCTTCCCAGGTGAGAACGCAGCTACACAGAAAATGACGGTTCCTGAAGAGGAGCTTTGACCTCTGACCTCTGCTCTGCTCCTGCCCCAGGGCCTTTGCCCGGGCTGCCCCTCCTACAGAAGGTTCTCAAGGCTCGTGGACTCCCGCTGTCCTTGCTAAGACCAGCTCTGCCTCCACCCCACCCTGTAGGCTCCCTGCCTTTTCCCTGGGATCAGGCTGTTTCCGTCCGCACTAGAAATGGGCCCTGTGCAGGCAGGGACGAGGGCTCAGTGGGTACCTGGCATGGTCATCCCTCCGCAAATGTCAGTGGAGGCAATGAGCTCAGTTTTAATAACATGAGTTCTTTCTTTAGAAGTCTGCACAACGGCCCCGTCTTGTGCCTCTTCCTTACCATCTGGAACGGGAGTCTCATCGCTACACCCAGGAGAACAAACATCATGAGAACTGGGGCTGAGGAGCACAGCTGGGGGTGGACACGCAGCACAGTCACTGCCCTGGGGAACAAAGGTTCCCTCTGCAAAGCCATCCAGGCTGCCCTTGCCCAGCCCCAGGCCCTCTCATTCACTTGTTTGCTGTGCCCACTGTGCCTGTCTGTCTGCCTCCCCTGCTAGACAGCAATCCCCCTGAGGGCAAGGCCCGGCCATTAGGAGATGCTCAGCCAGTGCCACTGAATATCGGGTTAGAAAGTGAATGAGTCTGTTCAGGTGATAAGGAGCTTTGGAAATAGAAACGGTGATGGTTGCACAACATCGTGAATGCCACTGACGGGTAACTCAAAGACAGCTAAAATGGCAAATTTTATGTTATACATATTTGATATTCCATAGTTCATAAAAACCCAAAAGAAGGAGTGACTAAATGTAAAAAGTGTAATCTTAAAGTTAAAAACTAGGAGATTTTCTTAATGCCTGAGATAGAAAAGGATTTCTTAATAACTAAAAGCATAGAGAAAAACATTGGCAAATTGAAACAAGGCAACATTGTTAAAGTCACCATAAACCAATGGAAAATAAAAGCTGTGAACTGGCCAAATAGTAGTTACAGTGAATAAAATTGGAAAAGGATTGGCATCCACAGACTGAAGAAGTTCCTCGTAGCTGTAGGAAAGCAAAACACCAAAAAACAGGCACAGCTCATGAACAGGAGACTCGCTGAGAGGAGACCTACCGGGCCACGGAGACAGGGCACCTGCCGTGCTGGAGCTGGCTGGGGTACCGAAGCTGCAATGGGCACCCGGCCTGGAGCTGGCTGGGGTACCGGAGCTGCAGCGGGTGCCCCGCTGGGGATGGATGCACCTCTCTCCCCTCGACTGAGGAAGGGAGCAGGTCTGACCAGGCCTAGAGCCCGTGACTGCTGGGCAGTCACACTGAATACAGAGACTGGAGGCTCTACTCAGGAAGGCAATTTGCAAATCTTCAGCGAGGGAAGCTGCGAGGCTGAGATTCAGGAACAACACTTGCAGGAATATGCCCTGGAGGGACTGACACTCGAGAAGAATTTTTGTTTTGGAATTGTGAGAAACTGAAAATGCCCATCTGCAAGGAAAGTGATAAATGAAGTGGAAGGAGTGATAAGAGTTTTGTACAGTAGTATACGGAACACTCAGTCGAGCCGGATGCGTGACCACGACTGCCCGCACCTGCTCCTGTTGGCAGCATCACCGCGCAGCCCAAGCCCGACAGTGGGATGGGGGTCACTTCAGAGGCCCTGCAGTAACTGTGTTGTGCAACCGGAGAGGAGAGACACGGGTTCTGGGGGACTTTGAAGGCAGCGCTTTTCAGTGGGGGCTCTGGATCTTCGTAAGAGACGGAGTAGAGACGGCAGAGAAAACACCACTTGGAAAGAAGGAGCAATAGCAGATAAACCCTGTGTGGCTGAGCCTGGGGACATGGTGCACAGAAAGGGAACTGGGTGACCTGGTGGACCCTCAGGGTCTCACACGCCAGGCTGGGTGGGACTCGGGAGAGGGACTGAGAGGGGTGAGATGCTACGATACTTCACAAGTGTTCAATTATGACTTTAAGTTTTACCCATTTAGTTTTGTTTTATTTGACAAATTATGGTTTTATATTTTTATTGTAATATTGCTTTTTTCAATTCATTTTACATTTCAAAGTAAAACCATTTGCCTAATCATCAGTCATTTTACTGCTAACAGCATTGATGGGCATCTGGTTTTAGCTTCAGTTTGCAGCCAACCCTTTCGCTTTCAGAGTGAGGATTCAGTTCATTGGCGCGGTTGTGTCTGGCGGCGTCAGCACCCCTGTGACAGGCAGCCTTTCTCCGGGCTTAGAGCGTCAGCGAAGGGATTATTTCAGGCCGACACTTGGCATGGAGAGTTGTCAGGCAAATGCATTTTTGAAGAGTTGGATTTGATCTCAATTATTCCATTTGGCTTTGTGAAAGGAGAGGGTTGGAAAACAGTTTACCCAGCTTCTGGCTCTGTCATATTTTCATTTTAAATCTAAAGGCAACGATGCTGGCAGGCAACCAGCTCTCGGCGTGGACTGACACTTCAGCTACTCTGGGAAAAGCAACCTCATTCAAACAAGCCAGAGCCTTAGTAGCAGCCACCCCACTTTCCCGCCGGGCTGGGCCACGATGCTGACCCAGCGACACACAGCTCCCTTGTGTTCCCGCTGGACGCTGGCCCGGCGGCCGTGGCCTATAGAGCAGGCCCCTCGGTGCATGAAGCCAGCACAGCCCTGGAAATCCCGTGCAACAAAAAGCCTCTGTTCCACCCAGAAGAGCTCTGAGCAGAGAGGGCCCCGCCGAGGCCTGCCGCGACGGACTCACAGATGGGCGCCTGGAGAGAGCGGGCTTTCATTAGGTCAGCCCAGGGGTGGGGGGAGCAGACAGCACTGCTGGGCTTGGCTTGGGAAAGAGGCGCCCCGAACCCGGAGGAACTTCCAAGAGTTTACAGGACGCTCAGGAGCCTCCTTCACTCTGCCTTTTCTTCACGTCCTAAAGTGCACGGAGCTGGTCTTTAGTTTCCAGACAGTGAGCATTAGCCCAGGTGGGCTCTCCTCTGCCAAAGAGGGTCCTGAGGACCCCCACGACTTACAGCCCCCACCACTAGAGCCCCCACGACTTGGAGACCCCACGGCTTAGAGCCCCCACCACTAGAGCCCCCACTACTTAGAGCCCCCACGACTTGGAGACCCCAAGTCTTAGAGCTCCCACCACTAGAGCCCTCACCACTTAGAGCCGCCGTGACTTAGAGCCCCCCACTCCTTTGGATTTTGGGGAGTTGCCCCGCCAGCTCCCCGTCTTTGTGGCTCTGTAATCTGAGATGTCCGGATGGTCCTCTGATAGAAAAGCCCAGCCCTGCAGTTTCCTCTGCAGCCCATTGATGGGGGAAGTGGGGTCCTGCAAGGCTCTGGTGGGCCTGCAAGCTGGGCCTGCTGAGCCACAGGGGCTATTCTGATCACCTCCTTCCTCTCTACCCTATTGGTGAGGGGGACCCGCTGCCCTCAATGGCACCAGATGCCTGAGTGCCCAGCACCCAACCCTGGACAGCTGAGAGTGACAGCAGGCCACGGTCACAGGTGCTGATGTGCGGGTGGAAGGCGGCCCACTCCACTCGGGGACAGGGTGGGCTCTCAGGGGCTGCATGGCTTTGCAGTGGCCGCCCACAGGGTGAGGGGACCCTGGCTCTGTGGGGCTTGGGGCAGGGTGTTGGGAGAATCCTGTGGGCTGGCAGGGATCTGAAGCCCAGCGGGCTGAGGACCAGATGGGTGCTGCTGGTCCCGCTGGTGGAGGAACTGGCAGGGTGGGGAGCCTTTCCCCCTGGGGGACACATCCTATGAGGACAGCGGCTCCCAGGAGGCCTCCAGAGGCTGGGAGGCCTTTCAACGCGAGGATCTTACTGGCCACAGGTGCTGCTCAAACGAACGCTCCGAAAGTCTCAGCAGGTGAGAGCGCAAGTCTCAGTGCCGGAAACTGCTGTGCTGGGGGTGAGGAGGGGTGGACCCAAGGGCAGCCAAGGGCTTTGTGGGGGCACCTGGGGCCCAGGGCACAGGAAGAGCCATGCCCCACATCCAGTGCCCCCAGGTGTAACCCTGCTCCTCATGGCCCAAGAGGTTTTACGTGTGGATGGGTTTTAATTGGGTGTCTGGAAGCAGGTAAAGTTGTGTCTGAGCTTGGTAATGAGAGGCAGGGTAAAAGGGAGGGACATCTTGGAGGTGACATGCCTGATGCAAGGTCTTTACCAAACAGAAACTCCACAGGCCTGACCACACCTGACCAGGGCACAGGGCAGCCGAGGGCAAGGGACAGGTCCTGGTTTGGGGCCACTGCATGTCCTTGATCAAGGCATTGGGTGTTCAGCACCTCATCTTCCTTCTCTGCAAGGTGAGCGGCTTGGTCCCCCAAAACTCCAGTGCATTTATGAATTTTAACTGTTCTACAAGGCTACGGCCAACATGGGTGCCTCCGAGGCTCAGCCTGAAGGCAACATGTGGGGAGCCTGGTGGAAACCAGCCGTGTGGCCGAGGGCAGGCGCGTGCCGGGAAGTGCCCCTGTGCTGCGCTCATTAAGTTGTGATGGTGGCTTGTTAGCAGCTTGTTTTACTTCAAGATACTTCACTACATAAAGATTTTCAATTATGAGACAGATTGAATTGAAAACTGACTTTTCTAAAAACAAGGATTATTCCACATTGCAGAAATGATCCTCAGCTTCAAAGCTTTGTTTTTTAATGAGTGCACCCTTTAGGCATTTGGCACGTCTGGGATCCAAACCCTTGTGTTCATCCTGTGGACTCTGCAAAACGCACAGTGCCTCATGTCTCTTTCTGAACCTGGTCTGGTGTGAGCAGTGAGGAGGGAGTGTCTCAGGCTCCCATGGGGCTGAGGATGGGCTCCACGATGTCCCTCAGCCCACAGAGACAGAGACACACCCAGAACCTCCAAGCCACGGGTCTTGTCTGCAGCTGGGCCAGGTGGACTGCACCTGCCAAGGGAGCCTCCAGGGTGGGTGCTGGCTGGCCGGGCGCCCTCCTCACACACGAGGGCGGGCCAACTTGAGTGGAGCCGTGTCTGCATGCAATGCTGTCTCTGCCCCCAGCAGCTGAATGCCACCTGCTGAGCTAATATTTGCTGAACCATCGAGTCATGGATTCCTTCCTGACAACGTTGCTTAAGTGTTTATCCGAGCAAGAGCTTGGGTCAAGGTTGCCCTCGTCTCCCTGCCTCCCTCTGCAAACACCATTCAACTGCCAGCAGTGCCCTTGATGTCCCGTGTCCAGCTCCTCTGAGTGTGGTTTCCTGGCTCATAGTTGCCCAATGTACGGCATTCCTTGTGGTGAACCACAGGGCTGGCCCAGGATTCTTAGATGTCGGAGGAGGCGAAGATGCCACGTCCAGCAGAAAGAGCTGCACAGTGGCGGCCGCGCGTCAGAACGGCAGCTGTGGGGTGGCTGTGGAGCGGGGCGCCGGCGGTGGGTTGTTTACCACGAGCTCTACAACCAGTGGCTGTGTCTGTGTTTTTTCTCTTTAATGGAATGAAGCAAACGCAGGAGTGCCATGTCCCTGCAAGGACACAGTAGGGGTCTGGGTGATTTAGGGCCCTGGTGAATTCACACCCTCCAGGACATGAAGCCCTGTTTTCTGCACCATTTTACTGATGAGAAGCTTGAGGCTGAGAGAGGCCACTGGAGCAATCTGAGGGGAGGCCAGATCAATGCTGAGCCCTGCGGGCCTCACCTTGCAGGCCACAGCCTCCCTTATCATCTCTCCAACCCCAGCCGAGGCCCTAGGTCCACCCCATGTCCGGGTCATGATCCAGGAAGGGGTCAGTGCTGATCTAGAGCCTGGCGACAGAGCCCCTGGCCCGAGGCCTCCAGGAAGGAGTGTATCTCCAGCTTGCTGCCCATTGGCTGAGGACAGCGGGCTGGGGCATGAATCCCACGTGCGCGCAAGTGCCATTTTGCTCTGTGCTCCATGAACACAGGTGCCCCGAGCGCCTCCTGAGTGCCATGTGCAGAGTGGGCGGTGCCAGATGGGGCCCACCGTTGTCCACAGGGCTTGTGGAGGTGCTGCCGTGCCTCCCAGATGCCCTGTCTGGGCCTGTACCCCTTTGCCGAGTTGAGGAGGCTGTGTACCTCTTTGGGAGATGCCTGGGAGGTCACGAGCACAGACTGTGGGTGGCCCAGAGCCAATGACTGACAGTGGCGGGTGCCATGGCCACCCTGGCCTCCCCAGGGCCAGCAGTGGGGTGCGGGTCACTGGCTGACAGGGACCCCCTCCTGACGCCTGGTCCTGCCCTATCCTGCTCGCCTCGCCCCTTACCCTCAGGTTTCTCCTGCAGGAATCCCCATGGGAGTGCTGGCTGCTGAGGGACGGAGCTTCCCTCCTGGTGGGGCTACAGGGTGAGGAGGGCTTCGCATGGCGGCGGCGGCAGAGGGAACGGTGCTGTGAAGGCCCTGGCAGCACGAGAACAGGTCCACGGGGTGGGGGGGGGGCGTGGGGGGGGCATCGGAATAAATGGAAGAAGAATCGATATGATACAATTTAGCGCTTTAAATTATGCACTTTTATGACATGGAATTGTCTTAAGAAAATACCACGTGACAATGAAGGATGCAGAACTGTGCGACGTCAGCCCTGAGTAGACACGAACACGCAGGAAAGTCCCGGAAGGCCTGTGGCCATGGTCTTCAGTTTCTTCCTTTCCCTCAATGCCTCTTCCAGTTTTGTAGGGTTAGCACGCATTGCTTTCATAAATAAATACAAAATAATAATGTGTGACATAGAAGGGCCAACTTCTTGAAATGCTGAACTCAGGTAACTGTTTGACTCTAAACTGGTTTCTGGAAATGGTTTTCCTGTTTCTCATGAACTGCTCAGGTGGGCAGAGGCCACTTACAGTTGGCAAACGGCAGAGGGCCCGGGTGTGGAGCTGTGGCCCAGGCTGGTAACGGGGAAGTTCCTCTGATTCGGGGTGAGGTTGTTCCCAGTGCATTTCCAGGCACACCCACCTCTCTGAATTGCTGAAACCTTTGCGCCTCCTCCTCAGGTGGAGCCCACACTACACTCCCCTGTCAGCTCAGGTCATGTGTTTTTTACCTGGGGTGAGCAGGGCCCAGCCCACCGCGTGGGTGAGAATTCGGTGAATTCCCTGTGTGTGGGTTTCTGCGTGCCCCACGTGCGTGCACCAGGGCCAGGTGCTGTTTCACTCACAGCCGGGAGCTCCATGGCCCTGGATGGTAAAAGCGTGTTTCTCCCCAGGGCCTGACTCTGCCTTGAGATGCTGCCTTCCTCTAGGGACCTCTTGGAGCGTCTGGCTGGGTCCCTGCGTCCAGCTGTGGATGAGAGAGCTGGGGGCTCAGTGGACAAGTGGGGGCGTGGTGGGGTGGGAGAGAGCGCCGGGGAGCGTGGCATCCTTGCCCCCTATCCTCCCAAGCAGGAGCAGTCATGTGGTCATGTCTGAGTGTAAGGGCACAGAAGCCAGTGGCCCCGTGCTGTGGGAGGGAGTTGGCTTGGCCAGCACGCTGCCTTGTTGCTGCACTGGTGCCTGAAGCATGGCTCCTGATCGGCGTAATAAATGCCAGCTGCCATGGGAAAATGTGTCTCAAAGTGTGTGCATTGCTACATCCAAGAACAAGCCACTTTCTAAGACGAAAGGAGCATATCCCAGGCATTTTAGCAGTAATTGGTCTCACATCTATTCCTATTACATCTGCAGTGACTTCCTTCACTGAAGGCTGGAATCCCTGAAAGTCATCCATGAGGATTGGAATGAACCTCTTCCAAACGCCTGTTCATGCTGACACTTTGACCTCCTCCCATGAATCATGAATGTTCTTAGTGGCATCTAGAATAGTGAATCCTTTCCAGAAGGTTTACAATTTACTTTTCCCAAATCCATCAGAGGAATCACTAACTATGGCAGATACAGCCTTAAAAAATGTATTCCTTAAATAATAAGGCTTGAAAGTTGAAATGAGTCCTTGGGCTGTGGAATGGGTGTTGAGTTAGCAGGCATGGAAACAAGATTCATCTCCTTGTTCATTTCTATCAGAGCTCTTGGGTGACCAGGTGCATTGTCGGTGAGCAGTAATATTTTGAAAGGAATCTTTTTTTCTGAGCGGTAGTTCTCAACAGTGGGCTTAACATAGTCAGTAAACCGTGCTGTAAACAGACATGCTGACATCCAGGTTTTCTCGTTGCATCTATAGAGCAAGGCAGGGTAGACTGAGCATGGTTTTTAGGGGCCCTGGGATGTTCAGAATGATCCATAAGCATCGGCTTCCAATGAAAGTCACCACTGCACCAGCTCCTAACAAGAGCGTCAGCCTGTCTTTGAAGCTTTGAAGCCAGGCACTGACTTGGCCTCTCTAGGTAGGAAAGTCCTAGATGGTGTTCTTCCAATAGAAGGCTGTTCTATCTACATTGAAAATCTGTTGTTAAGCGCAACCACCTTCATCAGTGATCTTAGCCAGATCTTCTGGACGCGGAAGGTAACTTGCTGCAGCTTCTCCATCAGCACCTGCCGCGTCACCTTGCGTTTTTATGTTATGGAGACGGCTTCTTTCCTTAAACCTCATGAACCCACCTCTGCCAGCTTCCACTCTTCCTCTGCAGGTTCCTCGCCTGTCTCAGCCTTCACAGAATTGAAGAAAGTTAGGGCCCTGCTCTGGACTAGGGTTTGGCTTAAGGGAATGGTGTTGCTGTTTTGACTGTCTATCCAGAAAACAAAAGCTTTCTCTGTATTAGCAACAAGGCGGGTTCACTTCCCATCATTCATGCACTCTCTAGAACAGCACTTGTGATCTCCCTTAAGAACTTTTCCTTTGTCTTCATTACTTGTCTCACTGGTGCAGGCCTCGCTTAGCTTTCAGCCTATCGCAGCTTTCAACCTGCCTTCCTTGCTAAGCTGAATCATTTCTGGGTTTTGATTTAAAGTGAGGCGTCGTGGCTCTTCCTTTGAGCACTCTGAGGCCATGGAAGGTTTAGTAACCGGGCCAATTTCAATATTGTTGTGTGTCAGGGAACAGGAATGATTGGGAAGAGGGAGAGAGGTGGGGGAACGGCTGACTGCAGGGGCAGCTAGAACACACCAAACATTTATTAAGTTTGTGTCTTATATGGGTGCAGTTCATAGCACCCAAAACAATTACGTCGGTAACATTGAAGATCCCTGATCACAGATTGCCACTGCGTATATAATACTAATGAAGAAGTTTGAACTGTGGCAAGAATCACCAAAATGTGACCCAGAGCCACGAAGGTGGCACACGCTGCTGGGAAAACTGCGCCCGTGGAATTGCTCCACGCCGGTTGCCACAAACCTTCAGTTTGTAAAAAAAGTAACATCCATGGAGCAAAATCAAGCAAAACACCACAAGACAAAGTACACCTGTATAGCTCTCTATAGATCTACATTTTTAAATACATAGATCTATATAATTTATATAATACTTACATAATATCTCTATATAGTATATATTAGGTATGCAATATTGATTATACAGAGCTACATGTAGATCTATAAATTATATACATAGCCAATATTTTAAAACATATAAGAATGACTCTTTATAATGGCAGAAGACATAAATGTCCCCTCCTTTTCTATCTATGAATCTGGAATCTGACAGAGAAACCAACCCTCACAAGCTTTCGTCGTACGATGGGCCTGGCTTCACTGAATCCTATCTATGAACCTGGAATCTGACAGAGAAACCAACCCTCACAAGCTTTTGTCGTACGATGGGCCTGGCTTCACTGAATCTGCATCTTATGTCACACTTATTGCCAGCAGGACCTGCCTAGTGACATTTAGCTGCCCTTCGAGTGGGCTGGCACCAGATGGAAACTGGACATAAGCTTTCGTGAGAGATCGTGTGCAGTTCCTGAGCTTTGTGTTACCAGATACTGTCTCTTCTCAGATGAGGGTCAAATTGAAATTTCATTACAGAAACCACCAGTCGCCACTGTTGAAGTTCAGAAGGGGTCCACCTAGTAAGGAAGGAGACCACTACTACTCCTGCTGCCCACCTTGCCTAGTTCACAAGACAGGAGGAAAGAGAGAAAGCAAAGAGTTGGAAAGAAACAAAAGTAAGATAAATAGCTAGATGACCTTGGCACCACCACCCAGCCCTAGGAATTAAAAAATAATAATAACATCAACCCCTGACCTAAACTACTTGTGTTATCTGTAAATTCCAGACGTTGTATGAAAAAGCATCGCGAAACTTTCTGTTCTGTTAGCTGATGCATGCAGCCCCCAGTCACGTTCCCCACGCTTGCTCGATTTGTCACGACCCTTTCACGTGGACCCCTTAGAGTGTAAGCCTTTAGAAAGGCCAATAATTTCTTTTTCAGGGAGCTCGGCTCCTAAGACGCAAGTCTGCTGATGCTCCCGACTGAATAAACCACTTCCTTCTTTTTTTTTTTTTTTGAGACAGAGTCTTGATCTGTCACCCAGGCTGGAGTGCAGTGGCATGATCTCGGCTTACTGCAAGCTCCATCTCCCAGGTTCACATCATTCTCCTGCCTCAGCCTCCCAAGCAGCTGGGACTACAGGTGCCCACCACCACGCCCAGCTATTTTGTATTTTTAGTAGAAAGGGGGTTTCACCATGTTAGCCAGGACGGTCTTGATGCCCTGACCTCGTGATCCACCCATCTCAGCCTCCCAAAGTGCTGGGATTACAGACATGAGCCACTGCACCCAGCCAAACCTCTTCCTTCTTTAAGCTGGTGTCTGAGGAATTTTGTCTGCGGCTCGTCCTGCTACACTGGGATAGCCTTTCCTGGATCCATGAAATGAGAATTCAGTGAGTCAACTTTCAGGGTAACAGGATTTTAAGACATCTTCATTTATGTAAAAGAAATCCCATTCACAAACATTCCATTTTCAGTAACTGTGTTAATTGTAAATGACTCTTGTACAGTCACTAGAGCAGGCATCGCAAAAACATTGGTGCCTCGTTTTCTCATTGATAAATATGCATGAAAGTCGTCTGTTTCAACGATGCAGACAAAGATACAATGTTCCCTAATCCAGATTACATCTTTTAGCCTGCTTGATGGATTATCACTAATTAGATTTATTCTTAGTTTTGTTACATGCAAATTTATCTCAGTGAAAAATAAACTCAACTAAATACTGTTCTTTACTTGCTCTCTTGGATAATAAGAATGTGGAGGGAAGGGTGAGGTTGCAGTGATGTGGGGATAAGGGGAAGGCGGAGGACAGACCTGGACCTGGCAGAGGAGGAAGAGGAGGAGGACGAGGTGAGAGAGGCCCCTCATCTTCCCTGGTGTCGTGCACGCGACCTCAACTCTCGGCTCCTGTGGTCTGGGTGGTTCCTGGGTGCACAGAGAGCCTGGGACAGAGGTCCCAGGGACAGAAAGTCCTTGTTTCAGAGGATCCAGGGTGACTGTGCAGTGAGTTTGCAGCAGCTCACCCAGCATGTTGGGGGACGGCAGGGCTGGGTCCCTTTCTTGGGTTGCAGCTTTTCCAGGTCATGACATTGGCTCACTGAGCACAGCTCACACAGTGGAACGGCCAAGGCTCCAGGAACACGGCTGGGCACTGGGTCATTCCGTGTTTGGGAAAATATCTTTCTTTTCACAAGGAATGTGGCATACATGCACACACACACACAAACTGATTAACACACATATATGCATAAACTAATAAACACATATACACACGTGCACACACTCACATATTTACCAACATACAAACATGCATACACTCACACACACACACACACCGACACACACATATGTAGAAATTCATAACAGACACACACCAACACATGACCATACATCTACAAACTTATAAACGCACACACACACACACATCGACACTCATACATACAAATTCATAACACAGACACACACCAACGCAATACCATACATCTACAAACTTATAAACACACACACACACATCGACACTCATACATACAAATTCATAACACAGACACACACCAATGCAATACCATACATCTACAAACTTATAAACACACACACACACACATCGACACTCATACATACAAATTCATAACACACACACCAACGCAATACCATACATCTACAAACTTATAAACGCACACACACACACATACATACAAATTCATAACACAGACATACACCAACACAATACCATACATCTACAAACTTATAAATGCGCACACACACACACACACTGACATACATACAAATTCATAACACAGACACACACCAACGCAATACCATACATCTACAAACTTATAGACACACACACACACACACATCGACACTCATACATACAAATTCATAACACAGACACACACCAACGCAATACCATACATCTACAAACTTATAAACGCACACACACACACCCCAGCAATACATGTGTGTTAATCTGTTTGTGCTACTATAACGAAATGCTTCTTGCTGGGTAACTGATGAAGAACAGGTTGTTTTCTTGCACAGTTCTGGGGGCTGTGAAGTCCCACATCGAGGCACCAGCCTTAATCCACCCTCCGCCCTCATGACCTAAGCTCCTCCCAAAGGCCCCACCCCCAACACTGTTGTACTGGATATTAAGGTTCCAACACATGGATTTTGGGGGACCCATTCAGACCATAGCAGCATTCATACACACAAACTCTTACCCTTGAAAATTAAAACCCTCACACTGAACTGAGGTCCTGAATCCTCCTCTCTGTTCCAGACTCCACTCAGCTCAGCCTCAGCCCCAGGACTCCTTGTTCCCAGGGAGTTCAGTTCCCCGCAGCAGCTCCAGCTGGGCCTCCTCGCCCGGAATGGGCTGGGTCGCTCCAGGGCCTCAACGTGCTCGGCCATCACCACGCTTTAAGGGGTCTCAGGAGGTAGCAGGATGCATCGTGCCATTGGTCACGCAGGCTGCACGCTCCTCAGCCCCTAGAGCAGCGGTCCTAAACCACACTCTGTGCCAGCCGCAGGCCGGGTGAGCACAGAACAGAGGCAGCTCTCGGGACGAGAAGGAAGCTTTCTGGAAATGCCTCCCTGGCTGAGCCTGGTCAAGCGGCTGCGAGCCCACACCAGGCAGCTTCCAGGGCCCAGGAACTGATGCCACATTGGGGACCCCTCCTGTCAGGAGGCTGATGCGGCCCCACACGCTGGCTGGCCACGTGCGGGAGGGTCTCCGGGGGCTGCTGCCTCATGTCTCTGCCTCTGCTTTTCTGGAGGACAGCCCCTAGACAGGCTCCTGAGATGTGGCCGCTGCTGCTGCTCCCCTCACTCACTGGAAGCGCATGGTCTGGAGCTCACCCCAGAATCCTTGGGTGGTTTTCACCCACAGCCTGTAGAAAAGCCACATGGATTCAAGGCCATGCCTCTGCACCATGTCCTCTGTCCCTGAAGGCAGAGGGGACTTGGAGCTGGCCCCAGCATGGCCATCCCAGCTGTGCCCAGGAGCCACCTTCTCACACCCAGTTGAGGGCCTGGTAAAGCAGCACCCCCAGCAACAGCTATACAAAGAGCCCCTCTGGCCAGCCCTGCCCCCCACCTTTCCTTGTGGAGGGTCCTCAGGTCCAAGGTCCTCAGGGTTTTGCTAAGGCCCGTCGGGGGCCCTGCTCTGCAGAAGCAGTCTCCTCCTGTGGACAAGGCTACCGGCACTCACAATGCCAAAAAGCAGCAGAGCCTGCAGGCCACAGAAGCCACGAGCCAGGGCAGCTGCAGGCACTCACCTGGTGACTGGCACCCTGGCCCACCGGCATCCGAGATTCTCCTCCGCACCTCCCCCTGTCCTCCTCACCTCCCCTATGTCCTCCTCACCTTCCCCCACAACCCCATCCTCTGGGCTGTGACTTCCCACCCTCTGGGTCCTGGCACAGTGTCTGGCCTCCCAGAGAGGGGTGAGGTTGAGAGAGGCTGACAGGCGTCTCCGACATGAGTCAGCCCATTCAGTTCCTTTTCCAGGGGCCACACTGAGTCAGCCCATTCGGTTCCTTTTCCAGGGGCCACACTGAGTCAGCCCATTCGGTTCCTTTCCCAGGAGCCACACTCGAAGTCACAAGAGCCTTGACATGTTGCGGTGACCGCCTGCTGCCGGGGCTGACTGGCTTGTGACCCCGGCACCTGGAGGCCTGTCTCAGATCCAACCCATCCTGCCCACCACATTTTCTGGACAAACCCTTGTCCCCAGGGAGACAGTGGCTACTGGTCCCTGAGTTTCTCAGGGAGTTGGGCCTGCCCCTTGGGATCTGGAGGCCCCTGCAGTGTGGGGAGGAGGGGCCGCTCCTGGTGTCACAGGGGAGGGAGCTCAGCAGGCAGGGGAGAACCTCGCAGAGGCTCAGAGCTGGGATGGGACGGGCAACGTGCGGCTCTTCAAAGGTGACTGTGGCTGTTTGTTCATTTCAGAATATCCCTTAAGCCAACTCTCTCCAGCAGGTGAATTATAGAATCAACACAGTGCTTGAAATATCTAAACCTTTGAAGAAATCCCTAAAAGGATGACATGAAAGTATTAAGTTTATTTTAATCAATTCCGCTAAATATGTGGATGGATAGAGGCCATGTTTTAAGACAACCTCCAGCAAATTAAGGTGAACAGTTCTGCAGAGTAATGAAGATCATGCCTAGAGTATACCTCCGAGGTCCTGGGAGTCCTGGGCACAGGCGGGACCCAGAGGACAAGGGTGAGTCCATCCACAGGCGGGTCTGTGCACTGGTGAACTTAGAGAGTGCAGGATGTTCCCAGTGTTGTCTGGATTTCCAGGCTTTGCTTTGCACCTTGCCTCCCTCTGGCCCTCTTGCTCCTGGCCTGGCTCCGGCTGCCCCTCCATGCAGCGCCGCCCTCTGTGCAAGGCTCTGAGTGGGGCTGCCTGGAAGAGGAGCCCAAGGCCTCCTCACCCCTCCTGGAGCCGGTAGCTGGGGGTCCCACCCAACATCGCCCTGTGGCATCTGCCCAAACGCCCCATGGGCATCCTGCCTCCCTGCACCTGGTGAAAGTTCTGTGGGAGGCGCTCTCCATTCCTGCCAGGTCTTTATCATACCATGCTCTGGGCAATGTTTTTGTTAAATAAGATAACATGAGCCCTCTCCAAGTTACCTGTCCTGCAGGGTGCAGGGTGGCGACTCATGCCCAGGCGAGTGACCTTCACCAGCCTGTCCTGGATTAGCCGGTGACTATGCAAGACATCCGATTGTGCAGCTTAGAGCCAGAGCTGCTGTGCAGGGTGCTGCCCCCGAGCCATCCCAGCGCATCCTGGCGTGGAGCAGGGTCACGGCTGGATTAAGGGGAAGGTGAAGTGGGGTCAGTGCCCTGCCCCCTGGACACACAGCAGGGGGCTGCTCCTGGGCATGGCCTTGGGACGTGAGGTGCAACTGGCTACGCACACTGGCCAGGGGAGGACCCCTCTTCGCCTCCACACTGCACGCCCCTTCCCTGGTTTTCCTGCTTTTGCTTCCTGACCTGTGTCCGCCAGCACACACCCATCAGCTGGAGGGCAGAGGAGCCCTCTCCCCAGTAAGGACTCACCCAGGCCGAGGAGCCCAGGTGGACAGCAAGGTTGCCATGAGCAGGGACCGTCCTGAGTCCAGTCCAGTCCCCCCTAGGGGCATGTCAGCCTGGTGGGCAGAGCTCTGTGCCCTTGAGGCCCACCAGGTTTGGAGGCTGGACAGGTGAAGACACCCCGGTGCCATGTGGCTGAGTGGACGTGGCAGGCAGAGCGAGGACAGAGGGAGGGGCACGTGCTAGTGCCAGAAGGAGGCTGCCCACGGCCAAGTGGCCGACACTGGTCTTCCCAGCCAGCATGGAGAGTGCCAGAGGCATCGGGTGGCCCCTGGGGAACGCAACTGGCCAGACAACGGGCTGAAGCCAGGGAAGGCCTGGGCGCCTGCCAGACCACCCTGGCACTTCCTGTCACTGTGGCCTCCACTGCTGCATACTGGGCCCCCAGGGTGCCACGACCATGGCCATGGCCAGCCCCGGAGGATGGCCAGGGGCGGCCCACACTGTGGGCTCATGTCCCCTGTCCTGGAGGCAGCAACCGTGTGCCGGGACCCACCTCAGGGGAGGCTGTCGGGGGCAGGGGGGTAGGGCTTTAGATGCAGGTCGAGGGACCCACCTGGCCTCCAGACACACACTTTGGGGAATTCCTCTCACTCACTGGCTTGTGTGGCTGGGCAGTCTTGTCTGTGTCTTGCCATGTGGGACGGGACCAAGAACCCTGGGCACCAACTCACCGTCAGCCAGCCACCTCCCCGTAGCTGGCGGTGCAAACCTGACTGGAAGGCACCAGCTGTTGTGATGCCCAGAGCCGGGCTCAGGAGGCCTCTCCACCTTTCTCTCAGGCTCCCTGTGCAGTGCAGCCTGACTCTGAAGGGGGCTGCAGGCATGGCTTTCCCAGCACCCACAGCCCAGCTCATTTTCCCTGCCTGGGTGATGCAGGGTGTGTGTGGCTCTGTCTTTTTCTGAAGCTTTGGTGCTGGCTGATTCAGCTCATCATAAAAGGCTTGAAACACTGGTTTGGGAGAGTGCCTGTGGACCTCCCCTCGGACTAAAATAGCAACTTGGGGGTTTAGCCCTGTCCCATCAATCCCCAGGCCTACATGTTCTCCTTTCTTCCAGTGGGGGTCTAGGGGATTAGAGATTATTAGTTCTAGTGGGTTACAGTGACCGGCAGCACAGGAGAGATTGGCTTCCCCTTTTTGAAGGTGAACTGGGTCTTTTTTGTCCTTTTTTTAAGTAGCCTAAATAACACATGGCCAATAGGCACAATTTTCACAGATCCTTGACTTATGACAAACATATTTATTTTTTACTGTGTAGCTCTTTTCCTAGTTAAGAGAACTCCATTTTAATTCTAGCTTGTTACCATTAATGGCTGCACAAGCATCAAATTTTAAAGTTACTTGTTTGGGAATTTCTTTTTCTTCTCTTCTAGTTATTATTTTACTTGTATCGCCAAGGAAAGGACCAGTTTTTTATTTTAAAAACGGTGGTCGCAGGGGGCTTGGATGGGTTATAACACCCATCAGATTGGTCATTTCCTGGGCTACGTACCTTGTACTGTGACATTATACAAACAAGTTCCTTTTGATGTTCCTGTACATTTATAATAACTATAGAATGAAGGGGACCAGCCCCTCCACACCTGTGGGTATTTCTCATCAGGCGGGATGAGAGACTGAGAAAAGAAATAAGACACAGAGACAAAGTATAGAGAAAGAAAAGTGGGCCCAGGGGACTGGCGCTCAGCATACAGAGGACCCGCACTGGCACCGGTCTCTGAGTTCCCTCAGTATTTATTGATTACTATTTTCACTATCTCAGCAAGAGGAATGTGGCAGGAGAACAGGGTGACAGTGGGGAGAAGGTCAGCAAGAAAACATGTGAGCAAAGGAATCTGTGTCACAAGTAAGTTCAAGGGAAGGTACTATGTCTAGATGTGCACGTAGGCCAGATTTATGCTTCTCTCCACCCAAACATTTCAGTGGAGTAAAGAGTAACAGCAGCATTGCGGCCAACATGTCTCGCCTCCCACCACAGGGTGGTTTTTCTCCTATCTCAGAATTGAACAAATGTACGATCAGTTTTATACTGAGACATTCCGTTCCCAGGGGAAGGCAGGAGACAGAGGCCTTCCTCTTTTACTAATCCTACTCAGCACAGATCCTTCACGGGTGTCGGGCTGGTGGATGGTCAGGTCTTTCCCATCCCACAAGGCCATATCTCAGTGGGGAGAAACCTTGGATGGTACCCGGCTTTCCTGGGCAGAGGTCCCTGCGGCTTTCCGCAGTGCATTGTGCCCCTGGTTTATCGAGAATGGAGAATGGCGATAACTTTTACCAAGCGTACTGCCTGTAAGCATTTTCTTAACAAGGCACGTCCTGCACAGCCCTAGATCCCTGAAACCTTGATTCCATACAACACAGGTTTCTGTGAGCTCAAGGCTGGGGCTAAAGTTACAGATTAACAGCATCTCAGGGCAAAACAATCGCTCGGGGTACAGATCAAAATGGAGTTTCTTACGTCCTCCTTTTCTACACAGACACAGTACCAGCCTGATCTCTCTTTTCCCCACATTTACAAACGCCACAGTGAAGAACTTTGTTGCAAACACATGCAGGCTGTGAAAAGAACTCTGTGCCTAAAGTCCTTTCATTTCTTTGCTGGAGTTTTTTTGAGGCAGATTCTAGAATTGCTGAGTCAAAGGGCAAATGCCATGTAGTTTTGTTAGACGCTGCCAAATCCTCTTCCATGAGGCTGCAATATTCTGCATTCCACAGTGACGTATGAGAGTCCTTGTATCCCACAGCTTCATAAACAAAGCATGACGGCACATCTGCACGTTTACCAATCACACAGGTGAGAAATCTTATCCTAGTTTCACCTTTGTTTTTGGTTTGCATTTTTGTGACCAGCTTTTTTATGGTATAATGCACAGAAGGTAATGAACACATTCTACCCACAAGCTTCTTCCTGTGCCTTTGGAATCTGCTCCTGCCAGTCTGCAGGCAACCACGGATCTGCTTTCCGTCACGTAGGAGGCATTCTTGACACCCTCTGTACACAGCATGCACTTTTTAAATTTGGCTTCTCTTACACAGCATAGTGACTTTCAGATTTATTCAAGCTGCTGCGTGTGCCAATAGTCCACTCCTTCCTAGTGCTGAGGCCCCCATCACATGAGCACAACTGTTTCCTGTGTGTGATGTGTTGTTCTCTGGCTGTGCACTGCCAAAAAAGACATCATTAAAAAAAATCTAAATATAATGTAAAACCTGCCTTGTCTTAGGAAAAGTTTTTCTGGCAGTGGCTCACACCTATAATCCCAATACTCTGGGAGGCTGAGGCAGGAGGACTGCTTGAGCCCAGGAGTTTGAGACCAGCCTGGGCAAGATGGTGAAACCCTGTCTCTGTAAAAAATATAAAAATTAGCCAGGCATGGTGGCTCACACCTGTAGTCTCAGCTCCTTGGGAGGCTGAGGTGGGAGGATTGCTGGAGCCCGGGAGGTGGAGGTTGCAGTGAGCCGAGATCACAGCACTGCACTCCAGCCTGGCCGGCATGGCAAGACTCTGTCTCTACCAAGACAAAAACAAAAAATTAATAGAAGAAAAGCAAAGATTTTTCTTACCAAAAATACACTTTAAGGAACAAATTTATCATATTAAGTTGGTGCAACAGTAATCATGGCTTTTGCCATTGAAAGTAATGGCAAACACCACAATTACTTTTGCACCAACCTAATATTATTTTCTAATGACAAACTTGGAAATAATTGTCATTGTTCTCTAAAAAGAACAGTCTAAAAATAAAGCAGCAGCCCATTTACTTCTATGCCAGTTCTTTTAGTATTTGGTTATTTAAACTGGTGGTCCCTAACCTTGTTGGCACCAGGGACTGGTTTCATGGAAGACACTTTTTCCACGGACAAGTGTGGGGATGGTGGGGATGGTTTGGAGATGAAACGGTTCCAGCTCAGATGAGCAGCATTAGATTCTCATAAGCGGCGCATAACCTAGATCCTTCGCATGCGCAGTTCACAACAGGGTTCCACTCCTATGAGAATCTAATGCCACCACTGATCTGACAGGAGGCGGAGCTCACACAGTAATGCTTGGACAGGAGGCGGAGCTCACACGGTAATGCTGTGACGGGAGGCGGAGCTCACACGGTAATGCTGTGACGGGAGGCGGAGCTCACACGGTAATGCTCTGGCGGGAGGCGGAGCTCACACGGTAATGCTCTGACGGGAGGCGGAGCTCACACGGTAATGCTCTGGCGGGAGGCGGAGCTCACACGGTAATGCTGTGACGGGAGGCGGAGCTCACACGGTAATGCTCTGGCGGGAGGCGGAGCTCACACGGTAATGCTGTGACGGGAGGCGGAGCTCACACGGTAATGCTCTGGCGGGAGGCGGAGCTCACACGGTAATGCTGTGACGGGAGGCGGAGCTCACACGGTAATGCTGTGACGGGAGGCGGAGCTCACACGGTAATGCTCTGACGGGAGGCGGAGCTCACACGGTAATGCTCTGACGGGAGGCGGAGCTCACACAGTAATGCTTGGACAGGAGGCGGAGCTCACACAGTAATGCTTGGACAGGAGGCGGAGCTCACACAGTAATGTTGTGACTGGAGGTGGAGCTCACACAGTTAATGCTTGGAGAGGAGGCGGAGCTCACACAGTAATGCTGTGACAGGAGGCAGAGCTCACACAGTAATGATATGACAGGAGGCGGCGCTCACACAGTAATGCTCTGGTGGGAGGCAGAGCTCAGAGAGTAATGCTCTGGCAGGAGGCGGAGCCCACAGAGTAATGCTCTGGCAGGGGGCGGAGCTCACAGTAATGCTGTGACTGGAGGCGGAGCTCACAGAGTAATGCTCTGGCAGGGGGCGGAGCCCACAGAGTAATGCTCTGGCAGGGGGTGGAGCTAACAGAGTAATGCTCTGGCAGGGGGTGGAGCTCACCCAGTAATGCTCTGGCAGGGGTTGGAGTTCACACAGTAATGCTCTGGCAGGAGGCGGAGCTCACAGTAATGCTGTGACTGGAGGCGGAGCTCACAGAGTAATGCTCTGGCAGGGGGCGGAGCTCACAGTAATGCTGTGACTGGAGGCGGAGCTCACAGAGTAATGCTCCGGCAGGAGGCGGAGCCCACAGAGTAATGCTCTTGCAGGGGGCGGAGCTCAGAGTAATGCTCTGGCAGGGGCGGAGCTCAGAGAGTAATGCTCTGGCAGGGGTTGGAATTCACACAGTAATGCTCTGGCAGGGGGTGGAGCTCACCCAGTAATGCTCTGGCAGGGGTTGGAGCTCACAAGGTAATGCTCTGGCATGGGCGGAGCTCACACAGTAATGCTCTGACGGGAGGCGGAGCTCACACAGTAATGCTCTGGCGGGAGGCGGAGCTCACACAGTAATGCTCTGGCAGGGGGCGGAGCACACACAGTAATGCTCTGACAGGGCGGAGCTCACACAGTAATGCTCTGCAGGGGGCAGAGCTCACAGAGTAATGCTCTGGCAGGGGGTGGAGTTCACACAGTAGCTCACCGGCCCACTGCTCACCTCCTACTGTGCGGCCTGGCTCCTAACAGGCCATGGACTGGTAACAATCTGTGGCCTGGGGATTGGGGACCCCTGATTTGAATAATCGAGGACACACTCACCTAGTAAACCATCTGCCAAGAAAAAGGAGGAAATGTTCGTTTTCTCCATTTGCTCTCAGGCACCAACATTAATTTGAACTTAGAAATAAACTACAACAAAGCCAGGCATGGTGGTTCACACCTATAATTCCAGCACTTTGGGAGGCCAAGGAGGGAGGATCACTTGAGCCCAGGAGTCTGAGACCAGCTTAGGCAACACAGTGAGACCCTGTCCCTACAATTACAAAATAAACTAGCTGGGCGTGGTGGTGCACACCTGTAGCCCCAACTACTCAGAAGGCTGAGTTGGGAAGATCACCTGAGCTGCCCAGGAGTCTGAGGCTGCAGTGAGCTGAGATTGTACCACTGCACCAATCCTGTCTCAAAAAAAAAAAAAAAAAAAAAGAAAAAAAAAAAGAAACTACAAGAACATATCTGGATTTTGATGTAACAGAATACAAAGATTACTACATTTGATTTTTAGGTCAACAAATATGACTAAAGTCATAACAGTAAAATATTTTAAATGGATTTGGAAATAAAAGAAAGTTTGTTCATTTATATTTTATTTAAGAGCTGTGCCCAGTTTTATCATCTCACAAGAATGAAGCAAGGGACAAAGGTAAGTGCCACGCTCCCTGGCCACTGGGTTCCTGGCAAGCTCCCAGCCTGGGTGCCAATCTCCCTTCAATGTACTCCTTCTTCCCCGGAGTGCAGAAGCGTATGAAGACAGTTATGACATGGACACATGCATGAGCTATTATACATAATTACAAAAGCTGATTCTGTCATCACCGCATCTTGTCTCATCAGTAGGAGCGAATGGCTGGGGGGACGGTGGCACAGTCAGCCTCGTTCAAAGTTTTGTCGATTACGGGTCTATATCCCAGGGTGACCATGAAAAGAAGAGTCAGTGGTAAGTTAAGCACAAAAATGTACAAAAAACCATCTCTTGTGTTCCTTTTGAAAAATTTTAACTATAAAAGTAGATTTACAGCATGTGAACTTAAAGGTATTTGCTGCAGTATTTTCCAATAACAAATTCAAAAATGATCTACATGCACAACAGGGGACTGTAAATGATGGCAGATTCGTAGAGTGGAACAGAGCAACGAAAATGACACTGTACCAGATTCTCAGTGCTTTACAATAATGCTCCCGTCATGAGCAGTGGGAGAACCCTTGTCTATACCAAGACACTTTATGTTTAAACCATCTACTTCCAGTTTTTCTACTTCAAAGTTTAGTATTTATATAGGTTGAACATCCCTAATCCAAAAATCTGAAATTCTCTAAAATCTGAAACTTTCTGAGCACCAGCATGACATTCAAAAGAAATGTGCTATGGAGTCAGATCTTCCAATTAGGGATGCTCAGACAGTAAGTATAATGCAAATATTCCAAAGTCTGAACAAGCCTGAAATCCAAAATGCTTCTGGTCCCAAGGATTTCAGAGAAGGAATACTCAAGCTGTGTATTAAATATACACACACAGGAAAAGGTAGGCACATATACAAAGAAATTTAAACCATAATGGGTCGTCTCTGGTTAGTGAGCTCTTATTTCAATCTCTTTGTACTTTCTAAAATGAGTATGTATTTCTTGAAAAATCACTGAAACTGGCTGGGCGTGTTGGTTCATGCCAGTTGGAGAGGCCAAGACAGGTGGATCACTTGAGCGCAGGAGTTCAAGACTAGCCTGGGCAACGTGGAGAAACCCCATCTCCACAAAACATATGAAAATTAGCCAGGCATGGTGGCATGTGCCCAGGAGGCTGAGGTGGGAGGATCACCTGAGCCTGGGGGAGGTTGAGGCTGCAGTGAGACGAGATCAAGCCACCACATTTCAGCCTGGGCAACAGATGAGACTCTATCTCAGAAAAACAAAAACAAAACAAAAAACCCGAACCCGGAAACATTAAAAATAGACTTGTGCTAAGCGAGTGAAGTGTGATTTCTATACACTATCAGGAAATGGCCTTCATGAGAAGTCCTGAAAATGACCTACTGCCCGAATCACAGACACACTAGATGATAGTGAGAGTCCAAAGGTAACTTCCACAGACACAGCTAAGTGATTATACGACTCTTACAAGCTATGAAAAGTTTAAGGGTAAAAGCTTTCTATCTTCATTGTTTCTGAATCTTAATGCCCAGCGGAAATGCCACACGGGTGAACTGTGCTTGTGTGGAACAAGGCTGCGACCCCCTACCACACCCTCGGCTGGCTGTTCCCAGGATGCTGCTCACCCCAACCCCACCTCCATTTCTGCCCTTCTCTGCTTGCTCAGTGCCCAGGGGATGCTAAAGACTGCACCACATCCCCTCAGCTCCCCTGCAGATGCTTCCAGTTGGCCCAGCCCGTGGGAGGAGAGGGGAGGCGTCTCTTCTGGGCTCCCTTGACGTGGGACTGGTTTCTGGTAGTGGCTGTGTCCCCACCCCACAGATGCTGACTTTCTCACTAGGTCTACAATCATCTCCTCCCCTGCCACCAGGCCTTGGACACTTGCTCCTGCCTAGTGACGTCCATCTGACCCACACCACGGAGCAACCCTTCCTTAAGGCTCCTCTGAACCACCTGCAGGAACTGGATTCTGTTTCCAGCCCAAAGCCCAACTGCTGTCAGAGTGCCTTTTTCAGCGGTGCCTCAAATCTGTCGGGAGTTGATTTAAATCTGGCCTGCTCCTCCCTGTTCACCATCAGCAAGGCCAGCCCGCAGGCCTGGGCGGGGCCGTGTGGGTGCTGGGCTGTGGTGAGAACGAGCTCCACACTGACCTTCCCAGTGCCAACGTCCACATAGGACAGGGTGTGCTTCCTCCAGTGCTCCTCAAAGGGCTTCTTCTGTTGCCCCTGGATGGGCTTGGAGTAATCGTACTCATCAATCTGCACCTGAGGCCAGAAACACCATCACGTTTCTTATTACTCTAACAGAGCAATACAGAAAAAACACAGCAGACATTAACATGATCTAAGAGACAGATGCCCTAGAACTCATTCCATTTCCACTTCAGCCCAGGAGGTTGGCACCATCAACATGTTCAGAACCCACGGAGGCCGCATGGCTGGCCAGGGGGTGTGCAGCCAGCAGTGAGTCCACAGTAATCCATGTCCGCATGTTCCCTTAAGCATCCTTTATGTACCTAAGAGTTTATCAAATACTTTGTCTTTTTGCTCCATGTGCTGGGAGACTACCTCAATCTTTTCTTTCAGCCTGTTTTTATTAAAAAAAAATTTTTTTTTTGAGACAGGGTCTGGCTATGTCACCTGGGCTGGAGTGCAGTGGTGTGATCACAGCTTGCCGGAGCCTTGACTTCCCAGGCTCAATCAATCCTCCTGCCTCAGCTTCCTGCGCTACCACCGCGCCTGGCTCATTTTTTATTTTTTTGTAGACACGTTTCACCATGTTGCCCAGGCTGTTCTAGAACTCTGGGGCTCAAGTGATCGGCCTGCCTCAGCCTCCCAAATGCTGGGATTACAGGTGTGAGGCACTGCACCTGGCTTCTATTCTAATTAAAACTCGCTGTCACCAACTAAATTTATGCACTGGCCAGGCACAGTGGCTCATGCCTGTAACCCTAGCACTTTGGGAGGCCGAGGTGGGCGGTTCACTTGAAGTCAGGAGTTCAAGACCAGCCCGGCAAACATGGTGAAACCCGTCTCTACTGAAAATACAAAATTAGCCAGACATGGTGGTGCGTGCCTGTAATCCCAGCTGCTTGGGAGGCTGAGGCAGGAGAATCACTTGAACCTGGGAGGCAGAGGTTGCAGCGAGCTGAGATCGCCGCCACTGCACTCCAGCCTGGGGGACAGTGAGACTCCATCTTAAAAAAAAAGTAAAATAAATTTATTATTCTGTATTCTGGCAAACACGGATTCACATACTTTGCAGGAAACTCTTAATACGTACAAGGAGACAAGAGCAAGTTCTGAGCAGTGATCACAGCCATTAGCATATTCTAGTGGAGGGTAAATCAGTAAAATTTCATGGTGAATAAAAATGATTTTCCCATTCACCATGTTCAGCTGACTGGAAAGGCTGCCACCAGCCGCCTACACACGGTCCTGAACCAGCCTGTGCGCCTGCCTTGTGGAGCCTTTGTCCTTTTGCTGATGTGGTTTATCCTGAACTTGCATTTGCACCCCAAGCTTCCCTTTCTGTTGTTTTTTGCTATCATATGGGAAAAACTCTTACCAGGCAGAATCCAACACGTGTGCTCTGCACAAAAATCAGTTCATCTGAAGAACAAGTGACCACAGGGCAGGCTCTATAATCAAACCACAGGGCAGGCTCTATGATACCTTTTCCAAACCACAGGGCAGGTCTGAAACGGTGGCTTACTCGTTAATAAACTGGCATTTCCTCCACAGGGCAGGTTTGAAATGGTGGCTTACTCGTTATTTAATAAACTGGCATTTCCTCCACAGGGCAGGCTTGAAACAGTGGCTTACTCGTTATTTAATAAACTGGCATTTACTTCCTGGTCATGCCACTCTAGCTGCACTTCTAACCTTGGCCTTCTAACAGCAAAGCACATTGGCTTGGAGATGCCACTGCTGGCATCAGTGGATGCCGACCCAAAGCAAGGAAAAGGTCACGGTGATCCAGAAGATGGCGAGAACCCAGGGATCAAAGTTACCAGGGGGAAAAAGGGATTTTTTGGATTTACTTCTGGGGCAACGAAATAAAATGCAGAGAAAATGCAGGGGTGGGGCTGAGTCCCACCAGGCGGGAGGAAAAGGCAGGTGCAGGTGGGCGTGGTGAGAAGGCCGACCTTGTAGCCTTCCCTGGCGTGCGTGCCCCGTGACTCCTTCCGCGCCTCTGCTCCGTAGATGGTCTGCAGCGCACACAGCATCAGGTTCTGCAGCTCCAGGGTCTCCACCAGGTCCGTGTTCCAGACCATTCCTGGGGACACAAAAAGTTCCATCAGGGGCAGGCGGGACCCAGTCACATGGGCCCTCCGAGCTGTCAGCCTGGGCCTGCTAGTCCATGGAGTCACTGGTTGTGGCTTTATAGCTGTGGGCCAGGACCCATCCAGACAGCAAGCACGGAACTAAGTCAGCACTGACGGGACAGACACCAGCCCACCCTGCAGAAGGCAGGGCCCAACAGTGTGCACAGAGCCCACTGTCTGCTGACCCCGGTCGAACGTCTTCAGGTGCTTTAGGTCTCCGTAGAGCTTGCTGATTTTCCCACAACCTTCTTGCAACACGCTTCCCACACGGAACACGGCAGCATGATTTTGCATTTAATATTTTGATATTACAAAATATTATTTGTAAACTTTTAATCCATAGAAGCAGCCATATCAAGAACTGCTTAATTTTTAGACCTGTTGTTTTGCATTTCATTTAAAAGTTAAGTAAATTAAACAGAAAAATTAGGAAATTCAGACTATGAGTTTATTACTCTGAACTTAAAAATGAAGTTTTGACTAAAGCTTCTGAATAAATAAATGTTTCTATTACATACACATCTTAGACCCACACACATCCTTTCCAGCGGGATACAGCCAGGGTCCAGGACTCCAAGCAGACTGCCTGTGAGGCACCATGTTCCATACAGCTCCACGGCCAACCAGGCAGTGCTGCCTCCCCACACCCCTGGCGGGACTCCTGACGCGGGGTCTGGTGGTGAACGTGACACAAGCCAGCAGCCCTGTGGTGATACACACTAGGAGGAGCTGAGCAGAGCCCTGGTGATGGTGGTGTTGGAGCCACAGGTCTTCAAGGAGAGGGAGGGGCGTGGGTGGCTGGGGCCCTAGGCCCATCTGGCTACTGTCTTCTGCCTATCTTGTAGAAGCTCCTTGTACACTGAGTTCCTTCATAGTTTTACTGTGATGAGACATGTGCTATGCAGTGGGCCTGAAGTTTACTTAGGTATGCTGGGAAGTAGGCGTCAGCTTTTGCTTCCTGTGGGACAGACAGGCACCACCTCAGTGATCCCTCCTCCTCCTTGCTTCTCCCTCTAACTGTGCTTTGCTCCACTGACCCTAATTGTCTCTTCCTCTACCAATGCACCTTCATGGTTTAATTTGGAAATTTCATCTGATTTTCCTTAGACTCATACATAATCGTAACACTGTAATGCACATCAACCTAATGATTTTTCAGGAAGAACAAATGAAAAAAATTGCATCTCAGAATCTAGTATTACATTCTTTCATGTCCATTAGCAGCCACGTTTTCATATCCTTTTTTTTTGTATTTCTGGTTACATTATTTCAAGGCATTTTTAATTTTTTGTTTAAAATATGAATGAGGTATTTACTGATGTCTAAGCAGATTACTGCTTGCACATTGCAAAGCTACTGATTTTTAGATACAAATCTCTTACCCAGACACCTTACTACATTCTTGTTTTGTTTCTGTTAGTTTTTCAGTTTATTCCCTGGGAATTGTTTGGAAATTCTATCTGTAAATAATGACAATTGTATCTATTCCTTTTCAATATTTACTGCTGAGACCAGCTCGGTTGTGGAGACCCTAACCCAGTGGTGCTAGAGGAATTAAAGACACACACACAGAAATACAGCATGTGAAGTGGGAAATCAGGGGTCTCACAGCCTTCAGAGCTGAGAGCCTTGAACAGAGATTTACCCACATATTTATTGACAGCAAGCCAGTGGTAAGATTTACTAAAAGTATTCCTTATGGGAAACAAAGGGACGGGCTCTGGCTAGTTATCTGCAGCAGGAGCATGTCCTTAAGGCACAGATCACTCATGCTATTGTTTGTGGTTTAAGAACGCCTTAAACGGTTTTCCACCCTGGGTGGGCCAGGTGTCCCTTGCCCTCATTCTGGTAAACCGACAATCTTCCAGCATGGGCGTCATGGCCATCACGAGCATGTCACAGTGCTGCAGAGATTTTGTTTATGGCCAGTTTTGGAGCCAGTTTATGGCCACATTGGGGGGCCTGTTCCCAACATGTCCCCTTTGTTTTGCAAAGCGATAAAAGCAAAGGCAGCTTTGTCATGGTGGGCTACTTCTTGCAGAGTCAGGATCCACATCTGCAGACTATACAAAGACAACACAGATTAAAAGCACAATCTTCATTGAAATCACAGAGCTTCCAAGTGTTTTTATCCATTTTAATGGGTTACCAGCTGCTAATCTGTCTGCAGCTCCTTCAAGCACTCCAGTTCCTGGCATTAAGGTCAGGTGTGCCGGGATGCTTCAAATATCTGTTCTTTCAATTTTGCAATATCCAAAGACAAGTTTGTAGAGTGTCCTTCTCGATGCTTTTTTATTCTTTCCCAAATTTTGATCTTATTAAGAGCTATTAACAGTTTCCACAAATCCTTATGTTTAGCTCCTACAAAGGGCCATATCATTTGAGGTTGAGGTGCCACTACACCGCCATGGTTCCAGATAATAGGAATTCTTGCCGTATTTCTTATCATTTCTACCATCTGACCATTTTGTTCAGACCAGCTGAACATAGTGGGGCCGTGGCACACAGACTGAGAGGTGCAATTCAAGCTAAACATCCCCGTAGGGGATCAATCAATAATGATTCCATAGGAATCGTTGCCAGCACCCCTGCCTGTTCTGCAATGCAATCTTCCCAAACATGTACGTTCATTTTCTCTGACTGGGTCCAATCCTGTTTACAGATAGGTTTTTGAGGGCGGTATGCCTCAATTATAGGAGCAGATTTATCATGGTAAATACTGAGATCAGAAAGCATGTGTAACTGTGTCATAGAGTGATTACATCCAGGCATTCTTGCCAGCCAAGATTGATAAATATGCCCAGTAAGTATAATTGTTCTCTGTGTCAGCCCTTGTTGAAGGAATACTCATGGCAATGGTGATCACCACTATCATAGCTACCATTAAATTACTCATTTTGACTGGTTGTCCCACTTACCTCAGGTTTTCTTCTGCCATCTGTGACAGCTTCTTGATCTGACCTCAGGTGGATGGCTGTGTTTGACGGGTGTTGCTCGTGACAGTTGGGGTCCTCCTCAGCATCAGTCTTGACATGGCTGCAACTGGGGGGGTCCTCGGGATCCTCCCGGAATCTCTTCCTCAGCATTCGCTCATGATAAGGTTTCAGGTGTCTTGATGGTTCAGTCCTGGAGAAACATAAGCATAACCTCTACCCCAAGTTATTATTTTACCTATTTCCCAACTTTCTGTTATCAGGTCTCTCCACCAAACCAGTTGTTCTGCTTCTGTCTTTGCAGCTGGTTTCTGTAGATGCTGTTCAGCTGCTGATAAGATCCGGCCTTTAGGCAGGCTCAAAAAATTTAAAGTTAATAATGCGATTCAATTGCTTATGGGGTGTCCTGTAGTACCTGTTTTCCCCCTTTTGCTTCTGCAACTGCTGTTTCAGGGAGAGATTCATTCTTTCCACTATGGCTTGTCCTTCAGAATTATATGGGATATCAGTAATGTGTTTAATATTCCGTATAGAGAAAAATTTAGCTAGAGCTTGAGAATTAGGTTCCAATCCTCGAGGATTAACTCCTCCTGTAAAAGATGAGGAATGTACCATTTGGCAAGTTGGGCATCGCTGGATAATAGCTTTAGCTTCTTTCCAGGTACTGCTGTATCTGCGTTTGAGACCAGAGGTATTAACACGGGTTAAATTGTGAAAGTGTCCAGCATTAGATATTGCAGTAGCAACTAGGCGATCAGCCATTTGATTCCCTGCAGTCAAAGGTCCTGGAAGAGGTGTATGAGCCCTAATGTGAGTGATGTAAAAAGGGTGCATTCTACTCCTAACTGCTGTTTGCAATTGCATAAATAAAGTCATCAGTTGTTCATCTGTATGAAATCGTAACTCAGCATTTTCAATTAATTGTGTCGAATGAACCACATATGAAGAATCAGAAATCACATTAATAGGCATATTAAAAGCAGTCAATACCTCAATTACAGCTACAAGCTCCGTTTTTTGAGCTGAAGCATAGGGTGTCTGGAAAACTTTACCTTTCGAGCCAGAGTAAGAAGCTTTACCATTACTAGACCCATCTGTAAAAACATTCTCCACACGTTCAATTGGTTTAGTTATTTTAGGGAGAATACAATTAGTTAATTTCAAAAATTGAAACAGTTTCATTTTAGGAAAATGATTATCGAGAATACCCAAAAAGTCAGCTAAATGGGTTTGCCAAGTAAGACTATTTATAAAATCTTGCTGTATTTGTGCCTTCGTGAGAGGGACAATTTTTTCAGGATCATATCCATGTAATTTAACAATCCGAGTTCTCCCATTTCCTATCATAGTAGCAATTTGATCCAAATAAGGAGTTAGAGGCCATGAATTAGTATGTGGAAGAAAAAGCCATTCTACAAGATCTTGCTCTTGAACAATAACACCAGTAGCTGAATGTGGAGTTGGAAAAATTAGCAAATCTAGAGTCTTCTCTGGATCTATTCTATTTATTTGGGCTTTATGGACTTGCTTTTAGATCAGCTGCATCTCGAGTCTTCTCTGGATCTATTCTATTGATTTGGGCTTTATGGCCTTGCTTTTCAATCAGCTGCAGCTCGAGTCTTCTCTGGATCAATTCTATTCATTTGGGCTTTATGGCCTTGCTTTTTGATCAGCTGCAGCTCGAGTTTTCTCTGCATCTATTCTATTGATTTGAGTTTTATGGCCTTGCTTTTCGATCAGCTGCAGCTCGAGTCTTCTCTGGATCTATTCCATTTATTTGGGCTTTATGGCCTTGCTTTTTGATCAGCTGCAGCTCGAGTCTTCTCTGGATCTATTCTATTTATTTGGGCTTTATGGCCTTGTTTTTCGATCAGCTGCAGCTCGAGTCTTCTCTGGATCGATTCTATTGATTTGAGCTTTATGGCCTTGCTTTTCAATGAGCTGCAGCTCGAGTCTTCTCTGGATCGATTCTATTGATTTGGGCTTTATGGCCTTGCTTTTCGATCAGCTGCAGCTCAAGTCTTCTCTGGATCGATTCTATTTATTTGGGCTTTATGGCCTTGCTTTTTGATCAGCTGCAGCTTGAGTCTTCTCTGCATCGATTCTATTGATTTGGGCTTTATGTCCTTGCTTTTTGATGAGATGCAGCTCGAGTCTTCTCTGGATCATTTCTATTTATTTGGGCTTTATGGCCTTGCTTTTCGATCAGCTGCAGCTCGAGTCTTCTCTGGATCGTTTCTATTTATTTGGGCTTTATGGCCTTGCTTTTCGATCAGCTGCAGCTCGAGTCTTCTCTGGATCGATTCTATTTATTTGGGCTTTATGGACTTGCTTTTCGATTAGCTGCAGCTCTGCCTCAGCTTCTCTTGTTAATTACCGAGGGCTGGTGAGACTAGGATCTCCTCTAAGGATAGAAAACAGATTACTCATGGCATAGGTAGGAATGCCTAGAGCAGGTTGTATCCAGTTAATGTCCCCTAGTAATTTTTGAAAGTCATTTAATGTTTTCAATTGATCCCTACGTATGGCTACTTTCTGTGGCACAATGGTAGTGTCATTTACTAAGGTTCCCAAGTAGGAGTAAGGAGTAGTAATCTGAATTTTGTCAGGAGCTATAATTTAACCAGCACCAGAAATTGAATTTTGCAAGTGATCATAACACTGGAGTAATATTTCTTGAGTAGGGGCAGCACAAAGTATATCATTCATATAATGAATAATGTAACACAGTGAAAATGTTTTACGAGGAGGTTCAATTGCTTGCCCTACACAAATCCGGCAAATCGTTGGACTGTTTAACGTGCCTTGTGGCAACACTTTCCAATGAAAACGCTTAGCAGGCTGCAGGTTGTTTACTGCAGGAATTGTAAATGCAAACCGTTCACAGTCTTGCTCAGCTAAGGGGATAGTAAAGAAACAGTCTTTTAAATCTATGACTATTAAAGGCCAATTTTTTGGAATCATAGCAGGAGAAGGCAATCCTGGCTGTAATGTCCCCATAGGTTGTATAACTGAATTAATGGCTCTTAAGTCAGTTAACATTCTCCATTTACCTGATTTTTTCTTAATTACGAAAATTGAAGAATTCCAAGGGGAAAATGTTGGAGCTATGTGTCCCTTTTCTAATTGTTCATTAACTAAGTCCTCTAAAGCCTCCAGTTTCTCTTTACTCAGCGGCCATTGTTCCATCCAAATTGGCTTATATGTTAACCATTTTAAAGGTATAGGTTCTGGAAGCTTAACAATGGCTGCCATCAAGAATAATATCCTAAACCTTGGCAGGAACTGTCTTTCCACTTGAAGTGGTTCTTTCAAACCTTGCAAATTTTTTCCTAGTCCCATACCAGGGACATACCCCATTTCATGCATCATATGCTGACTTTGAGGGCTATATAATTGCTCTGGAATTAGAACTTGTGCTCCCCATTGTTGTAATAAATCTCTTCCCCATAAATTTATAGGTACAGAAGTTATAATTGGTTGAATAGTCCCAGGTTGTCCATTGGACCCTTCACAATGGAAATATAACTACTTTGATATACTTCAGGGGCTTTACCAACTCCAACTATGTTAAATTGAGCAGGTTGAATTGGCCACGCGGATGGCCAGTGCTGTAGAGAAATGATTGAAATCTCCGCTCCTGCATCTACCAAACCTTAAATTTCTTTCCCTGAATAGTTATTTCACAGGTAGGACGTTTATCAGTAATTTGATTCACCCAATAAGCTGCTTTGCTTTGTATATTTGTACTTCCTCCTGTTCGTTTAGTTTCACTTTTCCCCATTTCCACATATGGCACAATCAGGAGCTGTGCTATATGCTCTCTTGGCTCTGTTTTCCAGGGAACAGAAGTAGATATAACACTTTGAGTTTCCCCATTGTAATCTGAATCAATGACTCCTGTGTGTATTTGTACTCCTTTTAAACTTAAACTAGACCTTCCTAAAAGTAATCCTATTGTCCCCGCTGGCAAGGGTCCACAGACTCCTGCTGGGACCTTTGGTGGGGGTTCCCCAGGCAGAAGTCTCACAGCTAATGTGCAGCATAAATCTACTGTGGCACTACTGGCTGTGGCGGGGAACAGACATTGTACAGGGGTGAGGGAATGGCCTGAGCCGGAAACGCTCCGGTTTGGAACGGGACCCAGGACGGGCCCCTCATGGCATTTCCCAAAATCGAGTTCCCATCTTTATCAAACTTAGAGTGACACTGATTAGCCCAACGTTTTCCTTTTTTACATTTTGGACATATTTCAGGCTCAGCAGTTTTCTTTTTTCCCCTATCTGGCAGCCTGACTCACTCATTTTTTCTACGTTCTTGTTTAGTATGACCATGCTTCCCACAGTTAAAACAAGCTCCAGGCAACAAAGGATTTCCTTTATCCACTCTCAGTCCTGCCATTGCCTGTACCAACAAAGTAGCTTTATGCATATTACCTCTGATACCGTCACAGGCCTTGATATAATCAACTAAGTGTGCGTTCCCTCTGATAGGTCACAGAGCAGCCTGGCAATCGGGATTAGCATTGTCGAAAGCTGATAACTGCAGCACTATATCCTGAGCAGCCGAATCTGCAATCACCTTTTTAAGAGACTCCTGTAACTGAGCTATAAAATCTGCGTACGGTTCTTTTGGTCCCTGTTTTACTGCACTAAAGGAAGGGTATTGTTCTCCACCTGAAGTGATTTTTTCCCAAGCTCTAATGCACACTCCTCTAAGCTGTTCTACGGCATCATCCTGCACGACCACTTGTGCATCTAAACCAACCCAGCCGCTGACCCCCAAAAGTTGGTCTGCAGTTATATTAATTTGAGGTTGGGCCTGGGCGCTGCAAGTAGGCTGAATGGAAGCTTCACCTGCCCACCAAGTTTTACATTGTAAGAACTGAGCAGGAGTTAGACAAGCTCGAGTAAGAGTGTCCGTCAGTAGGAATCATCCGACTGGAAACAGCAACATTCTTTAACAGTCCCATTACGAAATGAGAACCTGGTCCATATTGATTGATAGCCTGTTTAAACTCCTTAAGTAATTTAAAGGGAAAAGGCTCAAATGTGGCTATATTTCCCTGTTGATCTGCGGGGTGTATTCTAATAGGGAACTGCCAAGCCTCTAAATCACCCTCTCATCTAGCTTGCTGAATTCCTACCTGAATAGAACTGAGAGGGGTCGCTCAAGGTGCTGCTCGGACAGTCACTGGAGCAACTACTTTTCGCCCACTGTCCTCTGGAAATGAAAGATCTGGAGGGTCAGGCCACTCTTTTTCTTCAAAATAAGGAGGGGGTGCAGAAGGGTAGGGATGAACCTCTCCCTCCTTTGCCGCTTTAGCTTTAGTTGGCAAACAAACCTGCTCTGTTATTTCTTCTGTTACTTCGTTATACTCTCCTTCCCCCTTATTATTAGCGTGAAAAGGTTCCAAGGTGGAACGAACCAGAGCCCACACGTCCCATTGTTACCCTGATGCTTCCGAGCTCCCCTTCTTACTCACCATGGGGACTGTGTAAGAGTACTCAGTGTCCTCCAGCTTAGAACCAGAGCCCACACGTGTCCCATTGTTACCCTGATGCTTCCGAGCTCCCTTTCTTACACACCATGGGGACTGGGTAAGAGTACTTGGGTGTCCTCCGGCTTAGAACCAGAGCCCACACGTGTCCCATCGTTACCCTGATGCTTCTGAGCTCCCCTTCTTACTCACCATGGGGACTGCATAAGAGTACTCGGTGTCCTCCAGCTTAGTTCCAAGTTTTCTGTCGCTCCGGTGACCCTTCGACCTGGATTCGAGCCCCCATGTGTGGGCGCCACTTGCTGAGACCAGCTCGGTTGTGGAGACCCTAACCCAGCGGCACTAGAGGAATTAAAGACACACGCACAGAAATATAGGATGTAGAGTGGGAAATCAGGGGTCTCACAGCCTTCAGAGTTGAGAGCCTTGAACAGAGATTTACCCACACATTTATTGAGAGCAAGCCAGTCATAAGATTTACTAAAAGTATTCCTTACGGGAAACAAAGGGATGGGCTCTGGCTAGTTATCTGCAGCAAGAGCATGTCCTTAAGGCACAGATCGCTCATGCTATTGTTTGTGGTTTAAGAATGCCTTAAGAGACCCTCTCTAAAACAAACAAACAGCTCTCCCCTCTCCCCTCTTTCCACGGTCTCCCTCTGATGCCGAGCCAAAGCTGGACTGTACTGCTGCCATCTCGGCTCACTGCAGCCTCCCTGCCTGATTCTCCTGCCTCAGCCTGCCGAGTGCCTGCGATGGCGGGCACACGCCGCCACGCCTGACTGGTTTTCGTGTTTTTTGGGTGGAGACGGGGTTTCGCTGTGTTGGCCGGGCTGGTCTCCAGCTCCTAGCCGCGAGTGATCCGCCAGCCTTGGCCTCCCGAGGTGCCGGGATTGCAGATGGAGTCTCCTTCACTCGGTGCTCAATGGTGCCCAGGCTGGAGTGCAGTGGCGTGATCTCGGCTCGCTGCAACATCCACCTCCCAGCGGCCTGCCTTGGCCTCCCAAAGTGCCGAGATTGCAGCCTCTGCCCGGCCGCCACCCCGTCTGGGAAGTGAGGAGCGTCTCTGCCTGGCCGCCCATCGTCTGGGATGTGAGGAGCCCCTCTGCCTGGCTGCCCAGTCTGGAAAGTGAGGAGCGTCTCTGCCCAGCCGCCATCCCATCTAGGAAGTGAGGAGCGCCTCTTCCCGGCCGCCATCCCATCTAGGAAGTGAGGAGCGTCTCTGCCCGGCCGCCCATTGTCTGAGATGTGGGGAGCGCCTCTGCCCTGTCGCCCCGTCCGGGATGTGAGGAGCATCTTGGCCCGGCTGCCCCGTCGGAGAAGTGAGGAGACCCTCTGCCTGGCAACCGCCCTGTCTGAGAAGTGAGGAGCCCCTCCGCCCAGCAGCCGCCCTGTCTGAGAAGTGAGGAGCCCCTCCGCCCGGCAGCCACCCCGTCTGGGAAGTGAGGAGCGTCTCCGCCAGGCAGCCACCCCGTCCGGGAGGGAGGTGGGAGGGTCAGCCCCCTGCCTGGCCAGCCACCCCGTCCAGGAGGGAGGTGGGGGGGGTCAGCCCCCCGCCCGGCCAGCCGCCCTGTCTGGGAGGTGAGGGGCGCCTCTGCCCAGCTGCCCCTACTGGGAAGTGAGGAGCCCCTCTGCCCGGCCAGCCGCCCCGTCCGGGAGGGAGGTAGGGGGGGTCAGCCCCCCGCCTGGCCAGCCGCCCCATCCGGGAGGGAGGGGGGGGTCAGCCCCCTGCCCAGCCAGCCGCCCCATCCGGGAGGTGAGGGGCGCCTCTGCCCGGCCACCCCTACTGGGAAGTGACGAGCCCCTCTGCCCGGCCAGCCGCCCCGTCCGGGAGGGAGGTGGGGGGGTCAGCCCCCCGCCCGGCCAGCCGCCCCGTCCGGGAGGGAGGTGGGGGGGTCAGCCCCCCGCCCGGCCAGCCACCCCGTCCGGGAGGTGAGGGGCGCCTCTGCCCGGCCGCCCCTACTGGGAAGTGAGGAGCCCCTCTGCCCGGCCACCACCCCGTCTGGGAGGTGTACCCAACAGCTCATTGAGAACGGGCCATGATGACAATGGCGGTTTTGTGGAATAGAAAGGGGGGAAAGGTGGGGAAAAGATTGAGAAATCGGATGGTTGCTGTGTCTGTGTAGAAAGAGGTAGACATGGGAGACTTTTCATTTTGTTCTGTACTAAGAAAAATTCTTCTGCCTTGGGATCCTGTTGATCTGTGACGTTATCCCCAACCCTGTGCTCTCTGAAACATGTGCTGTGTCCACTCAGGGTTAAATGGATTAAGGGCGGTGCAAGATGTGCTTTTTTAAACAGACGCTTGAAGGCAGCATGCTCATTAAGAGTCATCACCACTCCCTAATCTCAAGTACCCAGGGACACAAACACTGCGGAAGGCCACAGGGTCCTCTGCCTAGGAAAACCAGAGACCTTTGTTCACTTGTTTATCTGCTGACCTTCCCTCCACTATTGTCCTGTGACCCTGCCAAATCCCCCTCTGCGAGAAACACCCAAGAATGATCAATTAAAAAAAAAAAAGTTGAAAAACAAACAAACAAACAAACAAACAAAAAAAAGAATGCCTTAAGCAGTTTTCCGCCCTGGGTGGGCCAGGTGTTCCTTGCCCTCATTCTGGTAAACTGACAACCTTCCAGTGTGGGCATCATGGCCATCAAGAGCATGTCACTGTGCTGCAGAGATTTTGTTGTTATGGCCAGTTTTGAGCCAGTTTATGGCCACATTTGGGGCCCTGTTCCCAACAATTTACCTCATTTCTTTTTTTGCTTCTTACTATTAATGGCCGGAGTCAGCAGAAAAATCCCTTCCCCCAACGAAACACATTTCCATGAGTACAGGAAGCTCTGTTTGTTCAGTGCCGACTCCAGCATCTCATGGAGCCTGGGATACAGCAGGCACCAAGACGCAACTTGTATGGTGGGAATGCTTCTAGTATTCTCACTTCAAACTATCTCATGGATTTGCCATTTCTGTATCTGAAGGCATGTTCCCATTCTCTAATGCAATGGTTCCTTCTTTCCCAGCTGGCCTTCAACCCTACAAAAGTACTGCAGGGCATCACTCAGCCTTCTGTGCCTTAGTCATGCTGTTCTTCTCACTGTTCCACAAAGCCTCCCTCAAGCCCAGCCTCAGTTGAAGACTGAAGGGCACAGGCCTCTGAAAATGTGAGCAGGGAACCTGTTCTCTTGTGTCTAACACCAAATGCCTTTCAGAATAGGACTAAAGCAATAGACTTCTTTTTAGAAAATATGCAGAAATCCTTGCAAATAGTAGACAAGAGATCTCATTCATGGACAAGAATCCTTGTTATTAGAGGAATTCAGTTTCTTAGACTGACTATATATCAGGTTCTCCACGGCCCCATGGCTAATGGCTGCCATACTGGATGGCAAACACTCGGAACATTTCCATCATCACAGATGGTCCTACTGGACCGACTCCCAGCGCACAGGCCACAGATCAGTTTCCACCCGCCGCCCACTCTCCCTCTCTTCCGAGTATATTTAGGGCCAGCAACAGGTCCAGCTTAAAGACATTTCCAAGCTGCTGGAAGCCAGGCATGATGACATGATCAATATCCGGGCCTGAGATGTAAGCACCAGTGTTGTGTTGAACTCCAGGAAACCTCTAAGAGAAAGCTGCCCTGCTGGGGACTGAGCTTCTCCGGCGGTCCTGCGGTTCCCTCTCCTCCACGCTGTGACTCATCCATGACAGCCATCGACGGTCAGGTCACGGAGGTCACACCCAAGCACACACGAGTGAACCACAGAAGGCTGTCCTGGATGCCAAGCAGTCACTAATTCTGCCCTAGTCTGCTGACCTTCTATGTGGAAAAGAAGTGCACTTCTGTATAGTTCAGGCCTCCTGGTCTCTTTCATATTCTTGATACGGTGAGGAGTACGTCCTACCGCTGTTTACCTCCAGATTCTGGTGCAGCCTTGTGTATTTATCGCAGCACTAGTCACAACAGCAAAGTCATGGAATCAACCTAAGTGCCCATCAACGGATGACCGGATGAAGAAAATGTGGTACATATATACCATGAAATACTACTCGGCCATAAAAAAAGAATGCAATCATGTCTTCTGCAGCCACAGAAGATGGCTGCAGGATGGATCAGGAGGTCACTATCCTAAGTGAAGTGACTCAGAAGGTCAAGTGTCACACATTCTCACTTGGAAATGGGAGCTGAACGGTGAGTACACATGGAGTGGACTAGCAGAGACTGGGGGCTCCAAAAAGCGGGAGGGGTGGGGTTGAACAATTACCTACTGGGTACAACACACACGACTTGGGTGACAGGTACATGAAAAGCCCAGACTCCACCACCTCCCAGTACATCCACACAAAACTGCACCTGCATCCCCCTAGATCTAGTTTTAAAAAAACAAAACCAGTGCAGGGCCAGGTATGCAGCCCGCCTGCTCACTCCAGAGCGAGTCCAGGCTCTTACCTTCTGCATGCTGAGTCGCAGTTCTCATGTTCTTATGCTTCCATCAGCAAATCTCAATTTGTCAAGATTCATGACAGATTCTTCCCCAGCGTTTGGTTTAATTGGAGGGACTTTATCTCCTAAAACAAAAAAAAGCTAGAATTTTACTTTTGAAAACTTTTTTAAAAAACCAAATGGATTTAGAATGACACAGAAACATGTAGCACAGCCACTCAAGGAGCTTGGAAACTGTGTAAGACTCCTGAGCTAACACACTACCAGCCCACCCTACGTCTGAGGCCATCTGTTGAGTTGGGGCCAATTTTAAAGAACATAAAGGCAAAATTGTTGGCACACAGTAGATATCCATTAAGTGATCTTAGAGTGAATAAACTAGAAATCATCTCTAAAATTAAAAAATTAAATGTAGGCCGGGTGCGGTGGCTCACGCCTGTAATCCCAGCACTTTACAAAGCTGAGGTAGGTGGATCACTTGAGGTCAGGAATTCAAGAGCAGCCTGGCCAACGTGGCAAAACCTCATTTCTACTAAAAACACAAAAATTATCTGGGTATGGTGGTGCGCGCCTATAAACCCAGCTACTCAGGAGGCTGAGGCACAAGAACTGCTTGAACCCGAAAGGTGGAGGTTGCAGTGAGCTGAGACTACGCCACTGCACTCCAGCCTGGGCAACAGAGTGAGACTCTGTCTTAAAAAAAAAAAATTAAATGTATACAAATGTATATACATTAAGTGTATATAAGTGTCACTCCACTAAGGGAAAAAAAAGACACCTTCCAGATGGTGGTCCCGAGGGGCCGGCCACCCCACTGTCCTTCACATCAAGGGGAGGAAGGTGGCCGCTGTGTGCATGAAAGTCACCTGCTGATTTGGACTCTTGTCCAAAAGATTTGCAATTTTTTTTTTTTTGAGATGGACTCTGTAGCCCAGGCTGGAGTGCAGTGGCACCATCTCGGCTCACTGCAACGTCCACCTCCTGGTTCAAGCAATCCTCCTGCCTCAGCCTCCGGAGTAGCTGGGACTACAGGAGTACACCACCATACCTGGCTAATTTTTGTATTTTCAGTAGAGATGGGTTTCACCATGTTGGCCAGGCTGGTCTCGAACTCCTGACCTCAGGTGAACCACCTGCCTCGGCCTCCCAAAGTGCTGGGATCACATGTGTGAGCCACTGTGCACAGCCAAGATTTGCAACTCTTGTGTTTCTAAGATGTCTTGAAAAAAACTTTAAAGTTTTTTTTTATAACATTATATATATTTTCTTCAACAGGTAACACATGCAGGAGGTAGGATGTATGAAATGCAGGAGTCAAACAGGCCCCACCCCGCCCACCACCTCTCCACAGGACCAGGCTATGGGTCTCTTGAGGTTCTGCTCAAATGCTTCTAGGCTCGCTGGTGTTTCTCCTCCTTTTGATAATAATGCTTTAAAAATTGATCATTCAGTAAAATTGACTTTTTTCTTTAGGTGGACAGTTCTACAATTTACTTTTTCTTTTTTTTGAGACAGTGTCTCCTCCCTCTCTTGCCCAGGCTGGAGTACAGTGGTGTGATCTCGGCTCACTGCAACCTCTGCCTTCCAGGCTCCAGCAATCCTCCAACCTCAGCCTCCCAAGTAGCTGGGACTACATAGGTGTGAGCCACCATGCCCAGCTAATTTTTGTATTTTTGGTAGAGACGGGGTTTCACCATGTTGCCCAAGCTGGTCTCAAACTCCTGAGCTCAAGCAATCTGCCTGTCTCGGCCTCCCAAAGCGGTGGGATTATAGGCGTGAGCCACCGCACCCAGCCTCAGTTCTACCAATTTTAACATATGTATAGACGCATGTAACTACTTCGGGAGGCTGAGACAGGAGGACCTCTTGAGGCCAGGAGTTCAAGACCATCCTGGGCAACACAGGGAGACCCTATCCCAATGAAACATTTTTAAAAATTAGCCAGGTGTGGTGGCGTGCACCTGATCGTACCACTGCACTCCAGCCTGGGCGACAGAGGGAGACTATCTCTGAAAAAAAAAAAAAAAAAAACAAAAAAAAAACACATATATATACACATATATATGTGTTTTTTTTTTTTTGCAGGGGGGCTTGGGGGAGAATAGTGATGCTACAACCATTTTTTCTTTCCTTTTCATTTTTAAAAATTAAAGCATAAAGATACAGTAAAATAAACTCATCATTTTTAGTGTAGGGTTTTTCAAATTTTGACACACACAGAGTTGTGTCTGTATCAGCACAATCAGGAAACAGCCTCTGGCAACCAGCAATCCCTTTTCTTCCCTAGATGTGCCTTTTCCAGAATGTCGTATCAACAGAACCACAGGCGTGCAGCCTTTTGAGTCTGACTCCACAGCATTCTGCGTGAGATGCTGCATGCGTGAGCGGTTTCTCAGATGTAAAGTATAGGGTATTCTTACAAAATGTTCTTTTTTGCATTTTCAAAGAAAGAGCAGCTCAAAATTTCTACATTGCTCTGAGAGAAGTGATATCGGTCCTCACCGCTACAAAGTGCGGGGCTATGGAGTGAGATAAGCACTACCTGCGGCGTCAGGAACGATGGACCTGAACTCCGCCTTCGCCGATGATCAGCAACGGCTGGGGATGAGACGCCAGCTCTGCGTGTGCTGGCCTCCCGAGCAGTGGTCAGATCCAGAGACAGAGTGTCTGAAGTAAGCTACCCTTTTAATACTATCTGCACCTTTCTAACTACAGATACAAAAGGGGGCATGTTTATAAGTTACGGCCGTGCTAGTTTTTATTTCACTTGAATCCATACAAAAAGCACCTGTTGTATAAAAACAGCAGAAATGATGCTAACAGTTAACACCAGAGAAAGGTAACGGGAAGAACATGGGCCTGGGGTCCCACCATCCTTGCCACGCAAACATCCACCAGTGCCTCATCCACCTCACACTGTTCTGAGCACACGAGGCTGCATGACCACCGTGAAGATGTCTGGAGTTAGGAGCGATGCTAACTGCCCCGTTCTTAGTGCACGTAAGACTCACACTCCCACACGTGGTATTTCCTTTACTGCACATTATTTGACGCTATCATGAAAAGAAAACCAGCAAGTGAAATCCAATCTGTCCGTAAAGGGTGGGAATCCTGTTCACTGTAAGTCATCCCTTCTCCTCTAATAGAGGCTAGCTGTACTTTGTTTCTAGAATGGCCTAAATTACTTTTCTAAGTACCAAGAAGTCACATATTCATTCATGCCAACTATTTAAGATATTTCATTGCAAATCAGTGATTTTTATCAGGCAAGTAAAAATAACAACTTCCTAATAGTGCTTTTTCTAAGCAGAACATAACGACTGCAAAATAATTTTTTAAAAAAACGTAACCCCAAAAATGTCACCTTAACTGTTAAGATCCCCAACCAGCCTCTATCTAGTCTCAACATTACCACCATATAATTTCTGGATTTCTCAGTTTAATCACTTCTGGGGGAAAAACCCAGACTACCTCTATATGATCACTAAGCAAATTTCCAGTAAGAAATCAAGGCTTTGTAACCTGGCTGGGTGCAGTGGCTCATGCCTGTAATCCCGATACTTTGGGAAGCTGAGGCAGGACTGTTTGAGTCTAGGAGTTCAAGACCAGCCTGGGCAATATTGTGAGACCCTGTCTCTACAAAATAAATTTTTGTTAAATTAGCCGGGTGTGGTGGTGCACATCTGTAGTCCCAGCTACTTGGGACTCTGAAGGTTGAGGTGTTGAGGACTGCTTGAGCCCGGGAGGTTGAGGCTGCTATGACTGTGCCACTGCACTCCAGCCTGGGCTGACCCTTTCTCAAAAAAAAGAAAAAAGACTTTCTAACTTCCTGCGCCTTCTCAAATAGTCTGGCTCCTGAAGAAAACACTTACCAGGCCTGCATGACTCTTCGATGCTCAGGGCACATGCCTGACCAAAGACAACCAAGTCCAAGAGCGAGTTTGCCCCGAGCCGATTGGCACCATGTACCGAGGCACAGGCGGCCTCCCCACAGGCGTACAGGCCGGGCACAATCTGATCCTGGCCATTCACGTGCCTCAGGACCTGTGGAAAGGAAGATTTCAGGTGAAATGTCAAGGTGCTCATGCCTCCACCAGCCCACCTTCCCCAATAGGGTGTCTGTGCTGCAGGTCAGAGAGAGAGGGAAGTAGGCCCGGCGTGGTGGCTCACACCTGTAATCTCAGCACTTTGGGAGGCTGAGGCTGGTGATCACCTGAGGTCAGGGGTTCAAGACCTGTCTGGCTAACATGGTGAAACCCCATCTCTACTAAAAATACAAAAATTAGCGGGGCATAATGGCGGGTGCCTGTAATCCCAGCTACTAGGGAGGCTGAGACAGAAAAATCACTTGAACTTGGGAGGCAGAGGTTGCAGTGAGCTGAGATCGCGCCACTGCTCTCCACCCGAAGCGACAGAGTGAGACCCCACCTCCAAGAAAAAAAAAAAAGGGGAAGTAAAGACCGTATCTAAGAGGGAAGTAAGGACCATAGCTACTCTTCTTCAGAGGGAAGCTTCCGAAGGTATCCCCCAGTTTCCCCTCTGCCCCTGAGCACCTGCTGTTACAAGCAGGTCAGAGGACCTCCAATGTCAGCATCTGCGACTGTCCCCCGTGTCCCATGTTCCCGGGGCCCTCACCACCTGTGCTCCGGCTCAGACCCAGGAGCACGGCAGGTGGAGGAACATCAGCAGGGGAGACTGATATTCCAGACTCTTCCACTCGCTGTTCACCTCTTCATCTACACAGGGAAAGTAACAGCTTCCACCCACCTCGCCCAACAAGGAGCTCTGGTGACCTTGGGCAGACACGACTCCTCCCCAAGTCCACCCGCCAGGCACTGAGGCGAGGGGCTACCTCAGCCCGGGAGGTCTCTGGACCCCAGGCCCGGACCAAGGCGGCGGAGGGGACGCCCAGCAAGCCCGCGGGGTCGTGACCTTCACCGGACTACCTGCTAAGGACCGAGCTCCCCGGACCCCCGAGTCCGCCCCACGGCTCCCCCTTGCACTGGCGCAGGGCTCTCCCAGCCCCTTCCAGATCCCGGGACAGGGGGCGCAAGGACCTGGCGCCCGCTCTGCTCGGGCCCGCTGGGGACCGTCCCGCTCCTACCGCCGCCTCGGCCCCCGCCTGCCCCGCCCCGGTCCGCGGCACGGACTCACCGCCTTGGCCAGCGCCAGGCGCGGAGCGCTCAGCAGGCGCGACAGGACCCAGACCGCCATGCCTGTAGTCGCCTCCGCGCAGTCCCGCCAGTCCCCGCGCAGACTACGCCTGCGCACCACACCGGGGTCGAGCTTTGGGGGGCAGGAACCGCGGCGGGTGGGATGCCGCGCCTGCGCACGGGGTCAAGCGGGGCCATAGTGGAGGCGCCTCGCCTGCACAAAGCGCACCTGCGGACGGTGGCGCTGTGGGGATAGGGAGGTCCCGCGCTCCCTGACCGATGTAGGGCGGGCCCTATTCCGGGGAGGTGTTGGGCACCAACATTTTTAAAGCCCCGTGGGTGGTTCCCTGGGATCGCCCAGACCGAAAGGCCCCGAACGTCCAGATCGCAGGGAATGGGGTCGGAGGGGCGGCGCTCGTCCGCGGAGGCGGGCGGGAGCGGCCACGGGCCTCTGGCCTCTAGTGAGCGGGTGTGACCCTCGGTCTCCGGCCTGTGAGGTGAGGGAGCGATCCTCAGCCGTGTCCCTAGCCTCTGGCTTCCGGCTAATTTTTAAATTTTTTGTAGAGGCGGGATCTTGCTGTGTTGCCCGGGCTGGTCTCGAACTCTTGGCCTCAAGCGATCCTCCCTCCTCGGCCTCTCCAAGTGCGGGGATTACGGGCGGAGCCACCGCGCACGGCCGTGGTCAGCTTTGAAAGCTGCGTAGATCCCTTTGGCTCATACGCCTTTCTGCTAGCTTACCCTGATTCTGCTTCTGGTTCAGATAGTATTTTAATATTTCTAGTGTGTCTTTTTGTAAGATATCTGAAATCTTTTTGTGGAATGAAGTGGCATGAAAAATAAACCAATAATCGTTAGTAATTACGTTTCCTGTCTTTTCACTTTAAATTATTAAAATCTTCGTTTTGTGCATGTTTAACAATTTTGAGTTATTTTAGTAAATTTGCAAGGGTTCAGTCCCATTTTATTGATATTTGGGTTGTTTCCCATTTTTGCTCTTAATAAATAACACTGTACAGAACATATTTGTGACCATAACTTTAGGATTATTTTCTTAGATTGTAGGCCCCAGACGTGGCCTTTATTGGCTTGCAGGGAATGAACGTAATAGCTCCTAGACTTTTTTTTGAAAGTTATGCAGTTTTAGTCCTGTGTTAATTACCTAATTTTGTTTTGTTTTGTTTGAGACAGAGTTTTGCTGTTGTTGCCCAGGTTGGAGTGCAATGGCGCGATCTCAGCTCACTGCAACCTCTGCCTCCAGGGTTCAAGAGATTCTCCTGTGGAGCTTGCAGTGAGCGGAGTTCGAGCCACTGCACTCCAGCCTGGGCAACAGAGCAAGACTGCCCCTCAAAAAACAAAGAGATTCTCTCGCCTCAGCCTCCCGAGTAGCTGGGACTACAGGCCCCCGCCACCACGCCCAGCTAGTTTTTGTATTTTTAGTAGAGACAGGGTTTCACCATATTGGCCAGACTGGTTTCAAACTCCTGACCTCAGGTGATCCACCTGCCTCAGCCTCCCGAAGTGCTGTGATTGCAGGCGTGAGCCACCGTGCCTGGCCTTAATTTTTTAATTCTATAATTACCACATGTAGGGGTGGGTTGCCCCTCCACACCTGTGGGTGTTTCTCGTAAGGTGGAACGAGAGACTTAGGAAAGAAAAAGACACAGAGACAAAGTATAGAGAAAGAAATAAGGGGACCCGGGGAACCAGCGTTCAGCATATGGAGGATCCCGCCAGCCTCTGAGTTCCCTTAGTATTTATTGATCATTCGTGGGTGTTTCTCCGAGAGCGGGATGTGTCAGGGTCACAAGACAATAGTGGGGAGAGGGTCAGCAGACAAACACGTGAACAAAGGTCTTTGCATCATAGACAATGTAAAGGATTAAGTGCTGTGCTTTTAGATATGCATACACATAAACATCTCAATGCTTTACAAAGCAGTATTGCTGCCCGCAGGTCCCACCTCCAGCCCTAAGGCGGTTTTTCCCTATCTCAGTAGATGGAGCATACAATCGGGTTTTATACCGAGACATTCCATTGCCCAGGGACGGGCAGGAGACAGATGCCTTCCTCTTGTCTCAACTGCAAGAGGCATGCCTTCCTCTTATACTAATCCTCCTCAGCACAGACCCTTCACGGGTGTCGGGCTGGGGGACGGTCAGGTCTTTCCCTTCCCACGAGGCCATATTTCAGACTATCACATGGGGAGAAACCTTGGACAATACCTGGCTTTCCTAGGCAGAGGTGCCTGTGGCCTTCCGCAGTTTTTGTGTCCCTGGGTACTTGAGATTAGGGAGTGGTGATGACTCTTAAGGAGAGTGCTGCCTTCAAGCATCTGTTTAACAAAGCACATCTTGCACCGCCCTTAATCCATTTAACTCTGAGTTGACACAGCACACGTTTCAGAGAGCACGGGGTTGGGGGTAAGGTTATAGATTAACAGAATCTCAAGGCAGAAGAATTTTTCTTAGTACAGAACAAAATGGAGTCTCCTATGTCTACTTCTTTCTACACAGACACAGTAACAATCTGATCTCTCTTGCTTTTCTCCACACCACAAACCCCTTAGTATTAAGCTCCAAGACATATTTTTGTCATATCTTTATTGCTTATAATTTTCTATCTTTAGATATTAAGTATTTGTTGAAAATCCCATGAAAAGCTTTCAGAAATTGGATTGCATTTCTTGCTTATTATACATCCCTTGACTATTTTGTAATTGTGTGTATTTGTGGAGGTCACATGTAAATAAACTTAAAGTGACTCTACTTTGTGAAAATGTGAAACTTCGTGTAGGTACTCAGTAAATCAGTAAATTCTTACTAACGTTAGCCCCCAGCCTAGCTATGGAGGGTGCATGCTGAGCCCGAAGCAGAGAGCTCTGTAATCTCTGCATTCATCACCACCATGAGGAGGCCTCAGAAGCTTCTAGCACTGTTTGCACCTTCCCCACATCACCCCTCCCTGCCTTCCTCACAGTCTTCCTTCTGATCAGAAGACCCTTTCCTTCTTTCTCTGCCTGTCAAAATGCTGCTCACTCTTCAAACCCTAGCTCATATGAAAGTGTCTGGTGTGAGCCCACTTTTATTGAGTTGATTCTGTATCTTTGATACAACTGTATGAGGGTTCTCCAGAGACACAACAAATAGAAGGGAGACGTAAGAAATTGGTTTAAAGGTTCAATTGCTAATCTCATCCAAAAACACCCTTACAGACACGCCCAGAAATAATGCTTAACCATGTATCTGAGCACCTCATGATGCCGTCAAGTTGACAAACAAAATTAACCATCGCAGCAGCCATACATTTAAATATATTTGTACCAGAGAACTTACCTGATTCTACCTGCACTTCAGATGCTTAAGACATGTCTGTTTTCTCCACTTTCCCCAACCAGATTGTGAGTCGCTTTCACCTAAGGTCTTGTTTTTTTTTCCTTTTTCTTTTTCTTTTTTTTTGAGACGGAGTCTCGTTCTGTCACCAGGCTGGAGTGCAGTGGCGCGACCTCGACTCACTGCAACCTTCACCTCCCAGGTTCAAGCGATTCTCCTGCCTCAGCCTCCCGAGTAGCTGGGACTACAGGTGCCCGCCACCATGCCCGGCTCTGGTCTAGTTTTTTTCTTCTTTGAATCCCGTAGGGCCTCAGTGCTGTGCAGCAAGCACATAGTTAAAACTGAAGAAAAATTTCTTGAATAAAAGTAGTTAACGTTTTTATTCTTTACTTCAAGGTATATCTCCATGAATAACCTAAATGATCCCCCAAATTGGAATATCCGGCCTAATTCCAGGGCGGATGGTGGTGATGGAAGCAGGTGGAATTATGCCCTGTTGGTTCCAATGCTGGGATTGGCTGCTTTTCGTAAGTCATGGTTTTCTTAAAATTAGTGTTTTCCAGGCTGAGAGTGTGGAGCCCCGGTGAGGGAGGCAGCATGGTGTGGGAGCCTGAAGGCCGTGACTTTGGGACCTGCCAGGGACAGCCGAGTTTTATCCCCTGCAGTGAACCGTGGGCAAATCACTTAAGCTCTGAGCCTCAGTCTTCCTGTTCACAGGAGATGGATAATCATACTTAACCTCAGCACACTGCAAGGATTAAGTCAGCCAAGGCGTTTAGAAGCATTTTGTGTGGGGTGGGTTTTAATAACTTAGTTCCCTCTGAAGGCTTTGCTGCTCTCAAGTCGGGGAGGAGGTTCCTTATTTCAGGTGCCCTCATAAGGACTGCTGGGGAACAAAACGGGTGTAAAGGAAACCAGTGGGCTGGGCGTGGTGGCTCATACCTGTAACCCCAGCACTCTGCGAGACCCAGGTGGGCAGATCGAGTGACCAGCCTGAGCAACACAGCAAAACCCCGTCTCTACAAAAAATACAAAAATTAGCGAGTCGTGGCGGTGCACACCTGTAGTCCCAGCTACTCAGGAGGCTGAGGTGGGAAGATCAGTGGAGCCTGGGAGGTCGAGGCTGCAGTGAGTGGAGATGGCACCACTTGCCCTCCAGCCTGAGAAACAGGGTTAAAAAAAAAAAAAGAAAACCAGTTTTGGAAAACCAGTGATGTTTAATGTTTAGGAAATCAGTCTTTGGGAGACTTCATCCATGAAATCTCTGCTTGGCCTGGCCAGAAATTCTCTCTAGTTTAGATTGACTTGGCACCACTTTGGGGAACTGTCAGTCACATGCAGACTTACATCCCCACCACACAATCAATTCACTGATGCAGAGGAGTGAGTTTTGTGTTTCTTCACATTCCATGGTTCTGGGCTGGCACTTAGGAACATGAGAAACTGAATAATTGAATGGAAGAAAGGCAAGACTGCCCTCTAGTTGTAGCGATACATTTTGTGTAGCGGCTTTTTATCTGCTTCGATGTCTCAGGTCAGAAGTTTTGCTGTAGAGGAAGAGGAGGCTGGTAAGAGCAGGTGGTTTTTATGATTCAGTGATCTGCGCAGTGCTTGCTTCTTGGTGAAAGACAGGGCAGGTCCACATCCAATCCTAAGGGGCTGCCATGTAAAAAGCTCATCCGCCTGCAGGCTTGGGAAAAAAACCCTTAACACTTGGAGAGGCTACTGTTGCCTGTGGCTAGGGTGAGTGGATTGGAAGGCTTAAAATTACTCTGACTAATGTAATAATTAATTGGCTTTGAGGCTGGGAGAGGCCCTGAAGTGACTCATTTTCCATTTGTTTTTCAGACTCATCTCAAGCTTTTATAGCCTTTCATGATAACTTTCACTTCTGAAATTCTTACCTTCCCTTCTTGGACTTTTGAAATGATGCTTTCTGTCCCTGAAAAGGGTTGAAGAATATTTTTTCTTCCTGGTTTTTTGCTGAGGTAGTGTGGTCAGAGATAACTGTTAACTTGGTGTTCTTGTAAGGATTCTCCAAAGGTGTGTTACGATGTGTTTGAGGTTCTATTGCACATAAGAGCGTAACCAGCCTTCAGTGTAGTCTAGAAGAAGAGGCAGACATATGAATACTTGATAAGCGCTATTGATTGATTGATGAGAGGCTAGTTTTGTCCTGATCACTCGCTTCATTTAGTATTATTATTATTATTATTATTTTTTTTTTTTTTTTGAGACAGTCTTGCCCTGTTGCCAGGCTGGAGTGCAGTGGCGCGATCTCGGCTTGCTACAACCTCCAACTCTCTGGTTCAAGTGATTCTCCTGCCTCAGCCTCCCGAGTAGCTGGGATTACAGGCACCCACCACCACGCCCAGCTAATTTTTGTATTTTTAGTAGAGGCGGGGTTTCACCATATGGGCCAGGATGGTCTCGATCTCCTGACCTTGTGATCTGCCTGCCTCGGCCTCCCAAAGTGCTGGGATTACAGGTGTGAGCCACCGTGCCCAGCCCATTTACTAGATTTTTACTTAACATAACATAGAAATGTGTGTAATTGTGCTTGCCTGAAAGAGCAGTCCCTGGAGAAATTCTTACCCTGAGTAGCTCCCAGGGGAGAATATTCAGTATTTCAGCACTCCAGAGGGCTTCTCTCTCTTCACACCTCCTCTGTCATTCTGCTTTCCCCCTTTTCTCTCGGTCTTCCTGATTGCCCTTTCCCCGTCTCTCTCTCCGTGCTTTTCCCATCTCTCCGTGCTTTCTCCCCTCTAGCGTTCCTGTACCTCCTGTTTCCTCCCCTGACCTAGAAAACATAGTTTTAGAGGTGAAAGGGACTGGTTGAGTTCACTGGGCCCAACTCAGTTTCTTTTACTTAACCATTTTATTTTGGGGTCATGTAAGTCTTATGCAGTTGTCATCAGCAATACAGAGAGCCCATGTACCCTCTACCTAGCTTTCCCCAATGGAAGCATCTGCAAAATGATAGTGCAGTGTCACAGCCAAGACATCTGCCAGGATGCGGTCAAGATACCCTAGCAGAGGCTGGAGGAAACATGTGCACCCCCTGTAAACACTTTTATTCATGTTTTCATTACTTATTTTTCTTAGTGTTAGTCAAAACTGTTGAAAACTAGGCATATTAAATCTTGCAACATTAAGTTTAAATATATTATTTGTACCTCATCAACATTACTTGTTGAGAAAGTCTAAGGTTAATTGGCAGTGTATTTGTAATAGTAGATAGAATAATGTCTGTTTTATAAACATTGACATCCTACATGTGTGAACCCCGAAAATCTGAGACAGGTCTCAGATTTTTTAGAAAGTTTATTTTGCCAAGTTTGAGGATGTGCACCCGGGATGCCTCCTCAGGAGGTCCTGACGACATGGGCCCAAGGTGGTCAGGGCACAGCTTGGTTTTATACACTTTAGGGAGACGTGAGGCATCAATCAATATGTGAAAGATGTGCATTGGTTCAGTCAGTCAGAAAGGTGAGAAGGCCAGACAGGGGGCTTCCAGGTCATAGGTAGGTAAGAGACAAATGGTTTCATTCTTTTGAGTTGCTGATTACCCTCTCCAGATGAGGCACTCAGATACGCATTTATCTCGGTGAGCAGACAGGTGACTTTGGATACAATTGGAGGCAGGTTTGCCCTCAGCAGCTCCCAGCTTGACTTTTCCCTTTAGCTTAGTGATTTTGGGTCCCCAAGATTGATTTTCCTTTCACGAGGTCTAACATGTTTTACTATGAGCATTAATTATTCATTGTGTATTTTATTGCACAAATAAGGCATAGATTTTTTAAAAATCGTCAACTCAGACACCTTACCACACACGGGCTCCACAAGGAACTCAGGGAATCCTCACAAGTCTAAAACACATGCATGGATGGGAGGTGAGGGAACGAGCCCCAGGCTGCTCTGGGAAACCTTGAGACACAATGCCATGGTCCCTGTGAGGCAGAACTGAACCCGGGATTCCATATTAAAGAGGCCTGAAGGGGGCCACACCTCCCAGCAAAGGAAGCCTTTCAGAAATCAAGTGGGGCGGGGATGGAAACCCGACTCTCCTCAACACCTGCCTCCCAGGCCTGCCTGCCCCTGGAGCTGCAGCTCCACCTGGCTACGGGGGATGGAGACACAGCACGACTCTCCTGAACACCTGCCTGCGCCTGGAGCCTCAGCTCACACCCCGGCTACCGTCTGGGCATGGGGGTGCACACCTGTAATCCCCACTTTTTGGGAGGCTGAGGCAGGAGGATTGCGTGAGCCCAGGAATTCCAGACCAGGCCTGGGCAACACAGGGACACCCTGTCTCTTAAAAGAAACAAACAAAAACCCAGCTGCCTATACAGCTGGGGAGACCCTGGACCCAAAGAAATGATGCAGACCCTCACATTAAGGCTACACATGAACCCACAAAACAAACAAAAATTACAGAAGCATCAAGGAAGTTGGTCACTCTGTGTGGGCTTGAGCAGGAAAAATATTTGGCTGTAGACCACCCTCCCAAGGACTTCAAACACAGTCAAGGAACTCCACGTCACAAATATCTAGCGCTTTTCAAAAAAGCATGTTCTTAAAACTGAAGACTATCATATGAAATATTTGAATAAAGAATGGAATCACAAAAATAAATAAGCAATGTCTATCAAAAACACCCAGATAAGATGTGAAAGTAACTAATAATTTAGAAATTTTAAATATATGTCATCTTTAGAATTAGAAACTGAAAGGACAGGTTACACCGTACATTAAAAATAAACAGAATCAAGAATAGAGCAAACATACACGGAGAGACGTGAAAAGGTACAGAGACGGGGGGAGAGGGATGAAAGGGCCGACGCTCATCTAAGTGGAATTCCAGAAGGGAGCAAAGTGATACGGACCCACAGACAAAGGAAACACAAGCGGGTACCCAAGCGGGTCGGATACAAAGCAGCCCAGGTTGGTCCGTCTGCCGATACTTACATATGATCGACCTGACAGTCACTGGATTAAAGGGAGTCCACGTGCCTGAAAACAAACAACAACAGGAGTTAAAGTAAAAGGAAAATCTTTCTGGGACACTGAGTTTGTGATCTATACCTGGAGGCACCAGGAAAAGCAGTGGGGGCTCTAGGGTAGTGGTTTTCTAGACACTCCAGGTGACGTGTCGGCTGCCATGACTCCTGGGAGGGGGCCAAAGCACTGCCTGGTGGGTTCACACCCTGCTGTGTGTGGGAGTCCTTTGTGGCCTCCCAGACCTCCAAGGCTGTCCACAGTCATCGCGGCTGGACATGCACTCTTATTTAACAGATAACCAAGAAATGGTTCTGTATCATTTTACACACGGAATTTTTCAAGGATGCAGTCACCAGCTAAGTTGAGAAGTTCGCACTTAGTTTTGTTAGAGAACTTCACGAATTCCCATTTCAGAAAATCCATCATCAAGGCCACCACTGCCTGCAGACACCTGAGCATAGCTTGGTCGCTGTGGCATTCACACTAATTCTACTGAAAGGTGCAAGTACCAGACCCCTTCCTTCCATTCTCCCTCAGTAATCATCCTAAAGCACGGTGAAGACATCCATCACACCACACTTCAAAAATTCCTGACAAATTACGGTCTGCGCTTTATACAATTTTCCTTGAAACTGAATAGGAAAGCTCTACTATCCTCAGACTCATCGTTGAATCTGATACCCTTGAGTACTCACAACCATTTATCAACTATGAGGATGAAGATTCACTGATGACCTTCACACACAAGAACCTATCTTCAGAGTGATTTGTACCTTCAGTAATTTCCATACTCACCAAAAATGAACTAAAAAAATATTTTTAAGGTCAGGAGAGACCAGTGGCTCTCCTCATACCCCATCTGTATTAGACACACAGTTTTTTTTTTTTTTAATATACACAAAAATGCCACAGTCCTGGGCAGCACACAGAGACAGCCCCCTGATCTCAGAGAACAATGTCAGGCTCCTGGTGGAGCACGGGCAGTGGGGTCTGCTGGCACGGTCCCTTAGGCCTCTACGTGCCACCACTCTGGGCTCATGGGGCTCTTCCTAGTGCCATGCCCGCTCTCACCTGAAGTGCGTCCCCTTCTAAGACACACACACCCTCCCTCCAGCTCCTTCCTTTCCTTCCTCAGGGAGACTTTCACGGGGGTACCACGTTCTCCCAGCCCAGAAGTTAAATCCATTTGCTCTGCCTGAGCACCTCCCAACTTCCCCTTGGGAAGATCCCACCCTCCAGCAGTTTTGCAGGGAAGCTGTGCTCTTCCCACAAAGGCAGGTGCACCTGAACCCGAGGCATACACACACAGCAGCACTGGATGACCCGCCCTCCAGCAGTTATGCAGGGAAGCTGTGCTCTCCCCACAAAAGCAGGTGCTCTCCCCACAAAGGCAGGTGCACCTGAACCCGCGGCCCATACACACAGCAGCACTCGATGACCCGCCCTCCAGCAGTTATGCAGGGAAGCTGTGCTCTCCCCACAAAGGCAGGTGCACCTGAACTCGAGGCATACACACACACAGAGCAGCACTCCACGACCCACCCTCCAGCAGTTATGCAGGGAAGCTGTGCTCTTCCCACAAAGGCAGGTGCACCTGAACCTGAGGCCCACACACACAGCAGCACTCGACGAGCATCTGTTAAGCTGAATAGAGTGATAATCTGCAGGATTACCTTTCTGTAGGCTTTACAGGTATCTGAAAGGAGAGTAGACAGGTATATGTACATAGAGGTATTCGGAAAGGTCGGAATTACTGAAAACTAGTGTTACAAAAAGCAAAGATGGGCTACAGAGAACCCACAAGGCAAAGAAAGAGGAAAACTCTAAACACCAAGGAGCATCCCTGCCTCACCCAATTCCATCTGGTCTCCCCCATTCTTCACCGCTGTGTGCAGCAACCTAGTGTCTGCACACAAGGGTGACCTGCTCTGACCCAGCGCTGACAAGAAGCCCCAGGAGCCAAAGCCCCTGGAAGCCTCCTGGGCAATCAATCCTCTGTCTTTATGCCATGAGCTTCTTCTCCTCTGTCTTCTGCGTCCGTGGCCCTGGACTGACTGTGTGGAGCTGGATGAGACCTAAGTCCTCAAGTGAAGGCTGCACTGTGACGTGTCCTGATCATAAGTAGAAGCTTCTCTGGGCCATCTCAGCAAATAACACGGTCAAACAAGTTTTAAACCAAAGCAACACAGGTTAAAACACAAGCGAGATGTTAATGCCACAGCACAGGCACAGGGAAGCTCAGGTGCCATCTGGACGGGCACGCATGGAGTGTGCCCAGATGGTGCATTCCTGAGAGCTGGGGCCCAGGAGGAACCGGACGGCCATACTGGGGTCTTCCGGAGTATTCTAAGGATTGCCCAGGAGAGCAGAGGTTGTCCCGGGATTAATCAAGGATGAGAGAGAGGCAGCCACCCCACCAGAAAGGGCCGCTGAGGGATGGACACTCCTGATGTCTCCACTCGCCTTCCTTGCCAACCACAGCGGGGTCTGGCTTCTCCACAGAAACCAAGAGAGAACCACCACAAGGCCTAACGGCCCATAACGAGCTGAAGCACCATGGCGCACAGGCATTTCACGCCTCGGTTACATTAGGTGCTAGACATACCTGGGCAACCGCCTGAAAACCTAAGTAGATGCTGTGCTTTGCCCAAGGCCATGGAGTCACTTGTCACCAAATCCCAAGCCTTCCCCTGAAGCCCTGCCAAGGTGAGTTTTTGGTGAAAGCACGAAAGACTGCATGGGGGTCCCTGAGACCACCCTCCAACTTGAAAGGGTACAGAGTAAACCAGCCAAGGGAAAGGGCTGCCAGGGAAGCCAGGCGCTTCCAGAGTCCCTCCCAGCGGAGTCACACAGGGTGCACCGGATTCCTCCAGCAAGAAGCTGGGACAGCTAGTGCCGTGGTGCGGACCAGGGAGGCTCTCCTGAACCTGGGGGTCAGTCAGGGAAGTTCCAGCCACCCACAGCGAAAGCAGGTGTTTGCCATCCATCACCTTGTTGGTCAACTACCCAGGCAAAGTAGTGCAACATGGCTCCAGTCTCTCTCATCAGTCAGAACACTGCAGGAGCTCAGCTCCCAGGAGCCAGCCAAGGGCCCCTCCTGGGAACGTGCAGGGTTTGAGCAATCCACACCCGCTGAGTTAAACCCTTCCCACATAGGCAGATCAAATCTGCTCCATCACCAGGGGCAACAAATACCATCACCCACATCCCTGGGCCCATGTGAGAGAAGGACAGTGATGGGAATGGACATGTACTTCACAGGGCACTGTCCTGCTTCTGAGGTCTGATTTTTCTCAGTTCTCTTTAATATGGGATCTCCAAGAGAGCCTCAACTGTATTTGATTAAAAAAAAAATACCGGCCGGGCGCAGGGGCTCACGCCTGTAATCCCAGCACTTTGGGAGACCAAGGTGGGTGGATCATGAGGTCAGGAGTTGAGACCAGCTTGACCAACATGGTGAAACCCCGTATCTACTGAAAATACAAAATTAGCCAGGTGTGGGGTGCATGCCTGTAATCCCAGCTACTCAGGAGGCTGAGGGAGGAGAATTGCTTGAACCCGGGAGGTGGAGGTTGCAGTGAGCCAAGATTGCGCCATTGCACTCCAGCCTGGGCGACAGAGTGAGACTCCATCTTAAAGAAAAAAAAAACCTTCAAAAGAATATAAAAATTATTTCTTAAAGTACAGCTTTAAAAATGCCCCTTAAAAATACATCAATGTTATATTAAGGCAAACCTACTTCAGAAGCACAGAGACCTTGAAAAAAGTTAATTTCTTGTAATTCCAAGATGTTTTGGGAATGAGAAATCAGCACAGAAAATGGGCTAGGAGGATAATGGATGAAACCCGATGGGCTGATCATGGTTCCAAGATGGTCTCGCCATGGAGGTGACAGGGTGAGTGCTGCAGTGCAGGACTGGGGATGCCACAGGAACGGGTGCCCCAGGTAGGGCGTCATCCAGGAAGGATGAGAAACCTGAGAACAGCTGGGTGGGAGCAGCTGGGGGGGAGCAGCTGGGGGAGAACAGCTGGGGGGAGCAGCTGGGTGGGAGCAGCTGGGTGGGAACAGCTGGGTGGGAGCAGCTGGGTGGGAGCAGCTGGGGGGAGTAGCTGGGGGGGAGCAGCTGAGGGGGAGCAGCTGGGGGGAGCAGCTGGGTGGGAGCAGCTAGGGGGGAGCAGCTGGGTGGGAGCAGCTGGGTGGGAGCAGCTAGGGGGGAGCAGCTGGGGGGAGTAGCTGGGTGGGAGCAGCTGAGGGGGAGCAGCTGGGTGTGAGCAGCTGAGTTGGAGCAGCTGGGGGGAGCAGCTGGGGGGGAGCAGCTAGGGGGGAGCAGCTGGGTGGGGGGCAGGGTCCGCTGGCTGCACGGGGGTGGGGAGAGGAGCCCATGAGGGCCTGAGAGCAGCGAGGCCGGGCGGAACCCTAATCCCTCATCTGCACATGACATGGGGCCTGCCGGAGCCCCACAGAGCTTGGAACGGAGCTGGGGAAGAGCGTTTGCCAGGCCTCCCGTCCCCTCCTTCTTCCCACTGGGATTGCTCTGAAGGAAGAAGAACCCATCAAGTCCTTGTAAATGTGCTGGGGAGAGAACCCCTGACAGTGCCTGGTGCTCACTCCTGGGGAGCCACTGTCTCGGGTGGTCCTGGTACCGTGAAGTTTCTGGGCTCAGGTCCACGGCACCTGGAAAATGTCGTGTTTAAGTGAAATGATATTCAAAGCCCAAGAGGAAATGTTCCAGGCACTTCTCAGAGACCCCATGAGGCAGGAAGGACAGTGGGGCTATGGGGGCCCCCAGCTTCTCCAGCTGGACCCGTGCCTGGGAATTACTCCCTGAAATCATGAGCAGAGCTGGATGCTGGGTCAGTTCTGTGTGCCTGGAAATTACTCCCTGATATCGATAGCAGAGCTGGACGCTGTGATCTGTGGGACTCTACCCTTAATGGCTTCATTTATTTACATGGATGTAACCGTACATTTGTCTATGTAAAGAAATAAATTTGTCATTTGTTAGATTCGCCTGCACTTGAGATATCTTTTTAAGAATATTTTCCTAGCCATTAAAGAACATGTCGATTTTCTTTTTTCATTTCCCTATTGCTATGTGACAAAAGGTCATATTCTATACTTTTTGTATTAAAGGACTTCAAATTACTGATACTTTGAATGACTTCTAAAGTCTTTGCCATATTCTGAATGAAGAATGTGAGCCCCAGGTTAAAAAGATCAACAATTAAATCACAGGGTGTGTGTTCACCAGGAGGCCTGGTGTCATTTTCTTGTGGGCCGTTTGCGATTGTCTGAGAGGGAAGATCTCGTGCTGTGTTCTCACCACGGGCACAGGCGCAAGGAAGCCCCCAGGAAGTGTGGAATTCCTCGATTGCTTTGATTTGGTGATGGTTTCATGGGTGTTTGCTCAGGTCAAGTCTCACCAAAGTGCACACATGAAATGCGTGCAGCTCTTTGAGTATCAATTATACCTCAAAAAAGCTGAAACACTTTTACACTTGAAATAATCGAAGTGACATTTTAATCTAAAGGTATACAAATCTATCGCCTACATGGCTGATTTTTCCATGAGAGTCTCATTTACAAGAGAAACACAATTATGAAATCAGTACCCTTTACTTTTAAAGGGTAACGGAAGAAGCATAAGTTTCTGTTAGGACAGCGCTTACGCTCTCCCCTATGTTTATTCTGTGGTTAACCACCATGGTAGATCCGCAGTGATTCAGGAAGATGAATTATCTGCAACACGCAGAAGTTCAGTCCTCTGGCATGTACGAATCCTGGTGTGGTTTTTGCACAACATTCTGCCTGGGATGCGTAGGGAGAAGCTGTGATAACAGGATCGGGATTCACTCATGCTTCATTCATCTGGGAGGCCTGCGACTGCCCGGCACAGTGTGGGCTGAGCCTCCAATGCCGAGCACCAGACACTCCACCCTCCTGAGGCACTTGTGCGGATGCAGGTGAGATGCCCAGACCAGCACGGTGTGCGTGGGGGGTCGGGCACCAGAGAACTTGAGATGAGATTCAACTGTGTGGATGGGTCTGGTGGAGGTGGTGGCTCCCGGGCTGGGGAGGCATAAAGATGAATCCCGGTGACCCTTGCCCTGAAAAGCTGCTATGTACATTTAGTAGAAGACTGTCGATGAAAACAGACTCTCAGAAGCAAAGAGGGGCCTCGACGGGCCCCCCCACCCATGTGCAATGCCAGTCTTACTCTCTCCACCCTCGAAGGGAGCATCCTCCTCACCTTTCTGGTCCACCTTCCCTTGCGTTGCCTGCAATTATCCACTGAATTCCTGCAGCCCCAAACAGTCTTTTTGATATGGACTACTTTGAGCTAGACATAAATCAATTAATTAGCAGCGTGTGTTTTTGCTGCTTCATCCACTCACACACTATCTGAGACCCATTCATGTTTCTGGGGGTCCCTCACTCGCCTTGCGCTGGCTGACTCCACTGACATCCACTGGGATGTCCTCATCCACCTGCAGTGAACAAGCATTTGGATCTCTTCCCACTTAGGTCTGTGCAAACAGTGACACCAGGTGCATCTGAAATATGCCACGTGCCCAGGTGCACGCGGGGCGTGAGCAGCTCCCTGACCCCTCTGTGGCGAGAGAGCAGAGGCCCAGGGTGAAGTGGGGAGGTGTGGGTGTGGGGCCAGGCTGGGGTGGGGGAGAGGACACTGGATTCTGGGCTTTATCTGAGGGCCGAGCAGCAGGTGTCATGGCAGATCAGATCTGGTGTTGAACTGGCCTGACTGTCCCATAGAACTGATGTTCATGGTTTCTCTGAATAACACAGAAATGGAGCCTTGTTGTCTTGAAACTTGAGAAAGTGACATTTGTCTTATTTGAGTTCCTTTCTTAGGAAACTGACCATCAGGCCTCCCGGGTAGTGTGAAGGAAGAGAGACTCACCAGATCACGCCATCTGGACAGTGAGATGCCAAACCCCTCACCCATCATGAGTGCCTGACCAGCCACCTGCCTCCTCCTGACCAACTCCTCTTCCTCACTCTCCCTAATTCCTGTTTTCCTTACACACAGTCACACTTCTTCCCTGCTATATAGTCAGTCAGGAAGATGGATTTGAAGCTGACCTCCCATCTCCTGGCCTGTAGCTTCTGATGCACGCCTTCTTCATTGGCAGTAACTATCGTCTTAGTGATTGGCTTTCTGTGTGGAGAGCAGCGGGATCTGGAACAAACCCCTGCATTCCGGGAACAGGGAGAGCAGCCTCAGCAGGCCCCGGGCCCTGAGTGCGGTCATGACCACCAGGGACCACCCACCGAAGGTGAATGTGGACAAGAAAAAAAGGCTCCTGAGGACCCAGCCAGAATTCCTGCAACATCACGGAGAATCATGGCCACCCGGCCCATGCCCCCTTGAAGGGCAGCTGCAAGATTCATCTCATTTGTCTTTCTTTCCTGGACATCTTCAAATTTCCTTCACCACAACCTTGTGATCCTGAGATTCCATCAAGATGTGCATTGTTTTACTATATTGCTTTAATTTACTCTGCCGGTTATCTGGAGAAATGCAACCTCATCAGCAGAAATTATTTCCACCCTGCCACTTTTTAAATGTTATTTCCTATAGCCAGGTACTGAGCCCTTCAATGGAGGTCTAAACCCTCCACTCTCTCCCTCTGGGATTGCCAAGCCTGTGGTTTCAGTTCCATGCTCCCAGGTAGATGATGTCAACTCAAAGTCCAACGGGCTTATGAAATACTTTTTGTGGTTTTTTTCTTAATTTTAAGAGTTTTTTTTTAATGTTTTTGTTTCATGGAGGTGACACCCTCTGTCTTTGACTTGCGGAAGCCTTCCACCTTCAGTCTGCGTGTACTGAAGCCAGTGTTTGCTGTACAGCCTCTCAGCCGCAGCAGCCCACAGTGAGGTGCAGGTGCTCACACCACTGCCCCAGAGAGCTCCTCCATTCGCCCCTCCACCCATAGCCCCTCGAAACCACTGCCCTGCTCCCCAACACGGTAGCACTGTCTTCTCCAAGATGTCATGCGGCGGCATCCCTCGGCCTGTGCGCACCGAAACTAGCTTCCTTCACCGGGCATATGGCCTGGGAGACCTGGGGCATTTGGGTGCATCCTTCCACTGCTGGTTGGTGCCCCCTGTGTGGAAGCATCCGCGTTGGTTCCCGCCTCCTCCTGCCGATGGACATTTTGTTTTCTTCCAGTTATTGGCAATGAGGAATGAGGCCTAAACACTTGTGTGCAGGTTTGTGCATGCATGTTTAAGTTTTCTCTTGGGGGACGTTTCAGGAGCGGGGTTGCTGGATGACAGGGTAAAGATGTGCTTAACTTCATAAGAAACTCCCGGACCACTTTCCAGCATGGCGGGACCCGTCCCATTCCCACTGCAGCTTATGAGGGTCCCAGTTCCTCGGCATCATCACTAGAACCTGGGTCGGCCTGTGGTTTTTGTCTGTTTTTAGCCATTTTAATAGATTTGCAGAGGTACTGTTGACTGGCATTTCTCCAGCATCTCTATGATGTTGAGCCTCTTTCTCGGGCAATATGCCCTCCTTATACCTTCTTTGATTCTCCATTCAAATATCTGCCCTCTCTTTAATACTGGGGTTTTTACTTTCTTATGGTTAAGTTTTGGTGGTTCTTCACATATCCTGCGTGCCAGTACGTTGTGAGACGTGTGATTCACAAATACTTTTTTCTAGACCATAGTTTGTGTTTCATTCTCTTTAGATTTTTATATTGCTTTATAGAATTATAATTTTAAATTTATGATTAAGTTTAATTTGTCAATCTTTTATGAATCATGCTTTTGGTGTCATGTCTAAGAACTTTTCGCCCAACCCCAGGCCATACAAATTTTCCTGTGTTTTTATCTAAGGGTTTTATAGCGTCATGTTCTCCATTTAGGCCTGTGATAAATGTTGAGTAACATTTTGTGTCAGCCATGGCCATACCTTTCTCCATCTCTGACAGTATCGTGGGCGTTTGCAGCTCCCAGTGCCTCGTGCTGTTCCCGTCTTCTTGATCTGCTCTTCCTGTCATACCTTTCTCCATCTCTGACAGTATCGCGGGCGTTTGCAGCTCCCAGTGCCTCGTGCTGTTCCTGTCTTCTTGATCTGCTCTTCCTGTCATACCTTTCTCCATCTCTGACAGTATCGTGGGTGTTTGCAGCTCCCAGTGCCTTGTGCTGTTCCCGTCTTCTTGATCTGCTCTTCCTGTGAGTTCCAGGGCATGTCTTAGTGCTGGCGCTGTCCTGGTCCATCAGGGGGTCCTGTGGGCTTGTCCATGTGGGAAAGTCGGGACTGTGATGTTGACGGGATGCTTTGTGAGTCAGGGGGAGGTGCTGATGGGGGTTTCCCTGTAGGAGAGAGAGGTGTTTGGTTTTCCAGATGGTGCAGACTTGAGAGGGGACAAACTTGAGAAATGCCACCAAGGAGAAGCCCAGGCAGAGCAGGTCTCGGGGCCGCCCAGCTGTGTGGGAGCCAAACGTGGATGTGTCAGTGGCCATGCCAGGAGGTAAACCCTCAACCAAGGGCCTCTGGGTGTCCAAGGCCAAGTCTTATTCAACAGGTGCCTTCAGCTGAGCCAACCATGGCAGAAATGCATAAGGGAGATCCCATGGTTCCTCTGTTTAAATCCCCTGCTAATCCCACCCAACTCAGAGAAGGAGCCAAGTCCTCACAGCAGCCTGCCACCCCCGCCTGACTCGGCCTCCTCTGGCTCTGATTCTCCGTACCCTTCTATCCCTCTCTGTCTCTTCTCCCACCAGAGAGGAGACCCTGCACATTCATCCTGGTGGATTCAAACCCATCTTTGCCACACAGATAGTCACCACAATGAATAGGTATAATCTAGAAAGAGTCCTTTTGAAAAAGAAAAAGGCAGGCCAGGCATGGTGGCTCACGCCTGTAATCCTAGCACTTTGGGAGGCTGAGGCTGGAGAATCACCTGAGGTCAGGAGTTTCAGACCAGCCTGGACAACATGGTGAAACCCCATCTCTGGTAAAAATATAAAAATTAGCTGGGCATGGTGGCGGGCACCTGTAATCCCAGCTACTTGGGAGGTTGAGGCAGGAGAATCACTTGAACCCAGAAGGTGGAGGTTGCAGTGAGCTGAGATCGTGCCACTGCACTCCAGCCTGGGCAACAGAGTGAGACTCTGTCTCAAAAACATAACAATAGGAATAATACAAGAAAACTGCAAATTCAAACAACTTAACAGAAACTGGGCAAAAGAGCTGACCGGCCCTCCACAGAAGAGGAAATGTGGAGGAATGGCTAATGAAAACATGAACAGGGGCTCAGCCTAACAGGGGGAGATATCACATGACACCCACCAGACGGGCAAAAATCCCACCACCCACAACTCAATCAATGCCAGTGTTGGGGAGAATGGAGAGAAGCAGGAACACCACGCCCTGCTAAGAACGGTTGTGAAATCTATTTTGTTATGCTTGTATATGAAAGAATGTATGTTGTGGGTTATGAGGAAAGTTACATTTCTTACCTGGGATGAAATTTTAAAACTTGAAAGCTACTGACCAGAAGAAACTTGCACTTGTGTACAAAAGAAACGCCCAAGAACGTTCCCAACAAAACACAGTCCTCAGGGCCCCAACCTGGCCACACACTCATCCACAGGAAGATGGAAGACATTTCCCATGCTCCCCTCAGACGATGGGAAATCATGCAGCAATGAAAATGAACCGTGTCAGTGTGGGAGGGTCTCAGGGAGAGAATGGAGACGGGAGATCACGCAGCAGTGAAAATGAACCACGTCAGTGTGGGTGGGTCTCAGGGAGAGAATGGAGACGGGAGATCACGCAGCAGTGAAAATGAGCCATGTCAGTGTGGGTGGGTCTCAGGGAGAGAATGGAGACGGGAGATCACGCAGCAATGAAAATGAACCGTGTCAGTGTGGGTGGGTCTCAGGGAGAGAATGGAGACGGGAGATCACGCAGCAATGAAAATGAACCACGTCAGTGTGGATGGGTCTCAGGGAGAGAATGGAGACGGGAGATCACGCAGCAATGAAAATGAACCACGTCAGTGTGGGTGGGTCTCAGGGAGAGAATGGAGGACAGAAATAGACATAGAGCAGATGCTCAGAGCCATGCAGGGCAGGAGCAGCCACGCAGGAGAACTTCCTTACATCAAAGTTCAAAACTACAGCCGAGGCAACAGAGCAAGACCCTGCCTCAAAAAGAAAACAGAAAGTTCAAAAACTAAATGGCATATTTTTTAGGGATGTGCAGATACGTGGTGAAAGAAACGTACTATGAAGAAAAGTGTGGGAATAATAAAGACTAAAGCAGGAACTGATTCCCTCTGCAGGAGAAGGGAAGGGACCCGGGACTCAGGCAGGGCCTCCAGGGAGCATCCACAGTTATGTTTCTTGAGATTCTACTCCCTAAGCTTGGTGGAGGTCCTCTGTGTCCAATGTGTCAATATTCTTTATACCTTACCCATACTGTACAAATGCTTTATTTCTATTCAACATTTAGAAGGCAGTTATAAACAAGATGCATTCAATAGCAAGGTGGCAGATGAACATCAGGAAGGAACATCCATGAGCTTCCATCCACGGAACCTCACCATGGATACGCTTGTGATCAAGGGCCTGGTCTCCCCTCAAGACACGGTCAGAGATCAGAGGCCACACCATCATGGCAGTGGAGCAGGACCAGCTGGGACAGGGTTCTTCTGTGACACCTGCTGCATCCCCAGGCTGTGTGAACGGACTCAATTGCCAGAACTCACAGAATAGCAGTATCAGCGCCGAAACCTCACAGGAAAAATGGTAAGTTCTAAGTTTCTCCACTAATAGTAACTCTCAGATTAATCTCTGTCATCCATTGCTTCTCCAAGAAATAACTTTTTAGGGTGACGTGCCAGGCGACATGTTGGAGGGTTGGTGGTAGTGGCTTGGGGAGATGCTCGCTCTGTTGGTCTCACTCTCTCACATGCTTCCCCTGGCTCCCTTCGTTCCCCCCACCCCACTTGGCCTGCATGCGGGAGTGTGTGCGAGGGAGTGGGAGGACGTCGGGGGGTGAGGGAAGGCATTCTGGTCCCCAAGAGACCCGCGGAGGAAGGCAGAGGCTGTGAGGGACTCCGGGAAGCTATGGACGTCGAGAGGCTCCAGGAGGCGCTGAAAGATTTTGAGAAGAGGGGAAAAAGGAAGTTTGTCCTGTCCTGGATCAGTTTCTTTGTCATACAGCCAAGACTGGAGAAACAGATTCAGTGGTCCCAATTTAAAGGCTATTTTATTTTCAAACTGGAGAAAGTGATGGATGATTTCAGAACTTCAGCTCCTGCGCCAAGAGGTCCTCCCAACCCTAATGTCGAATATATTTCCTTTGATGAAACAAAGGAAAGAATACTGAAAACTGTCACTGGATTTAACCGTATCCCTTTTACTATTCAGCGACTATTGAATTGTTAACAGATCCAAGGAGAAACTATACAGGAACAGACAAATTTCTCAGAGGAGTAGAAAAGCATGTGATGGTTGTTAGCTGTGTTTATCCTTCTTCAGAGAAAAACAATTCCAATAGTTTAAATCGAATGAATGGTGTTATGTTTCCTGGAAATTCACCAAGCTATACTGAGAGGTCTAATATAAATGGGCCTGGGACACCCAGGCCACGTAATCGACCAAAGGTTTCTTTGTCAGCCCCCATGACAACAAATGGGTCGCCTGACAGCACAGACAGCAAAGAGGTAAATTTGCAGCAAAATGAAGAGAAAAATCACAGTGACTCTTCGACATCTGAATCAGAAGTTTGCTCAGTGAGCCCTCTGAAAAATAAACATCCAGATGAAGATGCTGTGGAAGCTGAGGGGCATGAGGTAAAAAGACTCACGTTTGACAAAAAAGGCGAAGTCAGAGAAACAGCCATTCAAGCGACTTGCAGCGAAATTTCTTCGGTTATGGTAGAAGAAACAGAAGCATCACCTTCATCTCAGGATAAAGACAAAGAAAGCCGTTGTACCCGGCAGCACGTACAGAAGAGGATGAAGAAGAGGATGAAGAGGAAGAAGAATATATTGAGAGACCATCTGTAAAAGGGAGGAGTAAGAAGATCCTCAAATTCTTGTATTCATTGCTTTCGTGAAAGAATTGTACATAATAGAACTCCTTGTAATGCCGACATTGGGCTTTTCTCCCACCTGTATGTAGTTGTTGCTGAATTTCAGGGGATGTGATTTGAACTACAGAACATCAGAATTCATGAAACTTAACTGTGGAGGTATTTTGAAAATAAAATTTAAGTACAACAACATTTGCTTATTTTTAGAGTCTTTTATGATATCAAGAGAAATGATCCCGGAAAGAAAAAATCAAGAAAAAGAATCTGATGCCTCAACTGTGAATGAAGAGACTTCTGAGGAAAATAATCAAATGGAGGAATCTGATGTGTCTCAAGCTGAGAAAGATTTACTACATTCCGAAGGTAATGAAAACGAAGGCCCTGAAAGTAGTGGTTCTTCTGACTGCCGTGAAACAGAAGAATTAGTAGGATCCAATTCCAGTAAAACTGGAGAGATTCTTTCAGAATCATCCATGGAAAATGATGACGAAGCCACAGAAGTCACCGATGAACCAATGGAACAAGATTATTTAGAAACATTTAGATGCAGTATTTTACGTACAGTTCTGGTTTTAACGCCGTATAAAACTTTTATGTAAAAAAGTGGACCTTTAGTTTTACAAGAAAAGCAGGTTGTAAAATAAAGTACTTTATGGATAATTCCTGGAAGAGTTGTACATGTAAGAACTGTGAATATCAGCTCCTCTGGGTCCTGCTTACCTTACCGCTGATCTTTCTTTCTTTCTTTCTTTTGGTCTGGGCAAATCAGTGGTTTGTGTATAGATTTTTTTTTAAATTTAGGATTAAGGTTTTTAAACTGGAAGGTAATCATAATGTTGAAAAGTTTTTTGAGATTGTCACATTTAGTTTATACATATGCAAGAAGGTTTTTGTCTTGTCTCTTTCTGATAGCTCTAGCAGTTTTCATATTTTGGTCATAGTTTCAACATTTTAACATGTGAATAATAGGGTTTCATGCTGGTTTCCAGATGTTATTGTTCAGCTACATACAATGGAACATTAAGTTATATTCTAAGGGGGGAAATGTTATATTTTTCTGTTTCTATAAGAGATGAATACAGTGGATACTTTTTCTATTGGTAATGATTGAGTTCACCTCTTTCAGAAGACATTTTCTTTCGCTTCTGAGTAACTGAAATAAAATCTGGCCTTTGTGAAACCCTGGAAATACCACGACCCACAACTAGAAACACCAATACCAGCTCCTCCACGAGTTTCCAGCTCCACAACCTAAGACATCAGAGGCAGCATTGGCTCCTCACCCAGATTCCAGCTCCGGGACCCTCATATTTGAACTGCAGGACCATCTCATCCCTGGATCTCCAGCTGCACCACACTCAAATTAGAACAACATCAGCTCCTCTCCAGGTCTCCACCTGCACAGCCCTCGAACGGGAACGTCAGCTCCTCCCCGGGTCTCCAGCTGCACGGCCCTAAAACTAGAACATCAGCTCCCGCCCGGGTCTCCAGTTGCACCATCCTCAAACTGGAACATCAGATCCCCACGGGTCTCCAGCTGCAGGGCCCTCAAACTGGAACATCAGCTCCCCACCAGATCTCCAGCTGCACGGCCCTCAAACTGGAACATCAGCTCCCCGCTGGGTCTCCAGCTGCATGGCCTGCAAACTGGAACATGAGCTCCCCGCCGGGTCTCCAGCTGCATGGCCCTCAAATTGGAACATCAGCTCCCCACCAGATCTCCAGCTGCACGGCCCTCAAACTGGAATATCAGCTCCACCCTGGGGCTCCAGGTGCACAGCCCTCAAACTGCAACATCAGCTCCCAGCCGGGTATCCAGCTGCATGGCCCTCAAACTGCAACATCAGTTCCCCGCCGGGTCTCCAGCTTCACGGCCCTCAAACTGGAACATCAGCTCCCCGCCCAGGTCTCCAGCTCCACGGCCCTCAACCTGCAACATCAGCTCCCCACCGGGTCTCCAGATGCATGGCCCTCAAACTGGAACATCAACTCCCCACCAGGTCTCCAGATGCACGGCCTGCAAACTGGAACATCAGCTCCCATCAGATCTCCAGCTGCACAGCCCTCAAACTGGAATATCAGCTCCACCCCGGGGCTCCAGGTGCACAGCCCTCAAACTGCAACATTAGCTCCCAGCCAGGTATCCAGCTGCATGGCCCTCAAACTGCAATATCAGCTCCCAGCCAGGTATCCAGCTGCATGGCCCTCAAACTGCAACATCAGCTCCCCCCCGGGTCTCCAGCTCCACGGCCCTCAAACTGCAACATTAGCTCCCCGCCAGGTCTCCAGCTTCACGGCCTTCAAACTGGAACATCAGCTCCCCGCCCAGGTCTCCAGCTCCACGGCCCTCAACCTGCAACATTAGCTCCCCACTGGGTCTCCAGATGCACAGCCCTCAAACTGGAACACTGGCTCCCCACCGGGTCTCCAGCTGCATGGCCTTAAACTGGAACATCAGCTCCTAGGCCCTCAAACAGGAACATCAGCTCCCCACAGGGTCTCCAGCTGCACGGCCCTCAAATTGCAACATCAGTTCCCCCCTGGGTCTCCAGCTGCACCACCTCAAACTGCAACATCAGCTCCCTGCTGGGTCTCCAGCAGCACGGACCTCAACCTGGAACATTAGCTCCTACCCACCCGGGTCTCCAGCTCCACGACCCTCAACCGGCAACACTGGCTCCCCACCGGTTCTCCAGATGCACGGCCCTCAAACATCAGCTCCCAGCCGGGTCTCCAGCTGCACGGCCCTCAAACTGGAACATCAGCTCCCCGCCAGGTCTCCAGATGCACGGCCCTCAAACTGGAACATCAGCTCCCAGCCAGGTATCCAGCTGCATGGCCCTCAAACTGCAACATCAGTTTCCCCCCGGGTGTCCAGCTTCATGGCCCTCGAACTGGAACATCAGCTCCCCACCCAGGTCTCCAGCTCCACGGCCCTCAACCTGCAACATCAGCTCCCCACCGGGTCTCCAGATGCACGGCCCTCAAACTGGAACATCAACTCCCCACCCAGGTCTCCAGCTCCACGGCCCTCAACCTGCAACATCAGCTCCCCACCGGGTCTCCAGATGCACAGCCCTCAAACTGGAACATCAACTCCCCGTCGTGTCTCCAGATGCACGGCCTGCAAACTGGAACATCAGCTCCCGTCAGGTCTCCAGCTGCACAGCCCTCAAACTGCAACATCAGCTCCCAGCCAGGTATCCAGCTGCATGGCCCTCAAACTGGAACATCAGCTCCCCGCCCAGGTCTCCAGCTCCACGGCCCTCAACCTGCAACATCAGATCTCCACCGGGTCTCCAGATGCACAGCCCTCAAACTGGAACACTGGCTCCCCCCCGGGTCTCCAGCTGCATGGCCTTAAACTGGAACATCAGCTCCTAGGCCCTCAAACAGGAACATCAGCTCCCCACAGGGTCTCCAGCTGCACGGCCCTCAAATTGCAACATCAGTTCCCCTACTGGGTCTCCAGCTGCACCACCTCAAACTGCAACATCAGCTCCCTGCTAGGTCTCCAGCAGCATGGCCCTCAACCTGGAACATCAGCTCCCACCCACCCGGGTCTCCAGCTCCACGGCCCTCAACCGGCAACACTGGCTCCCCACCGGTCCTCCAGATGCACGGCCCTCAAACTGGAACATCAGCTCCACCCCGGGTATCCAGCTGCACGGCCCTCAAACTGGAACATCAGCTCCCCACCAGGTCTCCAGATGCACGGCCCTCAAACTGGAACATCAGCTCCCCGCTGGGTCTCCAGCTGCACGGCCCTCAAACTGGAACATCAGCTCCCCGCCGGGTCTCCAGGTGCACGGCCCTCAAACTGGAACATCAGCTCCCCGCCAGGTCACCAGCTGCACGGCCCTCAAACTGGAACATCAGCTTCCCGCCGGGTCTCCAGCTGCATGGCCCTCAAATTGCAACATCAGCTCCCAGCAGAGTCTCCAGCTGCACGGCCATCAAACTGGAACATCAGCTCCCCCGCGGGTCTCCAGCTGCACAGACCTCAAACTTGAACATCAGCTCCCTGCCGGGTCATCAACTGCACGGCCCTCAAACTGGAACATCAGCTCCACCCCTGGGTCTCCAGCAGCATGGCCCTACAACTGGAACATCAGCTTCCCCCCCGGGTCTCCAGCTGCACAGCCCTACAACTGGAACATCAGCTCCCTGCCGGGTCTGCAGCTGCATGGCCCTCAAATTGGAACATCAGCTCCCCGCCAGGTTCAAATTGTTCCAGTTTGAGGGCCGTGCAGCTGAAGACCCGGTGGGGAGCTGATGTTCCAGTCTGAGGGCTGTGCAGCTGGATACCCGGTGGGGAGCTGAAGTTCCAGTTTGAGGGCTGTGAAGCTGGAGACCCGGTGGGGAGCTGATGTTCCAGTTTGAGGGCCATGCAGCTGGAGACTCAGTGGTAGCCGATGTTGCAGTTTGAGGGCCGTGCAGCTGGAGACCCGGGTGGGAACCGATGTTCCAGTCTGGGAGCCATGCAGCTGGAGGCACTGCGGGGAGCAGATGTTCCAGTTTGATGTTCCCCCCTGGGTCTCCAGGTGCACGGCCCTCAAACTGGAACATCAGCTCCCCACCGGATCTCCAGCTGCACAGCCGTCAACATCAGCTCCTCCCCGAGTCCTCAGCTGCGCAACCCTCAAGTTAGAACATCAGCTTCTCCCCAAGTCTTCAGCTGTGCGACCCTCAATCTAGAACATCAGTTCCTCTCTGGGTCTGCAGCTGCAAGACCCTGAAACTACATCAGCTTCTCTCTGGGTCTGCAGCTGCAAGACCCTCAAACTACAACATCAGCTTCCCTCCAGGTCTCCAGTTCCGTGACCCTAAATCTAGAACATCAGCTCCTCCGAGTCTCCAACTGAAAGACCCACAACGCAAACAACTTCAGCTCCTCCACAAGTCTTCAGCTGCACGACGCTCAATCTAGAACATCAGCTCCTCTCCGGGTCTGCAGCTGCAAGACCCTCAAACTACAACGTCAGCTCCTCTCCGGGTTTTCACCTCCATGACCCTCAATCTAGAACATCAGCTCCTCCCTGAGTCTCCAGCTGAAAGACCATCAAAGTGAACATCATCAGCTCCTCCCCGAGTCTTCAGCTGCACGATGTTCAATCTAGAACATCCGCTCCTGTCTGGTTCTCCAGCTGCACGACCCTCAAACTACAACCTCAGCTCTTCCCCGAGTCTTCTGCAGCATGATCCTCAATCTAGAACATAAGCTCCTCTCTGGGTGTCCAGCTGTAGGGACCTCAAATTAGAACGTCACCTCCTCCCAGAGTCTTCAGCTGCACGACCCTCAATCTATAACATCAGCTCCTCTCCGGGTTTCCAGCTCCATGACCCTAAAAATACATGAGCAGCTCCTCCCTGAATCTTCAGCTGCACAACCTCAAATTACAACATCAGCTCCTGTCTGCATCTCCAGCTGCAGGGCCCTCAAACTAGAATATGAGCTCCTCCCCGAGTCTTCAGCTGCACGACCCTCAAACTAGATCATCAGTTCCTGTACAGATCTCCAACTGTAGGGCCCTCAAACTAGAACATCAGCTTCTCCCCGAGTTTGCAGCTGCAAGACCCTCAAATTACAACCTCAGCTCCTCCCGGAGTCTTCAGCTGCACGACCCTCAATCTCGAACATCGGATCCTCTCCGGGTCTGCAACTGTAGGGCCCTCAAACTATAACATCAGCTCCTCTCCGGGTCTGCAGCTGTAAGGCTCTCAATCTAGAAATTCAGCTCCTCCCCGAGTCTTCTGCTGCACGACCCTCAACCTAGAACCGCAGCTCCTACCCGAGTCTTCAGCTGCATGACCCTCAATCTAGAAAATCAGCTCCTCTCCAGGTCTGCAGCTGCAAGACCCTCAAACTAGAACATGACCTTCTCTCCAGGTCTCCAGTTCCATGACCCTAAATCTAGAACATCAGCTCCTCCCTGAGTCTCCAACTGAAAGACCCTCAAGGCGAACAACATCACCTCCTCCCCAAGTCTTCAGCTGCAAGACCCTCAAACTAGAACATCAGATCCTCTCCAGGTCAGCAGCTGCAAGACCCTCAAACTAGAACATCAGCTCCTCTCCAGGTCTGCAGCTGCAAAATACTCAAACGAGAACATCAGCTCCTCTCCAGGTCTGCAGTTGCAAGACCCTCACACTAGAACATCACCTCCTCTACAGGTCCACAGCTGCAAGACCCTCAATCTAGAACCTCAGCTCCTCCCCGGGTTTTCAGCTGCAAGACCATCAAACTAGAACCTAAGCTCCTCCCCGAGTCTTCAGCTGCAAGACCCTCAATCTAGAACCTCAGCTCCTCCCTGGGTCTTCAGCTGCATGACCCTCAATCTAGAACCTCAGCTCCTCCCTGGGTCTTCAGCTGCATGACCCTCAATCTAGAACATCAGCTCCTATCCAGGTCTGCAGCTGCATGTCCCTCAAACTAGAACATCAGCTCCTCTCCAGGTCTCCAGCTGCATGACCCTCAAACTAGAACATCAGCTCCTCTCCAGGTCTCCAGCAGCATGACCCTCAAACTAGAACATCAGCTCCTCCCCGGGTCTTCAGCTGCATGACTCCAAAATTAGAACCTCAGCTCCTCCCCGAGACTTCAGCTGCACGATCCTCAATCTAGAACATCAGCTCCTATCCAGGTCTGCAGCTGCAAGATTCTCAAATCAGAACATCAGCTCCTCTCCGAGTCTGCAGCTGCACGACCCTCAAACTAGAACATCAGCTCCTCTCAGGAACTGCAGCTGCAAGACCCTCAAACTAGAATATCAGCTCCACTCCGGGCCTGCAGCTGCAAGACCCTCAATCTAGAACCTCAGCTCCTCCCCGGGTCTTCAGCTGCATGACCCCCAAATTAGAACCTCAGCTCCTCCCCGAGTCTTCAGCTGCATGACCCTCAATCTAGAACATCAGCTCCTATCCAGGTCTGCAACTGCACGTCCCTCAAACTAGAACATCAGCTCCTCTCCGGGTCTGCAGCTGCAAGATTCTCAAATCAGAACATCAGCTCCTCTCCGAGTCTGCAGCTGCATGACCCTCAAACTAGAACATCAGCTCCTCTCTGGAACTGCAGCTGCAAGACCCTCAAACTAGAACATCAGCTCCTCTCCGGGTCTGCAGCTGCACGACCCTCAATCTAGAACCTCAGCTTCTCCCCAGGTCTTCAGCTGCATGACCCCCAAATTAGAACCTCAGCTCCTCCCCGAGTCTTCAGCTGCATGGCCCTCAACCTAGAACATCAGCTCCTATCCAGGTCTGCAGCTGCACGTCCCTCAAACTAGAACATCAGCTCCTCTCCAGGTCTCCAGCTGCACGACCCTCAAACTAGAACATCAGCTCCTCTCCGGGTCTGCAGCTGCAAGATTCTCAAATCAGAACATTAGCTCCTCTCCGAGTCTGCAGCTGCATGACCCTCAAACTAGAACATCAGCTCCTCTCTGGAGCTGCAGCTGCAAGACCCTCAATCTAGAACCTCAGCTCCTCCCCGGGTCTTCAGCTGCATGACCCCAAAATTAGAACCTCAGCTCCTCCCCAAGTCTTCAGCTGCACGACCCTCAATCTAGAACATCAGCTCCTGTCCAGGTCTGCAGCTGCAAGATTCTCAAATCAGAACATCAGCTCCTCTCCGAGTCTGCAGCTGCACGACCCTCAAACTAGAAACATCAGCTCCTCTCCGGAACTGCAGCTGCAAGACCCTCAAACTAGAATATCAGCTCCACTCCGGGTCTGCAGCTGCACTACCCTCAATCTAGAACCTCAGCTCCTCCCTGGATCTTCAGCTGCACGACCCCCAAATTAGAACCTCAGCTCCTCCTCGAGTCTTCAGCTGCTTGACCCTCAATCTAGAACATCAGCTCCTATCCAGGTCTGCAGCTGCACGTCCCTCAAACTAGAACATCAGCTCCTCTCTGGGTCTGCAGCTGCACGACCCTCAAACTAGAACATCAGCTCCTCTCCGGAACTGCAGCTGCAAGACCCTCAAACTAGAATATCAGCTCCTCTCCGGGTCTGCAGCTGCATGGCCCTCAATCTAGAACCTCAGCTCCTCCCCGGGTCTTCAGCTGCATGACCCTCAAACGAGAATATCAGCTCCTCTCCAGGTCTCCAGCTGCACGACCCTCAAACTAGAACCTGCACGACCCTCAAACTAGAACATCAGCTCCTCCCTGGGTCTGCAGCTGGAAGATCCACTAACTAGAACATCAGCTCCTGCCGGGTCTGCAGCTCTGTGACCCTCGATCAAGATTACCAGCTCTTCCCTGAGTCTCCAGCTGAAAGACCCTCAACGTGAACAACATCACCTCCTCCCCGAGTCCTCAACTGCACGACCCTCAAACTACAACATCTCCTCCTCCCCGAGTCTGCAGCTGCACGACCATCAATCTAGAACATCAGCTCCTCTCCGGGTCTGCAGCTATAAGAACCTAACCGTAGAAGATCAGCTCCTCCGTGGGTCTGCAGCTGGAAGATCCACTAACTAGAACATCGGCTCCTGTCCAGGTCTCCAGCTCCATGACCCTCAATCAAGATTATCAGCTCCTCCCTGAGTCTCCAGCTGAAAGACCCTCAATGCGAACAACATCAGCTCCTCCCCGAGTCCTCAGCTGCATGACCCTCAAATACAACATCAGCTCCTCCCCGAGTCTTCAGCTGCACGACCCTCAATCTAGAACATCAGCTCGTCTCCGGGTCTGCAGCTGCAAGAACCTAAAACTAGAACATCAGCTCCTCCCTGGATCTGCAGCTGGAAGATCCATTAAGTAGAATATCAGCTCCTGTCCGGGTCTCCAGCTCCATGACCCTCAATCAAGATTATCAGCTCCTCCCTGAGTCTCCAGCTGAAAGACCCTCAAGGCGAACAACATCAGCTCCTCCCCGAGTCCTCAACTGCATGACCCTCAAACTACAACATCTCCTCCCCGAGTCTGCAGCTGCATGCCCCTCAATGTAGAACATCAGCTCCTCTCCAGGTCTGCAGCTGCACGACCCTCAATGTAGAACATCAGCTCCTCTTCAGGTCTGCAGCTGCAAGACCCTCAAACTAGAACATCAGGTCCTCTCCAGGTCTGCAGCTGCAAGACCCTCAAACTAGAACATCAGGTCCTCTCCAGGTCTGCAGCTGCAAGACCCTCAAACTAGAACATCAGCTCCTCTCCAGGTCTCCAGCTGCACGACCCTCAATCTAGAACATCAGCTCCTCTCCGGGTCTGCAGCTGCAGGGCCCTCAAGGTGGAACATCAGCTCCTCCCCAAGCTAGAACACCTCTCCCACCTGGATCTCCAGCTCCACGACCCTCACAGAACAATCCCTTCTCATGAAATTCAGCAGTCAAGAAATCTGCAGCGGAAGTAAATGAATAAATGTTTTGTTTTCAAATCGATATCTCTTTTATGTTCGTGAGTTAACTTTTCTACTTTCCATTAGCCTTGCAATCTACTTATGTCCAATGTGAAATAGAAACACACCATTTGAAATCACGTTTAAAATCTTAGTAATATTTTTAAATAAAATCATCACACAGCTGTAGACACGATCTTATTTCTCTCTGCCTGTGCAGAAATCTTATGAAAATTCGAACTATGAATTTACTTTGTTGAGATTCCCAGAATACACATTAATCCCAACTGTTACTCCCCTCCTTAAAATCTTTTAACATATTCCCATCACCTGAGCATAAATGCCAGCTCCCATCCACAGCCCAAAGTGCCCAGCACGGCCCTGCCCTCTGCCCTGGTCTATGGTCTCCCCTCTTAAATGCCAGCACCATCCACAGCCCACAGTGCCCAGCACAGCCCTGCCCTCTGCTCTGGTCTAAGGTCTCTCCCCTGTGCTGTTCCCTTCCTGCCGGGCAGGCCTCTGTCCGTTCCTCAAACCACACAGGCTCAGGCCTGACTCCAGGCCTTTGCCCTGCTGTGCCCTCTGCCTAGGGTGCCTTTCCCGGGCTCTGCATCCTCCTCTCAACCCGCTGAGCTCCAGCCTGCTGGTCGCCCCTCAGGTGGATGAACACATGGTGTCCTCTCGCCCCGCTGGCTTTTGCACAGGCTCTTCTCTGTGCCAGACACAAACCCTCTCTATCGGGGTTTACTCTCTAAATACCATTCGTCCTTGGAGTCTCCACTGAAATATCGCTCCCTGCCCACCCCCCTCCCTTGGACTTAACCTTGGTTAGGTTGCCAACCCCCGTCTCCTGACTCCGGGAAGCTAGATGCTCTCCTAGCACTCGGAACTTGCCCATCGCCACATTTGCACACCCGTGATTACTGGGTTAGGTTGGTGCACAAGTCATCGTGGTTTTTGCCATTACTATTAATGAACTGCAGCACCGGCTCCTCCCCGTTTTTTTTTTTTTGCCATTACTTTTAATGACTGCTGCACCAACCTATTAGAATCATTTATATTTATTCATCCATCATCTGCCTTCCCCTCTAGAAAGGAAGCTCCATGAGAATAGAAGCCAAATCTACTCAAATCACTCCACCTTCCCACACATTGTCAATAATCATTTACCAACTGACTGATAGAGAAATGCCTTCCCTGTTGCTGGGATGAGGCACATGACACGCCCCTTTGAAAGTCACTGTCATGGACAGTTGGCATTCGCTCTTCACTGCTGTACCCGTGGCGTGGCTGGGTTTAGGCTGATCTAGTCTGGCCTTGACTCCAGGCTGAGGATGGGAACCATGCCTGCTCCACATGCCTCTCATCCCACAGCCAGAGCCGCCGTTCCCTGGGGCACGCACATCTCGTGGGGAAAATCAAGAGCCTTAGAGGGCAGGCCTGGCAGCGCCACACATTCCAGGCTTCTGCTTCTGCCGTGTCTGTGAAAATCTCATTGGCAGAAGCAAGTCACCCAGCCACGAGCCACACCTATGGGATGGATAAGTCCATCCACCCTCCCTCGGGCCCTGGCAAGGTTGTGGCTATGTCATACTCTTATGGGGGGAGTGAAAAATTGAGGCCCAACATTAAATCACCCACGCAAGAAATGTCAGCCTCTGTCCCCACGCTGGAATCATTCTTCACCAGCCGGTTTGCCTGAATTCCCTTTGCAATGGTGTCTGCAGGTTTAGGCCAATGCTGTTCCCCGTGGAGGACAGAGAAGCCTCAATGGGCCTCCATCTGTTGGGAAGAACAAGATATTAGCTTGGTGCAAAACCACCGCAAGCCCCAGGGGGCCCTTGTGCCATGAGACAGGAGAGGGGCAGAGAACTGTGAGAACTCAGGAAACTTGCATCCCCAGCCCCTCCCGTGCATCCCCAGCCCCTCCCCCGTGACCCCAGCACCAGTCCTCTTCCCCTGCTTGCCCCATCTCTGCTTTCTTTTTTTCATTTTCTTTCTTTCGTTTTTTTTGAGACAGGGTCTGGCTGTGTCACCCAGGCTGGAGTGCAATGGCACGATCTCGGCTTACTGCAGCCTTCACCCCCTGGGCTGAAGCAATTCTCCCTCCTCAGCCTCCCCAGTGGCTGGGACTACAGGTGCATGCCACCATACCCAGCTAATTTTTATTTTATTTTTATTTATTTATTTATTTATTTATTTATTTATTTATTTATTTATTTATTTTTGTAGAGACAGGATCTGCCATGTTGCCCAGGCTGGTCTCAAATTCCTGAGCTCAAGTAATCCTCCCACCTCAGCCTCCCAAAGTGCTGGGATTACAGGCATGAGCCACCGAGTCCAACCTACTTTATTTTTCTCTACAGTACTTGGAACCTTCTAATGTACTAAGGACACGTGTATTTTCTTTCTTTTTTGTCTTCCCTAGAACAGGAGCTTAATGTGGGCAGGTATTTTTGTTGATCTCATTTATCACCCTATCCCCAGTGCCTGGAACAGGGTCTGGCACATGAATGGTGTGTTCTAAATAAATATTTTTAATAGATAAATAAATGAAATATCCTACAAGAGAAAGCTAGTATCTGGAACTCACCCATCAACAGAACCTAAAAGCCAAAGACCTTTAGCCTGTCTCTGCCTCTGAACACACCCAACCCCGGAGGAGCCAGCAGAGGAAAAAGAGGAACAAAGGCGGGGAAGGGAGCAGGTGGTGCCCACCAAGTAAGGAACCCTGAGGCTTAGGCCGAACCTGAGCTGGAGAAGGGACTCATCTAGGAACTGGGTATGAGATTAAAGTTTAGACTGGTCTGGCCTGGATTTTGTAACACCTAAACAAGGGTTAGTCCATTCTTTTTTTGTGTTTTTTTTTTTTTTTTGAGATGGAGTCTCACTGTCCCCCAGGCTGGAGTGCAGTGGCGCGATCGCAGCTCACTGCAACCTCTGCCTCCCAGGTTCAAGTGATTCTCACGCCTCAGCCTCCCGAGTAGCTGGGATTATAGGCGCACACCACCATTCCCGGCTAATTTTGTATTTTTAGTAGAGATAGGGTTTCACCATGTTGGCCCCCTGGCTCACGCCTGTAATCCCAGCACTTTGGGAGGCCGAGGTGGGCGGATCATGAGGTCAGGAGATTGAGACCATCCTGGCTAACACGGTGAAACCCCATCTCTATTAAAAATACAAAAAATTAGCTGGGCATGGTGGCAGGTGCCTGTAGCCTCAGCTACTCAGGAGGCTGAGGCAGGAGAATCGCTTGATCTCCAGATGCAGAGGTTGTAGTGAGCCAAGATCAATGCCATTGCACTCCAGCCTGGGTGACAGAGCAAGCCTTCAGCTCAAAAACAAACAAACAAACAAACAAACAAAAAACCTTCAAATGAATGTAAGAATTATTATTTTTTAAAGTACAGCTTTAAAAATGCCCCTTACAAATACATCAGTGTTATATTAAGGCAAACCCACTTCAGAAGCACAAAGTTAATTTCTTATAATTCCAAGAAATATGTGAATGTTAAAAAAAACCCAAACACCCGAAAAGGGATCAAACTCAAGATAGTTTGTAACATTTTATTGCAAAAAGAAGGGCAGAGAACAGTCTTTTTCTTCGTACCTGTTCACCGCAGTAATTTTTAGCAGCTCTCCTGTGCAAAGAAGTCTAATCAATGAATCAGCGTATAGGCCACAAATACCTTCTCAGTGCGGTTTCACCTAGAATACAAGCACTCAGAAGCACAAATTTAACTGAAGTGAGAAACCAGGCCATTTTGTAGCTTCAGTTTTTCTACCAGTAATATATTAATTTCTTGAAATAGCCTAATAATTTAGTTCTACTATCAAAACAGAAGCCCAATCTGGGAGAACAATTATTATAGAAGTCAAACTAATTTCAATCATATTAGTATACAAATTCATATTAGCATAGCCTAATAATTCATATTAGTAGAGGTGGGAGGATCACTTGAGCCTAGGAGTTTGACACCAGCCTGGGCAAGACAGTGAGACTCCATCTCTACTTTTTTTTTTAAATAAAGAAATTCAGAGAGGAGAAGGAAGTGGATTGATATGTGTCTATCCAAGGACAAATTTTGTGTGCCTGTACATACAACTCAACTATGAACCTTCCTTCACACAGCTCACAATCTAGTAGCGAGAGGGAATTACGAAAACATGAGCCCCCACGATGAGGAAAAAGGCGCATATCAGAGAAAAGAAAAATGCTGCGATGATCCAATGGCAGGAGCAGCACGCATCCACTTTCTTTGTTTTTTTGAGATGGGGTTTCGCTCTGTCTCCCAGGCTGGAGTGCCGTGGCTTGATCTCAGCTCAATGCAGCCTCAACCTCCCAGGCTCAAGTGATCTTCCCATCTCAGCCTCCCAAGTAGCTGGGAATACAGGCGTGCACCACTACACTTGTTTAGTTTTTGTAGAAACAGGGTCTCACGATGTTGCCAAGGCTGGCATCCTGAAGGGCGGGTGGGGCTTCATCCTACAGAGATGAAAGGCAGAAGAAGCTCAGAGCCCAAAGCAAAGGGGTGGAGGACAAGGGCATCTTCAGAACAGAGTGGCTCGGCTGAGACATCCAGTAGGATGCCACCAGGCAGAGGTGTGGTGGAAAAACACAGGGCCACGGTGAATGCTCACATGTGAGGAGCAAACCACCACAGAACACAACAGAAACACGGTGTACTAAATCAGGCTTCAAATCGCAGCCCTGCAACTTCAGAGCTACCGCAGGTAACCCAGAAAGGGAGCACGGACAGCACCGCCCACTGCCTGAGGCTATGAGATGGACCAGAAACCTGTGCTTACTAACAACCTGCCTTATTCCAGAAAGAATTCAGGGAACACAAAGACACTCACAGTACAGCAAAATAAAGTAAATGTGAATCATGTTGGCTGAGGAGAAAGTGAAGAGTCTAAGACTATGTCATAAAGTTTACCTCTACTCTAAACTCTCATTACTGGCGAGCCACCAATCTGACTTTAAGTTTTCTACCAGCTAAATTGAAGAGGAAAATGTAATCAGGTAAAGGTTTATAAGATGCAAACAAAAGAGAACAGCCACCACAGTTTCTGAGAACACACGCAGCTCCAGCTCCAGGAGAAACAGGGTGGCCATCTCCTGGGGCTGCCCCACAGCAGGCGTGTGAGCCCCAAAGCCAGCGTCTCTCAGGGTGAACGGTGACTACGGGCTTCATGGGGCCACACGCCTCCAGTACAAGCTGAGGAAATCTCCCAGGGCAATTCAAGGAACAGGGTCTCACAATGTTGTCCAGGCTGGTCTCAAACTCCTGGGCTCAAGCGATCCCCCTGCCTCGGCCTCCCAAAGTGTTGGGAGGTCAGATGTGAGCCACTGCATCTGGCCCCGCATGCACTTTATAGAGGAGGGCTTTGCATCCTGAAGGGCGGGTGGAGCTTCATCCTGCAGAGATGAAAGGCAGAGGAAGCTCAGAGCCCAAGGTAAAGGGGGGCGCCTAACAAAAGCGACTCCATTGGGACCACAGTGAGAGGGTCCCGACACACAGCTTGGGTTAAGCCAGACACTGATTTCAAAGTATCTCAGGAATGGTGGACTCAGCACCTGTCAGGCAATTCTCTCTCTCAAGCAGTCTCCTGGTAGATATTTAGTAGCAGCTGAAATCAAGATTATGTTCTGACTGACACTTGCTGATGGTTAAAGAGCTATATATGCTTTGAGGACCAGCTGAACTGGGGCAGGACTAATGCCCTCTGGTGAAAATACAGGAACCCAAACACACAAGTCAGAGCAGGAGGTGTCTCCCCAAACCCCAAACAATAATGCTGACCTTGGATTTGGGTTAAGTGCCTAGCCCAGCATGTGAGTGTTCAGTAAGTGGAAACCATCATCACCATCATCAGGTAATGGAAAACCATCAAAGCTTTGAGCTGGCTTGTTAGCCAAGAATAGTAGCAGTGTATTAGCTACTACTAATACTCACAGCTGACAATTACTGACCACTTGTTCCGTGCCAGGAATCACGGAAGCACCTCGCATGCATTTCCTCAATACTCCCTCCCAGTAACAGCAAGGACACAAAACTGGTAGAGCCAGGACTGGAATCCAGGCCGGCCCCAAAGCACTCCAGTGGAGCCTGCCAAGGTGGGCAGGCTACCATACTAATGCGGTCCAGTATTTGACCACCACTCCTAGTTGAGCAAGTTTAACAGAAAACCTAAAACTAAACCTAAAATCTAAAAATTTGAGCAAATGCATAAAAAGCAGGCTGTTAAAATGGATCATAAATCTTGCATCACTCGCTGGAAAACCACTCAAAATAAACGTCTCTGAGACATGGCCTCTGAGGAGGGCACTCTGTGTGGCTCATATCACCTTGCTGACAAACCACTTGAACCTGGGTGGTCATCTGACCATACTGAACAGACGATGCACAGAGCCATTTGCATCCACTGTGGTCAACATTTAGGAAGTTTTAAGCTAAGATTTGCCAAATTGTAGCCTACTGGATTCCGGGTTCTCTTGACATCTCTTTCTAGTCGCCATGTCTTGCACTTCCCGAGTATAAATGAACTGAGATGCAAATAAAAAAAGGAGGATTTAAGAATAATGAAAAGAGAAAAATCAAGAAAGCACAATCACTAGTGTAGAGATAACAGCATTTCTGAATTCCCTGAAAACAATCTATATAAATGCATGTGAAATAATACACCAGCATCTGTGGCCCACACGCCACATATTAGGAACGGATGTCATAATATAAGGTAAACATGTTACTCTGAAAACACAAATCCTCACAAATCAGGCAGTAAGGCTGAATCCAGCACCCCCCCCACCCACAGCGCAGTGAGGCAGTGTCTAGCAGCCGTAGTGCTCCCCGCGTCCCAGTTCAGTCTCCGGCAACATCAGATACTTCCCACTAATAACGAGGAGCCTTTCAACATTTTCACAACATCTCAAAACTGACCCCTTTTCTAGCTTAAATGGCACGGATCTGGAAAGGCAAACTATACACAGAATCTAAAGCAGTAGTCAGGTGTTCAATGAAGTAAAATGTATCCAATGATAGCTCAGGGGAGGGGGATCAATTGAGCTGAAACTGGCAAGAACGTAACTCCAGGGAGCTCACAACACGCAAGGACCCGGATTTCCCGCTGCCTGAACGCCCAGTATTCGCACACTGATAAGAACACCTCCCCATAACTCCCCTGCCAGCGCCTCCAACACCCCCAATCCTTTCCCCAGGAACCCAGTCCCAGTTTCTGCAGTTCCTGTAACAGCCACGTTCCCACACAAGGGCTGCCTGAGCTCCCCAAGCCCTCCAACAATCACCCCCCAGTGCCCTCGAAGGTCTATTCAGAGAAGTCACCAAGATGCAGTCACCCAGGAAATTCAAGGACCTCCAACTTACCAAAAGGCTTTCGGCTGTACAGAGCTAAGCTTCCTATTCCCCTCCTAAACCTACAATCTAGTTTTCATTTCTCAAGAAGCCTTTCCCTGTGCTCACGCACGCAGTTGTTACCTGGCTCGGTGAGGCACTCCAAGCAGTAACAGCGGTAGCCACAAAATAAACCAGAAGCATCTCCACCATGAAGCAGTATTAACAATTTGTCCTAATGATTCCTTTGTCCTTGGAAAAACAACTTCAGAAAGTTATCCACTGTGAACAGGGCAGGCTCACGGCTTCTTGGTCCGGAGACCCAGTTCCCACTGGCCCACTCACCGTTGGAGAGAGCTTGCTGAAGCTCGGTGTCTGATATCACTCCACTCCTGTCTTTATCGACCCTATAACATCAAGAAGACCAAATAAGCTGGCGATCGAAAGTTCAGGAAAAGCAAAACAAACGTCTCCTGTCAACCCTGCACCGACTCTGGAAGGCTCCCTCCTGGAACCTCCGCCTCTCCCGTCCCGCTGAGGAGTACAGCGGAATCAAGGAAGTGCCCCAGGAGCCGACGTCCAGTGTGGTCTTCCCCTAAGAGGACAATCATCTTCACCTCAATCCTTCCCTTCCTTCCTCTCCTGGCCTGTCTGAATTCCCATTTGCACCAGTTTCCCTTTTTCACAGACAAGAAAAGATTCCCTCAGATAACTAAGCCATTCCCTGGCCATCAGTCACTACAGTTTCGGACATTCGGTGGAAAAGCGACCAGGGACAGAAGGCGCCACCATAAAGGTCACCTGGCCCGAGCAGACGCCAGGTCGCTGCTTCTTCCTTGGCTGCTGACATTTTAACAGCGGCCCAGACAGTCTGTTTCCGCTTTCCCCAAACAAGCACCCTGGAGACCCTCCACCTGGCGGCTCTTGAGGCGAGAAAAAGGGCCTAGCCCAGGAGCCGGTGGCCGCGACCTCGGGTCTGCAGTGGCGCACTCTGCATCTTGGGAAGGGCCGACGCACAGGACAGGGACCGGGCAGGAGGCAGGGGCGGCCCCAGGAGACCGGGCAGCGGACGGGGGAGACCGCGGGGGACCCGCCAGGGGACGGGGGCGGCCGCGTCGGCTGGGGCAGGGGTCGGGGGAGGCGGCGGCGGTCGGGGCAGGGGACGGGGGAGGCCGCTGGGGACACGGCAGGTGACGGGGGAGGCCGCGGGGCAACCGGCAGGGAACGGGGTTGGCCGCGGGGGTCGGGACAGGGGTCCGGGGCGGCTGCGCGGGAGGCGGGAGATGCCGGGGCGGTGCCAGCCCGCACCTCTGGAAGACGTTCCACAGGAAGCTCTGGTCGGGCAGCGCCGCGCCCGCAGCAGGCCCAGGGCCGCCCGGGGCTGGGGCGGTAGGAGTAGGCAGCCAAGGGCCAAGGCCCGCCGCTGGGCTGAAGCGCCTGCGGCGACTGGCGACCCCTCAGAGCGACACCGCTTCCGCCTCTGCTGGGGGCAGGGCCGGGCGTTACCGCCACTTCCGGGGGCGCAGGAAATGCGCGTTGTCCGGGATGCACAGGCCGCCTGCGCGCGGGCCGGGAAGGCGCTTGGAGACAATGTCCCGTGCTGCGACCCGGGACAGGCAGTGATGGAGCAGGGACTTAGTTTGCCTTTTAGTTCTTGTATGAAAAGAAGTTTTGAGGTGAATGTGATTCACGCTAACAGTCGGAAACTCTGGGCGGGGCGCGGTAGCTCACACTTGTGATCCCTGCGCTTTGGGAAGCGGAGGCGGCCGGAGCTCTTGAGCCCAGCAGTGCGGACCAGCCTGGGCAGCGTGGACCAGCCTGGGCAGCGTGGACCAGCTTGGGCAGCGTGGCTAGACCCCATCCCTACAAAAATTACAAAAAGTAGTCCGGCGTGGTGGGCTCCTGTGGGCCCATCTACTCCGTGGGCTGAGGCGGGAGGATGGCCTGAGCCCGGGAGGTCGAGGCCGCAGGGAGTCGAGATCACTGCCCTCCAGCCCGGTGGATAGCGAGACAATGAAAAAAAAAAAAAAAAAAAAAAAAAAAGCAGGCCGGGTGCGGTGGCTGACGCGTGTAATCCCAGCACTTTGGGAGGCCGAGGCCGGTGGATCACCTGAAGTCGGGAGTTCAAGACCAACCTGGCCAATATGGAGAAACCCAGTATCTACTAAAAATACAAAATTAGCCGGGCGTGGTGGCGCACGCCTGTAATCCCAGCTACTTGGGACCCTGAGGCAGGAGAATTGCTTGAACCCGGGAGGGAGAGGTTGCAGTGAGCCGAGATCAGGCCATTGCACTCCAGTCCCGGGCAACAAGAGCAAAACTCCGTCTCAAAAAAAAAAAAAAAAAAAAAAAGGCAAAGCACAATTCGCGTGGGAAGGGCAGTGTGCAGCATTCTCCGTTGTCTGTTCCGCCCCCAAAAGCTTCCCTCCTTTAGATTTAACCTGCGGCCCCGCGCTCTGCATCAGCGCGGTCCCCGACCCGTGCAGCTGGAAACACTGGGCGCCTCCCTGCCGCGCCCCTTCCCGCCCCGGTGGTGGTGCAGCCCTGCCTCCCTCAAGACAGCACTGCCTTCGTGCTGGACACAGTTCTGTGGTGGAGCCTGGAGTGCCTGTAGCACAAATCCCGGAGTTGGGAAGTGCCCACCTTTGGGCCAGTGTGATCCCTGGGTCTTTCCCGCACGGGTGGTCTCATGCGGCCTTCCACTCCAGTCCTGTGTCCTGTGCCCCGGTTCAGAATACTACAATTATTCTCGTTATTTCATGGGGTTATTCCAGCTTTTCAGTTTCTTCAGTGCCTCATTCCATGAATGCTTTTTTCATCCTCCTAGTTCCTAGGGTTGTCTCTGAATATTCACCCAGTTGCCTACCAAGATGTTGTCTGTGTCTACTGCAGGGGATGGTGCAGGTCTGAATATCTTACTCACAGCAGCCACTGTGTCTACTGCAGGGGACGGTGCAGGTCTGAATATCTTACTCACAGCTCACCTTTTTGGTGCCTTTGATCCGTGTTAGGAATTATCCACATCTTCTCTCTGGGCAGTATTCTACTTTCTTTTTATATTGACCCAATTATTTTACTTCTTTGGTGTGTCCTTTCTCCTAAAACATATGGGTTCACTTTGAAACCTTGAAACCCACATTTACAAAAACATTTTCAATAGGAAACATCGTTCCATGACTCATTAGTGGAGTACTATAAACATTTACATTTCCAGACCACCCACTGCCCAGTGGTTTTCTTGGTCTCAGTACTCATGAAAATGGTCTGAAGGTTTGTTTTGGGTTCCTAAGCAGTAGACACACACACAACACTGCCTGTCAGTTATTTCTTGGAAACTAAATCAGCCCTTCTGTTGCCATCCTATCATGCTTCAGGGGTGCCTGTGCTAGTTTTTAATTCTTTGTCCTAACACTTAAATGTTTGTTCAAACGCCCATATTAATACTTCCTCTTAGTTTACAAAAGGATTTACTTTCTTACTGGTTGGGATGAAGCTGCCTGAGGTTGCCACCTGTTACTTTTCCTTCATTTATTGGACCATGTCATCCCATTACATGTCAGCCATGGAGGTTTTCAAACTGTGGTCCCTGGACATGTTAGAAATGCAAATTCTCAGGCCGAACCAGGACTGAATCGGAAGATCTGGGGTAGGGTCCCTCCAGGACTGAATTGGAAGATCTGGGGTAGGGTCCCCCCAGGACTGAATCGGAAGATCTAGGAGGGTCTGGTGCTGTGCACCCCGACATTCCCTCACTACCCCACTGCCTCTCCCTGCCCTGTGGTCACCACAGCAGCCGCCTCTGCAACCTTGACCATCAGCATGCAGGTCCCAGGGCTTGGGGGTCTCCTAACCCGTGCACCCCGACATCCCCCTCACTACCCCACCGCCTCTCCCTGGCTCTGCCTCTGCGTGGCTCCTCTCCTGCTGCCGCCAGAAGGTTTTTGTAAAGCCCGACTCAGGGCGTGCATGGCCTCTCCCTCTCCCACACGTGGGCTCCCTGTCCCCTCCAGCTCAGCAAACACACAGCGCATCCAGGAGCCACGTGGGACCACAGTGTCCCATGGCCGGTCCCCCAGGTCCCTTGGATGTCTCACCCTGGTGAGCCCCTCGCCCCGGCTCCCTCCAGGAAGCCCCCATCTCCCCATACAGAAGGGATCTCTTCCCTCCTGAGCCATCGGTGCCTGACCCTCCCTCTCCTCTGTCGCCCCATTTGTGGCAGGTCAGCCACACCCGTGAGCCCCGGAGCTCTGTGAAGGCCGTCACGGCTCCTTATGATGGCGCCCAAACAGTGCAGGTGGCCGGAAGCTGTTCCCTGATGAAAGAAAGGAAGAGGAAAGGAGGAGGGAGGGAAGAAGGCCTTTTCTTGTCCCAAGAGACTTCTGTAGGAATTTTTGGGTGATACTGAGCATGGTAGACCCAGGTCATCTTTCCATGAGAGGGGCCAGAGTACAGCAGGCTCAGCCGCGGTCAGGGGCTCAGGGCGCCGGGGAAGCATTCGCGTGGGCTGCCCCCACGAGCCGCCTTTGCTACCAAGACCCACTCTTCCAGCCAAGCCTTGGGCCGGCCTTTCTTTCCCTTCGGACAAGGTCTTCAGTCCATGGAGAGGATGGCCCACCTCCTGCCCCTGCGTCAGTGTGTGGCCCCAGGGAGGAGCTGTGTGAACCTGGGAGGTGCTGGGGAGCGAGGGTGCTCCACCAAGGGAGGCAGGAGGCCAGAGACCAGCCCAGGCCAGGAGGAGCCTGGCCAGGAGTCCCACCAAAGCCACTGGACCCGGGCAGCCTCCAGTGACCCAGCCTTGGAGGGTCAGCACTGTCCCTAGGACAGATTCCACTTCGCACACAGGTCTCGCTGTCTGTGGGGGCGGCAGGCCCTGATGCCTGGGCACACAGACTGACGGCAACCCTCGGGGTGGGAGGCCCCAGATGGGACTTCCTGGCCTGCCCGGGGTGGCGGGGTTGTGGGAGAGGATGGCGCGTCTGTGCGCATGTGTGAGAGCATCAAGGATGGCATGTCTGTGAAGATGGCTTCTCCCAGCCGCGGCTGCCTTCCATGTGTGGGCAGTGGTGGGGGAGCCATGACTGCATGGGACAGCCTTTTCCGTGTGGTTTTCCTGCCTGTGATCCCTTTCCTGGGCTGAGGAGCCTGGCTCTGGGGCTCAGGGTGTGGGGTTTGCTAGCACCGGCTCCTGCTGTAGACATCCTAGTGGCCCTGGCACAGGCATGTCCTCCAGCATGGTTCCTAGCCTCCCCCCCGTCACGGGACCCCTAGGCCCCTGAGGGTCGGTAGGAGTGAGGCAGGCAGTCACCAACTGTCCTTGGGTGAGCCTAGTGGCCAGGGGTGGACCCAGCAGGTGCAGGCCAGGCCACCCCCAGCAGGTGCAGGCCAGGCCACCCCCAGCAGCCGCCCGAGCCCGTGTCTTTCCCACCGCACAGCACAGCCGGGACATGGGGGTCAGGCCATTACTTGTGCTTCTAGTTCTTAAATCACCCACAACTCACCCCTAACCTGTGCCTGACTGTGGCGCCCACAGCCTGGGCTCCACATAAACACAAGCCAGGAAGTCCCATCTGGAGCCTGCCACCCCGAAGGTTTCCAGCAGTCTGGGCTCCCCAGGCACCGGCCCTGCAGCCCCCACAGACAGGGAGACCTGTGTGTGAAGTGGAATCCATTTGAGGGACAGCGCTGACCCTCCAGGGCTGGGTCACTGGAGGCTCCAGTGGCTTTGGTGGGACTCCTGGCCAGGCTCCTCCTGGACTGGGCCTGGGCTGGTCTCCGGCCTCCTCCCTCCCTTGGTGCAGGACCCTTGCTCCCCAGCTTCCTGGGAAATCCGACGCCATCTGATCCCCGCACGCATCCAGCACCCCTGACGCTGACGGAGTTGCCTTTTTGCGTGTATAGCTCCTAACAGGGCAGCACGGCCATTCTGAAACCTCGCACATTCTCACTGGGGTGGCTGAGGCTGGGCCACCGGGTGTTCACCTCCTGACCCTGGAACCGTGCACAGGACCTCTCTTCAGGTAGGAGGCAGGTCTTTGTGGCCGTGATTAAGTTAAAGATCTTGAGATAAGGAGGTCATTCTGGATTAACCCGTTGGCCCTAAACGCATGGCAAGAGGCAGAGGCAGGTTACACAGAGGCAGAGGGAGGTTAGACGCAGACAGAGTAGGAGGCCACCTGGAGACCGAGGCAGAGGCGCAGCAATGCAGCCGCGGCCCAGGGACGCCTGGAGCCACAGAAGCTGGCACAGGTGGGAGGGTCCTCCCCTGGAGCCTCTGGAGGGAGCACGGCCCGTGGACTCCTTGATTTCAGACCCCTCGCTGCTGAGCAGGGAGAGAATGAGCCCCTGTTGTTTCGAGCTGCCCAGGCTGTGGGGATCTGCCATGGCAGCTCCAGGACCCTTGGACCCTCGGCTCGGAGCCCCTCCAGCACTGAGCAAGACGACCACTCAGGGCCACCCCTCCCCGCCCAGCTGGTGTGTGCCTCGCTGCTTACCCGAGCATGCTGCCTTCAGTTACAGATGCCTGCCTGGGATGTGTGGGATGGAGGCTGTGGCTTCCCTGGGGACGGGGTGCGTGGAGCCGGCCTGCAGCCGTGCTCCTGTTTAGGAGCTGAGTGAAGCTGGACCTGGGTTGGATGGGGCATTCTGTACAAGGGTCTCTTGGGGGTCCATGAGGACTCTGTTCTGACGATACTGCCCTCCTTCCTGAGGCTGCTGTGGGGCTCCATGGAGGCCATGGGGTGGTGAGGACGGAAGAACACCTAGGCTGGGCTCCTGGGACCCCAGCAGCAGCTGAAGGCACTTGGAGCACCACAATTTCCACCCACGGGCCAGGCAAGGCCAGAACCGTCCCCAAAGAAGGGAGCAAGGAGACAGGGCCTTGTAGTGATAATATAATAACCAAAAAGTTTTTTAAACATTGTTTCATTTTTTTCTGTCACTCAATCTTTTTAAAATTACGTCCTGTTTTTATTACTTGCACCCATCTAATTATTGCCATCTACACCAAACAAAAAAATCTATACACCAATGTTCACAAAGCACTTAAGATGCCTATGAAATGTAATAAGAACTAACTGAAGCTGCACAATATTCCCTTGTATGCATGTTATCACCACGCTGACGCTGGGTACTCAGGTTTTCTTTATTATAATGAATTCTGCAATGAACATCTTTCTGTATAAATTTTTTTTGTGAGTACTTTGCATTATTTCCTAAAATAAATTAGAAGAAGGAATGATGAATCGGAGAATGTAAACATTTGGGGCTTTTGAAACAGACAGTTTTTATAAATTAGAGTCTGTAGTTTTCATTCAGCGAGATTGTTGTGTCTCTGCACATTTTTCACGGTGAAGTCTCATCTGACGGCCCTTCCTCGTCCTCCGCAGAGCCGTGTGTGTATGTGTATAGGGCCCAGCGTGCTGACCGGGCGGTTCTTCAACACAGTGAGTGACAGCAGGAGCCCCGAAGGTTCTCAGGTCTTCTGTCCATGGAGGGCATTTTGTGGCCTCTCCCAGGGCAGCTGGCAGGAGCCAGGTGAGAACAGATGCGTCTGTAGCAGGAGGGCGTTGATGCCTCTGAGGTTGTAGCGAGCTTGGTATTTACCTTTTCCTCCTGGTCCATTCTGAAGCTCCAAAGGACGGTCAATTTAATACAGAGACACAATTACAGCAAGCGTCTAGTGTGAGGCCAATCACGCATTTTGGCTAGAACTACTCAGGGTGTTGGAAAATCACAAAGCTTTTCACGTAAACTTGCAAATTGCTAGCAGTCTCTCTGCAAGACAAGAGATGCTGTCTGTTCCCTGACCCCCGACTCTATACCTCAGCTTGTTCTGCCCCTTTCTGATTGTTCTAAGCAACTGACATACTTACAGCGTTTGGAGCCACGTCATGGCCTTTTGAGGCCGGCGTGCTGTGATATTTTCCTACAGAGCACGGTCACTTCCAGAGGCGAGAGAGGCACAGAATTCTATTCTGAGAACCCCTGGGACGCACGCCGCGGTGGCTGTGAGTATGAAGGCAGATGCTGCGGAACAGCCTGGAAAGGATGTGGGGCCCACGGCCCCTGGCAGTGCCCGGAGCCGAGCAGCCCCTCCCCACCTTCCTGGAGGAGAAGGCCTGGGCCAGATGCCTGAGAATGACACACGCAGGCCCAGCTGTTCTTCAGAGATACAGAGCGACCCACCGTCTGCTTTGCTGGGACTGTCCAGTGTTGGCAGGGAAAGTCCTGCATCCGGCACGCAGGGGCGGTGGCTGCACCAGCTTAGAACCAGTCTCTGATTTTAGGGGTGAGAAAAGTAGAGGTGGGTGCTCTGCCTGAATGCTCACCAGCTCAGGGGGTGCGGCTGAGCAGTGGACATCAGTCAGACATCTCTGTGAAGTGTTAGCGGGAAAAGTATCATGGAACCATTAGCAGCCGCTTGAGGTTAGGCCCAAACCAGTGGGGCCCACCGCATCCAAACACTTGGGGCCACCTGCCGTCATCAGGGGTGGCCCACCTTTCTTCTGAGCGGGGATTCTCTTCCTGCCTGGAGGGAGCAGTTTGGCTACAAAGCTGCCTTTTAGAGCGAGACCCCGTCTCCCCTCCCTGCGTTCCCAGGACTTTGTGAAGAAGAGAAAGTGAGTGGCCCTTCCTTTCTCCTGGATCCCGGCTGTGGGGCTGCCCGCCGCCCTCCTCCTCCCACGCTAGGCTGCCCGCCGCCCTCCTCCTCCCACCCTAGGCTACCTGACCCATGGAGACCGGCCTGAGACAGACGCATCCCCGAACACCAGGTGCCCCGTCTTCTAGGCCATTCCAGGGACGGATGAATCAACATGGGCTTCTTATCCTAATGTTTTAATTTGGAACTCTGCTATTGATCTGATGTTTACAAAGGAACCCATGCGTGACATTAAACTGTCAAAAGAGAAGCATGCACCCTGCGAGAATTCCTGCCTGAGATACTGTCTTTTTGTGACTGTAAGTGCAGAGAGAGCCCACGCAAACCGCAGGACACCAGAGCCGCCGCCCTGCCCCTCCAAGCTGCTGGCACTCGGGCTCACCCTCTCTGGAGGAGCCATCATTCTGGCCTCAGATTCTCCTTCCAAAACATTGCAAATAGAATGTCAGGCAAAGAAAGAAAGAGCCAGGCACACATGGAGAGATGGCAGCGCGAGTGTAAGTGGTGAGAAACCCAGCGAATGAAAACATCTACATAAGAACGCAGACACAGCGCCCTCAGAGGCCGGCTGCAGAAAGGACTGGAGACACTGCAAATGAAAACGTCTACACGAGAATGCAGACACAGCGCCCTCAGATGGCTGCAGAAAGCGCTGGAGACATTGTCCATGAGAAGAAAAAGACAAGGTCAAGAACTTCAGTGGAGAAATAAAAATTACACGAAAAGGAAAGATTTGTATTTTTTTTTTCTGATTGTATTTTTCCTATTCTCCCTCCACTTTCTTTCTAGAACTCCAACTTTTCTCATTGCATTCTCTGTTTTCTCATTGCAGTCTCTATCTCTGTGCCTATTTGTAAATGCAATACAAAAATGATTGCCTGGAAAAAATACAAGCAACGTTTCAGAACTCAATAAGTGGGTTTAAAAATAGTTTAGATGTCATTGAAAAATAATGAATAACTGGAAAGTAGGTCAGAAGAAAATTCTCAGAATGAAGGATAGGAACATAAGGAGGAAAACAGAGAAGAGCAAGTGTGAGGGACTGAACTGCGTCCTCCCAGAATGCACATGTGGAAGCCTGGCTTAGTTCTGGCTGCCATAACAAAATGCCATAGACTGGGGGACTTAGAAACAACAATGCATTTCTCAGAGCTTTGAAGGCTGGGGAGTCTCAGATCAAGGTACCGGCAGATTCCGTGTGTGGTGAGGACGAGGACCGGCTTCCCTAGTTGTGTCACTGCGTCCTCACATGGCGGACGGGGGAGGGGTGCTCTGGGGCCTCTTTTATGAGCAGCCGGGCATCTTGGCCACTCTCCTGTGGAGGGTTAGGTGTGGACAAAAAGTATTTGGCAAAAAGAGTTTGAAACCAGCAATGAGACCCTCCCCAGCTCTGCCCTTTCTACCTCCCACATGAGATGCTTTTCTTTTAGTAAAAGGGAGGGGCCTGGGCCAGCCTGGCCTGCTGCTGCTCCCACACCTCCAGGACTCCTCCACAGGCAGGGTGGGGCCGCCATCAGCTCTGCCCAGCAAACTGTGGGCACAAGGGCTGGGGGTCAGGCTGGGCTGAGGCAGCTCCTATGCCTGCTCTGTGACCCAGAGACCGTAGCCCTGGGGGCTGTGGGAGGGCCACCCAGCCCGGGTTCAGCAGCGACACTCTGTGACCCAGAGACCATAGCCCTGGGGGCTGTGGGAGGGCCACCCAGCCCGGGTTCAGCAGCGACATGAGTGACACACAGACCCTTTGCTTTGAGCCAGTGGGAGGTGGGTGTTACTGCAGCGCAGTCCCGGCCTTGGTGATGCCACCAGCATGTGCGGCACTCACCTGCACTGCAGGACCACCCCCTCTGTAGGACCACCTGCCTCCTCGCCCCACACACGAGCCCTTGGGGGCACCTCTTGGCCCTTGTGCCTGTGTGGAGCTTGATGCCTATTTGAATAAATTATTAGAAAAATTATTAGGTGAGGCCGGGCACAGTGGCTCACGCCTGTAATCCCAGCACCTTGGGGGCCTGAGATGGGCAGATCACGAGGTCAGGAGATTGAGACTCATCCTGGCTAACACGGTGAAACCCCGTCTCTACTAAAAATACAAAAAAATTAGCCGGGCATGGTGGCAGGTGCCTGTAGTCCCAGCTACTCAGGAGACTGAGGCAGGAGAATGGCGTGAACCTGGGAGGCGGAGGTTGCAGTGAGCCGAGATTGCGCCACTGCACTCCAGCCTAGGCAACAGAGCAAGACTCCACCTCAAAAAAAAAAAAATTATTAGATGAAAGGAGCCAGACATGAAAGCAACCACGTGTCCTGTGATGGTGTTCATATGAAATGCTGGGAATAAGCTGCTCTATGGAGGCAGAAAGCAGACTGGGGGCAGCCGGAGGCTGCGGAGAGAGGGAGCTGGGAGTGAATCCAGGGCTCCTTTTCAGGGTGATAGAAATGTTTTGCAATGAGATTCTAGTAATGCCAATATACTAACAACTACACCTCTTTCAGATGCTGCAGGTGGACAGGTGACAGGTGGGGATGCAGTCCCTGCCCCTGACACTCCCATTGAGAGGGCACAACCCTCTGTGCTTTGGCTGGGGGCATCATGGCTGCAGATGCTCCTGCCCCGGCAGAGCTGTTTCTTCCCAGACTCCCATGTGGCCCTGAGTCACCGGGGATCAGAATGAGCATGAGAATGTGGATTCGCGGGGCCCAGGTAGGGTTTTTTCACAAGTGCCCGGGAGCAAGGCTGAAGCTGGTAGCTCAGAAACTGGAGCTGGCTGTCAGCATCAAAACACTGCTCAGTGACAGGGGCTGTATGGTCTGGGGCAGTCCAAGAAAATCATCCAAGAGTGGAGGAAAAACTGTTCTGAAGCCTTCCGGCCTCCAGTGAAATTCCTTGGATGGGAAACCCTGGGGAGGGAGGGTCCCCATTCCCCCATCCCAAAGGGGCCCCTTTGGGCCACTCACCCCGACAAGGGACAGTTTCCCTGGGGACGTCCTCGGACCCGCCCTGGGTACTCAGATATTAAGAAGATGTTCTGATATTCAGTGATTTTCAGAGTACTGGTGTTAAAGTTACACATATATATGCAAAAATAAGAAAATAAACGAATTCCTATTCCTCCATCTAGAGAACACTACCCGTTTTACCTTTTTTGGTGTTTCTAAATAAAATCTTCAAACGAGATCGTGCTGTTCCTGCTATGTAGTTACTTTTAATTCTCTCAGTGATGTCTTAGAGCACCTACCTTCCTGTTTAAACGAGCGCCTGACGCTGCGTTCACGGGCAGTTTTACAACGGGATGCCGCAAATGCATTTCAAGGCATAAAACAGAGCTCCACCGCACCCCGCAGGCAGGTGGATCTGATTTTCCTCTGCTGCAGAGTTTGCTGAAAGCGAGCTCCCCCGCACCCCGCAGGCAGGTGGATCTGATTTTCCTCTGCTGCAGAGTTTGCTGAAAGCGAGCTCCCCCGCACCCCGCAGGCAGGTGGATCTGATTTTCCTCTGCTGCAGAGTTTGCTGAAACCGAGCTCCCCCGCACCCCGCAGGCAGGTGGATCTGATTTTCCTCTGCTGCAGAGTTTGCTGAAACCGAGCTCCCCCGCACCCCGCAGGCAGGTGGATCTGATTTTCCTCTGCTGCAGAGTTTGCTGAAACCGAGCTCCCCCGCACCCCGCAGGCAGGTGGATCTGATTTTCCTCTCCTGCAGAGTTTGCTGAAACCGAGCTCCCCCGCACCCCGCAGGCAGGTGGATCTGATTTTCCTCTGCTGCAGAGTTTGCTGAAAGCGAGCTCCCCCGCACCCCGCAGGCAGGTGGATCTGATTTTCCTCTGCTGCAGAGTTTGCTGGGGGCTAAGGGTGAGAACCGCGGGAACGAACTAACGCGCTGCAGTGTCGGGAAACACGGCCCACAGCGCCACCGTGTGGTCTCCGCGTCCCCAGTTCGGAGCCGCAGCTTACGCGCTGCTGGCCCTGAGCCTGTTCCCTTCCTGCAGTCCCCAGGAGCTGACGCTATTCGGTTTGTTTTTAAACACTCCAGCTGAGCAAGCGTCTTCTCAGGACGTCCTGCGTGCTGCCCACACTCTCTTGTGGATGGTCCCCCGGGTCCGGCGGAATCCCGCCTGGGAAGGCTTCCCCGAAGCCTTCCTCCATCCTGGGCAGTGGCGGGGCTTGCAGGAGGCCTCAGAGCTCTGTCGGGGCCGGACGGACCGCTGTCGTCGCCAGTGCAGGGACAGAAGGGAGGACCCCTTGGAGGGCGGTGGAGACCAGAGTCGTGAGCGGCCCTGTGGAAAGCTGGCGAAGGGGCAGACATCCAACTCGCCAGCAGGAAGCCGCGCCCAGCACGGTCATGCTCAGCCTCAGTGATCCTGGCGGGAAAGACCGAGACAGAAATTCTTCGCACACCCACCAGGCCTCCGGATCCAGCCAGCACCGGGGCTAGCGGACCCAGGCCGTCTACACCTGGGCTTTCCTTCCCAGCTTCCCCGCTCTCAAATTCAGTTGAAAGTGGGTTTGTAAGAATTGTATACCTAGAAAACCCCATCGTCTCAGCCCAAAATCTCCTTAAGCTGATAAACAACTTCAGCAAAGTCTCAGGATACAAAATCAATGTGCAAAAATCACAAGCATTCTTATACACCAATAACAGACAAACAGAGAGCCAAACCATGAGTGAACTCCCATTCACAATTGCTTCAAAGAGAATAAAATGCCTAGGAATCCAACTTACAAGGGATGTGAAGGACCTCTTCGAGGAGAACTACAAACCACTGCTCAACGAAATAAAAGAGGATACAAAGAAATGGAAGAACATTCCATGCTCATGGGTAGGAAGAATCAATATCGTGAAAATGACCATACTGCCCAAGGTAATTTATAGATTCAATGCCATCCCTATCAAGCTACCAATGACTTTCTTCACAGAATTGGAAAAAACTACTTTAAAGTTCATATGCAACCTAAAAAGAGCGCACATTGCCAAGACAATCCTAAGCCAAAAGAACAAAGCTGGAGGCATCACACTACCTGACTTCAAACTATACTACAAGGCTACAGTAACCAAAACAGCATGGTACTGGTACCAAAACAGAAATATAGACCAATGGAACAGAATAGAGGCCTCAGAAATAATACCACACATCTACAACCATCTGATCTTTGACAAACCTGACAAAAACAAGCAATGGGGAAAGGATTCCCTATTTAACAAATGGTGCTGGGAAAACTGGCTAGCCATATGTAGAAAGCTGAAACTGGATCCCTTCTTACACCTTATACAAAAATTAATTCAAGATGGATTAAAGACTTAAATGTTAGACCTAAAACCATAAAAACCCTAGAAGAAAACCTAGGCAATACCATTCAGGACATAGGCATGGGTAAGGACTTCATGTCTAAAACACCAAAAGCAATGGCAGCAAAAGCCAAAATTGACAAATGGGATCTAATTAAACTAAAGAGCTTCTGCACAGCAAAAGAAACTACCATCAGAGTGAACAGGCAACCTACAGAATGGGAGAAAATTTTTGCAATCTCATCTGACAAAGGACTAATATCCAGAATCTACAAAGGACTCAAACAAATTTACAAGACAAAAACAACCCCATCAAAAAGTGGGCAAAGGATATGAACAGACATTTCTCAAAAGAAGACATTTATGCAGCCAACAGACACGTGAAAAAATGCTCTTCATCACTGGCCATCAGAGAAATGCAAATCAAAACCACAATGAGATACCATCTCACACCAGTTAGAATGGCGATCATTAAAAAGTCAGGAAACAACAGGTGCTGGAGAGGATGTGGAGAAATAGGAACACTTTGACACTGTTGGTGGGACTGTAAACTAGTTCAACCATTGTGGAAGTCAGTGTGGCGATTCCTCAGGGATCTAGAACTGGAAATACCATTTGACCCCACCATCCCATGACTGGGTATATACCCAAAGGACTATAAATCATGCTGCTATAAAGACACATGCACACGTATGTGTATTGCAGCACTACTCACAATAGCAAAGACTTGGAACCAATCCAAATGTCCATCAATGATAGACTGGATTAAGAAAATGTGGCACATATACACCATGGAATACTATGCAGCCATAAAAAATGATGAGTTTATGTCCTTTGTAGGGACATGGATGAAGCTGGAAACCATCATTCTCAGCAAACTATCGCAAGGACAAAAACCCAAACACTGCATGTTCTCACTCACAGGTGGGAATTGAACAATGAGAACACTTGGACACAGGAAGGGGAGCATCACACACCAGGGCCTGTTGTGGGGTGGGGGGAGAGGGGAGGGATAGCATTAGGAGATATACCTAATGTAAATGACGAGTTAATGGGTGCAGCACACCAACATGGCACATGTATACCTATGTAACAAACCTGCACGTTGTGCACATGTACCCTAGAACTTAAAGTATAGTAATAATAATGATAATAAAAATCATGTTTACAAGCAAAAGCCACCCTCCAACCTTCTGTCATAGGCGTTTTAATCGTGTGAGGTTTCTAGCCCACGGGCGCCTCTCTCCAGCCCATGGCTCTCTGAGGCAGAAGCAGCCTTCCACTTTCCAAGGTAATGGCACCACCACCCTGCTTGGTGCCCACCAGCATCTCCCTGTCACTCGAAAGACAGTGTCCAAACCCCTGCCTGTTACCCCAGGCCCTGTGGGTCTATCCCGGCAGCTCACCAGCTGTGGCCTCCTCAGACAGCCTCCTTTCCCCCAAATCCCAGCCTCAGTCCCTCGGATGCTTCCAGGTGGGAAGGCTCTGGCAGGCTCCAGGAGGAGCAGATAGAACTTGGGTGATCAGCCACCGGGCGTGGTGGCTCATGCCTGTAATCTCAGCACTGTGGGAATCCGAGGCGAGCAGATCACTTGAGATCAGGAGTTTGAGACCAGCCTGGCCGACATGGCGAACCCTGTCTCTACCAAAAATACAAAAAAAAAAAAAAAAAAAAAATTAGCTGGGCGTGGTGGCCTGCACCTGTAATCCCAGCTACTTGGGAGGCTGAGGCATGAGAATCACTTGAACCCAGCAGGCAGAGGTTGCAGTGAACTGGGATTGCACCACTGCACTCCAGCCTGGGTGACAGACTGAGACTGTCTCAAAAATAAAAGGTGATCAGGAAGTTCTTGTTTTTGCTTTTTGTTTTTCCCCCTGTGGAATCCTTTGCTCTGCAAAACAGGTGAGCGTTTCTTTGGTGGGGCGCTCAGCTCCCCCACCCCCCCCAGAACTGCTGATCCCACCCTCATGTCTGCATTCTTGAGGTGGTCCTGAGACGTGGCTTTGAAAAACACTGCTTGGGCTGGGTGCAGTGGCTCATGCCTGTAATCCCAGCACTTTGGGAGGCCAAGGTGGGAGGACTACCTGAGGTCAGGAGTTCAAGACCAGGCTGGTCAACATGGTGGAACCCTGTCTCTACTAAAAATACAAAAATTAGCTGGGCGTTGTGGTGCATGCCTGTAATCCCAGCTACTTGGGAGGCTGAGGCAGGAGTATCGCTTGAACCCAGGAGGCAAAGGTTGCAGTGAGCCAGGATTACACCACTGCACTCCAGCCTGGGCAACAGAGTGAGACTCCATCTCAAAAAAAAAGGAAAGAAAAAGAGAAACACTGCTTGAAACAAGAAAGGAACACAAAGATTAAAAGCTTAGAATTTTCCATAAACCTTTTGGCCACTTATATGTCTTCTGTTGAGAAATGATCTTTTGTCTACTTTCTATGGGATTATTTATTTATCTATTTTTTTCTGTTGTTTGATTTCCTTGTGTATTCTGGATATTGGCCCCAAAAAGCAAGCGAAAAAATGCTCAACATCATGAATCATTGGGGAAATGCACATCAAAACCACAATGAGGTATCATCTACCCCAGTTCAGATGGCTTTAATTAAAAACAAAAACCATAACAAATGCTGGCGAGGATGTGGAGAAAGGGGAACCATACACACTGTAGGTGGGAATGTAAATGAGTACAGCCGCTATGGACAACAGGATTGAGTTCTTAAAAAATTAAAAATAGAGCTACCCTATGATCCAGCCATCCCCGCTGATGGGTATTTATCCAAAGGAAAGGGAATCCTGTGTGAAAGGGAATCTGGGCCCCCCTGTTTACTGCAGCACTGTTCACAATGGCAAAGATATGGAATCAACCTAGGTGCCTATCAATGGATGAATGGATACAGAACACGTGATATCTATTCGCGATGGAATACTCTGCAGCCATACACAAGAATGAAATCATGTCGTCTGCAACAACATGGATGGAATTGAAGGCTGTCATGTTAAGGGAAGTAAGCCGGGGTAGAAAGACAAATGTACCATGTTCTCACTCATTTGTGGGCACTGAAAGAGTGGCTCTCACAGAGGCAGAGAGTTGGCTGGTGGTTCCCAGAGGCTGGGCAGGGTGTGTGGGTGAGAGGCAGACAGAAAGTGAGGCTGGTTACGGGGCACAAACATGCAGTCAGGGGAAGGAGTAAGTTCCAATGTTCCATAGAACAGTTCACAGACCAAAGGCAACAATCATTTACTGTTTCCTTCCTTCCTTTCTTCCTTCCTTCCTTCCTTCCCTTCCTCCCTCCCTTCTTTCTTTCTCTCTCTCTCTTTCTCTCTTTCTTTTCCTTCTTTCTCTTTCTTTCTCTCTTTCTCTCTCTCTCTCTCTTTCTTTTTCTTTCTCTCTCTCTCTCTTTCTCTCTTTCTTACTTTCTTTATTTCTTTTTGACAGAGTCTCACTCCAGGCTGGAGTGCAGTGGAGGCATGATCTCGGCTCACTGCAACCTCCGCCTCCTGGGTTCAAACGATTCTCCTGTCAGCCTCCCGAGTAGCTGGGATTACAGGTGTGTGCCACCATGCCTGGCTAATTTTTGTGTTTTCAGTAGAGACAGGGTTTTGCCATGTTGGCCAGGCTGGTCTCGAACTCCTGACCTCAGGTGATCCACCTGCCTTGGCCTCCTAAAGCGCTGGGATTACAGGTGTGAGCCACTGCACCTGGTCCGCTGTATATTTCAAAATAGCTAGAAGAACTGGAATCTTCCCAACAGAAAGAAAGAGTAGATGTTCCAAGTGATGGATATACTACATACCCTGATTTGATCACTACATGCTGTGTGCACAATCAAAATATCACAACTGCCCTGTAAATATGTACAATTATTATGTATCAATAAACACTTTTCAAAAAATTTTAGATTTGATTACAAAGACATTAAACCCTGTGACACTTCAAAAAACACCATAACAAAACAAACAAAATCCAACAAAAACCGGAAGCACGCTGTGACGGTTTTGACATCTGATGTCCTCAGTGTCTAGAGGTCTTACGGGAAGAAGGAAGGCGCAATCGAATGAAGTTAGATGTGGAAATAGAATCACAACAACCCAGGAAGATGCAATTTGAGTTTTAACGATGAATTTAGCAATTTGCTTAAAAATAGTAATAGTCAATGTTGGCAAATATTCAGAGGAATATGCGTTTTCAGATACTAGTAGCAAAAGTATCAGCATAATTTTGTTCTGGAGAGGGGTTTGGTAATATGCACCAGAAGCCTTCCAATGTGGCTGACCTAGCAATGCTGCCTTTAGGGTGATAAACTGGCAAGTGGTCAAAATCCGCTCTGTGGCCTGTTGCTGCACGGCCAAGAGCTCGGAATGGTCCGTTACTGTGAAAACGATTAGCGAATAAGGAAGAGTGTGCGGTGGAGACCATCTTCCCCGTCCCCGCCCCCAGCACAATACTGACTCTCTAGCTGTCTGCAGAGCACGTTTGCAGACCCCTGATCTATGTGGAGGAGTAAACAAGTAAACAACAAAACGGTCCAGGTGTTCATTTTGCAGCATTTAGAAAATGTTGGTAAAAATAAAATAAAGAAATAAAGGGCCTAAATGTCCGTCTTTCCAACCTCATGGAAGTAGTTCAATCGATTCTGGCAAATGCAAATCCTGTCGTGTTCGGCAGCCGCTACAGGTAGACAGTGCTGCTGAAGAACTTCCAGTAACATGAGAAAACACTCATGAGAGGGTCGTGCTAAGTGAGAGCATTAAGTTATACAGACGACTTTATTCCAATTTTAATTTGAAGGTGTGTAAATAGAAAGAAATGGAAAGAAAGAAAATACTTGAACATCTTAATTACTGGGTGTTCATCCCGGGTGTGGGGAAGCAGGGGCTTCGGGTGAGGGTGGTGGGGGGTATGAGGAGTTTGGAGGTGGGTGGGAGGGGATCCCTAAAGTGACAGAGTCCTGGGAGCCCAGGGCTTGGAAGCTCACCACCTGGCAGTGCAGCCATGGGATCCAGACAGCTTCGCTGGACAGACGCACCGTGAGGGCTGGGGTGGGTCCTGGGGAGGGCAGGGCCAGAAAAGGGTGGGGCTGGGGAGAGTGGGGTCAGGGGAGGGCGGGGCTGGGGAGGGATGAGGCCTGGGGAGGGGTGAGGCCTGGGGAGGGTAGGGCCTGGGAAGAGTGGGGGATGGGGAGGGGTGAGGCCTGGGGAGGGTAGGGCCTGGGAAGAGTGGGGGATGGGGAGGGGTGAGGCCTGGGGAAGGTGGGGCTGGAAGAAGGTAGGGCTGGGGAGGGGTGGGGCTGGGGGAGGGATGAGGCCTGGGGAGGGGTGAGGCCTGGGGAAGGTGGGGCTGGGGAGGGGGGGGCCACAGAGGGCAGGGCAGGGGTAGGGCAAGGCTGGGGAGGGATGATGCCTGGGGAGGGGTGGCCTGGAGATGTCAGGGCTGGGGAGGGTAAGGCTGGGGAGGGATGAGGTCTGGGGAGGGGTGGGGCTGGGGGAGGACCGGCCTGTGGGGCAGGGCCTATGGGGGCATGGGGCCTGGGTCCTCGGGGCCTGGGACAGTGTCACTCTTCCCTTCCTTGGCTCATCCTGTGACCCGAAGAGCCTCTGCCAGGCCCTGGGCTCCTGCTGAGCTCCTGCTGAGAACAAGGCAGCCTGGTTTTTCTTTGATCTCCTGCCCCGAAGGTTGATGAGGGGATGGAGGGTCTGGAGCAATGGCCCAGACAGGGTGGAAGTTCCCTGGGGAAGAAGGGGGTGCCTGGAGTGGGTGGGTGGTCAGGGACCTTTCGAGAGGAGGGGTCTCAAGGTGAGGGCTCCTCAGGCCCCCGAATGTGGGGCAGGGTGGGTGCACAAGCAGAGGCTGTGGGGGAGGTGCTGGGCAAGGGAAGGGCAGGGCCCATTCTTAGGAGGAGCCTGAGAGTGGGACAAGAACAGATAAATTCTCAGGGAGAATGGGGTCCCTCGCCATGGGGGGTCCTGGAACAATCCATGGCGGCCTGTCCCTCTGCCTGCTCCCACCACAGTTCCGTGCTTCTCCAGAGGGCCAGGCTGGCCATGCTGTCCCTAACCCACTCCAGGGACCACATGAGTGTAACAGGATGTAGGAGAGAGCCAGGGCTTGGAAATCCATGATCTGGCCGTGTGGCCATGGGATCTGGCCAGCCTCGCAGGATGCTGTGAGGTGGGGCGAGGGCCGGGTGCAGGGAGGATGCTGTGGGTCTCCCAGGTGCCCTGTGCAGGACAGCAGCCAAGTGCTCCCAGGGGCCACCCTATGTCACACCCAGTGTGGGGGGCCCTGAGGGCAAAGGGTCCAGGGGAGGATATCAGGAGTGCCCTCCCTGTTGGAGGCTGGACTGGCCCTCCTTCCCCACAAGTGGGTTTTAGGTTGGGGCAGGAGGGAGGGACTTAGGAATGAACACGATCAGAGTAGACTCTGCTCCTGCTTCCTTGGGCCCCCACCAGCCTGGTGACTTGCTGGGGGGACACGAGGAAGATGGGGCGTGGCTGAGGCTTGGGCGGTGGGGAAGAGCCAGCTTGGGCCGGGTGTCTCTCTGTGAGGGGAGGGACCCTGGCAGGCCACGCCGAGGCCTCACAAGGAACTTGTGGTTGATGCTTTCCAAAACAGGCCCTTGGCATTTGGGTGACAGCCAGGCAGAGCTAGCTTGGTGGTGGAAGCCACTGACAGCGCCGGTTTCCCGATGAAAACTTGACGTTCGTGTTTTGAGAGCTAGCTGGGGAGACTGGGAGCTGGGTCCTCTCGGAGTGCCAGGTCAGCCGATGGCGTGTGGCCTTACGTGTGGGGTGGGGTCCCCTGTCCAGGGGTCTGAGCTTCTCACGCCTCTGGGCCCTCCGTGCTCCAGCGTTCTCAGGTTCTTTTTTTTTGGGGGGACCTTGTGGGGGCCACACATCGCGCCTGACTCCCCAGACGGATGGACCTGGCTGCTGCCTCCCCGTCCCCGGGAAGCGGCTGGCCAGTGCATCAGGGAACACAGGTCTCTTTCCTCTGTCTTCCTCCATCAGGCTCCGGAAAAGCTTTCCCCAGAGAAGACACCGGACAGCAGGGGCCGCCTCCCGTAGCTCTTGTGACCCAGCCTGTTTCTGCATCTGAGCTGCGTCCTCTGGGTGGGGGTGTCTGCACCTGGGGTGTGTGTGAGAGGATGAGGGAGGGAGCGTGCCTGTGCCTGTGTGCGTGCAACTGTGTTCCTGCAGGCTGTGCCTCTCTGTGCACGTGTGTGCAGCCATGCGTGCGTGTTCACACGTGTGGAGTGTGTGCGTGCGTCCGTGCCTGGGTGTTGCGGGTGGTGAGGCTGGCAGAGCGTCCTGACCCCTCGGGCCCCAGGCCTTGTCCCTCTTCTCCGTGTCCCAATCTTCCTTCAACCGCCCGCCCCGCCCCTGCCTTTGGTGGCCTGGAGTCCCCACCAGCTCTGGGTACTAGGGCGCCGGGCAGCGCGGGAACTAACGGGCTGAGTCTGTGGGGTCGGGATGACTGAAAACAGGCCCTGTCTTCGGTTTAGGCTCAGGCGGAAACCCCCCGGGGGCCTCTGGGGGCTGCGGTCGGTGCCAGGGGTCCCGGGCAGCTGCCTGAACGCGCACAGCGGCTCCTGCCCCGCAGCCTCCGCCCCGCGCCCGCGTCCTCGGGCCGGCAGCGCCCCCTGGTGCCGCCTCGGGTCTGTGCAGGGCCGGGCGGGCTGCGCTGAGCATCTGCGGACGCCTCCGTGGGTGACGGAAGACAGAGGGGCTGACCAGGTCTTCTACAGGTCAGTGGGCGATCAACAGCTGGACGCGTAGCAGGGGGTATCCGGGTGGCCTAAAAGAATTCAGCAAGGCCGACTGCAGGCCGAGGGTCACCAGGAACTGACCTGGAAGGAGTGGATGTGGCCGCCCCAGGACCACCCTGTTCCAGGTGCCCGGCCCTGGCCATGGAGCCCTTGGACTTATTTGTTTCTTTAGCTGCAGCGAGCGGGGTCCCGGTGCTGAGCAGAAGACCCCGTGCTGCGGTCCCTGTGCTCCCTGGCAGCTGTGGGAGGAACTCTGACCTTTGGGGCCCCTGGGCACCTACCCTGTTGGTTCCCGCTCTGGGCTGCCGAGGGCTGGGTGCTGTGCTGTGTGAAAGGCCGTATGGGCGGGGCTTCTGTGTCCCCTGAGTCAGGCACTGCACCCTTATGCTCCCCTCAGGGGCCACACCACCTGCAGTGGTCCCTGGAGAGCAGAGGAAAGGTCCCCCTGGGCCAGATGGGGGCAATTGGTGGGCGGGGCCTGGCTCTACAGGAATGGGGGACCAGGGGCTTTCCCTCCAGGAGTGGTAACAGATCAAAGAACATCTACCCCAAACCAGACCGGACTCAGCACACACCTTATCCAGAGCTCTAAAGACACTAGAGTGGGGAGTAGAGAGAGAAAGAGACCGACAGAGACAGACAGAGGGAGAGATTCAGAGCAAGGTGGGGCAGGGGTGGCAGAGGAGGAGAGACCCCAGCTCTTCTCACCTCACAGACCTCTCGGGCCAGCTTGGCCCCACCCCCACCATCCACCCTGCAACTCCACCCCCACCCGCCCCCTGGGCTGAGCAGAGACCTCTGGGACATGGTCACCTCCACACAGAGCCTGTTCCAGAAGGCAGGACCCCGTCCCTGCCCCAGCTTCTGGCTGGCAGGGCTGTGTCAATGACTTCTGGCCAAGCGACCCCAGGAAATGGCATTCCATGGGGTCAGGTGGCTCCTCAGTGCCTCTTCCCGGCTTTTCATGTAAAATCATGGCAGGTGGCATCAGGCAGTGTCCCACACCCCTACAAGCTCAGGGGGAAGCCACCTTTACCCACAGGGCCAAAATGTGGACGCAGGCTCCCCTCTGGAGTGGACGCGCTGAGGGCACACCCAGGCCCTGGTCCCCTCAGCCGCATCAGAGCAGCACACAGGGCCGGGTGAGGGTGGCCTCCACCCCTCCACCACACCAGGCACAGCTCGGAGCCAGGCCAGAGAGAGGGTGTCAGCTCTGCAATGCATTGAGTAGTTTCCACCCGTGGCTGTGAGGAGCAGCATTTCCTGACAGAAGTTTCTAGCACATGTGTGTTGGCGAGGATGCGGTCGTCTACTTGCTGGGCACACACTGTGCCAGGCTGAGGGGAGGACCCCAAAGATGTGCAGCCCCGCAAACCTGTGAGTGCCGCCTTAGACGGCAACATGATGACAGGTCTGGAGCGGGGAGAGTCTCCCGGGTCACCCACCTGCACCCTGTGCTGTGCCAGGTAGTGGCCCCCCCAACCCCAGATTCATATCCCTCCCCACACCTCAGAATGGGACCCTATCTGGAAATAGGCATTGCAGACGTGATTCATTAAGACGTGGTCATCCTGGAATAGGGAGGCCCTGATCTAGTATAACCCGTGTCCTTATGAGAAGAGGAGAACGCAGGGAGGAGGGCGCCATGAGCAGAGAGGCCCAGCGGGGCCAGGAGCCCACTGAGGGCCACCAGGGGCTGCCGGCCACACCAGATGCTGGAGGGCAGCCGGCCCGACTCTCAGCCTCCAGGAGGCACCAGCCCAGTTCACAGCTACGGATTCCAGACCTTGGCCTCCAGAACTGCGAGACAGGCGTGCACTGTTGCAAGCAGCAGGTGTGGGTGGTTTGCTGTGGCCACCCAGGAAACTCACACAGGTCCTCACTGCAAAGACAATGTCCTTGCAAGGAGGAGGCAGGAGAAGGCGGCCGGTGACCGAGGATGGAAGTGGAGAGAAACTGGAAGACGCTGTGCGGCTGACTCTGCGAGTGGAACCAGCTGCTTCTGTGGAAACTCCTTCGAAGAAGGCTTTTGGGAACCACCTCTGTTTAGGGACAGACTGTGGTGTGACTTATTTCCTGTACAGCAGCTAAGGTGACCCTCAGTCCTTCACATTCCCACTGCATGTCTGGGTTTACAGATCCATCAGCTCTGGCCCGGCCTGCAGGTGCGGGCCGCTTAGGCACTGCCCGATGCCCTCAGCTCCTCCATCCCCTCCGGTCCACCCTGGGGCTGCCCCCGTACTTCCTAAACATGCGGCCCCTCCTGTGCCATGGCCCATAACCGAAGCCACTTGCCCAGGAGGCGCTGTGGGCAGAAGGTGGGGGCCCATGGTACTCTTAGGGGCTCCCAAAGTGCTTCCATTTCTTTTAAAATAAGAAAAATATAAACTTTTAGGTCAAAACAATGTTTTACTCTAAAAAATAATGTTTCATCTTTATCCTGTGGGTGTCAATGCGCACAGTGTTCCCTGTCCGTGGTGTTGGGGGAACTGTAAGTCACAGTGTGGCTCTCCCCAGAATGTGCCTTCCACCTGCGGTCCCCACCTCACTGTCCTATCCTGGCAAGGGCTTCTCAACTCCCAAACCTCAGCTGAGTCTCTCTTCGGTGCCCTGTGGCTGCCATAACAACTAGGATTCATTCTCTCCCAACTCTGAAGGCCAGAAGTCCAAAACGAGGATGCCACCGGGCTGGTTCCTTCCGGAGGCACTTCTGCTACGGACTCAATGTCATCCTCAGATTTGTAAGCTGAAGCCCCCAGCCCCCAAAGTGATGGTCTTAGAAAGCAGGGCCTATGGGGGGTCATGAGGGTGGAGTTCCCAAGATGGGATTTGTGTCCTTGTAAGAGGACGACCACACCAGGGCGCTCCCTCTTTCTCTGCCCCTCTCTCTTTCTCTGTCTCTGGCTCTCCTTCTCTGTTTGTGGCTCTCCCTGCCATGTGAGGACAGAGTGAGAAGGCGCCTACCCCAAGCCAGGAGGAAGGAATTGAGTGGGCTGGGACCTTAATCTTGGCATGTGCAGGCCCCGGGACTGTGAGAAGTCAGCCTCTGTTGTTTGAGCCTCTGGTCGGCGTTTGTTGACTGCCGGAACTGATAGAGATGCCTGCATGCCTCTCCCAGCCTCTGGCAGTGCCAGCAGTTCGTGGCGCCCCGTGGCTGTGTCTCTGCCTCTGCCTTCTCGGCCTCCTTCTCCCTGCATCTCTTCACGTTGTCTTCACTCTGTGTCTCTGTTTGCCCTTCCGATGAGGGCACAAGTTGTGTCTGGGTCCCAGGGCTGATCGGGTGGCCCAAGTAACAGACTGTGCTGTCACGCTGTCTTGCTGAGATCACGGTGTGGGCAGGACCATGACCCTCCCGAAGCTCCAGGGAGTCCCTTCCTGGCCTCTCCCAGGCCCTGGTGCTGCCAGCTGTCCTTGGTGGGTGGATGCCTGCCATAGGTTGGACACTCAATCAGTTACTGTTTGGAAAAATAAGTGAAGCTGGAGTCCCCACCTCCTGACGAAAACTTGTCCAGCCCCCTGTGTGGGGCACATGTGCTAAGTCCCCTTAAAACCTTGTATTTCTTATTTTTATCTTTATTTTCTTTTATTATTATTATTTTTTGAGATGGAGTCTCACTCTCGTGCCCAGGCTAGAGGGCAGTGGCATAATCTCAGCTCATTGCAACCTCTGCCTCCTGGGTTCAAGCAATTTTCCTGTCTCAGCCTCCTGAGAAGCTGGGACTACAGGTGCCCGGCATCACACCCAGATAATTTTTGTATTTTTAGTAGAGATAGGGTTTCACCATATTGGTCGGGCTGGTCTCGAACTCCTGACCTAGGGTGATCCACCGACCTCGGCCTCCCAAAGTGCTGGGATTACAGGTGTGAGCCACCGCGCCTGGCCAAAACCTCCTATTTCTAATTCCCCTGACTTGGGGTGTGAGCTCACCCCTCGTAGGTGACAGTGTACCTGCTCTGCTTTGCAAAGTATCAGGACTGAAGTGTGTCCCTTCTGCTTCATAATTACCCATGGACTCTGTTGTCCCACACCATGTTTGCGTAGTGAACACGCCTGTTAATGCCCATGTACTTCTGTTCATGCACAAAGGCTTAAATGGTTAAACATCTTAAAACAAATATGCTCAGCAAATGGAAATCAAACCCATTTCCTTTTCATTTCAGAGTTGTCCGGGGAAAGCGGACTTGAAAGACGTTGAAATTGGATAGGTAATTAATTCACGTGCACCTACACGAGAAAGCAAAGAATGCACAAAGTATTTGTAACATTTTGTAAGCACTGAAATTAATGTAGTGTGAATTTGTCATTTCTACCAAAAGTTACAGATTTTCTATATTATAATTTAATCTTTTTAATGTAAAAAGAATAGAAATTTTGCCCTTTCTGGCCTCTCGGGAAGCAGGAACTAGTGTATCTAATTATCTGAACACATAAGAACATAAAGGAATACCAAGTAGTGGAATTATAAATCGGCTGGAACAACTCCATGTTTTCTGATTAAACTCTCTTTCTGGGGCCCTTAGCAATCATGTTGCCCCTATGTTCATAGTAATTGCATGTGTCAAAGCAGAGGCTTTGTGTAAATGGGACTGAACGAGTTACAATTTTAATTTAGAAGGAGATAACTGTGTCCGCGGCTAGCAGGCCGGTCGGCGGGTTGGGAGTCTGGTGGAGTGCGAGGGCAGAGGCCCCAGGGCGTCAGGTTGATGGCGGGCGGAGATCTAATCAGGCCACCTCACAACAGCTGAATTGTTAAAAAAGAGAAACGCAATTTACCAACACAAAACCAGCCACCTGCTCTCTTGCCTGCGTTATCCATGTAAAGGAGGGCGTCTAATTTTTTTCATAGCTCAAGGGCAATGAATTTTAACAATGGATACTGCCTTGATCATCAAAACGGTAACAGGCTTAAAATGAGATCTTTTGGATAGACTGGAATCTTAGAAACAAAGCAAAATTCTGTTTTTAACTTTTAAAATGCTCAGTATATGCAGAGGAGTAGCCACTCCTTTATAATTTTTGTGAGGAATCTCAGGTGCATGGATGTTTGAGGTTGCTTTTTACGGAAGGGCATATTCGATTCTCCCAAGCAGGCTGTGCTGACTCAGTCATTCAAAGGAAAAATCCAACGGGCAGGAGCACCTCTGCTTCTGACCCCAGAAGGGTTCTCTCTCTAAGGCTGGAAGGATTCATAGCAAAGTCTCCATCGGGAAGCACCGACTTAGTCACAGGTGAACCCAGTGATGCTGAGGCTGAGCCTCTGCCCACTCCTGCACCCATGTGGCCCGGGGCTCACCACCACACTTGTGTCCTTCCCGTGGGCTCTGAGTGCAGCCCTCTCCCGGGGCAGGGAGGGTGGCCGCGAGCCGGTGGGTTCGCTGGTGCCGGCTGCTCCATTCCTAGCTCCAATCCTGTCTCTTCCAGCTCAGCTTTCCTGCTGGTCTCTCATTTTTGGCACATAAAAAGCCAGCGTTAAAGAAACTCTCCTATGTAGACAAGGGAGGCTGAGCTGGAGGCAAGAGTTGCAGGACTTTAGACTTCATGGCTGTTTCAGTCTGCTCAGCCCTCCCTAACAGGATGCCACAGGCTGGGGGCCCCAAGAACAGATGTGGGTTTCTCACAGGAGGCCGGGGGTCTGAGGTCCGGGTGCCGGCAGGGTTGGGGTCCGAGGAGGGCCCCCTTCTGGTTCACAGACGGCCCCTCCTCCGTGTGTCCTCACACGGCAGAGAGAGAGGAGGCTCTGGTGTCTCTTCTCATACGAGCCCTAATCCCATGACAAGAGCTGCACCTTCATGGCCTCATCTAACCCTCGTTATCTCCCAAATACCACTGAGGCCGTCCTGCTGGGGCGAGGGCTTCAGCGTGTGAATTCTGGGGCAGGGGCACGGTGACGTGCTTGAGGGAAAGAGCAGGCGCCCTTCCCCCCACCGACCCCGACCCCGCCTGGCCCAGCGCACTCCTCCGGCAGGGGCTGCCCAGCTGCCTTGTGCCTGTGACCCAGGACCCCAGAGTGAGTCTCTGTGGGTGCTGCCCTGACTCCACTGGACACGCGCCATCATCCCTGCCTTAGGGACAAGGAGGCAGATGGGTGGCACTCACTCGAACTGCCCCACTGGCCGGGAGCTGGGGCTGGCTGGAGGCTGTCTGCCGCCTGGGCTCCTGGCACTCTCCTAACCACCTCATGGGCCTGAGGGTGGCAGCTTCTGCCCCCGAGAGGTCACCCACCAGATGGGGGGTTCCCTGCCGCTCTGCGTGGGTGTCTGTGGGAAAAGGCCTCCAATCAGGAAGAATGATCCGCACATTTATGAACAAAAATCTTCCAACTTTTGAGACATTCTGCCACTTTGTGCAAACTCTCTGTGCCTGTGGCTTATTTGTGGCAGGAGCAGGGAAGGGCTCGTGGCTCCCTCCTGCACAGCAGGACGTGGCGGAAGGACAGGCGAGAACACCTCCTCACCGAGGGACGGAGGCCAAAGAGGCCTACTGAGTGTCCTGATGTCAGGAGCAGGTTCCCCTCCCCGGACACAACCCCAAGTCTCAGCTCCCACTCTTCCCGCGGGCCTCAGGTGGTGCCATCAGGTCAGGCTGGGTTGCCTCTGTGTTGTGTGTGTGTGTGTGTGTGTACATATGAGGCTGGGTTGACTCTGTGTTGTGTGTGTGTGTACGTGTGAGGCTGGGTTGACTCTGTGTTGTGTGTGTGTGTGTGTATGTGTGTCTATTATCACCAGTATCAAGGAATACGGTGGGAAATGTTATTATCAACAAAAGTTGAAACAACATGGCAAATAACAGATTCAAATGGTAGACAGGTTTTGTTTATTCGTGCTGGGGTTATTACATTTAATTTTTAAGCTGTGAGGCACACAAACAAGAGGAAGAAGGATGCGCTGGCCAGAAGCGCAGGTGGCTCCAAACGAGAGAATCCCTGTCCCCTAGCACCAGCCTTCTGTCATTACCAAAATACTCCTGGCCACCCCATCCTTTTGCCACGAGCCATGCGAGTCCTTACACACCTGTTTTGCCCCTGAAAGTGAGATAGAGACCAAAATGATTAGATTCTAAAATGACCAAGACCCATGTAGCCTAGAGGACACTAGGCTGCTGGACTGAAACACGATTCTTCAGGGGTGCCAAGGTGGAGCGGGCTGTCCCCACCCACTCAGCACAGCGACAGCCGTGACCTTGAGAGGGGCTCCGGGCCCTCCATTTGGCTGCTGTGCCACTGGGGAGGGACCCCAGGGATGCTGGCCTTGAGAGGGGCTCTGGGCCCTCCATTTGGCTGCTGTGCTGCTGGGGAGGGACCACAGGGATGCTGGCCTTGTGGAGCGGCAGGTGTGGGCCTTGGCACCAAGGTCCCCTGGGAGCTCAGCTGCTCCTGGCAGCCCCGAGCTCAGGCCTCCACGGGGCTTTGCGTTTGTCAGCATCCACACAAGGGCCTTCTCCACGGCAAACCTGCTTTGTTTGTGGCACTTTGTTTTCGGGGGTCGGGGGTCGGGGGGTGGCTATCAGGAGCCCTCAGCAGTGCAACTTTCCTTTTCTGAAACACGTGGAACCAGAGGACTCTGTCCTCGCAGACACGCTGGCCCTCAGAGCCCCTGTTTCTCCCACCTACGTCATTTTACTTCTGGCCTCCACTCTTGGGGTCCATTGCAGGCTGAGCAGTTTGGTTTGAGGAGCCCCCAAGGTCCTAACTTGTGGTGTCTGAGCCAGGGGGGATTGAGGAGCCTGTTTAGCCCCTGCTGGGGGATTTCTCCCACAGCAGACCCGAGAGTGGGTGCCAGGCACTCCAGGGGTAGGGGATGCCTTGGACCAGCCTGCTCCTGCACACCTTCCCGCGGTCCCCGGGGTCTGGGTCCATGAGCTATGGCCACAGCCTCCTGTGGCCCCTGCTGTGATCCGGGCCACCCCAGCTCCCGGCAGAATAAAGGGCACCAGCAATGCGTGTCCAGTAAGGCTTGTCATAAGCTGACCTCCCTATAAACTCAGGTGACCTTCTCATGCCCACAGAGACCTCCCGGCCCTGGAAATGCCAAACTTTCACCCCATAGTCCCTGCCCCTGGACAGCCTGCCACCACCCGCTGCTGACCCTTCCAAAGGCGTCCCTCCTCGGCAGGGTTAGGTCGTGCTCCTGGGTCGTGTCAACGAAGTTCATGTCGGCCTAAAACGTGTGGCCTTCCCGTGGTGCTGCCAGTCCTGCTGGCTGGACCGGACATCTTTGAGGAGGGAGAATCAGAAACTGACCTCTGCCTGCCCAGCCGCCCCTCTGCGCCGGGCACCACTCAGCACGTGGGTGGGAGTGGATGCCGCTCCATCTTTAGGACACTTTTACTTTCTGTACATAGTCCTGCCTGTCGGGATGCAAAACAGCAGGCCCAGTCCTTTTCCGCAAGACAGCATTCCAGATACCGGGAAGCAGACACTCCGTCCCAGTGCTAGTCGGCTGCGTGACAGAGTGCACAGGTGGGGCCGAGAACACAGCAACGTGTCCCACACTCCCGCAGGCTGGGGACACGCAGACAAAGTGTGTCCCTGTGTCTGTGTGTATCTGTCTGTGTGCGTCCCTGTGTCTGTGTGCATCCCTGTCTGTGTGTGTCTTTCTGTCTGCGTGTCTCCCTGTGTCTGTGTGTGCCTGCGTGTCTGTGTGCATCCCTGTGTCTGTGTGTGTCCGTGTCTGCGCATCTCTGTATCTGTGTGTGTCTGCGTGTCTGTGTGTGTCCGTGTGCATGTGTCCCTGTGTCTGTTTGTGTGTCCCTGTGCCTCTGTGTCCGCATGTCTGTGTGTGTCTGCATGCGTGTGTGTCCCTGTGTCTGTATGTGTCCCTGTGTCTGTGTGTCCACGTGTGTGTCCCCATGTCTGTGTGTCCCTGTGTCTGTGTGTCCGTGTGTCTGTGTGCCCTGTGTATATGTGCATGTCCATGTTTCTATGTGTGTCTGCATGTCTGTGTGTGTCTGTGTGTGTCCCTGTGTCTGTGTGTGTTCTTGTGTCTGCATGTCTGTGTGTCTGGTCCCTTCCTGCACCAGAGCCCAGGTGTGTCAGGTCAACCCCAGCCCGATTCTGAGCTGTTCTGACAAACGGTCATTGTGAGTGTGGTCCTGACCTTCCCTGAGGGCCATGTGCTGTGATGTGGCCCAGTTGACCTGGGCGGGGCTGAGACCTGGAGGGGCCGCACTGAGCCAGATCCCTCTCCGGTCTGCTGCCCCCACAGTGTGTAAGGGTGGCACGTGTCCCGCCCTCCTCACAGGCCGTGTACCCCCATGGCGAGTGTCTCCTTACGGTTGAGGGCTGGCGCTGAGATTGAGCTTTCGGGGTTGGTGAGGACGAACCTGTGTCCCCAGGTGTGAGAGGCAGGAGCTGGGAGGTCAGGGGGTGGCTGGTTCCACCTCCAAAGTCCCTCCCAGATGGTGAGTGGACGGAGGGGTCCTCCCGGTGAGGGGCGGCGGTGAGTGGACGGAGGGGTCCTCCCGGCGAGGGGCGGCGGTGAGTGGACGGAGGGGTCCTCCCGGCGAGGGGCGGCGGTGAGTGGACGGAGGGGTCCTCCCGGCGAGGGGCGGCGGTGAGTGGACGGAGGGGTCCCCCTGGCGAGGGGCGGCGGTGAGTGGACGGAGGGGTCCTCCTGGTGAGGGGCGGCGGTGAGTGGACGGAGGGGTCCCCCTGGCGAGGGGCGGCGGTGAGTGGACGGAGGGGTCCTCCTGGTGAGGGGCGGCGGTGAGTGGACGGAGGGGTCCTCCTGGTGAGGGGCGGCGGTGAGTGGACGGAGGGGTCCTCCCGGCGAGGGGCGGCGGTGAGTGGACGGAGGGGTCCTCCCGGCGAGGGGCGGCGGTGAGTGGACGGAGGGGTCCTCCCGGCGAGGGGCGGCGGTGAGTGGACGGAGGGGTCCCCCTGGCGAGGGGCGGCGGTGAGTGGACGGAGGGGTCCTCCTGGCGAGGGGCGGCGGTGAGTGGACGGAGGGGTCCCCCTGGTGAGGGGCGGCGGTGAGTGGACGGAGGGGTCCTCCTGGCGAGGGGCGGCGGTGAGTGGACGGAGGGGTTCTCCTGGTGAGCAGGAGACAGCCTCCGCGGGGCTTTGGCAAAGTGGCCTGTCTTCTCTTTCATGCTATTACAATGGGCTCCACTGGCTGCATCTTGTTACATTGTGTCACATCATGAGACACTAAGATCCCTTCAAATTAAGATTCTAAGATTTGATGAATTTCCTGCTGAGTTTCTTGAAACAACATTTTGTTCAGAACCACAGGACCTGTGTTTTATTTCTTCAAGGAAGGTAGACACAAAAGTAACAGCAGGAGGGAATACTTGTCTATGCAGGTTATGTCAAGTCTACAGTTAGCTCTCTGTCACTCCGCAGACTGGACATGACAGCCATAAAGGTGTCAATATACCCCCTGCACTATTGTTTTGATCCAAGAGCACATGGCTATTGAAAGGTTCTGTCTGTCTGAGAGAATGATTCTCATCTGCTCTGTCTTATAGTAGCCATTTCCTAAAATATTGTCATGGTATATTATGGTGTTATTTTTAATAATTTCTCAGTCCTCAATACAAATAGATATTTACTAAGCCCTTCCTGGATCAGCTCATGTAATCCCCAGTCTCAGGGAGTAAACACTGTGATTATCCCCAACTGAGGCAGGGAGACCTGAGAAACATGCCTAAGTTTGCCATGGGTGGTGGCAGAGAGGGGCTGCTGAACCTGGCAATCTGACTGCACAGGGTGCCCTAAAACTGCTCCTCCATGCTGCCTTGCCATGGCAACAGTTACCCCAAATGTCCCCTTTGGGAGTGCAAGGTCCTCAAAGCCAGGGACTTCTTTTTCTAGTTTTATGCATGCCGTACCTCCCACAGAGCTTTGCCTGGTTTCTACTGTATAGTGAGGGCTGCAAAAACATTTGGTAGTGAATGAATGAATGAATGAAGGTGAGTTGGTTCATGGACCCCACAGCAGGTGAGTTGCAAAAGGTGGCCTCTTGCGTTCCATCTAGTCAAGCTGTGTTCCTGCTGAACTGGGTCTGCAGAGGAAGAGGCAGCTTCCAGTGAAGGGAGCTGGTTTTCTCAGTGGGTGGTGGCCCCAATGATGCAAACGTGAGCTGCTTTGCCTTGAGACATCCTCTGGCCTTGTTGCCTGAAGATGCTCTATTCCTTCTGCTGACAGGAGAAGGAAGCATGCTGAGGCTGGTGTTTGGGAGCCCCCGGGGATGGAGGAATGCCACAGGCTCCTCTGTACACCCGCCATACCCTGTCCCGCCTGGCCCTGCAGCTGTAGGGAGTGCTCACCATCACCATGGCAGCCCTCCAGGAGCAGGCTGTCTGGCCTCTGTGCTGAGGGCTGGAGAGCCAAGGGAAAGGCCAGGTGAGAGCGTGGAGGTCCTGGTGAGAACACTCAAGTCCAGGTGAGAAAGTGGAGGTCCAAGTGAGTACGTGGAGGTCCAAGTGAGAAAGTGGAGGTCCAAGTGAGTACGTGGAGTTCCAAGTGAGAAAGTGGAGGTCCAGGTAGAACATGGGGAAGTCCAGGTGAGGATGTAGATGTCCAGGTGAGGATGTGGAGGTCCAGGTGAGAACATGGGGAAGTCCAAGTGAGGATGTGGGGAGGTCCAGGCAGGATGCAGAGGTCCAGGTGAGGACATAGAGGTGCAGGTGGGAATATGGGGAGGTCTAGGTGAGAACATGTGGAGGTCCAGGTGAGAATGTAGAGGTCCTGGTGAGAACGTAGGGGAAGTCCAGGTGAGGACATGGAAGTCCAGGTGATAATGTAGAGGTCTAAGAGAGGATGCGGAGGACCAGGTGAGGATGCAGAGGTCCAGGTGAGGATGTGGAGGTCCAGATGAGGATGCAGAAGTCCAAGTGAGGATGCAAAAGGACGGGTGAGGATGTGGAGGTCCAGGTGAGGATGCGGAGGTCCAGGTGAGGATGCAGAGGTCCAGGTGAGGATGCAGAGGTCCAGGTGAGGATGCAGAGGTCCAGGTGAGAACATGGGGAAGTGCAGGTGAGAAAGTGGAGGTTCGGGTGAGGATGTGGGGGTCCAGGTGAGGACATAGAGGTCCAGGTGAGAACATGAAGGTCCTGGTGAGAACGTGAAGGTCCAGGTGAGAAAGTGGAGATCCAGGTGAGAATACAGGGAGGTCCAAGTGAGAACGTGGGGCAGTCCAGGCGAGAATGTGAAGGTTCAGGTGAGGATGTGGAGGTCCAGGTGAGGATATGGAGCTCCTGGTGAGGATGTGGAGGTCCAGGTGAGAACGTGGGAATCCTGTGTCAGGTGTCTCTCACAAAGCGGCTGGCCCTGGGCTGCCCCTGGGCTGCCCCTGGAGGGTCCCTGGTCTTCTTGTGAGATGGGGGTGTCCAATCTTTTGGCTTCCCTGGGCCACACTGGAAGGAGAATTGTCTTGGGCCATCCACTCCAACATCTATTATTTTTTGATTTTTTGGATTATGGCAATTTTAGCAGGAGTGAGGCAGTATCACATTGTGGTTTTGATTTGCATGTCCCTGATCATTAGTGACGTTGAGCATTTTTCCATATGCTTTTTGGCCATGTGTATATCTTCTTTTGAAAATTGTCCATTCATGTCCTTACCCCACTTGTTGATGGAATTGTTTGTGTTTTTCTTGCTGAAAAAAATCTCATAATGTTTTAAGAAAGTTTGCGAATTTGTGTTGGGCCGCATTCAGAGCCATCCTGGGCCGCATGCTGCCCCAGCGGTGGGTTGGACAATCTTGTCCTAAGGGGAACTCTTTATAGAGCAGGGGTAGGCAGGGTGGGGCAGGGGCAGAGGGTGTCCCCGTCCAGCCCGGACTGGTTGAGACAGGGGGATCCCGTGTCTCTTGCCTGCCTGTGGCACCTCCTAGAAGGCAGCACCTTCCAGCTCAACTCCAGCGGCTGCAGGGAAGGGGCGGGCGGCGGGAACTAAATGGTCCCTGGGCTCCCGGGCCTCTAAAGGGCGCTCCGCAGGCGGCAGGCGGTGGCCCCGGGGCTGCGTCTCCCGCCCTCCTCCTGCGCCCCAACCCAGGCCTGGGACAGACACTTCTCTCTCGCGCTCTTCCCCGACTAAGTGCGGACTCCTGGCCTCCCCGCGGCGCCGCCCTCCCCTCCTCCCCCCTCCCCCCCTCTCGTCCTCCCTCCTCCCCTCCCCTCCTCCCCTCCTCCCCTCCCCGCGGGTCTCGCCCCAGCGGTGCAGTCTCCGCGCCCGCCGAGCGGTGGCGCCGTTGCCCTGGGAACCGGGGACTGCAGCCGCGGACTTCGGGGTCTCGGCTCCGGCCCCTGCAGGACCGCGGGCGCCGCCGGGGAAGCGAGGCCTTTGGGTCTGAGGGTCCGAGCGGCTCCCGGAGGTGCGGGCGGAGATAGGAGACCCCCCCCGAGCCTGGGGGGGGCGCAGGAAGGGGGCGCGCGGGGCGGGGGCGCGCAGGAAGGGGGCGCGCGGGGCGGGGGCGCGCGTTCTCCCTCCGGGCAGCCTCGTGGGCGGTAGATGCAGCCAACGCGTCCGTCAAAGCGGTTCAGGGGCGCTGGGAAGAGGCGGCGGTGACCCCGGGACGGCAGTGGGCCCGACCGAGCCTCAGTGGGGGTCCCGCGTGTACGCTGGCCTCGCCCTCCCGCCTCGCTTCTGGGCTTTTGCTCCAACTCTCAGCCGCCGTGGAGATCGCAGGGGGCGTAGGGCCAAGCCAGGGATTCCGCTGTGCCCCGGGCTCGGGAGAGGTGTCCCGGGAGTCTATGGCAGAATTTCCCCCTCATCCTGCGCTGGGAGAGGGGTCTCGCCCCGGATGGAACTCCGCGTTCCCACCTCCAGGTTCTCCCCTGACCTCCACTTCTGTACCCTGGACAGGCGGGTATTCTCCCCGGCCCTGGAGGCTCCTGTCCCCCAGCATTTGCGCGGCCAGGCCTGGCGCTGGGCTCCCCACCCCCAGCCCTCAAGGGCACGAGCTTGCAGAGAAATCTCTGGGTTTGGAGGCCTGAAGTCCCCCTTGGGGCCTGGGTTCCCTTTTGCCCTGTCTGCAGGGCGCTCTGCAGGTTTCTCGCGGCCGTGGGTGATCCGGGGGGTTGTGGCCCAGCCTGGGGTTGTGGTGAAAATGGGCTTTTCAGTAGGGGTTGGGGCAGTGCCTGGAATAACCCGCAGTGCTCACATCTGCCTGCGGGGACCTTCTGCAGTCTTTCTGGCCACCCTGGGGGCGAGGGCAGGACAGGGCTAGGTGTGTCCTCCCCAGCCTGGCCTCTGCCTACCTTGCAGGTGCAGTGAGCTCTCCTGCCTGAGAGAGAGCAGGTGTGCAGGGAGGCGTGGGGGCTGGCAGGTGTGGGGGCTGCGTGCTGCGGCTGTGTTGGGGGAGGGGGTGAGAGTGTGACTCACGGAGCCCCGCCCGCAGGAGAGGGTGGCCTTGACAGGGAAGAGAGTGTGGGGGTGTCTAGCCAGTGAAGACAGCAGAGCGGCAACAAGCTCCGAAAGCTGGAAGGTCGCTGTTGGCCTCGGGAGAGGAGGGCCAGCGCTGGGGACCGTGGGACACAGGAATCCCGCAGCGTGTTCTGCGGGTTAGAGCTGTGTGCAGAGACCCAAGCTTGTCGAGGGCAGTGAGCAGCTGTGGAGGAAATGTCGAGGCTCCCACGTCCCCACCAGTGTCCCCAGCTCCACGTTGAACCCCTCTCTATGATGAGGTGTCTTCCTGGATGGGTGCTGTGGGCATTGTGAAAGGAAAATAAGTCTGGGGTCCCCACATCACTAAGCTAAAGGGAAGAGTCAAGTTGGGAACTGCTTAGAGCAAACCTGCCTCCCTTTCTATTCAAAGTCTCCCCCTGCTCACTGAGATGAATGCAGATCTGATTGCCTCCTTTGGAGAGGCTCATCACAAGCTCAAAAGAACGCAGCCATCTGTCTCTTACCTACCTTTGACCTGGAAGCCCTTCCTCGAGTTGTCCCGCCTTTGCTTTGAATTGTCCCACGTTTCCAGACCAAACCAATGTTCATCTTACACATGCTGATTGATGTCCCATATCTCCCTAAAATATATAAAACCAAGCTGTGCTCTGACCACCTTGGGTACATGTCGGCAGGACCTCCTGAGGCTGTCACAGCTGCGCAGCCTCAACCTTGGCAAAATAAACTTTCTAAATTGAGACCTGTCTCAGAATTTTGGGGTTCACAGCATGCAGCCAGCAGACCTGGTGATGAAGGAGGCTAAGATCTGGCCACATGAATCTGAGGCTCATGTGTATCTGAGGCATGATGAGCCAGCAGGGTGGGGACAGGGTTTGTGCAAGAGAGCTGGGACCCTGAACTTGTGGGCTTGTGTGAGTGCCAGAGCTGGGGGCATGGTGAACCATGCATCCTGGGTATGTGGCAGTAGGGCAGTGACTTCCCTGGCCCTCTACGCCTCTGTAGGGCCTCAGCTATCTGGTAAGGGCTGTGTCTAAGACAGACCCCTGACCATGGTCCTGCCCAGCCTGTTCCCGTGGACCCTGCCAGCATCAGGATTTCTTGGCTGCCTAGTCAAGTGCCATACCTCTCAGAGGAGAGGACAGGGAGGGGCCTGGGGTCTACAGAAGGAGGCTTCAGCTAAAAAGAAGACTTGTGCCACAGAGAACGGCACGGCAAAGAAAGCCGGGGGCACCAAGCTCTGAGGACGCACATCTGCAGAAGCCCAGCAGCTGCACACCGGCTCCCTCCAGCCCTTTCCACAGCACACAGAGAGCCGGGGGTTCCCAGGCCTGGAAACAGGACAGAGTGTGGACCCCCTTTCCTCAGGCCAGGGTTTGCCTTGTCACGTCCATTGTGTAAAGCTGAGGATAAGGGTGAAGGGTAAGGGCTGAGTACTGTGGAGGCCCTGTCCATCAGCACTCTCAGCTTGAGGAAGGTGATGAGCAGGGCCCACCCCCCATTCACCCCTAAACCCCACTTGTCTACCTTGGACCTGGACGAGCAAAGCTGGCTCAGGCACAGGACTCCCTGGGTGTTTGAAGCTTTCCACCCTCAAGCAGGGGCTGTGAGCATTGCAGGCTTGCCAAGCACAGATGTGCACTGCACGGAGTGGGAAGGAGACAGTGTATAGAAATCTTCAGCCAGATTCTGTTCATCGCAATATAAAGATGGCCTTGTGCTCAGGACACATAAGTCACAGGGAAAGTTCAAAAGCTGAGAATGTAGGTGTCTACTTTGGAATTCTATTATCTTAGGTAATATCTAAAAGCAAGACAAATGCTTACAGCAGGCTAGCAGCATGAAAGAAAAGTGAAGCTTCTTAAGGAGAGTTGGGATGATGACATACTGTGGTCAATTTTTAATGCTCTTACAAAGGAAAAGAAGCACAGACAATAAATAGTGCCAAATGCAGTTAGTCACACACGTGTGTGGCTCCCACATGCACATGCACTCACCCCATCAGCTGACCTGCCCACCATCCTGGGAGTCTAGTCTGCAGCTGAAGGCTCATTTGCAAGAGGAAGAGGTTCTGGTGATGGTGACTCAGCTACTTACAGAAAAGTCTTGATCACACATTGAGACATTCATGACACGTTTCCATATTTCCAAATCCATTGTCATCAGGTACATAATTAATTGTAACATTGCTAACTCTGGAAGAAGAAGGAGTTTCCATAATTTATTCATAAGACGAAGTCACCTGTTTGAAGAGCCTTGAGATACTCCATTGAGGGGCTCTCTTTTAAGCATCACTTCTCCTTCCCAAATGTTGGAGGACAAAAGAACTTTCCTTTCCAAATTTGGAAACAGTAGAACTTAATCCTACCTGAATGTGTTCTCCCTTCCTGGGACCAGTGAAAGTACCCAGGTAGAAGCAATAAAGGTTTTCTGGGAAAAGTAGACCCCTTCTGATTCCTGATTCCTGAGAGATGGAAGGCGGGTGGGAATGTGGGTATCATGGGGTGGATAATCGGCTCTTCTGCAACCTTTTGGGACTCCTCCTTGGGCCAGGTTTGGCTCATACATCAGCCCTGTAAGGGGGCCAAGAGAGAATTCTGTGTTTGGCGTGCAGAGATAGAGATGAGGGTGTTTCATCGCCATTGTTCAGTGAATTGCCCAAGCATGGACTGCGTGGTTAGGAAAGATAGAGAAGCTTTGTATTCCTCTGTGACATTGACCAGTAATGTCATAAACCTGAGCTGGAAGAGTTTTCTTGATTTCATGCTTGAGGTACCAGGCACAGCATCTGGCCGCAGCACCAGAAGCACCAGCTCCTGCCCAAACAGGCTCAAGGCCTCATAGGTTGAAGTTGGAGGGCATTTCTGTTTTCATGAGCCAGCCATATGCTGGAGAAACTTAGGGTGGCTGATGGATTTCATTCATGGCGCTTCTCTTAAAGTGATCGCTTGAAAACGGATGGTGCTGTGTCCATGGGAGGCACCCCAGGCCTCCCAAGTGCTGTTGCAGAGCAACTCCCAGAGTCTCGGGCGAGGGGCGTGGCTGCCCTGTGACGGTGGCATCAATCCCCATGTTAAAGCATTAAAAAGGACTCGTACGTATTATCGCCACTAAAAAAACTTGTCACTAAAATTTACTTTATAGTAGTTTTATTCTTATGCTTTCATGTATGAACCGTTGTCAAATGTTGACCCTCTAGTTTTTAAATTTGATTTAATTTTATATTTCCAATGCATGAGGAAGATCACCCGGGCTCTCAACATATTTTTCCTAGTGTACTCCCGTGGCGTGATTGTAAATATTGGGAAGCTCTATGTCTGGGGAAGACAGCCCTGATCTGCAGTGTGCGCTGACTTCCGTGGTGTTAATACCCCCACCCTGGCTCATTTCAAGCTGCTGACATGACGTCTGTGAGCGAGGAGTGGAGATTAGGGGTGTGCGTGGGGTCGCTCAGGGGCAGAGGGGCTGTGCCACCCCCAGCTTCACGGGCAGAGAGCTGCTTAGACTCGGGTGACGTTCAAGCCCCACCCATAACTGCAGGCCCCGGGGACATGTCAACTTTTCTTTTGGTTACAGGGGAGCCTTGTTTTTCCAAAAAAGGACTGACCATAGGAAATCTGACAGCATCAGCACAAGTCAACATTATCCGGGGGTTGAGGGAACAAAGTAGTCGGCCCCACGGGGGTGAGTAAGGAACCATCACTGCCCTTTGCCACGCAGTGTAATTTTTATTAGCTCATTCACCATCACTGAAAAGTAATTTATTTTTTTAAAACAACATAGTAGATTGCAAAGAGTCTGGTGTTTTGGGGTGGTCAGACGCACCAGGATTAAAATTCGGGTTCTGCCATCTAATAGCTGCTTGACCTTGAGAATATGACACGAAATGCCCAGCCCGGAATGCCTGCCTTTCCTGGTGCTGCGAAGGTCATTAATGCGAGCGCCTAGCCCGGGCCTGATGTGCATCCACACTCGGGGAGCCAGCTTGCATCTGCATCTGCCTTCTTCCCCAGGGCCTTGGACAGCTTGCAGAACTCACTCAGAGCACCTAAGAAGGATGTAAATCCCTCCCTTGCCGCCAGGTGCCTGGTGGAGGGGAGTGATGGGTATAGAGGTGTCGGGGAGAGCGCGGGGTGTGGTGCTGAGTGGTCTCTCAGTGGGCTAAGAGCTCAGGGCTGCCCGAGGTGCAGGGACCCCCGGGGCAGGAGGAGTCATAGCCGCTGTGTGTGTGATGTATGCAGTGGGTCTTGAGGTGGGGGTGGCATCCGCCAAACGGGGAGGGAGGGCTACGCTATGATAAAGAGTTCGAGGTTTATTTTTCAGATAAATGTTTGGGATTTGGGGCATATCTTATAAATGTTCACACAGAAACCAACGTGGTTCTCTTTTTTTAAACATTCAAGTATGCGAGAACAAGAAGTTTAGGTGTGAATTCCTCAAATTCTGAGCAAAACATACTGAGATGAGGAAATGGTATTTCACTTTTCTGAGAGGTGTTTTTCATCACTCAGTCACTGTGACATACCGTGGCTTGAGGCGAGCAGCAGGCGGCAGCCCCTGCAAACTTTAAAGGCCGGGGAGGGACACACAAGGCTGGTGAGGGACACGGAAGGCCGGGGAGGGACATGGAGGGCTGGGAAGGGACATGGAAGGTGGTGAGGAGCACGGAAGGCGGTAAGGAGCATGAAGGGCCGGGGAGGAGCATGCAGGCCGATTTGTCCTGTCTTCTGCCACTCCTCGGCCTCCCGTCCTAATCCATCTCCCCACCTGTCCTGACACTTCCGTGCCACCCTCTGGTGACATGCAGGGAAGCCCGTGTGAGTTTCTTGGTCTCAAGCTCGGGTATTCCCAGCAGCTCTTCCTTTTCGCACGCTTGTTTGGCGCCCTCTCACCTTCGGGCGGCCGTCTCATGTCTCTTAGCCTGTGTCCTAAACGTCATCCAACTGTAATCAGAGCAGCTGGAGTGAGTCCAGGCCTCGCCACTGGGAGAACCGAGCAAGACGTTATCTCACCCAGACCTCAGCTTCCTCATCCACAAAAGACAAAGTAAAGTTTCTAACATACAAGGAGTTTGTGGACATCAAAGTTAAAAAATGAATTATGAATTTAACAGAAATATCCCCTTTTATGAAATACTTTTGAACTCTCTAGAGAAATAAAGTCCTTTTTCAATCCCACTCTCACTATATATATATATATATATATGTTTGTTTTTTGAGACAGGGACTTGTTCTGTGGCCTGGGCTGGAGTGCAGTGGTGCAATCACAGCTCACTGCAGCCTCCATCTCCCGGGCTCAAGCAATCCTCCTGCCTCAGCCTCCCAAGTAACTAGTACTACAGGCACATGCCACCATGCCTGACTGGTTTTTTTTTTTTTATTTTTTTTGTAGAGACAGGGTCTCACTAAGGCTCGTCTCGCCCAGGCTGGTCTTGAACTCCTGGGCTCAAGTGATCCTCCCATTTCAGCCTCCCAAATTCTAGGATTACAGATGTGAGCCCCTGTGCCCCGCCCTGTCTCCACTCTCTCTCTCTCTTTTTTTTTTTTTTTTTTTTTTGAGATGGAGTCTCCCTCTGTTGCCCAGGCTGGAGTGCAGTGGCACGATCTCAGCTCACTGCAACCTCTGCCTCCCAGGTTCATGCGATCCTCCTGCCTCAGCACCCCCTAGTAGCTGGGATTACAGGCGTGTGCCAGCATGCTTGGCTAATTTTTGTATTTTTAGTAGAGATGGGGTTTCACCATGTTGGCCAGGCTGGTCTCGAGCTCCTGACCTCAGGTGATCCACCTGCCTTGACCTCCCAAAATGCTGGGATTACAGGCATGAGCCACCGTGCCCAGCCACCTCCACTCTCTTTGTATTCTGAGTAACCTAGAAACACACAGCTTTGTACAACTAAGACTTCCTAAATACAGGCCCTTAAGGAATCCAGAAATTGCAAGTATTAAACATGGATTATAAAATAAAAAATTAAGAATAGTCTTAAAAATATCTGCAGGAATCAGGAAAATTTTTTAAAAATAGATAATTTGCAAAATAATTAAGTAGAATTTCCAGAAATAAAATGTTAAAAAATAGCAAAAAACCTCAATAGATGGGTGTAACAGAAAATTAACACAACAGAGAAGAGAATTGGCAAATTGTAAAATCAGCTAAAAATATTCCCCAAACAGAAATATTTTAAAAGGACACTATAGAAGAAGAGGTAACTTTCCCAGGAGGATTTAGGAAATAACAGATTTGTCTAATGAAAGAAGGGCTAAGAGAAAACGAGGCAGATAAAACATGTGAAGAAATGATGTGCAGAAATTTTTAGAGACACCAATACAGACATTTAAGAATCCCAATTATCGCAAGAAACATTTAGACAAGAGGAAATCCATCCTTAGACACATCAAAATGAAGCTTTAAAACAACAAAGTCTGAGAAAATCCTAAATAGGAATCAGCAAAAATAAAGATTAATCGTGTTCAGTTTGCTTTGAATCCTTGAACATATTCATAAGAGCTTTTTAAAAGTGCTTCCCTGCTAATTCCACCACCTTTGCTATTTCTGTTGACAAAGAAATGTTGCTAAGGTGGGACAAGGAACAACTATCAGAGGTGGCACAGGGCTGGGACAAATTCAAGTTCTGACCAGGCAGGGTAGAAATACTTTGTTGAATGCCTAGGACTTTTAGTAAAGATCCCAGAAAAGGCATACCTTAGTATCAGGGCCAAACCAGATCTAGGGTGAAGGCTAATCTATCTCCAACTCTATAAAGCCTAAATCAACCTTCAAAGAAAGCACCTGGACCACGAGGAAATTCACTTCCTTCTGGGGGAAATGTCCTCAACGTGTACTAAAGGAAGGCAGTGAGATGCAGCCACTCAGCAGCGTAATAGTCACAATGCACATCACCCGATAAAAATTATTAGGCATGCAAAAGATCAGGGAAACTTGACCCAGTCCATGGAGAAAAAGATCCAGAAATGACAAAGATGATTAAAATAGCAGATAAGAAATTGAAAATAGCAGTTAGAAATAGGTCCAAGAGGCTGGGCGCGGTGCCTCATGCCTGTAATCCCAACACTTTGGGAGGCCGAGGTGGGCAATCACCTGAGGTTGGGAGTTCGAGACCAGCCTGACCAACATGGAGAAACCCTGTCTCTACTAAAAATACAAAATTACCCAGGCATGGTGGTGCATGCCTATAATCCCGGCTATTCAGGAGGCTGAGGCAGGAGGATCACTTAAACCTGGGAGGCAGAGGTTGTGGTGAGCCGAGATTGTGCCATTGCACTCCAGCCTGGACAACAAGAGCGAAACTCTGTCTCAAAAATAAAATAGAAGTAGATCCAAGAACTTAAGGAAAATTGCACATAATGAACAGGAAAAAAACTATATGAAGAAATAGTATTACAGAGATGAAAAACAAAATACTATTTCTTTACAATAAGTATAAATAATACTAATATAAATATAAAGAAATAATATTACAGAGGTGAAAAACAAATACAGATGCCACTTCATTGTAAGTTGAAAATATTGTAAATAAAAAATGCAGTAAATACACCTAACCACCAAATATAATAGCTTAGCCTAGCCTACCTTAAATGTGTTCAGAGCACTTACATTAGCCTAAAATCATCTAGCACAAAGCCTAGTTTATAATAAAGTCTTGAATATCTCATGTAATTTATTGAATACTGTACTAAAAGCCAAAAAAGAGAAGGGTTGCTTAAGCACTCAAAGTCCGGTTTCTACTGATTATATACCATTTTTACACCATCGTAATGTTCAAAAATCAAGTTAAACCACCATGAGTTAGAGACCTTCTATATGAAATAAAAAGTTACCTAATGGGCTTAAGAGCAGACTAGAAACTGCAGAAGAAACATGAACTTGAAGACTGATCAATAGAAATCATCCAAACAGAAGGAACAAAACTTTTTTAAAAGGCTGAAAAAAGATCAGATTTTCTTTGGCTTGTGGGCTAATATCAAGAGGCCTAACGTGTGTAGTGAGAATACAAGAAAAAGGGAGAGAGCAGAAAATATTTGAAGAAATAATGCCTGAAATTTCTCTGGATTTGGAGAAGATATATACCCATGGATAAAGAAACTCAAAGAACAAAGAAAATCACACCAAGGCCCATTTTAATCAAATTACTGACAATGAATTATAAAAATAATAATCTTAGAGGTAGTCCAGGGTAGGCAAACATATTACATACAGAATAACAAAGACAGAAATAATGACTGACTTCCCATCAAAAACAATGTAAGACAGAAGACAATGGAATTCCAACCTGAAATGCTGATTTAAAAAAATGTTTTTAATTGATGCATGATATTAATACCTGTTTATGGGGCATGTGCTATTTTGATGCATGCATAGAATATGTAATGATCAAGTCAGGGTTCAGAATATCCATCACGTCAAACATTTATCATTTCTTTGAATTGGGAACATTTTAAATCTTCTCTTCTAGCTATTTTGAAAAATGCAACATATTGTGTTAACTATAGTCACCCCACTGTGCTATCAGACACTAGAACTTATTTCTTCTGACTGTGTGTTTTTGTGCTCATTAACCTCCCACTCTTCATTCACCCTGCCAATCTTTCCCAGCCTTGGTGACTATCATTCCGCTGTCAATCTCCATGAGAGCCACTGTTTCAGCTCCCACATATGGGTGAGAACATGTAATATTCCTTTCTGTCTGGCTTATTTCACTAAACACAGTGACCTCCAGTTCTATCCATGTTGCCATGAATGGCAGGATTTCATTTTTTATGGTGGAATAGTATTCCATTGTGTGTATATACCACCTTTTCTTTATCCATTCATCTGCTAATAGATACTTGGTGTAATTCCATATCTTTGCTATTGTGAATAGTGTTGCTGCTGCAGTAAACATAGGGGTGCAGATATCCCTTTCATATACTGATTTTCTTTCCTTTGGATAAATACCCAGTAGTAGGGTGGCTGCACTAATTTACATTCTTATCAACAGTGTGTGAGTTCCCTTTTCTCAACATCCTCACCAGCATTTGCTATCTTTTGTCTTTTTTTTTTTTCTTTTTTGAGACAGGGTCTCACTCTGTTGCCCAGGCTGAAATGCAGTGGCATGATCTTGGCTCACTGCAACCTCCACCTCCCGGATTCAAGCGATTCTCTTGCTTCAGCCTCCTGAGTAGCTGGGATTACAGGAGTGTGTCACCAAGCCCAGCTAATTTTTGTATTTTTAGTAAAGACAGTGTTTCACCATGTTGGTCAGGCTGGTCTCAAACTACTGACCTCATGTGATCTGCTCACCTCAGCCTCCCAAAGTGCTGGGATTACAGGCATGAGCCACCATGCGCAGTCATCTTTTGTCTTTTTGATAATAACCATTCTAACGGGGATACAATGATATCTCATGGTGGTTTTGGTGTGCATTTCCCTGATGATTAGTGATGTTGAGAATTTTTTCACATACCCATTGGCCATTTGTGTGTTTTCCTTTGAGAAATGTCTATTCAGATACTTTGTCCACTTTTAAACAAAATTATTATTTTTGCTGTTGAGTTGTTTGAGCTCCTTGTATATTCTGGATATTAATCCATTGTTGCGTGAATAGTTGGCAAATATTTTCTTCCATTCAGCAGGTTGTCTCTTCACTTTGTTGATAGTTTCCTTCGCTGGGAGCAAGCTTTTTTAGTTGAAAATAGTCCTATTTGTCTGTTTTGGCTTTGTTGCCTGTGCTTTTGAGGTTTTAGCCACACAATCTTTGCCTAGACCAATGTTCCAGAGCATTTCCTCTATGTTTTCTTCTAGTAGTTTTATAGTTTCAGGTCCAACACTTAAGTCTGTAACCCATTTTGAGTTGAGTTTTGTATATGGTGAGATATATGGTTCTAATTTCATTCTTTTGCTTACATATATCCAGTTTTCCCAGCACCATTTATTGAAGAGAGCGTTCTTTCCCCAATATATGTTCTTGGCACCTTTGTCAAAAATCATTGGGTGAAAATATGTGGATTTATTTCTGGGGTCTCTGTTCTGTTCCATTATGAAGTATTCTTGACTAGTATTCTACAGTATTCTTGACTAGTAGTTTTTTTTTCTTTTAACACTTCTGTATTATGTTTCATTTAGCTATTTGTCTGTTTTTATACCAATACCATACTGTTTTGGTTACTTTAGCTTTATAGTATATTTTGAAGTCAGATTGTGTGATACCTCCAGCTTCCTTCTTTTTGCTCAGGATTGCTTTAGCTATTTGGGATCTTTTTGGTTCCATATGAATTTTATAATTGTTTCTTCTATTTCTATAAGAATGTCATTGGTATTTTGATAAGGATTGCATTGAATCTGTAGATTGCTTTGGGTATTCTGCTTGTTTTAACAATATTATTTTTCTGATCCATAAGCATGAGATGTCTTTCCATTTGTTTGTATCCTCTTTAATTTCTTTCATCAGTGTTTTGCAGTTTTCCTTAGAGATGTCTTTCACCTTCTTCATTAAATTTGATTACTTTATTGGTTTCTCTTTTGGCTGGCTTGTTATTGTTTATAGAAATGATATTGATTTTTTTCTATGGATTTTGTATTCTGAAATTTTAATTCATTTATCAATTTTGAGAGTTTTTTTGCTGGAGTCTTTAGGTTTTTCTAAATATAAGATAATATCTTGTGCAAAAAGAGATAATTTGACTCCCTCTTTTCCAATTTAGATGCCTTTTATTTCTTTCCCTTGCCTGATTGCTGTAGCTAGGAATTCCAGTAGTATGTTGAATAGGAGGGGTGACAAGTGGGCATCCTTGTTTGTTTTAGTTCTTGGAGGAAAGGCTTTCAGCTTTTCCCCATTCAGCATGATGTTAGCTCTTGGCTTGTCATTTATGGCCTTTATTATGTTGATGTCTTCTATGCCTAATTTGTTGAGAGTTGTTATCATGAAAGGATGTTAAATTTTGTCAAATACTTTTCTGCATCTATTGATCATGTGATTTTTGTCCTTTATTCTGTTGATGTGATATTCACCATGTTTATTGATTTGTATGTGTTGAGCCATCCTTGCATTTCTGGGACAAAACCCAATTGATTACAGTGTATTATCTTTTGATGCATTTTTGGATTCAGTTTGCCTGAGTTTTGTTGAAAATTTTTGCATCTATGTTTATCAGGGATATTGGCCTGTAGCTTTGTTTTCTGTTGTGTCTTTGTCTGGTGTGGTATGGGGCTAATGCTGGCCGCATAGAATAAGTTAGAAAGAATTTCTTCCTCTGCAATTTTTTGGAATAGTTTGAGAAGATTTGTGTTTGTTTTTTAAATTTAAGTTTGGTAAAGTTCGGCAGTAAAGCCATCCTGTCCCAGGCTTTTCTTTGTTGGGAGACTTTTTAGTACTAATTCAATCTTGTTACTCATTATTGGTCTGTTCAGGTATTCTGTTTCTTATTGGTTCAATCTTTGTATGTTGTATGTCATCGATTTCTTCTAGGTTTCCCATTGATTAAAATATAATTGTTCCTAGTAGCCTCTGATGGTCTTTTTTATTTCTGTGGTATTAATTTTAATGTCTCCTTTTTGTTTCAGATTTTGTTTATTTGGGTCTTCTTTCTTTTTTCTTGGTTAATCTGGCTAGCAGTTAATTAATTTTGTTTATCTTCTTTAAAAAACTCTTTTCATTGATTTTTGTTTTTTTTAGTCTGTATTTTGTTTAGGTCTGTGCTGATCTTTGTTATTCTTTTTTATCTATGATTAAGTAATTTTGGATTTGGTTTGTTATTGCTTTTTTAGTTCTTTGAGGTTTATCATTGGGTTGTCTATTTGAAATCTTTCTGCTTTTGTGATGTAAGTGTTTATTGTTGTAAACTTACCTTTAGCACTGATTTTGCTGTGTCACATAGGTTTTGGTGTGCTGTGTTTCCATTTACATTTGTTTTAAGAAATTCTTTGATTTCTTTCTTAATTTCTTCATTGACCCAATAGGCATTCAGAAACATATTGTTTAATATCCACATATTTGTACTGTTTCCAAAGTCCTTCTTGTTATTGATTTCCAGTTTTATTATGTTGCAGTCTAAGAAGATACTTGATATAATTTTGATTTTTAAAAATTTGTTGAGACTTGTTTTGTGGCCTAACTTATGGTCTATACTGGAGAATGGCCCATGTGCTGATAAGAAGAATGTGTATTCTCTAGCCATTGAATGAAACATTCTGTAAATGTTGCTTAGGTCCATTTCATCTAATATGCAGTTTTAATCCAACATTTCTTTGTTGATTTTCTGTCTCAATGATCTGTCTAATGCCAGGAGTGGAGTGTCGAAGTCCTCAAATATTATTGTATTATAGTCTATCTCTCCCTCTAAATACAACGTTTGCTTTATGTATCTGGGTGTTCCCGTGTTGGGTGCATATATATTTAGAATTGTTATATCCTCTGGCTGAATTGAACCCTTTTAAATTATGTCATGACCTTCTTTGTCTTCTTTGACTGTTTTTGACTTAAAGTGTTTTATTAGGTCATTGTTGCATTACTATAAAGAAAGAAATACCTGAGACAGGGTAATTCATAAAGAAAAGAGGTTTAATTGGTTCATGATTCTGCAGACTATACAGGAAGCCTGGTGCTGGCATCTGCTTGGCTTCTAGAGGAGACCTCAGGATGCTTACAATCATGGTGGGAGATGACAGGGAGCAGGCACATCACATGGCTAGACCAGGAGCAAGAGAGAGACAGCCGGGGGTCAGGGAGGTGCCACACACTTCTAAATGATTGTATCTCATGTGAACTCAGAGCAAGAACTCACTTATCACCAAGGAGATGGCCCAAGCCATTTATGAGGAATCTGCCTTCATGATCCAGACATCTCCCACCAGGCCTTAACTCCAACATTGGGGATTACATTTCAACATAAGATTTGGGTGGGGAAAAAAATCCAAAGTATATCAAGTCTGTTTTATCCGATAAGTATAGCCTGGTGGCAGCAGGCCAGTCATGTCTGTCTTTCAGCCCCTGGATGATACAGGTGAACACTAGTGTTAGTGGGTCCAGGTGGGCTGATTCTTGGACCTCCAGGCAGTTTGCTTGGGTGCCAGTGGCTAGTGTCCTGGGACTTTTTTCAGGCCTCTTGATGGTCTGGACACATGTGCATGGTGATAGACAGGGTGAGTGGACCCAGGGTGTCACTGGGGATCTGGAGATGTGAAGAGGCAGGGGCTGCTGGGCCCCAGGTCAAAATGCAGCCTGGTGGCAGCTGGGCTCTCAAAACAGTGCTGTGCTGCAGCTGCTTGGGTCCCTGGGAGTATGTGGGACCCTGCATGAACTTCCTCTCAGGAACAGTGGTGTCACATGGACTCCAGGCAGCTCTCTGTACTAGACTCAGTGCCCATGAGGCTGAGGGGCTCTCCTGTGACTCGGATTGCAGGGTCTGTGGTCGGGATGTGGAGCGTGGGAAATCTCACACGGACACTTTCCAGGCTCCTTGCCAGTCCCAGCCAGGGAAGTGACTTGCTACCCTCTCCTTCCGTGCCTCAGATTTCCCCTGCCGTGTCCCTCCTGGTCTCTAGTGTCCCTCCTAGATGCTCCACTTGACACGTGGCTATCTGCTCTCTGCTTTGGTCCTTCTTTGTGGATGGGGTGAGTGTCAGCGGCCTCTAGTGTTCCTTTGGAGCCATCTTGAAGATCCCTCCCAAAGTAATGATTTTTTTTTTCACAAAGTCAATTCAGAATTCTATATCTAGTTAAAATTTCCTTATAGAAATAAGGCAAAATAAAGTGAATTCCAGCTGATACCAGCTTTTACTACCAGCAGAACTGGTAATTCAAAAATCATTAAGGCGGGGCGCGGTGGCTCACGCCTGTAATCCCAGCACTTTGGGAGGCCGAGGCGGGCGGATCACGAGGTCAGGAGATCGAGACCATCCCGGCTAAAACGGTGAAACCCCGTCTCTACTAAAAATACAAAAAAAATTAGCCGGGCGTAGTGGCGGGCGCCTGTAGTCCCAGCTACTTGGGAGGCTGAGGCAGGAGAATGGCGTGAACCCGGGAGGCGGAGCTTGCAGTGAGCCGAGATCCCGCCACTGCACTCCAGCCTGGGCGACAGAGCGAGACTCCGTCTCAAAAAAAAAAAAAAAAAAAAAATCATTAAAGGCATTTCTTCAAGGTAGAAAAAGAAAAAGATAGATCAAAACTCCATCTACTTGAAGGAATTAAGACCATTAGGAATAATAAATATGTGCGTAAATTTAAAATATTCTAAACATTCTTTCAGTGTATTAAAATAATGATTGACAATTTAAAGCAAAAATGATGACAATGTATTGGATAACATATAGCATATGTAGATGTACAACGTATGTCAAAATTAGTGTAAAGGTCAGGAAGGAGGAAATTGAAGTACGTGGTTATATTTTTATACACGCAGTGGTGTAATGTTTTGCAAAGGTAAACTGGATAAAAGATACATTGAACCATCAAAACTACACAAATAAAATGAAGAGTAATCACTAATATGTCAACAGAAAGCAAAATGAAATGCTGAAAAATACCCAATCCATATGGTTGCAGAAAAAGAAACAAGAAAGAACAAATGGCACTAAGAAAACGCACAACAAGATGATGGACTTAAATTCAGCCTATGAATGATGAATTAAATAAACTAAACACACACATCTAAATGCAGATCTAATTCAACTAGGAAATAGTGCTGTCTATCAGCAACAGTTTTTAAACATAAGGGTGAAAGGATGGAAGATGTTATATTATTCAAACACTAAATATAAACAAGCTGGGGTAGTATAATATTAATATCAGGACAATGAGAGACCTTTCAATAAAAAGACGTGATAATCATAAATATGTAGGTACCTAACAATGGAGTCACAGCATATATGACAAACTGGCAGAAGCAAAAACAGAAATAGACAATGCACAATTGCAGTTGGAGATTCAACGTTGTTCTCTTGGAAATTGATAGATCAAGTAGACTGAAAATCAGTAAAGATATAGAAGTGCTAGATATAGAGTGCTAGACCAGCACTCTCAACCAACCTGACATTTATAGGACATTACACCTAGCAAAAGCAAAACTCATTCTTTTCAAGTCCATGTGGAGCATTCACCAGAGTAGACCATAGCTGGGCTATGAAACAGGGGTGCTGTATGTTGTCTGACAACAAAAGAATTAAACTAGAAATCAACAACAAGTAGCTGCTGGGAAATCCTCAAATATTTGAAAATTAAGTAGCACAGTTCTAGGTAGTTACTGTGGTATTGAAGACACTCTGAGATTAGAAAATATTTTGAACTGAGTGATAATTGAGAACAAAACATATAAAAATGTAAGGATTGCCACAAAGCAGTGCTCAGAGAAAAATTGATAATGTTAACTACTTACGTAAAAAAGAAAGTTGGGCTGTCGCGGTAGCTCACGCCTGTAATCTCATCATTTTGGAAGGCTGAGGTGTGTGGATCACCTGAGGTCAGGAGTTCGAGATCAGCCTGGCCAACATGGCGAAACCCCGTCTCTACTAAAAATACAAAAATTAGCTGGGCGTGGTGGTGCATGCCTGTAATCCCAGCTACTAGGGAGGCTGAGACAGGAGAACTGCTTGAACCCGGGAGGCAGAGGTTGCAGTGAGCCAAGGTCATGCCACTGCACTCCAGTCTGGGTGACAGAGAGAGACCCTGTCAAAAAAGAAGAAAGAAAGAGAGAGAGAGAGAAAGAAAGAGAGAGAGAGAAAGGAAGGAAGGAAGGAAGGAAAGAGAAACAAAGGAATGTTTGAAATCAATGACATAAGCTTGCACCTAAAGACTCAAGTAAAGGAAATGTAGCTTGAACTGAAAGTGAGTAGAAGAGAGGAAGTAACAAGGATAAAATAAAACATCAATGACAGAAAGTAGAAAAAAAATCACTGGAAAGAAAAGAAGGTTCTTTGAAAAGGTCAATTAAATGACAAACTAGCTAAAGTGATTGAGGAAAAAAGAGAAAACATGAATTACCAATCTCAGGGCTGAAAGCAGGGAACTCACTAGAGATCTTAAATTGATAATAAGGAAACATTATGAAAAAATTATGACAAAAAATTAAACAACTTGGATGAAATGGACAAATTCACTGCAAGGCACAAGTGACCAGAACTGACACTTCCGGGAAAAAGAGAAGTTCTAAATACCCTTGTTGGTGTTTAAAAGAAAAGAAACGCCTGTTTGTGTGCATTTTCTAGGGTGTTTTGCTGCTATCTATAATTTTGAGTTCTCTCCTATTTCTCACCATGGGAATAACCACCTTCACCGTGATTCTTTCTGTGTGTGCTTAGAATCAAGCTCAAATCGTGCTGTTTCAGGGGTCCCCATTTGTCTGAACACCGACTTATATTTATGTCCAAGTTTATTTGATCTATAGCGGTGGCCCATAAAAACGTACTCAAGCAGTGTCAGACTGAGACTTGCCCATTATGATTAAATAAAAATATCATTCTCTCTTCCCAGTATCAGATGTCAGAAATCTTACAATTAACCTTCAACGGTGTTCAGGAAAATGAAACAAAATCAGCGTGGGTTCCCCAAAGTCTGACTTTTGCCCTGAAAGCAGCTTGGCCTATATGAACAGCCAGGAAAATTGCAGCAGAGCCCAACTCTCCCTGTGATCCATTTATCACAGTCTCTCTCAGCCTGACAGAGACAGAGGCGCAAAGCAAGATGCATCAGCGTGAGCATCCTGTGTGGACAATGAGCACGTGGTCTGGTAATATCCACCCACTCAGGCGTGAGCCCCATCTGTTGAAACACAGATGCAAATACGGTAAGAAGTTTCCCAACACCACTGCCGCGCAGCACCTGCTTCACACTGAGATCCACAAAATGTGTACTTCAGTGCCGTGAACCACCCGTTCTGTGCTAATATTTTGCTGTAGTGTTTTGGGTTGGTTTCTTTCTTGGCTGGGCACAAAGGTGTATCAGTTGATCTTATGAATCTCTGAAGTGCAGAAGGAAACCTTATGCAGGAGATGAGCCGAGGATGGTGATTTTGTCCAAGGCTTTTCTTAGGGGACACCCTGAGCATTCCACAGGAAGGGCGAACTGTCAGACATGATTCGCTCTGTCTCTTTTAACTCTAAATGCTTCCAGGCCTCTTACGATAAGCTTTGTTGAAGCAGGCTCTGCGGAGGCACTTCACATCCTAAACATTCTATTTCCTTAAGCACTGCATACCAGTGAGTAAGATTAAGAGATGACAAATGGGAAGAAAGATGGCTGCAATAAATAGAAAATTGTAGAAAAGACACAGACTTTCCGGCCTCTGAGTGCACATGTGAGTGGTTGTGTGTGCATGTGTGTGAGTGCATGTGCGCGTGTGCTGAGGGTATATGTATAAGCCTCAGTGCGTAACCAGATGCGTGTGTGTGAGCCCAGGTGCGTGTGTGGTGAGGGTATATGTATAAGCATCAGTGCATAACCAGAAATAAATAATTTAATTATTTTCTCCATCAGAAAAAGTTGTAGCTGTTGAGATACATACCAGATGACCTTTATGCAAGAATATCGCAGCGGAGTCATCCCTGTGTCCACACAGCCCGGGTTTCTGACTCTGACGGTGACATAAGGGGTGTTCTGTGAGAAGGCATACTTGTCTCCATGGTGTCACTCTTAGCAACATCCCAGAGTACACCCAACTCCTGGAGCTGCCCTGTGACTGGCCTGCACAGCTGGCCGGGCCCCTTCCGCTGTCTCCTGCGTTGAGGTAGGAGCAAGGAATGCATGGACCTGGAGGAGCTGGGGACAGGGCGCTGCTGATCTGGGAAGCTCACCTGGCCAGCAGGTGCCTCTGACCCCTCCCACTGGGGATGTCTGGAGGCTGAACAGCAGTGTGGGCTGAGAGCAACCAGGCCGTAGGGCAGCCCCCGAGGCTGTGGAATGTCCTTGGGCTGCTGGCTCCCTACTCTCCGGGAACCAGCAAGTGACAGCAGGCTCGGCCTCCTGGAGGAAGAGAGAATCACATGGTATCCCCAAGCCACAGGGGGGCCTTGGAGCATGGCCACAGGGCACATGACCTCAAAGAGCGTGAGAGGCCGGGCGAGGCTGTCCTGCCAGGTGAGCTGCCTGGTGACAGGGAGTGTGAGCCCCACGCATGGCTGATTGAAAGATGCTCTGCTGGAAAAGGGGCACCCAGAGCTGCTCTCCCTGGGCAGGGTCGGGGGTGCCCCAGTGCTGGTGGATCTCGAGGGGCAGGAAGAGTGGGGGCACCTGTGAGGTTCAGTTCAGCCAGTTGTGCCCCAGCCAAGGTGGGGCGAGTCCACACCCTCCCTGATGCTCAGGTCTCGCCTTGGCCCTTGCACACCACTCTTGAGGGGGACCCACGTTCTGCCCGCTTTCTCTCTCCCTGGGATCCAAGTACTCTCCCTGGTCAACCCTGGAGGAGGGAAGCCCACCTGAGAGCTGCGCCTGCTGCAGCTGGACGCACTTGTCATTTCCAGGCTGCGCTCCTCTCCAGGGACCCCATGCCGTGTGGTGCAGGCTCCTGCACAGCCTTGGTGTGAAGTACCATCTTATAAATAATCCACTGCCTGCCTCTCCTGCCCCATCACTCCAGCCGCATGGGACAGGTGATGTTTCTAACAGAAGAGGAGCGTGACCACACACAGCAGTCCAACAGGCATGGCCCAGGAAGCTTCCAGTGGCTCTGGTTCCTGGGCCATTCTGGGAGTGGGCCTGGGAACTTGCGTCTCTTCAGGGTCTCCAGACAGTGCTGTTTTGGGCCCACGTTTCTCAGCCCCTACATCACAACGTTATATTGAAGCATGAGGAGCTCTCCCCTGCACCCTCCAGCATGGCTTATTCCACCCTCATGCCTAAGCCTATGTCTTTGCATGTGGGGTCTTTGCATGTGGGGCAGCCTGAACAATGCACACCCCTCTGGGGCTCAGGGAAGACGTCTTGGGCTGCGTTTTCTGCAACGTGGTCTGCCTTCTGGCCTTGATGCCCGGGAAGCTTCTCTTGGAAAAATGCTGAGAGGCAACCTTGGCTCTGCAGGGCAAGCCTGCACCCGGGCTGGGGATCCAGTGTGAGGCTGGGGCTCTGCCCCATGGGCAGCGCACGGCCAGTGGCCACTGCAGAGCCAAAGGCAGTGGTGATGTGGGGTTAAAAAGGCCGTAGCTTCTGGAGCTCACCCACTCCAGTGGTTTTTCTGAGGCCTAAAGCAAGGGCAGCCTTGAGGGTCTCAGTCCTCCATGCCCACCACGCCTCACTCATGCCCCATGCAGGCCCTCACACCACACTCTGTGGAGCCATTGCCCACGGGCACCTTCTTCCACAGCGAAGCATTGTGAGACCTCAGTGGAGATGAGCCAGCCCTTCCCCGGGTGTTTCTCTTTTATTTCCTTTTCTATTTCCCTCTTCCTATGGAACTTTTATCAAAAAATATATATATAGAGAGAGGGGTAGTTTTCCAACTTGCATAGGACTCCAATATGAGAACAAAGTGGGGTAGTGGGAAAGTTGGTCTCAAGGGCCGGATGTCCCTGAAGATGTCACAGCCCTGCACACCCACGTCCTCAGGGCTTGCAGAGGTTAACAGGCTGCAGAACTCCGCGGGGTGGGAATGCATCCTTAGCCTCCTTGCTTAGACCTGGACACTGGCTTTGCTCCCCTCACTCTGACCTTGATGCAGGACTGGGTGCAACTCTTCATGCCTGAGTGTGTGTGTGTGTGGATGTGTATGCGAGTGTGCGGATGTGTGTGCATGTGTGAATGAGTGTGTGTGCATGAGTGTGTGTGCGTGTGTGAACAAGTGTGTGTGTGTGTGTGTGTGTGTGTGTGTGTGTGTACCATGGCAAGGGAGGGTGAAGGAAACCCATCGCTCCGGCTACAGATGGATTTATCATGAAAGCCATCAAGTTCAAGCTGCGTGGCCTTTCTCAAGGCCCATGTTCTACTCATAATTTTGTTTTATCTTTTTTTTTTTTTTTGAGATGGAGTCTCACTCTGTCACCAGGCTAGGATGCAGTGGTGCAATCTCGGCTCACTGCAACCTCTGCCTCCCAGGTTCAAGCAATTCTCCTGTCTCAGCCTCCTGAGTAGCTGGGACTACAGGCGCCCGCCACCACGCCCAGATAATTTTTGTATTTTTAGTAGAGATGGGGTTTTACCATGTTGACCAGGATGGTCTCAATCTCTTGACCTCATGATCTGCCTGCCTCAGCCTCCCAAAGTGCTGGGATTACAGGCATGAGCCGCCATGCCTGATCTCACAATTTTCAGTGGCTTCTCCTAAAGAGGACCCCATAGTGTATCAGCGTCAGGCCCCGAAAAACTTAGATCCACCTCTGGGTCCAAGTCAAGAGACCCTGAAGGCAAAGAGGTTGGAGTCATGGTGTCGTGGAGAGGTTCAGAAGCCATGCCCTGCTCACAGCTCTTAAACCTGAGTGTTACGAATGAGACATTGGGTCTGGAGAGTGGTCGGGCATGCTCCACTCTCATCAATGCAGGCTGCATGCCTTGGTCCTGAACCTTCTCATCTCCCACTCCATTATCTGCCCCTAGCCTCACAGATGACTCACTCAAGCATGAATCTCCAGCCACATCTTTATAACAAACCCTTGGCAAATGTCTCCAACTACCTCATTAACATCACAGAGATTCCTGAAAATTAGGACACCCTAAACCCACTAATGAGAGCATTCCCTAGTCAAGATGGAACCCTCAGTTGCTCCCTTAAAATCTTCAGGTACCCAGAAAAGACTTCACTAACTTTTATCAGTCCACTCAGTCTTCAATCCATAGGCCATAGAGAGAATGTATTGAAAACAGCAAGGGCCGAGACTGATGGGGAAAGAAAAAGGGAGAAGACAAATTATCCATATCAGGAGTGGGGCAGGGAACACTACTACAGATTCTACAGATACTCACAAGATAATAAGGGAGTACTATGAGCAATTCTATTTCTACCAGTATCAGGGTGGGGCAGGGGACATCACTGCAGACTCTACAGATATTAACCAGCTAATAAGGGAGTGCTATGAATCACTCTATTTCTACCAACATCAGGAGTGGGGCAGGGGGTACCACTACAGATTCTACAGATATTCACAAGTTAATAAGGGAGTACTATGAGCAACTCTATTTCTATCAATATCAAGAGAGGGGAGGGGACACCACTACAGATTCTACAGATATTCACAAGTTAATAAGGGAGTACTATGAGCAACTCTATTTCTACCAATATCAGGAGTGGAGAGGGGACATCACTACAGATTCTACAGATATTCACAAGTTAATAAGGGAGTACTATGAGCAACTCTATTTCTACCAATATCAGGAGTGGAGAGGGGACATCGCTACAGACTCTACAGATATTAGCCAGATAATAAGGTAATGCTATGAATGACTCTATTTCTACCAATATCAGGAGTGGGGAGGGGACATCATTACAGATTCTACAGATATTAACAAGATAATAACGGAATACTATGACCAACTCTATTTCTAAACAGTCTATCATATTCCATTGGACTATTTATCTGTCTTCATGCCAATAACCCCTTAATTAATTAGTACAACTTTAGAGTAAGTCTCCAAATCAAGTAGTTTATGACCTCCAACTTTGTTCTTTTTCTTTAAGATCATCCTGGCTGAGCATGATGGTTCATGCCAGTAGCCCAGCACTTTGGGAGGTCAAGGCAGGCAGATCACCTGAGGTTGGGAGTTCAAGACCAGCCTGACCAACATGGAGAAACCCCGTCTCTACTAAAAATATGAAATTAGCCAGGCGTGGTGGCACATGTTGGAGTGAGCCTAGATTGTGCCATTGCACTCCAGCCTGGGCAATGAGAGCGAAACTTGGTCTCAAAAAAAAAAAAAAAAAATCCTGGTTTTCTAGGGGCTTTGCATTGCCAACTAAATTATAGAATCAGACACAATTTCTACAAAAGACCTTGTTGAAATTTCGATTGAAATGTCATTAAACTTATAGAGAAATTTTGGGAAAATTAACCTCTTAACTTTTTTTAGTTTTCCAATCCATAAATATGTTATATTGTTCCATTGATTAGGTCTGCTGACATATCTGTCAGCAATGTTTGTTGTTTTATTTATTTTATTTTTATTTTTATTTTTGAGACGGGGTCTGGCTCTGTCACCAGGCTAACATGCAGGGGCACAATCTTGGCTCACAGCAAACTCAGCCTCCTGGGCTTAAGCGATCCTTCCACTTCAGCCTCCCAAGTAGCTGGAACTACAAGTATGCACAACCACACCCAGCTAATTTTTCTATGTTTTGTAGAGACAGGGTTTCACCATGTTGCCCAGACTGGTCTCAAACTCCTGAGCTCAAGCAACTCACCAGCCTTGGGCTCCCAAAGTTCTGGGATTACAGGCATGAGCCACTGCACCTGGCCAATGTTTGTTATTTTAAATTTGTAGGTTTTCCACATATGCAATGTATTTTTATGCTATTGGTATTGTTTTTAATTTCATCTTCCAGTTACTTTGTTGATAGCAAATAGAAACATTAATTGAGTTTAGTTTATTGGCCTTGTAAATTCATTAATTCTAATATTTTATAGACTTTTAGAATGCACATAATCAAGTTACATGTGAATAATGGCAGTTTTGCTTCTTACTTTCCAACTTGTATTACATATGGATTTCATGATTTAAATTTGTATTTTTTCTTATTGTACTGGGCAAGATTCATAGAAGTTTTTTGTTTGTTTGTTTTTTGAGACAGAGTCATGCTCTGTCACCCAGGCTGGAGTGCAGTGGTGTGATCCTGGCTCACTGCAACCTCTGCCTCCTGGGTTCAAGCGATTCTCCTGCCTCAGCCTCCCAAGTAGCTGAGGTTACAGACACCTGGCACCGCACCCAGCTAATTTTTGTATTTTTATTATAGACAGGGTTTCACCATGTTGGCCAGGCTCGTCTCGAACTCCTGACCTCAAGTGATCAGCTTGCCTCAGCCTCCCAAAGTGCTGAGATTACAGGTGTGAGCTTCTGTGCCTGGCCAGCAGACATTCTAATTTTGTTCCTGACCTTAGGGAAAGTGTTCGTTATTTCATCCTTAAATTCTTAAATTGGATGTTAGCTGTTGTAGTGCCTGTTCCTAGTTTGTCGGGAATTTTAAACATGAACTGGTGCAGAATTTTCTTTCTGCATCTGTTGACATAATCATGTGGCTTTCTACCTTTCTTTTTCTTTTTTTGTCTTTTTAAAAAATTATCTATTTATTTTTTCTTTTTTTGAAGAAATCTTGCTCTATCCTAGGCTGGAGTGCAGTGGCACGATCTCAGCTCACTGCAATCGCTGCCTCCCAGGTTCAAGTGATACTCCTGCCTCAGCCTGTCGAGTAGCTGGGATTATAGGTGCCTGCCACCATGTCCAGCCAATTTTAGTATTTTTAATAGAGACGGGGTTTCACCACGTTGGCCAGGCTGGTCTCGAATTCCTGACCTCAGGTGATCCACCCGCCTCGGCCTCCCAAAGTGCTGGGATTACAGGCATGAGCCACCGCGCCCAGCCTTACCTTTATTTTTCTAATGTGTATAAATAATTTTGGCTTATATTCCTAAAATTTTATTGTGAACATTTTCAAACATACAAAAAATGAAAAGAATTGTAGAGTGAATGCCCATGGCAAGATTGCTTTTATATCTTTGATTGATCATGTGTATGTCCAACTATCTTTCCATCAACGTATTTTATTTATTTTTGATGTATGTCAATGTCTTTTGACATCAGTACAGTTGATCCTTAAACATTTTGAAGCAGGATATTTCCCTGCCCCCTCCACTGGCAGGAACCGGAGTGCACAGGTGCTGGTAGGGGTGAACTCCACTCACTCACTGCTCCACCCATCGTGGGAGGGGGAGTGCAGGTGTGTGGGTGCAGAGACTGGAGTGAGCACTTTTTGGGGACTGGCAATAGTGAATTCTGTACCAGCCCTGCAGCAACATCTAGGGTAGGGTGCCCACAACCCCTGAAGCCCCAGAGGAAGTGTTACAGTGCCTTTTTAGCTTTGCTGCTCATGGATGGCTTAAGTGTTAACAGCTCAGTGGAGGGCCAGTGTGACAGCCTTTTGCACCCATGCTCATGGCACCCGAGTTCTTGTCTGGTGTCCAGGAGGAATGAGGTTGCATGAAAGAATTGAAGGTGGTAAATGTAGGGGATTTTATTGCTGGTGAACGTGGCTCTCAGCAGGAAGGGGAGCTGAGAAGGGCATGGAGCAGGAAGGTGATCTTCCCCTGGAGGCTGGACTCCTCTCTGAAGCTATGCCATTAAGCTGTCCCTCTGAAGTCAAGCCACTTGTCTCCAATGTCCAATGATAGTCTCTGACATCCAGCTGCTTCTCTTCTCTGCTGGCTGAGTTATGGCATTTTTATAGGCACAGGATGGGGGACGGGGTGGGTGGTTTTGGAAAAGGCAAAATTCGAGCAGGAAAGCATGGATGTGTGGTCTCACTTTGGGCTGTGGTTCCGGGCTTTTGGGCTAGAAGGTGGGGCTCTTGCCAGGGGCTTACCCTCTTCTACCCAGAATTTCCCGGCCTGCTGCTCCTATGAATTTTAGCACGTGTATCACTAGAGTTGAAAATTATATTTTTGTTTTGAGTGAAATGCTCAAATCTTAAGCTTACCACTTGAAAAGTTTTAACAAATACACATCCCTGCATGAGGCAAACCTTTGTCAAGGTAGGACGCTACTGCCACCATGGAAGATTCTGTCACGCTCTCGTCCATGAATACCTTGCCAGGTAACCAGCATTCTGATTTGCATTCTTCATAGGCTGGTGTAGCCTGTTGTAAAATGTCACTTACATGGCATCATGTTATCCTATAGCATGTACTTAGAGTTTGGTTTCTCTCACTTGAGATAATGTTTTGAGGGTTATCATGTAGTTGTGTTTATTGGTAATTTATTTCATTTGCTGCTGAGTAGTATTCATTTGGCTATCATAAATGAGGCTACTGAAACTGCCTTTGCAAAATGATGACAGTGAGAGAAATCTGACATAGTTGACTCTGTCTTGCTTCTGACTGCCAAGCTGTCCTCGGTCATTCCTGGGTGTACACCAGGCTGACTTTGGGAGAAACTTAGTTTCTAGTTTAAAGCAAGGATGATAATAGCCCTTCCCAAAACTAAACCACGTTTGTAAAACTAATGAAAGGTCACAAGATAGGTGTATCTTCTATAATCCCTTGCTGCTTAGGACTCATGTGGCCAGAAGTCACAGATTTGTGACTTCCCCAATTACTCATATAGACAACTTCACTATTGTAGAACCTAGGATTGATGTGTTGAGATATCTTTCAGACTGACCCCACCCGGACACCTGACTCATGACTCAACCAATCCTGTGGTCCCCCCAGGGGCAGACTCAGTGCACCCCTATGATTTCATCCCCAAACAATATTCCCCATTCCCTGGTCCCCTGCCTACCAAACTAGCCTTGAAAACCCCTTATAATTTTTGTTTTAAACGATTACGTTAATTTTAAAAAATTCAAAGGAAAATAATTTTTTACATTTACCCATGTATTTATTGAAACTGGTGTTCCTCAGACCTTCTGGAGGATCTGACTTCCATCTGATGTCATTTGGCTTCAGCCTGAAGAGCTTTTAGCATTTCTGGAGTGTAGATTTGCTAGGCACATGTTTTTTTAGATTTTCCTTCTTTGAGAGCATGTTTGCTTGTCCTTATTCTTGAAGGATATTTTGCTGGAGTATAAAATTCTCGGTGTTTTCTTTTAGCCCTTTGGAGATGTCATTTTCCTGTCTTCTGGCTTCCGTTATTTCTGCTGAGAAGTCCAGCAGTTGTTTGCATGTTGTTCTCCTGTGTATGATGTGTGCTTTTTCTTCAGCTGCTTTTAATGTTTCCTCTTACCTTTGACTTTCCTCATTTAGACCCTAATGTGCTTGGGATACTTTTCTTTCTGTCAATCCTGCTTTGGGTTCACTTGGGTTTCTTGATTCTTTTTTATTTATTTATTTATTTTTTTGAGATGGAGTCTCACTCTGTCGCCCAGGCTGGAGTGCAGTGGCGCAATCTCAGCTCACTGCAAGCTCCGCCTCCTGGGTTCATGCCATTCTTGGGCCTCAGTCTCCTGAGTAGCTGGGACTACGGGGGCCCGCCACCACGCCCAGCTAATTTTTTGTATTTTAAATAGACATGGGGTTTCACCGTGTTAGCCAGGATGGTCTCGATCTCCTGACCTTGTGATCCGCCCGCCTCGGCCTCCCAGAGTGCTGGGATTATAGGCGTGAGCCACCGCGCCCGGCCTCTTGATTCTTTAATCTCATGTCTTCTACTAAAGTGAGAAAATGTGTCCTCTACTTTTCAAAAATGTTTTTCTCCCCCATTTGTTCCTGTACACCTGTGACTCACATTTCACTATTAGACCCTTTGATGGTATCTCTCAGGTCTCTGAGACTGCATTGATGTCTTTCAGTTTTTTTCTTCTTCTCCCTAAGATTAGATGATTTCTGTTAATGTATCTTCCAAGTTTACTGGCTCCTGTATCATCCCTATTCTGCTGCTAAGTGTACATGTTGCATTTTCCATTTCAGATATTATATTTTTCAGTTATAGAATTTCATATAGTTCTTTTATATTTTATACATTTTAAGTAATTTATATTTGGTTCTCTTAATTTTTCTGATGACATTTACTATTTGTTCATTCATTTCAAATATTCATTCATTCTTTATGCCCTTGAGTGTTATTGTTATCATTTCTGCCTTAACATTCTTGTGTAGTAACTCCAACACCTGAGTTATCTTGGAGTTGGCCTCTGTCATTTGCCTTTACTCTTTTTTTTTCTTTGAGATGGAGTCTCACTCTGTGGCCCAGGCTGGACTGCAGTGGCGCAATCTCGGCTCACTGCAAGCTCCGCCTCCTGGGTTCACACCATTCTCCTGCCTCAGCCTCCCGAGTAGCTGGGACTACAGGCGCCCGCCACCACGCCCGGCTAATTTTTTGTATTTTTAGTAGAGACGGGGTTTCACTGTGTTAGCCAGGATGGTCTCAATCTCCTGACCTCGTGATCCGCCCGCCTCGGCCTCCCAAAGTGCTGGGATTACAGGCGTGAGCCACTGCGCCTGGCCCTGCCTTTACTCTTTATTGTGGGTCACATTTTTCTGGTTTTCCTTTTTTAGAAAAATATAATATCTACAAATTTTAGGGATTATAGCAGGATATTATTGTTAAACATTGTAAAAGCTTGATTCTTTTTGTTCTTTGGAATACTGTTGCTATTTTATCTGTTTTTAGAGGCAGTTAATTTGCCTGAATGTAAACTCCAAACACTTTCCTTATAATAATGGCAAACAGCTGAAATCTCTGCTTATTTCTTTCATTTTCAGTTTCTTTACATTTACTGTAATCACAGTTTCAGAGCTCAGCTGGAGATTTGGAAAGGTCTAACACACAGAACTCAGGTATCAATCTCTGTAGTTCTCTGTTTTTCAGAATTCATCCTGCCAAATTCCATCTGCTGAGGTCTCCACAATCTCTGTCCCTGATTCTTTGTGCCAGTAACACTATTTTCTATGAAAGTTTTATCTGTCTGGCATGGTGATGACTTTGACCTGACCCCAGTAAAGACTGAAAATTGGAAACTCACTCAGAACATCATCTTACAAATGTGGTGGGATTTTTTTTTCTTTACTTTTTAAAAACCAATATGGCAAGCTTGGTCATAATGAAGTTAGTCCTTTAAATTTACTTATATTCATAGTTGAATGGTCATTCTAAAATCTTATAATTTATTTTCTGTTTATTCCATGTGTCTTCTTTACTTTATTTATCCCCACTTTATTGGCACTATAGTTATATATTTTTTATTTCCCTATAGTTTATTATTTGCATAGTTGAAGTATAAAAACCTACCTTAGGCCAGGCACAGTGGCTGACGCCTGTAATTCCAGCACTTTGGGAGGCAAAGGCAGGAGGATTGCCTGAGCCCAGGAATTTGAGAGCAGCCTGGGCAACAAAGTAAGACCCTGTTCTCTACAAAAGATGTTAAGAAAAATAAGCCAAGCATAGTGGTGGGCACCTGTAGTCCCAGCTACTCAGACGACTGAGAAGGAGAATCACCTGAGCCTGGGAGGTTTTGGCTGCAGTGAGCCATGATTGTGCCACTGCACTGCAGCCTGGGTGACAGAGCGAGACCCTGTGGGGGGAAAAAAAACAAAAAACAAAACAAAACAAAACACCTACCTGAAACGAATACTTTTATCACTTCCCAAGCAGTTGAAGGATCTTATGAGTGGTCTGTCGTGCCCCCGCTCGCATTTCCTTTAATGCCATTGTAGTCATATATTTTACTTCTGTGTTCGTTGCAAACACCAGAAGATCACTTTAAACAATCCATACACTCACACTGCCCCTAACAGTTATCCTTTGTGGTGCTCTTCATTCCTTTCATCCTTTCCCCCATGAACATTTTCCTTGAGCTGAAAAATGTGGCTTTAGTATGCCTTGTAAGGCAAGTATGTTGCAGATAAATTTTCTCAACTTTTTAAATAACCACATCTTTATTCCACCTGCATGATTTAAAGCAGCAGTCCCCAACATTTTTTGGCACCAGAGATTACTTTTAATGGCAAAAACCGCAATTACTTTTGAACCAACCTAGTAATTATTACATTGTATTATATACTGAAATAATTATACAGCTCACTATCACGTATAATCAGTGGGAGCCCTGAGCTTGTTTTCCTGCAACTCGATGGTCCCATCTGGGAGTGATGGAGACAGTCACCCCCAAAGTGTGTTGCTTATGTCCGGTGTACTCTGTAATCTCGTTTTGGTTGCTGTCACTGCAGAAAACTCTGCTTCACAAAGACAGGATGTTGGGCATGGAAGCAGGTTTTTCAGTGCGTTTGTGGCAATCTCAGGATATTCCACCTTGACTTTAGTCCAGAACATATGGAGATTTGAAGTTGTCTCAAACACACTTGTAAGGCCACCATTATTTGTGATCTCAAGCAGCCGACCCTCTTCTAGCAAGGACAAAGTCGATTCACCTGGCTTATTCACAAATGGGTCACGGATCCATTCCTTCCCAGTTCGGGGTTCTTTTGTAGTTGGGAAGTAATGCTCAAGCTCTTTTGGAAGCTGAAAGGTGATCATGCACCAGCTGGGGGAAAGAAGGCCCTGGCTCAGTCTCTTTCCAAACAAAACCTCCGCTAATGTTTGAAACATGTCAGAAGTCCCAGTGTTCACTCATTGACCCATAATTCCAGTCTGACTTTTAATGCAGCCACTTTATCTCCTGACTTGAACACAGTTGTCCCTCTCCCTGAAGTGACGGTTTGTGTTGCTGGTTGAATATGTCACACAAGTAAGCAACATTTGTAGCCCATTCTATGTCACTGAAATGTGTTGCCAGTGGTGACTGTTTTTCTAAAAGAAATCTCTGGAGTGGCTCTCATAACTCAAAATCTCGGCCAGTGATCTACCTTTAGAAAGCCACCTCATTTCTGCATATCAGAGGAGCCATCTCACTCCTGTCACACATGTGTCACTGTAAGCACATGTATTTCAGAGAAGACGTGTGTGCTCTGCATCCGTCTCCTCACAGAGCTGCGTGAACAGACATGAGTTAAGGGCATGTACTTTAATGAGGTTGATAACTTTAATCACATACTGCAAAACTTTATTAAGTTGAGGCAACATTTTCCAGCTACCCAGCATTTCTCTGTGGATGACACAGTGCATAGACTTACATCCAGAAGCGACCTCTTTGACACAAGTAGTGAAACCAGAAAGCCATCCAGTCATGGCAGCCACTCCCTCTGTGTGTACACTGACACAAAATGGCCAGTTCAGTTTTCCTGATACATAATCATTGAAAGACTTGAATAGTTCTGCAGCTGTGGTGTTGGTTGGCAACAAAAGTGCACCTAACATAACCTCGTGCACAGCCTCCTGAAAACGGATCTCACAACAACAAGCATTGTTGCCTTGCTGTCAACATCAGTAGACTCATCAGCCTGGCTTGTGTACCACGGTGACTCATTAATCGTCTCTGACAATTGTGCCTCAATATCCTCTGGAATTTTCTCAATTCCTCTAGGTACGGTGCTAGCCAAAAGAGGAACACGTGCCACCTTTTGAGCTGCAGCCTCTCCTAAAAGTTCACGACAAATGTCCTTAGCGCAGGCAAGATCAGCTGTTCACCAACAGTAAAGGGCTTCTTAGCTTTAGCAATGCAGTTAGCCAGTAAGAATGATGCTCTCAGTGCAGACACATTTGAAGTGGTGGCCTTCAATCATTGCTTCTGTTCTTCGTGGTCACACTTTTCTTTTTTCCTTTTGAAAAACTCCAAAGGCTGGTCTTTTAACGCAGGGTGCTTGGTCTTCATATGGCGAAGCAGTTTTGAAGGTTTCATGGCTTCATTGGATAGTCATCACATATTACATTGCAAGTGGGCTTGGAAAATGTGAATCACCTGTTGGAATGAACCTGCAATTTAAGTGGGATTCGTGGTATTTTCTATTAAATGCAGCTTGCTTCTCATTGGCAGTCATAGAGTCTTCTGCTGCCTAACCATTGGGACTTTCCCCCTTTTCAAAGCCCTCCTGTGATGTTTCTTTTTTACTCGTTTTGGCTAGGGTTAGCTCGTGGGCTTACCAAAACTGTGACTGAGACAAGCGTGCAGTGCGGGAAAGAGGCATGAACAGAAGTGGTAAATAAAATAATGGGTGGGCCTCACATGGACTAAAATAAGTGTAGGATTCCAACTTAAAGCCTGCCACCAGATGCAGCTTAATTGTCACTTGCCAATCACTAATAGGGTTTTGCTATGAGTCTGCAACCAATTGATTTATTAGGGTCTCTGTGCAGTCAGACCTCTCTGCTAATGTTAATCTTCATTTGCAGCAGCTCCCCAGCAGTAGCCTCAGATCATCAGGCAGTAGATTCTCACAGTGAGCGTGCCACCCAGATCCCTCACATGCACAGTTCACAATAGGGTTCGTGCTCCTATAAGAATCTAATGTTGCCGCTGATCTGACAGGAGGTGGAGCTCAGGTGGTAATGTGAGCGATGGGGAGTGGCTGTAAACACAGGTGAGGCTTTGCTCACTCGCCCCAGCTCACCTCCTGCTGTGCTGCCCAGTTCTTAACAGGTCATGCACCAGGGCTGGTCCATGGCCCAGGGGTTGAGGGCCCCTGCCCTACAGACTATCTTGCTGCAGGTGGAATTTTAGGCTGGTGGTTTCTTTCCTTTCCTTTCACTGTTCACAGGTAGCATTCCATTGCCCCACGACTTCCATAATTTCTGTGGAAAGTCACTCATGTGTCCAGTTTTCTTTCTCCTTTGAAAGTACCATGGAATCATTCTTTTGCCAATCTTAAGCTTTTTTCCCCTTGTCTTTATTCTATTTGTGTTTACTGAATTTCTTGAACCTGTGAGTTGATGTCTTTAAGGGTTTGAAAATATTAGCCATTCTCTCTTCAAATAGTTCCATCATGTTCCTTTCTCCTTGCAGGATGGGATTGTTGAAAATATTTTCCCCATGTCCTTCACACTCTGTTACATTTTCTTCATTTTCTGTTCTTTCTGGGTTTCAGTTAGTGTACTGTTTATTGATTTGTCTTTCAAATTCCATTTTCAATTAATTAATTCCATTTTCAACTATAGTCAGTTTATTGGTGAACCCATCTGATGAATTATTATTATTATTATTATTATTATTATTATTATTATTTTTTGAGATAGAGTCTCACTCTGTCACCCAGGCTGGAGTGCAATGGTGCAATCTCAGTTCACTGCAACCTCCTCCTACTGGATTCAAGCGATTTTCCTGCCTCAGCCTCCTGAATAGCTTGGATTACAGGTGCCTGCCACCACACCAGGCTAACTTTTTTATTTTTAGTAGAGACTATATCCTTCTGGGGATTTAGCTGGGAGCCATCCATGCCATTCTACAATCTAGTGAACATCTTGGTGAGAAGAGCTGCCACCCTTGCTGCAGGCCCCTCACTTTAGGGCTTTCTCTCTTGAGTACTGTGAGATAACAGGAAATTCCACTTTATCTTCCTGGCCCAGCACTGAAATTTTGGTTCACGTGGTTCTCATTGCTTTTATTGTTCTCTAAAGTCTTTAAAACTATGGTTTTTGTAATTTATTCCATTTTTTTCCCCTAGATTTTACAGTGAAGTACACTCTGCTGATATTTACTTCATCTTACTCGGAAGTGAAAGCCCCACTGATTTTTTTAAAATACGCTAAAAATTAGCCAGGCGTGGCGGTGTGTGCCTGTAATCCCAGCTACTCAGGAGGCTGAGGCAGGAGAACCGCTTGAACCTGAGAGGCAGAGGTTGCAGTGAGCCAAGATCGCACCACTGCACTCCAGCCTGGGCGAGAGAGCGAGACTCCACCTCAAAAAAAAAAAGTTATATAAAATATTGGGGTTTCCTTCATAAATGTTACTCGGGCCAACTAGTAGACTAAGTAAAAAGTAAAAGCATTGTGTTTGTAGAGAGACACTGAACATTTATGGGATGAAAGCTGGGACGTGGGAGAAATGGAAAATGCCCCAGGGCCGCTGGCCCTGCCCTCTCCAAGGCCTGCTCATCGCCCTAAGCGTGGCTGCATCTTCTGCTCCCTCTGGCTACCATCAGCGTGGGCAGGAGGAAGCCTGGGAAGATGGGGAGAGGGGAGCAGTGCTAAAGGGGGGCAGTGGAAAAATCCACAAGGTTGAAGAGAAATAAAAACCACAGGAGGGCCTGTCTGGAGTGTTTTCCCCACCAGAGGTGATAACCAAGAACTAATGTGTCCCACGAAAACCCAGAGTGCAATGGTGGCTGGGGTCACTCTCTTCTCCCGACGTGGCCCTGTGTGCTCCTCCTGGGCTCTGGGGACTCGCCTCCGGTTCAGGAGATGGAGAGGTGGTCTCCAACACCGCAGAGTCGGCCTGCTGTGCTGGCACGTGGCAGGAGTTCTGTGCCTGGCACTTTGGCACTTGTGAACTGACTGCACCCCGGGAAAGACAAAAGGAAGGACCAGTGCTGTGGCGTCTGTTTGCCTGTGAACTGCGACAGAGACACGATAAGTGTCCCCTTGTTATCATCAGCCTAGGGAGAGCTGTGTGGAGGATGGAGACACCAGCCATCAATCTCCCAGAGCACGCGGCATCTCTGTTTAATAGCTGATAGAGCGTCTCCAAAGGGCTTTTTTTCTGCTCTTTGTTTAAAATGACATATAATGGGCCTGGACTTATCAGTGTCTCTAAATGCATTTTCTGTGCTCTGTCCCCACTGGGGGGTTTAGTCCTTTCTAATGAATATATGCAGGATTGATTTTGAACTTGGTATAATTTAATCCATCAATTTAACATTAAATGAATATGCAAAGGGAGCCTCTTTGTGGATGAAGACCAGAAGGCGACGTTCTCATTCATCCGAAATGGACCTGAGCAATGAAAATCTTCCGCTGCTATTCGTATCTGCCATGGGGTCTGTGACTGGGCCGTCTGGGGCCGGGTGAGTCCTGACGCACCTAAACCAGCCCACAGCCCCTCAGCGACTCCCGGGCACGGCTCACACTCACTCAGAATGGAAGGATGTGGCTGCTTAGGGGCCTGGCTGCCACGCTGAGAGCTTTCTGGTCAAGCCACGCTAGCATTGAGCTCTGAACTCAAGCCTGGAGCCCGATGGGGAGCTCGAACCCATTGTGCCGATGCGTCATTGAAAGTTACACGCGTGCCCAGGACTGGACAACAGGTTGAAGCGATGTCCGATTTCTTCGATCCTAATGGTCTGTCAAAGCCTTTGGAGAGCGGATCATTTATAAAGCTCAAGGCCACACGGCAGCGGAAGAGCAGTCCTCCAGGCGCGCACAGACGCCGGGAGCTCGGGAGGTCAGAAAGAGCCGAGTGGTTGAAAACACAGCCCCTGAGCTGAGAGAGCTGCCGAGTCATTGTCGATTGTGCTGAGTGCGGCCGTGATTCCCTGACTCACCTCTCTGTGTGGGGGTGGGAGCAGGGATCCCCTTTTCCGCAGCTGTTGGTTTCTCACGCGCCGGGTCTTTCCAACGCCTCCCACTCTCTGACTGATAGTCTGTGAGCCCAGCAGCAAGGCCTTTGTTCCAGGGAAACCAGAAGTGTTTCTGGCCCAAGGGATCCCCCACCCAGGCCCTTTTCAGACCCATCGTGCGCACTGCAATGGGTCCGCTCCTGGGTTCTCCACGGGGACTTGAGGGCTTGCTCTAGAAACCAAGCCTCCTCTGGGATCTCAATTATCAATCATGTCCCCACCCTCCCCCATCCAGCGACTGGGCTGGGAGCCTGCTGTGATGATCGGAAGGCAGCAGAGCCCACGATGACACGAACCACTATTGTACAGACCTCCAGGACTCTAAACTGACAGGGGCAAGCAGATATAGAGCAGATGGGCCCACAACCTGGGGCAAAAAGGAATATTTCTATTGCAAATCCACACAATTATTGTGTTTGACAACGTTTTTCTTTGCACAAACTCTTCCACTCTACTTCCAAAGAGAATATGAGAGAGACTTAGCGCACACATTCGATTTTCACGATTGGAGACTCAGCCTCAATCAAGGAAGAAGAACTCTGGTGTTCAGGGAGCTCTGCAGCAGCCAAGGCTCATACTCCAGTAACATCTGTGCACTCCCTACAAGGCTAACCATGGAAGTGCCCTAGAGTGTCCAGGTTCATAATCACCCCCTCCTCAAAATGACTTCAGGATGGCTAAATGACCTTCCTAAAGTGCTATTATTTCAACCAGAAAGTCTCATTTCCCACGGGCACTCACGGAACTGAGGCTGCCTCTGGCTTCCCTGTGAAGCCTTGTCCCTGGCCCCACTTTCTCTCCTGCTCTGTCCTGTCACCATCTGTGACTGCTGTGCTCTCTAATCCCGATGGCTGCCTCAGCCTCCAGAAGCCAGGCTGCACCACCTCCCTTTTGTCAGGGCCCTGCCCATGTGCACAGGCCCTCAGGGTCTGCAGAGCCCAGCTCAGCCCATCCCCAGGGCTCCACGTGTTCACAAAGGTGCAGCCCTCCCAGGTCTTCCCAACATCTTCCACACCCCTCCTGGCGGTGACTTGGGTTCCTCACAACTCGAAGGACACCAGTTCTGCCTGTGTGTGGCAGGACTCAGCCCAGCACCATGATCCTCCTGGACACCCAGCCAGGAAGCACAGGGTGCAGGTGGCCCAAGCTCTCCCCATCGGGCCGTCGCTTCAAGCCAGGCAGCTGGCTACACTGCCTAGGGAGCCTTCCTGACGGTGTGTTCAGAAACAGCAATGCCAGCCGGCAAGGACTTGGTGTGCAGCCGTGAGCACTGGCCTTGTGAGTGCGGGGGCTTGGCACGCTGGCACTGTGCGTACCTGCAAGGCCTGGGTCTGGACGGGCGGGGGCGGCATGGTCTAGGCCTCCTTAGAGCAGCCCCGAAGCCCCAGTGCTGTGGCCGAATGAGCTCCCCATGGTCAGGGCACTGCGTCGTTGCCTCCTTAGTGGGGACTGCAGATCTACATGGGGGCCCATGGCTTTGCCTGATGCGGTGGCTGCAAAAGCCATATGGACTTGAATGATGAGCACCTGAGCTTCCCCTCAGCTGAGCTGAGCTGAGTCTTTAGAAAATGAATCCTTGTTGCTTCCCATACAAAATAAGTGAGCCTGAGCTGTGGCCAATGGACATCAATGTGGACACGAAGAAGAAACAATCATATTTATTGTTATAAAATAGACTTGCCCAGTTTGTGTGGGGTGTGCCTGGGATGTGAAGGGAGCAGAGTGTTCGCATGTCTGGGGTCCCCTGTTCGCTCAGCTGTCATGGGAAGAAGCCCCTTCTAACCTCGCTTACTCTGAGGTGAACGCAGGTGGCCTCTACCCATGCTCTGGCTGGAAAAGAGCCATTCCTTGGCCCTGAGTGCCACAGGAGGCCGGGGGAGCCCCACTGCCTTCTCCGTTCTCTTCCCAGCAGGTGCCCACCCTCCATCTAGATCCTGGGATTGTGGGCCGATCCGGCTCCAGCCCCGTGAAGGTGCAATGCTTGAAGGTGCAATGCTTGCCGCCAATCCCCACTGCGCAGAGCTGACCAGGTGGAGGGGACGAGGCCTTGCTGGCACAGGTGCCTTCTCTGGGCTGATTTGCACCTGGCTGGGGGCTTCGTGAAGAAGTGGGGCCAGGGAAGGAAGGCCCTTCTTCACAGTTCTCCGTGTGTCACTGCCATGTTTCTCTGGCCAGCATGGTGTCCCAGAAGCTCTTCCCCAGGCCCAGCAAGGCCGCCCTCCCTCCTTTGTCTCCAAGCTGCCGGTGATGAGTTAAATGAATGCACAGCGAGTGTCCAGAATCCCCCTGCCCGTCCCCCGTGTACTCACTGCTCCCTGGGTGGCCTGGGTGGTGACTCTTTTTGGACCCCGTAAGTTCCAGACCCCAGCTGGGGTCACACTGGGCACCTTTCCAGAACATGCCCTGTGTCCCCTCTGTTGCAGATCTGAGTCAGTTCCTTTGTGTGGGGCAGGATAGATGGCCCTGCCCAGGAGAGGTGGCTTCTGCCTGGTGTGTTGGGGCCCACAGAACCCACTGGGATGCCTCTCAAGGCCCCGCACTGGGAAGGCAGGGACAGTCCAGCCGTGCACTGCGACATCTGAAGATGGTGCTTCTGTGTTCGACTGGTCCCAGTGTGGACATAAAGAAAGAGTTCCTTTCCTGCCTAAACTTACAAGAGTGACTTTAGTTACAAATCAGCTGTTGGATCAACGTGTACATTTCATATTTCTCCTGTGGGTTTAGTTGCTCAAAGACTTGAAATTTTAATATTGCAGCAATGATTGTGTTGATGCTATAGAAGTCACTGGAATTGTTTTGCACTTTTCACAAATACTTTGCATGGCCTCAGAATTCTTCAGAGTAAACCGTCTTCCTGGTTTCTCAGCTCCAGCTTTGATGAATCCTGAAGCTGTCACCTTGGGAAGTTACGCTGGGCTTCAGGTGTCAGGTGCAGATTGCACAGATGGGTCCCATCTCATTCCCCCCAAAACACCAAACTGCAGGAAAGAGAGTTTTTACGAAAAGGCAGACCTGCTGTAACAGAGAGGACAAGAGAGTCAATATCAACAGAACAGGACCTTAGAAGCTAGGAAGCAGGAGAAGTGGAGACTTACTTAGCAGAACCAAGAAAGTGAAATTCTAGGTCTGGGCGAGAGAAGCTGAGGCAACCCAGTTATGCTGCAGAACCTCTGGGAGGCTCAGAGTCCTTCTCTCCAGTGGGAGAAAGTGGCATGCGGGAATGCCTAAGTACCTGGCGATTTTCTATTTTTTTAGGGTAGGTGGTGGGTAGTGAGTGTTTCTTTAACACATAAGTTCCACCATCCTGGCTAACATGGTGAAACCCCGTCTCTACTAAAAAATACAAAAAATTAGCCGGGCGTGGTGGCGGGCGCCTGTAGTCCCAGCTACGCGGGAGGCTGAGGCAGGAGAATGGTGTGAACCCGGGAGGCGGAGCTTGCAGTGAGCTGAGATTGCACCACTGCACTCCAGCCTGGGCCACAGAGTGAGACTCCATCTCAAAAAACAAAAAAACCATATTAAGTTCCACACAAGGAGTTGTGTTGAAGACACTTGCATAGCAAGAAATCCCAAACACCACCCCCAACATCTGCAAACGTGAAGTGAGTCTCAGTAAGAGCCCCTCGTCCGCTGGCCGGAGCAAAGGCCGGTCACTAAACAGGTAAGCTCTCCAGAGAACCAGATCAGCCACGGGTCGGGGGCCTCCTCCGCGGGCGCCTTCCCTGGACACGTATTTACTGAGTGGTGAACGGCATCGTGCGGCCTCACTTGCTTCGTGTTGATTCGGTGGCCAATAAGAAAGATTTCTTTTCTCTTGATCTTTCTAGTGTCTCCCAGGAAGTGACATTTATCAATGGTCAGTACGTTTAATTGATGATTTGGGTTACATATTCAATTTATTTATACCTGCCTTGTCCCATGAACAGTTTCAGTAGGTGTTTTACGTATTCCCGATTGATTTAAACGACGCACAGTCGTTCCCCTTTGCAGTCTTGCAGTGTGTAACACAGGCTAACCCTGTTCATAATCTTAGCCTGTAATGCTGACTACAAATTGCCATTGCTTAGTCATTGTTAGCAGAACTCATGATGTGGAGAAGGAGCGGGAATCCCTTTCGATGGTGACGGACTGTTTCTCTGATGCTGACGATCTCTCCCCTGATACCGCCAAGAAATTGTCTACAGAGATCACTCAATCTCTCCTCGAAACTGTGGGTTTGCAAAATCACACATTGATTCACTTTAATAATTTCATAAGTGCAGAGTTGAGCACTAGGCTGTGGAAGACCCTCTGGGGAGTTATGGAATGCAGGTCTTGGACACTGGTTTCTGCCACCGTGCCTTGTGGAACAAGGGACCCCAGAGAGAGCCACAGGGCACTGGCCCTCAATGGGCCCACGTGTGCAAGAGGGAGACAGCCCCAACTGGGGTTAGCCACGTGCTCTGAGAGGCCTGGGGCATAGCCCTCTGTACTTCAGCATCAGTGAGAGATGAAGCCACAGGAGACCTTTTCTGCAGAGGGAGGGGCTGTGTGAGCTCAGAGGTCCAGGCAGTGCCTCCCTCCCACCCTGACTGCCTGCGCCAGCTCCCACCTGGACTGAAGGTGCTGCTTTTCTGCAGGTTCGCTGGTTAAGGACTGAGGAGGCAGCTGCACATCCTCTCCTCTGTCCGTGGTGTCATAGCAAATGGCTCTTCCTTTTTCTCACCGTGCAGTTGGTCTTGAGGTGAAGCTCAGAGCACAGGACACATTGTTTGAAACTGGTGAAGCCGTGTGTTGTACCAGGCAGCGAGAGAAGACATGTGGCCTTATTTCCCATGCGATGAGTTTTCAGAGTGATGTGAAGACGTGCCCTCTTACTGAGCACCACCTCTCAAATGGCCAAGGGCTCCCACGTGGTCCACTTGCAATGTGGGAGGTCATCCTAGCAGACGGCAAGGGAGGGGAGCTGGCTGCAAAGGTGGACAGTCAGGCTGGAAGGCCTGAGACCCGCAAGAGACCGCTCTGCTACGGGACAGGGGGCTGGTGTTTCTGGAGACAGTGTACTAACTCCGAGGGCCCAGGGAGGGCCGTGCTCCTGGGAGCCAGCCTCTGCAACCTGGCTTTCTGGGTGCCGTGGGACGGCGGGGCTGAGCCTGGCCTCTCCACACATGTGGCCAGCTGCCACTCCCCAGGGGTACAGGTGATGTGCAGTCTGCACACAGGGGCCCAGGGGCCTGTTGCCTTCCTGGACACCCCTGCTCCCATCTTGGGGCTGGTCAGCTCAGCCCAGAGCGCCTAGTACCTTCTGAAGTTATTTTCTCCTCTTTACCAGGAAGAAATGTTTGTAGTAAAAGAAACGGTGGCACATAATTTTGGAAAACAAAGGTATTTTGAGGGCTAATGCTTGTAGCTGGGTTTCCCAGATGCAAAGTTTGCACATTTTATTGTCATCCTTCCATGTTTTGTGCATACATGATCGAGAAGTGTGTGTGTGTGTGTGTGAGTGTGCATGTGTGGGATGCCAATGTGTACATGGTACAACTGTGTGTGCACAGGTGTGTGTTTTTGCCCTGAGTGTGTGCGGTGTGTGTGTTATGTGTATGTTATGTGTTGTGTTGTGGAATGCCCATGTGTGTTATGTGGTGTGTGTGCCTTGTGTGCAGGTGGCATGTCTGTGTGTGTTACATGCCTGTGTTGTGTGCCCATATCTATGTGATTGGTCACTGTTGTGTGTGTTGTGTGTGTCTGCACTGGGTACTCGCTATGTGTGTCGAGTTTATGTGCATGGTGCATCTCTCTGTGGAGCTTTGTGGGAATGAAGAATCAGGTTAATCTCCCAGCTCTCAATCAGAAAAGGACAACCAAAATTTGCAGTCGCACACAGAAGATGAATTTGTTAATGCCTGGCTGGACTTTCCACTCAGGTCTTAACCACCTGGAATGCTGAGGTGCAGCATATGTGATTGATGAAACAGGGACGAGGGTGGTTTCTGCTGAGCACTTCAGGCATGAAATCCAAACTCAGCAAAAGAGCCCCCTTTGCCAGCCCCCTGCTGCTGTCCCAACCCAATTGCTTGTCCCGCTCTCCTTGGAAGATGGCAGCCACACTTGAGTGGGATATCAGAGTGGCTGCTTTTCATCAGGAAGAGGCAGAGACAGGCTGAGTCAAGTGGAACCACTGCTGTCCCCCACTGTCAGGCGGCCCCTGCCCCCACTTGGAGCCCGCCCAGGGGCAGCTTTGTCTAGACATGGAGGGGCACAAGGACTTGAGCTGAGCAGGGCACTGGGCAGTGGGGGCAGCCCAGTGTACTGTGCTCAGAACTGCCTCGACCCAGAGCCAGACAAGTGACCGGGCAGTCACAGCCCCATCTCCTCCCTGCTAAGCACTGGCAGGACCCGCAGGGGAGGAGGAGGGAAGGCACTTCCTGCTGCCTGGACATTCCCCACTCTCAGGAGCAGCACAGACCTGGCCACTCCCATGAACAGAAAGTACCCCTGCAGTGTTGCCCTCCCACACCGTAGGCCACACACCTGGACATTCCACAACATATAACATACACATAACACACACACACACTGCACACACTCAGAGCAAAAACACACACCTATGCACCCACAGTGGTACCACATACACACTGGCATCCCACGGTGTCCCATCTGGCCACAATTGTCTCTCCCCTGTTAATGGCTCTCAGGACACTGCACATAGGGTAGCAAAGGGCAGTGACCCATGACAGATGACATGCAAGTGAGCTGAGCCCTGACGCTCTCCAGCTTCCTGCCTGAAGAGAATCTCTGAGCCATGACACAGGCAGAGGAGCCCAGGCACGGCCCACAGCCTGGCTGAACGCAGGAGACAGAGCCGAGAGTCTGTGGAGGTGAGAGAAAGTGACCTTTGCCCTACAGAGTCTTGCAGAAAAGAGACAGGCGTGGGGCACGAGCTCCTGGGATCCACAACAGGTCTGGGTGGAGCAGGCCACAGAGTGCTGCTCGGTGCACGAGAGAAAGACTCACGAAACGGGAAGGAGGCTCTGGGAAGGAGTAGAGGTCAATGCCCAGCACTCACACTGGGCCGGCCGCCTCTCCTGCCAGGCAAAGTTGAATACGCATTGGGTAGAGCACACAGGAGAGTGTTGCCTCGGTACTGGAGAATAATTCATCCTTAATTGCTCACCTCTCAGGTTCTGCCTAACAAAGCTTAAAAGCAAGATCCAAAAGGCTCAATCTTGTTTCAAAGAAACTCAACGTTGTCCTTGGACAACCCTCAAGAATATGTATAGAATCAGAGGAGCCAAGATGGCCCAATAGGAACAGCTCCGGTCTACAGCTCCCAGCGTGAGCGATGCAGAAGACGGGTGATTTCTGCATTTCCATCTGAGGTACCGGGTTCATCTCACTAGGGAGTGCCAGACAGTGGGCGCAGGTCAGTGTGTGTGCGCACCGTGCGCGAGCCGAAGCAGGGCGAGGCATTGCCTCACTCGGGAAGCGCAAGGGGTCAGGGAGTTCCCTTTCCCAGTCAAAGAAATGGGTTACAGACGGCACCTGGAAAATCGGGTCACTCCCACCCGAATACTGCGCTTTTCCGACGGGCTTAAAAAACGGCGCACCACGAGACTATCTCCCGCACCTCGCTCGGAGGGTCCTACGCCCACGGAGTCTCGCTGATTGCTAGCACAGCAGTCTGAGATCAAACTGCAAGGCGGCAGCGAGGCTGGGGGAGGGGCGCCCGCCATTGCCCGGGCTTGATTAGGTAAACTAAGCAGCCAGGAAGCTCCAACTGGGTGGAGCCCACCACAGCTCAAGGAGGCCTGCCTGCCTCCGTAGGCTCCACCTCTTGGGGCAGGGCACAGACAAACAAAAAGACAGCAGTAACCTCTGCAGACTTAAATGTCCCTGTCTGACAGCTTTGAAGAGAGCAGTGGTTCTCCCAGCACGCAGCTGGAGATCTGAGAACGGGCAGACTGCCTCCTCAAGTGGGTCCCTGACCCCTGACCCTGGAGCAGCCTAACTGGGAGGCACCCCCCAGCAGGGGCACACTGACACCTCACACGGCAGGGTATTCCAACAGACCTGCAGCTGAGGGTCCTGTCTGTTAGAAGGAAAACTAACAAACATAAAGGACATCCACACCGAAAACCCATCTGTACACCACCATCATCAAAGACCAAAAGTAGATAAAACGACAAAGATGGGGAAAAAACAGAACAGAAAAACTGGAAACTCTAAAAAGCAGAGCGCCTCTCCTCCTCCAAAGGAATGCAGTTCCTCACCAGCAACGGAACAAAGCTGGATGGAGAATGACTTTGACGAGCTGAGAGAAGAAGGCTTCAGACGATCAAATTACTCTGAGCTACGGGAGGACATTCAAACCAAAGGCAAAGAAGTTGAAAACTTTGAAAAAAATTTAGAAGAATGTATAACTAGAGTAACCAATACAGAGAAGTGCTTAAAGGAGCTGATGGAGCTGAAAACCAAGGCTCGAGAACTACGTGAAGAATGCAGAAGCCTCAGGAGCCGATGCGATCAACTGGAAGAAAGGGTATCAGCAATGGAAGATGAAATGAGTGAAATGAAGTGAGAAGGGAAGTTTAGAGAAAAAAGAATAAAAAGAAATGAGCAAAGCCTCCAAGAAATATGGGACTATGTGAAAAGACCAAATCTACGTCTGATTGGTGTACCTGAAAGTGATGGGGAGAATGGAACCAAGTTGGAAAACACTCTGCAGGATATTATCCAGGAGAACTTCCCCAATCTAGCAAGGCAGGCCAACGTTCAGATTCAGGAAATACAGAGAACGCCACAAAGATACTCCTCGAGAAGAGCAACTCCAAGACACATAACTGTCGGATTCACCAAAGCTGAAATGAAGGAAAAAATGTTAAGGGCAGCCAGAGAAAGGTCGGGTTACCCACAGAGGGAAGCCCATCAGACTAACAGCGGATCTCTCGGCAGAAACTCTACAAGCCAGAAGAGAGTGGGGGCCAATATTCAACATTCTTAAAGAAAAGAATTTTCAACCCAGAATTTCATATCCAGCCAAACTAAGCTTCATAAGTGAAGGAGAAATAAAATACTTCACAGACAAGCAAAGGCTGAGAGATTCTGTCACCACCAGGCCTGCCCTAAAAGAGCTCCTGAAGGAAGCGCTAAACATGGAAAGGAACAACTGGTACCAGCCACTGCAAAATCATGCCAAAATGTAAAGACCATCGAGACTAGGAAGAAACTGCATCAACTAACAAGCAAAATAACCAGCTAACATCATAATGACAGGATCAAATTCACACATAACAATATTAACTTTAAATGTAAATGGACTAAATGCTCCAATTAAAAGACACAGACTGGCAAATTGGATAAAGAGTCAAGACCCATCGGTGTGCTGTATTCAGGAAACCCATCTCACGTGCAGAGACACACATAGGCTCAAAATAAAAGGATGAAGATCTACCAAGCAAATGGAAAACAAAAAAAGGCAGGGGTTGCAATCCTAGTCTCTGATAAAACAGACTTTAAACCAACAAAGATCAAAAGAGACAAGGCCATTACATAATGGTAAAGGGATCAATTCAACAAGAAGAGCTAACTATCCTAAATATATATGCACCCAATACAGGAGCACCAAGATTCATAAAGCAAGTCCTGAGTAACCTACAAAGAGACTTAGACTCCCACACATTAATAATGGGAGACTTTAACACCCCACTGTCAACATTAGACAGATCAACAAGACAGAAAGTCAACAAGGATACCCAGGAATTGAACTCAGCTCTGCACCAAGCAGACCTAATAGACATCTACAGAACTCTCCACCCCAAATCAACAGCATATACATTTTTTTCAGCACCACACCACACCTATTCCAAAATTGACCACATACTTGGAAGTAAAGCTCTCCTCAGCAAATGTAAAAGAACAGAAATTATAACAAACTATCTCTCAGACCACAGTGCAATCAAACTAGAACTCAGGATTAAGAATCTCACTCAAAACTGCTCAACTACATGGAAACTGAACAACCTGCTCCTGAATGACTACTGGGTACATAACGAAATGAAGGCAGAAATAAAGATGTTCTTTGAAACCAATGAGAACAAAGACACAACATACCAGAATCTCTGGGACGCATTCAAAGCAGTGTGTAGAGGGAAATTTATAGCACTAAATGTCCACAAGAGAAAGCAGGAAAGATCCAAAATTGACACCCTAACATCACAATTAAAAGAACTAGAAAAGCAAGAGCAAACACATTCGAAAGCTAGCAGAAGGCAAGAAATAACTAAAATCAGAGCAGAACTGAAGGAAATAGAGACATAAAAAACCCTTCAAAAAATTAATGAATCCAGGAGCTGGTTTTTTGAGAGGATCAACAAAATTGATAGACCGCTAGCAAGACTAATAAAGAAAAAAAGAGAGAAGAATCAAATAGACGCAATAAAAAATGATAAGGGGGATATCACCACCGATCCCACAAAAATACAAACTACCATCAGAGAATACTACAAACACCTCTACGCAAATAAACTAGAAAATCTAGAAGAAATGGATAAATTCCTCGACACATACACTCTCCCAAGACTAAAACAGGAAGAAATTGAATCTCTGAATAGACCAATAACAGGATCTGAAATTGTGGCAATAATCAATAGCTTACCAACCAAAAAGAGTCCAGGACAAGATGGATTCACAGCCGAATTCTACCAGAGGTACAAGGAGGAACTGGTACCATTCCTTCTGAAACTATTCCAATCGATAGAAAAAGAGGGAATCCTCCCTAACTCATTTTATGAGGCCAGCATCATTCTGATACCAAAGCCAGGCAGAGACACAACAAAAAAAGAGAATTTTAGACCAATATCCTTGATGAACATTGATGCAAAAATCCTCAATAAAATACTGGCAAAATGAATCCAGCAGCACATCAAAAAGCTTATCCACCATGATCAAGTGGGCTTCATCCCTGGGATGCAAGGCTGGTTCAATATATGCAAATCAATAAATGTAATCCAGCATATAAACAGAGCCAAAGACAAAAACCACATGATTATCTCAATAGATGCAGAAAAAGCCTTTGACAAAATTCAATAACCCTTCATGCTAAAAACTCTCAATAAATTAGGTATTGATGGGACGTATTTCAAAATAATAAGAGCTATCTATGACAAACCCACAGCTAATATCATACTGAATGGGCAAAAACTGGAAGCATTCCCTTTGAAAACTGGCACAAGACAGGGATGCCCTCTCTCACCACTCCTATTCAACATAGTGTTGGAAGTTCTGGCCAGGGCAATTAGGCAGGAGACGGAAATAAAGAGTATTCAATTAGGAAAAGAGGAAGTCAAATTGTCCCTGTTTGCAGACGACATGATTGTATATCTAGAAAACCCCACTGTCTCAGCCCAAAATCTCCTTAAGCTGATAAGCAACTTCAGCAAAGTCTCAGGATACAAAATCAATGTACAAAAATCACAAGCATTCTTATACACCAACAACAGACAAACAGAGAGCCAAATCATGAGTGAACTCCCATTCACAATTGCTTCAAAGAGAATAAAATACCTAGGAATCCAACTTACAAGGGATGTGAAGGACCTCTTCAAGGAGAACTACAAACCACTGCTCAAGGAAATAAAAGAGGATACAAACAAATGGAAGAACATTCCATGCTCATGGGTAGGAAGAATCAATATCTTGAAAATGGCCATACTGCCCAAGGTAATTTACAGATTCAATGCCATCCCCATCAAGCTACCAATGCCTTTCTTCACAGAATTGGAAAAAACTACTTTAAAGTTCATATGGAACCAAAAAAGAGCCCGCATCGCCAAGTCAATCCTAAGCCAAAGAACAAAGCTGGAGGCATCACACTACCTGACTTCAAACTATACTACAAGGCTACAGTAACCAAAACAGCATGGTACTGGTACCAAAACAGAGATATAGATCAATGGAACAGAACAGAGCCCTCAGAAATAACGCTGCATATCTACAACTATCTGATCTTTGACAAACCTGAGAAAAACAAGCAATGGGGGAAAGGATTCCCTATTTAATAAATGGTGCTGGGAAAACTGGCTAGCCATATGTAGAAAGCTGAAACTGGATCCCTTCCTTACACCTTATACAAAAATCAATTCAAGATGGATTAAAGACTTAAACGTTAGACCTAAAACCATAAAAACCCTAGAAGAAAACCTAGGCATTACCATTCAGGACACACGCATGGGCAAGGACTTCATGTCTAAAACACCAAAAGCAATGGCAACAAAAGCCGAAATTGACAAATGGGATCTAATTAAACTAAAGAGCTTCTGCACAGCAAAAGAAACTACCATCAGAGTGAACAGGCAACCTACAAAATGGGAGAAAATTTTCGCAACCTACTCATCTGACAAAGGGCTAATATCCAGAATCTACAATGAACTCAAACAAATTTACAAGAAAAAAACAAACAACCCCATCAAAAAGTGGGCGAAGGACATGAACAGACACTTCTCAAAAGAAGACATTTATGCAGCCAAAAAACACATGAAAAAATGCTCATTGTCACTGGCCATCAGAGAAATGAAAATCAAAACCACAATGAGATACCATCTCACACCAGTTAGAATGGCAATCATTAAAAAGTCAGGAAACAACAGGTGCTGGAGAGGATGTGGAGAAATAGGAACACTTTTACACTGTTGGTGGGACTGTAAACTAGTTCAACCATTGTGGAAGTCAGTGTGGCGATTCCTCAGGGATCTAGAACTAGAAATACCATTTGACCCAGCCATCCCATTACTGGGTATATACCCAAAGGACTATAAATCATGCTGCTATAAAGACACATGCACACGTATGTTTATTGCGGCATTATTCACAATAGCAAAGACTTGGAACCAACCCAAATGTCCAACAATGATAGACTGGATTAAGAAAATGTGGCACATATACACCATGGAATACTATGCAGCCATAAAAAATGACGAGTTCATGTCCTTTGTAGGGACATGGATGAAATTGGAAATCATCATTCTCAGTAAACTATCGCAAGAACAAAAAACCAAACACCGCATATTCTCACTCATAGGTGGGAATTGAACAATGAGAACACATGGACACAGGAAGGGGAACATCACACTCTGGGGACTGTTGTGGGGTGGGGGGAGGCGGGAGGGATAGCATTGGGAGATACACCTAATGCTAGATGACGAGTTAGTGGGTGCAGTGCACCAGCATGGCACATGTATACATATGTAACTAACCTGCACAATGTGCACATGTACCCTAAAACTTAAAGTATAATTAAAAAAAAAAAGAATATGTACAGAAGTACAAAAATATCCATCACCCAGCAAAGTACGATTCTCAATATTTGGCATCCTGTTATAGACTGAATTGAATCATTCCGCAAAATTCACTTGTTGAAGTTGTTTTATTAATATGGTTAATTACATTGCTGGTTTTTTTTTTTTTTGACAGGGTCTCACTCTGTTGCCCAGGCTGGAGTGCAGTGGTGTGATCTCGGCTCACTACAGCCTCTGGGTTCAAGCGATTCTCCTGCCTCAGCCTCCTGAGTAGCTGGGATTACAGGTGCCTGCCACCATGCCTGGCTAATTTTTTTTTTTGAGACAATATTTTACTGTTGTCACCCAGGCTGGAGTGCAATGGTATAGTCTTGGCTCACTGCAACCTCTGCCTCCTGGGTTCAAGTGATTCTCCTGTCTCAGCCTCCCTAGTAGCTGGGATTACAGGTGCCCACCATCATGCCCCGCTAATTTTTGTAATTTTAGTAGAGACAGGGTTTCACCATGTTGGACAGACTGGTCTCGAACTCATGACCTCAGGTGATCCACCTGCCTCAGTTTCCCAAAGTGAGCCACTGTGCCTGGCCCCTTGCTGGGGTTTTAATGTTAAGTCAGTGTTGTAATATGGGCATGAACCTAGTCATGATGTATTATCCTTGTTGTACACAACTGGATAGAATTTGCTAGAATGTTGTTCAGAAGTTGTACATCCATATTAATGAGAGTTTTTTATTTTTATTTTTTTCTGTACTTTTAAGACTGTGTGGTTTTGGTATTGGGGTAATACTGACTTTAAAAATGAATTGGGAAAGAAATTCTGTCTTCAATTTTATAAAAGAGTTTGTGTAGAAATTGTAGAAAGTAAACACTTTCCCCCTCAAAATTTAAGAATAAATCATAAGTGTTAGAAATAATAGTTTCTTTTTAAAACTAACTTCTTTCAAGCCTCCTTGCTTTGTACTAATAACTCTTTGTTAAGCCCTATCCTATGTAGCTGTTAGACATGCACATAGGCACATAGTACATTCTATGTCCTTGTACCTTAACCAAGATATTTGTGTTGGATGTGCTCATAGGCATGTCCCAGCTCACAGCCTATGCCCCTTCCTTATTTAGAAATGTTATAACATTTATACCTATTTTTAAAAAGTATTTAATTATTAGCCAATCGAGTTTTAGTTTAAATTATGAGGTCTAGCTCCAGCCAACAGAGACAGGACACAGCAATAAAGACCTCAATTAGGAATAAATATTCTAATGTCTCCTTATTCTATATGTACCCTTGCCATTATTCCATCTGCAAAGGGCACTCTTACTGCAAAAAATAAAAGTTACCTCACTAAAAAACCTTTTTGTCTAAATGCTAATTTTTCCTTGCAGCACTGAAGAACAAACATTTTGCATTTCTAACAGAAATAGTATAATTTCTTCCCTAAATGTTTAGTAGGATTCACCAGTGAAGCCACTATAGAAAACAGTGTGGCAGTTTATTTAAAAGTTGATGGCCAGGCACGGTGGCTCATGCCTGTAATCCCAGCACTTTGGGAGGCTGAAGAGGGTGGATCACCTGAGGTCAAGAGTTCGAGACCGGCCTGGCCAATATAGTAAAACCTCATCTCTACTAAAAATACAAAAATTAGCCGGGTGTGGTGGCAGGTGTCTGTAGTCCCAGCTACATGGGAGGCTGAGGCAGGAGAATTGCTTGAGCCCAGGAGGTGGAGGTTGCAGTAAGCTGAGATAGCACCATTGTATTCCAGCCTGGGCAACAGAGGAAGACTCTGTCTCAAAAAAAAAAAAAAGAAAGAAAAATGAAAAAAAAGAAAGAAAAAAAAAGTTGACCACACTCCTAACATGTATTCCAGCCTTCCCCTCCTAGGCATTTACTCAAGAGAAACGAAAGCCTATGTTTTCTCACTAAGACTTTTCCACTTAAATGTTTATAGGAACTTTATTTGTAGTATCCCCAAATTGTAAACCAACCAAATGTTCATCATTAAGTGAATGCATAAACAAACAGAGGATATGCTCATTTTCCTGATTGTAATAATGGTTTCATGGTTGTATATATCTGCCAAAATGTGTCAAATAATACACTTAAATATTTGCAATTTATCGTATGTCAATTATACCTTAGGAAAGGTGCTACAATATGTAACAGTATAATAAAAAATTTATTTTAATAGGCAAAAATCTGAAAACAACCATATATGTTGCAAACAGAATAATTACAAATGCTTCCGTAAATGTAAAAATATAACAGTAGAAAGAAAACTTTGATAGGCTGGGCATGGTGGCTCATGTCTGTAATCTCAGCACTTTAGAAGGCCAAGGTTGGCTGATCATTTGAGGTCAGGAGTTTGAGACCAGCCTGAGAAACATGGTGAAGCCCCATCTCTACTAAAAATACAAAAGTTAGCTGGGCATGGTGGCAGGTGCCTATAATCTCAGCTACTCAGGAGGCCAAGGCAGGAGAATTACATGAACCTAGGAGGCAGAGGTTGCAGTGAGCCAAGATTGTGCCACTGCACTACAGCCTGGGTGACAGAGCAAGACTCCATCTAAAAAAACAAAAAACAAAACACAACTTGATAAATGAGTTAAATAGAAGAGATGACACAGATAAAGAGAGAATAAGTGGACTAGAAGATAATGCTGAAAAATTACTCAGAACACAACATAAAGTCAGACATTTCAAAAATGTCATATAGAGTTTGAAAGATATTACAGATGGGGTTAGAAGTTCTAATATGTTATTGGAATTCACAAAGGAACTAGTTCAGAGAACGAAGTAACTATGTAGAGAGTTAATAGCTGAGAATTATCTAAAATTTATAAAAAACATGGATGCCTAGATTCAGAAACACAAATTCAAGCAAGATACATAAAAAGGAGTCTGCACCTAAGTGCAATATAGTGAAATTTAAGGATAAATAGAAGATCTGAAAAGTATCTGGAGAAAAGATAAAGAACTCATTAAAGATTGATAATGGATTAACAGAATAAAGTCATTTGGTTAAAGAAATTAAAGAACTACTGCAATTAGACTGACAGCCGACTTCTCCATCCTCAATATGGAAACCAGGAGCCAATGGAATTACATCTTTGCAGTGCGGACACTAAGTAATGTCAACCTTTATTCATATACCCATAAAAACTATCTTTCAAGAAGTTTTCAGTTTCATATTAAAGAAGAAAACAATTCAGACAAATGTAAACAATGAGACGAAGGCCAAAATTACCTTCTTTGAAGTGGTTTTCTCACCCTCTAAAAACATCACCATTGCTATACTCTTCAACTTACCAGTGCTATTCGAAATATGTTTTTTCTTCCTAGCACAATCTATCCCAGAGTCTTTATCATGTTAAACTCAACAATGCGTCTCACTTGCATCACATGTGGATAAAAAATAATGAGAGACAGTTATTTCATCCTGTGTTCTTCCTGAATTCTCTACTTTACTACTTCTATCCCTTAGGGTAAAAAAAAAATTCAGAGAACATTTAGGGTAAAAATGGGAACTCCCTTAATCCCCCCAAATGTGGTAGACAGACCAACATTGTTTTTCATTTCTGCATCTACTCTCCTTTCTTTCTTTCAAGTTCAGAGCAAGAATTGCCACCATGTATTTAGGAGTGGTTCCTCCTTTCTTCTGGGCACTTTACTCCTTCTGTCTTGCATGTCTAGTCTCTCAGTTCAGAAGCTCAGCCTGCCTTGCTGGAAAGACTTTGATGTCCTTGTCTTCTGGGTCAAGCCTACGCATTGTTCATGACTACATCGAAGGGTCCTTTCGCTATTAGGCTGTGGGAATAATACCTCTCACCCTGGACAGGTCTTTCAACTGCAGACCCAGCACCCCTGTACAGACTTGGACCATGACTGATAATGGTCTTTTTCCCATGGATGTTTTCACTTTGTCCATCTCCCTCCATTCAGCTGAGACTTCTTTTGAGCAAGAACTGCTTGTTTTCCTCAGCACCTTTGGTGCCTCATGTAACACCTGACATTGATGAGCTGCCATATAGATATCAGAGGAATGTGGAAATAAATTAATGAATTTTTTTTCTATGATTACATCTAAACTTCTGGACCGATGTGTGATGAAGCAGCAGGAGCAGGATGTGGCAGGATACAGAAGGACCAGGAGATGCTGTCAAAGGAGGACAAGACGCTGGGGTGTTTGGGCTGGAGAATGCCTAGGTGGCCAGCAAGTGATGCTCAGATCAGGGGGAGGCCACTGCAGCTGGAGCATCTGTGCAGGCTCTTGGTAGGAATCTTGTGTGGAGCCCTTCGCTTATCTAATGGTGGAAAAGATTACCTCCAGGTCTCTATTGAACGTGAGAGTCAGGATCCGTGGGAGTGCCTGGGAGGCCACTGTCTCTCTCTCTCCAGTTCATCCTCCTTTTGATAAATTAATCTTCTTAAATACTTCCAGCATTAGTTTACTCCATTGCTCACAACCCTCCAAACATGCTGCATTGCCTTTTAAATCAAACCCCCATTTTATAAAAGCCCTCCATGAGAGTCAAACTTGTTCCTGTGATTCCCCTGGTCCCCATGTGCCAAGGCCATTCTGAGCATGGCCAGTAGCTTCCGTCAGCTCCTGCCTCCTCCACTTGCTGTGAGCCTTCTCTTGGGAGTCACCAGGGATTTCCAAGTTAACATATCCAAATCGAATACATGACCTTCGGGTTGTTGGGTTGGGAGAAGGCTTGAATTTGCCCCCACGGGCAGTGGATGTGTCACAAAGTGGCAAATTTTCCACCTCTGGAAGCGTCCAAGTAGAGAACAGACTACCGTCTCCCGCGAGTGCTTGAGAAAGCTGGCGGGGGCATTTCACCTCCCAGAGGCTCCTCCCAACGCCAAGCTTCTAAATTCCTGTGAGTTTCAACAATCTGCTGGCATAGATCAATCAGTCAAGTTAAATCAACCAATCATCTCTTTCGTGTGTACTGGCATATTACCGCTTCCACCTCGGCTGCCCAAATAAGACCCCGAGACATCTTCACCACGGCCCCTTCCTCCTGCCTGTCTGCACGGTGCCTGGCTCCCCATGAGCCCCACGCTGTCTGAGGGAGGGCAGTGCTCACTCATCTTTATGCACCTGCTAGCCACCTTGGAGCAAGCACAGTGCAGACCCTCAATACAGGCTCAGGACCTGTGGGAGGCGGGGAGGTCTTCAGGGAGATACAAGGAAAGAAGCATGTCGCGGGGGCCAGCAGACTTTAACTTTGCCAGGCGGGGGTAGCTGCTTCTGGCACTTCCTTTGCCATCACTTCTGTCAGGGACAGGCTTTTGGAGACAATTATATGAAACCATACTTCCTTCTGTATTACTTTCCTGCCATTCCTCATAAGCTATATTTTAATTTTAAACAGCAATTTACAGGGTAATTCATTTACAACAACACAATCCATTGTGATCACAATGCCATACATTTATGTTTTAAGTAATTTTTAATGCTTGTAGCAGCTGGGTCTCTGAAAATAACTAACATTTTTCACCTTGTGCAGCGAGGGGAAGAAAAATTCTCTGCTCTTTAATTATAGAACCACCAAAGACAACATGCAGTGAGTAGGGCAGTTATAATTGCAAAATAAGAAATGGTTTGCTTGAGAACATAGCAGATCCTTCCGTGTCAACATGTAACTGCCAGGGAGAGCAGGTAAAGCCTGGAGCAGAACTGTGCCCACTCCAGGCTCACAAGCCACTGTAATTTTAAGTCAAATTGATTAACATAAGAAGCATTATTAGGAAGATGGAATTATAGAAAGAGTGGAAATAGTTCCCTCTAACCAAAAAGAGCTGTATTCAAAGGGCAAGAGACTGGGGTTTATTTCTGTTTGTCGTTATTAGAAATGCACACACAGCCTGTGCCACAGCCTTGCATGGGTGTGCAGCTGCGGCTGCCACTATGTTCCAAAGGGCAGTACCCTCAGAGGACCACCTGTGCCCTTGCCTACCTGTGTGGCTGCCACTATGTCTCAAAGGGCAGTACCCTCAGAGGATCACCTGTGCCCTTGCCTACCTGTCCACAACATTAACCGTTTTTTCTCTCTCTCTTTTTTGAGACAGGGTCTTGCTACGTTGCTCAGGCTGTAATGCATTGGTGCAATTGTGGCTCACTGCAGCCTCAATACCCTGAGCTCAAGACAGCCTCCTGCCTCAGCCTCCCAAGTAGCTGAGACTACAGGTGTGTACCACCACATCCAGCAGACTTTTTTATCTTTATATTTTTAATTTTAAAGGAATCTATTTGCAGAATACTTACTGGCTAATTTCCAAATTTTTTGTAGAGATGAGGTCTCACTATGTTTCCCAGTCTAGCAGGGAACTCCTAGGCTCAAGTAATCCTCCCATCTTGGCCTCCCAAAGTGCTGGGATTATAGGTGTGAGTCCTATACTTAGCTGCCATTTTCTTTTTTTTTTTTTTTTTTTTGAGAGTAAAAACTGATTTTTAGTTGTGCTTGATTCAGTTCTCGATAACATGAAAGATCCTATAGTAATAGAAAATTTCACATTTCTAATATCCATTTTTATGGTTCCATTTAAATTGAATATTGGTAGTTTTTATTATTGAAACTTTATATCATGCTTAATCAACTTTTATTCTAACTCTTTTGACACTAATTTTTACCAACTTTTATGTCCTGGTTTTGTAATTCTTTACTTATTTGCTGTTTTTAAATGACTTATATTGGATGAGCCTTTCTAACTTTAACCTTTTAGAACCTTTATAACTTTAACCTAATTGGCATCTCTTGTATTAAGTTTGTTTATTGGTTTAGGCAGAAACTGCCTTTTATTTTTTTTATTTTTATTTTATTTTATTTATTATTATTATACTTTAAGTTTTAGGGTACATGTGCACAATGTGCAGGTTAGTTACCTATGTATACATGTGCCATGCTGGTGTGCTGCACCCACTAACTCGTCATCTAGCATTAGGTATATCTCCCAATGCTCTCCCTCCCCCCACCATTTTCTTTTTGAATTAAGATGTTCTGGGAGTGATTAAGCCACCTGTGCTCATATGTAAGTAAATCCCTCATTGCTCACCTAGCATCAGAAGTGCGAGGCAGGACCACACACGTGCCACGCAGGCACTGGCCTTCAACAGTCACGCCAACGTCCTCCGCCACAGACACCTCAAATCCAAGTCTTCATTTCTTCACGTTTTGCTGACATGCCACATGGAGGGAAGTCCATGTTGGTCTCGTTACCACCTAATGGGATGAGTGTCTCATCTCAAAAGAGCAGGCCCTTCCCGGGTCCCGTGGGGCTCAGCCCTGGACAGACGTGCAGCTCAGATCCCCTGGACAGGGTGCCGGTGGCTCCCCTCATCTCTGCCTTTTCCCCTCCCATTTTAACTTACCCCCTAGAGAATTATGTTAAGATAAAGTGACATACACCTGTGTTCCTTGCCCCCTCCCAATGGCACACTGCGCTAGGCCCATCAGAACTAGAGGAAGGAAACAGAATGTTTGGGAAACTCGTGCTGGTGACTGGAGGAGTTCTGTCCAGCCTCGCCTTCCCTCTCCCTCCCTCCCTCCCTTCCTCCCTCTCTCCCTCCCTGCCTCTGTCTCTTCCTCTGTCTCTCTCTCCCTCCTCCTTTCTCTTTTCCTCACTCCCTCTCTCTCCTCTCTCTTCTCCTCCCTTCCTCTCTCCCTTTCCCCTCCTCTCCCTCTCCCTCTTTCTCCTTCCCTCCTTCTCTCTCCCTGTCTCCCCCTCTCCTTCCCTCCCTCCTTCCTTCCACCCCTCTTCCCCTGTCTCTCCCTCCCACACCCCCTCTGGGTGGCGTCAGGTTGGAATCACACAGCTCACCTGGTTTGCCTGCTGGGCACCAGGCTGGCGGGCATAGTGTGGTTCTCCCATGGTGACCAGGCCCAGCGCGTCTCTTTACTGCGTGAAAGGCCTTCCTCTATCCAGAGGTTTATAGACCCCGCCTGACACTGCAGAAATGTAATACGAGCCACCTGTGCATGGTTTGTGAGAAGAAACAGGTGAAATTAATTTTAATGATGTATCCTTTTTAACTCATCATCTCCAAAATATGATCACTCAACATGTACTAATATGCAGTTGTTATTGAGCTATTTCACATTCTTCTTCTTATTTTATTGATTTATTTTTTGTACAATCTTTGGAACCTTAGCACCCTTAGTTCAAATGGCCACATTTGGCAGGCTCGGGAGCCATGGGGCTGGTGATGCCGCGGTGGGCAGCTGTAGACCCTGGAGGAGAGTGAGCCTAAGCCAGGCCCAAGCCAGTTCAATGCCTGCTTGATTAAGTAACTCACCCATAGCTAATTCCAAATGTGGCAGAGAGGCCACCAGAGTGTGGCTTGGGTGTGAACCACAGTAACCCCACCAATGAGCTTGTGTGAGGAGCTTCTTTGCAGAAGTGGTGAGGACGGGGCCCGTCCAGGCCTGTCGGTGGCCCTGCTACTCGGCCATGCCCACCCTGCACCACTGGGTCTGCCCAGGCCCTGCTCCTCGGCCATGCCCACCCTGCACCACTGGGTCTGCCCAGGCCCTGCTCCTCGGCCATGCCCACCCTGCACCACTGGGTCTGCCCAGGCCCTGCTCCTCGGCCATGCCCACCCTGCACCACTGGGTCTGTCCAGGCCCTGCTCCTCGGCCTTGCCGACCCTGCACCACTGGGTCTGTCCAGGCCCTGCTCCTCGGCCATGCCGACCCTGCACCACTGGCCGTCTCGTGACTGCACCAGTGTCACTCCAACATGAAAGCCGTGGGCAGACAATTATGCACAGGCCACCTTTATCCTTAGGCCCCTCTGAGGGGTGTGGATTGAGTCAGGACTGAAGAAGGTGCATGTGATGCAGGCTCACTGTTGCCAGGCCCAGGGAGGACTCCTGCGGCATGGAGGAAGCACACAGTGTCACTGGGCCACCCGCTAGAAGCAGGAGGAGGCAGCTCTGCCCACGGCATCCCGGCAGCAGGGTGAGCAACACCTGAGCCCAGTGAGAGAATAAACTCACAACAAGCTGCATGATGCGGGTTTACTACTCACAGACGGGCAGCAAGGATCAAAAGAAGCCTCAAACTCATCATGAGCCGGTCCCCCAAGGCCTGAGAAAGCTGTCTGGGGCGCAGAGTCCCCACTGTGTATGCCCCATTTGCACCACAGCCGAGGGACCTTGGAAGGCAGCCCACCGGGTTCTACACCTCAGGGGCGGCGCTCAGAGGGACCTCCTGCTGCCGGGGAGGGAGGAGCAAAGTCTGCGTGGTCCCCGGTCTGCGTGGTCCCCGGCAGCTCCTCCCTGATCTGCTTACCTAACAGACCTCGGACGGCCTCAGGAGCCAGGGACACAGGCGCAGGCTCCCGCGTGCTCGCCGGCTGTGTTGTTAAACATCTTCATGCACCAGCCCTCCCGGCAGGCCCGGGCGGGCAGAGCAGCGGAGGAGTGCTCGGGTTCAGACCGAGTCAGGGTCAGCCTGCTGGTCCTCAACGCCGTTCCGGGTTAGTTCAGGTTGATTTTCCTCTCTGAGGGCAAGGCCACCTCTAAAGTTGGGAGGGACAGGGGCGGGGACGAGGCTCGGGCTGTGCTGGGCGGTTCCTCTGTATCTTGAGACGCTGCATTTCCCCGCCTGCTGCAGCTCCTCCCAGAACCGCCAGCAAGAAACCGAGAGCTGAGCTGGCCAAGGCCATCAGGGCCGTCCACTGTGGGTGGGAGACGCAGCCTTGCCACATGGAAGATAAACGAGGCCGAGCAGGCTCTCTCCCCTCCCCTCCCCTCCCCTCCTCTCCTGGTATACCCCGGCTTCCCCCTTGCCCTCAGCCCTGCGTCCCGGGCATGGCTTCCATCTCCAACAGAACACAAGGTCGGAAGCCCTTCCCCCGATTTGAGGTTAATGGCACTTCGGTGTTTAGGCTCCTTCTGGCTTTGGCCCAAGCTTGGCAGGTGGGCCTCCCGCCTTGCTCTTCTTGGGGCCTGACAGGCTCACCGGCATTGCAGCTCCGTCAGGGACAGAGCCCACCATCTCCAGAAAGCCAGCCCCTACCTGAGAGCTGCAGCCCAGCAGCACGCGAGGACCCTGCATTTCTTTCCCGCGGTTGAGGGTGAGGGAGTGAGTGTTCAAGGAGGAAGGCCGCCCTCGCCCCCTAGAGCCCTGCCTTCCTCTACACGCCCACGCGAATTCCTAGGCGTACGGGTTTGTTTGGATGGTGGAGGGAGACAGGGCCCGTCAGGAGGCACTCTTGGGGAATCGCGCAGCCATACAACTTTAGAGCTGGCCTTGGCTGGGAGAGGAAAATCCATCTGAACTCACCCGGAATGGTTCCGAGGACCAGCGCGCTGACCCTGACTCTGTTAGTGCCTGAGCCCTCCTCCGCCGTTCCGCCGGCCGCGGCGTGTGGGGAGGGCCGGAACCTGAGGACCTGCATGAAGACATTTAAGAACACTGCTACGGTGCATACAAAAGCCTGCGCCTGTGTCCCAGGGCTCTGGAGGCCTTACAATGCCTGTGACCTGCGTCAGACTGACGGCTTCATCCAACAGAGCAGGGGAGCACCAGAGGAGGGAACCTGTGTGCAAACACTGCATTCCTGGGGCGCACGGTCTCGGGGCCGGCTGCACACACCACGCTCAGAACTACTCATTGTCATGGGGTCACTGTGTCTCCCAAATGCATATGTTGACGTCCTAACTCCCAGCGCCCCCAAGGTGGCTGCATTTCTACATAGAAACTTTAAAGAGATGATTAAGGTAAAATGAGGTCATTGGGGTGGCCCCGATTTGCTAGGTCTGGTGTCTTAATAAGGAGACAAGGACACAGACATGTACAGAGGGACGGCCCCGTGAGGACACAGGGAGAGGACACCATCTGCAAGCCCAGAAGAGAGGCCTCGGAAGGAACCGGCCTGGCCACCCCTTGACCTTGGACACCAGCCTCCAGCACGCTGAGGATGAGCTGCTGTCATTTCAGCTGCCTTGGCTTCGGTGCTTCTCCAGGGCAGCCCTGCTAACTCATGCTCACGGCTAGTTCTGGGGTTGGCAGATCCTGCGGATACCTGTAGACACAGGCATGTGTTCAGGCTTGAGCTGGGTGGGGTGAGGGGTGAGCAGCCATAGAAGGAAAAGGCAATCCTCTGGACACACAAACTGTGTTTTCTCTCAAACCCAAACACTCCTACAAGAAGGACAGTCGGTATTAGGATAAAGGCCTCACCACATCCCCCCTGGTTTTCCTCACAGCAAGCTCGAGATGTGGGAACCGCTGCACCCTCCACATCAGGGAACGGACTGAGGGAGGAGGTGACTGTCATCCTGGGGCCTCACGTGGCGCAGGGCCGGGGCTGAGCCTCCCGTTGTGGGGACCTGGACCCAGGGCCTCTCTTGGGGTCTAAAACTTTTGAGGCAAAGGAGATGCAGAGATGCCCATGCCGAGACCCAACAGGCCACAGAGGACTGACTGGTGCTCAGAATTTGATCTCAGAGATCCCGGTGACTCTGGACCTGAGGTTGCGTGAGATCCCCTCCCCTGTGCCAGGTCTCACTGGTGCAGTCATCGTTTAACTTCTGGGATCTTTACAGTATCAGGAAATAACTACGGAAGATAGTCTGAATTGTTGGGCAGCAGAAAACCACCAAAGTTAAGTTAAAAACAAAGAAGAAAATCACTCTCAGAAATGCATTGTGAACTCTCCACCATACCCAGTACCGTCTAACATTTTGGCCTGAATGGTTGATGTTGGTGATTTACAGTCCAAGCACCCATCAGCTGCCAAGGGAGCCCTAGAGGGGACTGCAGTCCCCACGGCCTGCTTACAAAGCAGGGAAACCGAGGGCCCCACGCGGGGGCTTGGGAACAACCCATGACGGAGCCCCTCCTCCGCGGTCGTCTCTCAGGCCTAGGCCTGCTGGGCCTGGACTGTTCCCTCTGCTCTGCTTCTCCAAGTCTCCCGCCTCACACCTGCCTCGGCGGGTGCACAGGTGGTCTCAGAGCTGACGTCTGACCACACCTCTCCCGGGGGCGTTTCTGTCCCTGCTCACAGGTGCATGAGGATCGGACTCCGCCTCCCATCTTGGTTTCGAGTGAAGTGACGGCTGAGCCAAGAGCTTGCTTTCAGCTTTAGTATTTCCGCAATGAAAAGACAAGAGAAAGCTCTGTGCTCTCCCAGGGCGTCCGCTGGGTGGGAGCCTGTGGCTCCAGCTGCTCAAAGACGAGCCTTCAACTTGAAAGTTCTGCAGCCTGGAAATTGGGAGAATGTTCCCTCTGGAAAATTTCCTCTCACCACGTTTTCCTTCCATTTCTTTTGTCTCCATATAGCAGTCCAGGAAACCGGAGAAAACGGGGCAAAGAAAAATAAAATAAAATGAACCCAACATGCAGGTTCCCAACATTCTTCCTTTAAGCACTATTAATGAGAATGAAATGTGATTTTCTTACAATTTGATTCATTCAATGTGTGTTTCTTGGGCAGTGCTCTGCGCTAGCCCAGGTGCTGAGGTCGGAGAAACACTGCAGTTACAGCGGAAGTCGGGGTGACCCCACGGGCTCTTGGTAGCACCTGGCTGAACACACAAGGGAATGATGTTGACGCGGGGACAGGTGACGGCACGTGCCCTTGGTGTGATTCTCCCGTTTCTTCCCTTGCCTCCTCTGGTGAACGTAAATCCTACCTAGAACACTAAATATCCAGAAACAGACCCTACCACACTGTAATCTATTACTCGTGTAGAACAACGCACAGTAGGCCTGTCCTGAAATTCTCTCCAGAATAACCATTACTTGATTAGACATGGAGTCATAAATGGTATTTTAGCATTCTTTGTTTTATTTATTTTTTATTTATTTTTTGAGATGGAGTCTCACTCTCTTGCCCAGGCTGGAGCGCAGTGGCGTGATCTTGGCTCACTGCAACCTCCGCCTCCCGGGTTCAAGCGATTCGCCTGCCTCGGCCTCCTGAGTAGCTGGGATTACAGGCATGCGCCACCACACCCAGCTAATTTTTGTATTTTTAGTAGAGACGGGGTTTTGCCATATTGGCCAGGCTAGGCTTTCTTTGTTTTAATGAAAGAGTTCTGACTCTGGGACCTTGGAGAGGCAAGCCCAGGCCCACTCTGTGTCACCACTGGCTGCTCCATTCTCCTGCTTGTCATTGATATATGCGGCGTGGAAATAAAGGGAGCGCTGGTAACACAGAGGCGGAGTAAACGCACATTAAGGAGCGCCGGCCCGCGTGCCCTTATCTGCATGTGCAGGTCGGCTAGATCCATCACTGCAGGGGCGGCCGGCTCCGGATCTCAGACCCGCCGGAGGCCGGGAGGGAGGAGCAGAGCGAGGAGGACGCCGCGGACCGCGCGCTGAAATGCAGCCGGTTCCATTTAGAAATTTCTGTTGGGGGCAGGGGCAAAGTATCTATAATAATTTTAAGGACATTTCCCAAATGTTTATTTAGATAAAAGATAGATAACGGTCAAGCTCCCGAACCTGCGGCCCGATAACGAGGCTTTATTAATGACCTGCCATATGCGAGGGCTGGGTAATTAAAGTTTTTCCCCCAAAGGAAGAGAGTGGACAAATTTATTTGATGGTTTGATAACCAGGGACACTGGTTGAAAACTATTGATATAATCGGAGCTCATTCGATTTCCTCGCGACAGCCACTCCTATCAGCTAATTTCACCTGTGAATAGTTAATTACCCCGGATGCATATGGACCGGCCATTAATAACCTGGACTGTCACCGCTCCTTTGTCACCCACGTGTGCCTTTTATCTCCTGAATCTCCTTCTTCTTTTTTTTTATTCCTTCCCATTCTCTCTCTTAAAACAAATGCTTGGGAAGACAGATGTGAGCTGTAAGATTCCGCGGCTGTGTTAGAGGAGGCGCCGGGGCCTGGGTGCAGAACGAGTCTCCAAGTGCCGCGTGAGCGAGGGTGGGTGGCTGGAGCTCCCGGGCCAGCCCGGGCGGAGGCGCTGCCTCCAGACCCAGCCTGTGTGCAGAGGGGCTGGCGGAGCTCGGACGCCGGGCTCGCTGGCCTTTGCCGATGGACCTCGGGTGTGTCCAGGCCGGGCGAGGGCCGGCAGCTCCAGTGAGGCGGGACCTCACTCTATCTGTGTTGTGCATCCTGTTCGAGTTTCTGGGTCCCGATCTTGAGCAAGCCAACTGACCTCTCTGATGTTGGTTTGCTCAGATGTAACGTGCGGTTGACAGCGTCTATGCTGGAGCACGTGGCGGCTTAAGAGCAATAGGTGAAAGGGGTATCTCAGAAGACGCCCTCAGGACACGGGGATGCCATAGGCCTCGGGTGGTGGAGGGTGCCCCGGCTCCGAAGGGCTCCTGAGCCTGGCAGGCTGGCACCCGCGCGTGGGCTGGGGCTCACTCTAGCTGTTCCCTTGGCGCTTTTATGGATGTTCACAGAGTGGGGTGAACTGCTTCCCCCACATTTTGCTTTTCAGGGCTATGTGTCCTCTGTGACCATGGCTGTCCTGGGATCCAGTGGGATCTCCCTGCTGGCCCAGCAAGGAGGGTGGGCTCAGAGCAGGCTAAGGTCAGGGGGAAGGGAAGCCTCATTGTGCAGACAGATGCTCTCTGCAGGGGACGCTGCTCACTGGAGTGTGGAAGATGGCCAGAGATGGGGAGATAGGGTGGGGACAGGAGGTTCCTGAGAGCTGCCCCTCCCAGGGGAGGTGACCACAGAGGGGACTTTGTCATCAAGGGAGCCCATCTGTGTCCACAGCAGACAGGGCTGGTGCTCCCCAGCAGGCGGGGGTCAGAGGCAGGTAGAATCAGGTAGGAGGCAGGCAGCCCTTCCTCCAGGACCCTGTGCGATCCGATGGGTCCTGCACTTCCTTCCTTTTTCTCCCTGTTTTCTGCCTGTCTCCCCCAGGGTTGAATTCCCTGAAGCTGAGCAGAGCTTCCCCTGCCTCGATATCCGCCCACAGCAGGACCACAGGGTTGCAGCAGGTGCGCAAGGAAGGCTGGAAGAATCAATGACCTGTGGAGGAAGTGTTTGCTCAGTGACTGGCAGGATGGAGCCGCTGACTTTAGGGAGGATGCGGACCATCCAGCCTCGTGGTCGTCCCTTCAGAGACCTCCAAGCCCATTTCTGTGTCACCAAGCGGAGGAGTGCTTCATGAGTTTGGGTGTTCAATCAAGGACACTTTGGGGCCCCTGGAGGAAGAACAAGGCGGGTAGCGGGCAGCCCAGGGCATCATTCTAGTTTTGAAAAGTTCTCTGATGGATTCTAACCCGCAGTCAGAGCCATTGACCTTCTCTAGAGGACAGCACTAATTTTCAAACTCGGTGGCACTTTGGAATCCCCCCACCCCATCCCCGCCCCGAGAAGCTTTAGAAATACTGACGCCGCTGTCTCACCAGAGGGATTCATGATCAACTGGTCTGGAGTACAACCTGGGCATGGGGATTGTTAAAAGCTACCCAGGGGACTTGAACTTTGCAGCCCCGGTTGAGACCACTGAGTATGAGATTCCTATGCAAACTAAGCCTGGACTCCATCAAGGCTCCAGGGATGCTGGGCGTGGGGCCATGGGCTGGCCTGGCCCAGATCCAGTTCTATAAGGCCACCTGTGTTACTCTAGCCTTGGTCCTTTGAAAGATGCTTCAGTACCCCCCAAAACCATCCCCTAAGGGCTTTGAGGGGCCAAGGTGGTCCTCAAGGAGGATGAGTGACCCTCAGTTCCTTGCTGGACACCGCCTCCCTCCCCAGACACACAGATTCCCCGCAGGTAGAAGGAAAGAGGGAAACAAGGGGCTCCACCAAACTCCCCGCATCCCGTCCTGTCAGCCCCACCCCAGACACATCTCCTCCCATGGCACAGCTGCCAGTGAGACCACTTTTGCAAAATTATGACTGAGACAGTGAAAGAGAGCTAACTTAACCAACTCCACCTTGCTTCTAACCTCCAAGCTCTCCTTGTTCATTCCTGGGCGTAGGCTGAATTAACATGGGGAGAAACTTAGTTTATAGTTTAAACAAAAACAAAAACAGCCCTTTCCCAAGGTAACCTCCTTCTGGCCTGGGGACTAGATTGCCTTTGTAGGACTAACAGCCACAAGATTAGAAATTATGGTTTAGGAGTCATGCGGCTGGAGGCTACTAGATTCTGACCCTCCCTAAACTGGTCCTAGGATCAGTGCTTGAGAAATTTTGCAGACCTTGCACTTGATGGATCAGCTGGCATCACCCAGATCGATAAACTGGCTCATCTGATCTTGTGGCCCCCACCCAGGAACTGACTGAGCGCAAGAAGACAGCTCCAGGCCCCTGTGAACTGACTGAGCGCAAGAAGACAGCTCCAGGCCCCTGTGATTTCATCCCTGACTATTCAGCACTCCCAGCTCACTGGCTTCCCCTCATCCACTAAGTTGTCCTTAAAAACTCTGCTCCCCAAATGCTCAAGGAGACTGACTTGAGTAGTAATAAAACTCCGTTCTCCTGCACAGCCGGCTCTGTGTGAATTACTTTGTCTATTGCAGTTCCCCGTCTTGATGAATCAGCTCTGTCTAGGCAGGGGGCAAGGAGAACCCATTGGGCAGTTACACCAGCACCCTTCGCCAGCTCCCACCAGGCCCAGGCACCCCCCAGGCTGACCTGGGCCCATCATCCTCTGGCCTTTGGGTGGGCCTGGCCCAAGAGAGGCTCTGCAAGGGTGGGGGCAGGAGGAGCTGCATTGGGTCCTGGTGCCCCTGTGCTACTGCCAGGCCCTGGGTGGCTGCTTGCCTCCCTGGCCCAGTAGACACCACTGTCTCCTGGTTCCTGCTCTCTCAGAGCCTGCAGGGCTGCCTTCTCCCTGCCCTGCTGCCTGGGTGAGGCGCCACTGCCCATGACAGCTCATTCTTGCTGCCCAGGAAGACCAGCGCCAGACAAGTGGAGAAGACAGATTTTACCCAGGGCAGTCACATGAGGGGCGGGGCCCACTGTGGAGCTGGGCTGTGTGGCAAACATGGCAGGACAGTAAGAGACTTGTGGCCAGGGAGCGGGAGTTGGTGGGTGGGGAGGGACCACCAGGAGACATGGAGCCCCCCTTTTTCTGGCAGAACCAACCTCACAGAATTCCTGCTGACTGGAGGCTGGGGGTCAGGTACTGAGGGTCAGAGAGAGGAATTTTCCAGACACTGACCGTGGCCAGGTACCAAGGGTGGGGGGTTCTTGCTACACTGACCGAGTGCTAAAACTGGATTGTACAGGGAAGGAGGCAGATGAGGTTCAGGAGAGCAGCTGCAGTCTGGACCACAGATAATCTATCACAGCCCCCCACCCCCAGCCAGCTGCCATGGGACCCTCTCCCTTAACCAGCTGAGCACCCCTCCCAGCCTTCATTCCCAGAGAGTCCACTGCCCCTCACCTCCTGCCGCTACCTGCCCATCTCATCCTGCAGCAGCCGGAGGGATGGTGGGAAACCCAGGCAGGACTCACCACTCCCTCGCTGGGCTCTGCAGGGGCACCCATGGCTCTCAGGACAAATCCAGGTTCCTTGCCTCGGGCACTGGTCCCATGGCCCTGACCCCTGGCCTCACCACCCTCCCCTCCCCACCCCCCATGGCCTTGACTCCCACTCTGCCCTCCCTTCTCCACCCTCACGGCCTTGACCCATGGTGGGGCCACCCTCTCCTTCCCACCTCCCAGGTCCCTGACCCCCACCCGCTTGCCCTCTCCTCCCTGACCCCCAGGGCCCTGGATCCCACCCTCTCGCCCTCACCTCCCTTACCCTCACTGCCGCCCTCTTAGCCATCTCCTCCCTGCCCTCAGGGGCCCCTCAGCAGCCTGCCCGGTCCGCCCAGCATAGCCACCATCCCTTCTGCTCAGGAAGTCTCACCCAAGGCACTCTCTGCAGAGGGCCCCTGCGCCCCTGGAGTGACCCCTCCCCACTCTCCACCACTTCCAAGCCTCAGGCATCACTGCTGGGGGAGCCTCAGGCTCTCCTGGGACTGAGCTCCCTCATCTTCCTCCTCCCACTAGGACCTGGTTGGGGAATTCCACAGATGTGCCCTCCATGAATGGGGCTTCCTGAGGACCAGGGTGTTACTGCAGAGGGTGTGGCGTGTGGGGTGGATTAGCAGGATTTGACCCTGTGTTGGGGGCATGGCTGAGACATGGAGCTCTCACCAAGCCATGCGTTCCTGAGAGATGATTTTTTTTTTTTTTTTTTTGAGATGGAGTCTTGCTCTGTTGCCAGGCTGGAGTGCAGTGGCGCGATCTCAGCTCACTGCAACCTCTGCCTCCTGGGTTCAAGCGATCCTCCTGCCTCAGCCTCCCGAGTAGCTCGGACTACAGGCACACACTGCCACACCTGGTTAATTTTTTGTATTTTAGTAGAGACAGGATTTCACCGTGTTGCTGAGGCTAGTCGTGAACTCCTGAGCTCAGGCGATCCGCCCACCTTGGCCTCCCAAAGTGCTGGAATTACAGGTGTGAGCCACCGTGCCTGGCCGAGACGATGCTCTTAACCATGGCTGGGAGGCCCTGCCGCCATCTGCTGTCCTGGCTGCGGGGCAGGCAGGGACCCCAGGAGTGTGGGCAAGAGAAGGGTGTGGGCTGGGGCTGGTGTGATGGGGTGGGGCCCAGGAGGTGCTGCCAGAGGGTTGGGGTGAGCCCTGTCATTAGCCAGGGACAGTCCCTCTGGGGTGGGGACTCGGGGGCGGGGGTTCCTGGAGGTTCATCATTCCCATAATCAGGAGGTGGCAGAGCCCTGGCTTTGGGGGTTTGTCCGGACCTGCTGGCCTCCTTCAACAGGCAAGAGACCTGTCTGGGGCCGGCTGGGCTGCCTGGCCCTCACCCGAAAGGGATACAGTCCTTGCAAGCCCCCATCTGCAAACCTGCAGCCAGAGGCTGGCCACAACGCCCTGTGGTTCTGGTGGGGGCGGGGGAAGGGAAAGGGCCCAGCTCTCAGGGTTCCCCGTCATGCCGTGCCAGGTCTTGCTGACTCAGGGACTGTGCTGGCCGTGGCATCAGGGAGAAAGGTTGCAGCCGGCAGGGATGAGTGAGGTGGGTGGATGGGGACCCTGCCCTGGGTGTCATGAGCACCTGCGTCCAGCGAAGCTCAGCAGACATGGGACCCGATCGGGATCCTCGGGCTGAAGCTCTAGCTGTGGGCTGGGCCCTCTCAGGCAAACCCGTTCAGACAACTGCAGTCTTAAACTCAATTTAATAGCAAAGGGAGGGAAATCCATCCCGGGGGAGGCTCAGCCCTGCAGCCCCAAGAGGCTGGCGATGTGATGTTTGCTGTGGGAGTGCAGATTCCCAGCCTGTGATTAACTCCAGAGGATGCGCCCGCATCCCGTCCTTGATAAGAGGATCCCACAGCCAGGGAGTCCTGCACAAAGACACCAGCAGGAAGGCACCGGCAGCTCTTAGAGATGGGGGGCCCAGGGAGGGACAGGAAGAAGCTGGTCCCATGCTGCCCACGTTGTGACGTTTACCAGGGCATCCTCCAGCCTAACAGCTCTAAGGTTTGGTTCACCATATAAGCAGCTGGCAGGCTGAGCACAACCTTCCTTAGCCCTGCACTCCTGTGTGTTTGGGCAGGTGGGCTCATAGGTGCCGGAGATGTTTCGGGCAGCATGCTGCGCGTTACACTCACCCTGGCACTGGGGAGTCGGAGCTGAGCCAGGCGGAGAGCATCCATACAGGGAGGCACAGAACAAGGCAGCAGCGCAGTGCCCGCCGTTCACTCCTGCCTAACAGATGTCCCCAGGGGCAGCACCTTCAGATGGCAGATGGCAGCCATGTCCTTAGCTCACAACTCTGTGGTCAGCAGCAGGGGTGCCTGGGCTCAACAGGGAGTTCTGCCCACCTCCCCATGACCATGTGACCATGTGGCTGTGGCTGAGTTCTCTGTGGGTTGGAACCTGGGCTGGAACAAGCAGCTGATGTGGCTGGTCCAAGGTCTCACCCCCAGGCAGTCTCATCCACTCATTCTGGTGGCTTCTGGGGAGGGCTCCAGGACAAGGGGCAGCAATTCCAAGGCCCCCTGAGGCCAGGCTCTGCCCTGACATGAAGTCCCTCCCAGGGTGCTCCATTGGTCAAAGCAAGGGCAAAACCAGCTGTGATGCAAGGATTGCTATGCAAAGATAAGTACATCCATGCAGCATTTAGGACATACTTAAAGCACTACATGATTTGTTGTTTATCTGAATTTCACATTTAAGCTGGAGTCCTGTCTTTTGTCATTGTTCTTGTCGGTGTGTTTCTGCTATGCCTGGCAACCCTATTCAAATCACGATTGATCAGAGACAAAGGCTTGGTGCATGGAGAGCTTTTCTCTGAGTCCTGGTCAGCCTTGCCATGGAATACTTACCCTGGGATGAGGCTGTGTAGAGGGGGATACACCAGGCTTCCTTGGGAACATATAGCTGACATCTTAAAACCACTTTTAAGAAGGTCAGGGTCCTGATAGACAACTCTGGAGCTGGTGGGTATGAAGGAGGGGTGAGCAGCCCTGCAGCCACCCGGCTTCCCCCAGTCTCCTTGTCATGAGCTGCGGTCAATGCACAGTTGGTCCCTGGGGCAGGAAAGCAATTGTAGGTCCTGGTCCTGGTGGTGCCCATGCTGACTCTGTGACCCGACCAGGCCCCTCCCTGGGCTTCTGAGTCTCACACAAAAAGAGAGAAGTCAAATCAGATGCCTTGCACATCCTATGCATCTGCGTAAATTAATTTTCATTTGAGCTGCTATTCAGTGAGACGGAGAGGAACTTCTGGGAACTAAACTAGAATCTGATTTCACAGTTATTTTCTTTTACATGTGGATAAAGGAGGTTCTGGCTGCCTTAGTGACTTTTATGACAGTTCCCATTCTCGGGATGATGGTCCTCATTCTGCACCTTGCTGTTCTGTTCTATGTAACATCCAGGCTGGGAGGGGAGGGGGCCGGCCCTCCTCCTCTGTCCCAGGCTCTGCAGTGGGCAACTTGGTTCCGTCCTTACCTCCTCAGCTGGGCATGTGATCTTGGTGCTCTGAGCCTTGTTCTCTGTGCTAAGTATATGGGGTTCATTGGAAAAACTGACATCGAAATGGCCTTTCCTTTCTTTTTTAGAAACAAGATTTTCCCACTCTGTATCTGAAGATCTGTCCTTTCCTCTTTTTATTTCTTGTAGTCATTTGCATCTCTGCAACAAAGTGCATCCCTTGGACTTTCTAGGGTTCCAACAAAGTGTCTGCACAGAGGAAGCCGGTGGGGGAGAAGCGGGTGCCTCCCTCTGCTGTCCTCATTCTCCAGCAGCCCTTGCCTCCCAGATAAAGAGGCCACTCTGAACATGGGGAGCCTGGCCGTGGCAACCCCAGGGGTGACCCCATATCCACTGTGGGCCCAGCCAAGGCCCAAGAGCAAAGGCCCTGCTGGCCCTCAGCTCGGTGAGATCCTGGCAGAGGTGGCAGCTGTGTCTCTACCTGCTTCTCCAAATTCCTTGAAACAGGGAGACCAGGATGTGCAAAGCTGAGGACCCAAGATGATGGACCACTGGTCCCAGGGACCCCCTAGTGGGGATGATGAGCGTTAACCGGCCCAGTGCCTTGATGACCCCCCTTCCGCCCGGGAGGAGTCCCAGACAAGGAGCCCCTCAGCACTGAACAGAGACGGCCCAGTACAGCAGGCAGCAGACTCTGCAGCTCTGGAAAAGTCCTCCCGTGGGCGGCCCTGCCAGGCCCCTCAGGGAAGTGAGCATCCTCACAGTGCCTTGGTGCCCACTCCCTCCGTGCTGCTTCCTCCTTGCTGCTCCCTCCATGCTGCCCCAGCACCAGCCAGGCCTGGATACCCGCTGCAGTCTCCCCCTTCGGGACAATTTGGAGACCCCTGCATCCCATCCAGGATCATGTCCCGCTGTGCCTCCTCACCTGACCCTGGGAGGCTGGAGCTCCCTGTGTGCCCTCCCTGTGGTCAGCCTCAGGATCCTGTCCTCAGACAGCCCAGAGACCCCGAGCCAGCTGCACATGTCTACCCTACAAAGGCGCCTTCTTCCTGTCCCATACCTGGCTCTGCTCCATTTATGAACAACTTGTTTTTGAGATCAAATGTCTATTGTTTTCAGAAAATTTAGGGATTAATGTGCTACACAACTCTCTTTTTAAAATTAATAAACTTTATTTTTAGAGCAGTTTTAGGTTCACAGCAAAATTGAGCAGAAGGTACAGAGTTCCAGGGACCTCCTGCCCCCAGGCAGGCACAGGCTCCCCTCTACAGATTTCCCCACTAGAGGGCGTGTTACTACCAAACCATCATCATCACCCAGAGTCCACAGCCTGCATTTGGGCTCACTCTTGGCACTGTACAGTCTAGGGTTTGGATAAACGTGTCCACCATTGAAGTGTCCACATGTGTCCACCATGGAAGTGTCATGCAGAGTATTTTTGCTGCCCTAAAAAATCCTTCATGCTCTGCCTATCCATCCTTCCTTCCCACTCATGCCTGGAACCACTGATCTTTTTACCATCTCCACAGTTTTGTCCTTTTCAGAATGTCCTAGAGTTGGAATCACACAGTGTGTAGCTTATCAGATTGGTTTCTTTCACTTACTAATAAGCATTTAAGTTTCCTCCATGTCTTTTCACTGCTCATTTCTTTTTAGGGCTGAGTAATATTCCGCTGTCTGGATGTGCACTGTTTATTTATCCATTCACCTACTGAAAGATATCTCAGTTGCTTCCAAGCAAATATAGAATTATTAGGTAAGGAATGGAATTATGAATGAAAGCTTTATACCATAAACATTATGAATAAAGCTTGTATAATGAACAATGTTTCTATGAGCATCATGAATAAAGCTTCTATAAACATCCACATGCAGGTTTTGGTGTGGACATATGTTTTCAACCCCTTTGGGTAAATACCAAGGAGTATGGATCCTGGATTACAGGTTAAGCGTATGTTTAGTTTTTCAGAAACCACTAAACTGTCTTCCATAGTGGCTGTATCACTTTGTACGCCCACCAGCAATGGATGAAAGTTCCTGTTGCTCCACATCCTCGCCAGCATTTGATGTTTGCAGTGTTAAGGATTTTGGCTATTCTAATAGGTGTGTAGTAGTATGACCTTGTTTTAATTTGCATTTCCCTGAGGACATATGATGTGGAATAGCTCTTCAATGTTTACTGCCATCTGTATGTATTCTGTAGTGAAGTATCTGTTCAGATCTCTGCCAATTTTTAATTGGGTTGCTCATTTTCTTCTTGTTGCATTTTAAGGGTTATTTGTATATTTCAGATAACAGTCCTTATCAGGTATGCCTTTTGCAAATATTTTCTCCAGGTCATGGCTTCTCATTCTCTTGACATTGTCATTTATACAGCAGAAGTTTTTAATAAAGCCCAACTGGTCAATTACTTATTTTATGAATCATGTCCTTAGCATTTTATCTAAAAAAGCCATTGCTATACCCAAGGTCATCTAGGTTTTCTTATATGTTATCTTGTAGGAGTTTCATAGTTTTGCATTTTACATTTAGTTCTGTGATCCATTTTGAGTTAATTCCATTTTGAGATGATTTTTGTGAAGTGTGGAATGTCTGTGTCTAGATTTATTATTTTGTCTGTAGCTATTTGTTGAAAAGGCTATCCTTCCTCCATTGAATTGAATTGTCAAGGATCAGTTGACTAAATGTGTGTGGGTCTATTTCTGGGCTCTCTCTTCTGTTCCTTTGACCTATTTGTCTATTCTTTTGCCGTTACCACACTGTCTTGACTACTAGAGCTTTATAGTAAGGCTTGACCTCAGGTAGCACCAGTCCTAGGACTTTGCTGTTCTCCTTCAGCACTGACATGTCTATTCTGAGTCTTTCGTCTTGCCATACAAACTTTAAAAATCTGTCTGCATTTGCAAAATAACTCACTGGGATTTTGATTGAGATTACATTGAATCTACAGATCAATTTGGGAAGAATGACATCATGACTGTATTCATGGAGATGGAATATCTCTCCAATTATTTAATCTTTGATGTCTTTCATCAGAGTTTTGTAGTTTTCCTCATATGTATCTTGTAGATATTATTATACTTATACCTAAGTATTTCATTTGTGGGGGTGCTAATGTAAATGGTGATGTGTTTTTAATTTTGAATTCCACTGTTCATTGTTGGTATATAGGAAAGTGATTGCCTTTTTATATTAATCCTATATCTTGCAATCTTGCTATGATTTATTCCAGGAGGATTTTTAGTCTTTTTTTTTTTGGATTTTATACATAGATAGTCATGTCATCTGTGAACAAAGACATGATCATAGATGACATTATTTGTTTTACTTTTTCCTTCTCAATCAGTATACCTCTTATTTTCTTTTCTTGTCTTATTGCACTGGCTAGGACTTCCAGTATGATGCTGAAAAACAGTGGTGAGAAGTGGCATCACTGCGTTCTTCCTGCTTTTGGTGGGAAAGCTTCTGGTTTCTCACTATTAAGTGCGATGTTAGCTGTAGGTTTTTGTAGAAAATATTTGTTAAGCTAAGGAAGTTACCCTCTATTCCTAGTTTGCTGAGAGTTTTTATCATAAATGAATGAAATGAATCATGAAGTCCATTTTGTAATAACACTATAGCACTTTGCAGATAGTGCAAGTATCCTATATGACAAAATAACCCTAACTTTTCTTTTCCATCCCTTGTTATCATTGCTGTTACTCATTTCTTATACATAAGCATATATGTAAGCACTGTTAACTGAACGCATTGTTGCTATTATTTTGTTAAATCCAACAAAAACCCCAATATTTTCATCTATTAATGTAATCATCTGTTTTTTCTTTCTTAGTCTGTTGAGTGATGGATTTTATTAATTGAACTTTGAATGTTGAATCAGACTTGCATACCTGGGATAAAACCCACCTGGTTGTGGTGTATAATTTTTTTACACTTTATTGGATTTGATTTGCTAATATTTTGTTGAGTATTTTTGCATCTATATTTATGAGAGATATTGGTCTTTGTTTTTTTTTTCTTGTAATGTCTTTGTCTGGTTTTGCTATTAAGGTAATGTTGGTCTCATATAATGAGTTAGGAAGTGTTTGCTTTGCTTCCATCTTCTGGCAGATATTGTAGAGAATTGGCACAATTTTTCCTTAAATGTTTGATAGAATTCACCAGTGACCCCATCTGGGCCTGGTGCTTTCTGTTTTGGGAAGTTATTAACTATTGATTCAATCTCTTTACTATAGACCTGATAGTCTATTTCTTCTTTTGTGAGTTTTGGCAAATTGTGTCTTTCAATGAATTGGTCTATTTCCTTTAGGTTATCAAATATGTAGACATAGAGTTGTTCATAATGTTTATTTATTATCCTTTAAATAGCTATGGGATCTGTAGTGATGTTTCCTCTTTCCTTTCTGATATTAGTAAGTTGTGTCCTCTCTTTTTTCTTAATTATCCTGGCTAGATCTTATCAATTTTACTGATATTTTCAAAGAACCATCTTTGGATTTTCTTGATTTTCTTTTTTTATTTTCTGTTTTTAATGTTATTGTTTCTGCTCTAATTTTTATTGTTTTCTTTCTTCTGATTACTTTGGATTTAACTGCTTTTCCTTTTCTAGTTTCCTAAGGTGGAAGCTTAGATGATTGATTTTAGATATTTCTTTTTTTTTTTGGGGGGACAGAGTCTCATTCTGTCACCCAGGCTGGAGTGCAATGGCACGATCTCAGCTCATTGCAACTTCCTCCTCCTGGGTTCAAGTGATTCTCCTGCTTCAGCCTCCCAAGTAGCTGGAATTACAGGTGTGTGCCACCACACCCAGCTAATTTTTGTATTTTTAGTAGAGATAGGGTTTCATCATGTTGGCCAGGATGGTCTTGAACTCCTGACCTCAATTGATCCACCTGCCTCGGCCACCCAAATTGCTGGGATTATAGGGATGAGCCACTGTGCTCGGCTGATATTTCTTCTTTCCTAAAATATATTCAATGCTATAAATTTTCATCTAAGCACTGCTTTATTGCCATTATTTTGCTATTATATTGCCATTATTTTGAACACAGTGTTACCTGTTAGATCAACCAACAATATGAAAAATAGAAGTTTTATTTAACTTTCACTCATTTCTTCTTCGGTGTCCTTTCTTTCTTTATAAAGATTCAAGTTTCTGACCTCCGTAATTTTTCTTCTCTTTAAAGAATTTTTAATATTTCTTGCAAGCAGGTCTGTGGACAAGAAATTTCTCAATTTTGTCTGAGAAAGTCATTATTTTTTCTTCACTTTTAAAGGATAGTTTCACAGGGTATAGAATTCTAGGTTGGTGAGCTTCTTTTTTCTCAACACTTTAAATATTTTATTCTACTCTCTTCTTGCTTAGATGATTTCTGAGAATAAGTCAGATGTGATTCTTATCACAGCTCCTCTATAGGGAAGGGTTTTTTCCATGTTGTTTCTCTTAACATTTTTTCTTTTACTTTGATTTTCTGAAGTTTGAGTATGATATGAATAGGTGTCTCTTTTGTTTTTGGCATTTATACTGCTTGGTGCTCTCTGACCTCCACAGATTCCTGAAGATCTTTGGTTTGGTGTCTGATATTTGTTTGAGAAAAATTCTTCATCATTATTGCTTTAAGTATTGCCTCTGTTTCTTGATCTCTTTCTTTTCCTCCTGGTATTTCCATTAAGCATATATTATACCTTTTGTAGTTGTCCCACAGTTCTTAGTGTGTTTTTTTCTTTGCTATTCAGTTTTGAAAGTTTCTATTATCATATCCTCATGCTGAAAGATTCTTTCCTCCGTTGTGTCCAGTCTACTAATGAGTCCATCACAGGAATTCTTTATTTCTGTTGCAGTGGTTTTGATCTCTAGCATGTTTTTGCCAGAATTTCTACCTCTCTGCTTATGTTATTCATTTGCCCCTGAATGTTGTTGGCTGTCTACATTAAAGCCTTAGTATATTAATCACAGCTTTAAAAATTTCAGGAATCCCAACATTCCTGCCATATCTGACTGATTCTGATGCTGGTTCAGTCTCTTCAAACAGTGTTTTTTGCCTGTTAGTCTTGTAATTTTTTGTTGAAAGGTGGACAGGTTGTACAGGGTAAAAGGGAACTGCTGTAAATAGGACTTTAGTGAAGTGGCCATGCTGTAGGGGGAGTGTCTATGGTCCTATGACTCGGTCTCAGCCCCAGTGAGACTGGGGCCATGAGCTACACAAGTACCTCTCAGATTCTTCCTCCCTTAGGTGGAACAGGATGGCTAGAGTGGGCTGGAGTTGGGTGTTTCCAATCTCAGCTCTGATAAAACTGTAGCAGGTCTGGCTCTGGTTAAATAGTTTCTCCTGAAGCTTTGCTAAGAAGAGAATGCTCTGGTGTAACTCAGAACAGCCCCTTTACCTTTCCCCTGCCTAAAGCACAGGGGACATTTCTCTGATGTTCACTGTGGGCACTGCAGGGCTCCTGGAGGTAAAACTCACAAAGGTGTGCCCCCAATGCCCGGGTCCCCTGGAGTTGATAACTCTCAGACTTGTCCGCACTGAGCTTCCAGCAGCTCAAGAGGTTTCTGCTCATGTGTTTCTGCTCAGGTAAGTTGTGCTTCTCTGTATCCACCTGTCTCTCCAATTGTGAAGGCAGGGGCTTGCCATGTGACCTTACTTGTCTGATGAGTCTAAGAAGAGTTGTTGATTTTCAGTTTGTTCAGCATTTTACTTGTTTCATTAGGACTGATGGGAGACCTCTGAGTGCCTTACATGCCAGACTCCATAACTCTTTTTTACAGCTTCACTGTGTCTATGCCAAGCTGGAATCTTTTTCTACATCGTCAATGCTAGATACAGCAAAATGATGACCAATGGGTTGGATACTTCAGCAGGTGTTCACTAAGCACTCATTAGGGCTGGTCCTACACACTGCAGTGAGGGCACAGAGGTAAACAGCATCACCAAGGGGCCTGCATCAGGATGTTAACGACCTTGAGGTTGTTCACAGGACAAAGGACAAGTTGGGAGACGAGACAGAGGACCCAGTGCCACCAACAGGGGCACTCTCAGTCTTCAGCCCCAGCCAGAAGACAGTTCCCGGGTGCCCAGGAGTTCCCCAAACGTCCCTGGCAAACCAGTGGAGTGTGACAGAAACAAGATTAAAATAAAATGGTTCAGGCCGCTGGCCCTGGCCTCCTGCCTGGAACTGGAGCTCTGCTGAAGGGATCCATGGGGGCCGAGGCTGCTGTCTTCACAGAAGCTGATGGTCAGGATTTCCCTACAGTGCCGAGGGCTAAGTGGTGTCCCCCATACACACTGTGTTGGAGCAGTAGCCCCCAGCTCCTCAGAACACAACCTTATTTGGAGACAGAGCTCATACAGTAGTAGCATGGCCCCAATCCAATATGACGGCGTCCTCATAAAAAGGGGATATTTGGACACAGATAAACACACAGAGACCCCTGTGATGGAGAGTGATATTGCCGGGAGCCGAGGAACAATGGATGGCCAGCAGCCTCCAGTCACTGAGAGGCTGGAGCCGGGCCTCCCTCGGCCTTCAGAAGGAACCAACCATGCTGACACCTTGATCTTGGCCTCCAGCCTCCAGAACCATGCAAAAACAAACTTCCATTGCCTAAGTCCCCATCCCCAGGAAACAAATGCAGTTAGAGTTGTGAAGAGCAGAAACTACTGAATATACGAGGCTTTTTCTGATCTACTCTCTCTGATAGTCAGATGTGGAGTTTGAGAGTTCATTATTGAAATTCTAGTAAACAAGCTGACTCCACGTTGATTCTGGAAGCCGCTGACAGTGGAGGCAGTATTCTCTGTAAACTCCCAGTGTGGTTTTGTGGCCTGGGCCTCGGGGCTCGCTCTGCCAGCTGATGACCCGCTGTCCTCCATGCTCCATGTGGCGTCTTGCTGACCGTCTGCTGTTGGTAGAGCCTGAGGAGGTCAAAGTCCCAGGAATGGTTCGTCAGCATTTGCTAACTCTAGAAATGCAATCCCCAAGTCACTGACCCCTGGCATTAATTCTGGGTGCTGGGGGGTGGCCATGGGCAGCTCGGCCAGTGTCACTGCCTACAAATGGTCCTGGGGCCCTGGGAATGGGTGCGTGACAGGTGGGAAAATGCGTTTCCTCCAAAAGGCAGAGCCCGCATAAGTAGGGGCTGCTCCCAGCGTTCATCTGCCGACCTCGCAGCTGACCCATTGTCCTTGGCACCGGTTCAGGAAGAAGCTCAGCTCAGGACGATGGCCACGAGAGCCACTTTTTGGCTCTTCTCTTCCTTTCCCTCTTGAGGAAAGCCTCACCTGGGAAGCAACAGCTGGAGGGAGTGAATGGTCTTGTTACGCTTGGAGAAAGAACAGGTTTCGTCACGGCCTTCCCACTCTGACCAACAGCACCTTGGGATGTGGGGGGCACTGACATGAGGAACCCCCCAAGCAGGTCTCCCTTTCCCCAGCAAGAAGCCCCTGCTGGCCCAGGTGGCTGGGAGAGCTGCAGACAGCACCCAAACCACTCACTGGGGTGCCACCCGCACTCTGCACCCTGCACCCCACACCCTGTAGAGCAACCCCATGTGCCAGCGAGCGGCCTCAGAGCAGCCTGCCCAGGCCCGGGGCTCGTGGCTTGCCTGTTTCCCGGGTGGGGGAGGGCAGAAAGGAGAGTGTGAGGGAGCGGCTGGCTGAGAGATTAGGATCTCAGCTCCTCTACAAGATGCATGAGCCTCGCCGCTCCTGTGCGGGCCCCATTCCTCTTCTGATCCATTAGCGGGGTCTCCATCACGGCTGTATCTCCCTCGGAGGTCGGGTAGCATCCATCCTGGCTGGCCGCACCCGCATTTCCGTGTCGCATGATCCATCCGGTGCCTCTGCAGACAGCAGGCACTAGGACAGATGGGCTGGAGCTGGCATATCGTGCGGATAAACTGTTTATCACTCCATTGACGCCGCTCCATCTCCCCGCAGCTGACCCCACGCTCACTAATGCCTAGATAGTGGGCAGGAGAACGGCCGTCCCTGGGGGTCATGGTGCGCGTCTCCTCGTTCTTTGGTGCTGAGGAAGGAGGTGGCAGAGGCCTTGGAGCAACAGAGCCAGGGTTGTGGGAGAGGAAGGTGGCTGAGTGTGGTGAGGGCCCTGCCAGGTGCTTTGGGAGTCCTGTGGGACTGCAGAATGAGCACGTTCGCTCCATCGTTTGACGACAAAGGCACCCGGTGTCCCTGAGCCGAGCACGCCCCGTCCACTTGGTGGGGGCATTAGCCTGTCGGAAAGCTGCCTGGTCCAGGGGGGCTTTCAGCCCGCAGGACGCCGAGAGCTGTCTGTAAACCTCTCCATGGTTGTGTGGGCCTCGGGCCGAGGCAGCCTGCAGTGAAGGAAGATGTTTTGGAGAAGTTGTTGGGGGGCTGAATCCCTAAACGCAGGGGACACTTCACGCCCGTGGAATTTGGAAAACCGAGGCAGGGAGCAGGGAAGGGTGTGGGACTCGGGAAGGGGAGCAGCTGGTGCTCCTTTAACTCGCCCGGTGGCAGTTCAGGGTGTTTCCATCTGAGATCCTACACTCAGCCGGGGGCCCACGGTGTAGCGGGTCGTCAGCCGGGCCCCGGGCCTTCTGGGCAGCAAGGGCCCTGGCAGGACCCTGAGGGCTGGGCCAAGGAGGGCAGTTCGCTCCGGGGCACCTGTCAGGGGCCCCACACGGCTGCTTTTAGGCCAGGGGTGGCAAAGACGCTGCTGCCGCCTGCTCTGGGCTCGGCTCCCATGGCTGTGAAGGACCCTCGTCACTCCCCGTCGCCTGCCTGGGCTGCCCGGGGACCCTCCTGCTGCGTCAGCACAGAGCCTGGAACCGCGGCCAAGGCAGGAAGCTCCCCTGTGAAGGCACCAAGCACGGCAGACGCCCTCACATCGCCGGGGCCCGTTTCCCTGTGGACGGGAAGTGGGAACGTGACGTGGACGTGACGTGGGAACGTAACGTGACGTGACGTGACGTGACGTGGCATGGCGCGAGGACAGCGCGGCGGGAGCGGCGCCTCAGATCCAGCAGGGAGGGAGACGAAAGGCGGATGGAAGAGGGGCCCCCGGACCCCGCCCCTCGAGGCTTGTGTGCCGCCCTGGCTGCGGCGTTCTGGGCGACGGGAAACAGAGTCAGGACACAGACCAGGGAGGGCCGGGGCAGAGCCAGGGCACCTGCGGGCGAGGACGGCTGGGTGCTGGGTCCCCGGCGTCAGGGCGCAATGCCGCCTGCTGGGCGTCACCCTTTCCCAGGGCTGCTGGGACACGTGGCCGCAGCTGCTTGGCTCACCACAGCGGAAGTCGGTCTCTCTCATCCTGGAGTCCGCGCGGCTGAGGGCGAGGTGTCCTTCCGGGGGCCCTGAGGGGCTCTGTCCCCGGCCTCTCCCCTCGGCGCCCCTGCCCGGCCAAGCATTGCGCCAAGCCCACCCCCACCTCACGTGGCGGCCTCCTCCCCGGCTTGGGGACTTCTCTCTGTCACTTGCAAAAACACGCGTCCTTGGATTTAGGGCCCTCCCTGTTCCCGGAGGCTCTCATTTCAAAGTCCTGACCTTAAGGACAGCTGTAGGACCCAATTTCCAAGCAAGGTGGCATTCCCAGGCAGGAGGGGTTAGGACCTGGGTGTGTTTTTGGGGGGACTCCATTCCGCCCCTGACAGGGCCTCAGGGTGGCCACTGCTTCTAAAGTTGGATGTGGGGCTTGTAGACTTGCCACGGCCATCCTGGTATTTTTGAGTATTTGAAATGACAGATTTACCACCTAGGAAAGTGAAGCAGGTGCGAGCGAGTACCGAGGCTGTTCGTTCAGGCCCCCACCCCTCGCTGCAGCCCCCACCTTGACCCAGCCTCGCCTGTCAGTCCTTCCCATCCACCTGTTCTGGGGCCACTGGCACCATGTCCTCTTCCTCCCTAACCATGCCGAGGGGTCATCGCCTCTGGTTGTCAGCCTCCTTCCCATGGATGTATGTTCTTCCCACCACTGGTCAGCCCCTCCTGGTGTCTACCGGAATCTCAGCTCAAGTGACTGATCCGGAGGGACCCCCCCCGCCCCCTGCCCCGCTACAACCTTGCCCTTGCCTTGTGTGTGAAGAAGTAGAGTTGCTAAGGGCTGGCAGCTGTGAACCCTTGTGGGGAGTGGGGACTTGAGGGCCTGGGCCTGGGGCACCTGGAGGAGCCCAATCGCCACCTGCAGCCACCCAGGGCCGCCAGGCACCAAGGGGCCCCAGGACCCCAGGCACTGTGTGTCCATCTCAAGAGTGACTCAGGCTCACAGGGGCCCCCACTGCTGCCCTCTTGCATCCCCACAGACACACCCGGAGTTCTCTCAACCTCTGCTTGCTCAAGTTCGGACTCCAGTTCGAGGACATCCAGCCACACATAACTTGGATGAGCAGCCCTCATTTTGTGTTCAATAAAAGATAACACAAGAGATCATTCGAGCAACTATGTCAGAGTAAATGTATTTCCTTGTTCAAGAGTGAAGCTCCTTCAGGAACATCTGCAATTTGCTTTGTCTTGCTGAAAACAATATTTTCCCAGAAGACCCCAGCATGAGGGCCATTACAAAACGTAATTCATATTGCATAAGTTCCGAAGCGTTCAGCACGAATAACAAATGGAGGGTTAGTGAAGTATTTATGCTCTGCTGTGAGCGTGGCATCTATAAGTCATGGGGGTCCCAGGCGCCCAGCCCAGCACTCACTCAGGATGTGCTCGGCCCCCACGGCTGCAGCCGAAAAGAGCCCTGCTTCTTCTATGTGGGGGAGTGCGGTACTTTGGGCACAGACGCAGCCAGACTTGGCTTTCTTGTTACCTATGGAGAAAAGGGAGGGCTGATAAGAGGAGTGAAAGACACCCTACCTAGCAGGAGGATGTGTCTGAGATATAAACAGCGGATGAAGGGCTGGGGTCTAGAATGAACAGGAAAGAGCCAGCCTGATTGAAAGATGCCCAAAGGCTGGCAGGGCCCTTCCCGACTGAAGGAGTGCCAACCAGAAACTCAGCACCCAGGGAGGTGGTGTCTTGTGAGCTGTTGGGGACATCCAATTTATGTCACAGAAATGCACTGTCACACCCACAGTGGGTTCAAGACTACAGTGTTGATGTGCAAATATTGCCAGAATGAGGGACACTGAGAACTCCTTCACACTTCTGCGTGCGAATTGGCACAGCCACCTTGGAAACTGCAGGAGCTGTCTGGGCCTCCAGCAAGTCCACGCCTCGTCTGCTCTCATCCTAGAGATCCCTGTGCACACGGATGGGGCGTCCACACCGCCTGTCTGTAGTGGACCCCGAGGAAACCACTAGGCTGCCGTCAAAAGTGCATGGACGAGTAAAGCCTGGCATCACCAGGGAATGAAAAACCGCACAGTGAATGACCTCGGCCTGGCAGTCCCACACTTAAAACTCGATTGTGAAGGCATGCTGAGAAAGGCACCAGATGATTTGTGTCCAGACCTGTTCGCTGGACGGAGTGAAAAGGTGTGCAACACATAAAGGGCCGGCGGAGTGCACTGATGAGAGCCCCGGCTTCCGTGGTTTAGGAGAGAAAAAAGCTGGGCACAGAAGGGTTGGTGTACGACGTCCCCTCTTTTATGTGGAAATGGGGCAAACCATGTATTTTCAGCTATGCTGCACCAGTATCCCCACCTCACACACGTTCATCCCGCCCCGAGAGGGTGGATGCCCCACTTCCCGTCTAAGCAGACCTGTGACTGGGGTGGATGTGGCCTTGACAAAGCTGGGTCACCAAAGGCAGTGATCAATGGCCAGAGATTGGTCCATCTGGGACGTCCACCTTGGAACCCAGCCGCTGTGCCACCGAGAAGCCAGGTGGCCACGGGGAGACCACGCAGAGCCCCCGGCCACAGCCCACATGGGGTCCCCCTGACAGCCACACCACACACCGAGCACCTGTAGGATGTGTGATGGGCCTTCCTAGGACTGAGGACCCAGCTTCCCACTGCCTCAGGGGCAGAGCCCATGTCTGTCCAAACTGGATGAAAGAGCAAGGCTCATTACCTTGTTATTTGAAGCATGGTGCTCTGAGGCAGTGGAGGACCGGAACCATGACCACAGTGCTGTGGACACACATATGTACATACACTGTAAAAAGAAACGCTGGGAGGCTAAACCCAAAATCAACAAATCTACCAGGCACCGTGGCTCATGCCTGGAATCCCAGCACTTTGGGAGGCCAAGGCGGGCAGATCGCTTGAGCCTAGGAGTTCAAGACCAGCCTGGGCAACACAGAGAAACCCAGTCTCTACAAAAAGAAGAAGAAAAAAAAAATAGCCAGGCTGGTGACTCGGACCCGTGTTCCCAGCTGCTCAGGAGGCTAAGGTGCGAGGATCACTTGGGCCCAGGAGGTTGAGGCTGCAGTGAGGCAAGATTGCACCACTGTACTCCAGCCTGGGGGACAGAGCAAGCCTGTTTCAAAAAAAAAAAAAATTAAGAAATCTATCTTGAAGTGGGGGTGTCAGGGAGGGGTCAGAGGGGTCAGGGTTGGGAGAGGACCTTCTCGTGGCATATCCTGTTAACACAGTTCAGCTTGGAATCATTATATTTTGTACAAACAAGAATAAAATTAAAGCCAAAAGAAGAAAATGCCGTCCTGAAAACTGAAAACAAGCCAAGACAAAAGAACCTAATGATATATCAAGTTGGTGACAAATCCCGAGAGAAAAGCATTGCTTCAAGTGACTTTGGAGCACAGCGTTTTGACTTCAGTCCTCCATAGAAAATGGCATCGGGACAAAAGAAGACCTGAAGAAATTGGGGGCATCACACGGTTATCGTCACACGGACATTGTCACACAGTCATCGCCACATGGTCGTCGTCACACGGTCACCGCCACCCAGTCACCTGCCACACGGCCACTGCCACATGGCCATCGCCACACGGCCACCGCCACATGGCCATCATCACACGGTCACCTGCAGTCAGCTGACATTGTATTGATGGGGAGCGCATGCCCAGGTAATCAAACATAAAGGAAGGCGGCCACTCAGCCGCTGGGAACTGAAGATGAGGGGACTGAGCTGTAGGGAGACATCATGGCTTCTGGGGGCTGGGGCTTGTACAGCCTCTTCCAGCTCACCTCATTGTCTCCTGCAGGGAGCAGGTTGGATTTCTCGGGCTCAGGATGGCAAGTGTGGCTACTAAAGTGGGGTCTGTGGCCTTGCTGAGCGCAGGCCAGTGGGGTGTTCCCCGAGCATTCGGCAGCAGCTGCTTCTCCAAAATTAAAAGCATCCGAGGCAATCAGATACCATGCTTGACACATTCTCCATGATTCCAGCCTCTTACCTATTGCAAGTAAACAAATCCTGCCAGGATTTTGGGCGACCACAGTTAGCAATCTGCCTTCCTGCCTACCGACACCTGAATCGTCACTCTGGCTCTCCCTGTTGCCCGGCCACCTGGTGACAGCTGCCGGATATGGGCGCCTCCCATGGCCTCGGGACACCCAGTGTTCATGGGCACTGCCTTCCTGCATTCCTACGAGCCCTGTGGGGACAGTTTCCACACTCACCCTACCACCTCCAGCCTTGACTGACCCCAAGCTGAGAGTGTGCACACCGTTTCCCAGCCCCCCAGAGACTGCCCTGCACGGGAGCTTACACACCCATTGCACAGGTGGCCTGGCCAGGAGCCTTTCCCGGATTTGCTGAGAAAGGTGCGCCTTTGTCATCTCCCTCCATGGGGACCTCCACCCCCTTGTCCCTCTCCTTCCTCCACAGGGACCTCCACCCCCTCATCCCTCTCCTTCCTCCACAGGGACCTCCGCCCCCGGTCCCTCTCCTTCCTCCATGGGGAACTCCGCCCTCCCCTCCCTCTGCCACCCCACCTGGGCCCCTCGCCCTCCCCTCCCTCACACTCAGGCCTTGGGCTTTGCGTTGCTGTGCTGACAGCTCCCTGCTGGCTGCCCTGCTGTCGTAGCAAGTCTGCTCTGCTCACCCTGCTGAGTCCTGGGTCTTCCCGCTTCTCGCAGGTCCCTTGCCTCCTCCTGTCTCCTGCTGCTGGATGTGCAGTCCTGTGAGGGCCACGGGCTTTGTTTGGCTCTCGACGCGTCATAGCACCTAGAACTGGCCCTGGCGAGGCCTGGGGGCAAAAGCTCACGCATGCCTTCCAGGTGCTGAGAACAACCCCCGGGAGCTGTGACTGGTGGGGACCCCCGACCCCCAGGCAGCTGAAACCTCCCCACAGCCTGTGCAGCTGAGACCTTTCCCCTCTTAGCTGAGATACCCCCTAGGGCAGCTGGCACCCCCTTTAAGGCGACCGGGATCCTGGTCCCATGGGCAGCCGGGACCCCAGCCCAGGGCAGTGGGGCCCCTACCCCAGGCCGTGGGATCCCTCTTCCCAGTCCTGGTGAGGCGGGCCTGGCTGATTCTCAGTGCTTTTCCAACATTATCCCCCACAACTGACACCCTGACCCAGCCCAGCAGGCATGGGACTGGTCCAACCCTCCCTGCCCCTGCTCTGTGCCGACACCCTCCTAGGACCTCTCCCCATGGGCAAAGAAAAGAAGAAAAATAGAGGGACCTGGAGAATGTGGGATATTTTGGGTAGAAAGTGAACACCTCCTCCTTCCAGGAAGCTTTTCTCCTCTCCCCAGGGACTCGGTTTCCACTGCAGACGCTGGGGGCGGGGGGGGGGGGGGGCAGCCGTGCACGGCTCAGTGTCCTGCCAGGTACGACTTGTCCCCGTTTGCTCCGATGACATTTTGAAGCCACTCTTTCACCACAAAGATGACAGAGCAGGGTGTGGAGTGCGTCTTAGCGCAGAGGAGTGCCACTTTGCTGTGATCATGGCTCAGAGGAGCTTCTTCTCCAGGGATGCTGCCTTCATGACGCTGACCACGCCATCCCAGCCTTCGCCGCCCGCTTCTGCCAGCCTGGCTCTTCCCACACACATTTCTACCACGTAACAAAGAACTGGACCCTCCAGTGCCATGGGAAACCAGGCTCTCATGTGAGTTCTTTGGGAAAACGAGAGCTGGGAGAGGAGAGGGTGAGATGGGAAAACACACAGCGAGTTAGTCCCCTCACAAGGAAACGAACAAACTCCACGAAAACGTGACTTTGCAGGACAAGAGGCAGGACCCCGCAACCTTCAGTGATAACATAAGAGGACCCCGGTTGGAATCCTGGCCAGAGCAAACTGTTCTTTCCACTCTGAGCTCCCTAGACCTCCATCCACCCAGATAGGTTTAGCTGTCCCGTGGGGACTGGCCCCGTGGACCTCTCCCTCCGAGCCCAGATGGTGGCCAGGACAGCCAGGCGGTGGGAGGCGCCCCACAGGCCCCTAGAAGATGAGAGACCCCAATGGGGAGGAGATACCTACCCCCCTGGGGGCACGGGGAGTGCTGCAGACAGGATTTCCTAGGACGAGAGCTTTTCCACCGGCTCCCTCTGGGCCTGGGGAGCCTTCATCCTCAGTCCTGAAATGAGGTGGTCACCCCTGACCAGGGGGCTTTGGCTCCTGGTATTTCCCGGTCTGTCACGAAGGTCCTTTTCCTTTAAGTGCCGGCCAGAGCCTGAGCGCTCCGAGGGAGCCCCGTCTGGCCGCCTTGCCTTCAGCAAACCGAGTGGTTTTATCTGGATACACACGTGCATCTTGTATCCAAGTATGTAGAATTGTAAAAATGAAAGAACGATCTGTAAAACTTTTAGAATGTTTTACCTTTGAGGGTCGAAAGGGGAAAGGGTGGAGGGGATGTGAGCTCAGGTTCTCTGGGCAGCCCCAGCTTTGTTTAGAGGCAACTTTGACCCCTCATCAGTGTTTTACGTAAGTATGAAAGGATCAATCCCTAAAAATGGAAAGCAAAAACAAGCAACAGCCTAACTATGCACCAAGTGATGGCAAAACCACGCTGATGACTCCTGTTTCAAAGACAATAAAACACGGAGATGTGGCTGGAACTCCCAGATGGGACAAAAGCTGGGAAAATAGAAAACAAAGGGCCCTCGACATCCCGCTGTGTCCGGGGTCCATGCTACTATGGGCAGCATTGGTGCTGGTGCCCCGGGCCCTGGGTGCAAGTGTAGGGGAAAGTAACCGGGTCCTCAGGGCAGTCTGCTTGGGAATAGAGGTTTTCAGCTCAGGAGAACAAAGACACAAAGTAGGAGGCGAGGAGTTACCTAGAACCTTTTTCAGACAGAGTCTCACTGTCACCCAGGCTGGAGTGCAGTGGTGTGATCTCGGCTCACTGTAACCTCTGCCTCCTGGGTTCAAGCTATTCTCTTACCTCAGCCTCCCAAGTAGCTGGGATTACAGGTACACACCACTACACTTGGCTAATTTTTGTATTTTTAGTAGAGACGAGGTTTCACCATAGTGGCCAGGCTGGTCTCGAACCGCTGACCTCAGGTGATCCACCCGCTTTGGCCTCCCAAAGTGCTGGGACTACAAGCATGAACCACTGCGCCTGGCCATGTTTCTTAATAAAACATAATGAACGAGGACGGTGTCTTTATTCTGAAAAGCACCAGTTTATACAAAGTACAGGAGACAGAGGAACCTGACCCACCAGTGATTCATCATCCAACCCCTCAGCAGGGAGACACAGGGAGGACCTGAGCTGGACTTTGGCAGGGAAAGGCTGGGAGGACCTGAGCTGGAGAGCATGGCCATTTCAAGGGCCTCTTGTGTTTTTCTTTTGCTTTTTCTTTTTTTTTTTTTTTAGACGGAGTCTCACTTGTCACCCAGGCTGTAGTGCAATGGTGCGATCTCAGTTTACTACAACCTCTGCCTCCTGGGTTCAAGCGATTCTCCTGTCTTAGCCTCCTGAGTAGCTGGGATTATAGGTCCCCACCACCACACCCAGCTAATTTTTGTATATTTAGTCAAGACGAGGTTTTGCCATGTTGGTCAGGCTGGTCTCGAACTCCTGACCTCAGAAGATCTGCCGCCTCAGCCTCCCAAAGTGCTAGGATGACAGGCATGAGCCGCCGCGCCTGGCCTGGGTGGCTGGTTTTATTCAGTGCCCACACAGGGTCTGGCACCTTTGACCTTGACAAAGCCTGCCAGCCTGGCTGTCTCCTTAGCTGGCCTGTGCTGTGGACTCATCTCTCCAGGGACCTGCTCTCCCTTGCCTTTCTCTGATCAAGAGTTTGGCTCCAACTCAAACCACTATTGCCCCTGCTGAGGATGGAGCGTTTGTGCCCCATGAAATTCATATGGGGAATCTATCCTCCATTGCAATGTGTTAGGAAGTGGGGCCTTTGGGAGGGGACGAGGCCACGAGGGTGCAGCTCTCGTGATGAGATTAGGGCTCCTATGAGAAGCAACACCAGAGCCTCCTCTCTCTGCTGTGTGAGGACACAGGGAGGAGGGGCCGTCCGTGAACCAGGAGGGAGCCCTCCCTGGACCCCACCGCTGCCAGCATCCTGACCTCAGACCTCCAGCCTCCAGACCTGTGAGGAACCACGTCTGTTCTTGGAGCCCCCCAGCCTATGGCATTTTGTTATTCCAGCCTGAGTTGGCTAAGATACCCCAGAAAGGGAGGACTTTGTCCCCTCTCCCCAAAAATAGTCCACACTCTACTTTTGGCTTGGAGACTAACGTCCTAATCTAGCAATCTAAAACCTTACGATTTTTTTTCGCTCTACTTGATTTTTGCTCTGTTTTGCTTTCTGATGTTTTAATTACCAAAGTAGCGTATGCTCATTGTAGCAAGTCAGATAATGTGATGGAAAAGTTAGCGATCTCCCTCCTGCGTCAAACGCACCTGTGAGGTGCAACCTGAGAAACTTGGTTTATCATTAATCTGTCTCTGTGCCTTTCTCTATGTGTGTGCAAACACACACACACCTCACATTACACATACCAGTGGGCTTCTTTTCTGTCTCATTATTTTTAAGCAAAACCAGGACCCGTCCCACACCGGACTCTTAGAACACGGCCTTCTCTGCTACTTCACATCTCCAGCTGCTGCTGAGCCAGCTCTTTTGGTGGACAGCTGCCTTGGGAAAGTGCCTGTTTGCACATCAACAGTATGGGGACCAGGGACCCTGGGGTCAGCCATGGCTTCACATAAAGGAAAGCCTCTTCCTCCTGAGGCTGGCTGAGGACAGGCGCCGTGTTCCACTCAACGTCTGCTAAAGGCAGGCAGCTGGCAGGGGTGCAAGGTTTTGTCCTCATAAAAAGGCTTCAATAAACACCCCTAAACCCCTAGGTTTATGCACACAAATGCTAAAATGCCTGCGTGATACTTTTCCCCTAGCCACCGGCCCCCGCCCCCCTGAGCAATCGCTGGATAAATCACATTCACTTTTAATTTAGCAGACAAGGCCAGATAAGATTCTCAAAAGATCATTTCAGTATGCACTTCTGCCAGAAACGTGAACTAATTCCCCGCACCCTCAGCAGCTCCAGAGGTGCGGAGTTTTGATGTTTGCTGTTCCAAAGCGGAGAAGCAGGCTCTGCTGTTGCCAGAGTTCGCATTTCCCTAACCCCGCACTGTGCCTCATTTTAAATTCTTATTAGTTGTCCGTAGATCGTCTTTGGCACATGGCTAGTTCCTGTTCTTTGCTATTTTTCCCATTGCATTGCTTGACTTTTTCTCAACATGAAGTAAGAGAATTTGGTCTATGAAGGACGCTAACCCTTTATCATATGAACTGCAGACATTTTTCTCAGTCTATCACTTGTTAGATTGCTATAATTTGTACTTGCCATGTAAAAATACCTAATTTGATACTGTAAAATATATTTAACTTTTCTTTAAGGTTTTGGGTTTTCTGTTCTGGTTAAGGGAAGATCTCCCAACTTCCAGGTTACAAAAGTAGCATTTCAAAACTTCTTTCTAATATTTTGTTGTTCTATTTGTAGCATACTTAAGCTTTCGTGCTGTTACATCTTTTTTCTTTCTAAAGTAGAGGCCTACGTTTGTTTCCGTTCAGCCGGAAGACGCCTCAGTGCTCAGGCAGCCCATCGCCTTCCTCTACAATGTTTAATTTGCATTTCGTGCCTTGGGTCTTAGATCCCAAGTCACTTCCTCAGAGCTTTGAATGCCCAACTTAATTAGCTCCTTTTCCTGCTTGATCCAAATCAAACTGGAAGACCGAGTAAGTGCATACGGTTCCTTTCCACTCAACATTTCTCCAAATGTGAGAAAATATAAGTTAAAAATAATAAATCCTGGCCGGGCGCAGTGGCTCATTCCTGTAATCCCAGCACTTTGGGAGGCCAAGGCAGGCAGATTGCCTGAGCTCAGGAGATCGCGACCAGCCTGGGCAACATGGTGAAACCCTGTCTCTATTAAAATACAAAAAATTAGCCTTGCGTGGTGTTGTGTGCCTGTAATCCCAGCTACTCGGGAGGCTGAGGCAGGAGAATTGCTTGAACCCGGGAGGCAGAGGTTGCAGTGAGCTGAGATGATGCCATTGCACTCCAGCCTGGGCGACAGAATGAGACTCCATCTCAAATAATAATAATAATAATAATAATAATAAATCCTTAGGAACATTGGAAATCAGTGTCCAGGAGTTGTGACACATTCGTGAGAAATGAAGACAGAATCCGACTGAGCTGAAGAGAGAAGACTGCAGCCCAAAATATGGGAGAAAGAAGCCCCGGGGAAGGTTGAAGCCAATCAGGAGACTGGAGGCGCGCTGGAAGAACGGAGCCAATCGAAGCCCAGTTCCCATCGCGAGCAATGAGACGGGGTGTTTCCACCAGGCAGAAGCGGGGAAATGCTGTCCAGAGCTCACCACCTGTCTCCAGAAGACCATGGGGTGAGCAGAGGGGCTCAGGGAGAAAGAGCTGCGTGGAGTTCCTGAAACACTTACTAGAGACTCAGAGGCAATTAAATGTACGGATGGGTAGCAAAGCTGGTAGTCCCCAGGAGGGGAGGAAATGGAAGCTCCACTGCAAGGTTCAGCTCTCACTGTGGCTGAGCCCGAAGCTACGGGACCCCTGCCTGGCCCCTGCCCAGCTGCCCCGGGTCCAGCCTCTCCTGGCTAACTGGCCCATGCCAGCAGTCTCTTCTGGTCCAGAGTCACAAGAGGTTAGTAAAGTAGATCCACATAAATGCAGATGCCACAGCAGCCAGGGCGGCCGATCGACTTAGTCCTGTGTTCCACAGCGTAAGCATCAGGGCCTCCAAATACTTGGATCAGCCCCACCCCCCGGCACACATGAGAAGCAACGGGGTAAGCAAGCACAGCAGATGGCTCTGGGAAACAGAAGTGATATGGAGACCCAGAAACATTATTGCAAATTTTTTTTTTTTTGAGACGGAGTCTCGCTCTTTCACCCAGGCTGGAGTGCAGTGGTGCGATCTCGGTTCACTGCAACCTCTGCCTCCTGGGTTCAAGCGATTCTCCTGCCTCAGCCTCCCGAGTAGCTGGGACTATGGGCACGTCCCACCACGCCCAGCTAAGTTTTTTTTTTTTTTGTATTTTTAGTAGAGACAGGGTTTCACCATGTTGGCCAGGCTGGTCTCGATCTCCTGACCTCGTGATCCACCCACCTCTGCCTCCCAAAGTGCTGGGATTACAGGTGTGAGCCACCATGCCCAGCCCATTATTGCAAAATGTTAATTCGTATCAGAAGTGATATCCAAGAGTCTAATGCATTCATAAGATTAAACAGATGGGCCCCTCCAAAAACAAAGATGAAAATACTATCAGAAATTAAAAATCTGAACATCTCCAGCAAAAAATGCAAGAACAAGTCAAGTCAGCAGCATGAACATGGCTGAAGTCCAGATTAATGAACTGGAAGTTATGATCAAAGAAATCTCTCAGAATGCAGAGAGATAAGTAGACACTGATGTTCACTGTGTGTGTTTTACCACAATAAAGAAAATTCAGAGGAGATGACACTTACATGCAATCCAGGGTATCCAGTGTTTCTCTAGGATTTCCAGGAAAGAAAACAGAAAATTCTAGGAAGAATAACAGAGAATTAATAAAAGATCTCAGAGCTGATACGATACAAAGCACTGGCTTTGACTCAACAGGGGTAAAGGGGTTAAACGACACAATCAGGCCAGTCCCAGACCAGTAAGCTCTGAGTCTCTATTCTACCTGAGACTGAGAACACCAAAGACAAGAGAAAGCATTGCCATCTTCCAGAGAGAACAGACAGCTTACCTAGAAAGGAAGAAAACCACACATACATCAGACCCTCCTCATTGTGACACTGGGTACCAGGAAGAACAGTGAGCCTGTCCAGGGGCAATTTCGGTATCCATTAAAATTAAATCAGTCTCATCTTTTCCTGTTTTATTTCTAGGTAACTTCCTTAGAAATATACTTGCAAATGGACAAAAAAAAAAAAAAAAAAGAGAGAGATCTACAAGGCTGCTGTTTGAAGCTTTGTTTATGTGAGACAAAAACTAGCACACACATGGCTGTGAACAGGGAAAGTTACATCAGGTTTGCTGGGTTTGTACAATGGAGGGCCAGGCAGCCGTTTAAAAGAACAAAGTAGAACTGCACACACTGCTGGGGCGGGATCGTCATGACAGCCAATGAGCTACAGAGAAGTCAGGTCCCATCTAAAATATATTTTTACAAATATATTAATATTAATAAATATACTTAAATATATCCAAAATTTATATATATGTATATATACACACATATATGTGTATATATATATATATATATATATTTTTTTTTTTTTTTTTTTGAGACAAGGTCTCATTCTGCCACCTAGGCTAGAGTGCAGTGGTGTGATCTCGGCTCACTGCAACCTCCACCTCCCTGGTTCAAGCAATTCTCATGCTTCAGCCACCCAAGTAGCTGGGATTACAGGTGCCCTTCGATGCTTACTAAGGTCCCCTGTGGAGGTTTTGGGAAACGTCCTGCTGGTCTGAATTCTGCACACACTGAATGCTCAGGATGCCAGGGAGCCTGGTGGATGGGATTGGATGGGGCTTGAGGCAGGTGTTTGCTAACTCCAAGGGTTCCAAGGGTGGTCTCCCAAGCAAGTCCCATCAGGCCCTGTGACAAAGGCCCTGTGACAAAGCCTCAGTGGGCAGGAAGGGGCGGCCCCCTCTACTGTGGGGCTGGGGAGTGACCACCTGCTTTTGTAGATGGAATCACCTTGAGAGGTGGCCACACTCATCGTTCACTCATCGTCTGAGGCTGCGTTTGAACAAGAGCAGAGCTGAGCAGTGGAGACAGAGACTGTGTGGTCTGCGAGGTGGAAAGTACTTGCTCTCTGACCGTTTAGGAACAGGCCTGCTCGCCTGCCCAGGGCATCTGTGTCCTGTGGAAGCTACAGGTCACCTCCAACTCACGCCTCGGGTGCCGAGAGTCTCAGGGAGGAGCCTCCAGGACCCCAGGAGTGGAAACTTTTGCAAAGAAAAGTAACTTTATATTTCTATAAAAAGGATTATACAATATGATTTAATTATTCCAAGCCCGTGGTAAAGCCCACATTCTCAACACATTCTCCTGCTGCTGTCAGCCCATTCCAATGAGAGGGTGTTTATTTTGACAAATGCAGTGTCTTACTGAGAACTGTTAAAAATTAATATTAAGTTTAAATCTGAAAAGTGATTATTGCACGTGACTAGTAAATTCCACACTATTTGAACTCTTTAAGAGTCTCCTTTCTTTCCAAATACATTTTGCATCCAAAATGTGAACACAGTGTTAAGTCTTTACAAAATGGTTTAAAAAATATTGTTTTAAAAAGTCCATTCTTGCTTAGAGTTTGGCAGCAGAGCAAAATGAAATCCCATCCAAATGAAATGTTTTACCATGTTCAGTTCCATAATGAAAAGCTGGCAAAGTCAATGGGATGGGGAGGGGGTGGCAATCACATTTGGTTTAATTTATAACAAGAAATCCAATCCAACGCATTTTTAAATTCAGGAAATACTAAAATGCAGACTGTGAAGGCCAACTCCATGTGGAGTGCGCAGCCCATAATAGTCGGCTGATTTAAAACCTGACCAATATGAACTACCCAACTAACGAGACTTGAAAAACCAGTACAATTAATTAATAAAAGTAAATGTAATAGTTAGAAATGTACTGAAACAAAAAGGGAGCACTAAAAGTAAGTATTCTCAACAAGCTGCAAACGCGGTCCTCAGCAGGGCACACCCCGCTGGAGGCCCCTGAGTCCTCAGGGAGAAGGGCTGTGGCCTCCCGACAGGGACCCTGGCAGCCTCATGGGGGAGGATTTTGTTCATCGGTCCCCTTGCTCTCCCATTGTTTGCAAGCGAGGACTGAAGGAGAAATCCTCGTGACTTCTGTGGCCCAGGTTAGAGTTACACAGACTCACTGTGCTGAGACCGGAAAACCTGCTCTTTCCCTATAGGTTTCAACCACGCTCCTCCGACTGGGGTCTGGGTGAGGAGCGCCGGGCCAGGCCCCGGGGCGGGGAGAGGGGTTTGTGCTGCTGTCTCGGCTCAGGATCCAGCAGTGCCTCTGGGGCAGGTCCTGAGTTCCCAGATCCCGTCGGGGCTCTCCCAGGCAGCATGGACCCTGTGGTTCTGCACGTCACAGACTCTTTGGGGGCGTCCACAGCCCTTTGCGCTTGAGGCTGGTCTGATAGGCTTGGCAAGGGCAGGATCACACCGAGTTCACGCGGCAGCCCCAGTCACCTGGTTGCTCCATCTACAGACTTGATAACCGAGGGCCGGGTGGTCTCCTCCCAGGTTATCTGCTCGAGCCCCAGGCAATATCATGTGGCTCACTGCTCATGGTGTGGTCCCTGGGTGGCCACGTCTCTTCACCTGGAACCCGCCAAATCAGCCCATGCATTTCAACAAGGTCCACCTTCCACATCTGAAGCTCCCCCTCAGACTCCCCCGCTGGCTTCTTCTGCACCAGCCCTCGGAGGCAGTCGCTCCCAACCCCCAAAGCCTCCTGTGCACCCTGTGACCCTCAGAGTCAGAAACACCTCTCCACGTGGTGACCACTGCCCGACTCCCACCTGCCCACTGCACCTGCCATCCGTTTGTCTCGCCGGCCATGCAGGCGGAGCTCAAAGTCTCCCCCATCGCCTGCTCTCCTGGAGGGGCACCTGGCCACAGCTGTGGTCACTTGTGTTCTCACAGTCGTCTTAGGTTCCAGAGGCAATGGCTTTTAGTGTCAGAACCCATCAGATTAAGGAATGAGGTGTATTAGATATTTTTAAAAATTAACACTGTTTTATTTTTTCTCAGCATAACATTTAAATGATCTAGAAGTTTACCAAGTAAAAGTGAGAGCCAATCCTCACACCCTCCGGCAAATCACCAGGTTCCCCAGAAGTGGCCTCCGGTAGCTCTTCTGTGTGCACTTTTTTTTTTTTTTGAGATAGAGTCTCCCTGTGTTGCCCAGACTGGAGTGCAGTGGCACGGTCTTGGCCCACTGCAACCTCCGCCTCCTGGGTTCAAGTGATTTCAGCTAACTTTTGTATTTTTAGTGGAGACAGGGTTTCACCATGTTGGCCAGGCTGGTCTCGAACTCCTGACCTCAGCTGATCCGCCTATCTCGGCCTCCCACTGTGCTAGGCTGACAGGCATGAGCCCCCGCACTCGGCCCCTGTGTGCATCTCCGTGTGTATGTGCTTGTGCAGGTGAAAATCTCTTTTTAAGTATGAATGGGATCTGACTGTTCTGTAGCTCACGTGTTTACCCTCTCAACACGCCTCCCACAGCAGCATGCACAGTTGTTTTGTCCTTTTAAATGGCTGCCTGACCCGCCATCGTATGGACTCAGCAACATTGGTGGAGCTTTCTCTATTCACGGCCAGGGTTCGGCACAGCAGTCGAGGGGAGCTGGAGCCACTGCGCTGAGTGGAGGAGGCAGAGGCAGAGGCAGGGGTGTTGCTGAAGCCCAGGGGTCCCTGTCGGAGGCTGGACACAGGCAGAGCTGGCTCTGCTGGTGACAGTGGCTCCTGTGTAGAGGTCTGTCCCCGCAGAGGGCCGTGAACTAAGGGGAGGAGAGGACTGGCCTCGTGTGTATTTTCCAAGCAACCTTCTCCCAGTCAGGATGTGTAAAAGCAATGCCCGGTTTCCTTACCCGTTCACCACACCGATCATCTCCGCATGGCAGATGGTGTGTGCAGCCGACTGTCAGCTCTGCCCAAGCTTTCGTGACTGCCCCCCACTCCTGACAGTCAGCACGTAGCATGGAGGGGCACAGATTTCCAACTGACCAGCTTCCCTATCAGGGAGATGGGCTCTGATCCGGGATTTGGCTGGGCCCAGGGAAAGGAAATGGGAGTGGTCACAAACCAGGGTCACACCCTGGCCTGGCAAGGTCGGCAAAGCCAGCCAGTGACCGTGCCCAAAAGATGAGGACAGTTTAAGTCTCAAATATAGACTTGAAGTCAGAGATTTTCAGCCCTAGGTGTGGCTGCCTCCCTCCTCTCCCTGGAAGCCACACTGAGGACCCCACACTGAGGACCCCACAGGGACCCTCAGGAAGCACCTGCTGGGTTTGGGGTTTCCTCCTGCAGCAAAACGTCCCCCCAGATTCGGAGAGGGAGCAGCGGTGGCACTGGTGTCTCCAGACCTGGCAGCTCATAGCCTTCTCTTCCTATCCCTGGGTTTAAAATTGAGTTTGCAGCCATGCAGGCAGCAGCTGTTTCTCAGGTGCATTTGGTTGTATGACACTGACCTGCGTATCTTGTTCTGGACTCCCAGATCGACCCCTCAGAAAAGCTGCCTGTCCTCCTCCCGTTTCCTCGTCCTTTCTCTCTGACTGTGGATACCTCTCTAGACACAGAGGGTGGCCGGGACCAGCTCTGCACGGCGTGTGGTGGCCTTGTGTGTCATGCGTATGGAGAAAAGGCTCTTTCTCCCTGGGGTCTCCAGGCATTCCCCAAATCCTGCTGCTGTTTGAGAGTCTCAACCTGGAGCCCTGTTGGCCTGAGAATCTCCACTGAAGTCTGAGAATTACAAGCCACCGAGAGCCATGGAATGAGGGCTTGACCCTCTGCGTCCTGCTCCAGTGAAAATGGACGGAGACCACACCCCCGAGCCCTGCTGGGGGTCCTGAGAGACACGAGCAGAACATGCCCCTCTCTGCTGGAGGCTGTGTCATTCAGGAAGCGACGTTTATTTCTTCGGGTTCACATGCGGCCTCCTGTCCAGCTGGAGGACAGGGAGCTAGAGAACGGGTCAGCCGCAAGGCCCCGCGTGTCCATAGAGGGCAGTCTTGGTTTACCGAACGGATACTACACTCCAAATTGCATTTGTTCTCACTTAGTAGAAAAATATGCTATGAATTTGCCATTACAACACAATCAACATGTCTTTTTTATGAAGAATGTCATACAGCCAATTATTTGTGTTTCTGTTACAGCTGTGTGTTGTTCCTTTAGAACAAACAATACTCCCCTTCTGCTGCAGAAATAGCATATGTTGGTTTGAAATGAAACCTAGTAGCGAAAAAGTTGAACGCTGCTGGATGGCGAGAAAACCCTGAGCGCACCGGGTCTTGATAGAAGAAAATGGGGAGGCAGCCGCTCGTCGCCTCTTCTTCCTTGACAGTAGAGTGAGCGAAGCTGCTGTCCGTGAGAGGAGGAATCCGGGCGGAAAGCCTCCATGTCCACAGCCCTGTTGTCTTCTCCTGCAATGTCCTCCTCCGTGGGGCCCCAGGAGGACAAAGCTCGTCCCTTGGCACCGCCAAGGCTGAGGACACCAAGGCAGGAGCCCCAGGCTGAGGACAGGGCCGGAGATGAGCGGCTATAAAGTGAAGTGGAGCCCTGACCACAAACGCGAGGCCCGTGGGAGTCAGCACGTGCTGCCGTTTTAGCCGGGTAGCCCTTTGATTGTAAAATCATAGAAGGCCCACGAGCAAGCTTCGTAGTTAAAGAAAGCTGGTTGCAAAGAAAAGTGATGAGTCTCGGGAAAGGACGTGCTCCTTCCTGGGACTCCACGAGACACGGGCTGCCTTGGAGGAGGAGCCGCAGCCGGAGAGCTGGTTGCTTTTCTCTCGAGATGCAGCCCCACTTGTTTTACATTTGACTTTTATGATTTCTGTTTACATTCCTGTACTGCTCTTTACTACTAAAAACAAGCGGGGAGCAAATAACCCCATGGCTCTGGCACCTCCTCGCTCTCTTCACCCGGTCGCCTGAGTGGGAGTCCTGGGGTCGTCCCCGACTCCTCACGTCCCCGCCTCCAACGCCACAAGCCCGACCGTCCTCCCCTTGGGTTCTGCTTCTCCAACATCATTGCCAAAACCTCATTCATTACAAATTCCAACTTTGTCCCAGAATAACAAGCACAGCTAGGACTGTTGGCCACTTGCTGGGCTGTGGTCCCTGCCCTGTGCTGGCTGGTTGGCACAGATGCTCTTTAACCCTCCAAAGAAGCGTCCCCAGGAGCCCCTCCTCCTCCTCCTGGCATGTCTGGATTCTCTGCAGGTATTTGGGGTGATACACCCACCTGTCTTTCTTCCCCCACAGGTGCTGGGTTCCTGAGGCAGGGGCTCAATGCGCATGGTCTTAGCATCTGACCAGTGCCAAAAAGTGGCAGCAATGTGGTGCCTGACTGACTTATGAAAGAATGCATCAGGCATGAGCTGGACCTCAAGCTCTCCGCATTCCTCCTGGGTGGTCGCCTTAGTCTGCAGCTGTCTCCACCAGGGAGGAAGGTATGCAAAGCTACAGAACCACATAGGGTGGGGCCACAGCACGGGCACCTCTCAGCTCCCCCTGAGTGAAACTTGCTTCACGGGGCCAGGTGTCAGGTGGAAATGTTCTCTTTGGTGCCACTGATCCCATGGTGGAGGAGGAGGGGGGGCTGTTGCAGCAGCCCAGGTGGGAGCTGCACACCCCTCTGGCCAGGTGGCGGGGACGGCCGGCCTCTGTTCAGCACGGCCCACTGCACAGGTGGGGGATGGCCAGCCTCTGTTCAGCACAGCCCGCTGCTGGCTGCACATCTCACGGGTCTTGTCCCAGCCTGTTTCTCCCACCACCTCTCAACAGTTAGGGAGGTTATGTTTTTAAAGATGTTTTTGCTGACTTCAGTGGTATGACGGACTCCCAGAGACCAACCCAGTCGAAGGATTTGAACCTCTAGGGGTCTGTCACCCCTCACACCTCCTACAGGGTGGGAGTTGGGCCATTGCCAGGGCTGGGTCTGGTGCTCCATGAGTTAAAGACCACGCTGTCTGTCTCTTGGTCTTCCCGTCATCCTTTGTTCCTCATAGTTGCAAAATGGCTGCTGGAGCTCCAGATGTGGGCCACATCTCCCTTTTGTCAGAGCCCTTCTGACGGTGAATTTTATGTATCAACTTGGTGAGGCCCTGGTGCTCAGCTGTTGAGTCAAATGCCAGCCTAGATGTTTCTGGGAAGGTATTTTTTAGATGTGATTAACATTTAAGCTAGCACACTTTGAGTAAATAGATTACCACCTCCCCTCCCACCATTGTGTGGTGGGCCCCATCCAATCAGTTGAAGGTCTTAGGAGCAAAGACAGGTTTCTCCTCAAACCTGTACCACAGACTTCCTGCCTGTGTTACTAGTCAACCCAGCAGATTCTAGACTCAAGATTGCAGTGTCATCTGGGCTGGGTGTGGTGGCTCACACCTGTAATTCCGGCACTTTGGGAGGCTGAGGTCGGCGGATCACTTGAGGTCAGGAGTTCAACACCAGCCTGGCCTACATGGTGAAACCCCGTCTGTACTAAAAATACAAAAAACATTAGCCAGGCATGGTGGCATGCACCTGTAGACTCAGCTGCTCGAGAGGCTGAGGCGGGAGAATCACTTGAACCTGGGAGGCAGAGATCACAGTGAGCCGAGATTGCAACACTGCACTCCAGCCTGGGCAACAGGGCGAGACTCTGTCTCAAACAAACAAACAAACAAACAAAAAATAGAGTGTGACATCCACTCTTACTGAATTTCCAGCTTTCTCTGGAGAGCTCTGATTACGTCAGCCCTGCATCCATTCCTGCTCCCACCTAGAGGGCAGGTGGCCCATCCCAGCTGTGGAAAACTCAGGTGTGTCATCGCACCTGTCCCGCCTCCAAGGTGGAGATGAAAGAAGGGGTTGTGGTGTCCTTTGGTTTCCTCCCCCAGGTCTGCAATCCAGATGTGGTGGAACCAAAGAGAACCAGGGCATCCAGAGTGTCCTCACCCCAAGTCCAACAGCATACCCAACGTCATGGTGGGGTGACAGTCCCATGCCTCAGTCATCACCACGCTGCGTCACCACGGACAGGGTGGTCTCGGGAAATCAGACATGAAAGCAGGAACCCAGCTTGCAGGCTTGGAAATTTTCCCCGAGCGTTTGGTATTAGATTTGTTTGCAAAGTGCTCAGATAACTAGGAAAATAGCAAGATTTTCCAGTATTTCCCAGTCCCTAAAATTCAGTTTCTGCTTCACTGCACATGATCTCACCAAGAAGGGGATTAATACAGTTTTAAGTTCTTTTCGCTGTTACAGTCATCACTTTCCTTCACGTGTGACTATGTGTGAAAAAACAATAAAACCATTTTAAGAAAAAAAGAAACATTTTTGATTGAACTGGAAACTAATTCTTATTTGAATCTGTTGTATTTCTAGATATGTAAATAATTTATTCATATCAATGGAATAAAATATTCTTATAAATAGAATCCACAAGGCTAATTTAGCATAGTATTGCTCATACACAGAAAATGCTGGTACTCTAAACAAGCAGAAAATATGGTCATTTTCAAAATAAACTCCATGTTTTACACACAGAATTTTCTGTGTTGATTAAAATTCTGAAAAATGAGATGGTATAAAAGGGTAGCTTTATTTACTTTTTCTTCTGAAGTAGAGAAACAGACATTTCAGTTTGGCTAAAATATTATTTTGGTTGGGAGTGAGAAAAAGAGATAAAAAAATTTCCTCGTTTTCAGCAAAACCAATAGAAATTAAATCTTGTAAAAATAAGAGCCACATCTGGAGAGAGAGCTCACAGCCAAGTGGGGGTTTCCCTGGCCGGGGTGCGTGGGGCTCCTTCTAGGTGATGTGAACTCTCCGGTTCCATGCAGAGGTGAAAGGATAAGCTATGAGCTACTGCAGACAGGTGCCCGGCCGGCTGTCATGGAGGAAGGCTGATCCCTGGGAGGGCCCTGTGTGTGGGGCGGCCCCCCCACCAGGCCAGAGAAGGACCAGGGGAGAGTTCCTTGGGGAATACTTAAAAGCATCTCTGTATTTTTAACGGTTTACATGGATTTTACAGAGACGAAGAGTGAGCCAGAAGGAGCCCCACTGAGGGTGGGTGGGCTGCTGCAGTGGAGGCCGGCCCGATGCCCCCTCCTTAACCCACAGGGGAGGTCGGCCCAATATCCCTCCTCAACCCGCAAGGGAGGCCGGCCTGATGCCCCTCCTCACCCCAAAAGGGAGGCCAGCCCGATGCCCCGTCCTCAACCTGCAGGTCCCCTCCTTCACCAGTCTGGGGCCCTGGGCTGAGGGAGCCCTGGGCTGAGGGAGCATGCAGGGCCCAGCCAGGGACCCCCGGGTGCAGCTGCCCACAGCTGCTTTTGTCCAGGGACTCATGGGGTGCTGGTCCCTGAACTGTGGGTGATGGACAGGTATAGGCAGTTTTAGGAAGGCCATAGTCTGGGTTCTGGAGGCCCACCCAGGTGGAGCAGGACCCCTGCCATGGGGTCTAGAGAGCCCCATCTAACCCAAGGAAGAAGAGGTATGTGGGTCAGAAGCCAGGTGGGTGGCACAGGCCAGCCAGACAGGATCAGGAACGAGGGAAGACGAGGGGGGTGCCCGGCTGCAGGGGCGCTGCACTGGCATTGTTGCTTTGGGCATCAAGGCTGAATCCGAGCCCTGCCCACGGGGCGTTCAGGGTCAACTCAGATGTGTGGAGGGGGCTGCTCTGCAGCTGAAGGTCACACAGGGTCACTTCTGTCCAGGGAAAGGAATTCAGGAGCAGACAATACCCGCCCACCTGCAGCCAGCGTGGCGTCCAGGCGGAGTGGAGCCCACAGATGCTGGCGGGGGGATGAGCTCACAGACACCCTCGTTGTCATGGAGGCTGTGGGGTGTGTGGGTGGGGTTGAGGGGCTCCTGCCATCCCTTTGCTGCTAGCCAGGCCTTGATGAGGGGAGGGGAGCTGACTTCCTAGAGATCGCACCACGTGCCTTCCACCATTTCTGAACAACCCGCTGATGAGGCCCAGCCCCGGTGGTCATAAGAAATTGGTGCCTGGCGAGACGCCAGTGATGTCCCACGCGATCACTTGGCAGAACCCACCACACCACTGGACCTCACCGCTGGGCCGCACCGCTGGACCGCACCGCTGGACCGCACCGCTGGACCTCACCGCTGGACCTCACCACAGGACCGCACCGCTGGACCTCACCGCTGGACCTCACCACAGGACCGCACCGCTGGACCTCACCGCTGGACCGCACCGCTGGACCTCACCACAGGACCGCACCGCTGGACCTCACCGCTGGACCTCACCACAGGACCGCACCGCTGGACCTCACCGCTGGACCTCACCACAGGACCGCACCGCTGGACCGCACCGCTGGACCGCACCGCTGGACCGCACGGCAGGACCGTACCGCTGGACCTCACCACAGGACCTCACCACAGGACCTCACCGCTGGGCCGCACCGCAGGACCGCACCGCTGGACCGCACCACCGTCCTGGCAGGTGAGCGTGGAGCCTGGCGCTCCCTGGCGACGACCCTGGTCAGACTTCCAGGAGCGCCCCTGCGGGTAAAGTCACATGTACGCTCTGTTCTGGGCTCAGCAACCGAGTCGTAGGAGAGACGGAGTGGCCTGGGGCCAGGTCCTGAGTCCGAGGAGCAGCTGTCTGGGCTCTCCCTTGGCCACGAAGCAGCTCACACCGAGGGCAGGAGCAGAGGCCTCCCGGCCCCGGGCGGAACCCCGCAGGAGGGCCTCCCTGAGGCCAACGTCTCTGGCGCCACCTCCCGCAGTGTTCGCTGGAGCCCGCGGCCATGCAGGGCCACACGGACCCGGGGGCTGCGCAGAACTGGGGCCCTCGTGCACCGTGGGTGGGAATGGAACGTGGCGCCGCTGCTGTGGAAAACCAAAGGGCAACTCCTCAGAAAGTTAACACAGAATCTCTATAGGGCCCAGCAATCCCACCTCCAGGCCTATCCACAAAAGAATCGAAAACAGGGGCTCCAAGAAGTACGAGTACACACATGCGCATAGAAACCGCATGCGCAGCAGCCGAGAGGCAGAAGCAGCCCAGACGTCCCCTTGACGGCTGAGTGCATAATGGGGCCTCCATAGAAGGGAATATGTTTCCGCCACAGCAAGGGACGCCGCACTGACACGGGGAACCGCACGGGTGAACCTCGAGACACCGTGCTCAGTGGGGTTCGCCAGACACAGAAGGCCACAGAGCGCACAATTCCTTTTACATGTAATATCCAGAACCGGTAATTCCGCAGTGACAGGGGGCTGCCTGGGGCTGGGAGAAAGGAACGGGAATGACTGCTCATGGGTGCGGGGCTTCCTTTTGGGGTGATGAAGCTGCCCTGAAGTGTCCAGAGGTGGCAGCTGCCCACTGCGAGTGTGATAAATGCCATCGAGTTGCTCACTCTAAAAGGGTTAATTTTGTGTTGTGTGAATTTCACCTCAGTTTTAAAAAGAAGAGGACTCTGCCCGGTCTCCCGAGGCCACCATGACCCCTGGAGGTATAAAATGTGCGTGCAAAGGGCTCACCCAAGCTCTGCCCTTCTGGGGCGAGCACAGCCCCGGCCAGCAAGCACCATGCGCTTTGGATGCTTCGGAGGCTCCCCATGGAGTGTTTTCCAGACACTTTTAATGTATTCAAGTTTTATTTTACAGAAAAGTGGTGGTTATGTGTGGGCCCAGGGGCTGAGACACTGCTTGCTTGTTTTATTTTTCCTTGTTTTGAGGCACGTCGTCTGGTTTTTCTAAGGAGCACTGAGAAGGGCTGGAAACCTGAATTCACATAACCCCCACCTCGCCGGGTGGTGCCTGTGTGGCAGCAGCAGCCGCTGTGACAGCAAGCACTGGTGGCAGAAAACCTGGACGGCTTCCTAGAGAAAGGTGAAAGTCAGGGCATGACACCCTGGCTGTGTCCTGAGGCACATCCAGCAGCCTCTCCTTTCTCCAGGCTTCTGGGGATGCCTGTTTTGTGAACACAAGTTCCCTTCACTGTCCATAGTGCAGGTTTCTGAAAAGCTGTGGGAAAAATCTTCTACATGTACATTTAAATATCAGATGGAGGAGACCTCAGTGTGTAATCAAACCTATCCTTTGTGGAAAAGAAAGAATTCATTTGTGAAACAAATCACCAGTCCCAAAGCATCGGCTCCATGACGCTGGCATTTTCTCTGCCACTCACTATGATTTTGACCTTGGACTTCACCTCCTCAAGCTTCAGTTTCTTTGTGGCTTGTTCCATAGTTTGTTCTCATGTGTAACTGTCTGGGGGAGAGGGGAGCTCCTCGGAAGGGGGAGATGTACTTTAGATGGTTGATGGTGAAAGAAAAGGAGAAAGTAGCTGATGATGATGCACTACTGACCCAGGGTGTTATCAAAGAGTCGGAAGGAAACAGAGCCCCAAAGTTGCCATTTATTAAATACATTGAACTTTACTATAGCAAATAAGAGGGTGCTCTTGACCTATAAAACAGGGATCATAATTTTCATCTCACAGTGTTTAGTGGGGATGATATGAGATCATGGAGCAATGACGAGTACACTCACATTTTTGTGGACATTCCGGTTGGTGTGGACTAGCTCATCCAAGTCGACAACTGAATTCTATGCCTGTTGTTTACAGTGCAGAATAACAATGTGCACCATGTAAATGTAAGGTGACACTGCAGTCATTACAGGATGTGATTGATCAAGATTCATCCAGCTGCTTAGGAAAGCAGGGGCAGCCCCATAGGAGGTCCCCTTGGCAGGGCTGGGAGCTCTGTCAGCAGCAGGACAGGTTATGGATCACAAGAGACTGGCCCAGGATCAGAAGGACCTCATGGGGCACATCCAGGCCAAGCACCCGGCTCAGATCTCAGCCATGTGAGGGCTCAGCTTTCAGGGAGGGCTCGCGGGGGTGAGGCAGGAGTGCAGGTGAGTCCTGAGAGCTGCCGCACAGCGCCGAGGTTGTAGTAGGAGGAGCTGCAGGATGCATGCTCTCAGGCTTGTCACCGAATCAAACCAGGTCCGTCTGCCGGCACACAGTGGAAAGCCGAACACCGAAGCACTGGGTTTTGCAGCAAGAAAGATTTTTTGCGAGTCGACTGGCCAGGAGACAGGAGGAAGTGCCCAGATCTGCCTCCCCGAGCTGGGGTTGGACCAGGTCTTCCAAGTATGCACTAATGAGCTGTGCTGCCATGGGGCTGATGCTGGGGCTCCACTGATTGGATCCTGGATCCTCATTCGGTCCCCGTTCCCCAGCCCCAGCACTTAGGTTCCCCCATGTTGCACACGTGGGTTGTCTGGGCATGCTCAGGTTATATGACCTTCAGCCTGGGGGTCCACGGCAACTGAAGAACAAGTCACAACTCCATTACACGGATGTTGAACCAGATTGGCCAGATGTGGCTATAAGCTGGGCATGGTGAATCCTGCCTCAGCCAGAATTATGTGCAAAGTTGGAAATGAATGTGTTGCCATGGGCTGAGCCCACGTGGCTGCCGGGTTCTGGGGGACGTGGACCCATTTTGTGTACGTGGCTCATGCATCTTGCCAAAAGGTTCACTGGTGTGGTTTATCCTCAGCACATGTCCAGGGAGGCCAAGTGCAGTCACTCCACAGTGCTTTTCTGAGCCTGCAGAGCCATTGCCACACCCGGGAGGCCTGGACACCCGCAGCCCTCATCAAATCAGTTCTCACACCTGGGCCTTCATTATTCTCAGTCTGTGTCCCATGTGCCACACAGGTGGGTTGCTGGGAGTTCAGCTGCAGACACTCCCGGGTGCAGTGTTCAATATGAGTGAGGGAAACTGAAAAAGGAAATGAAGAAGGGGAAGGAGTAGCTTCTGGGACCTGTTGGATAATGACTGTCCCTTAGATCCAAATCTGTCCACATATCCTCTATAAAAGCACAAAGAAAGCAAACAAAACCACCCCCAACCAAACAGAACACAGAGAACAAATAACACAAACTTCAACTGACACATAAAAGATGAAACAAACATTTGAACCCATCAGAGCTGGCGAGGGGGCCCACAGCAGAGCAGAGTGAGTTGGAGTGTGCTTGGAAGACAGGAGGGTTTGCAGTGCCCACGTGTAGGAGGAAACCCATGACATTCACCAGAGGAGACGTCTGCTCCCCGAGAGAGGGAGACAAAGAGGAGGTCTAAGGCAGATCAGAAAGCTGTGCTGGGAGCTGAAAGGACGATGCTTGGAATATGCACAGGACCCATGGATGCAATCCTGTGGACAACTGTCTGGGGAGAGGAAAGCTTCTTGGAAGGGGGAGATGCCGCTTTGATAAGGGCGCTACTGACCCAGGGTGTTATCGAAGAATCAGAAAGAAACAGGCCCCCAAAGTTGTCATTTATCAAACAAATTGGACTTTACTGTAGCCGATAAGAGGGTGCTCTTAAACTAAAAAATGGAGTAAAACACCCAGACTCCCTGCACAAGGCATCAGCTACCACTGGTTCAGGAAAATCTGACACAAATAATCCTGAACAAAATAAGAAATCAGCGTCCAGCCATAAAAATTGACTATAAGAGAGCCAAAATTGAGAATAAGAATAGAAATTTCAGCAGGAGAAAAACCTACCTCAAAAAATCCTCAAAGCTAATGAAAAGTGTACCACAACCCTCCAAGATAAACAAGCAATTGCAGATTTAAAAGGTCATCACAAATCAGAGGCTCAAAAACTCAGAATACAAATAGATAAATACTGGAAGGTATAAAATTACAGCTAGCAACATTCAAGTAAGAAACTGAAGAAAAAGACAGAAATCATAACAGAAAGTAAGGACAAATTATGGGGTGCCCAAGGGAAAACATATATAACCAAAAGCACAGTAAGAGACTTAGAGAACAGAAATAAGAAGATACAAATAAGAAATTAAAATGAAAATAAAGGAAATTAAAAATATGAGAAAATAATAAATATAAAAGCCTGTCAAAGAATATACAACACAGATGCAACTGGAGTAAATGAAGACTAAATTAACACAATGGAACAGAACTGATATTTAAAACTATAATTCTGGCCAGGAATAGTGGCTCATGCCTGTAATCCCAGCACTTTGGGAGGCCGAGGCGGGCGGATCACCTAAGGTCAGGAGTTTGAGACTAGCCTGGCCAACATGGTGAAACATTGTCTCTACTAAAAATATAAAAATAGCTGGGCATGGTGGCGTGCACCTGTAATCCCAGCTACTCGGGAGGCTGAGGCAGGAGAATAGCTTAAACCAGGGAGGAGGAGGTTGCAGTGAGCCGGGATTGTGCCACTGCACTCCAGCCTGGGAGACAGAGTGAGACCTCATCTCAAGGAAACAAAAGCAAACAAACACTATAATTCCATACCTATAATCTCAGCACTTTGGGAGGCTGAGGTGGGAGGATCCCTTGAGTTCAGGAGTCTGAGACCAGCCTGGGCAACATGGTGAAATCCTGTCTCTAAAAAAAATATAGAAATTAGCCAGGTGTGGTGGTGCACATCTGTGGTCCCAGCTATTTGGGAGGGCTGAGATGGGAGGATGGCTTGAGCCCAGGAGGCAGAGGTTGCAGTGAGCCAAGATTGCACCACTGCACTGCAGTCTGAATGACAAAGCCAGACCCAGTAGATATATATATATTTTTTATATACTTTGTTGATGAGATCAGATTCATGGGAACTTGCGGACAGTGATGGGAAAAGGTGTCGGGAGCCTGTGTCACACCTGGGGCCCATCGAAGTGACCGAACAGCACTCCAAAGGCATGAGCACTTCTCAGTATGGAAATAATTCCTCAGTTTCCAAAAAATCCACATTTGTTTTTCTATGAATGGTGGGATTTTATTTAATTATATTTTATTGTTCAACCCTGTCTGTGTTTTGTAAGTTTTCTGAATTTAATTCTACCTATTGAAAGATGCCCATCATATACTCAAGAAAATCAACTTGGAACATTGAAATCAAATACAAAAATTGTGGGATGGAGCTAAAGCAGTCCTTAAGGAGAAATTGATTAATGCCTATATTAGACATGAAGAAAAAGTTTAAATCAATTATCTTTGCTTCCACCTTAGGGAGCTAGTTAAAAAAGAAAAAAATTAAGGTCAAGGTAGGCAGGAAAAAAAAGAAATAATAAAAACAGAAGGAAATTTAATGAAATATAAAACAACGGAGAAAATTTACAAACCCAAAATTTGTTATTTGTAAAGATTAAGGCCGGGTGCAATGGGTCACACCTGTAATCCCAGCACTCTGGGAGTCTGAGGTGGGCAGATTGCTTGAGCTCAGGAGTTCAAGACCAACCTTGGCAACATGGCGAAATTTCGTCTCTACAAAAAATACAAAAATTAGCTGGGCATGGTGGTTTGAACACCTGTAGAAGGAAGCTACTTGGGAGGCTGAGGTGGGAGAATCACTTGAACCCAGGAGGCGGAGGTTGCAGTGAGCCAAGATTATGCCACTGCACTTCAGCCTAAGCAACAGAATGAGACTCTTTCTCAAGGAAAAAAACAAAAGATTAATAAAATTGAAAATCCCTTAACAAGACTGATTATTTAAAAAAAAAAAAGGCAAGACAAATCATCAATGTCAGGAACCAGGAAGGGGCATCACAACAGGTCCTGCAGACACGCAAAGGGTAATGAGTGATGACACGAACAATTTCATGCTGATGCATTCGACAGCTTAGATAAAATGGACAAATTCCCTGAGAGACACACATTACCAAAATAAACCCAGGCAAAAATAGAAAATTTAAATCGCCCTATATTTGTTAAAGATATTAATTCATAATTAAACTCCTTATAAAGAAAATTCCAGGCCCAAACAACTTCATTAGTAAATTCCATCTAGTGTGTAAGAAAGAAGTAACATCTATTCTATATAAACTCATAAACTAGAGGAGGAACTATCATTTCCTAAAGTATTTTATGACGTTACTATAACCAGAATTCAAAAACCAGACAAAGGCATTATAAGGTCAGAAATTGACAGACCAATAGCCTTCATAAGCATAGATGCAAAAATCACTAACAAAACATAAGCATATCAAATTCAGCAATAAGTAACAAGAATAAGATATCATGATTAAGTTGGACCACTTAATCATGATTCTAGAAAATTCCAGAAATGCAACATCTGTTTAACATAAGAGAATAAATCAATGTAGTTCACCAAATTAACTAAAGAAGAAAAATTATATTGTCATTTCAATAGATGCAAATCAATTATTTGAGAAAATATAACACCGTTTTATAACTTAAAAACTCTTAGCAAATGTTGGTAGAAAATAGTTGGTAAATTTTTCAACCTGATAAAGAGCTCTTACCGCTTCTTCTCAGTATAGTACAAGAGGTACTAGCCACTGCAGTAAGACATGAATGGGAAATGGAAGTCATATTAATCCAAAATAAAGAAGTAAAAGTGCTGAGGGAAAGAAGCTGAATGCCAACTAGTTTATACTGAATTATTCCATTTACATGAAAGTCTTGAACAGGTAAGACTAAACTTTGTTGTTGTTGGTTGTTTGTTGTTGACGAGATCAGATTCATGGGAACATGTGGGCAGTGATGGGAAAAGGTGTCGGGAGCCTGCGTCACACCTGGGGCCTGTTGAAGTGACTGAACAGCACTCCGAAGGCATGAGCACGTCCCTGTATGGAAATCATTTCTCAGTTTCCAAGAATATCCACATTGGTTTTTCTACAAATGGTGGGATTTTATTTAATCATATTTTATTGTTCAATCCTTTTTTTATTTGTAAGTTTTCTGAAATGACTATGTATTACATTGGTAAATCAAAATATTAACTAATCCAATGTAGTCCAAACAGTAAAAATACGACCTAAAATTATCTCAAGGTATAAATGCTTAGCAAAGAGTGATGTAGGGCCTAGCTCTCTTCTGAGCTATTTGATGAGCTCTTTCTAGAAGATGTTCTTACAATGAACTTGGGTAACAGAAGAAAGGATTCATAATCATAATGAAGGCCTGGGGCTGGGAGGGCATCTGGTCAATAAGAAATTGGCCCCTAAACCTCGAAGGTCCAGGCCCGAGGTTGGTCAGTTACTCCTCTCAGGTCAGCCTTGGAGGCAGCTGCCTTGTATTGGCTTCTTGACTCTTTGTTCTTCCTCTTCTCCATGTGTTTTGGGTCACAGTTCCTTTCTTCCTAAGTTTCACAAAGTCCTCACTGAGGTCTTCCTCCTGCCATGTCCTCAGTTACCTCCTGGGCTCAGCCTCGCAGGAGGAGCTCCCTCTGTTGCTGCTCCCCTGGGCATCGGGCATCTGGCATCTTCAAACACCACATGGCCTTCCAGTTCTTCTCCCATCCCCACCCACCCATGCCTCCGTGGGGAGGGCGGCAACTCTCCCAGGTCTTTGCCTCTGGAGGGCTGAGGCCCCACTCTCTTCCCAGGATTTGTGCCAATTGCTTTGGTGACACAGACACATGGGATCCCGTCTGTCCTGTCACTCCCTGTCCCCTCTCGGAGCTTCCTTTTTTTCTGACCCCTTCTGGATGCATTCAGGGCAGGACACAGTGGGCAGTGGGAGCTGCGAGGAGCCTCTGAGCACATGGAGCTGTCTCCTCCAGGACTGTCCTGAGGGGCAGTGGACACAGCCCACAGCAGACACCGGCCTTGCTGAGCAGGGAGACTAAGGACAGCAGCCTGGTGAGACCAGGAGCTCGGCTGAGAAAAGCCGCGCCCTCTCCGGGGAAAGCCCTGCGCCTCCCGTGCGGCGTCTGTTATGGTGGATGCCGCCGGCAGAGAGCGACACTGTGGACTAAGCCGTGTCCTCCAAAGTCATAGGTGAGGCCCCAGCCCCCACGGGACTGTATCTGGAGCTAGGACATTAGGGAGGGAATTAAGGTTAAATGAGGTTGTGAGGAGGGCCCTGACCCGATAGGACATGTCCTTGTAAGAAGAGAAATCGACACCAGGGATGCGCGTGCGCAGAGGAGTGGCCGTGGGAGGACACGGGAGAAGCCACAGTCTGTAGGCCATGAAGAAGCCTCGGGAGAAACCGCCCAGTGGCCCCTTGGTCTTGAACTCCCGGCCCCCAGACTGGGAGGGAACAGTTTCTGGTGTTGAAGCCCCGGCCCGTGGTACTTTGTTACAACTGCCTGAGCCAACAAGGCCAGATGAAGAGGAAGGACAGCAGTGTGCCAGGTGTGTGTGGGCCTTGCACAGCCGGGGAGGCTCTGGTGTCAGGAGGTCCTGTCTTCAGCCTGGCTGGGTAGTGCTGGTGAGTCAGCTGACATCCGGGGCTCTGTGTTCATTGTCTACCTTGTGGGCAGCAAAGCAGATGACCCTCCTGCATTGAAGCCCCCTGGGCCTCTGGTCACCCAGAAGTCAGAGTCGGGAGACACACACCTGCTGTCCATACCTGCTGCCCTGGTGCGACTGCAAAGAAAGGCAGAGACCCAGGGGCATCGGCTATGGCACCAGGATGCAAAACACCAAGTGCCTCTCCCTCCCTGGGAACACTGGCAAAGGTGCAGCGAGCCACAGCCTGGCGTGAAGATGAGGGTTGGTCTGGGCCGTGCTTGCCTGAGCAGCCCAGGGTTTCCTGTGCCCTCCAGCTGAAAGCTGGGGGCCTGTGGGGTGACCCAGGCTGCAACGGTCACAATGAGGGCAGCACTGGCTGTCACTGTCTGTCCCAAGCAAGCCCTTTGTCTCTGAGAGGGCAGGGTGCATGTGTGTGCATGTGTGTTACGGGCACCTTCCCAGCAGGAAAGCGACATGCCAGCTCCCCTCACCCCCCTCGGGGGGCCAGTTTCCACGGTCTCAGCTTGGTTGGGGGTATGGGCGCTCCCTTGCCCTAACCCCTGGGGGAGCCCATTTTCCCAGACACAAGGACAAATCAGGCCGGCTCAGCTGGGGACAGCCAATTTCCTGCATTTATTTGTTTCTCCCGAAAGAAGGCTTCTGTTTGGTTCTAATGAGTAGCTTTTCCTAAAGAGAAACAATAATAACAGCAGAAACGTAAGTGGATTCTGTAAACTTGTAATCATACGTGTCAAACACAGTGTGGTATTTTCCCCCGCAAAATAGAAATGGTGGGAAGTCATACAGAGTGGGTGCGGGAAATTGTGTTTTCTCTGACAGAAGTTAATTCTAAACTAAGTATTCCCTGAAAGGAAAGCAGGGAAACATTTTTACATGTCTATCATTCGTCCTTAGAGGACACAAAACAAATATGTTTTTTAATGCTTGACACCAGCATTATTCCGGGTGGCCTCGGGCTATATGCTGTTTTCCAGTTTGTAGAATTGGAGGAGAGGAAAACAGCCCTGCATTAAGAGGAACATATTGTACAGGTTAATCATAAGCACGCAGAAATCAGAGTGCTGCCAGCCGGCAGGACGGAAGGCCTGGGCGCCAGGAGTTGCGGGAAGGCAAGGAGGCGGAGGTGGCAGCAACGAGGGGCCAGACCAGGGTCACTGCCCCGGTGGCAAACGCTTGTGGATGTGCCATGGGCTGGAGCTCTTTTGGGTCCCTCTCCATCAGGAAGCCGCCCTTCACAGGTCTCCCAACAATGCTTACGTGCAGAAGGAAGCTCCTTGGAAAGCCGAGGGTCATTTAATCAGAGTCCATTCCCCAAGAAGTCCCCGTCGAGGAGCACTTAGGCAGTCAGGTCCTGAGAGGCAGACGGCACCATCAGGGCCAAGGCACCGGGGCTGTCCCAGATCCTCCTGCGAATGTGGTGGGAATTACGACTGCTCCGCAAAGTGAGCCCAGACGCACACATTGCATAAAAGCGTAGCGGCCGCAGGGCCGAGGTTCCGGAGGGCACTTGTTGCTTCGGGGTGTGTGTGGCCCCACCTCGGGGTCTCTTATCCAGCTTGGCCTTCGGTCACTCCCACCTCAGCCTCTCCCGCTGGGAGGCAGGCCCATGTGCGCCCTTTCGGTGGGGCGTGGAAGTCTTGCTTTGGTAGGAGGCAGCCCTACCTGGGATTTCCACTTCGAGGTTCCTTCTTTTCCATGGGATTAGGAGTGCTTCATCGCTGACCCTGGGGCCAAGCTTCAGGATTTCTAAGCCCACAGTCCCCCATGAAAACCCAGCCCACGTGGCTGATGCTGGGGGAGGGCTCTCAGAACAGGGGCTCTTGGGGTCCCTGCCCTGTGAGAGTTCAGCAAGAGGTCAAAGTGTGCAGCTACTGGCCCTGGTCCCCACTGCCTGTCAGCCTCCCTCCCCCACCCAGCCTGTCCTTCCAGGGGCCGCAGCAGGGCCAGCAGGGCACACATAGGCCTTCCTGGACCCCCGCAGGGGAACCCCAGCCCATGCACTTGCCCCATCCTGAGGGCGATGTGAGGCTGAGGGGCCCCTGGCCACGGGTCCCATTCCTTCCCGCCTCCTGCCAGTATGGCCTCCCGAGCACAGGCCCTTTACCATCCTTCTGAAATTCTCAGCAGCATCTGGAAGGGAGCTGGAAACATGGCCCAGGGAGTGAGTTGCCCACAGAACATTCTAGTCCGATGCTGGCCCCAGCTTCCCTTCTTCTTTCCTAGGCTATGTGCCTTTTACTCCCAGAGGCATCCGGCCACCCTGGCTCCTGTGGGGATGGTGTCTCTCCCACTCTGTCTCTTCTCTCCATCCCTGTCTCTGTCATACATTCACGCTGCGTGATGGCTGATTTGGTCCAGCAAGAAGGTGGCGCTGCGACCCCTCCCCTCCAGAGCATGGCTGCCACCACTGCCCAGGGAGGGTGGGAGGAGGGACGCTCTGTTCTCAGTTCCAAGAGGATCACACTGAACCCCAAACAGGTCTGCTGTTGGCATCAGAGATGCCCGCGGAGGGACTCGGCTGGCAGCCCCTGGCTCAGGGATCAGCATCCTGCCAGGGGTGGCTCCCGGGTGTCCTTTGCTGGACTCCGGCCTCGCCACTTCCCTGAGGCCTTCAACATCCAGTCTTGGGGGACAAATCAGTTTCCGTTGATAAAAGAAAAACTTCAGCCAAATTAAATGTAAAGGAATTTAATTGAGCAATGGATGATTTGTGAATCGGGCAGCCTTCCCAGCCATAGCAGGCTCCAGGACTCCAGTGCACCCTCGGGCAGAAGAATAATTTTGGATAGAAAAAGGAAAGTAACGCACAGAAGATGGAAGTGAGGCCCAGACACAGCCGGATTGTTACAGGTTGGTGTTTGCCTTATTTGAACACAGTTCAAACAGCTGGCTACATGTGATCGGCCAAATCTCAGTGATAGGCACAAGTGTAGGCTCTGGCCTGTTTACACCTCCACTTGTTATAGTTGACAATATGCAGAAAAACCTTTAGGCCGAACTTAAAATATGTAAGGAGGCAGCTTTAGGCTAAAGTTGATTTAGCACCGTGCATTTTGAAACTCACATTGGCAGGAATCTCTTTTATTCACTTTCCCCAAGATGTCTTCTTGGGTCTTCCGACAGTGCCTCGCTGCACTTCAGGATCTTTCTCTAGGAACATCAAGCAGGCGACTGAATGGATAATGCATCCTCGTTCTCAGCTCAGCCCTTCCCTCTGTCAGAGGTGGGAAGGGCAGAGACACTGTTTCTGGAAGGTTCTTCTGTATCTGCTCTCCCACCGCCATCTCACCCTGGCCTACACCCTGGGACCTGGTTTCACAAGGACCTGGCAGAGCAGCCTTGGGACAGACCCCAGATGCTGGAGGACGGTGTAGCTGCCTCAGCCTCATCCTCAGCCTCACCCTCAGCCTCACCCTCAGCCTCACCCTTAGCCTCAGCCTCACCCTCAGCCTCACCCTTAGCCTCAGCCTCAGCCTCACCCTCAGCCTCACCCTCACCCTCAGCCTCACCCTCACCCTCAGCCTCAGCCTCACCCTCAGCCTCACCCTCAGCCTCACCCTCAGCCTCAGCCTCACCCTCAGCCTCACCCTCAGCCTCAGCCTCAGCCTCACCCTCAGCCTCAGCCTCACCCTCACCCTCAGCCTCACCCTCAGCCTCACCCTCACCCTCAGCCTCACCCTCAGCCTCACCCTCACCCTCAGCCTCACCCTCAGCCTCAGCCTCAGCCTCACCCTCAGCCTCACCCTCACCCTCACCCTCAGCCTCACCCTCAGCCTCAGCCTCAGCCTCACCCGCTCCCCCCCGCAACTCCACCAAGCCCCAGGACAGCTCTGAGCTGTGCTCACTCTCTCCTGGGCCAGGCTGCAGACAGCACTGCCAAGCCACCACTTCCCCACGATCTCAAACAGCAAAGGCTGCAAATGCTTGGGTGACTTTTTGGTCCCCAAAACTTTCTGGACTCACACCTGAGAAGGCACCTCTGAGGGAAGCAGGGCTGCAGCTGCCCAGACCAGGAGGGAAACTCCAGGGCTTGGTTGCTCACCTGGTTCCCCGCCAAGGTGGCCTCTCACTGGGGCCATTTAGCTGAGGGGGCTGCTGAGCTGGTGTGAGACCCCTGAGGCCAAGTTCCCCAATCTCCTGGGCTGTGTGTGGCGGTTCCTGATCCAGCTGTCCCCTCCTCATGTGTGAAGCACAGGTGGCAACTGCAGGCACCGCTCAGGAGCCTGGGGGGGTGGTGGTGTCCATGCAACTGCCGGTTCGTGCATCCTTGGTGCTGTGTCTCAGCAGGAGACAAAAATGTCACCCAACGTACCCCTCAGAAGAACCCCCCTGCCTCATCTGGTACTCCCCTAGACAACTCCTAAATAATGTCAGTCTCCTTGGAAGGGGTTAATAAGGCCCCTCACAGAACTTGGGTGATCACTTCAGAGCCTTTCGGCCTTAGAGTAATTCTGCCATTGCACCGTCACCCTTGGGAACTGTGAGCATTCCCCATGGGAGCACCCATCTTGTCTCAGGAAACTCACGTTGATCACTGCCCACTGGTTCAGAATAAAATATGGTCTGGACTGTTGAAGTGGAAGCCCCGGAAATGCTTAACGCCTTTTTCAGTGTTTTCATTTTCCTAAACGGGAGGGATCCTCCAGTGTACATATGTGTGCACACACACACACTCATAAACACACCACACATGCAAACATGTAAACGCACCATGAGAACACACATGAACTACACATGCACTGACATGCCATGTGTGCATGCACACACCACACATGCACACGTCTGAGCACACATACCACGCATGCGTGCACCCTATGCACTCACACACGCACATTCACACGTGCTCACATGTGCACACATGCACAGCATGCAAACATGCCACACACACACACCACACATCTGTGCACACATATGCTCTGCCCTTCCACATGAGATTCAGTTGTTCCCTTGCAAGCTCTTACCCTGGAGTGGGCCCTGTCCCCAGAGATCCCTAAGAAACAGCCACGCACAGTTTGTCTGAAACTGGGCTCTGGACACAGAGCTCTGGAAGGGGTCCCCTGCCTTTGAAAAGGCCACAGGACTCTCAGCAGCTTGTAAGGACTTGTGTGTCACAGTGTGGGTTTAAAACAAAGACGGGTCCCTCTGGTCTGTCAGATGCCATGACCAGCATTGCCCAGGTTGCTCCTCCTCTGGCTGCTAGGAAGGGTGAGGCTGGTAAGGCTGGATTACTTATCAGTGGGGGAATTTTTGGGCCTTTTGAAGTGGCTTTGTGAGTCTGGAGGCTCTGAGTTTGGCCCGGCGCCTGCTCTAGGGGTTGACACGCGCACCTATAAATAACAGCGGTGACAGGTCCCCTGTCAGTACCCGCTGATGGACGGCCCCTTCTCCCGCCATTACAGCCTTGTGACTGTGGGAAAATTAATTTAAGTGGTAGTTAATTTCTAATGAATTCCACTCAAGCGGCTAATATGGTCCCTCGGCGTTATGGTAACCTTCATGGATCATTGCATTATGTAAATAAATTCTACTTTATGCTGGTTTATTAAAAAAGAGAGTGAAGATTGGGAAGCCTGGTGAAATCTTCTCTCAGACGCACACAACTAACAGACAGCAGGGAGATGTTTAAGGAAGGGAAGCCGCCCAGCCCAGAGGTGCTTTCCTGGAAGGCTGCGCTTCTCACCTCTAACTTTCCAGATGGACCCCACTGCCCACTTTCAGGGCTCCGCATACATATCTCCAAATCTCCAAATTCCATTTTGTTTTGTTTGAGATGGAGTCTCAATTTGTCGCCCAAGTTGGAGTGCAGTGATGCGATCTTGGCTCACTGCAACCTCTGCCTCCTGGGTTCAAGTGACTCTCCTGCCTCAGCCTCCTGAGTAGCTGGGATTACAGGCAGGCGCCAACAAGCCTGGCTAATTTTTTTTTTTTTTTGTATTTTTAGTAGAGACGGGGTTTCACCGTGTTGGCCAGGATGGTCTCAAACTCCTGACCTCAGGTAATCCACCCTCCTCAGCCTCCCAAAGTGCGGGGGTAACAGGCATGAGCCACCACGCCTGGTCTCCAAATTCCTTGTGTCATCATTGTATTCCAAATGGAAAGAGGAGTGTTCTGCCTTAAACCACATGCAGTTCCTCATAACCCTCAGAGACAAACCTTGGGAGTACCCTGATCGGAAGCCCCACTCTGAGGACAAGTGCAGGCCGGAGGACCTGGGCGTGCTTCGGCTTCCTGGTCCAGCATGGAGAGGGACAGGCGTGCAGACTCCCCATAAATTCTTCCACGCAACCCTCAGCAGCCCACCCTGTGGAGGCCCCTCCATGGCCCTCCCTTGCCCACTCCTGGTCACTCCAGTCCCCTGGTGGCATTCGCTGAGGCAGAGACGCCCTCCACCCTGCAACTCTTTCCCGTCTCGGCACCCAAAGCCTTCCGTGCTCCCAGTCTTCCTCCAGTGCCTGGGCACCTGCTTTTCCCCTGCTGTGGCACCATCTTTTTCTATGTGGGAGTCCACAGGGCTGGAGCCGGGACCCCTTCTCTACCTACACATTCTCCTGGGGGACAGAGTCCAGCCCTTGGCTTTCAATATGCTTTGTTGGGTTGTCTAATGCTGCAGTCAAGCCACCCTAAGGCAGGACTTCAAATTCAAATAGTAATGACCTTGCATGTTGTTCCCAGGTCTGGGGTGACTGGGCTCAGCAGGGCTGCTCTTGTTCAGCAGTGGTCAGATGGTGGCTGTGGCTGGGGTCGTCTCCTTCATCTCACCTGGTCCTCAGACTGAGGCTCCCATACCTGGACTCCTCTGGCGCACCTCTGTCTCAACAGCCTCTCCGTGGAGCAGCCTCCGGGTCTGGCCACTGAATGGTCCCGGGGCGAGGGCCCCAGGACAAGCCCACAGAGGCTTCGTTGGTTTCCTAAGCTCACTTTTCATTGTATTGATGGAGATGGTCGCAGAAGCCCATCCATGCAGGTGGCGTGGGGGCAGAGACCTCACCTCCTCAAGGAAGAAGGGTCCAAGAATTCTGGGCACATTGCAAAACTTCCCACTCTTCCTGTGGCCTAGACACCCTGATCTTCACCTCCAGACTCAGGTCCAGCCTCTGGTCCTCTGTCTCGGGGGCTCACCCACATGGGCTGTTTGAGGGTGCTTTGCCTTCCTCCCGCTCAGTTTCCTGCTCACTGTGGGTTTAGCTGGTGGCAGGTGCTAGCAGATCAGAGCAAGACAGAGGCTTTGCTTCAGCTTTCCCTGCATGCAGCAAGCCTGGGCGTCTCGGGGGCCCCTCCACACAGCTGCCCTCGGCTCCGGGAGCTGCCCCTCCCCTGCCTGTCCTGTGACTCTTTTTAAACCCTGCTTTTATATTTATGAAAGCTGGTGGCCAGGTGCGGTGGCTCACACCTGTAATCCCAGAACTTTGGGAGGGTGAGGCAGGCGGGTCACTTGAGGTCAGGAGTTCGAGACCAGCCTGGCCAACATGATAAAACCCATCTTTACTAAAAATACAAAAATTAGCCGGGTGTGGTGGCACGTGCCTGTAATCCCAGCTACTTGGGAGGCTGAGGCAGGAGAATCGCTTGAACCTGGGTGGCAGAGGTTTCAGTGAGCTGAGATCGCACCACCGCACTCCAGCCTGGCAACAGAGTGGGACTCCACCTAAAAAAAAATGCTGGCTAAAGCTCACCTGTCATCACCCAATTCCCACGTGCCATCTCTTTCCTGCCTGCCCCGACCAACACTGTTTCTCTGAATACCACAATGGGACCCAGCCTGAAGGCACCATTTTTCCTTCCAAACTCACCTCTTCCCAGTTCCCCACTGAGCAGAAGGAAACACCATGCACTCAGGCGCCCAGTCAAAAATGAAGAGGCCAGGCGCAAATTCTCCTGCTTCATCACCACACAGCCAATGCACAGGTGTGTCTGGTCTACACCCGGGTCTACCCTGGAGTCTACCCTGGGGTCTACCCTGGGGTCTACGCTGGGGCCTACACTTGGGTCTTGCCTCGGGTCCAGGGGTTTCCCGTCGTCCCCTGCCAGCCACGGTGCCCTCTGGTTGGGCCACCACAGAAGCTCTACCTGACTTCCTGCCGCAGTCCTGGTTCCTGCCGTCTGTTCCACACATGGGGCCGGATGACCCCTGGAAGCACCCATAGGGCTTCCCGTCACCTTTGGGACCACGCCCACCCATGCCCAGCCTCCAGGCCCTGCCCCATCTGACCCCCCAGCTTGGCTCCCTGCCCTGCTCCAGCCGCCACCTAGCCCCAGAAACATGCCGTCCCAGGTGACCCTCATGGGAAGGGACCCCAAGGGGGAGTTGGGTGGGGGTGCGTGCTGGGAAGACCTCCCAGGACCAGCACAGAAAGAGGCAAGCTGCACACAGGGCCGGCATTGACGGCATTCCAGAGCAGAAGAAGGAAAAGTAGAAGGCGAGGCTGGGGACGTGAAACAACTTTGCATCATTTACTATTAATTGAGTCCAAACAAACAGTACAGGAGCAACTCCCCTACATCTAAAACCAAATCATCATGTCTCGAGGCTCTTCCTCTGCGCCATTGGCGGCCGTCCATTCTACAAATGACCTGCCTGCTTGCCTAAATGCGTCCTGACGGGGCCGAGGGAAGGCCGCACCCCTCGTGTGAGATGCTGTGGATGTGTTCTGGAGATTTCTGTGGCCGTGTCACGGGCAGGGGCGTCCCGCGTGCACCTGCAGCTCTTGCCTTTGTCCGATTCTTCTTTCAGCACAGGGGGTGCCGGTTTCAGGTGGAGCCCGTGCTGCGTGGCCCTTCTGTTTTCAGGTCACACCAGTGTCCACCCAGCGGGTTTCTGGGTTTGATGGCTCTGCTCAACATTGGGAGTAAAGAAGACCCAATCAGGCCCCCACTGGGGAACGGGACCCGGGCTTGGCCTGATTTGATCCATGCTCCTGAGGCCTGTGAGTCCCAAGGCTGTGAGTGGCATGTGCTCCAGGGTCTCTCCAGATGGGGCTTTGTCTGGGGTCACACGAGGCTGTCAGGGGCCTAAGCAGGGCCCGGATTTCCTAGGGAGGCCCTGGAAGGAGGCCGTCCATGAGGCTGGAGCCTGCAGGAGGTGCCTTCGTGGGTAGCCTGCCCTGCGGGAAGCTGCTCTTGGCAGACCTGGCAGCCCCGGTCCTTTGCTTGTCCTTAGGTGAGCTTCCAGCAAGGCTGCAGCAAAGATTTACAGGCGCCCAGGCTGCTGGGCAGGCTGAGGCTGGGGGAAGCAGAGCTCCTGGGCAGGTGAGTGTGAGCTGGGCGGTGCCTCCCGGCCAGGCCTGCTCTGCCTGCATTCCCCACGCAGCCCATGGCTTTCCCAGGTGAGGCCGAGGTAAACACAAGGAAACTCGCTGTGCGGCAGTTTCCTTTGCCACGCACTCTTCCATCAGAGATGGCCTCCAGCCTACCCCCAGCCACCTCCCATCTTCCATATCCCTGTCCTGGAGGGCTGCCTCGCCGCCCACATCTGGCCCCCTCTGTCCCCGCCACCTCCCCACACAGAGCAGACCTGCCCTGGGTCGGTCCTCTCTTCCCAGGAACATCTCCTCCCTTGCCCCTGCTGCCCCCGAAGCTGCTGAGCCAGAGTCTGAATCCTGCCTTGCCTCCACTGGGTCCCCGGGAGGGCAGGGCTGTGTGGGTCCCCCTCCCTAGAGCCCACCCCGCCCATGTTCTGGCCAGGACTGGGGCGCTGGACAGGAGAGGAGGGGCTGGAAACCAGTCTTCCTTCCCTCCTGGGGGCGGGCTCCTGGATTTTTTTGAGACCCCCAATTGCTGCAGGGCCCAGACCAGGAGGAGTGCCTTCCGGTGGACCAAATGGCCTTTACCCACGTGCCCAGCACCTGCCTTCAGTGTCTCCCTGACACCCTGTGGCCCGGGAGCTGTGGCAACCTCATCCTGTCTTCCCTCCTCCCTCCCCTCCTGCTCTTTTTCTGTCTCCATTTCTATCTATCTCTGTCTTTGTTTCTCTGTCTCCATCTCATTCTCTGTATCTATATGTCTCTATGCCTATCTCTGTCTCTGTCTCTTTCTCTGCATCTCATCCCCCAGGGGTCCCCATCAGCTTAACGGGGGTGTCCCCCCTCCACCCGCCCTGGGGTGGTACACTTGGTGGGGAGATGGTGTGGTGCAATGCAGTGGATTTGAGATGGGGGGGCAGATCCAATCACTGGCTGACGGGGGCTCCTCCACTTGCAGATGGGGTGACCTGGGGAAAATCACTTCACTGCTTTCATCTGTAAAGTGGGAGTACGGGTGACATCCGCCTCCTGGAGTCACTTTGAGGATTGAATTGATGAATACACCCTGAGCAATGCCTCGTGAGTGGGCCCCGTGTAAATGCTGGTGTGACCATTACCCAGGTCCTGGAGGGCACCCAGGCACGTGTGGCTCCTGTGGGGTTCCTGTGGCTGAGACTTGGGAAACATCAAACAATATTCATAGCAACACCTCCAGACTGTGAGCCATTAGCACCTGACCATGACAAGGGCTGCCTTCTCTGTGAGTAGAGACAGAGATTACATTTTGTGGTGGGAGGCGCAACTTCACGGTAGCCTGGGTGATACCTGTGAACTCAGCAGCTACGATAAATACTAAAGCGAACAGCAAAATTTGCATTTCAAAATAGTAAAAGTAAAAAATCCAAATTAAATTCTGATGGTATTGAGAGCTGAAAGCCATTTGTTAATAAAAGCCTTCCAATGAAAAGCATTAGAAAATCTAACAATAATTATTGGAATCTTACCATGTGCAGTTCTTCGTAAGCAAGTTTTACTGCAAGTCCTATGAGAAGGTTCAAAGGTTCTGGCCACAGAGCACCAGAACCGACGGATCCAGCTGCCAACAGCTAAGAGCGACCCCCCTCCTTTCCTCAAAGCAGCCTCTGATGAAAGCAATGTCCAGGTGACGCCGGGAGAGCTGCCTAGAAGGATGAGAGGAGTAGGGGCAGCGGGTGTTTCCTTTGTCCTCCAGCTCTTCGGCGTCTGACTGCCTGCAAGGTTGGGAGTAACCGCTAGAGCACTGGCCACCCTATCGTGCCAGGAGTTTGTCATAAGGATGGAAAGTAAGCACCAGGGTTGGCTGGTGAGGGAGAAGGGAAGAAAGAGACCGGGAAGTCCAAACACAGAGATGTCCTAGCCGCCCAGAGAGCCTTTGGACGGCCTTCCTTGAGGTAGGCAGACAATACGCTGCATGTTTGGTTTAAACCACGGCTGAGGCAGGAGAAGAGGGTCTGGAGGCGGGGAACCTAAGGCTGATTCACGCTGACTTCCTAGAACTAAATCAAAAGGAAAACCCCAACTTTCCATGCCCAAATAACCAAAGGACCAGAGGCTACTCTCTTTGCAACCCCTCTCCCTTTTTTCTGAGTGGCAGATGAAAAATTGAAAATACCTCTGATTAGTCCCCTCCTGCAACCAATCAGGCTGGTCTAGGGCTAAGTCTTCATTTGCATAGGAGTATAATGCTGTAACTTCACTTCGGCCTCTGATTGGTCACCTTCCACAACCAATCAGACGTTTGCATAGGGTATAACTTTGTAACTTTGCAACTTTGCTTCAGCCTCTGATTGGTCCCCTCCCACAACCAGTCAGACAGATCATGGGCCACTACTTCATTTACATAGGGTGTACACCAAGTAACCAATGGGAAACCACTAGAGGGTATTTAAACCCCAGAAAATTCTGTAACTGGGCTCTCCAGCGCTTGCTCAGGCCTGTTTCCATCATGTGGGGTGTACTTTCATTTTCAATAAATCTCTGCTTTTGTTGCTTCATTCTTTCCTTGCTTTGTTTGTCCAATTCTTTGTTCAAGACACCAAGAACCTGGGCACCCTCCACCAGTAACACTGCTATTTTCATCCCTTCTCGTTTGAAGTGGACACAATTTATAACCAGCTGTTCATCTTTGGATGATCAGGCAGGACTCTCCTAATACGTGAATCTATATACATACCATGCATTTGGCACAGTGCGTGATTCAAGATAACAGCTTAATAAACACTTGGCTGGATGAGTAAAGACTTAGAGTTTGATTCACTGACCACAGGAAATGCCTTTATCCTATCTCAAACAGCATGCTAGTTACTTAAACTGATAAAAATTATACATAAGAAATCGATGACAATTTTGGAATAGGTGACTGCATTCTCAACCACTGAAAGAACCATTATGCTTTCGACAGAAACCTTAGGAGAAAGCGTGCCTCCAGACTTCCTGAGAGACGGCAGACAGGCCGCCAGGATTTCTGGGTAGCAATTCATCCTGTGTTGACTAACAGCATCACTCTGTAAGGAAAAACATGCATCGCTTTCTGAGGAAAAGACAATGAATCTTTAGTGGTGGCCAGCCAGGGGAAGCAATTCTCATTTCCACCCTGGGGAGCTGCTTGGGTGGGTCCTAAGACTCCCGGGGCTGGCTTCCTGACAGCATGTTTCTGAACACTGACACAGCCAGAGTCAATTTCTCATGCAATGCAAAACAGCTTTCTTTGTTGTATGCATTCCTCATTTCTTCCATGCATTTTAAATAGGAAATGACAAGTGGGAACTGGGAGAAAAAAACAATTAACCTCTAATTGGGAATCATGACCACTAATTATAAAATAGGGGGAAAATGCTTTAAAAGTCAAAAAGAGGAGTGAGAAAAGATAAAATTGTGCATAAATGCTGAAAAACACCCTCAGTCATAAATAATGCTCACCATATCCTAAACCATCTTCAGAAAATGAAGGATGCAGCCACCTGGGGGAAGAATGGGGATGCCCCTGGGTCACCGGCAGGAGCTGCTGTCCAGATGCAGCCTCAGGTTGCAAGACGGTGCACAAGACAGGAAAGAAACAAGAATTATAGGCATTTGTTTAGAGACTCACAGGATAGAGCCCAGAGGTCCTGCAGGAGCCAATAATCCTGCTGGCTTCTAGGGAGAGAAACTGGGTCTCGCATTCGGGAGAGAACTTCAACTCAGGTGTCTTTTGCATTTTGAACCATGTGAACACATTATCTAGTAATACTAATTTAAATTAAAATTATTTTCAAAAACATTCTATACCACTGTAGTGGGTTGACTAGCAGCCCCCGCAAAATTCCTGTCTACCTGAAACCTCGAAATGTGATCCTATTTGGAAATAGAGTCTTTGTAGATGTAATTAAGAATTTCCAGATGAAATTATCCTGGATTAGGGTGGGCCCTAAAGCAATGACGGGTGTCCTTCTAAGAAGAGGAGAAGGCACAGATCCCAGAACAGAGGAGAAGGCCTTACGAAGACAGAGGCAGAGGTTGGAGCCCTGTGGCCAGAGCCCAGAATGACCTGGGGCCACAGAAGCTGGAAGAGGCAGGAGGAATCCGCCCCTGGAGTCTTTGGAGGAAGCACTGCCTGGCCCACACCTGGATGTTGGACACCTGGCCTCCAGAGCTGTGAGAGAATACATTTCTTATGTTACAGTTTGTAGTAATTTTTTATGGCAGTCACAAGCAACTAACATATCACTTCATTCCTTTTTAAATCATCTTATCCTCTAAAGAAGTATACTTGAAGTGTAATTAACAAAATAAATTTCCCCCCCCTTTTTTTTTTTGTTTTTGGAGATAGTTTCACTCTGTCCCCCAGGCTGGAGTGGAATGGCACGATCATGGCTCACTGCAGCCTCAACCTCCCAGGCTCAGATGATCTTCCCAACTCAGCCTCCCAAGTAGCTAAGACCACAGAGGTGCACCGCCATGCCCGGCTAATTTTGGTATTTTTGTAGAGACAGGGTTTCACCATGTTGCTCAGGCTGGCCTTGAATGTCTGGGTTCAAGCAATCCTCCTGCCTCAGCCTCCCAAAGTGCTGGGATTACAGGGATGAGCCACTGTGCCTGGCCTTTCCCCACTTTTCAATCTTAAATTTGTCTTCATCTGGGATGAACAAGAGAGGTGTCTTTCTAAAGCCGACAGGCATGTAATGCACAATAATAAAATATTATACAATTTGTTTCTCACCCAGCCACTTACTCAACAAAAGCCAAAGAGAATTGCTATATTTGGTATAATTAGAAAAACAATAATAAATAAATAGTATCTGTCACAGTTTTTTCCAAAGTACTTTTATATGAAAACTGATTCCCTGAGTTCTTAGGGTTTTACACCTTAAATTTAGGGAGAGCACATTCTTTCAAGATTTAAATTTTGCAACAACACAAGTCAAAAATAATTTGAGTAATGAAGGGAAGGAGAGTGTCATCCTGCCTGGGACTGCGTCCAGGCAGTCCAAGACACATGTGCAGAACACGTGCACATGTGCAAGGTGTGATGTGATGTGAACATACGAGTGTTGCTCCCAATAGGGAGGAAGGAGAGACTATGGCATCTTCTCTAAATCTTCTTTTTATTTATCCTTTTGTTTTTGTTTTTTTTGAGACCGAATTTTGCTCTGTCCTACAGGCTAGAGTGCAGTGGTGTGATCTTGGCTCACTGCAACCTCCACTTCCTGGTTTCAAGCAATTCTCCCACCTCAGCCTCCTGAGTAGCTGGGATTACAGGTGCCCACCACCATGACCGGCTGATTTTTTTTTTTTTTTGTATTTTTAGTAGAGAAAAGGTTTCACCATGTTGGCCAGGCTGATCTCCAACGCCTAACCTCAAGTGAACCCCCACGCCTTGGCCTCCCAAAGTGCTGGGATTACAGGCATGAGCCACTGTGCCTGGCCTAGTTAAACTTTTTGACTTTTAAAAATAAGTAACGGTTGTTCAAAGGTCTTTAGAGCAGAAATGAGAGTCTCAGGGCTCCCCAAATCTCTGCACACACGGCTTTCAGAGTGGAATTACCCTTGCTCACACACAGCTGCACACAGCATAGCTCTGATGGCAGAGGGTTCACTTGCTGCGGTGAATGTCCTAGAATAGAAGTGGGTTGGTAAATGCTTTCTGCAAAGAGCCCGAGAGCAAAACCTTTCTGTGCTCTGAGGCAATGACTCAACTCTGCTGTGGCAGCAGGAAACACACACAGACCACAGGATGCATAAATGAGCGAGGGGGCGTGTGCCAATAAAACTTTATCAACAACAACTGGCAGTGGCCCAGCCATGGACTTGTGGAGGAGACCATCATTTGATGCAGTTGGCCACACTGAAGCTCAGACACGCCAACGTGGTAATGAGGCAGAACGTGGATTCCACTCCATCCTTTTAAGATTAAAGACATGCTCAGCAACAGGTGATACTAGTTCAAGTATTTACCGGGTTATGTGCTGGGTGAGCTGGTGAGCCTGCAGTCCCAAAAGGAAGAAAAAGAGAATGAACGCAGCAGCCAGCTGCGGGAGAAGCAACCGTGCAGCCATCTCGGGTTGGGGGGCAGGAGGTTTCCCAGGGGAGCTGCCTCCTGGCAGGAAGCGCTGGAATCCAGCTCAGTAATTCCCATGAACTCTGTTTAACACCAGCAAGATGGGAAAGGAAGGCAGCTGCAGCCCCAGCTGGAGAGCAGGGCCCTGAGGCTGGGCTCTTCCTGGGCACAAGCCTCTGCCCAGAGCTTCCTGGCGGGGCCCTCAGCTCCTCTTCTCCAAGGCCTGGAAACGAGCTCCATGGGGCTGAGAATCATCTCTGTGTGTGGGAGACACATGGTCAATCTGAGTAAGCGGAAAAAATGGTGAGTGGCTGCGATGGGAAGGAAGCCCCAGAGAAGGGGCTGAGCCTGACTGGCAAACGGGAGGGCGTGGAGTGGGTGGGCAGGGACTTCACTTTTCCTTGACAGTTGTTTCATTGCTCAGATTATTTTGGCAAAGCATATTGTTGACGAATTTTTATGTTTTTCTAGGTATCAATATAAAAGTAAGATATAAACACAACTCCTCAACAAAATTAAAACCCACAGAAAGGGAACCTCACATTTCACTCCCACCTGTCTGTTCTCCCCTCTCCTTGAGAAGTAAAAACAACCACTGTCTTGCAGTGTGTTGCTGCAGAACTTTTCTTACAAAGTTACCTAAATACGGTGGCTTCGAAAAACGTGCTTAGATTTATGTTTTTTACTTAAATGGAAACGTATTTTGCACACGGTTGTACAACTTTTTTTTGCATATTTAATATTCAGAAATATGTCTTGGCGTTGAGTTTCGAGATGGCTTGTGGCGAGCCACGCCGTTTGCCCTAGGGCTGCTTGGTTACCATTTGTTGCAGGGCTCTGTGGTTACCAGGAGCCTGTGTGACCACTGACTTCACATCTGCCCTTCGCTGAACGTGTATTTCTAGAAAAATCCAGTGTCAAACTTGTCCCACACTCCAGTGCCAGAGGTGCTGAGGGTTCTCTTGGGCAGGACCGTTCAGCAAAGTCCACAGAGCAAAATGGGAGCTTGGCCTTAAAAGGGGTGAGCAAGCAGGAGGCGGGCCTCCTCTCATGAGCAGGCACGGAGGTGCTGGTCTGCCTTCGCTGGCCGAGTGCCCGCTGCAGGCTGGGCTGGTGGGAGACGTACGGACACAAACACGGCTGGGAAGCAGGCTCTGCCTCCACGCAGCATGCTCATCTGTCCGGGCTGCAATAACAAAATTCCACCAACGGCTTACAGACAAGAAACTGGTTTCTCACAGATCTGGAGGCTGAAGTCCAGCATCAAGGCGCCGGCAGCTTCCGTGTCTGGTGGGGCTTCCTGGCTCACAGACAGGGCTCCTCCTCACATGGTGGATGGGGCGAGCTGGCTCTCTGGACTCCCTTTTCTCAGGCCCAAACCCCATCACAAGGCCCTGGAGCAGGACTGAGTCACCTCCTGAAGGCCCCGTTCCAAAGCACTCCCACGGGGGATTAGGTTTCAACACAGGAATTTTTGGCGACACAAACATTGAGACCACAGCACCCAGCTCTCTGGGTTCCCAGAACCCTGTGGGAGGGCTGGGTCGCGCCTGCCCCCTTTTAAACACGAGGCTTCCATGGAAGCTTCTTGCCGGAGGCTGGACACTGAGGAATGGACAGGATCAACACTCTTCCACCGGCTCTTCCACCTCCCGATCACTTCCACCATCGCTGGGGGAAGAACGAATGCACCGCGTGGAGTGCTTCCGCCACAAAGCAGCACATCACCTCTGCTCGGAGACCCTGCTGGTGACCCTCAGCCAGCCTCATAGGCCACAGCAGGTCTCACAGCCATGCCCACTCGCAGGGAGGCAGGGAAGCCCCAGCCCCCACCGGTCCGGCACAGGAAGGAGACCTGGACCCTGGGAGTGCCGGTCTCGCCTCCCACTCTCCTGGGTGAGTGACAGCGACGCTGCCAGGTGGGTGGTCCATCAGTTAGACCTGGTCCGTGAGTAGCCTCCTAGGTGGATACAAACATGACAGCGTCCCACAGAGCACCTCGCCTCCTTCTGGAAATGCATAGACAGCTCCTATGTTCTTCTCTCCATCTGGGCATCATTTACTCTTCCTTCACTTGCACTGCTGTCCCCAGTTGATCTTACTTTAAAAGTCCCTCAGAGAATAACCTAATAACGTACACCTGAATAGCACTTCTAACTTCTCACAGTATTTTCAATCCGTCTTTCAGTTCATTGGCACCACACCTTCAGGAGACAGGGAGGACATTGGCAAGACAGGGCTGGCATCTGGCAGGGCCCCAGGCCACCCGTAGGTCTCGCGAGTGCAGGGACAGCTCCTGACAGGATGACCCTGCCGGCCCACGTGCCCACTCCTCCTCTCTCTGCAGTCGCCTTTCTCTGTGCCCATGAGGACCTGCTCAGCCCACCTTTGGGTGGCTTGGAAGTGCCTGGGATTTAAGTCCCCACACGGTCACCCTCAACCACCAGTGACGAGCATCTGTGGATAAACGCCCCCCCCCCCCCAGTCCTCATCCCCTACAGGACACCAAGGTCCATTCCGCCAGAGCTCAGGGGACACAACAAGGTGGCACCCGGTGTCGCTCTGGTTCTGTGCCCTGGAAGCTCCTCTCCCTCCCTGACTCACATCCCCACTCCCCATCCTGACTTCCGAGATCACCTCCCAGTGGTGCACCTGCATCCCAGCCCTCGTCATGGCAGGCGGCAGCAACCCTGGTTCATTGATGGGGAAACGTGTTGCCCCCCAGGGAGTGCTTGACAGTGTCTGGGGCACTTTTGGTTGGCCCTGCTTGTGTGTGGGGTGCTCCCGACATCTTGTGGTGGAGCCCAGGGATGCTGAACACCCGGCAGTGCCCAGGATGGGCCCGGAGCACAACCCAGCCCCAGATGTCCACAGTGCCGATGCCCAGGATTCCTGGCCTGGTTCTGCAGAATTCTTTTATTAATCACTTATTCTGGACTGAAGCCTGGATAGGTAATTATCAGCCTTAGATTTCTACTCAAGCAAAATTAGCAGAATCCCACCTTTCCCCGTTGGATCAAGCGTGCCATGAAATCCATGCCTTCTTTATTCCTTCCTGTTGGCTCCTGTGCCACGCTGCCTTGCTGGGGATTTGTCTGTGCAATTGTCAAGAGGCCACGACTGTGTGCCCACGTTTGCATGGCACGTAAGCACATCACACCCAACTGCAGGCATGCAGCCGGTGGTCAGGTCTCCCCCCAGAGCACTGCGTACTGCAGAAACACACCCAGTTTTCATCCACGCAGGATGGCTTGGATGCCCCCTGCCCGTGCCCAGCCTCAGGCCCCTCCTCGGGTTGCCTCCCCTGCAACCAAAGTTTCAGCTTGGCCGTCATCCCCTGCAGGGAGCATCCTTGACCTCTTGCCTTGGAGGGCCTGGCATGCTTCACACACAGCACTCACCAGCCTGTTTCACACGCTCCTACGCAGTAAGGGTGTGAGGGCAGCAGCACCTCTTCTCCTCCTCACCCCAGGGCCCAGGCTAAGGGTGCTCGGGAAGCATCAGCAAGCCATGCTGGGGGCTGTCAGGACCCTGTGGTTCTCAAAACCACATCACCCACCCCGTGAGAGATCAGAGACATGGACAGCACACGCTGGCTGAAGGTTGCAGTCTGCTGAGGGTCACTACAGCGGTGCCACTGACCCATCACACCCTCCCACACTGCCTGTTCAGGTAGTGTATGCAGACACACGCGTATATATGTGGACACACTCATGCATGCACACACACGTGCCATATACACACATGCACGCACACACACACGCTTGAGGAAAGTCCTCTCTCTTGCTGAACTATTCTCAGCCCCAGTGCATAACAGGTCTCCTAGTGGGGTCTGGCTTCTGACACTTTCAGGGGCCCCCGTGACAGACACTCTAGTGCATCAACTCCTCACTTAAGAACGGCTCGAGAGAGGGCTTCCCTTTCACTGCACAACAGAAGCAGGCTCTTCGCAGAGCTGGTTCCCTTTTCTTTCAGGTAATAACGCTCTCCACCTTCTTCAACTGGCCAGACGCCTGCGGGCTGCAATGCCCATGTCAAGCTGCTTGCAGAGGCCCTTTGTGAGGGTGAATGGGCACAGCACAGAGTTCACAGCAACACACACCGGCGTCTGCTCCCCCTGGAGAAGTGATGTGGGTGCTGGGGAGGAGCTTTGGCCCTCATGTGGCCATGCTGCCCCCTCTGCCGCCCCACCAGGCCTTTCTGGGTGACCCTGCTGCGCCCCTGCTGCTGATCTGGGCAGGAGGGCGCTCCCCCCGCGCTAGGCTTCTTGCGTGGTCTCCTGTCTCACAAAACTCCTTTCTGGGAGAAGGGGAGGTGTCCCTGGCCAGGAGGAAAGGAGCCGTGAGAAGGCTGTCGCATCTCAGCATCTGCTCTGGGTTGGACTGTGCTCCCCACCCCCAAATTCATGTTGATGACAGTGCTCCCCCAAGGCATGGGGCTCACTCAACTATGAATCCCGATGACCAGGGAAGGACCAGCCCACTCCATCCCTCCAAGTCCTTACCAGTTGTAGGTGTGGTCATCCTCTAGCAAGGGGAGCTCCTTGCCTCCCCCTGAATCTGGGCTCACCCTAGGGACTGAAAGAGTGCGGTAGAAATGACACGCTGGAATTTCTGAGGCTGGGTCATAGGAAGCCTCGTAGCATCTGCTTGGGTCTCTCGGGACACTCTCGGGAAGCTCACTGTGGGGCAGTGCAAGCCACGCTGTGGGCCCTGCCTGAGGAGGTGCTACGTACAGCCTGAGGAGCACTGAGACCCCAGACAGGAGAGCCGGTGCCATCTTGGAAGTGGGTCCTGCAGTTAATGCCACACAGATCAGACAAACTGCTCAGCTGAGCCCATCCCAAATGCCTCACAAAATCGTGAACAATGTAAAATGGCTGATTTAAGCCACCAAGCCTTGGCTTGTACAGCGACGGGTGACCAAAACACCACTTCTTCCAAGAGGCTCTAAGCAGCCTCACGGAGACATAGAGAAGTCCTGCCCAGCCTCACCCAGCACCATCCAATCCCTACCTGCAGCCTGAGTTCAGAGAGAATGAATGAACTAAGCTATTCGGAAGGTCTATTTTAATAGGAAAATGTTTTTTAGTTGGAACGTTTTGGAAATAAGATAACGCAATGTCTTCTATAGTTACTCATTTACACTGAAACGTGATGGGTAACTTTTAGGGCGTTTGCTTCCAGTCACTTTCCCCTGACTCCTTGATGTGATAATTCCTTCCATAAGATACAACCATTCTCCCAAGTGATGCGATGACGAGTATGTGCGTGACTCTGGAGGGAAAGGGTCTACATCTGTCTCTGCTTGTGCCTCGGATGGGTTTTACAGTAGACGTACCACCGACCCCGCCTCTTCACCAGGTAACAGTCCTTGCAGCGCTTCTTAAGGACAGTCTTGTTTTTGAACCCCAGCGCAGGCAGCAGATGGGGCAGGAGGCCGGGTGAGAGAAGTGAGCGCACTGCTGCCCCGGGTTCCACAGCCACGGGGGCTGCACCTCGAATGGATCCAAATAGAAATGTGGAGAGGGCTCGAGGCTTCACCGTGTGACGACTGAGATAGAGCAGAGGGTTCACCATTTTCCTTATAAAAAGATTTGCCATGTTGTGGTGAATCTATGGGAGAGAGAAAAAAAGGAGTTATAGCTTCTCCTGCACTTCCACCTGCTCTTTAAGGCTTCCTTTTCTCTGTTTCACTGAGGCTTGGGAAGGCAGGGACCTCGGGGACTGAGGGTGTTCCCATACCAGCTGCAGCCTCGACCTGAGCTTGAACACTGCCTTAATCAGCCAAGTGTGCCAGGAGAATAAGGGGCAGTGGACGGTGGCTTCCTTCCCTTTCCCGCCTGCTGCAAGTGTAGGTGAGTGTGCAAAGCCCTGCGATGTTGAGGAGCCGCTCACTTGGCTGGGAGGGAGCTTAAACTTAGGCCGCATCCCTTTCCAAACAGACACCAGGTCAAGGACGGTTCAACTGATGAGCTCCTCCCTCCAACTCTTCCCAGACCCAGGGGCCCTCCCTCGGGCCAGTTTCGGGACAGGCCCCCGCTCCGGAAGAGCACGGAACTCTGGCACCCCGGTCGCCCGCCCCTGCTTCCCCACGCGCCCCGGCCCTTAGGGTTCAGCGGCCCCGGCTGGGAAGAGCTGGGCCTGCAGGGCCCGGAGGACACTGCGGCACCGGAGCCGGCCCTGCGCGCGGGCTGTGAGGTCGCGTTCGGGAGCCGCCAGTTCTCCCGCCCCGGGGTCGCTGGACACCCCCTCCTGTCGCCAGGTCGGGCGCCCACGGTCGGACCCGCACCCCCCAACCCTGGCCCTCTGAGACCGCCAGGCCCCGGCCCACGCTCCTCTGACCGCAGCCCACTCGGGGAGACACGCCCGAGGGTCCCAAGGTGGCCGGCCCCACCCTCTCGCAGCCCCCACTCTCAAGACACCCGGGACCCCTGACCTGAGAAGACGGCTCCCTTACCCGGCCGCACGCTCTCACCCGGCGCCGACCCCTGCGTCTGCGCACTGGCACGCGGACGCTGCTGCCAGGAAGGAAGATGGCGGCGGGGGGGGGGGTCACGTGGCGTGCCCACGTCCAGTGCGGGGCGCAGAGACGCAGCAGCGAGTGCGCAGGCGCTGGAGTGCGACGTATCACTCCCCGACTGCGCGCACTCTGCGGGCCACCGGGATCGTCGTGCTGTTTGGAGCGCTCTCGGGAAAAAAAATGCAAAAACCAGGAACGAAAATGGATATCCGCAACGAAAAAGAAATTACAACCACTTAGGCCTTAGAAAAAACTGGCAAATACCAATGTCAAAACAAACTGAGAAAGAGGACATGTTTTTAAGTGGACAGGAGAAATGTAAACAGGCTCCGGGAAACGAGTGGAGACGGGCAGTAGTTTCAACTGGTTACGGCTGTTTTCCCCAACATTATGAAAAACTTCGGACATAGAGAAAAAGGGAAAGAACTGTACGGTGAACACCCATATACTTGCCACCTAGATTCTACCCTTAGCTCGCTTATCCCTGCCTTTTCAGGTATCTACCCGTAACTCCATTCGCCTTCCTTTTTGTGTGTGTCCGGGTGAGTTGCAGACGTGGCTGCGTCCACTCCGCGCTCCCTGCAGGCCCCAACGCTTCATCGCAGCGCCCACTTTTTCCACCTGACCCGGCGAACACCGGGCGGGCCGCTGGAGTTTATCAGCTCCAGGACAAATCTGCCTCTGACCACCACGTTTGCTGGGACATCTTTGGGACCGGAGGTTTTCATGTGCATTCTTGTTTCTCATGCCTTTCCTCCTCTTTATCATCTTCCCCGCCACTCATCCATCTCTAGTGTTTTGTTCTTGGAGTCACGTGGTCCTCAGGCTCTGACCACAGCAAAAGAAAAGCTGGATGCTGGAGCTTAAGCTGGGATTTATACCCAAGTCAACTCTAAGCAAAACGGGCCTTTTTAGAGGCTGTATTTGCATGCTGTAAAATCAGTCGGTGTACTAGGCTTTGTTGCAGAAATCCCCAATATACGTTTCCTCTGCGGCTCCCCGTAACCACACACAGGAACGCTTGCCTTGAACGAGGAGAATGCACTTCCAGTCTCGTCTGCTAAGCAGTTGACTCCTTCACCCAATAATTTTGATATTTAAATGTCTCATGATTATCGGTTACCATAAGAATATAAACAATGTATTTTCAGTTTACATCCTCCCCTGCCTGTCCGCTAAATAAGAACCACTGGGTACTCCTAATCGCTGAAGGTTTCGCACACCATTGCCTGCCTCATCAGGGCCCTAGCTCTAGCCTGCGGCTGCAACTGCATGAGGCTGCACCTGCCGGCGCAACGGGGCCGCTTAACTTTTAGGCCATTGATGAAAAGTCAAACAAGCGCACAGTACTCGGTGTAATCAGGGGCATTTTTAGCGAGATACCTGGGATGAAAACGGGTGACCACCTGAATCAGAGAGCAGCTCCGGCGCACCCTCTGCCCCGACCCGCGCTCCCCGCCCCCAGGGCGAAATAAATACCGGGTGTTTGGCGCCGCCAGAAGCCGTGCGCATGCGTTAGCGCTAAGCGGGACGTTGCGCCGGGTCAAAGGCCAGCGGCGCAAAATGGCGGCGGCGATGACCTTCTGCCGGCTGCTGAACCGGTGTGGCGAGGCGGCGCGGAGCCTGCCCCTGGGCGCCAGGTGTTTCGGGGTGCGGGTCTCGCCGACCGGGGAGAAGGTCACGCACACTGGCCAGGTAACGGCCGCTGGGTACAGGATGCACCTTCCTCCAGCCGCACCTCGGGCGACTGGTGGCAGTGGGCTCGCCGGGCATCCGCGGCCCTGGTTCTGCGCCGGCAGCGCAGGTCGTGGTAAGGTTGTGCTGTCGCTCACGCGCCGGGGAGGACGCCCGCGAGTCGGGACGGTGGTGGCAGCCTGTAGCGGTGGGTCTCGTCCTTCCAGGGCCTGCGGGCTCTGGAACGGGAAGTCTCCCCAGCGGGCAGCACTTGCTGTGGACTGGCTGCCCATAGGCGATTTGTGGCAGCCGATTATTTGGGTCAGAACGTTTAGAATTTGTGTAATATTCAATAATAAATTTTAGTAACCTGAGAAGTCGGTTGTAGTCCAAGGCACAAAAAAGCCCTAAGCCAAAATGAAGAACAAAGGTACCTGTGTATACTGGAATGTGCCCTAGTAGATTTAATGGGGGGATAGTAAAGCTCTCAGGCCATATGCCAAAGAAGGTTGGGGGCGGTTCTCCTCGGTCAGGATTTGTCTCTCCTCCTTAGCTCCACCTTCCCGGGCTATGTCTCTGTGCTGCTCTCTGATCCAGGTGACCACCCGTTTTCATCCCAGGTATCTCGCTAAAAATGCCCCTGATTACACCGAGTACTGTGCACTTGTTTGACTTTTCATCAATGGCCTAAAAGTTAAGAAAAACACTTTCCTGTAATATTTATGATTGATATGAAGTGACTTTCAGAATTAGGCCGTAAAAGTCACACATGGTCTTTTTGTTTTTTTCCAGGTTTATGATGATAAAGACTACAGGAGAATTCGGTTTGTAGGTCGTCAGAAAGAGGTGAGTAAAAAATCTAGTGAAGAGAGGTAAGCTTTCCTAAAACTTTTATGTAACCAACAAGAAATAAAAATTAATATATAAGATTTAAATAAATTTTCCCCATATTGCAAGCACCCTAACAGTTCTGGATGGGGTTCTTCCTTTCTTAAAATCTTAATTGTGTCTATTTCTGACTTGTTTCCCCCTGAAATACATAACATTGTAGCCGTAGTTCTGGTTTGCATATAAATGGAAGTGATCTTTTTTAAAATTCTTGTCCCTTATTCTCCTGAGACTCTCAGATTTAAGTAAATCATATCAACTTTAAAAAAATTATTCTTTTAACCACCTGGAGGTGTGTTTTTTATAGTTTTCACCAAATAAATTAGTGTGTGTTTTTTACAGGGACTTACACTGACAAGCTGAAAATGGCACATGAGTTTTTCTTCCCTTAGTGGGTCTGTTAGCTCTATGCATTGTAAGGGAAGATCAGTTCAGGTGCCTGTGAGTGACCACTGGAGAAAGAATGTTGAAATTAGAATCCTTCTGCCTAAATCAGCCTATTTTTTTTTTTTACCTGACTCCTTCTCTATCACTCATGTCAATGAGCTCCTGAATTCGTAATTAGATCAGGCATGCCTCCATGATTCCTGAATTTGCTTCCTGAAGGATGCTGTGAAGTGTCCTTCACAGCCACCTTATTCATTCTTTTTCCCACTTTGGTTAGCCTGGTGTTCTTCTTGTTAACACCGTAGCTATCCCTAAATCATGTATTTTCCCTTCTCCTTCAATCTTGGTTACGTTATCCATTCCCAGTGTGTAGTTTTTGTACGTCTATTCCAGAGCTACAGGGCATTCCAGAAAAGCTCACATGATCATGAATTGACTATAAATTCACATTCTCAAAATTCAGCTGGTTCACTGTTGTGTGGTTTGATGGGTGGGTGTCAGAAAAGTTTGTTTTATAGTGGTTGATTATTTGGCAATGCCACTTGAGTGTTGGGTTGAGAAAGATCCTGAGGCCTGATGCACATTCAGTGGAAGAGTGTGCCATGATTGATTAGTGATGTCTACCAGGATCATGGTGGTGGAGAGGGGCTTGTGTCTGGTGGGTTTGCCTCTCGGAGTAGAAGCTGTGTGGACTTGCAGTCTAAAAATTGTGAGGTTGAATCACAGCATGGGTTCAGTTTTCTCATTTGTGAAATGGAACCATGTGAATATTTTTAATTGAATCATAAGTCTCCAGTGATATCACACTGTCAGTTGTCGAGTAAGTGGTGTATAGGGTAAGTGCTCTTTCTCTCCATCCTCAGAAACCCTTTTCTGTTTGTTGTTTGAATTGTTAGTGTATTCCCAGTAGAAGCATCTGTTCCATGTGCCACATTCTCCAATGCTGTATCCCAGTGATTCACACAAAGGAGCTCATGGCATTGCGAATGGGACATTTCTTCCGTGTGCAGGCTGTCCTGGGCATTCTTGTTAGGTATATGAACTTGACATTTGGAAGGTGGAAACCGATGGATGTTGAAAGGATTTGCAGGCCCTTTGGTTTCTTTTGGCAGTGATCGTGGAGAAGGGGAGGTTTCTCTTAGTGTGGATGCGGTATGGTTTCTTTTAGTGGTGACCGTGGAGAAGGGGAGAAACCGATGGATGTGGGGAGGGTTCGCAGGCCCTTTGGTTTCTTTTGGCAGTGACCGTGGTGACGGAGGTTTCCTGGGCATCGATGGGTGGTTGTTACTGAGGTAGTGGCTGGACTCTACATCCTTGCTTTGTGGGTGTTATGGCACGGTCGTGGGGGCAAGGTAGGAGCCCCAGATTGAGCAGTTCTGGAGCAGATTGGTCCTGAAGCCCTTGGGCTCATTCATGCAATCTGGCTTCCAGCCCAGCTCCCTATCTCAGCTCTTGTAGTGACGAAGCAAGTATGTGGGTCCCTGTCACAAACGCCTCTCTGCTGAACATTCTTTGTGTAGCTTCTGGTTTCTGGTTGGTGTAGCATAGGGTAGTGGGAAACAACTTAAACCAAACAGAATCAGGATTGGCGAAGCCAGTGAGGGGTGGGTACGGGATAGTGTGATAGTAGTGTCTGTGACCGGCAGCTCACCCAGGGCGTCCTGGTTGTGACCTCAACGCTCCAGCCGGCCTAGCCTCCAGTGCCTTCCCCCATTCAGCATCCTGAGTGTCCAGGGCACGTCTTGGCCTCACACCTTGGAGGTTCAAGGCATGTTGATAACATGATGAGTGGGCATCCTGCCCAAGCTTTCCTTCTTTCAACACAAATTTGGTGTTTAGTACTATTTTTAGTAGTAGTTGTTTGGCTTCTGAGAGACTTAATTTTTTGGAACACTTTTAGATTTACAGAAAAACTGAAGAAAGTAGGGTTTTCACAGCCCCCCAGCTCAGTTTCTGCTGTTTACTGCCATCTCTCATTAGTGTGCTGCCTGTGTCACAGTTGATGAGCTGATACTCATACATTATTACTAACTCAAGTCCACAGGTTCACTCTTAATGTTGTATGTTCTAGGGTTTGGATAGATGTGTAATGACATGTATTCACTGTGACAGTGTTGTACCGAGTTCACTGCCCTAAAAATCCTCTGTGCTCTGCCTGTTCATCCCTCCCTCTGCCCAACCCCTGGCAGCCCCTGATCGTACTGTCCTCTAGTTTTGTCAAGTAATACTTTAAGAAGTAAACTGGGCCAGGCACAGTAGGCTTATGCCTGTCATCCCAACACTTCGGGAGGCCAAGGTGGGCTGATCACTTGAGCCCAGGCGTTCAAGACCAGCCTGGGCAATATGGTGAAACCCTGTGTCTACAAAAAATATAAAAATTAGCCTAGCATGGTGGCACATGCCTGTAGCTCAAGCAACGTGGGAGGCTGAGGTGGGAGGGTCATTGAGTCTGGGAGGTTGAGGCTGCAGGGAGCTGAGATCATGCCATTGTACTCCAGCCTGGGCAACAGAGCAAGACTCTATCTCCAGAAAAAAAAGAAAAAAATAAACTGAATCTGAACTTCACCTGTAGAACAAGCATAGCAGGAAGCTAGATAATTGAGCTGGTCTTTGCAGAAAAACAGTGGAAAGTATCTTTGTGTGGCTCCTGCCCAGCTTTGACCGGGGGTACCTTCAAAGGAATCCATGGCCCCTGGGCCTGTGACGGGCCTGCCTGTGAGGAGACTCCTCACGTGCTAAAGAATGTGCCAGCCACCCCCAGCCAGAAGTCAGGCCTCACATGGTCCTGGAGCAGGTGGCACTCTGGGGCCACATAAGTCAGATGGGGGACTGGAACAAACTTGGAAGTGACCAGGTATTTCTCTGCTGTTGATGGAAATATTTTCATTGCTTTATAGTCGTACAAGTAAAATTAAAAGCAGATATGACTTGTCCCCTAATAGAAGGGATGACTGGGGGAGGTCTGCAGTGAGGTGTGGTAATAATAACAGCAATAACAACAGCCTGGTAGCCAGGTACTTGGCGACATCATTTGCTTTTTTGGTTAGTAGCTGGGGCTGCCCTGCCTGGCCGCATCCGGATTCAGGCTCCTGCGCTGATGGGCTTATGAGGGCTGTGTGCTTCAGTGACTTAGCTTGTAGGCTCGTGGGCACTGAGTCCGTGTAGATGAGGAAAGGCTTGGAGCAGCGCCTGTCCCAGGGAAGCCTCTAGTGTGTGTTCGCCTTACTCTGCTGCTGCCTTCGCCACCACCATGAGGGCAGGCTTCACTTTTAGATTTTTTTAAAATACTGAAGTTAAACGTTAGTGTCTATACACAAGGTCTTTACTTTTAGTTTTTGAAAAGAAGGAATTAGGCAGCAAACCCGGAACATCAGGAGGCTGGGATCCCTTGAGTGCGACTCTGTGCCACCCCTCTCCACCTGTGTGTGTCAGGATCACGGAACAGCTGGGGGCTTCAGCTTGTGCCTTCATCTGCCCGCCAGTGGGATGGATTCTCTCCTCAGATGCTCGGCAGGGCGGAGTCACTCCCTGACCCGCACAGCCCACAGCTGGGCGTTTGGGTCAGCGAGATTCTGCACGTTTTCTGAGACACCTAGGCTGGCAGGGTTGAGTCCAGTTGTGACCCTGTGGCCTCACCTGCCTGGCCCTCAGTTCTTCAGTAGCAGACTTCAAGGTGCGTGGTGCCACCAGGATTAGGAGCAGTTGCACGCGGTGCAAATGTCTACCTGGCGTGCTGTTTTGTTGCGATAATGTGAAGTTTTATCCTTCTGAGAAGAGTGTGTAGATTTCGTTAATGGAAATAATTGAGTAGTGCTCACGAGAGAGGAAAACTACCAAGACCCTCCAAACAGAAAACAAGCGTGGGTGACGGCGTGGAGCAACTGAAACTTTGTGCCTTGCTGCTGGGAATGTAAAATGGCACAGCCGTGAAGGAAAACAGCGTGTGGGTTCCTCAAAAAGTTGAAACTAGGACTTCCATCCAATCCAGCGGTTCCACTTCTGAGCGTGTGCCCAAAAGAACTGAAAGCGGGGTCCGGGGTACACTCGTGTCATAGCAGCATTATTCATTATAACTCAAATCTGGAAGCAGTTTGGGGGTCCATTGTCAGCTGAACGGATAAGCAAAATGTGATCTGTCCATGGACAGTGGAATATTATTCAGCCTTAAGGAAGAACGCTTGACACGCCCCACAACACGGATAAGCCTGGAGGACGTTGCGCTCAGTGAAGTGAGCCAGTCACAGAAGCAGACTGCGTGATTCCTCTAACACGAGGGACCAGAACAGTCGCTTCTTAGAAGTACTGTATGAGGTACTCAGAGGTACTGCGTGAGGTACTCAGAGGTACTGCGTGAGGTACTCAGAGGTACTGCGTGAGGTACTCAGAGGTACTGTGTGAACACTGTGTGATTCCTCTGATACGGGGGACCAGAACAGTCGCTTCTTAGAGGTAGCAAGTAGTTGGTGGTTGCCGGGGGCGGGGGGTGAATTTGGAGTTAGTGTTGAATGGAAATGGAGTTTCAGTTTACGAAGGTGGAAGGTTCTGGAGATGGGTGGTGGTGATGGTTGCACAATAATGTGAATATACGTGGTGTCCTTAGAAATGGTAAAGATGGCAAGTTTTATGTTATGTGTATTTTACCACAATTAAAAAAAAATTAAGAGGGAAGTGGCTTCAGGCCCACGCAGGAATTGACCAGAGGTTCCTCCCTGAGGCTTCTGTGGCTGGTGTCGCTCATTCTTATTTCTCCCAAGAGGCCGGCAGGGCAGGGCACACTCGGGTGGGGAAGCAAGTGAGGCTGAGGCTGGGCCCACGCGGCACCTCCAGAGGCTCTGCACACCCGTGGTGGTAACTTGTGTTATCACCCAGGACAAGCGCACTCCTCGGATCAGCAGTGGAAGAAACTTGTGACATCTTTCGTCTACATTGAGCCATCTCTTGAGGCCAGCGCAGCACCACCCGAACCATGTTGGCTCTCGTGCGTGCACACACACACTGTTGGTCACAGGAGGGATGCCACCAGAGAGCTGAGAGGGAGTGCTGAGGTACCCAGGGGTCAGTAGCTGCAGGAAGCAGCCACTATTCCTAGGACTTGGGGGGCAGGAGGAAGAGGTGGCGTCACCAGGAGGGAGCTGTGAAAGTGCCCTTGTGGTGCCGCTGGAGCTCCAGGTGGGAGACAGGACTGGGAGTCGGGGATGGGTGCTAGGGTGAGGCCCCCAGCCAGACAGTGGTGGCTGAGAAGGTCCTCCGTGAGAGGAAGATTGAATTGAGGGGCCTCGGAATTCCACCCTCCGCCTTTGCAGGTCATCTGGTTGGTGGCAGAGGTGGAGCTCTGTGCTTGCTTCCAGGTTCATCCTTAGAGGGTTTAAGAGGGGAGGTTTGCCTGAGTCTCTCTTGTCTTGAAGCAACCTGGGCGTCCTTTAGGGGGTGTTTGAGACGCGGGCGGTGCGATGTGCGCCATGGCTGCTCTCCAGAGCTTTTGTGTGGCTTCCCGCTTCTGCATGCTCCTCCTCCTGAGCTTCCCTCCCAAATACGCCATCTTTATAGTGGAGTGAAGGCAATCGGATTTTAAAAGAAATCTTCTGGATGGATAAGAACCGTGGGTCTTTGCTTCCTTTAGAAAGGCTTGGACTGTCAGAAATAATGGTTATAAAGTGAGGTTTATTTATCCCAGGACCCAGAGGAAAATAGTTGGAACTGTGAATTCACGAGCCCCAGGTTCACATGCTGGTGGCTTTGTTTGTGAGCTGGCGAGATGGGCTTTATTTCCTCCCTCATGCAGCTCCCCAGCTTCGTCTTTGCTTCTCTATTGTGTCTTTGTGTCTTGTGGTTCTTTCTCTTCCAAGGCACTGGCAAAATTAGTCACTGGATTCCAACATTCTCAAAGCAAGTTTGAACATGTTGTACAGACAGCTCAATTGTGGTTTTTAGAGCATTTTCTATAAAGTTACTTAGTTTAAAAATTAATTTGAATGAAAACTTCAGTTTTGCCTGTGATTTAAGAATTATATACTTATATAGACATGTATACACACGTTTAGCTTAAATAATTATTGGCATTCATGTTCAGAATGCCTGATGTTCTAAATAATTGAACTGAGCTTTTACTTTATTTTAAACTTTTATTTTAAATGTCCATGAATGGGGTCGGTATTCTACAGTGTCGATGATCCAGCTGGTGGACTTTTCCCTTCTGCGTTGGTTTTGATGCTGTGTCACAGAATCACATATTTTATGTTTTATCTTTAATAGATGTAATCTCAGTTTGACACAATAGGACTTTGACTCCTAAAGATTTAAACCTACATATCTTTATGCCCAATCATTTGATCATCAAGAGGTCAATGGAAAGAGTGTTTCCTATTTTTTACATTAGTGACGGGCGAGGGACTCATTTTACAGAGGTTGGACACTTCACTGTGTATGATGTGCCGTGTGCTTAACAAGAGATGGCGTGCGGGCTGCTGTGACGGTTCTCCCTTGATTCCCTCGTGAAGTGCAGCAGCGCTCTTCAGTTTTTCTCACCTTTCCCCAGGTGAAAGCAGGTGAGAATGGAGCCTTGAGTCTGAACCCAGAGCGGGGCTTTGTGTTGTGGCTGGGTGTGTTCACTGCCGGAGCTTGGCCGTGTGAACCCGGAGCCGGGCTCTGTGTCGTGGCTGGGTGTGTTCACTGCTGGTTCTTTGTATTCCTGCGGTTGCACTGAGCTCCTGGAGCCAGACGTTTGCTGGTGATGGGCGGTCAGGGTCACCCTTGAGCTGCGCACACTAAATGACGGGAGGGCATCCCGCGTCAGTCGCCAGTGTCGAGGCGTCAGCAGCCCTCCCTGCAGGGAGGTGGCCGGTCTCTTTGACTGCCGTGATCGGGGCCTGGCAGTTTGTTAGTGCGGCCTTTGTGACACGTTGTCACTTAGGCAGACACCATATTATTTACACCATAAGGCTTAATTTGTATGGTTAGTTGCATCGCCTGCAGCAGGGGTGAGCAGAACATCGCTCACTCCAGAGCCCTCTGTAAGGCGCTGCGACAAGGCGAGCCGCCGGGCCGGCAGCAGAGGCTTGTGTTGCTGGAGCGTGTGGAACAACCTGGGCGGCGCCACACGGCTCAGGCCTCTGCTTTAATGTGGCTTCATTTTCCACTAACTTCCTACTGTGTTTCTGGAAATAGATCTTCAAGGAAAAGCTTTACACAATGGTCATCTGTAACTGACAGAACCTCTTGAAAAATAAACCTTTCCGAAACATATCTGTGAGGGAGAGTGGTGCCCTGCCTCCCACTGCGTGTGTGTTCTCTGTGACTGTGTGGCATTGAATGGGCCTCTAGTCTCCAGAAATGAGTGACTTTGTGATGAGCCCTGTTGCTGCTTCCACTCTGGGGCGGGGACGCTGTAGAAGGAGCACAAAGTTTCAGGCTGTGCCATTAAGCAGGGGAACCCCAGGAGCAACATCCGAGGCAGAGGGTTGTGTCATGCTTGGCGGGGCTGGCCCTCCAGGAGGGGACATGCAGGTAGACCCACATCCCTGGGCTTAGAGGCCTGCTGGGGGTGTAGAGTTGAGTTCCTTCCCTCTACATGCACAGATGCCGGCGCTCTACTTCCCATAGCTTCCCGGTTCTTCGTGCCTTGTCTTCCTGGCACTTAATCGTTGACTGTTCCCAGGGGCAGCTGAAAGGGGCTGGCTCATTACAGAGTCAGAGGAAATCAAGGCATGTCCCCTTTCCAAGTTCCCAAATTTGCCATCGTGAGCATCATCAAATACATTATTTGCCAAGCCAGGATGTTTTAATTGCTTTTTAAAAAACATAAATTCTGTGAAACAGAGGGAATAGTCTAATGATTCCCTTTTCCCATGTATCCAGGCAGTCAGTTTCAACAATTACCAACCGAAGTAGTTGTCGGAGGGGCCAGTCTGGCTCAGCTCCTCTAATGGTTGTCGGAGTGGCCAGTCCGGCTCAGCTCTGCTAATCGTTGTCGGAGTGGCCAGTCTGGCTCAGCTCTGCTCTGCCTCTCCCCCGGCCCCCCAGCCCCTGGTAATGTTGATGTGAATCTTTGACATCATGTTACTGAGTCTAAATTTATCTGTATGTAAGTTGACCCTTGAACAACATAGGTGTGAACTGTGAGTCCACTTAAGTGGCTTCTCTTTCGCCTCTGCCACCCCTGAGACAGCAGGACCAACCCTCCCTTCCTCCTCCTCAGCCTGCTCTACGTGAAGATGATGAGGATGAAGACCTTTATGACGATCCACTTCCACTTAATGAAAAGTCAGTTCATTTTCTCTTCCTTGTGATTTCCTTCATTGCATTTTCTTCCTCTAGCTTACTTTATTATAAGAATCCAATATATAATACTTGTAACATGCAAAATATATGTTAATCGACCATTTATGTTATTGGCAAACATTCTGGTCAGCATCAGGCTATGAGTAAATTGTGGGGGAGTCAAAAATAATATGCAGATTTTCAATTGTGTTGGGGGTGGTTCCCCCAACCCCTGAGTTGTTCAAGGATTAACTGTACCTTCAAAAGATACTAACATTCAGATCTTACAGGGAAGTAAAAAAAAAACAAAATAACAAAATATATTAACATGACAACAATATAATTATCACACCTTAAAAATTATACTTTCTTTAAGTTAAATATCTAAGTGGTGTTAAATATTCTTGATCATGCATGTTTTTAAAAATGTTACAGTGTGACTCCGAGCCCAGGTAAGTTCCTACATGCAGCTGTTGGTGTCTCTTATGTCTCTTTTAATCTGTAGGTTCCCATCGGTCTCCCACTCTCTTTCTCATTGGAGAATTTTATTTGTTAAAGAACCTGGGTCATTTCCTCTGTAGAGTCACCCACAGCTGGATTCTACTGACCGCATCACTGTAGTGTTGTTGAACATGTCTCTTGTCTCTGCATGTTTTGAAATTAGTTGGATCTCAAGACTTGATCAGATTGAGGGTCAGTGTTTTGTTCCTGGTGAGACTGCTACATAGGTGATGTATCCGTCCATCAGGAGGCACATAATATAATTGGTTCTGGTTGTAGTAAGAGACTTTGATCATTGTCTCTTACATCTGTGATTTCATAAGGGGTTGTAAAATGATATTATCCATCTTATTAGGTTGAATACTTATATCAAAAGAAACCTTGGTGCTGAGGTAAAGTTTCTGTAGGAAAATCAGAAGAAATACTTGATTCTTTCCCTATATTTACCAGTCTTTAATGGGTTGATTCTCTAGTTTCTGTTTGTTTTGTGTTGCTATAACAGAGTACCTGAGACTGGATAATTTATAAGGAACAGAGATTTATTTCTTACAGTCTGGAGGCTGGGAAATCCAAGGTTGAGGGCTGTGTCTGGTGAGGGTGGAAGGTGGAAGGACTGGAGAGTGTGCATGAAGGGGACTGAACTCCTTCTTCTACCAGGAGCCCGCTCACCACCTGTGAGGGCAGCCAGAATCCTTCATGAGGCAGAACCCTCATGACCTCAGTACCTCTGAAGGCCCCGCCCTGTCTCTCAACACTGTTGCATTGACTATTCAGTTTCCAACAGAGGAACTTTGGGGGAGCACATTCAAACCATAGTACCTGGTAAGGTAATTAATGAGTTTTTAAAATATGTTTATGAAATCATGAGTGTAAAAATTTGTGTTTCCACATTTTGCAGTTATAATCCCCTTGTCCCTCCAATTCCCTGTATCCCAGATTATCCCATGTGGCAAATTTCCCCGGGTTGACTCCTCTTTTAACACAACCTTAGTTGCCTTAAAAACTTCCCTGACTTGTGCCACAGTAGAGTGTCTGAAGTTCATTCTATAACATTTCCTGTCCTGGACCCAGAATCAGTCATTTTTGAAAGAATCCAGTCCCTTCCCTTCGGTGTGAAATGGTGTTTAGAGACCACCATGTGGGCAGCAGGGGTCCTCATTGCCCTGAGTTAATCATGGTCCTGGGGATGGAGCTAGAAAGGGTGTGTGTAGGCCAGGCTCAGTGGCTCATGTCTGTAATCCCAGCACTTTGGGAGGCCGAGGCGGGCGGATCACCTAAGGTCAGGAGTTCGAGACCAGCCTGACCAACATGGTGAAACCCTGTCTCTACTAAAAATACAAAAATTAGTCGGACGTGGTGGCGGGTGCCTGTAATCCCAGCTACTCGGGAGGCTGAGGCAGAGAATTGGTTGAACCTAGGAGGCGGAGGTGGCAGTGAGCCAAAATCGCGCCACTGCATTCCAGCCTGGGCGACAGAGTGAGACTCTGTCTCAAAAAAAGAAAAGAAAGGGTGTGTGTGAACATCAGACATGGGATGAGTCACACTGATCCTTCCAAACTTAGTTCAGGGTTACAAGACTTCTGCTGAACCAGTGAGCTGACCTCTCTATTTCCTTCCCCACACTGAAAATCCTGATTTTTCAATAATAATTTCATTTGCTTTGGAAGCGGTTTTATTCTTAAGGTGTGTCCTGTTAGAAATGTTCCTGTTACTCTCTTAAAGTGTTGGGAATTCCTTAGGTCCATTTGTCTCTTTTAAAAGTTTAGTTTTCTAACTTTGAAAAATATAAAATATAGTCTCAGTCAGATTTATAAAACTTGGAAGAAAGTCTAACGATCGTGCTCGCGTCCTCCTTCCTTTCCACCTCACAGTAGTAACTGTTCAGTGCTTTCTCCTTTGGATTTCATGTAAATCAGTGAATATGTAGGCGGACCCCTGGTATTCCCCACATGGATGAGTGGAAGCTTCCTGTCCACTTACCCACTGCCTGGCATCTCCACGTAGTCCTGTGTCCTCCTTCACCCCATCGCGGTATTATGGAGACACTTTTTTCATTCCGTTTTGATAGTAACTGAAAGCATCAGCACACAAGCAGGACGTGAAGTTACCAGAGTCTTTCCCGCACATGCCTATGAGTCATAAATGACCAGGTGGAAGACACAGTGGATGAGGAGACCCAGTGTACGGTAGCAGCAAACAAGAGAAAACACTTAGGAACAACCTAACCGGCATTCAGGACCTCTGTGGCCCAAGGGGAAAGCCGGAAGGACATTGTTGGTCTAACGGATTGCAGAGCTACTGGCATTTTTGGCATTTTAGATAAATCTATTCCATCGGTATCATGTTTACTGAGGTGGATAACTGCATGGAGGTTCTGTGAGAGAATGTTCTTATGAAACGCACATGGGAGCCTGTGACAGACAGGCCCGAGCAATACAAATGTCCTCAGGTGGGACAGAACGATGTGGTGGGGAGAAGAGGGCGTGGCAGAGCCCACGGGGCACGTGTCAGCATTTGCTGGGTCCACGGGGACAGAAGGGAAAGGCTCTGTGCTGCTGGGATTCTTGCAGTGCCTCTCCGCGTTTGGAACTTTATTCCAGTGAAAAGTAGATGTGTGTGTAGGCCCTGAATTTAATAAGGTCTACAATGATAATAGTTAAATGAAGCATGCACCATAGATTCGTGCTGATGGTACATGAATTTGTGTGTGGTGGGTTAAATTGTATGTAGTTAGCAAGTTTGTGTATTTGTTTACGTAAGTCTTTCTTCTTGTTCCAGGTGAATGAAAACTTTGCCATTGATTTGATAGCAGAGCAGCCCGTGAGCGAGGTGGAGACTCGGGTGATAGCGTGCGATGGCGGCGGGGGAGCTCTTGGCCACCCAAAAGTGTATATAAACTTGGTGCGTAGCTGGCCACCTGTGCACATGTTAGGGCAGCCTGCTCGTCCTCATACTCCCCTTCACTCCCAGTGCCTGTTCTTTCTGTCCTCTTCTCTACCTGCTCCCGAGGCGGCCCTTACGGGGTTCACACTGCTGGCACATTCACCCTACAGCGCCACACTACAGGGCCTACATAGAGCCGCCTGTCCGAAAACCCCCTTTCAACTGTGAAGTGGTGGGCGGCATGTTTCTCTTCTCGGACGCCCAAGCGTCTTTCCTCTCTGGGCCCTTCTCGGTTTGGTCATCATCTCAGCTCAGGCTGCCACACACAGCACCGCAGGCTGGGGTCGAAAACAACAAACACATTTCCCACAGCGCTGGAGGCTGCAGCCCAAGACCACCGTGCCGCTCTGTGGGTTCCTCCTGGGGCCTCGCTCCGGGGCTTGCAGATGAGGTCTCCTCCCTGTGTCTTCACAGGGCCGTCCCTCTGTGGGAGACTCCTCATCCCCTCTTCTTATAAGGGCACCAGGCAGATTGGCTCAGGGCCCCTATGTGACCTCAGTTTACCTTCATCACCTCTTTAAAGGCCCCATCTCCAAATACAGTCACATCGGGGGTTAGGACTTTGGGGGGCACACGGTTTATTTTCTAACAATCCCTATGTAATCTTTTATGCCTGTTGATGAGTGTCATATACAGGACCATTGAGAAAAAAAAGAACACAGGACCGGAGAAAGAGACCGTGGGCTGAAGCTGGGATGTGGAACTGGGGTGCAGGGTGGGAGGGAGGCTGCCACAGATCACTCAGGGACTCGGGCGGCTGCTGACCTGGGGTGCAGGGAGAGGGGGAGGCCACCGACAGTGGAGCACTCAGGGACTCAGGCGGCTGCTGGGCTTGGTGTTCTCCCCAAAGCAGAGTCCTGGTTAAGGGACTTTAACTTCGTTAGAGCTGACATTTATTAAAAGCTGTCATTATCTTGTTGCCTGTCCTGAAAAGGGGACAGTGTAACAGGCATAAATGGTTAAGCAGCCTAGAGTGGGACTGGGCACCCGGCATGTCCCCTCCTGGGCTCCAGCCCTGAAGGCCAAGCCTGGTTGTGCCTCACTGTCGTGTGCAGCACCCACCGCCTGCTCCAGGCCGCTGAGGTGTGGGGAGTGAATGGAGCTGCAGGCTGACAGTGATGTCCCTGGGGGTCCTAGGGGATGGCTGCGTAGCCCGGGGTGGGAGCCTGAGGCCAGGGGCTTCGGTCAGCCTGGAACCGAGATCGACAGTCTGCATTCTTACTTCAGTAGTAACTGCGTATTTTTGTTTCTGACAGTCTAAGTTTTATACATACATTTTCAATGCTTAATATCTAGATTTGAAGTAGAATATGGAAATATGACATCATTCCTTTTGAATTTTTTCAGGACAAAGAAACAAAAACCGGCACATGCGGTTACTGTGGGCTCCAGTTCAGACAGCACCACCACTAGAGCGTGTGGCACGCCGGGGGTCCCGCAGCATCCTGTGAGCATTTCCGCGGGGAAGCTGAGCACGTGAAGCTCGCTGGTTCTGTGCGAAGGGTATTCCTGGTGCTGAATAAAGGGTGTTGCTGTCAAGGCTGACAATTTGTAAGTTTGTTTCTTTCATAGTCTGGGCTTTGGAAGTGAACATCCACGTGGACATGGGTAGACATGCGAGTGGAAGCAGTGCCCGCTCCAGTGAGCCTGAGCTGCCTCCTGCCGGCCGCTGCCTGCCTTACCGGCTGCTTCTGTGTGTCTCCTCTTATCCTTGGGGCCACGTGGGCTGCAGGAATGGGCGGGGGGCAGGGAAGGAGAAGGAGAAGTGCCTCTTGTTTTGCAGATGCAACTGTGCTTCAGAGAGCCAAGGTGGGTCTTGAGGTGCATAGTGAAGGAGGGTGCCCAGGCCTCAACTGGTCCTATGGGAAGGTCAGCCTCTCTCCTGTTGCTGGCTTGCAGAGCTGGTCTATCCGTCCGTCCTAGTCCCTATGTTGAAATGTCAGATCTTAAAACCCAAGAATTTAAGCACTGGTTTGAAGGCATCGAAAGTCACATACTGGCCACATTAAGGACAGTCTATGTTTTTAAAAGAGTAAGGATTATAATGTAGTGTAACATAAAAATAAAAGTAGATTTTGAGGGAAGAGAAAGGAGTCTTGCTAGAATGATCCAGGAGTCTGGCCTGTGAGTAACGGGAATTCCAGAGGAGGAAATACCAGAGCAGAGGGAAGGTAAGAGGGAAGGTGAGACGGAAGGTGAGAGGGAAGGCGAGAGGGAAGGCGAGTGGGAAGGCGAGAGGGAAGGCGAGTGGGAAGGCGAGAGGGAAGGCGAGTGGGAAGGCGAGAGGGAAGGCGAGTGGGAAGGCGAGAGGGAAGGCGAGAGGGAAGGCGAGAGGGAAGGCGAGTGGGAAGGCGAGAGGGAAGGCGAGTGGGAAGGCGAGAGGGAAGGCGAGAGGGAAGGTGAGAGGGAAGGTGAGAGGGATGGTGAGAGGGAAGGTGAGGCAGAAACAGCAGAAACACATTTCCCAAGCCAAAGAAAAACCCACAGATCACAGGGCTCACCAAGTTCCTAGCAGTATTGGTGAGAAAAGACAACTAGGCATATTCTGGTTTAAGAAAAGAATTAAGCTGTAAACTTTAGAGTCTAGAAAAAAGAAAACCTTTTAAGCGCATGGATGAAAACAAATTGTAGTGGAAAAGTGATCAGCGATCAGGTATCCACCTCTTTGTCTTTGATGCTGGAGGCTGGAAGAGTGAAACATTGTCCACAATCTTCATGCATAACCAAAGTTAAATTCCTTATCCTGAGAGGAAGACATTCTTGGATGTGGGAGAGTTCAGAGGTCATCATCCTGGACCCCACTGGGGAAGATACCTTGAGGAGAAGGCCTTACCCAGCAGACATGATCACAGCCCTCGGTGTGGGGAGGGAGGCTGAGGCAGGAGCGGCTGCTAGTGGGAACCAGTTCATTCCAGTGGCACGCTACCCAGACATGCGTGTGAGGCCATGCTCCCGGGCTGCAGGGACAGTCCAATCATGTTGCCCTTGGTGCTGAGTTGGGAGGTCTGGGAGGGGGAGAGGGAAGAAGGGGATGCAGGCATCCAGGAGGTCTCTGGGTTGGGTGGGTGGAGGTGGAAGGAGGCTGAAGCTCCCTCTTGGAGTGGCGTGAAAACAAAATGGAGACAGATGTGATGGAGTACATTGATGCCACCTGGATTCGAAATAACTGTGGCGACATCTGTGAGCTGTCCCCGTGAGGGCCCAGAGAGGGAAGAGCAGCAGGCCAGGAAACTGAAAATGTGGATGCAGAATAACCAGGGATGGGGAGAGGTGAAGGGGTGGGGCCAGGGGAAGGGGGAGAGAAGGGAGGAGCGAGGACTCAGAGCCAGGAGCCAGGCCAGCCCCTGGGGGAGCCACTGGTGGAGATGAGGCCCCAAAGCTCCACCCTGGGCTACGGATGCACCCCCACCGTCTCTAATATACCACATGCTTGTCCTTCATCTGTTGGGCTACCATGCTGCTTTTCTTTACACGTGTTGACATGGTGAGTGACGTTAGTCAGTCCTGCACGTTCCAAGGTGGACCTGAGTGTAGGGGCAAGTCTTGCTTTTAATTCCCCTTTAAACACTGTCCTCCTTGGGTCTTCGTGTCAGGGCCGTGCTCACTTTGAGTTGGGAAACTGCCCACATTTTCTGTTCTCTGGAAGAGAAGGTGTAGGATTGGGATTCCTGTTTCTTGCCTGGTGGAACTCGCAGGAAAGTCTTCTGGGCCTGGGTTTGTTGTGGGAAAGTGGGTATCTAAGATCAAGTCTCCTTGAGTAGTTACAGGACGTTCAGCCTTCTTCTTGAGCCAGTGTTGTAGATTGTGTTTTTTCTAAAACTTGGACTCTCTTGCCGAGACTTTCAGAGTTTTACTGGCATGGAGATGAAGCTCAAGTATTTTCAAGATTTTTCAGTGTCTCGGGTTCACAGTGACACCCTCTTTTCTAATGTTCGTCTGTGCCTTTGTTTTTTCCTAAGTCTCACCAGAGGTTGTCAGTAACATTTGTATTTCTAAGCGACCTTCAGCTTGGCGATCCACTCTGTTGTATTTTTGGTTTCTACTTAATGTCTGCTCGTTATTTTCAGTTTCTACATTCTTGCTGTTTATTTTACTGTTCTGTTTATAACTTTCTGAGGTGGGTTAATTATTTTGTTCCCAGCTTTTCTTCTTTTCATGTGTATTTCATGCTCTAAATTTCTTTCTAATCTCTGTTTCAGCTGCATTTCCCCTAATTTTGTAGGTTATTTTTTCATTACCATTCAGTTTTAAATATCTTACAAAAGCGTGTTTATTAAAACAAAGTGTATGGGGTTTACACTTTTATGCTGATTTGTATTGTGGTCTGAGAACATCCTCAGATGAGTTCATTTGTGGGAAGTCTGTGGAGACTTGTTCCATGGTCCACCACATGCGTTTCTAGAAACGTCTTGCGCCTGCTCAGAATGTGAGTTCTTCGGGTTTCAGTGCAGGCTGACCCTTGTCCAGACCTCCCACTGCGGGCTCCCAGGGCCCCTCCCAGAGTTCTTGCTCTCTTCTTTTGTGCCTCTTTAAAGAACTACCTTTGAGGCTCTGCTGATAGTGTCTTTCATTTTAAAATGGCTTTATCTTTTCACTGAATGGAATCTTTTAACAACTTGCTTTCAAGTCTGTTCTGCCAGCATTTAACTGGGCTCTGCTGGCTTGGTCTGGTTACCTTTGCTTACTATGTTTGTTGAGTCCTTTCACCTGCATCTTAATGTAGACTTTGCTTCTGTTGCATCTCCTATGAAAATATAGCTGAATATGTGCTACCAGTTTAAAATTCTTTGTCTCTTACCTTGAGATTTTAGTCCATTTCTGTCTAGTGTAATTGCTGGCCTGCTTCAGTTTCAAGCCGCCATCTGTCCCAGCTGTTCCATGCTCCTGTGTCTCCTTTGTTTGGCAGAATTATTTTATCATTCTCTTTCCCTCCTAATACTTTAGAAGTTATTTTTTCTTCAAAACAGAAAAGCCACATACAAACTGGAGAAATTGTTGACAATGAAAATAATAAAAAAATTTCTCATATAGCAAAATATAGGTCATAACCTATATTAATCAACATTAAAAAGACAGCTGCCTTTGAGGGAAATGGGAAAAAGCATAAAGATAGTTTATGAAAGAGGAAGCACAAAGGCCAGTGGTCATGTGTAAAGGCAGGTGTTGCATTTCCATGATGAGCTGATGTGAGGCCCCGTGGGCAAAGCAGTATAAGGAGCGGCTCTGGATGTCTGGGCTGGGGGTCAGTTGTGCATCCAGAAGTGGAGGGAGCATCTTAGTATCTTAGTATTGGAAATTTATCCTAAGGAGTTGGTTGTCAAGTGTGAAAATTATACACAAAGCTGTCATAAAAGGACTGCTTATGGTAGGCAAATGATACAGAAATACAGGCCTGATTAAATAGGTTTCTTTTTCTTCTGCTTAATTCAATGAGATAGTATGAATCCATTGGAAATAATAATATGGACCAATATTCATTGATGTGGAATGAGTATGTTACATACGGTTGCATTAAGAAAGCAAGTAACAGAATAGTTCTATAGAATGCCCACTGGTTGCGGCTGTAGTTGTAACTTGTTTGAGCATTCATGTATAAAGAGGTTCACCAAAACATTGACTGTGATTCTGGGAATGAGATTTGGGTGATTTTTACTACCCTTTCTGTACTTTTTGAGATTATTATAATAAATGTGTCACGGTAAATATGTTTTCCATACAAAATTTTACATGGGGAAATAATATTCTTATCAATGTAATGGATTGAGAATTTCAGAGAAGAAAAGATCTAATATTACTCATGAAGCAGACCAGTTTCAGCTTCTGTTGTTTACAAAACCTACAGCAGCTATGTTCACATTACAGCATCCAAAATTTGTCATTCTAATCTGTGTCCTTAGACCTGTTCACAGAAACGATATGTCCCGGCTGCAATCTCTAAGGTGGATGCACAGGGCAGCTGGCCACTCTCAGAGCCAATTACCCTGATTGGATTTCTGCAGCACCCTGAGGAACAGCTGAGTCAGCAGCCCAGCCTTCCCCTGCAGAGCGTCTGCACTCGCCCTGGGTCCTGGAGGTAGAGAGCGGGCAAGCTCTGGTTTTTCAACCATGGTGCTTCTTGCTCCGCCAGGAAATAGGGCGCTGGCTGCGCCAGGGGAGGCGGCTGCTCCTGTGCCAGCTTGAGGGTCCCGTCTCTTCCCCACTCAGCCTGCCTTTACCTACACATGCCAGTTCCACCACCACACATTCCCTCTGCGTGGCTCACTTAGATATTACGGAATCTTGTCCCAGACAGTCCTCCTACAAATACTACCAACTGAGTTAGTGTTAGGAAGTTAAAACAAGTTTCCCATGGAAACCACATTCCAGCTCTTGCTTTTACCTTCCTGCTGGGACCGGGGTGACCAGGAAGCTGGAGTGAGACTCTGGGGCCCTGAGGGAGAGCCCTCACCACAGCTGCTCACCCTCCATCCTTTTGGGGCTGTAAATAAATGTTTGGCTGACTGCTCAACTCCCACATAGACCCGTGGTGCTGTTGCTCCGAGCTGACTTGAAGTGTGGGGGCTCATAACTCTGTTCTCAATCCTGCAGGTGGAGTTTAGCCACAGGTGGCCCATGCATTCTGAGGAAGTCTCTGTGTTTCAACTTAGGACAGACCCCCATGGCTGGCCTGGCGGGGACCCTGCAATGGAACATGAAGCTCCCTGAGCTCTCCCTGCTTCTTCATCTACCTGGCCCTGAGGGTGGGGGGTGGTCGCCACTAGTCCTAGAGACATGGGGGGAGGAGTGCCTATTGTTTTGGTTTTTTACTTGCTTTGTATGTGCATACCAAACACCTAGTTTTATGGAAAATCAGATACATTTCTCCAATCCTGTAGTAAGGCTGAAGTGTGGGTATTACACATCTGGTAGTCTAGGCATAAAATGAATTTGGAAGGTGTGTGCTGATCTCCTAGGGCTGCCTAACAAACTAGTGCAAACTGGGTGGCTTCAAACAATAAATCCACTCCCTCACAGATGCCTAAAATCTGAGACCAAGGTGCTGACAGTGCCCTGCTCCCACTGAAGGCTCCAGGAAGGTCATTCCAGCCTCTCTTCCAGCTTCTGGTGGATGCTGGTGTGCTTCATAGTCTTTGGCCTTCCTTGACTGTCCTCAACATTCCTTGGCTTTCCTTGGCCATTCTTTGCTTTTCTTGGTGTTCCTTGGCCGTCCTTGGCCTTCTTTGGCGTTCTTTGGTCTTATTTTGCCTTCCTTTTATTTCCTTGGCGATCCTTCATCATCCTTGGCTGTCCTTGACATTCCTTGGCCTTCCTTTGCTGTCCTTTGCTTTTCTTGGTGCTCCTGGGCTGTCCTTGGCCATTCTTTGACCATCCTTGGCATTCCTGGGCTGTCCTTGGCCGTCCTCGGCTGTCCTTGGCCATCTTTGGCTGTCCTTGACATTCCTTGGCCATTCTTTGACCATCCTTGGCATTCCTGGGCTGTCCTTGGCTGTCCTCGGCTGTCCTTGGCCATCTTTGGCTGTCCTTGACCTTCCTTGGCCATTCTTTGGCCCTCCTTGGCGTTCCTCGGCCTTCATTGGCCATCCTTGGTGTCCTTGGCCTTTGTTGGCCTCCCTCGTCCTTCCTCAGTCATCCTTGGACTTCCTTGGCATTCTTTGCTTTGTGTCTTCATCGCTTTATTCTCTGTGTTCGTCTTTATGTGGCCTTCTTCCTGTGTGTGTCTGTCTTCATATGGCTTTATAATAGACACCATTCATTGGATTTAGGGCCCTCCCTAACCCAGTATGACCTCGTCTTAACTAAATCTACAAAGACCTGATTTCCAAACAACATCACATTCTGAGGTTCTGAGCAGGCATGAATTTTGGTGGGCCGTACTTATCCCAGTGTGGGAGACCAGGGTGTATGTCTCAACCCTTCTCACTAGAATGCAAACAAGACCCCCAGTTTGCAGGTATCAGACGTTCACAGACTTGGAGCCTGCTGAGGAAGGGGGACTGGAAGTCTGGAGCCACCAACCTGTTTAAGGTACTTTTAACTGTTTTCCAGAGTAATGGTGACCTGGAAAGGAGAATAATTAGACTCTTCTATGACGGCTGAATGTTAGTTCTGAGCTGGCACTGATGCCAGGGGACCCAAAACACCACGGTGGCCTCCCCTTCCGTCCCTGGTCATGTTCTTTGCTCCAAAGCCTTCACTATCTGATTCGAGGATAGTAGCTCTTGCTTTCTTTGGTTAATGCTTGCCTGATGTGTTATTTTCCACCATTTTCCTCTCAGCCTGTATACATCCTCATATTTGAAGTGAGTTTCTTGTACACAGCACATAGTTTTTCTAATCTACTTTTTCTATTTTTTTTCTATTTTTTTTTTTTCTTTGAGACAGAGTCTCACTCTTGTTGCCCAGGCTGGAGTGCAGTGATGCCATCTCGGCTCACTGCAACCTCCACTTCCCAGGTTCAAGCAGTTCTGCCTCAGCCTCCTGAGTAGCTGGGATTACAGGCGTGTGCCACCACACCCAGCTAATTTTTTGTATTTTTAGTAGAGACAGGGTTTCATGTTGGTCAGGCAGTTCTCGAACTCCTGATCTCGTGATCCGCCCACTTCGGCCTCCCAAAAAGTGCTGGAATTATAGGCATGAGCCACCGCGTCAGCCCTTTTCTATTCTTTTCATTGATGTCTTTGTACTGTTTACATTGAATGCAATTATTGATATGTTAGGGCTTACATCCACCTTTTTGTTTTTTTGTTCTGTGCTTAGTGTTTCTTTTAATTAATTACTTTAAATGGACAAAAAATAATTGTAAATATTCATAGGATACTCTGTGATGTTTTGATGACACACACAGGGAAGGATTCATACCTGTGGTGTTCTGAGCGTCTCTGTGTGTGGGCAGCTCTGGGAGTTATCTTACACATGGGCATATACGGCTTCCTGATGCCACCTTAGTAGGGTTTGAGGTGTGGTGTTGCGGCCTGGCGGAGGTGGAGTCCAGGCTCCCCCGCTGGCCTTTGCTGGCGTGGGTGGGGTGCAGTGTGGCCCCTGGTGACTGGCTGGATGGAGCAGTTCCCATCCGGACATTTCTCATCCTGTTATACTGCTCATTCCCTGGGTCTCCGGCCAGAGACAGCAGGCTTTTGCAGGACATTTTTGGGGGTTGGGGGGTGCGGTTTGCATCCATTGGTCTTTCTGTGTTGCTGGCTTCTTCATCTGTCAGGGATCTATGAGGAAAAAGCCCAGGGCTCCCCAGAATGCCATTTCTCAGGTTCCAAGCCCAGCGGGGCTGCCTCCTCCCCTCCTCTCAGAGTGTCTGTCTTGTGCTTGTTTTTTGTGCAGGGTCCAGGGTTCACGGTTGCACTTAGCAAGAGGCATGGGGAAAGCTCATATCCTCCACATTCTGTGAGCAAAAGACCTGGCCATTCACTGTTTTGGTTTTTGTTTGTTTGTTTGTTTGTTTTTTGCGACAAAGTCTTGCTCTGTCACCTAGGCTGGAGTGCAATGGTACGATCTTGGTTCACAGCAGCCTCCACCCACCGGGTTCAAGTGATTCTCGTGCCTCAGCCTCCCGAGTAGCTGGGATTACAGGCGCGCACCACCACGCCCGGCTAATTTTTGTATTTTTAGTAGAGATGGGGTTTCGCCATGTCGGCCAGGCTGGTCTCAAACTCCTGACCTCAAGTGGTCTGCCTGCCTCGACCTCCCAAAGTGTTGGGATTACAGGCATGGGCCGCTGCTCCCGGACTGGCCATTCACTTTTAAAGGAAGGAAGCATAGACTTAGACTTTGCTGTGCCTGGACTTCTTGGGGATGATGAAAGGTGGCTGGCAGGTCAGGGGCCTGGTGGAGGCAAGAGCAGCTGACCTGGGAGAAGGTCTGAGAGGGTGTCCTGTGTGGGCAGGTGCGGAGCGTGTATGTCAGCTGCTGAGGGATACATGGGACCAACAGGGAGGTATTGTTCAGGTGTGGGCTCTGGCCCCCTAGCCTGCACCGTGGCCCCTGTGCCCGGGGGTCACTGAGGCAGGGGAGCAAGCGACGCATGTCCTGATGGGGGCGCCCTTCCCGGCCTGATCCAGCTGAACCGCGCCACGGGTCCCAGTGCACTTGCAGCATCCCCAGCACTCCTGTGAACCGCAGAAGCCTCACCTGTCTCCAGGGACCACACAGCATTGCTGACGCCGAGGGCCCCATTTCGAGGCGACGTGCACACTCTGCAGAAGCGTGGTCCTGCGGTGTCCCCTCCCAGAGGCAGGCGGGATGACAAAGGCTCAGCTGAGGTGTCTCTGCCCCAGACAGTGGCACTGAGTTGCCAAACATTGGATTCAAGGGCCTGAGGGTGGGGAGGGAAGCAGGACCTGCCCTTCTTATTGCCCCATCTCGGGACACACTTGGAGTTTGTGCTTCTCATTTCTGCAGCCTCAGCTGCTGGCCCCCTAGTCTTGCTTCCGCCCCGTACTTCAGTGAGGCAGCCATGGAGCTGCAGTTGTGAGGGCCGCCTGGCCACTTTGGAGCCCTTGTGCTGGTGGGCAGAAGGCAAAGAAGAGAGCTGCTTAGGTGGGGCGGGGCGGGGTGGGGGGCAGTGACAGAGGGTCCTGTGAGGACCTGGGCACCGCCAGGTAAGGAGGTGCCTGGAGCCCAGCACGTGTCTCTGCTGCCACAGTGATGATCATGGGTACCTGGGGACCAACAGTGGCCGAGGCCCAGCAACCCAACTCTCAGGGGTGAAGCTGGTTCCCCCACCCGGCAGGCGATTTCTCCGGCTGAGAGTGGCCATGGAAGATGAGGCACGCTACTCACACCACATGGTAACCTGCAGCCGCATGCACTGGGAGGCCCTGCAGAGCCTCCTCTGCTAGCTCTCTATGGTGCCGTGACCTGGGAGGGGCTCTGGGCAGAACAGGGTTAGTGCCAGGCAGGAGGAAACCAACAAGGGCAGCAGTGGACTCCAGTGGCCACAGCTCTCTCTCGGGCCCCAGCTTGGTACTGCTGCCCTTGGGCTTCCCCAGTTGTCCCCAGGCAGTGTGTCCCCCTCTCCCCTGCCAGTGCTGGGCGCTCCAGCTCACGGCTCGGCTTTGCAAGGTCAGGGCCCAAGACGTCCATGGGAACCTGCAGCACCTGCTTGCTTACCACCTGCCCGCTTGCGGCCAGGAAGCGTGTGTGACTGTCTTGGCAGTGGCATTTTCCTTTGTCCCAGCACTGGTTCCGCAATGCATTTTGTAAGGGTCCTCCAGGGGCCACCTGGGGAGTGGCCAGGGCGATAGGGTGTCCTCTGCACTCTCCGTTCCTGGGTGCTCAGGGCATCCTGGGGGTGCCTGCCTCTGCCCGGCTCTCCTTGCGGGGAAGCCACACTGAGGCACCGACACTGCCCGTTGTGAATTCTGCGACCACTTCTGGTAAGTTCTCAACAAGTAGGCGTAGCACAAAGCAAGCATTCGTGTTCTCAGATCCCAAGTTGTCTTTTCTACAAAAGCCAGTGACAATTTAGAAACGGAGAAAGTGACCTTGCTCTCCAAGAAGCAAATGAAAATAGTGGGAGCAGCATCCTTGCTGGCCTTCTTAGAAAGCAGTGTATGAATGTATCTTCTCATGCTTTCAACAGTCACCACAATTTAAAAAATACAGTATCAGGAGAACTAAACTGACCCAGGTGATTATGTTGAAGCATCTTTTTTTTTTTTAACTTCAAGTTCTTTTAGCAAAGTGAATCCATATTCCACCTGATTATGATTTATTCCAAGAAATCAATCATCTACGACGGATGAGCTGAGCAGGAGATGTCGTTCCAGAGTGAATTAACTGGTCAACAGTCAACCATCGTTTTCCATTTTGTGTCCAGACCCGGACACTGGTGGTTCCCAGCCTTGGGTTTCAGAGGTCAGCACAAGGAAGTCAGGAAGCAAGTTTCCTCCTGTGGTTGCTTCTGTGGCCAGGGAGGGGCGTCCATCTGGGATTCTCATCCTGTCACACAAGCATGGCGTACTAAGCCAGCAGGCAGGGACGCCATTGCTTCTGAATGACGGTTATTTTCAGGGAGGGACCCTTGGCAGTCCTACACCACCCTTGGTCACAGGTGTGTTTCTGGTTCTGCCGGCAGCAGCGTTCAGGAGAGGGGTGGGGCCCTTAGAACCACCGCCCACCCCAGCAAACCTGGCCCCAAGGACGGCCTCGCCACATCAGCCTCACGGCTCCGGGGCTGTCTCCACCACGAGCCAGTGTCCACAGTGCCCGCTGACCTGGGGAGTGGCTTGGCTTGGCCTGGCCTAGAAAAGACCTTGCCTGGCTGGAGGCCCCACCTCAAGGGTGACCTCCTGGGTGGGGAGGAGGTATGCCGGGGTGCTCCCAGTGCAGCATGTGTGACTGTTCAGCCTTTCTCCCAAGACGGAGCCGCCCAACCTTTAGCGTGTCTGCTTCCAGATGGGGAGGCCCAGTCCCTGTGGAAGTGACTGCTCTCCCGCGGCCCAGCCTCGGGACCCTCCCGTCAGCCCTCTCCATTCACGCTAAACTGCGCTGTTCCTCAGGCTAATATCACCATTACAGTACTAATTTATTAGACACAGGGAGATTTTAAATTTCATTTTAGTGCAGTTATTTAAAATTTAAAACGATAACGTCTAACTCAATTAAATTTCAGTTGATTTATTTAAAGAATTGTAAATGCACGAAGTCTAATAACATGAGTGAGTCATAAGAACTCTAAGAACAGCTTCATCTCCATGTAGGGGACCTGCTTTCGGGCTGGTCTTGTCAGGAGGTAACAGTAAGAAAGATTCAAACCAGGCAGATCCGGGATTGAAAACTGATCCAGCCTCAACTTCCTGGACTATTTTTTATCTACCTAAACTTCTCATGTCTTACAATAATTACGTTTTCTTTTTTACCTTTCTTTTTGGGGATTTCTGGCACTTTCATCATTTAGAGGCTCTGGTGGAAGAGCCAGCTAGCTGTTCACCACTGTGGAGAGGACTTTGAAGGCACGGGGGCCACGCCTGGCATCCCCTGCCCCATCACGCTCCTCGCGTGGAGCTCTGTTTCCCAGCTTGACTTTGTGCCTAGATGAACCGGCTGAAGGATGCGTGACTTGACTGCGTAGATGAACCGGCTGGTAGCACACTGCGGCTCCTCTTATGGAAACATGCTCCTGGCCCTGTGGCCTGTGGGGCCCCCCCTCCCCGGATGTTCGCATCATCTCGCCAGGTCAGCTCAGCAATGTCGTCTAACAGCCGGGACTGATGTGGTCTGCATGGCTGAGCCCCCCAGATCCGAGTGTTGAAACCCTCGGTGGGGTTATGAGGAGGCGGGTATGAAGTGGTATGAGGAGGAGGGTCCCTCAGGAATGGGATTCGTGCCCTTATAAAAGGGACTCCAGAGAGCTTCCCGCCCCTTCCACAAAGTGAGGACACAGCGAGAAGGGGCTGTCCGTGAACTCGGAGCTCTCAGGGGACACGAAACCTGCCGGAGGCCTGATCCTGCGTGTCCTGGGGCTCTCCGTGGGCATTTCCTGTCTGCGTGGAGAGGCACAGCCGCAGCGGGAGCCGGAGCAGGTGGTGTGCAGGGAGAGGCGGAGCCGCGCGCAGGGAGGGGCGGAGCCGCGCGCAGGGAGGGGCGGAGCCGCGCGCTGGGAGGGGCGGAGCCGCGCGCTGGGAGGGGCGGAGCCGTGTGCAGGAATGAGAGGGGCGGGAGAGCCCGATTTCACTGCTTGCGCCCTTGGATGCTGCTTGAGCCCGGTTGTGGGTTCTCATTCTGTTAGGCAGATTGGGCTTGGTGTTTATCCCATTCACTGGATGGAATCCTGGTGGACTGAGGTCTGGCCCCCGCTTAGGAATGCGGAGATGGGAGCAGGTTAGTCCTGTGCTGGCTCCGAGGTCGCCCTGAGGTCGCGCCCTGGGCTGTGGGCTGCCCCAGCTGCTTGCTTCCAGGAGCACCATTTTCCCTTGCAAAGAAAGGACGCCACTGTGGTTATTGCACGTGGCTGTCGCCAGACGTTTTCTGAAGCCAGATGAAGTGAGCCCACTACTTTGGGGAGATCAGTCAGCTCTGTTTGTCGTCAGAACATCTGAGCATTCAAACAAATGCTAGAGTTTGGGGAACGAGTATCCCCCACTGTGAGTTTGGCAGTTTCCCAACATGTACAGACTCCTGAGGCGCTCGGTGAGAATGAGGATGAATGCGACTTACTCACCTTGTGAAGTAGAATGTGCTGACTTACGGAGATCTGCTTAGCTAAGTGACCCAGTATCTGCTAATGACCAGTGCAAGCTGTTACAAAATTATGCGTGGTTAAAAGAGTCAAAGTGCACTATGAGGCTGGGCACAGTGGCTCACGCCTGTAATCCTAACACTTTGGGAGGCCGAGGTGGGCGGATCACCTGAGGTCAGGAGTTTGAGACCGGCCTGGCCAACATGGTGAAACCCTGTCTTTACTAAAAATACAAAAAATAGCTGGGCATGGTGGTGCGCGCCTGTAATCCCAGCTACTCGGGAGGCTGAGGTGAGGCAGAAGAATCGCTTAAACCCGGGAGGTGGAGGTTGCAGTGAGCCGAGATCGCGCCACTGCACTCCAGCCTGGGCGACAAGAGTGAAACTCCGTCTCAAAAAAATAAACAAAGTGCACTATAGACCAGTGGAGTTTAACACAATGGAATATGAAGTTCACTGGTATGTTTCAGATTTTATTTTTGGGACCAAGCTTTAGGAAACTGTAATTTGTTGAGTTTTAGTGTAATATCAAAGAAGAATCCAAATTCTCAGAAAATACTATAAAATAGATCTTTCTTTTCCAACTAGATATCTGTGTGAGGCTGGATTTTCTTTGCCTACTCCAACCAAAGCGACACATCACAGCAGACTGGATGCAGAAGCGTGCGTGGGAATGCAGCTGTTTTCCATGGAACCAGACGCTACAGAGACTGCAACGTGTAAAACACTGCCATTCTTTTCATTCCTTTGAATAATTTTTTTAAAATTTGCTATTTAACACGTAATAGTTTTTTATTTTAAAATGAATTAATACTTTTTTTTTTTTGAGAAGGAATCTAGCTCTGTCACCCAGGCTGGAGTGCAGTGGCCCCATCTCAGCTCACTGCAACCTCCACCTCCCAGTTTCAAGTGATTCTCCTGCTCCAGCCTCTCAAGTAGCTGGGATTACAGGGCACCACCGTGCCCACCTAATTTTTGTATTTTTAGTAGAGACAGCGTTGACCATGTTGGTCAGGCTGGTCCCGAACTCCTGACCTCGTGATCCACCTGCCTCGGTCTCCCAGAGTGCTGAGATTACAGGCGTGAGCCACCGCGCCTGGCAATAAATATTTTAAATGATCGGTTTTAATTCTAATAAGGTAAATATCAACGCACATTGCCCACATAAACAGAAGCTCTTTAGGGTCCTCAGTAATATTTACAACTGTAAGGGATGCTGAGACCGAAACCCTTAAGAACTGCAGCTTTGAAGATGTGTTTGTTCTCTTGAGGAGATTTTATTTTGTTCACTTAGGGACAGTTTTCTTCCCCAATTATATACATGTTTAAAATCTACAAAGCATTTGTGAGAACACTTGGCCAGGGCGAGCAAAATGTAAGTATGTGTTAAGTAGGAAAATAAATACCTTCTAAAAATGTGCAGTAACGCATTGGTGTCGCGTAATTTCCTTGAAGATGTTGATTGTCCTCTGAACTCAGGGTTATAAGGGGATTTCTCTGTGTTTCGTGGGACATGCCTTTTTATTAAATGGAGTTCTCTAAAAATCACATGAAGCACGTTGATAGCGTCCATGTTTTTGACAGATAAAAAGAGGAAACGTCTGCACACTGTCCATTTAAACCAGGGAAGGGCTGTGTTTGGTAACTCTCATATTGACCATCATCTTCAGTCAAATGCATTCCACTGAGTCTTTATACAGTCTCACTCATGTTCTTCTCATCTGGTTAACAATTAGCAATGCATTCATTTATTTCATGTAAATGTTCAAAATAAAGGTCACAATTTATTTCCCCCAAAACATGTGAGTCGTGATTTCATGGTCTGGCATGTGGTTCTGAGTTACTCTTGATATCCGAAAACTTTGTTCCTAGGCCACTATTTGCATTGCTATAATACCTGCATAGAGCTTCACAGAGAAAAGCAAGTTCACGCTGAAGGTGGAGATTCACCAGAAGAAACCTCCACAGGCACCAGAAGTGGTCCCAATGCCCTTGGCCCTCCCCTCCCCACCCCTCCTCTCACTTCCCCCTCCTCCACTTTTCCTCCCTCATCCCTCCTTCTCTTCCTCCCCCTCCTCCTCCCCAGTGCCGGCAGAGGCAGGCTACAGCCCTCTCCTTCCCTCCCACTCTCTGTAGCCACCTCTGCTTCCTTCTCCATCTCTGCGGCTCTTTCTAATATGTGTGGACCTGACTTCTGGGCGCTGATGGAAGCGCTGCGTGGACGCATCAGAACGAAAGCCAGACACGCTGACCATTTAAAGCAGAGTGCGTTGTTTTCTTGGAATCTGGGCTCCCAGGAAGGTGGCCCTTTCCCTGTGCTGGGCGACAGCCTCACCTGACAACCCCCCCAGGGCCGACTGCTCCCTGTCTTGTCATCTCTTCATGGGACATGTACTTCGGAAACAAATGTCCAGCACAGTCCTGGTGGAGCCCAGCAGTTCTCATTTCTCGCCTTCATTTTCCTGGGTGGCTCGTTATTTTACTGAGAGTACTTAGGGGTCGTTGGTCGTGGTGCTGCTTGCAGGCTGGTGTGTTTCAGTGTTTCCTGGCCTCTCCCCTGAGTGCGGGGACGGGAGGCACTTTATTAGTGTCACTGATTTTGCTGATGTTTCTGTTAATTTAATTTTATTATATACTGTTGAGAATGCCTTTTTCCTCTGCAAACACATTTGCATACTCCAAGTGAGTTACTGCGCCCTCATTAATGAATGGAGCTTGTTCTGCCGTGAGAATGGCCGTGGAGCGCCCTGGAGGTGCCCGGCCCACGATGGGTCGCTTCCAGAACTGTGTGTGCTTGCGCCAGTACTTTCCACTCCCTGTGTGTTTTCTAATAGGAAAAGATGTCACTTAGTGTGAGTGAAATTCCCTCCAGGCCCAGGCGAACATTCCAGAAAGGCATCTTCCCTGGTGCTGCTGGGGCAGGGGAGATGGAAGGAGATCCCCAGAGGGGGCCTGGGGCCTGGGGCCTGGCGCTGTGGATGAGAGGCACTCTGGGGCTGGCTGTGCTGAAGCAGCAGGAGCAGGTGGCTCTGGAAAGGGATTTGGAGGGGACACCCTCTCCATCCTCTCTGTGCCCCTCCCTGTTCCCAGCCCCCTTCCCCCGGCTCCTCCTCCTGCCAGCTCCTTGCTGGGCTGAACCTTCCCTGCCTCCGGCCTCTGTGGAGAAAACCCGGTCCTTCCAGCTTCTTGGAATGCTTCGGGCAGCTCTGGGTGTTGGTGTCTCATCTCTGTCTGGTCAGGGGGACTTGAGAATCTGTCCTTGAGGCCCGCAGGGGTGCTGGGGCTGCCTCCTTCCTGAGAGAGTGCCGTCTCCCTCGGGAGTGGGCTGTGCTTCCACTCCTGCTGTTGCAGGGGCACCAAGAGGGCTGCTTCAGGAGTCAGGTCAGGAGGGAGATCGAGTCGCTCCTCACCCTAGAGCCATCATCAGCTCTGTGGCAGGAGAGGATGGCACCTCTGTGTGCTCACCATCACCAGCCGCAGGGATTCCGGGAGGAGGCATCCAAAGGGAAACTTCCTTGCTGTTTTCCTTCCTTCTCACTTAAAAGGCACCTGCGGTTCCGAGAGCCTATTACAGGCATCTGTTTCCACTACACGGGTGAGTTTGTAACCAAACTGTAGTGTCTGAATCATAAAATTAGTTATTTCTCTAAAAAACCACAATCTTCCAAAAGCTATGTTTAGAAATACTTAAAGTAAATCCCTATGAGAACAAAACAAAACAGAGTAGCTTGTTTGTTTAAAGTAGCCCTCATCCCACCTGACTTGGGTTCACACTTCCTGGCTAGACCGTTGAGCTGTTTGTTTACGTGATGAGAGCCCAGACCCCCAAGAAACCTCAGAAACCCCCCGGGCACGCCCAGGGCTCAACTGAAGGCAAAACGCAACCTGCACGTGCCGCGGTGTGAGCAGTGCCAGGAGCAGCGATAAACTGTCCCCACACAGGACACCGTGTGCTTGAGGCCAGGAACACATCCCGGTGGCCCCTTCTGAGTACATCTGACCCATGTTCAGACCAGCTGCAGGGGCCTGCCCAGCCCAGGTGTGAACAAAGGACGGTGGCTTCTGATCTCCGCTGAGCACCTCGCGCTGCAAAGACTGTGAGGACCTGGTGCTGGGTGTTGCCTCCGCCTCCTCCGGCCACAGAGCCCACAGGGCATGGGCGTGAGTCCCTGAGAGCAGAGCCTGGCGCCAAAGCCCAGCTCTGAGAAGGAATGGTTGGGAGGCCCCCATGGCCAGGAGAGCCACGCTGGCCCATTTGCACACAAGTCAAAAATTGGAGCTATAGGTAAAAGTGACAGCATCGTGGACTGGTCCCATGACCGCACCTGCATCTGCAGCAGCCCCACTGTGATGGCGGGGACCTCCTTACTAATACGAAGGGTCTGCTGCAGCCCCACTGTGATGGTGGACTGTCTTACTAATATGAAGGGGCACAGGTGGGGCTTTGAACTCAGCCTCGGTTGAACCCCTCCGAAGGTGAAATTCCTGGAGTCCGGGCTCTCGGGGGTGTCCGACGTGTGAAAGCAACTCAAAGGCCCACAGCACATCCTCATTTCCCTGCTCAAGGGCTGTGCTGATTAACCTGAAAAACTGCCAAATGTGGTAGAAAAGGCTGGAGTTGAGAATTGGAGAGTTCATCACCGATCCTCATAGCTTTATCCTAAAGAGGGCCCCAGCCTCTTAAGTTGCATGCGTACACTGAATTTTGTGGCTCACCCGTTGGGGCCTGGCCTTCTCAGAGCTGTGGGATGGACTAGGGGTCAGTGGCCAGCGCAGCCTGGGTTCCATTTCTGTATCTGTCATGGGCAGAATGACGCCCCCCACATGCATATGTTTAGGTCCTGACCCAGTGCTTGAGAACCTGACTGTGTTTGGAGACAGGCCCTCTAAAGATTAGGGTGGGCCCTGATCCACTAGGACAGGTGTCCTTCTAGAAGGAGGTGAGGACACAGACAGGCACAGAGGCAGACCCTGCAAGGACACAGGGAGTCTACACGGTCAGGATCGAGGCCCTAGGAGGATCCAGCCCAGCCGCACCCTGACCTTGGACTTCCAGCCTGGGGGTTGGTGAGAGAAGCCCCTCCTGTGGCATATCCTTGGGGCCGTGCCTGCTCGCTAATCCAGGCTCGTGCGCCCTGCCTGTCCCTCCGGGTGGCTTCCCGTCTCTACCCAGGCCCCCTGCTGCAGAGCCCACCTAGGACCAGGGAGGTGGCAGGGATCCACCAGTGGGCCCCGGAGCCCCTTCCTATAGCCCTCTGTCAGGCAGGGATGTGGGACCCTCCACCTCCCGGCTGCTCCCTCTTCTCTGCCCTGGGCCAGGCAGTGGTGTCTCCCCCATCAAGTTCGCCTTTCTCCAAGTCACTGCTGGGAGCTGCTCCTGCCTCCCTGGGCGTCTGCAGAGCTGGCAGGGCTCCCACCACTCCGGGCATTCAGAGCTTCTTAGGCCTACCTCTGCCGCCTGTGCCATTTCGGATGCGGGGTCAACGTGTACCCTTCTTTGCACCTTTTAAAGGGTCCAGCCAGGACACCCGCCCTCTCGCTCCACCTGGCGTCTTGGAGTTCTGGCTTGAAACCCAGTTGAGGCCCTCAGCCTCGTGCCTGCCGCCCCGGCCCATCCATGTTTCCACGGTGGCAGAGGTGATTCTGGAACCACAGGCAGAACAGCGTTTTCTTTTCCTGCTGAAGATCGGAGCAGGTGCCCCTCCCTCCAAGTCGTGGGCGTGGGTTTGTGTCTGGAAGGACCACACAGCCCGGTTCCTCTCATTCCTGAGCTGGCACCTCCGCCGCCCGCTCTGCACTGGGTCTCAGACACCTGCTTGTCCTGCAGCCATCAGAGGGGATTAAAATTAACAGCAGCTCGGACGTGAGGGGAGACGGGCCTCAGACGCTGCCCCCGCCCATGGTTACCCTCTCACAGCGGGAGGCTCACAATCAAATTCTCACAAAAGGTCACATTTGCAATAAGTAAAAAGGAAATGCAGGTAATTGGTTCTGGAGACTGTTAATACCTCTGCGGGCCCTGAGAGGCGATCTGATGGAGTTGAAACCTTTTTGTTCAGGTAATTAAAAATGAGATTTCATTATATCTTTTAAAATGAGGGCAAGTGAAGTGTTTTCTCAGATGCTATGATGTTATTGAAAGAGGAAAATAAATCAGCAAGGCATGGCACAGCCTTGGCTCATAAATGGATCATGGCTCCGTCCCGGGCTGGGGGTGCCCATAGGAGAACTCACCCACAACCCCGAACCCTCCGGGCAGAGATGGAGCCTGGGGCACAGAACAGTGTGGACCCCACAGGTTCCAGAGGGTTGGGAGCGATTAGACCCCTCGGGATGAAATGTGGATGGAGAAATTGGCAGACTGAGATTCTAAACAAGTCACAGGCAGCCTCTTTTCCAGTGCGGGAGATTATTTGTAGACACTATTACGAGGTAAATGGAAGGGAAATGAGATAGTCTGCCCCCCGGGGCCTCATCTGTCCTTCCCCAGACAAAGGGCGACCAGTGAGGGCCGAGTCTTCGGAGCTGGAGGAGAGAGACAGAGACGAGGGGCAGGTCAGCTTGCCGGGAGACAGGTGTGGCAGCAGCTGACGGGGCTCAGACGTGGTGTCACGTAATCTCCATCTTCATGACAGGTCCCCAGAAAATCACGATGAAAACTTTGCATCGGGAAATCTCACCATTTATATAAACCAAGGCGAATGTTGCATCTAACAATAAAATACAGGAATGTATTTGAATGTTTTTTTGTTTTTTTTTTCAGTTCCAACTAAGGAGGCATTTGTGGGTGCTTTATTCACACCCGGATGGGAGGACGTGGCAGCTTTGTGGCTGGCAGGCTGACTTCCCACGTTCTTGGAGCCCACGTTGAGGGGCTAGCATTGCTCTAATGTCTGGGTAATTTTGAAGAAAGCTGCTGCGGGTGCACCGGGAGCCCTGTTGTGCGTCGGTGACCCCTCTGTGCTGCGATGGCCGTGTCCTGCCTTTGGTCACACAGGGTCCCAATGCTGAGGCTCACTCTGCAGACGCATTACCCTCACCTGAGTCTAGAGATGCCACCATGGGCTTCCCCGGTGGATTTGCTCACAAACGCTCTGGAGCTCCATAAACCTCATGGTTTTCTTTCATATGAAAAATTCTTTTTTGTGGTTTACAGGAAGAAAAATTCTGATGTTCCAGATCTTTCAGGCACATTTTATTGGTGAACATTATTCTTCACAAGATTCATTTAATTTGTAAATGGAACAATTAATTTCTATCCAGATGTTAGGATTAAAAACATAACTGAAGGAGAGGTCTTTTTGGCTTCAGTAAAAATGCTTATCAACAAAATCCCAATTTTATGTAAAGATAAAGTGCTGTGCCAGAAAAATCATGGCTTATTTTCTTGCATATTTCTCGTCATCATTTCCATTTCCAGCATTTACTTTTTTTATTTTAACTGAAGAGAAAATTAAATGCTCTACTTAAGTTTCCTCCTGTTATTTACAAGTTGTCTTCTTCAATCCGTGGGTGAGATTGGCTGCAAAGTTTGAAGAAGATAGCAAACTCTGCAAAGAGATGAGATTTGTGTCATTAAAAATAAAAGCCACATGCACGAGTCATCATTTTTCATCTTTCAGTGTGTTGTTAGTTTTGCTGAACCGTATACTTTGTACTAATAATGCTAATTTGTCTGTTACCTTTGATGACTGTTGAATGGAGCTGCTGTTCCACAGACAGAGGCCTGATGACTCTCCCCGTTCTTACCCTAAGAAGAGGCGGCGGGCAACAGCCCCCACTTTCAAGGACTGCGTGCCGGCCCCTCCTCTGCTGGCCCCACATTTCCTATTTTAGGGTTTTGCATTCTTTCCTGGAGGCAGCAGGTGACGATGACAGCCTCAAGGCCTCCGGGGCACTCGGCTCTGGTTGCGAGAGCTGTTACTGGCGATCTTTAAACAGCACTGGTCTGCTCTGGAGCTGCCCGTTCTGGGGCCCTCGCTGTCCGCGGGCTGACTGCGTGTTGTCGGGGACACTTGTGGACACTGTTTCTAGGCTGTTCTCACACCACGGCTGTTCTGTGTCCCAGAGGCCAGGCCCCTGTCCGCAGCCTGTCTCTTCCCCCTGGGGCCTTTCCGTGGGTCCCCATTGGGTTGGTCTTTCTCTCCTCTCTTCTCCCTCCACACTGTCCTGTCGGTGGGGCCCCCTGTCCTAGTGTCCCTCTCCAGCCCTCCCCCGAAGCCAGCTGCAGCTGGCAGGGCTCCCTGGTGGAGGCCTCCCTGTCCCTGCCCGTGTGGTTCTCAGGTGGGGGTCTTGTTTCTTGGTGGGCGTCTCCAGGGCAGGACTGGGTGTTCCTTCCTCTCTGTGGACCCCAGACACAGGGCGCTGACACCTGTGTCGGGTGATACTTAAGAGCGTTTTGTGCCACGGGGGACCCAGAATCGAGCTCGGCTGTTCAGTTGATTGTAGCCATGTCTGTAATAAATGGTGATGATCCAGGACCCTCGGGACAGTTTCTCCTCGAGCTTAAGGGGACCTTCTCAGGCTCCCCGAGGCTCTGCCTGGCTGCGATTCTGCATGGAACAACGCAGCTGCGGTGGGAGGCATCCAAGGAGCTGGTACTAGTGAGAAGTGCCCCCCCAGCACCCGAAGTGAGGTCTTTACAAGGGCCACGTCTGACTCTGCTCAGAGAGTTCGTTGGCCTGTGCTGATCAGCACACACCTGGGCTGGTGACCTCTGTCCCCCACTGCCTGGGCCTGGTGTCCTCCATTCCCCACTGCCAGTGCTGGTGACTTGCACCCCCCACTGCCTGGATCTCGTGACCTCCACTCTGCCGCTGCACGGGCCTGGTGACCTCGGTTCCCTACTGCCCAAACCTAGTGACCTCCACCCCCCTGCAACTTCCTGGGCCTGGTGACCTCCCTTCCCCACTGCCCGGGCCTGGTGACCTCTGCCCTCCACCGCTTAGGCCTGACAAACTCGGCCCCCTGCCACCCAGGCCCGGTGACCTCGGCCCCCTGCCACCTGGGCCTGACGACCTCTGCCTCCAGCTGCCTGGGCCTGCAGGGGTCAGCCAGTCTTCCCCCGGGAGGGGAGAGGCTCCCTAGGGCCAGCGGGTGGTTTGCTCCCTGCTCGGGGTTCTGGCGGGGCCTGCAGGGCTCTGAGCCCTGGAGGGAAGGGGCTCCTCTTTTCAGATTCACCCACAGGAGCCTGGAGAGTGAGCCGCCCCCACACTGGCATGCAGAGGCCCAGGGTCTCGCTCCCCACTCCTGGCCTGGCTTTTCCTGGAGGCTGTCCCTGGAACCCTTCAGGAAAGAGGAGGCATGTGGGTGAGGGGAGGACTCCTGCATTATCTCAGAACCCAAATGGCTCCAGACCTCTCCAGCCCTGCCCCAGGACTCAGCGCTCACTAATACCCACCTGCCCTTTGTCTCCCAGCCCCCACTCTCCCTCCCCACAGCCTTGGGAGGGTCCCACCTGGACTGAACTAGGGGCTGCGGCGGGACCCAGCCCCGTTCCTGCTTCAGCTCTCTGTCAACTCTCCGGAGCTGGGCAGGTCCCCTCGCTGCTGGGGGTGAACCTGTGGATATGCTGCTCTGTCACTCACACTGCCGCAGGGCCATCCAGCCACGGCTCAGGATTCTGCGCAACAAACACCTTGAACCCACTGTAATTAGCAAAATGTACCTTTTAACCCAATCCTGAGTCCTGAAGTGCAAATATAAATTCCAATTAACAGCCACATCTACTTGGCAAGCTATGCTTGCATGTATACATTTTTAAAAAATTACTTAAGATAAATGATTACTGGAACTCCTCATTAGTTTTAAGCAGAACTAAATGAATACAGTATTAAAAAAAATTAACCTGCCTTCTTGAAAATATTATACTAACTTCAAAATAGGAGAGGCTTCGTGTTAATGGACTGGATCCTAGTGTGTGGGAATTCAGTTCACCGGCTGCTCGTGTGAGAATCATACTGAGCACCCACAGAAAAGCCTGCTGTGGACAGTGCCGTACAGTTCACAAAGGCGCCGCAAACTATGAGCTCTGCTAATCCAGTCACTCGAGTCTGTCCTGTAACAGGGACAGTTTCTAGATTAGGTCAATCACTAAAAAACTTAAAATCTAAATCTTTTCTTTTCTTCTTTTGAGACAGAGTTTCGCTCTTGTTGCCCAGGCTGGAGTGCAGTGGTGCAATCTCGGCTCACCGCAGCCTCTGCCTCTCGGGTTCAAGCAATTGTCCTGCCTCAGCCTCCAAGGTAGCTGGGATTACAGGCACCCGCCACCACGCGTGGCTAATTTTTTTGCGTTTTTAGTAGAGACGGGGTTTCTCCGTGTTGGTCAGGCTGATCTCGAACTCCCAACCTCAGGTGATCCGCCAGCCTCAGCCTCCCAAAGTGCTGGGATTACAGGCGTGAGCCGCTGTGCCCTGCCACTTGTTTGGATCTTAAACCGCAATTCCCTCTTCTGTTCTCCTGGGATCACGTGATGCGGACGCCCCGTGCACGGTTTCCACCAAGACTCCCTGACGACCACAGCCAGCAAGCTCAGCTTCCGTGGAAATGAGCAGATGGTCGTGTGTCTGGCCTGTGGGTCAGTCTCTCCCCTAAAGCCTGGCCCAGGACGCGACTCTGAAGACGGGTTTCGTGTGGATTTTCCTCTCTGCGCGGGACTTTTCCTCTGCAGCTCCTAAGAAGTATTTTGGACAGTGACCTAAATACTTTCTCCGACAGAAAAAGCATGATCTGATCAACTGCGATTGACAAAGCATGGACTCATAACCCTGCTTCCGAAAGCATTGATCGTGGGTACGATGTCTACATTTGTGTGAGATCAGACCCGGCCTTCTAGAACCACGCAGTCAACACTCAGAAAGGATGGCACGACCATCCTCTGAGCGTGGCTGGCGGAGATGATGAAACCAGTTTTTAAACGGTGATTTATTTTAAAGGCAAGTGTTCTCCAGCAGCAAATTAGCAGAGAGAAGCCCATTCCTCCTATTTCTAAAAGAAAGAGATTTTGAGGGAGATCTTAGCTCACCTGAGGGGTTTGGATCAGAAAAATTCTGTGGCTTATAAAGTCGTTTGTTATTTTGCTGTGATTTTATACACAATGGAAGGGTGAGGAAAAGGTCAGCAATAACTCTGCGACTGCATTTTAGCTTGGAAAAAATGTAATATTGATCGATAGGAAAATGGAAAAAGTGCAACTATTAGCACCTTACTTGATCTTCTCCGACCTTTACCCGTCCGCGCTGGTTTTATTCTTAAATGTTATGCCTCCTGTTCAAAGGTTTGTCCTGCTTAGTCTTTTATTTAATTAATCCATGATCTTCCTCACTCTCTCTAATGTTGGGACAAGACCGGCTCCTGATTTCCCTGCTGTGCTCCCGAGTCTGGGTCACACACAACTTGGAGCCGTGAAAGAGCTGCCGTCCGCGGGCATTAACCCTCCATCTTCCTGCACATCACTGGAGGGAACCGCCGCGCAGCCCAGACAGCCACGCAGGTGGCGACTTCTTGAGCCCTTCCCCCTGCGGTGTCCCACGTGAAGCCCCGGGGAGCTGGAGCCGCCTCCTCTGTGGGGAAGATGGCTCCTCACCACCTGGCAGGGGGCTGACACCACAGACCCAGGCCCTGGTGCCAACTCCTGCTGCTCAGGGACTGAACATGGCCCAGATGGTCCTGGGTGAGGCATGGCACGAGGGGGTGCCCCACGTCTAGCAGGCACTGCTGCTCCGTGGCAGAGTCCTGGCCCTGTGTGCACCCCAGCCCTGCTGAGGCCTTCAGGAGGGGGGCAGAGATGACAGCCCCAAGACCTGAAGGTGGACTGAGCTGAGGGCGTCGGGCTCGCCAGGCCTTGGGACGAGTGTGTCGGCACCTGCTCTGGGTGGATAGTGTCCCCAGAATTTACATCCACCTGGGGCCTGTAATGTGGCCTCACTTGGCAACATGGCTGTTTCCCATGTAATCAAGGTAAGATGAGGCCCTACCGACTGGGACTGGTGGGGCCTTAAATCCAATAAGACCAGTGTCCTCACACGAGGGGAGTGTGGACACAGAGACATCCAGGAAGAAGACACTCACAAAAAGATGGGCAGAGATAGGCCAGCATGGCGACAGCAAGGCAACCCGAGGCCTGCCGGAGCTGGGAGGAGTGAGGCCAGCCGGACACACAGGCACGTGGGAAGCTGGCAGGCAAACTGGCCCCACTGTGGGGAGACATCGCCCCAAGGCATCTGAGATCCCCATTTCCAGGAAAGCCACCTGCACCTGCTTCCTCATTCGGTGCCACGTGAATTAGTGATGTGACTTTGTGTGGACGGGGACTGGGAGGCAAGGACGCAGGGAGAGGCAAGGACACGGGGCCTGGCGACCCCTGAGTTGAGGATTCCGCAGGCCCTGGGCCGACTCCCACTGAGGACTGAGGACCTGAGGCTCACGCTTCATCCCCAGCGCCGGCTCCCTGAGGAGGCCCCTCTGCACTCTGTCCCTCCTCAGGGGACAGGAGGGGGAGGGTGCAGATAAGGCACCGGGCCCCGGGTTATCTGGCTTGACCTTTGGAGAAGCCGAGAGGGGAGTGTTGTCACCCAGAGGAGATAGAGGGTCGCCTGGTGGGAGCAGCTTCCAGCCTTCCTGAGTGGTCAGGGGCAGGGCCCTGCGAAGACAGCCTGGACTGGGGCACTGGCCTGGCCTGTCAGCGCCATCCCTGCGCGGCTCCCAGACACCCAGCTGTGCCGGCCTGGGGCATGCATGAGCGCTCACGTGCCTTTGCTTCTGAAAGGAACTTGCAGGCTGGGCAGCCGCTGCTCCAGGGCCTGGACGGTCTCCACGTATGCAGAGGCACAGCCGAGCCACACACCCACCATGCAAGACAGGGCCTGGAGACCCGGAGAGGGGAGCCTCTTGCCACTGGGGAGTAAGGAGAAGACCAGCTGTTTTATTTAGACATGCAGTTTAAAATAATGATGGACACAAGAAATCACGTTGCCGGGCAATCGGCAGAATCAGATTGGCAGAATCAGCTTCTCATTGGGTTTAGTTAAATCTGGGTTATCTCATTTTCCAGGTAACACCAAGAATATGAGAAAGGCGGATGTGGCTTCTTCTTTAACCAAAAAAAAAAAGGGGGGGAAACTTTTTTTCTTCATTCGTTTTTTCATTCATGAATTTTTTCTTCATTCATTTGTGAACAAACATCACCTGCATATAAAAAAACTAAGAGAATCTCCACTTGCTCATCCCAAACGCAGACCCACGGAGCCCCAGGAACAGTATTGCTGTTTCATTTGATGGGAAGAATCAGAAAGCTGAAATTTTCCCAGATAATCATTGCTTTGTAATTCCCTGTGATTGATTTAATAGCAGAGTGGACAGTTCAATACAATTGCACCACATTAAGGATGACTTTCTGAAGGCGCAGCAGCGCGAGTCCCCACGTATTAATGTTTACATGAAAAGCACTCAGGGAGCTACAGGGTGGGTGGGAAAGACTTTGCCTCATCTGAATTTCAGGCAGTTTGGAAGCACACTAAAATGCACTCTATTTTATTAAGCAACCCACACTTGAGGGGCATAATTCATCCTTGAATTTCACTCCACAATACGAGTGACTTAATGTTACTGATTAGAATTACAACAGGGTTTTATATCACCATAAATGCACTTTGACAATATTTGTATAAGGCACATTTTATTGCTCATATCTACACGTGTTGCCAAAGTGAAATAATTTTTCGGGGTAGAAAATGCAAGCCACCACGCCCGGCCCGTGATTTATAATCTTTTAATGAGAAGTTTTCTAGCTTCTAAATTCCATTCTAGTTTAAACACTTACCAAAATAACAGAAAACATGATGCCCTGATAGGCAACAAGGGGGAAAAGGTGTTTCTCACCAATACAAACCTGTGCATCACCTTCAGAAATCTCCACTCAGGAAAAGGCGGCAATTCCAGTGAATCAAGAAACGTGTTTGCTATTTGCACGTCAAAGAGCAGCTGAGTCAGCCCCTGTAATAATACGAAAATCACTGTGCAAATACTTCACGGCCATAGGAAGAGCAAGATATTTTAAAACTAAAAACCCTCCTGTCTGTTGCGGTGTGTGCTGGGGGTGAGTGGGTCGTGAACTCAGGACCCTCCTGTCTGTTGCGGTGTGTGCTGGGGGTGAGTGGGTCGTGAACTCAGGACCCTCCTGTCTGTTGCGGTGTGTGTTGGGGGTGGGTGGGTCGTGAACTGAACTCAGGACCCTCCTGTCTGTTGCGGTGTGTGCTGGGGGTTAGTGGGTCGTGAACTGAACTCAGGACCCTCCTGTCTGTTGCGGTGTGTGTTGGGGGTGGGTGGGTCGTGAACTCAGGACCCTCCTGTCTGTTGCGGTGTGTGCTGGGGGTGGGTGGGTCGTGAACTCAGGACCCTCCTGTCTGTTGCGGTGTGTGCTGGGGGTGAGTGGGTCGTGAACTCAGGACCCTCCTGTCTGTTGCGGTGTGTGCTGGGGGTGAGTGGGTCGTGAACTCAGGACCCTCCTGTCTGTTGCGGTGTGTGCTGGGGGTGAGTGGGTCGTGAACTCAGGACCCTCGTGTCTGTTGTGATATGTGCTGGGGGTGGGTGGGTCGTAAACAAGTGGGAAAAACAGGAACAAGAACCCCAGAAAACCAAGTGCAACCTCTGTGGCTGCAGACAGAGGGGAGGCCAGAAATGCAGTAAAGCATGGATTTCAACTGGAAATGCTTTATGATTATTATTTTCTCTGCAGGCTTCACCTGATAACTCTATACCATGTGCTCCTAAAATGGTGATTTGTTTTTTCCCCTTTTCCCTTGAGAATCTTTGCTTTTAAAGTTATGCCTCAATTAGAAAAGCAGGACTTCGGCACGTTGGTGGGAAATGCCTCGTCTCCTGGGAGCTCTCTGGTTCCTCAGTGCCACCCTCCAGAGATCCTGCCGGTCACCATCTCGCGTTCTCCCCGTATAAGCATCACTTAGACACACAACACCTATTTTGTGTAAAGTAAAATATGCTGGGTTTTTTTTGTTTTGTTTTGTTTTGAGACACAGTCTCGCTCTATCACCCAGGCTAGAGTGCAGTGGCGCGATCTCAGCTCACTGCAACCTCCGCCTCCCAGGTTTAAGCAATTCTCCTGCCTCAGCCTCCCAAATAGCTGGGATTACAGGCGCCTGCCACCATGCCTGGCTAATTTTTGCATTTTTAGTAGAGACAGGGTTTCATCACATTGTCCAGGCTGGTCTCACACTCAGGTGATTCACCCGCCTTGGCCTCCGAAAGTGCTGGGATTACAGGCATGAGCCACCGTGCCCAGCCCAGCCAAAATATACTGATATTTTGAAGATCACATATGAAGGTGAAATAAAAGCAGGAAACACAGTTGATGAATTCTGTTTGGCAGCTATAAGTGCTGACACACAAATGTTTAGCGCCTGCTCCCGAATCCCACACGAATCATAGATCAGAACCCTGGATGGTTCTGGAAACAATGACCTACACACCTTCATCCCTTCAAGCTACCCATGGAGACCCTTCAATCTCCAGGTGTGTGCCCAGTTCTAACCATGTTCTGGAAACATGGAAAATGAACGACAGGGAATTCCCTGGCTCTGCATACTCCCATGTCCCAGGTGCTGTTTGCTGGAAGCCAGTGTTTCTTGAAAAGACTAAGACACGGGAACAGATTTCTCCACAAAACAGTAGCATCGCTCTAGTGCATTAATAATCATCCCATGGTAACTTAACCCACACTTTCCACTTTCTATAAGTAGGTGTGTCTGTATGTGTATACACCTGCGTCTATATGTCTATATCTACACCTGTACCTACGTCTACACGGACGCCTACACCTGTACCTACACCTATACCTACAGCTATGTCTGTATGTCTATATCTGCACCTGTACCTACTTCTCCACCGACACCTATACATACACTTGTACCTACACCTGTATGTATATCTACACCTACACCTACATCTATATCTATATGTCTATATATATACCTACCTCTACACCTACACATATACCTACACCTGCATCTATATCTATGCCTGTATCTGTACCTACATGTATACCTATACCTACATCTATACCTACGCACATAGCTCCACCTGTATCTACACCTATATCTACACCTTCACCTACATCTACATCTATACCTATAGCTATGCCTTTGTCTATATCTATACCTACACCTATACAGACACCTACATCTACATCTACACCTACACCTATGTCACCTATGCCGACACCTCACCTACACCTGCACCTACACCTGCACCTAAACTAACACCTGCATCTATACCTACAGCTATACCTGTATTAATATATCCACACCTACCCCTACACCTCTCTCTCTTTTTCTATCTCTGTCTCTGTCTCTACCTCTTTCATCTCTATTTATCTCTATCTCTATTTCTGTCTCTCTCTCTATCATCCTTATCTCTATCGCTGTCTTATATCTGTCTCTATCGCTATCTCTATATCTATCTCCATCTCTAGATCTGTCTCCATCCCTATCTCTATCTCTATCTCTGTCTCTATCTCTATCTTTAACCTCTCTCTATCTCTATATCTGTTTCCATCTCTATCTCTATCTCGGTCTCTCTCTCTATCATCCTTATCTCTATATCTGTCTCTATCTCTATCTCTAACCTCTCTCTATCTCTATATCTGTCTCCATCTCTATCTGTCTCCATCCCTATCTCTATCTGTCTCTATCCCTATATCTCTCTCTATCTCTATATGTGTCTCCATCTCTGTCTCTATCTCTATCATCTTTATCTCTATTTCTGTCTTTATATCTGTCTCTGTCTCTATCTCTATATCTCTCTCTATCTCTATATGTGTCTCCATCTCTGTCTCTATCTCTATCATCTTTATCTCTGTTTCTGTCTCTATCTCTCTATCTCTCTCTGTCTCTATATGTGTCTCCATCTCTGTCTCTATCTCTATCATCTTTATCTCTATTTCTGTCTTTATATCTGTCTCTGTCTCTATCTCTATATCTCTCTCTATCTCTATATGTGTCTCCATCTCTATCTCTGTCTCTATCATCTTTGTCTCTATTTCTGTCTTTATATCTGTCTCTGTCTCTATCTCTATATGTGTCTCCGTCTCCATCTCTGTCTCTATCTCTATCATCTTTCTCTATTTCTGTCTTTATATCTGTCTCTGTCTCTATCTCTATATGTGTCTCCATGTCTATCTCTATCTCTGTCTCTATCATCTTTATCTCTATTTCTGTCTTTATCTCTGTCTCAATCTCTATCTCTAACCTCTCTCTATCTCTATATCTGTCTCCATCTCTGTCTCTATCTCTATTATCTTCATCTCTGTTTCTATCTCAGGCTCTATCTCTAGCTCTATGTATCTCTATTGCCTTTTTTCCAACCTAGCTTCTTGCACTCATTCCCACTCTAGGACACAGCCTTAAGGCGACTTATTAAACTGAAGGAACCACTTCAATCAAAGCTCCAAGTGGCTTTAAGAGTGAAGACCTTGACCTGGGTCTGTGAGGATGGGACCTCGGTGCCTGTGGGGCTCTCGTTTTGTCGTGTCTGGGGGTGTCTAGTTCTCGGGCTGTTTTCTGCTGCAGAGTATGGAAGGCTGAGTGATAGATGCAGGTGTGATGTTTTAGGTTAGAGATCAAAGTCTTACACATCAGGAATCGCTGTCCCTTGAGACGCCATTTGTGGAAACACATAAAGTCTTCAGGCCTACATGGAGTCAACCCCCTCCAGTGTTCCCAGAGTTTTCCTGCTCTCTTGGCCAGTGCTTTGTGTCCTCACATTGGGTCCCTGGGGTGTGAGGTTTCACAAAGAGGGGGCTGGGGACCAGGGGCTGCTCATGGACTCCCCCAGAAATTACAGGCCCTCCCAGGGGTGGGGAGGGCGGTGGGTGGCTCGCCTTTCAGGGACTTGTGTAGTTCTCAGAGGGGCAGGCTTTGTGCCAGCAGGCTACCTTCATGTTGGGGGCCTGGAGGTGTCACAGTGCAAGCCGCCCACCTGAGGTATCCACCACACCTTCCTGCCACAGTGCGTGTGTGCATGCATGCCCCCACACAGGCACAGGCACATGCATATATGTGTGCACGCACATGTGTGCACATGCGTGCATAGGCTCACACACGCATGCGAGCAAGCACACATCAGCACACACGTGCACAGGGACACAGGCACATGCATAGTGAAGAGCCTGACCAACGGCTGCACCACAGCCTGAGGGACCCCGAGCAGAGGGCCCAGCTTGGCTGCGCCCAGTTTCCGGCCCACGAGGACCAAGGGAGGAAACTTGTGTTTCCAGCAGCTATGTTTGCTGCGTTCTCTTCTGCAGCAACAGGTAACAAATATGATGCTGAATGGAGGAATTGAAGGGTATCTGTAGTCCAGTGGCCTCATTTTGAGGGTAGGAGACAGATGTTCAGAGAGAGAAGTGATTTTTCTGGGCACCTGGGGCCAGGTTGTGGCAGAGTCTGAATTTAAGCCTGTCCTCGCCTGCCCCGCACTCCCTGTGAGGCGATTTGCGTGCTCTGAGAAGATGACATTGTGAGCCCCTGCCTCCCTGCACAGCAGAGGAGGGCAGCCCCACGCACTGGGTGTGGGAGTGACTCTCAGACGAGGCAGGCAGTGTGCGCCTTACAGAAGAGGGAGTGGAGGCAAGAGAAAGCCCACCCCTCACTACGTTCTCTCCCTGGAGAGGGGTCGGGTCTGAAGCCCCTAGCTTTACCACTGTGACATGGCTGCTTAAACTGGAGACCCTTCGAGAATACAGGGATCAGGATGGGAGCCACTTCTTGAGTCTGATTTATTTTTTTCACGAAGAATGAATGAGAAATGGGATGTAGCATGAGTTGTGAGTTGTTGTGTTGAAATAATAAGGGAAAATGTGCTACCCTGCCCAGGACCTTGAGGCTCCATTGAGGCAGATGCCCACCTGGCCACTGTGGGTGGAAAATAAAGACCTCTGCTCACTCATGTCCCTTTCCTGAGAGCAGAAAGAAGCCTGCTTCTCTGGAGGGTGCAGAAGAGATCTCTGCAGGCGAGGCGTGTGGGATGCTCTGCTGTAGACCCACGGCACAACAGGCGGCTTTGTGGGCTGAGCCCTGGCCTGGATAGAGGGTCAAATCGCAGCAGGCGCCATGTGCTGGTGGCTGCTCTTTTCAGGACGTGTCCCCGGTGGCAGGAGGAGGCTGGGTGTGGAGCACTCTCATGTTCACTTTGCTGGTAGGAGCAGGCTGGGTGTGGAGCACTCTCGTGTTCACTTTGGTGGCAGGAGAAGACTGGGTGGGGAGCACACTTGTGAGCACTTTGGTGTTGGGAGGAGGCTGGGTGTGGAGCACTCTCGTTTTCACTTTGCTGGTAGGAGAGGCTGGGTGGGGAGTACACTTCACTTTGGTGGTAGAAGGAGGCTGGGTGGGGAGCACTCTTGTGTTCACTTTGGTGGCAGGAGGAGACTGGGTGGGGAGTAGACTCGTGTGCACTTTGGTGGTAGGAGGAGGCTAGATGGGGAGCACTCTTGTGTTCACTTTGGTGGTAGAAGAAGGCTGCGTGGGGAGCACTTTCGTGTGCACTTTGGTAGTAGGAGGCTGGGTGGGGAGCACACTTATGTTCTCTTTGGTGGTAGGAGGAGGTGGGTGGGGAGCAGACTTCACTTTGATGGCAGGAGGAGGTTGGATGGGGAACACTCTTGTGTTCACTTTGGTGATAGGAGGAAGCTGCGTGGGGAACACTCTCATATTCACTTTGGTGGTGGGAAGAGGCTGGGTGGGGAGCACTCTCCTGTTCACCCTGGAGGTGGGAGGAGGCTGGGTGGGGAGCACGCTCGTGTTCACCCTGGAGGTGGGAGAAGGCTGGGTGGGGAGCACTCTGGTGTTCACTTTGGTGGTGGGGGAGGCTGGGTGGGGAGCACTCTGGTGTTCACTTTAGTGGTGGGAGGAGGCTGGGTGGGGAGCACACTCACGTTCAACTAGAACCTCAGGGCTGTCACAAGTGGGGGCCAGGCTCGAGGCTCAGCATTGTGGCCTCAGAAGGGCCCAAAGAGTTCTCCCAAAGGAGAACTCTCCCATGACGCCAAGGTTGCCTCCTCAGCCATGTCCCTTGTGGCTTCACCTATTATCCCAGCTGTTGGCCAGCTTGGTTGCCTTTCCATCTGTGACCCCCTCCTCCACTGCCTTCTTCCTCACTGTGCCTGACTTCCCCATCCACACAGCATTTTGTACCGAAGCCGACCGATGCCACAGCGCAGGCCCCTGAGGGGCGCTTTGCTGTGCAGGCTCCAGCCTCTCCTGCATCTGCTTGGCAAAGTGAGGTCCACCTCCTTGGGTTTTTGCCTCTTTCTAAACACCACCTGCAAACTGCCTCCCCGCAAAGGAAAGTAGCAGGGACTTGTCCTCCCCAGGGCACTGCACACAGGCTCGAAGCCTGGTCGGGAGGCTCTTTGGTCAGGCTGGAAAGAGCTTTGACAAGACAGAGTGGCCCCTGCTGGGCTGGGGTGTGCTGGGGAGAGTCCCTTTTCCTCTGACTCCTGAACTCATCAGGCAACAGTACAGGAGGTTGAGACGAGGCTCTGGCAGGGTCAGAGTCACAGGGCAGGAGGTAACCACTTGAGGGCCATGGGGCCGGAAGTAGCTAAGGTCCCATGCGATGACCTCCCAGCATCCTGAGCTCAACCCTGAAAAGGGGCTGCAAGGACAATCACAGCAATTATCTTCTTCATTTTGCTACAGGCACAGAGCAGACACCACACAGCTTCCTTGTCGCCTTCCCTCATGTGCGCACAGCACGGGTGTCATTTAGACATACAGTAGAATGTGTGGCAATTACATCAGAATCATCACACCAAATGTGGCTGTATCCTTTGTTAATCAAAGTTTATCTGTGTTAGTTAATGGTGTGAAGGAAGCCTATGTAGAGAAATTACCAACTGTCTGTAAGAAATCCAACATAAACATCCTTTTGTGGCCAAAGAAAAGCATGCTTCAGCCAGAGCCCCGGCATCCACCCTCTTTCCTGCCATGAAGCTTTGCCACCTTTTCAACACAGCACCTTGTATTTCAATGCTGGGAGTTCACTGTCAAGGTGCCCCAGTGCTGGGTGAGACACCCCCCACCTCGCCAATGTCTTTTTGGAAGACTGAGCCTAAAACCAGCAGTGTCTCAGAGACGGAGAGATTGTCGCAGCGTCTCAGAGACGGAGGGACCGTCGCAGCGTCTCAGAGACGGAGGGACCGTCGCAGCGTCTCAGAGACGGAGGGACCGTCGCAGCGTCTCAGAGACGGAGGGACCGTCGCAGCGTCTCAGAGACGGAGGGACCGTCGCAGCGTCTCAGAGACGGAGGGATTGTCGCAGCGTCTCAGAGATGGAGGGATTGTCACAGTGTCTCAGAGATGGAGAGATTGCCAAAGGGGGTTGATGGGCTATTTCAGACCAAACTAAACAGCACAGGACCTGCGCTTCTGGCTGGGGTTGTCGCTGTGCCCAAGGAGTGTTGCTTTGGGGACAGTCATCCAGGACGGATCCCCTCCCTCCTCCTCGGGGCCTTTGGGTTGGTGGCTGCTGCCAAGAGAAGGCTGTGGCTGTGCCTCTTTCCAAAGCCCACAAAACCGGGAGAGCCTTCACCGCAGTCCTCAGCATGTAATCCCCAGGACACTGCGCGTGTGTTGTACTTGCACAAGCATGCACACACACCCAGACACGCTGATACACACACATCCAGCACAACCCGACTCTCAGGTAAGCCTGGCCTGCAGAAGCCTGAGCCTTTTGCTCACATGTTTGCCAGTGCGTAGGCTGGATGACAGGCCTGCAGCCAGTACCGGAACCTGGTGCTCCAGAGCAGAAGAGCTGCTCCTTGACAATCAGACCGAGCGCGCATTCATTTATGGACAAGCTTTGTGTTCCACAATGGGGTCCTGGGGTGGGTCGGGATGCACCGTGACAGGGCCAGCAGCGACTCTCCCCTGCCCCGGACATGGAAAACCTGGAACACAAGAGTCATCAGCCCTCTCGGTGTTCGACTGAATCATGGGGCAAGCCTGTGTGTGCACATGTGTGTGAACATATGAGCATGTGTGCACGTGTGAACGTGGGCTTGTGTGCATGCACATGTGCATGTAGGAATGTGTGTATACTCTGTGTGTCGCCAGCTGACCCGGTGTTTGGTTCTTGGGTCTACTTAGAGGCTGATACTTTGTGTCCTTGTGTCCAGAGAGGATTTGAAATGCGGAGCAGCGCCTGTTCTGGAATTTTCTGTGGCTGCTCAGCTCTCTCCCAGGGAGCGCGGGTCTTGAGCCACAGCAGAGGGCATCAGCCTCAGCAAGCCCAGACCCGCCCGGAGGCTCCGCTTCTGCAAACTCAGCCGGACTTGGGAGGGCCGCCCAGAGAGAAGTGGGTTTCGGTGAGGGGAGGGGTGAGGGAAGGGGTGGGCCCACTGCTTTTGTTTATTGTTTGCTTTATTTGTTTTGTTTTGTTTTTCCTGACTAAGCCCTTTGCTCTTCTTGTTTCTAGGGGGAAGATCAGGTTCTTCGGCTGCTCTGTAGGGAGCAGCCTCCCCGCGTCCAGGCAGTCCTGAGTCAGCAGGACCCCGTCCGTTCGTCTTTCACCCCCATTCCTTGCTACTCCAGGGGCCGCGCCAGCAGCATTTTCCCAGGCAGCCGGTCGTCATCCTCCTCCCTGCAGCCTCCTCCTGCGCCCTCTCACGAGGCGCTGGGGCCTGGTGCGGAAGGATTTACAGGGAAGGAATGTCGGGCTCCTCCGGCTGGGAGCGCACCTGCGCAGGGAGGGTCCTGTCCCACCACACCTGGCCCCCTGGGGAACAGCGGGTGAGTGCTGCTGCAGGAAGGAGCAGGAGAGACGCACTGCTCCCCGCTCCTCTCTCCGCTTCCCTCCTCTCCTCCCACCTCCCCCATCTCCTCCGTCCCCTGTCTCCGCCCCTCCTTGTCCTCAGGAAGCCATATCCCACTCTGGTGGAGTGGCTCAGGCCGCTGATGAGGGTGCTCGGGGCAGGGCTCTTCTCTGAGTGACGTTGGAGGTTTTCACGGTGAACACAGAAAGGGGCACTCCGTCCGAGCTGAGCCTCAGGGACCGTGAGGCTTGCTCTTGGCCCTGCTGCTCATACAGCCCTCCGTGCCTCGCTTCCCTCCCACAGCAAGGAAGGATGACGGGTGCGGGGTCTGCACGGTGGCGCGGGGTGGCCGCGTTGCTCAGGAGGCACTTGCAGGTCACCACTGCTGCTTACACAGCCTTACTCTAGCAAGGCCCTGGGCAGCCACACTGTGACACTCGGAACGTCACACCTGGCGTTTTCCAAATGAATTGAATGGGTAGGAATCTCCACATCCCTGGATACTTCGCAGAGTTGCGGAGGGACTGGCCACGCAGCTCCGCAGACAGCCGCCTCCCACACGCACTCAGGTACACACAACCCTCACCTGCAGCCTAGGCCTTCAACACCTGATGCTCACGGAACTTTCTGGAGCTTCCAGGGAGTGACAGGAGCTTCCCGGGGAGCTCTGCATTTCCTGGGAAACTCTGTTTCCCAGGGAGCTCCTTCCCTTCTAGGCCCCGCGTCTGCAGTGACAGCTGGGAGGCCTGGACTCAGAGCGGTGACCTTTCCTCACCTCTCCCTGGCACGTCTGCGCCTCTGCCCCTATGGCATTTGGAAGCCCCCCCGCCCCCCCGCCCACCACACACACACCGCTGCCTCTGCCGCAGGACATGAGTGGCGGCTGCCAGATGACACCTGTCTGCTGGCCAGAGCGGGCGCCTGACCTCGCTGGCCTGCACTGGAGGCTCTGCAGGTGGGGAAGGCAGCGTGCAGTGGCCATCTGGCATGTCCCAGAGGCTCCCGGCCTGGGTGGTGACAGGTTCCCCTCGCCCCTCATGGCCCACGCTCAGGATGGGCTGGTCCTGCATCCTTGGGCCCCGTGTGAACGTGGAAATGCCCAGCCCCTGCTGCCCTCCCGTCCTTCTACATGGGGACAGGAATGTGACTCTCCCGGTGGCAGTGACCACCGCCTGCAGGGGCCTGCTGGCCTCCCTTTTGCACCCGGCTCAGGTGCCTCCTGGCCGAGACTCCTTGAGGCCACTGTGTGACACACACCACACACCCCTGGCACCAGAGGCCCGGGAAGGGCCAGCCCCTCCTAGCGGCTTCTCCGGCCCTATGGGGGAGGGTGGGCACATGCTTGGCAACCCCTGGAGAGAAGGGGAGGGGCCACATCCAGTCCATCTATCTTCGCTTTTTACATTTTTATCCAGCAAGCATGTGTTTCATCATGTTAAAAGAGCAATCCATATTCTAAAAATCATGAGAAAGAATTGAAGGTAGCTTCCTGGCAGGAAGAATGAAATCGTGGGTCCCACCACAAGACACCGTCACCTTGCTCCCCATTTCCTTTCCCATTTAAACATTTTTGTTTTATTTTTTATAGAGATGGGGTCTCACTATGTTTCCTAAGCTGGTCTTGAACTCCTGGCCTCAAGTGATCCTCCTGCCCGAGTAGCTGGGACCACAGGCACGCACCATACCTCGCTGACTTTTGCATTTTTTTGCAGAGACGAGTCTCACAACATTGTCCAGGCTGGTCTCGAACTCCTGAGCTCCAGCGATCCCCCCCACCTCAGCCTCCCAAAGCGATATGATTGAAGGTGTGAGTCACCGCACCTGGTCTCTCTCTCTCTCCCTCCCTCCCTCTCTCTCTCTTTCTCTTTCTCTCTTTCTTTCTTTCTTTCTTTTTCTTCTTTCTTTCTTCTTTCTTTTTCTTCTTTCATCTTTCTCCCTCTCTCTTTTCCTTCCTTCCTCCCTCCCTCCCTCCCTCCCTCCCTTCCTTGTAATAGACTTTAGTTTTTAGAGTGTTTTTGGGCTTATGGAAAGAGTGACCAGAAAGTGCAGAGTTCCCACATATGCCCCACCTGCCTCCCTGGTTGCTACTAGTGTCCCGCCTTAGAGTGGAGCGTTTGTCATAGTCCTGCCAATGCTGCTGTCATTCACTGGAGTCCGTGGTGCACCGGAGGGCTCATGCCTGCTGCGGCACATCCTGTGGTTTGGACAAATGGAAAGTGACATGCGTTCCCCACTATGGCATCACACAGGGGAATGTCACCACCTAAACCCCTCTAGGCTCTGCCCGCTCATCCCCCTGCCTCAGCCCTTGGCAACCACAGCTCTTCCTGCTGTCTCCTGAGTTCTGCCTTTCCCAGGGGTCAGGGTGGGGATCGTGTTGTGTGCATCCTTCCCAGACTGGCTCCTTCCCTCAGCAGCAGGCACTGAGGGCTCCTCTGTGCCTCTCATTGTTTACCTCCCTGCCTGATGGCTTCTCCTGGGTGACACCTGCTGTGCCTAGGGCCATCTCGTGGCCCCTGCTGCCTCATGCTCTGGGGTTCAGGGTGCATTCCCATCTCCTCTGTCGCCTGGTGGCTCACTGTGGCCTCTTCCCTGCCTCTACCACAGGTGTTTTTCTGGGCATAAAATCTATTCCTGACTCCATCTGGAGCTCCCAGTGGTTCAGGGCATGGAGACCAGGCACACGTAAAGATTGCATCTCTGACTGAATTGAGAATAAGCTGCCTTCAGGACTCACGCTTGATCAACCTCGCCAAGGCTGAGGTGGGAGGGTTGCTTGAGCCCAGGAGTGGGCAACATAGCAAGACCTTGTCTCTACTAAAAATAAGAAAATTAGCAAGCATGGTGGCACATGCCTTTGGTCCTAGCTACTTGGGAGGATGAGGTGGAAGGACTGCTCGAGCCCAGGATTTCAAGGCTGCAGTGAGCTATGATTGTGCCACTGCACTCCAGCCTGGGCAACAGAACAAGACCCCGTCTCAAAAAAGAAAAGATAAACAAAGCAACCTCTTATTTCCAAAGCTTGCAGCTCTGCAGCTGGAGGGCTGTGTGGGCACTTTCTTGGCAACATGGGCCCTGTGGCCATGAATGGCAGCGGTCACCTTCCTGGATGGGGCTGACTTTTCTCTAGCCTGAGCCACAGCCTGAGCCTCTGACTCCACTCAGTGTGACCTGCAGACAATTGTTTGCGGCCCCATTCTAATTCCCTCCTAGGGACTCTCAGCCATCTTTCTTTTTCCTTGTGGCAAGAGATGGCCAGGACTTTGGAATGGGCAATGGGTTTACTGAAGATCACGTCCGTGGAATGCTGGGCTCTGGCGTGGTCTGACCCTTGCAGTGAGCCTCTTTTCTCAGCTATTTCATGACTCTATCCAGATAGGAGCTACCTTAGGAAAAGAGCAACACCTACGATTCCTATCCATAGAATGGCTTTAGTCGGGTCCCATGGAATACAATTGATTACACCCTGAGCTCAGATCAGGTTCTACAAATTCATGCTGACATTCCTGCACTGTAGATAAACCTGCGTCCTGTGGCTTCCCTGCCCTAGGTGCAGCTCCAGCTCCTTCCTTAACTCCACTGGTATTCCCTTTAATCTGCAGGAGGGGCCAGTGATTGACTTTGGGTGTACACTGTCCCTCCACACCACTTCCCTGTCTTCCATGGTTTTTTGTATTCATTTTCTTCCACCTCCCAGGCACTGACCCCCAGTAGTGACCCTGGGGGGAGACCATGCCAGGAAGCACACTGGCTGGGGCGACCCTGAGGCATCCCAGGGAGAGGCAGGAGCCAGAGGCAGCAGGAGCTGAAAGGAGATACCTGTTCTCTGCAGGTCTGTGCTGTGCACCCTCTGCACCCACGAGGCATCCTCAGAAGTGGGGAGGGAGAAGGAGGGATGGAGGAGTCTTTTAGCATAGTGTGGCCTCCATCTTCCCTCCCCAGGACACCGGGGACCATCCTGAGGGTGGCCTGAGTTGAGGGCCCCTCTGCAGAGGCTGGCAGTCAGGCCCACATCCCGAGAGCGGGACAGGGACATTTGGCCAGGCAGTTGAAGCTGGAGGTTCAGACGGCCGTTTATTTGGGGATTTATGACCTTAAGGGTCCCTCTGGAGTGGAGAAGAGCAGCTGCCTCCTCTGCTCAGCCTGGACACCCCTCCTGCCTGTTGGGACACTCTGTGGGTGCCGCCTGTGAGTCCTGAAATGTGCGATGTCCTGTACGTGCTGCCCAGCTCGATGTGAGGCAACGCGCTGTCCCCATGCCTCTCGCGGGGCCCATCAGTCATCCCTGAGCACAGACTCCGCTTGCCCTGCACTTACAGCCGTCACGTCGCTAAATGGCTCTGCCTGTTACCGCAGCGCAAATACATGATCCTTTCACTTTGCAGATTCCATGTAATTGTGCGTGGACTGTGTCAGCTTCGGATTTAATTGGTGTGTAGGCTGCGAGGCATGAATTACAGCATGTGTAATTTATTTATGCAATACAATTTACCATTAACTGAGAGAGGAAAAATAAAGAGAAAAATAATATGTTTTGTACTATAATTACATAATAAAGTTTGAATTAGGAATATCACTTGGCCCACAAACTTCCTCTGGCCTGAGAAAGATCAGAAAGCAACGTCGTCTCTTCAGTTCCTTCCTGGATTCTCAGGAGGAGCAGGTCTCCCTCTAAGTGCCACGGGACAAGCGCGTTGGTGGTAAACGGAGCCGCGGGGAAGAGTGGGGCCTTTGAGAACCAGCTGCATTGACGGGGACATGGCCAGCCCAGGTCAACTGGGGAGAGATGGAGAAAAGTAGGGGACGGATAAAGAGAAAGTTACTTTTTTTCTTATATAAAATGAATCGTGAAAACTGCTCACTGGATAGCCAGGCCACTTACTCATAAAGAAAAAGCAAGAGAAATGCCTGCCACTGCGCCTGGGAGTCCATTCCCAGGTCTAGGGCCACCCCAGAGCTCCCGGTCACCCTCAAGCTGAAATGTTAGACGCGGAGGGCTGGCTTCCCATGACATTTTCACCGGAGCCCCTGGCATGACTCAAAATCTGTGGTTCTTCAAAATGATGAACATGGGCTCCCGTTGTCTCCTCACGCGGGAAGGTCCAGGAGCCCACACCCAGGTGTGACTCTATTCTGCTGCGGTGACTCCGGACGTGAGGCTGGGACGAGCCTGAGGGAGCTGCGTGCTCGCCAGCGCCTCCCGGCCCACCTCTGCGGTCCGTCCTCCGGAGCCCACCCCGGCTCCACCTTGGCTCCCAGGCCGGCACCCCCGGGCTGAGCACAGGGCCAGGGGCAGGCGGGTTCCAGAGGGAGCATTTCCAAGGGAGGAGGAAAACCAAAGTGCCTGCCAGGCAGGGGGCAAGGACAGAGGGGAAACGCCCCCGCTCCCAGGGCCGGGTGAGAGACGGTGGGGACCAGCTCAGGGACCCCCACCCAGAGGGGCCGCCACTTCCACGGGGAATGCTGGTCGGAGTGGGCTCCGGACCTTCCCGCGTGAGGAGACAACAGGAGCCCAGGCTTGACGTGGCCTCTCCGCCTCAAACCCGGGCCGCTGGCTCCCCGCACAGGCTGGGGCGGCGTGGGGCGGGCGGAAGAGCCCGATCCCTCTGCGGCCGGCCTGGTTGATTCGGGCCCAGCGGACCCTGCCTGGCCCTGGCCCTGGAGGCCGCTGCGGCCCCCACCCAGCTCCTCAGCAGCCACATGGCGCCGGCCCTCACACCCCGGGGCGGCGCACAGGGCCTGGGCCTGACGACGTCCTTAGGGTCCCTGAGCAGCCGGGTCCCCACGGCCCTCGGCGACCCGGGGTCCCCGGGATGGAGCGAGGCTCTGGGCCTTCAGCAGACGCCGGGGCCCCAGACGCCCCTGAACCGAGCTCCAGAGACATCCGAGCCCAGGCTCCTAGAGAACCGCCCCCCGCCGGGTGCGTCCGAGTCAGGGCTCCCCCGAAGGCGGGGACGTCGGGCGAGAAGCAACTGCAAGGACTCGCGTGAAGAAGCCACCGGGAATCATGGCGGCCGCGCTCAGAGGGACGGCTTTGCACGCAAGCTGTATTTTTCTTCAACTCCTCTGTGTTTTTCAGATCTTCTGTAGAAGTGTCTGTAGTGACCATCAGAAAAACAATCTGAAAGAAAGACAGGAATTGCCACCGACCCCAGGGCTGCATTTATTGCTGGACATTTGTCACGGTCTGAGCCGTGTGGACCGGCCCCGCTCAGCCAGAGCCAGGAGGGCTACGAGGGGAGGCGGGGCAGGGTTTGGGGACGATTTCTCTCCGACCGAAGGAGTAATGGGGCCATCACGTAGGCAAGGTCAAAGGACGATGTGGCGGTTGCAGGGTGACCCGAGGTCACGTAGGCAAGGTCAAAGGACGATGTGGCGGTTGCAGGGTGACCCGAGGTCACGTAGGGAAGGTCAAAGGACGATGTGGTGGTTGCAGGGTGACCCGAGGTCACGTAGGCAAGGTCAAAGGACGATGTGGGGGTTGCAGGGTGACCCGAGGTCACGTAGGGAAGGTCAAAGGACGATGTGGCGGTTGCAGGGTGACCCGAGGTCACGTAGGCAAGGTCAAAGGACGATGTGGCGGTTGCAGGGTGACCCGAGGTCACGTAGGGAAGGTCAAAGGACGATGTGGCGGTTGCAGGGTGACCCGAGGTCACGTAGGGAAGGTCAAAGGACGATGTGGGGGTTGCAGGGTGACCCGAGGTCACGTAGGCAAGGTCAAAGGACGATGTGGCGGTTGCAGGGTGACCCGAGGTCACGTAGGGAAGGTCAAAGGACGATGTGGGGGTTGCAGGGTGACCCGAGGTCACGTAGGGAAGGTCAAAGGACGATGTGGGGGTTGCAGGGTGACCCGAGGTCATGTAGGCAAGGTCAAAGGACGATGTGGCGGTTGCAGGGTGACCCGAGGTCATGTAGGCAAGGTCAAAGGACGATGTGAGGGTTGCAGGGTGACCCGAGGCCAGCAGTCCTTTGCAGAGTGGATGAGCTTTCAGTGAGGGGTGAAGTGTGGAATGGGACTCGCTGACGAAAGCCCACTCCTCCCTGGGCCAGGAGGGGCGCGGGGCCCAGGGCCGGTGTGGCTGGACGGGGGCCTCCCAGGTGGACGGGCAGGGGGGCTCTGAGAGCAGCTGCCGGGATGGGAGGCGGATGCGTCTGCCTGCTCTGTCCAGGCCTGGGGCCTGTTCCCACCAGGACGTGCCGGAAAGAGGCTCTTGCTCTGTGGGAAAATCATTCTGCTCCTCTTTCCTGTACAGCCCTGAGGCAGAGCCCGCACTGCGGTTTCCTTAGTTGGGAGCTGTGGTTGTGAGGAGCCCCCAGTCTCTATCGTTCAGGGATCCCCTTGACCTCAGTAAAAGCCCCCCTTAAGTCCACCAACCTTCTGAGAGCCTCCACTTGGCTCTGGTGGGGCAGTGCCCTGGAAGAGAGGTTTGGGGCTGCTGATCCTGGCCAAGGGTCTTCCAGAATGACGCTACTCAATGTCCAGGAATCATAGGAGCCCAGTGTCTTGGCCTCACCAGGCTCTGTCACCCCCTCAACCCTGTGGCCCTGCAGTTCTTGAAGCTCAGGTCCCAGTCCTTGGTGACGACTGAACAACCCTGGCCTCTGCTTACTTCTTCAGGAAGCTGGAGCCTTACCCTGTTAGCAACGTCTTTCCAGCATCCCTGGGAGAGAAGCAGCTTGCCAGCCCTCTGGGCTTGGTTTTAAACCTGCAACTGGAGCATGGCCCAGAGGTATGTGTGTGCCTGGGCCCTGCCCAGTGAGCGGGAGCCTGGCTCTGAGCATCCTGCCTGAACATCCCCAGCCCCTGGCGGGGCGACGCCACTGAGCAAGACACCCTGGGAGGTGAATTCGGCAATGGGATGGCACAAAGGCCCAGCTTTCCCATCTAATGAGACAACTTCCACCGAACTCACAACACCGTAAACCTTCTAGAGACCAAGGCAACGTGCACCCAGAAAATGTTTGGATCATTCTCTGCCTAGACTAATTTAGAGGGAAGATTCTCAGCGAATCCAGCCCCCAACCCTTGATTGTCTCCGGCAAGGATGTTAGGTCCCCCTGTGCTTCAACATGTTTGGAACAAGAACCAATTCGTTTGTTCCTAACGTGACACCTGGAGGAGGCAGAGTCGCTGTGGATGCCACGCCACCTCGCAGCCGTGACAGCTAATGACGCCTGCAGTCCCCACCATGGTCCCTGCCTCATCCTCTGTGCCGTTGTCTTGTGTGTTCCATTTATATGAATGGCAACAAAAGTAGAAACCAGGAAAGCAAAATGGCTTCAGTGAGGCTGTTTTGTTTTGTTTTGTTTTTCTTCTTCAACCTGGGAAATTCAGGTCAATAAAAGTGTAACAGAAAGATGAGAAGAAAGAACATCCCGAAGTAGTGTGTTTAAATCGCTCCAGCGCCAAGACCACAAATCCTGGGAAGCACAGGTGTCCTTTTCACGGCCTCGCAAGGAAAGCAGGTGCCTTCTCCACAGAGACTCTTGGTGGGCTCCTCGATTTGGGGTCATCTGCTCCTGCAGCCTGGGCTCGCGGGGGTGAGAACACAACAGGGTGAGCCATTTTGCTGCGGTGCCCCAGGCATCTTCTGGGTGTGGAGGCAACTCCACGTGAGAGGTACCGGTGCGTCCCAGTCCCAGACTTGTGCCACTTTTCTGAGCCCTCTGGGCCGGCCTCATGCCTTCCGGGCCTGCTGAGCTCTGTGCCCTACCTGCCACTCCTGGAGGGCAGGCTGCCACTGTGCTCGCGGGGCCTCGCTGCAGGGTGGGCTCACCAGGGGCAGCTTCTGCGGTGTGTGTCCATCACCTGGTGGCCTGTGATGGGCAGTCAGTCTCGACCAGGGGCTAGTAGGAAGCCAGGGGTGGTTTTCCCACAGGGTCCAATCTTTCTGCAGAGGACAGCATCGATCGGCATCGATCGGCTCCTTAGTCCTGAAGGTCTGCACGGCCATCCTTCCTCAGATCCACTCCAGAGGCTCTGCTGGCTGGTCCTTCTTCGCCACAAATGTTTGGGGTTTCTGGGCCTGCAGCCTGCCCTGCCGTGAGCCTGCATCGAGCCTCATCCTGTGTGTGAGGGGGTCACTGGGCTAGGAGCTCGTGGCTTCTTGAGGGGGTGCAGCAGGGGTGACATCAAACCCAGCCCGTGCTGTTCCCACTGTCCTCCATCCGCATGGTGCCGTGATGCTCGTCCTGAGGTCATGGGGTGAAGCGTCTGCTGCCTTGGGTTTAGGGCGGTCGCCCTCTGCAAGAACATCACAGGAAATGTGCAAACAGGATCTCAGAATGGAACCATCGACATGTTTGAGGGAGTGGCCTGTTTTTATGGAATCCCAGGACAAACCTTGTTGCAAAATGAAAAATCTTTCCACAAAATGACCAAGCGCTCCCTAATAGGCGCCATCTATGAGCCTCACATTTGGGGTGGTTGGTTTGCTGATGTCAGGCTTCCTCGGCCTTGGCACGACTGCCTGTGGGCCCATTCACTTTGCTGCCAGCCTGTCCTGGGCACCATTGGATGCTGAGCAGCAGCCTGCCCCCACCCTGCAGAGGCCAGCAGCACCAGCCCAGGGTGGCGATGACCATAAATGTCTGTAGATGTCACGAGTGTCCCCTGTGGGAGGCAAACTCCCCCCAGTTGAGAAGCACTGACTTAAAGTGACTTTTCATTCTTGATCTGGCAGAAAGGCTTGGGCAGCAGCCAGGGGAATCCACGCCTCCCTCCATGGGGCCTCTTGAAATCCACGCAGCAGTGCCAGGCTCCATCTGGGGCATGGCACAGCAGTGAATGCCAGGACTTTTAGCAGCTTCCGCTGGAGTTGGGGATGGAGGGAGATGAAGGCCCCTGTAGTCAGCATGTGACTTGTCATGGGACAGGCTGCGTCCAGGGGTACGGGTCTTGCAGAGGGGACCATGGCTGAGTTGTACTGAGGCCCCCGGGAGGGGGACCGCTGAAGCCTGCCGTGGTCCCCTTAGCCCTGCGGTAGGACAAGCTCATCCTCTGTGATCAAGCTCAAAGCATCCCTAGTTGGCCTTAATGTCTCACTGAGTGTCTCTGACCCGGGATGTTTTATGTAACTCTTCAGAGCTGTACGACTGTTGATGTCAGCTGCATTTCCTGAGGCCCGTGAGCTCTAAAGCACCCACGTGCAGTTTCATTTCTGTTGACCTGTCCTTGGTTTACCTATTTTATGCTCCAGGAGGGACCTTTAGTTCCGGTATGCCAGGATTGGGGGGCTGTTCCCCCAGCTCCTCCCACAGGCTCAGCCCCAAGTCCAGGGTGCTCACTCACATTCTACCATCAGCTGTGACACCCGGGCCCAAAAGTGGCTTCTTCTGCATGGATGTCCCCTGCAGGGACTGGCCGACACGATGGTGCTGCTTATGAGCATAATTTGCTCTCTCTTCTACAGAAATACCATGTTGCTCAAGCTCTCCCAGCAAATTGCTCCTAAGCACAGAAGAAAGTGGGCTCAGAACATTCATTTATCATCTTCCTGGTGGGGGCCGCTGAGAGCCCCACATGTTCTGGCATTGAGGCTGCATCAGTCAACAAAACAAAGTCCTTTTCCCCGGAACTCCTGTCCTGGGTCAGGAGGTCATGGCCTAAGTGGTCACCATCCATCCCAAATCTGCTGTGTTTAGGAGACCATGGGCTGGAAGACCCAGGAGTGGATGCTTTTGCCCCAACGATGGCTGTCACCCAGAATCCCATGGGGCCGCCACCCTCCAGCAGCTGAGAGGGACCTGGTGGAGAATCATAACCTTCCCTACCATCCAGCACCTCAGAGGTGGCTCTGCTGGTGGGAGAATCACAACTTTCCACCTGTAAGTAGTTGGATGCTCCACGTGACACACTGGGCAGAGTCGCCAGTGTTTCCCAGACATCAATATGCTTTCTAAATAGAGGCCACAACATTGTGGCCAATTTAAGCACAGCTCTGAGCCCAGCCAGCTCAGAGCCCCATGAAGTTCCATGAAGTGGAAACGTCAGGTATCAGTAAGTTACACCTGGTTTGGAAATTCAGCTGAGCCCAGGCTTTCAACAGGCAGGCACACCTGTCTTCCAGGCTCAGGGAGCGGCCTCCTGATATCCATTTAGCACGTGGTAAAGGCTCTTCCAGGGCAGCTTACAAGCTTTGAGGCCGGCGTTTCCCACCATGGTGCCTGTCTTCACAGTCCTCCGGGATGGCGCCGTGACTGCATTCCTGTCTGGCGGGAAGAGGCGGTTCTGACCCCCCCTGGCCTTTCCTACCATCATGGCCCCCACTCTGCAAGTCAAGAGACCAACACAAGGGTCTTCCCATTGCTGGTCACTCACACGAAGCCCACATTCTGCATCTGAGGGAATGAGCCAGGCAAGCACAGGCCACTGCGAGGAGAGTGGAGCCCAGACCCAGTTCTCCGTCTGGCCCCCAAGAGTTCCTGCCTTTGGGCCTCCAGGAGTTAGCATTGATTCAGAGCCACTGTCTAGAAATTGCCAGAAGGCCTGTGGAATGTGTCTTCCCGCAGTGCAGTGACCTGGAAAATGGCCCCTGCAGGCTCCCTTTGGGGAAGGTAGCACAGATTCCTTCTGTGGTGTAGCAGTGTCTTCACTCGAGGGAGCCCAGAACCCCGTTCCCGGGCCCTGATCTGGCTTAAGTCTGGCCAGGGGTTAAGAGGCCGTGATTCAGGTCAAACCTCAGTTTATCAGGGTTGGAGGTTGCTTTTTCTTGTTTTATTTTTCCTTTTCATGATACAAATCAAGTAAGATTTGAGTTGGCTGTTGCTATGGTTTGAATGTCTCCCCCCAAACTGTTGAAGCAGCCCCCAGTGTGGCAGTGTTGAAAGTGGGGGGCCCTCGAAGAGTGATTGGATCCTGAGGGCTCTGCCCTGGGGGATGGATTAACCTGTTCATGGATTCAGGGAGTAATGGGTTGCCATGGGAGGGGACTGGTGGCTCGATAAGAAGAGGAAGGGAGACCTGAGCTGGCACGTTAGCAGGGTCGGGCCCCTTGCCATGGGATGACCTGAGCTGCGTCAGGTACCTGCAGAGAGAATCCCCCCAGCAAGATGGCTCTTACCAGCTGTGCCCCCTCGACCTTGCACTTCTCAGCCTCCATAAGCGTAAGAAGTAAATTCCTTTTCTTATACATTACCTGGTTTTGTTAGCAGTGGTGCTTATGGGTATGGGTCTGCAGCAACCTCAATTCTGGCCTCCTCAGAAGAAAGAATTCAACTGAGAGGCAGAAGGCAGAAGGAGAGACCAAGGCGAGTTTTAGAGCAGGAGTGAACATTTATTAAAAATCTCTAGAGAAGGAATGTGAGGAAGGAAAGTCCACTCGGAAGAAGGTCAAGTGGGTGACCTGAGAGACCAAGTGTGCGGCTTGGCCTCTCAACTCAGGGTTATGCATCGGCATGCTTCTGGGGTCACCTTCCCCCACTCCTGAGCTCTTATCAGGAAGCTGCTCATCACCAGCTTCAGGTGTTTTCTATTAGGAGCCTGGCTTTCCCTGGCCCCGGCTGTGGCCAGTTATTACTTTAGAGAGACAGTGTGACAACCGCCTGACCAGCACCTGATGGTCGCTGACGCTCCTGGGGTGAGTGGACCCTCTTCTGCCCTGCTCACACCACACGGGCTGCCCACTGTAACAGGCTTAGGTATTCTGTTACAAGCAAAAGAGAACAAACGATCACAGCTCTCTCCTTGAGTCCCAGGAATGCTGTGATTCACGGGTTGTCATCAGAGATCTCTGTGGGCCAAGCCATGGCCGTGTTTGGGCAGTCCTGCTGCCCACTGCGTGACCACAGCCACCTCATCGACGACTCGCCCCGGGCCCCTGCCCTTCTGAGATTTCGTTTTCCCATCGAATTTGGGGGGCTCTGAGATAATGGCAGCATCTCTCACGGTGACGGCGGCCTCAGGTCACGGCTGTGGTGGAGTCTAACAGTGGGGGCTCTCTTCTCATCCATGCTGTGGGGAGGGGGTCCTCTGGACTCTGGAGGAGAAGTGACGCGGTGGGTGAGAAGGTCATGCGTAAGAAACCCAGCCACGGCGACAGCTCCCTCTCCTGAGATGTTTGTCTTTCCTGGTAGCATTTGGCTTCATCTTACGATGGCAACCATCAAGTCTGTGTTTCAGAACTGTTAGAGCCACTGATGGTCACTCAGACCAACACAAGCCAGCGGACGCAGTCAGGGCACCGGTGGCCGAACCTTCCACGTCTTCCACCCTGGTCCATCACCCTTAGGAGCCAGTGCCACGTATATTCCCTGTGTTTCTGTTGACAAAAACAGGCAAGATCTTGCAGTTCTTTTTGTGTGCATGGTCCCTCCTCCTGGCTCTGACCCTGGGACTTAAGGCTGGTGCTAGGTGATAGGAGGTGACAGTGGACTCGAGTCTTTCAGGCCAGGAGAGGGTGGTCGGGGCAAGAGCAGGAAGCGGTGCCCTGAGTGACTGGGGAATTCAGGGTCTCAGCTTCTCAGATTCTGCCCACCTGCCTCTCCCCACCTATGTCACCTCCACCTGGAGAACCTGCAGGGCTGTGAATCCCGCACGGCTGACTCAGCCTGTTGCACTGGTTCCCAGAAATTGCAGACCTGTGGATCCTGGAGATAAGGGCTTCCTTCAGGCCAGCACAGAAAGTCAGGAGCGGGTGTTCAGAGTCCCAGGGCGATCCAGTCCCTGCACCCTGCAATTTTATGACCCTGGTGCAAGCTGCAGCCATGGGTCCTGAGAGCCGCGCCATGTGTAAACATGCGCCAGGCTCCAGATGATCGCAGTGATAACCGCGTGACCACTCCGGGATCACGTGTGAGTGCACCTTCTCCACAGGTCCCAGGACCACCCATCGGATCAGGGATCACTCCAGACTCCTCTCCTAGAGGCGCTGCCACCCTGGAAGCACATCTGGCACTCAGATCATGTTCAGTCAGAAAAACGAAGCCACCGCGATTATGATTATGGGAACATAGGGTTTACACGGGGGAGTTGCTGGGGAGGGCATTTCAGGACAGCCTTGATCAAAGGGCTGGGGAGATGGTCCAGGCGATGCCAACCGGAAGCCCCAGAGGAGGAGAGGAAAGCCATCCACTAGGGGACCATCGCTGGCCCCGAGCTCTGGGTGGGCCCGGTGTCCGGAGTCTGCCGTCTGCCTCCTGGAAATTCAGGCTTCCTTTCACCTGGGCCTCCCCCTCCTCCCCTGAGCTTCCCTCACCGGCAGGCCAGCCCGGCCCTCAGGGACAGCTGGTGGGAAAGATGAGAATGAACACGTCCAGCCCAGCCCTGAGCCAGGGCAGGTGCGATAGATATAGGCTGGGAGGCCGGTCTCCCTTGGTTCTCATCTCGCCGGGTTCTAATCTCTCCTGAAGTCTTTTTCACACTAAAGCCCTCAAAGCCAGCTGAAGCACTCGCCCGTGGTTCTGATTAAACATTGTTCTGACAAAGGAAATATTATCCTCAAAGCCCTAACACTACAGATGGGCCCCGTGTCTCTGGGTCCTGCCCCGTATGCTTGGAGAGGGGTTTGGCGACTCAGCCATGCCCCAGGGGGAGGCTTGCCGGCCTGCGGGCCCCGCCACCTTCCTGTAAGCGCTGGTCTAGCTGAATATCAAGGTCCCCGGAGGGCCATATTTGATGCTGTAACTGCTGGTGTCACTTTACAGTGAAGACATTCATTATGTCCCTTTGCAGAGCATATTTGATGCAGAGGAGGCCGCTGGAGGCCTGAGAGGAGTGAGGAGAAAGTGCAGGTCCCCGAGCAGCCCCTGGGCGCTTCGCCGCCCAGCTGTGGGCAGGTCAGCAAGGCTGAGTCGCAGGGAACAGGAGGGGCCTCTCCAGGATCCAGGGCCGGGGCCCTTGGAACTCAGCAGTTTCCGGTTTGATAGGGGAGGGATCAATCACACAGATGTATAAAATGTAATACAGAATATTGAATTGCAGTGAACAAGTCTAAACAACTTTAAAATGACCTTCCAGGAAGACCTGTGATACGATTTCTCCCTGGTTTCCATGTATTCCGTACCTACATTTAAATGGCGTGATGATTTATTTTAAGTATCTGTGTGTTTGTATCTCACACCATCCCACATGGATGTCATCCCATAATCGTCCGATTTATCGGCCAAGCGGGACCCCTCCTCCCCCCACAGGCCAGGGTCTGGGTGGGCAGGACCTGGTCTGACTCACAGCACTTGTCAATGATGGATAAGGATGCAGTGAAGAAACGCATCAAACGATGGATAAGGATGCAGTGAAGAAACGCATCAAACGATGGATAAGGATGCAGTGAAGAAACGCATCAAACGATGGATAAGGATGCAGTGAAGAAACGCATCAAACGATGGATAAGGATGCAGTGAAGAAACGCATCAAACGATGGATAAGGTTGTGGTGAAGAAACGCAGACACACCCTCGCTCTCTGGAAGTTTCCGTGACTGAGGTTTTGGGACCAACATTGATTTTAAATACAAGGACAGCAGTTTTAAGGACTCAGTGTGGTGAGGACTCATTGGAAATAAGAAAACGTTTGCCTACTTTACAGATTTTTATGTTCTCTAAAATAGGTCTGTTTTTAAAAAAGACATTTTAAAAGGGACATGTTACATTCAATGAGGGAAGAAAATGGTAAATGTCAGGGATAATTATTTTGTGCTTGAAAGCAGAAGAAAATGAATGATCCCTGATTTCCTGAAGCATTTAAACTAAAACAGAACAGCACCCTGCTCTGTGTAGGTGTGGAGAGAAGGGCATGTGTGGACAGTGTGTGTGTGTGGGGAGAGGGTGTGTGGGAGAGGGTGTGTGGGGAGAGGGTGTGTGGGGAGAGGGTGTGTGGGGAGAGGGTGTGTGGGAAGAAGGTGTGTGGGGAGAGGGTTTCTGTGTGGGAGAGGGTGTGTGGGGAGAGGGTGTGTGGGAAGAAGGTGTGTGGGGAGAGGGTTTCTGTGTGGGAGAGGTTGTGTGTGGAGAAGGGTGTGTGGAGACGGATATGTAGTGTGGAGAGAGGGTGTGTGAGGTGCCCTCTCCTCTAGATCAATCCTAGTGTGTCCGATGCTTCCTTCCACAGGCTCCCGACACAGGTGGCTAATCCGGAATCCTGGTCAACAAAGTCTGCAGCCCTGCAGCCTGCTGTGATGTTTGCTGAGCAGCAGAGACAGGTGAAGAGTTGCTCTGAGAATGCCCTGATCTGCTGCAGCTGTAGGTGAAGGAGCAGCTTAGGATAGAAATCAAGATAAGAGCAACAAACCCAGGCTCCCGCGAGAAGCCAGTGGGTGTCCAACTTGAGGGCGGAGGAAGGCCTGCACTGCCTGGACGAGGACTGACTGCGGCAAATTCACTCCAGGGCTGGGCGTCCACGTCCAGCCAGAACGCAGAACTTGCCGGGTTGCGCTGCTCACACAGGCCCCGCCGTCCCCGCCGTCCCCGCCGTCCCCGCCGTCCCCGCCGTGAAGGTGCTCAGCTCTGCGTGGCTTGACTGCGGGCCCTCAGGTGTCCTTGTCCAGGGCTCAGCCTCCCCATCCTCTGCAGCGGGGACATTCTAAGTGAGTGTCTTGTTTAAAAAATAAAGGTGGTAAAAACTGGAGTGTGAGAGGTTAACAAGTTGGCTCCTGCTTTACTACGGGGGGTCCCTGGCAGCTCCTCTGTTGAAGGACGCATGGGGCATCTGTGCCGCTCTCGTAGGGACGTTTGCAGGGCCTTGTGTGACTGTGTTCACGTCGGCCCCTCTCACCTCTGAGCTCCTCCCCACCGCGCTTGTGAGTGGAGCAGCCCAGGAGACTGTATGTGGGGTTTTCCAACCACAAAGCATGGGGGCTTTGGAGTCTGACGTGCTCCTCGGCATGGCCACATGTGCCTCTTTCTCCACTCCTGGCCATCAGCTGCCCTCAAGAAGTCAGCCACCCCTGCAGATGGACAATGAGTACCCAAAGCCAGGGAGGAAGGGCTTTGTTGGGGGAGCTTGGCGTAGGCGTCCACTTCGTCAGGGCCTCAGCTCTTTCCTGGTGATTCCTGTGGGCTGATGTACCCATCACGGGGCACAGAGTGGGACGCCTGCCATGCCGTCCTCCCTGCAAACCACAGCCAACGTCCAGGCCCCGCCTTTCACTCGAAGCTCAGCCCTTGTTCTGGCCGGGGAATCTGGTGCATCCTGCTGTGTCCAGGGCCCTTGCTATGGTCCCTGGAGTGGTCTCAGGGGCTGTGCCACACCGCAGGGGCCTCGGATGGCCCCCATGTCTCACTGAGCAGACAACCAATTTTCAGTATGCAAGTGACAAGCAAGAAGCGGCGTCACCCCTAAGCCTTGAATTTCTTTGCCAAGCAGGAAGCGGTGTCACCCCTAAACCTTGAATTTCTTTGCCAAGCAGGAAGCGGTGTCACCCCTAAACCTTGAAGTTCTCCAGTCCTGGGCGTCCCCACTGCCTCCTTCCGGGTCACGTGTTCACAGAGCTAGGGGAAGACCCAGAGACTCCAACGTATCCTCCAGGACCTGCAGATGGGCAGAGGCAGAGGCAAGTCCAGCACCCGTGCCGTGCAGTGGAGACCCAGAGATCAGGCGAGGTGCCTGCATCTGTGCTGGCTATGCCACCGCAGCAGCACTGTCCCCAGACACCTGGAACCGTCCGCGTGCACAGGCTCGTGGCTGCCCTGGCGGAGGTGCCCCATGCACCCCCTCGTCTGATGTCAGGTACACTCCTGCCCCAGGCCAGTGCTGTTGCAAAGCTGGAGTTTGTGTTCAGGCTGATTATCTTGAACTTGGGCTAATGTTCCACGAAGAGAGTCTCTATTATCTGATTCATTCATTAAGGGCCCATTTATGGCTCCCTGGTGAATGGGAGCCACTTGCCCCTGGGACTGTCCCTGCCCACTGCGGGTGAGGGAGGCCCCGTGTGCTGTGAACACAGGGGCCTGGGCAGGAGCAGGGGGCAGGAAAGGAGGGGAGCCCCTGGAGCCCAGCCAGACGCAGAGAGCCCTCACCGGCCTGCCGGGAGCCTGCAGGCTGCCCCGGGCTCCTAGGCTCTGAGGCTGGGAGTGCAGTGGCCGGGCCCTGGAGGAGGCTGGGCTGGCAGGTGTCATTCCCTCTCCCGGACTGTCTGGGACAGGAAGGCGGTGCATGTGAGCACCTGGGCGCTTCATTCTGGAGAGCAGCAGCCTCTGGGGAAGAGCAAGCTCGGGCCCCAGCACTGGGGGGTCCAGAATGGCTGAACTCCCGGGCGCTGGTCCAGGGCTGCCTGCTGACACCTGGTCCCACATGGGGCGGGGCAACTCCATCCTTCCCTCCAAAAAATGAAATAGGCCCCGGGGCCCTCTGTAGGTGCAGGCCTCTGATGGTTCTTCCAGCCCACTCTGAGCCTGCAGGAGGCTGTGCAAACAGATGTGCATATGTGTGGATGCATGCACATGTGTGTGTCCCTGAGTGCCTGCATGTATTCCCACACGTGTGCCTGTGTGCTGCATGTGTGTGTATGAGCATGAGAAAATGGGAGAGGGACACATGGAAACAAACGGAGAGAGAAGGAGGAGTGTGTGAGTGTGAGTGCATGTGTGTCTGTGTGTGAGTACATGAGTGCCTGTGTGTCAGTGTGAGTGCATGTGCGTGTGAGTGCATGCGTGCCTGTGTGTGAGTGCATGGCTGTGTGAGTGCATGCATGCCTGTGTGTGAGTGCATGCGTGCCTGTGTCTGTGTGAATGTGAGTGCATGCGTGCCTGTGAGTGTGTGAGTGCATGCGTGCCTGTGTGTGTGATTGCATGCATGCCGGTGAGTGTGTGTGTGAGGGCATGCATGCCTGTGTATGTGTGAGAGCATGCGTGCCTGTGTGAGTGCATGCGTGCCTGTGAGTGCATGTGTGCCTGTGAGTGTGAGTGCATGCATGCCTGTGAGTGTGAGTGCATGCATGCCTCTGAGTGAGTGCATGTGTGCCTGAGTGTGTGAGTGCATGCGTGCCTGTGAGTGCATGCGTGCCTGTGTGAGTGCACGTGTGCCTGTGAGTGTGAGTGCATGCATGCCTGTGTGAGTGCATGTGTGCCTGTGAGTGTGAGTGCATGCGTGCCTCTGAGTGAGTGCATGTGTGCCTGAGTGTGTGAGTGCATGCGTGCCTGTGAGTGCATGTGTGCCTGTGTGAGTGCATGTGTGCCTGTGAGTGTGAGTGCATGCGTGCCTGAGTGCATGTGTGCCTGTGAGTGTGAGTGCATGCGTGCCTGTGAGTGTGAGTGCATGTGTGCCTGTGAGTGAGTGCATGCGTGCCTGTGTGAGTGCATGCGTGCCTGTGAGTGTGAGTGCATGTGTGCCTGTGTGAGTGCATGCGTGCCTGTGAGTGTGAGTGCATGTGTGCCTGAGTGTGTGAGTGCATGTGTGCCTGTGAGTGTGAGTGCATGTGTGCCTGTGAGTGCATGCGTGCCTGTGAATGCATGCGTGCCTGTGTGAGTGCATGCGTGCCTGTGAGTGAGTGCATGTGTGCCTGTGAGTGCATGCGTGCCTGTGAGTGAGTGCATGCGTGCCTGTGTGAGTGCATGCGTGCCTGTGAGTGTGAGTGCATGCGTGCCTGTGTGAGTGCATGCATGCCTGTAAGTGTGAGTGCATGCGTGCCTGTGAGTGTGAGTGCATGTGTGCCTGTGAGTGAGTGCATGCGTGCCTGTGTGAGTGCATGTGTGCCTGTGAGTGTGAGTGCATGTGTGCCTGAGTGTGTGAGTGCATGCGTGCCTGTGAGTGTGAGTGCATGCGTGCCTGTGTGTGTGAGTGTGAGTGCATGCGTGCCTGAGTGTGAGAGTGTGTGTATCTGTTCAAGGGGGTGTGCACGTGCAGACAGTGAGAAAAGGCCTCCTCAGCAACTCGAGCCTCCTAGAGCCTCCCTGGTTGCCAGAGGGGCTGGGGCTGCTGCCTTGTCCAGCTCTCTCCTGCCCACTCCACTGTGCCTCTCCCTGTCCTGCCATTTGCCCTGGGGGACAGCAACTGCGCCTGGGGACCTTGATAACCAAGGAGCACTTTGCCGTTCCCGGCGCCTTCAGATACAGAATCTCACCTCACCCCCGTGCTCACTCCCTTCAGCCGGGCCACCCTAAGAGCAGCACAGAGCCTGCAGAGGCCCCTGGGCCTTCACCCGTGGTGTGGTCAGGAGGCCCGAGAGGCACCTGGCTCCATGCTGGTGCCCTGTGTCTCCTCTGACCACACACCAATCTGGTGCTCAGGAAGGCAGGGCATGCACTGCCAAAGCCACGGCAGAGGGAGACCTGCCCCAGGGCGCCCGCGTGCCAACACGCACAGTGGTCTCTGTTTCATTGTGACCACGGACACCCCCAAATTTATTAGCTTAGCTGTGAGGCTTCCTGACACAAAAACATAGCAGGTTTCTCCTTGCCACATCCAGTTAGGTGCCTACGGGGTGTTAAATATCACATGAAAGCAACCTTTCCTCTGACTTTTTGCTCCTGCTAACTTCACGCAGGTGGATTATTGGATATTTTCTTTCAACCTCTTGCTTCCCCATGCCAGGGGAACCTCACCCGTTTGAGCCAGCCGCCTCTGCCTGCTGCAGCTGCCCTGGCTGGGTCCTGGGAGCCTCACGCCAGGGGCTGCAGCCGTGCTTGCTCCCGGAGGCCTGAGCCGGCCCAGGCCCCCTTCCAAGTCTGCCCATTCCTTAGACGCCTTTCCTTTGCTCTAGGGTCTCCTTAAGGCTCCCTCCAGCCCTGTCACTGGATGGCAATTGTCTACACTACAGAGTCGGTTTCACAGGCAAGCAAGTCGATGCTAACCCCACCTACAGGCTCTCCCCAACTCCAGCCCACATGACTCCCTTGGGGCCCCTGTCTCCCCTCATCCCTGTGCTCCAGTTAAAGTAAGCCTTGTCCCCCCACCCCCCCGCCCCCCGTGGCCTGGCCCCTGCTCTGGGCTCTGCCCACACCCCACCCTTGGACGACCTCCCTCCTCTTGCTCTGTTGGTCAAAATCTTACCTGACCCCCAAGACTCAAGCCTGGGGCCATCTGCAGTGCCACCCCGCTCACCACAGCCTGGGGCATGGTTTCAGCAAGGACTAGTGTGTGTGTGTGTGTGTGTGTGTGTGTGTGTGTGTGTGTAGTGGTAGGGGGGGTGGCAGGGTGTGCGGACAAAGGCAGGGCCTGTGTGGTGTGCTTGACTGGCTCGGGTTTCCTGGAAATGCTTCCAGAATCCTGCAGGGATGCTCTGGTGCTCCTGCCAGCCTGGAGGTTGTGTCCTCGGCACACCCTGCCCTGCTGCCTGCTGGGCCGGGGACAGAGACAGCTCAGCCCTGCTCAGGGGCTGGACCAGCACCTGCAGGCCCTGGATGGAGCCCCGAGAAGGAAGGACATGGTCCAGCGGAAATGGGGCCTCACACACACACAGATGTACACACAGGGTTCATCTGCCCTATCCTTCGCCGGCCAGAGGAGGCCATACATGTTATGAACATGCATCTTAAAATCATGCAACACATTGAAAAACAAAGACTTAAAATGAGCTCAGCTGATGTCCTTGCCAGGACACCACTCCTCTTTGGAAGGTCCCACCTCTCCACCTATCATTGTCATTCATGATTTCTCCATGAGCTGAGGGTCTGTCATCACGTGGGCAATGCTTCTGAGTCCAGGTCTGCGCCAGAGCAGTGAGTGGAAATCCGAGGGGGGCCTTGAAATGACCACGTCACTGTCGCAAAGACAGAAGGAGCAAGGGGTGCTCTGAGCTGCCTGAACGTCTCACCTGGGGAGAGTTTGGACAGAACTTCGAAAACCCCTCATTCTTCCATTCAATTATTTGGGCATTTGGTACCTTCCTACACGTTGGTGGGTTCAGTTCGAATCATGAAGGCTTTTAGGGGAAGGCAGCTGCCTCCAGAACCCACTCTTGGTTTTCTGATGTTGTTAGAAGGAGCAGCGGCTCTCAGGGGACTCCCCCTTCTTAAAGCCCAGAGCGGGTCTGGCGGACGCCCGAGAACCTTTGGGTAAAGTCCACTCCCTCCCTTCCCTAGCAGGAAACTGGAGCCGAAGCTCCTGCTCAGGGCTGCTCTGGTGTCCTGCGGGATCCCACCTCCAGAATCCTCTTGGGAAAAGACATTTTGCTCCCAAGTATTTCTTCATAAAGCTGAGGCCCTGCATCTTGGAAGACGGTTCCCCTGCCACCTACTACTAGGTCTCTCCTCCTCCCCTTAGCCTCCCCTTCTCCCCCAGCCTCTCCCCATCTGTCCCTTCTACCCCTCAAATTGCCCTCCCCTCCCCCACTTCTTCCCTCTGCCCCACTGTTCAAGGTCCCTTTCAGCTGGGACTTCCCCAGGGGTAAATTAAAGGGTGTGGTGGTTCCCTCCCTGGGCCTGGCTGCTCTTCACAGTGTGACCCTGGGTAAAGGTCCGTTTGGTGGCTCCGATGGGAAAAAATTCCCAGGCGGGCATCACCTCCATGGAGGTGACAGTATGAAAGGGATGTGACTGCCCCCAGAGCAAGGGTTTCCCTAGAGGGACCCCAAAAAGCTGGCAAGAAGGTGGCAAGGGTGAGGAGGTGGTGGGGAGCCCCTGCCTCAGTCACACCAGGTGGAGGGGTTCAAGGCAGCTCCCAGCTTCTCCTCTGTTGTTAACTGTTTTCCCACCCCCCCCCCCGCTTTGCCCCCTCCGTCCCATCTGTCCCTATGCTGGAGGCCTGGGAGCAAGGCCTGAACCCAGTGAGAGACCACTGTGGGGGTGCCTAGGTCATGGAGAAACTGTGGGCCAGCCAGATGTCTATGGGGTGGGGGGTGAGGCTCAATTTCCTTTAATCCGCCATTCTTCTGATGGGGCAGGCTGCCCATCTACCAGGAAACCTGCAGGGTCCTTGCACCGGGAGGGGATGGATCAGGGGAGACCTGGCTGCTTCTCTGCCTTCTGCTATTCCCTTTATGGGGGGTGGGGGGAGAGACAGAGGGAGGAAGAGAGACAGAGAGATTATTCTAGACAGAGAGAGTAAGGGAGAGAGGGAGAAAGAGGAGAGGGAGAGAGGGGAGCAGAGTGGAGTTGGAGGGAGACGGTGAGGGACTGGGAGACCGGGATGGGGAGAGAGAGGGAGGCCGGGCTGTCTCGTCAGCAGCAGGCGTGCCCAGGGAAACGCAGGTGGCATACATCGCATGCATAATCTCAGGAGACGGCCACTTTAAATCTTAATTGGTTGCCTTTTAAATATCATTTAAGGGCTGGCTTCCCTGCCTCTCTCTCTAGTTAAGAAGGTGTCGTGTCAAACTCTATTACCTTGCTGGACGTCTCTCCCTTAAGTTAAAAAAAAAAAAAAAAAAAGAAAAGAAAAAAGAAAAAAAAAATGGAATCATCAGCCGCGGTTTGAGAGGTCGATAAAGCTTTTAGATTTGGAGACGTTTTCCGGGAGCCCATTTCCTGCGGCTAAGAGTTGTTAATGGAGCTTAAGGAATTATCTTAGGCCGGGCGGCCGGGAGAGCCGTATATCTCCCGCGCCTGTTCCCTTGTCGAGCCTGAATATGCTGCTGTCAGACTCGCTTAATGAAAAGTAACGCACCGCTGATTACAGTTTTATTTGGGCTCTATGTAAAGAGCGCCGTTAATTTGCATCCCCTCCTTGGTGTGTTTGAATTCGCCACGCCTGAATAACCGAGCGCGCCGGCCCTGCCGGCCTCCCGGCGCCTTCCCAGCCCTTCTCTGACAATCTCCCTGGGAGCCCAGTCGCCCGCCCCGACCCTTCCCCGTCACGCCCCCGCCCCACTGACATCGACCTCCCTGGCGCGTCCACTCAGACACCTAAAATTCACCCCCTCCGTGTCACCTCTTTGCAAACGCCCCCTCCCCACCCCGCTCCGACTTCGGAATTGTCCTGCCTGACACCTCCCCACCCCACAAGATCAGCCAGAGGGTGTTTGGGGGCGCCTAAGGCAAACCGGCTGGACTGTGCCCCAAGGGAAGGGTGTGGGGGAAGCGCCCAGCGAGGGGATGCCATTTCCTGCGCGTCCCCTTAGAATGTGGCTGAATCCGCCTCCCCACCCGACGTCTTTATTTAACACAATCTCGCAGCTTATTCAAATAAGCCAGCTTTGTCAGCCAGTTCCACCAAGATCCGGGGGCTCCAGCGAGATGGAATTCCTATGGCCAGGGCCACGGGGAGGGGCTGGGGTCCCGAGGGCAGCAAGCTTGGCTGGCGGCAGGAGCCCTGGGTCCTCCCCAGGAGAGGGACCCAGAGCCCAGACCAAGTCCAACCCGCCAACCTGCGCCACCCATGCGCGCACTGGGGGCTGCAGAGCCCCGCCAGGCTGCCCGCGGCCGGGAGCGTAAGGCCGGGGTCCACGCCTCGATTTTCAGTGTCCGCAGCCCCTACCCCGCCTATCTGCGACGCAAGGCGAAACCTTGTTTTTGCGGAAAATGCCTGGCTTTGTCTAGGGCTGGGGTGGGGGCGTCTGGGCAGCCACCCTCGGCCACATTAAAATTCCTGGCGCCCCAGCCTCGGGCCTCAACGCTGTCCCCCGAGACGCCACTTTCGCTATTACTGTCAAGTACCCTTGACTCTTTATTTTTGCCCTTTTATCTATTACAACTAATTCGAGTTCTTTTGCCCTTTTCAGTCTAAGACGTGGGCTTTCTGCAAAGCCTCCCCCTGCCAGCGAGCTCTCGGAGCGCGGAGCCTTTAGAAATTGAGGGGTTTACTGTCAAAATGAAAATTTCACTTCAAATTACCTTGGCTGATGCTCGCTCGCCAGGCCGGGGGCTCCCGCCGCAGCCTTTTGACAGGCACATGAGCCGCGAGCTTCCGAACCTCGATAATATCATCTCGAGCGCGAAAGTCAATACGGTGACAGCGCGCGGCCGGATACAATCCAATTACGCTCGGCTGCCCGGGCGCTCCTGGGGCTCGGGGTCCGGCGGCCGAGGGTCCCCCTCAGGGCCCGGTCCAGGCCCTGTCGCCAGGGTTCAGGGCAGGCCCCACCACGCGGGGGACTTTGGTGGCCCAGGGGTCCCCACGAGGCCGCAGTCCGGGTCCGCCCAGCCCCAGGCTCCTAGAGGAAAGCCGAGCCTAGTGAGTCCCTCCAAGGCCGCCCGCCCGCAAGACAGTCCTGCGTCTCCGGCTATCCTGTCCCAGGCAAGGGCCTGTGGTCGCCTCCTCGCCGCCCCCGGGCCGCTCCCGTAGTCCTTGGGACACCTGGGCCTTTGATGAGCCCAGCAGGGCTTCGGGCGGAGGGCTCGGGGTGGGGGGTGGGGGGCGAGAGGAGAGGCCTCAAGTCCGCCAGGCGCCTGCGGGGGATGCGGAACCGCCTCCGCCGCGGGGATGGGGAGGGGAGCCCGGATTTCTGAGCGTAGCCACGGCTTGGCCGGGCCCCCCGAGCCCCGGATCGCTCCGCGGGTTCCTTCCACACGCCCTTCCCGCCCTGCCCCGAGGCCTTTCCTCCCAGTCCCGCCTCCGGTCGGCGGCCTGTGAAGCTCTGAGCATTTCCCCCCGCGGAGCCGCGGCTCGCCGGCTTTCCGAGCAGAGCTGATTGCGGAGCGGCGGGTCCCCGGAAATAGGAGAGCCGAGGTTAGGAGGTGGCTGAGACGGCAGAGGCGTCGAGGCCGCCCTAACTCCTGCCTAGGATGGGCAGAGGCCGCTAACAGAGAAAAGCAACGATGGGCTCCCACGCCCCCCCCCGGGACACGGCTCTGGGAATTTAGAAAGTTTAAAATCTAATCAAAGAAATCCCTATTTTTTCAAACTTCTAGAGTTGGGTGATGGGAAGTACGAGTTCTGGGTCTCACACCCACTTCTATTAGGGAGCTCAGCAGAACCCTCAAACTCTACAGCGACAGTTCTTTTAAAAGTGGCTTAAAGTCTTGGGTTGAACCAGCTGCTTTTGGGGAGTGGAGTCTGGGTCAGTTCCTGCTCCCCACTCCTTCCCTCCCGGATTAGCACCGCTTTCCCTTGGGAATTCTCAAATCCCCTGGTTTTAAATGTGTTCATTTTGCAATACAAACACCATCACTCGGTTTTATTGGTTTTGTTATATTAGCCTCTGAAGCAGGCAATTATTGGTGTGAACATACATCTTAAAAAGCATCATATTATGGAGTCAAGAGTGTGCAAGAGTCAACTCAGTGCAAGTGCTGTTGGTGAGCATTACGTGCTGAGGATGAAATCGGAGGCCCGACAGGCCCAGGAGGCCTCACGCCCAGGGGACAGCAGACCACGCTTCAGAACGGAACCGCCTTCTCCATGTAAACTTTTGACGTAAACTTTATGCTTCAGGGTATCTGGCCTCTTCTGCTCCGAGAGCCTCTCCTTCCGCGTCCCAAATTTGGGAATGGCCCGGTCAGGCTCAGGCCCAGGCGGTGGAGGCCCCGGCGTGGCAGCGCCGGGCTTGTCCATGTTCCCAGGAGTCCAAGTTCAGAAGCCCCCTCTCCGGTGGGTTGGCGGCTTCGCGGTGGCCGCGCTAGTCTTCCTCTGGAAACTCAGTGAAAAGAGTCGGCGCCGTCCGCCTGAGCGCGGGTTCCCTCCTGGGCTCGGGACCCGCCCGCCTCAGGCGCAGAAGGGTTTGCCGCCGGCCTTGGGCAGGGCGAGCAGCTCCCTGGCGGCGCCTGCAGCTGGGGCGTCCTGGGGCACGGCAGGCGGAAAGGCGCGGGCCAGGGGTGCAGTCAGCACGTTCGCGCCCGCCCCCAGCGAGCGTCCCAGAGGCCCGGGGTCCAGGAGGGCGCCCTTGGCGGTGGCCCAGGCCTGGTTCAAAGTGCTGTGCCTGAGGATGGGGTCGTGGAAGACCCCGTCCACCCAGTTTCTGAGACTGGTTACCGGGGAGTCCTGGTGCCTGTCCAGGGCGCCAGAGTGGGGAAGGGCCACAGACGGGGACGTGGCGGGCGCGGAGGACACAGCCGCAGGGGCCGCGGGACCTTGGCGCTTGAGCATGCACGACGGAAACTCAGTCTGGCTCAGGGAGGTGGCGGCGGCGGCGGCGGCGGTGGCTGTGTGGGCCAGGGACCAGATGCGCGGCTTAGCCTCCAGGCCTGCCGACGCCCCCGCCGGCACAAACCCCAGCTTGGCCTCGCAGACCTGAGGGCCGCCCTCTGCGCCCGGCAGTGGCTCCGGCCCGGCCGCCGCGCTGCGGAGACAGCTCCGGGCCCTCTCCAGGTCCTCGTCCAGAGCAGCTCCGCCACCCGCGGCCAGAGACATCCGGAGCGCGCCTGAGGCCTCCTTGACCGGGCCGTCGGGCGCGGCGGGGACGCGCTCCAGACCGCCGTCCAGGGAGTGGAAGGGCGGCTTCAGCTCGCACGCCGGCGGCTCTGCTTCCAGCGGGTCGAAGTCGTCCAAGTCACTAAGCTCCAGCTCCTTCTCCTCTTTGCCCACGGGCTCTGCGGGAGAGAATGCGTGGCCAGTGGAGGGAGAGGGTTGGTAGGTGAATCAGACCCCCTGTCCCCGTCCACCATTATGAGGCCTGTTCCCGACGCTACGAAAAGCACTCGGGGCCTCTCTTCGCGTCTCCCATTTCCTCCAGAGGCCACCAGGTCACAAACTGGCAACACAGGGGCCTCCAATGGGGGAGGGGGGTGTCTAATTTTTTTTTTTTTTGAGACGGAGTCTCGCTCTGTCGCCCAGGCTGGAGTGCAGTGGCGCGATCTCAGCTCACTGCAAACTCCGCCTCCAGGGTTCAGGGCATTCTCCTGCCTCAGCCTCCCGAGTAGCTGGGACTACAGGCGCCCGCCACCACGCCCGGCTAATTTTTTGTATTTTTAGTAGAAACGAGGTTTCACCGTGTTAGCCAGGATGGTCTCAATCTCCTGACCTCGTGATCCGCCCGCCTCTGCCTTCCAAAGCGCTGGGATTACAGGCGTGAGCCACCGCGCCCGGCCTACTATTTTTATACGTGATTTGAGTTCCTTTAAATGCTCAGGGGTCACCACCACAGTCCCCACATTGGTAGCCTGAGGCAGAACCGGTTTGCACGGTGACCGCCTAGGCATGGGGCTCGGCGTTTGGGACCCCCAAGACGTCCTAGAACCGCAGAGAAGGCACTGTGCCTGCACTCCAGGGCCTCAGCCCCCAGTGACAACCTCCCAACCCACCTGCGTTCTTGGAGCTCTTGAGGGGCTCCTCCCGCGCCTCCTCCTCGCCCCCCTCCTCCTCCTCGCCCTCCGCGTAGGGCCGCTTCTCGTCTGCGCACTTGTTCCGCGGCGGCCACGTCATCTTGTTCTCCTTCTTGAGGCGCCGGCGCGCGTTGGCGAACCAGGTGGAGACCTGTGTGAGGGTCATCTTGGTGATGATGGCCAGCATGATCTTCTCGCCCTTGGTGGGGTAGGGGTTCTTGCGGTGCTCCTGCAGCCAGGCCTTGAGCGTGCTGGTGGTCTCGCGCGTGGCGTTCTTGCGCCGCGTGCCGCTGTCCATGGTTCCATACCTGGAGACAGGCTCTGCAATGGGCTCAGGCTGGGCCCTCTGGGCCCCAGGCATCATGGGCATAGGGGTGGGGGTCGGCCAGGGGCATGCCAGGATGGGCTTTGCTTCCCCGTCGTGGGGTTGTGGTCATGGTCATAAGGCCCAGGTAGGACCCGAGCCCCAACCAGGTGCCGCTGCCTGCTGGCACTTGTCTTCTGTGGCCAAAGGGCAAAGATTATATTTGACTAAACTTACAGGGAGCCTGGGCTCCTTCCCAAGCCAGAGAGGTCCAGGCCAATTCCTTTATGGGGATGACCGCCTAGCCGTTTGATCCTCAAACCATAAAAAGGTATAGACAGGTAAGCCCACACCCTGAGATGTAACACGTGTGGCAGGAAGGGTCATTACTGCCCAGGAGGAGAAAGCACCCAAGGGGCCTAAGTGTACCGTCTTTGGATAAATTTGTAGTGGTTGCATTGAGGAAAGTGGGGCATCCTGTCCAAAAGTGGGACAGGAGAGAAAGGAGGGCCACCAGGGGTTCCCCACTGTTCCCACTGTAGGGGCAGTGTGGACACTCGGAAGGAGGTGCCCAGAGTCTGCAGAGCGGGCTGCCCCGTGAACTGGGCCTTCCAGATTCGACTTCCCTGAAAGCTGCCGCACATTTAGGACTTCTGGGGCCCAACAACGTGGGGGACGGGGAGACTGGGGAGCATTTTAACCATGGCTGTGCAGGAGCAGGTGGGACAGGAGGCTGGACCCCACAGACCACAGACTCAGGTCATGCCTGACCTAAGAGTGTCTCTCTTCCTGCCTCCCGCCTTCCAGAAAGGGGGCATGATGGTGGAGGGGAGTTGGTGGCTGACAGTGCAGAGGGCCCGTGGGGCTAGTGCTGGTTAGGAGGGGTGGGTCCTCACCTGTCATAGGGGTACTGGCCCAGAGCTGGCTCGTAAGGGTAGTAGGCGGCAGCGGCTGGTGCCAGGCCCCCATGCGCAGATCCCGAACCATCCTTGGAATCAAAGCTGTTCTGTGGGAGCCAAGAGTCTGGGGTCGCAGTTTCCAGGGAGGCAACCCCACTCCAGCCTCTCTCCTAGGAGCCCCCCACTCCCAAAGGCTTGGCAAGGATTCCTGGGCAGCCCTACGCCCCGGCAGGAAGGAGCTGATTTCCCGCTTGCTTTAAAACCTGGTCTCGCAAACCTGAAGTGGGGATGTTCTGAGTTGCAGAAGCAGTGTGTGGTGGAGCGCGGGCCGGTGGGGGGGGGCGGGGGGGAGGAGGTGCAGTGTGGGGAGCGGGGATGTGGAGTAGGAGGAAGTTGGAGGGAAGCCAGAAAGAACTGGGGGCCGGCAATAGGGGGCAGCTGGGAGAAGGAGTGGGGATTGTTAGGGCTGGGGATGCCCTGGGATGCACTCAAGTGGGGAGGAAAAAGGGGTGGAGAAAGGGGAGGGGCTGCTGAGCGAGGGGATGGAAGCCAGGAGGGGAGAAGGGAGGAGAGAAATGGGGAGGCGCAAGGCGGGGGGAGGAGCAAGGGTGGGGGAGGAGCAAGGAGGGGGAGGAACAAGGAGGGGGCGAAAGCAGGGGAGAGGGAGGAAGAGGGAGATAGGAAGGATGAGTCAGAGAGGGGCTGGGAGGACAGGAAGAGGGAGGCCAGGAGCCTGAAGGAGGCGGGGAGAGGAGAATGGGGTCAGGGAATGAGGGAGGGAAATCTACCAGGAGGGAAGAAGCGGGAAACACACGCAGACCGAATCTGCCAGCTGATGAGGATTTAGTAGGGAACCAAAAACAAGAAACGCAGTGGCCACCTGCCGGGTCATCTGTCCCAGGGGGTGGGGGTGGGGTTCTGAGGGTCTCGGCTGGGAGGCGCAAAGTTGAAGGCAGCCAAGGTGAGCGCCTCCCCTCTGTGACAGTCCGGGGACCCGGACTGGCGCGCCTACTGGGGCAAAAGTGGGCTTGGCAAATCGAGGGCCAGGGGCAGGGCAAGGGCTAGGGATGCCCCACTTACCAGCGAGTAGAAGGCGGACGCCTCCGAGCCGTAGGTCACGTAGTTGCCATAGCCCTGCGATCCGCCATAGGGACCCCCATAGACGCCCAGCGCCGCGGCCGAGTTGAGCTCGTGGCGCGCGGTGGCCAGCAGCCGGCTCTCGTAGACCGGGCAGTAGACCGGCGCCTGGGCCGAGGCGGCGGGCCCGGAGTCCGCCAGCGTGCGGCCTCCGGACTCGCAGCACGTGCTCAGGGAGTTGGTGGCCATCAAGAACTGCAGAGAGAGGCCGCGAGGACTGGCGGGAAGCCGGGCTGGAGGCTGGGGCCCTGGGCCTTGCCAATCCCGCGCGCCGCCCACGAGGGCGTGCCCCGAGTACCCCCGGGCCTCCCGCCGTCCACACCAGGATGCTCGCCCCTTTCCACTAGCTTGTGCGCGTCTGGCCTCCTCCGCCACGTGGGGCCCAGCCGAGCACCTACACCCTTCCCCGGAGGGTTTCCAAGGCCTCTGACGCCATTTGCGCGCCAAGCCTCCTTCCCCAGGGGTTCCTTGGGGTCCTAGGACTCCCCTGGGGCACAGCCTGAGCCTTGTGGTTCAAACATCAGGGAACCCGGGCCCGGCCCGTCGGATTTTCTTAGCGCCTCGGCCTTTCCCCGGGGGTTTGGGGAGCAGGGGTTGGGCGTGAGGGGCGCGCGACCCAGGCCTTGCTAGCTCGGAAGCCGCAGGCAGTCGTAGGTCGGACACTCCCCACCCCCCGTCCCCGCCCCATCCGCCCTACCGGCACCTGCGGTGGCCTGGGCGGGGCGGGGCTCCGCTTACCTGGGGAGCCGAGGAGTAGGGGTATCCAAACTGCGGGTAGGACATGGCGGGCGCGGCCCGGGGCGGACGGGCGGGGCCTGCAGGGTTCTGCGCGCTGGGGCCGGCGTGGCGCGGCCACTGCTCCGGAGCTGCAGGCTTCTAGGCGCTGGGAGGGCGAAGCAGGAGAGCCGGTTAGTCCATCCCCGCGCTCCGCAAACTTTTCTAACCGGGTAACAAAGTGAGCAGCGGTGGCCGCCGCGATTCCTTTAACTTCGCATTCCGGAGGCTCGAGGGGGCTCTGGGACCGAGCGGCCTCGCAGCGGCGACAGAAATACATATTTTACGAAAAAGAAAAAAAAAAAAACGAGTCGCGCGAACCCGTCAAGTCAGATGTGCGCGGCTTGAAGCGGAGGAGGCTCTGACGTCAGCCCCACCTCGCGCAGCCCGGCCTGGCCGCAGACTCGCCGGTCACTCGCCGGCGGCTCAGGCCGGGAGGGGCCAGGACAGTCCCGGCCGCGCGGTGGACGGAGGGGCCATTCCTCCGGGCGTTAGCAAATAAATTCCATCCGAGTCAATATCGCCCAGCGAACGGTGTTTCTCTTTAGTCACCCGAGAACGAGAGGCACTTTTAATTAGAAATTAATTAATGAGCAGCTGCTCCTTCCCGCCCCACTGTAATCATTCGTCTCAATTACAAATGAGACCTATGAAAGGACACGCTGAAGATGTAATCAACAGTTAAAATTAGCCCGGCGCTGCGCAGGCGGCCGGCCCGGCCTCGCGCTGGCGCGCTCTGCTCCGAGTGGCAGGAAGGGGCTCGCAGGCGCCCCGCACGCGTCTCGTCACTATTGTTTAATCGAGAATCAGCAACGCCTCCCGCCGGTTTCCACCCTACGCCGGAATGGACTTTCAGAACCCACTGCGGCCGCAAGACAGCCCGCAAGAGCTGGTCAAAATGCCCTCAGGTGCGTGGGGGCTTCGGGGCCTTAGTTGGAGCCCGACACCCTGAGACTGGCGGCCCGAGGGCTGTAGGGCCGCCCCGGGCGTGCGCCCACCGGCTTTGCACCTCTGGGCAGCCGAGTGTCGCGGAGAACGCCCCATCTTCTCCACCGCGGTCTTTTAAGTTCCCGCTCAGCCCACCGCCCCCACCTCGCCTCCCCGACTTTCCTCCCCGATCCCCTTTCCGCCGGCCGTGCTCCGCCGGCTTCCCCCTGCCCCTCGCGGCTAAGCCGGGGACTGCCGGGCGGCCCTGCGCGCTCGGAAGAGCAGGTTCCTCAACCCAGGCCCCGGCCCCTCCCGCTAAGCTCGTCCCTCCCGGCGCCCCGCAGGGCTGGCTGCGAGGGAGGGGGCGTTGGGTGCCTGGCGGAGGCGCCCTCCCCTGTCCATTTTGCCCAGCTTTCTGTCTGGGGCGCACGGAGCAATCGGAAGAGGGGACCGAGCGCCCACCCCAGGACTCCCTCGGCCAGTACCCTCCCTGGGACCTTGCCCAAGTTCAAAGCGGAGGCCAGTGAGCAGGCGGCAAGGGGGCGGCAAGGGGGCGCCCGGGCCATCCCGAACCCGTTCCCCGCCTTCTGCGCCATCGCCCTCCGGGACCGGGACTCGCCCCGGTTGCCCTCGCCCCCTGGGCCGGCCTCCCGTGGTAAGTTGGGAAGGAAGCCGTGCAAGGCAGCGTTGTGCAGACTTGCTCAGAAAGATTCCTGGGTTCAGACCTGTGAATCGCCCCAGGGTCACCCTCTAATTAATGATGACGTCCTCGCCCTCTCCCCAGCTGCAAGCCTGCCTCCCAGAAACGAAATCTGCCTGCTCTTTTGACAGCTCGGTTGAAGGTGATTGATGACTATCTGGAGACCACAGTACACATCATATAATATCTGCTGCGTAATTGCTTTAATTTACAGATGAAAATACGAGTTCTCCGATCGCGTTGGACCGGAGCGGGCCACGTCCGAGCTGCTTGCAGAGGGAAACCATCGGAAATAATGAATAGCCGCTCCATGCAAATTATTCAGACAGTTTAGCGTCGGTAGCCGCGAGAAATATATAAAGAACACGAGTCAAATGACATTAATAATTGTTTCTGAATTCTGTATTGATTTCGCGGCAGGCCGCGTTTCTTTCTTTCTCACCTGAATCGCTAATATCACCTTCCTGTAAATAATAAGAAACTAGCCACCGGGGTTTCTCGCTAGAAATGAATCTCTCAACCCCTTTCCCTCTCCTCCTGCTCCTCCCCTCCCCCACCCTCCTTCCTCCCCTCTCCCACCCTCCCTCCTCCCCACTCCTTGCAGTTTTCTGGTTTTTCCCGAGCATCCTTCTACTTCCCATTATTTATTGTTTACAAACTACTCGCTCTCTCCAGGTAATGAGGCCCGGCTGAAGGAGGGGTGTGAGCCCAGCCGGGCCAAGGGCTGGGATGGGGAGTAGAGACCCCCAGAGGGGAGGCATTCAGCTGTGGCTTGTCCTTTCCTCACCTATACTCGGGGACCTGGCCTCGGCGACTGTGAGCACTCCGCCGGCTGAGGGGGAGAGCCAGGGCCCAGGGGCCCAGCCACCTATGCCCTGCACCTCTGGGCTCTAGTGCAACAGCTCAGCCCACCCAGACCTGAGGCTGGTGCATTTCCTTCCTTCCAGACCCGGCGGGGCTTAACTGGAGCCGAAGCCCCAGAACAGGCGGCCATTCATCTTCTGAGCAGAGTCTGGGAGAAGCAGCCTCCACTTCCCAGGGCAGCCAGTACGTGGGGGCCCTTTCGGGGGCTTCCTTTGACCACCACCGCCACCTTCTCCTGTTCTCTTTTGCCTTTCCAGCCTGTGTGCATAAATCGACGCTCCAGTCCCCACCAGCGGGCGACCCTTTCTCCGTGACCCAGAAACCTGGCCTCTGAATCGGCTTTCCCAGGCCGCCGCACACACACGCTCCACTTCCTGCCCGCCAGCAGGCCCCAGCGCCTGGGGTCCGGGCCCAGTCACAGTCACCCTGCCTCGGGAAGCTCGCAACTGCCCAGGAGGCCTCCTGACCCGCCCGGCCTCACCCAGGCCCCACTACTCATTCCAGGACACAGGGTCAATCCAGCCTGTGGATTGGCGACCACCGGGACATCTCACTGAAACCCTGTAGCCTGGCCTAGGCCCGCCTGCCCAAACCGGGGATTCTCACTGGGCCACCCTTCTCCCATAGATAATACTGGAATATTTTCCAAGTGCCTTCACCAAAAGGCCAAGCCTGGAGCGGAGGCACCCAGTGTCCCTTTCACCAACGATAGGACGCTCAGCATCTCAGGTATCAGCTGAACGCGTCTGCATAGACTCGGAGTGCTGAGCCTTCCTCCCTCTAGGGACCCCCGGTACTAAATACACCCGTGAGCAGGTGGGCCAGAAGTCAGCCGGCTCCCGGAGTACACAGCACCGGCTCAGCTTCGGGGAGATGAGGTGCTCCCGCTGGCCTGGAGCGCTCCGAAGAGCGGAGGACCAGGGCCGGAGCAGGCCGCAGGGGAGGCAGGGGATGGTCAGCCCCTAACGCGAAGCGCAGGCGGGTCGCCTATTTTGACGGGGTTACCGTTGGCCGTCGGAACCATGGAAGGCCTCCGGGGAGACAGGCCGGGCCCTGACCCTTCTTCGGCCAGCCTAGCCCTGGTGCTTCAGGAGTTACCCTGGGGGCCACCAGTTCCCCGCACCAAGAGCTCGTCCGGAGGGAGCTCCTTCCAGCCCAGAGAAGTTAACTCCAGCCAAAGGCGAAGCCGGGAGCCCGGGGCACCAGGCAAGGGCCTTTCTTTCTGAGACCTGGGGCCAGAGACCTTGGGGGCGCCTGTGCCCGCCCACCGCTCGGGACACCCGGCTGGGGTGTGGGTTTGAGAGGCCTCACGGTCGCTGACGCCGCACTGGCGAACCTCGAGGTTGGCAGGTCATTTCCTCACAGCCCCGAGGCCCCCTCGGAGCCAGTGGTAGGAGAAGGAGCCACAGGGACAAGCGGTGAATCTCTGGATTCCCAACCGCCCTCCATGGGGGCCCGCGGCCCTCTCCCTCCTCTCTCCCGCTGCGCCCCCGCCGCTTGCTCCCTGGGTACGGCCTGAGGCTGGACGGAGCGCCGTCCGGGCGTCCAGGACTCAGGCCTGGCCACTCCGAGCCCCCCACCCCCCGCCCCGCGCCGGCCCGCGCACCCTGCTTCCCGCAACTTGCAGCAAACGCAGCGGCCTCTGGAGAGCCTAGCGACGGGTAGCAAACTTTGTCCCCTTAAGCGCAAGAGCAATCCTCGCAAAGTTTGTGCGGCGGAGCCCACTCCCTACCTGAGCTGGGGAAGCTCCCGCCCGCGCCGTGTGGCTGCCGGGGCCGCGGGGAGCAGCTCGCAGCCCGGGACGCACCGGGGAGTCGCCGCAGCCGCCGCCGCCCGCTCCCCTCGGCGGCCGCGCGGAGCCTCCGCCTCCTCGGAAGGGGGGAGGGGTCTCGGAACCCCGGGGCGGGGGCGGGAGCGGGGGACCTCACCTACCTGCGGTGGCGCTGGGCCGCTCCCGGCAGCCCGCGAGGGCTCCGCGCGGAAGCTCGGCGCGCGCGCTCCAGCGGGGAGCCGGCGACAACTAATGGAGACATTTCCAGGCGGAGCACCTGGCGAGCGGAGCGCGCCGGCGTCCCCAGGCGCCGCGGTCGTCAGCCGAGCCCGCACCGGCGTGACGTGGGCGAGCGAGCGCGCTGCTCCCACCCGGCCGCCCATTAACGCTTTCTCCCGCGGGCGCCGCGCTCTTGCCAACTTTCCCCTCCGTCCGGTCTGCGCGCGGCGCGCCGGGTGCAGGAGCTGGGGTGAGGGCGCCCCGGGTGCCAGCAGGGGCGCTGGGAGCTGTTTGGGCGGGGACGTAGGGCTCCGGGAGGTCACACAGCCCTAACAGGACAGTGGGAAGGCGCGCGAGCCAGATTTGGCCAAACGCTAAGCTCGCTGCGGCCTCGGGCCCTCGGCCCACGGGGCCCCTCTCCCCGTTTGGGCTGCCCCACCCAGGGACGCTTGGGCCGGGCGCGAAGAGCCCGGAAATAGCCACCCTTGTCGTCGGCCCGGTTTCCCTCCGAGGTCTTAGTATTTCCCCCCTCCCCCACCCCCCAAGGCCTGTGGAGGGCGAGGCTGCTGCTCCAGCCAACCCTCGGAATTGGCTGCAGGGCGCTCAGGTCCTGCCTTTCTTCCCCTGCCCCTCTCCCAAGCCCCTCCGTGCTAAGCGGCCCAGTTCTGGGTTCTCTCCTGGTGCCCACGCTAGTCCCTAGCCGGCTCACTCTCAAAACAGCAGGCTGTGGCAGGGGCAAAGCCTAGGTCCGGGCACCAGGACCCGGGCAAGTGGGCGCGAATGGACCACGGTGATAAGCCGCCCGAGGACCAATGAGTCTGTGACCTGCCCGGGCTAAGGGGGGCATGCCCTGGTGGGGAGCCTGGTCCCAGCCGCCAGGGTTAGGGGAGGGCATGGGGGCTGGACCTCTGGCCTGGGGTCAGACTAGGGCTGGAGGGTCTTCCGCTTCTGCAGCCTGAGGCCAGGACCCAGTCAGGGAAGGTGCGCCTGCGTGCAGCTTGCCCTGCCCCTCCCTCAGGGAGCTGGGGGGCCCCTACCCTGCCCCCGCCACCTCGCCCCCGCAGCCGGGCACAGGTCTGTTTGTCATCCACAGAGCCGCTGCTCTGCAGAGGTCAAGACAGGCCCCGAAGGGAAGCTGGAGCAGCAGGTGACCGGCTGCCCAGGTCAGAGCCAGAAGGGACTGGAGGATGATGCAGCCCCAGGGCTCCTGGGGGATGAAGGAACTAGGGCCCTGAGAGGGCCACTCTCCCAGGCACTGGCCTGGCTGGGGCTGCAGACGCGCCCCCTGGTTCCCATGCTGCCCCCATTAGTGGCGATGTGCGGGGCAGGGCAGCCTCACTCCTACCTGGAGGATGTCCTTTTGGGCAGTGCCATGGGGTATTTGGGGCAATCCTCACATATATTTGCTTCCTTCCTTTATTCTACCCTCCTCCTCCATCATTTTTACTTCAAAGAACCATGAACTTGTTTCTTGTCATCTGTGGTCATGCAATGACATTTGAGATTTGTTGACTTGGACAATCTCTGAAAAAGTTATTTGCATCGTTTTCTTCAGCTCTCTCTGTAGCTGCGGGAAAGGGAACAGGCCTCTGCTTGCCTCCCCATTGCACAGGGAACCATCCTTGTCTGCAAGCCTTGCTCATCCTTCTTTTCCTCCACCCGTGGGGCTTCCACGGGGAAAGAAGAGGGCCCAGAGTGTCCAGCCCAGGTGCTGGATCGAGAGCTCCAGGGGCTCCCCCGGGAAGGACGAGGCTTTGGTCTCTGGCCTGCTCTGGCAGCAGGGAGGTGGAGTGGGCCGTGAGGCATGGTGCGGACCGTGCGTGTGAGTCACCAGTGCAGCCCATGGGCGGACTCTGGGGCACAGGGAAGGGGGCTCTGGTTCTAGGTTTCTACCCTCCAGCTTGCTTCAAAGCGTGGGGGACAGATGGGCGGGAGCGAGCGGGTGTGCCCTCCGTGTCAGATGGAATCGTCCTCCTTGGGAGGTGGGGAGAGCGTCTTCAATTCCAGCCAGAAGGAAGTTGAGGCCCAGCAGGCTCCACCCCGGAAGGGAGAGGAGGCCCCTCCGTGCCGCACTGTTGATCTTGGCAGGCCCTTCGGGACCAACAGGGACAGTGCGTCAGGACTGCCTGCAAGCTCATGTGGACTTAGGTTCTTGTTAAGGCTCAGTGTAAGCAAAGCGTATGTGCCTTTCCAACCTGACTTCACGCAATGAACTCCTTTCATAGGCACTGCGGCCTCTTCAACAGCAGCAACAGTGGCTAAGAGGCCCTGAAGCCCACAGATGAGGAGCTCAGGGTCACCACCCCCCAGAAAGGGCTCACTGCTAGGATCTTCGTAGCTCAGAGACTGTCAGGCATCCTCTGAAACAACCCCGCCTCCCATCCCTAGCGAGGCTCCGTGTGTGACTTTGTCCCCTTCCCTGGAGGGCAGGGCCAGCTGTGTCCTCCCCCACCTTGGTGCTCCATCCTCAGCACAGGTCCTCTGCACACTGCCAGGCCTGACCTTACCCTGATTTCATGACTCAAGCGACCATGGGCATCTGCAGCTGCCCTCTGCCCCTCAGCCCTTGACCTTGAGGGCAGGGGAGCTGCCCCCACCCTCCTGCTGAGTTTCCAGGCGCTCTGAGGAAAGGATGGAAATTCCCAGGTCTTGGCCAGGAGGCCTGGCAGGGAACATCTGTCTGGGGCCTCCAAGCGAGCAATCAATCCAGAAAGTCTGTCTGCAGCCTGGGCCACCCCTGCAGGGGAGTGTCCTCCAGGGCCGGCTGTGCCTGGCCTCTGCTCCGTATCCTGCTCCCCCCATGGATCCTCTTTCAATCCCTCTTTTGTTCTTCCTGCTGGCAGGGCCCCCAGAGTGCAATCTGAAATAGAAGTCTTTGTGCCCCCAGGGCTTGGCCACGCTGCCGCCTCCTCCTCCTCACCTGGATGCTGCTGTAGCATGCACAGGCATCTGGGGTGGAGAACGCCATCCAGGATTGTCCTGAGGCGTGGTCCTAACATAGCTCCCGGTGCCTGTTGTCACCCAGAGCCCCACAGCCTCATCTTCTCCACCCTTTCCAGAGACCCAGGAGGGGAAGGAGGCCCTTCCCCAGGCCAAGGGGGAGGCCTGGGAAACCTGTCTGAAGTGAGGATGGTCTCCAAAGCATCCTGGGCACTAGTTCACAGAGATGCTCTTGTCCTTGGAAGGCTGGTCCTGACAGCAGAAGGGCAGTGTTTGCAGGATGTAGCTCCCTAGGGGTGTGGCGTGGACAACAGTGTCTTTCATCTCTGGAAGCTCCCTGAGCTCCTGGCTGCTTCAGGGGGTCCCCAGCCTTGGGGCCCAGCCAGTGCTGCAGGGGCAGCCTGCCTTGTACAGCACAAGGGCAGACACAGTGAGTTTCTTTCCCAAGCAGAGTGGCATCTGGGTGGAGACGGCGCTGTGTGGCCAAGGATCAGTGGTGCGCATGGCTGCTGCAGAGTGACCACCAGTGGCTAGCCAGGGGTGGGAGCTTGAGCCCCTTTCACTCTCCTTCTCCTGCTGTCCTGTCCTTGTGAGGCTGGAATGAGGCCAAGGGAGCAAAAGTTGAGAAGTTATTTATTTCTCCTCTTTTCGGGATGAAGAAACGGTGTCCATAATACTGAAATGCATCAGCAATTTTAAGAAGGCCTCATTATTAAAAGCGAAAGGCTATTAGTTCCAGCAGTGTCTGCAGTCTGTATATTTAAATTTGAAATGTTTACCTGGCACAACCTCAAATCACGAGAACCCCAGCTAGAAGAGACATCCACATGAGATTAAGTTATTTTAAATTGTAGAAAAAGGCAGCAGTATGTACGACTGCCAAGTGACTTGAATATTGTTTTGAATTATTTGATGTAGCATTAAGAAAACCTTCAGTAGGTAGAGAAGAAATGTATAAGTGTATCTTAAATGCAATTACTCTTTGCATATTGCTATATGTCGTAGGAACCTCAAAAATACCGAACTATAGATGTAGGAGAGGCCCTGAAACCTGGGAGCTAATGGGGTCTCCTGCCTGGAATTTGCAGGGAGGTTACATTCCTGAAATGAGAATGTATGAGAAACAGCAGAAATGAGAAACAGCATCGCTGCTTCCTGAGGGCTGTTACTGACATGAACGATTCTCTAGTACTTGGATGCAAAATGTACTTTAATAAATAGAAGGTGACAAGACACCATGTAGCATCTTCATGGGTCAGTACGTAAATAGGAGAGAAGAAGAGGCAGAGCCCTCCTAAGGGTGACCTCCGTCAGCCCCAGGAACTTGGGCCTGGGTGCCGCCCTCAGGCTGAGTTCTCTGATACTAGTCCTGTCCTGCCACAGCACGGCATTGTGACTTCTTCCCTATACTCCCCAGCAGGGCTTTGGGGAGGTCCGTGATACTCACCTCCACTTCTGTGATGCCCAGAAAGAGACAGGAAGTGAGGGAACACGAGTGCACGTCGAGGCACCACGTTTTGTCGTTTGCGTTGAGGAGCTGGCCTCTGTCTGCACCTGGCTGCCCTTTGAGCCTGGGCGTGCTCCCTTTAAGGGCTCATCCAGGAACATGTGCCAGCGACCCAAAGACGGTCCTAAAAATTAAAGCGCACTCCCTGGTCTCACAGACACCTGGGGAGCATTCCTTATCCTAAGTTAAACCTCAGTGCTGGCGGTGGCAGCGCGCCTGCAGTGACCAGTATAATGCACCAGTCATTTAATTACCGTGGCAGTAAATCTCGCACGAATATCCTCCAGGAGTTAGCTGATTTTTATATAAAAAAATTTCAGAGTATTTCTTGAAATTCAATTAATTGAAGGCCCCAGATAAAAGGAACACATTGTTAATGGCTATAAAATAACCCTGAGGGAGGAGACGGAGCGCAGAGCCTGACTTCAAAGTGTGGTAGAAATACTTACTGTCTTACTTTAAAAGTATTCAGATCAATGAATCAGTTAAAATTACTTATACGCTTAGCAACCTTTTCATTGACTGTTTGAAAATGACAGAAAGAGAAGCTTTTATTGTCCATGATATGAAAGCTCCGGAGGAGAAACTGTAGTTTTGCCACTTGGTCAGGAGCAGCATCAGGACCAGACCTGGAGGCTCAGGGCTTTGTGAACTGGGAACGCCTCTTCCCTTTCCTGCTAGGAGGTTGTAGGAGGGTCCTGGGGCTGTCACAACAAAGAATCACAACTGGAGGCTTTGGCAACAGAGCCTCGTGTTCTCCCAGTCCTGGCGGCCAGAGGTCTGAGATCCAGGTGTGGAGAGGGCTGGTGCCTCTGAGTCTAAGGCTGGGACAGAGCCTCGGCTTTTGGCCAAAGCCATTCAACAAGTCTGTCTTCTGCCATGGTGGCTGCCGGCAGACTGTGGAGTTCCTAGTGGGTGCATCTCCCCAGCCCCTGCCTGCATCGTCGCAGGGCCTTGCCCCTGTGTGTGTCTCTGTGTCCATACTTCCCTGTTTTATAACGACCCCGGTCATCTTGGGTTGAGGCCCATCCTTCTGCAGTAGGACCCCATCCTAACGGATGACATCTGCAGCGACCTTGTTTCCAAATAAGGTCTCATTCTGATGAAATGGGGTTAGGACTTCAACCCATGAGTTTTTGGGGGACACAATTCAACTCAGAACAGAAAAGTCCCCTGTGATGCCACCTCTGAGGCAGAGTCCATTTTTTTGGCTTGAACTCCCTTCGTCCCTGACTTCCCAAGGGCTCCCAGCATCCCGGCAAGCCCCGCACAGCCCTGTGGGTAGTGAGGCCCAGCATGCTCTCCTCCTTCCTTCCTTTCTGTTTTATCGCTGTCCGACACGCTGCGCGGTTGATTGGCTGTCCTTGCCTCCCTCCTCTGCTGAATGAATGCTCCCTGAGGGCTGTGTGTTGCATTTCCCTGGGACAGTGCCCTGTACCACTTAGTGGGCGCTCAGTGACCATCGCATGAAGGAGGAAGTGTATGTGGCATCTCCAGGAAATGAGAGCAAAAAAGAAAGAAGCAGCCGCACCTCCGTAAGGCAGAGACTCTCGGGAGTCATGGATGGGGAGCCTGAGACTGTTCATTCAACGGGTGTCTATGGAGTGTGTGCATGTCCCGGGCACTCCCGCTGCCTCTTGGATACATCGATGAAGGGACAGTAAGCAGGAGCTCATGGGCTCTCAAAAGAGACACATAACACTATCAGCACCATGAGCGAGTGAATGGGCTGAGCACCTCAGTGGCTGGATGAACGAGCGATGCCTGGCATCAGCTGTCTGTGGCTGCACAGCAATCTAGCCTCACCACACAGCACAGGCACATCCACCTGTGTCCTGCTTGACGTCCTGGGCCCCGTGCTCTCTACCCAGCCTATTCTCTAGATTCTGTCCATCCCTGCACAAGCTGGTGGGATTTTTACTGAAATTACTTTCTGGAGAAGTTTGTGCCACTTCCTCGGCTTTAGCTGGGGTTCACTGTGTTAGATTACATACGTACTGCAGGTCTTTCTGAGATGAGCCTTCTGTCTTAACCTCCTGCTGAGACGGCTGAGAAACAACAGACCCTTCGTGTGACCAAAATTCTCCGACCTTGGATGTTTCTGAGGTCTTCTTAGCTCCACCTTGCCTTTTTCACCAGATGACGTTTTCTGACAATGCTTTAAAGTCATCTCTGAGCTTGAGTCTTTTGCCATCTGAGGGCACTGAACGTGTTCTGTTGCCAGTCCTGGCTCTGTTTTGCGCTCTCCTCTGGCATTTGACCAGAAGCAGCAGGAGGAACCATGTGGCGCCTTTAACATCTCGGAAGTCACCTGTGATGCTGCTTCCCGCATCACATCACACCACATCTCCAGCATCATTGCAGGAGGAGCTGCAGCCGAGTTTCTGCCACCCTGTGAAGATCCCAGCACCACGCTCTCCATTCTCGCACATCCTCTCTGCAGCATGCTCAGGTCTGCGTTTTTGCCCACATTCTGCTTGAGGTTCTTCTGGCTTTCTCTATCCTGGTCCTCAACCTTTTCTGGCTTCTGCCTGCTGCTAGCTCCCAAAGCCACTCCCGTAGCTCTGGGATTTGTTACAGCAGCAGACCGCTTCTGGTTGGTGCACTGCTTGTCTATTGCTGTATGACAGCGTTACAAGAAACCTGGCTGAGAAGAGCACACATTTCACATCTGATTTTTGTGGGTCAGGGATGCAGGCATGGCTTTGCTCAATCCTCCCCTTAGGCCTCTAAGGCAGCAATCACCACGTTAGCCAGGGCTGGGCTCTCAGCGGGGAGCTTGACAGGGGAAGGGCTCCTGATATGGTTTGGCTTTGTGTCCCTATCCAGATCTCATCTTGAATTGTACTCCCGTAATTTCCACATGTTGTGGGAGGGACCGGGTGGGAGATAATTGAATCATGGGGGCGGTGTCCCCCATACTGCTCTCGTGGTGGTGAGTAAGTCTCAGGAGATCTGGTGGCTTCACTTGGCTCTCATTCTATTTTGCTGCTGCCCTGTGAGATGTGCCTTTCACCTCCCGCCATGATTGTGAGGCTTCCCCAGCCACGTGGAACTGTAAGTTGAATAAACTTTTCTTTTGTAAATTGCCCAGTCTCAAGTATGTCTTTATCAGCTGTGTGAAAATGGACTCACATAGCAAATTGGTATCAGTAGAGTGGGGCACTACTGAAAAGATACATGAAAATGTGAAAGTGACTTTGGAACTGGGTAATAGGCAGAGATTGGAACAGTTTGAAGGGCTCAGAAGAAGACAGGAAAATGTGGGAAAGTTTGGGACTTCCTAGAGACTTGCTGAATGGCTTTGGCCAAAAGCCTGATAGCGATATGGACAATAAGGTCCAGACTGAGGTGGTCTCAGATGGAGATGAGGAACTTGCTGGGAACTGGAGTAAGGGTGACTCTTGTTATGTTTTAGCAAAGAAACTGGCGGCATTTTGTCCCTGCCCTGGAGATTTGTGGAACTTTGAACTTGAGAGAGGTGTTTTAGGGTATCTGATGGAAGAAATTTCTAAGCAGCAGAGCATTAAGATGTGACTCGGGTGCCGTTAAAGGTGTTCAATTTTTTTTTTTTTTAGCTTTTCTGTATTTTTTTTTAATATACTTTAAGTTCAGGGGTACACGTGCAGAATGTACAGATTTGTTACATAGGTATACACATGCTATGGTGGTTTGCTTCACCCATCAACCTGTCATCTACATTAAATATTTCTCCTAATGCTATCCCTCCCCTAGTCCCCCATCCCCCGACAGGCCTTTCACCTTCTGCCATGATGGTGAGGCCTCCCCAGCGACGTGGAACTGTAAGTCCAACAAACCTCTTTCTTCTGCAAATTGCCCAGTCTCAGGTATGTCTTGGTATCAGCAACGTGAAAATGGACTAATACCGCTCCCTTCCCTGCTTGGCTTGTGTGGTTGTCAGCAGCATTCATCCCCTTGCAGTTGCAGGACTGACAGCTTCAGACTCTTGCTGGCTGTTGGCTGGGGGTGTGCTCAGCTCCCAGAGGCCGTCCCCAGTGCTGGGCCTTGTGAGGCTGAGCATGGCTGCTGGGTCCCTTGCAGCTGGCAGGGGACAGACTCCAGACGGGCTCTGCAGTCTTATGTAACGTAACCACACAAATGTGCTTATGTGTAGCTGGTTAGCTTTGCCATATTCTGTTCATCACAAGCAAGTTGCAGGGAGGGGATCACCAAGAGGTGAATGTTGAGAGGCAGCGATCGCAGGCCACCCAGAAAGCCTGTCTGTCTCACTGAGAAACAAAGACATAGGAGATTATGCGAGGCACGAAGTGCTGTGGGAAAACCGAGGACACAGACGCAGGGCTCGGGCAGAGTTCCCACGGTGGGCACAGCTGGGCCCTTCCTGGTGGTGTTTTCTCTCTGTTTCTTGTTCCCAGCTGGTTCCCCTTGTGGTGTGGCCAGGGACCTGTGGTGACATGGTGGCAGGCCGTGCCGCTCACTGCGTTGGGGGCCTCCTGCTGTAAGCACTGAGTGGGACTGCACTTCCCTGCCCCTTGGAGCCCCTCTGGCCAATGAGATGTGAACAAGGTGACTGTGTCTCAGCCATAAAGAAGCCTTGGAGCCCAGTGAGAGTCCCCCTCCCCTTCCACCTGCCATGGCAAACAGGAGCATTTCAGACAGTGGAGACTGGCAGACGAGCTCCCTGAATGAGCTGGTGTGAACCGGAGCCCCTGGGACCTGGGCCGACACCTGTGAGAGCAGGAGCAGCTGCAGTTTTCAGCCACTGACAGGTGGAGATTGTTTGTTACAGCCACACGGTCTGTCCTACTGACTGATGCAATGATTCCTTTGCAAGTCAGTTTCATAATATTATAATTGCATATTAGGTGATTTACTGTAATATAATAGTAAATTGTATAATTATATACTATACTTGTGTATTATTATGTGATTACATACTGTAATATAATTTTCAACATAGAAAAAGCTACTAGACAGAAGGGGAATTGTGTGTCTCTGAAGTGCCTGTGGGCATTCCACCTGACCTTAAAGAGAAAATGTAATGTAAGGACAAAACACACAATGCCAATTAAAGACCCCATATAGGAACCTGCTGACCCCCTGCTTCCACCTGCTGGCTGGCTAGGAAGGGGTGCAAATCAGAGCAGCCTCCTTGGACCTCGGAGCAGAAGCCCTTTGTGGAGCTGGGTGGAAACGCCCTGTGCTGGGCCACCGCCCCTCTACTCTCAGTGAGCGAGGAGTGGCTGGAGGGATGCACAGGAGCTGCTCTGCATTTGGGCTCTGCCTTGCAGTAGAGTCTGTGCCTTGTGGCGCAGCGGGGCTGACCTGAGGCAGCCGCAGTGGAGATGGGCCAAAGAATCGGAGGAGGGACTGAGTGGACTTGGTGAATGGTTGGGTGCGGGGCTTGGAAGGAGACATCAGAGAGGATTCCTGGACTTCTGGCTGCGAGGGTGGGAGGCAGCTGGTGGAGCCACGGACACAGTGAGAGTGCATAAACGGCCACAGGTGCCCTGCCCGACCCAGGGGAGTAGGTGCCTCAGCAAGGTGGGGTTCCTGCAGCCGTGTGGGGCTAAGGGGCCCCGGCCTTGTGCGGGCCTCAGGGATGGCTCACCCAGCATGTTTCACTGTGTGTTACATTTATATAGGAAGGTGGCAGTGGGGACTCTCCTCGGGGAAAGAAGAACAACCTTGTAAAGGTGTCCTAGTGTAGTAAATTGCTAGAGTTTCCCAAGCAGGTCTGTTCTGCGTTCTTTCACGTGCGATGCAATGAGATAATGGTGATAACATCACCGTGGATGTTGGTAGGGTGAAGTGGATGACACCTGACTTTCTGGGTGCAAAAGTGCACATGCTCCCAGAGCCACACATGCCCAGACGCCCGTGCTGTGTGCTGGGCTTCGGGTTTTGGGCCATGGGACCCCTTGGAGAAGGCACTCCTGCCATGGGACTCCCTTGGAGAAGGCAAACCTGTGTCTGCCGGAGCCTCAGCTGGCAGCCGGCATCCAGAGCACTTCCTGCCTTTCCTCGGGGAGAAGGTCCATACAGGCCTGTGGGGGCTGGCTACTTCCTTGGGAAAGGCTGGGCATCCCTGGCACCCTGGACACTGGCCTCTGTTACACAGTTTGCATGCGCTTCCAACTCCAGCTCCGAAGAGGCTAGCTCCACGTCTGAAAGTCTTGTACCTGAGGATGTGTTCAACTTTCTTCATCTGTGAAACGGACTCCCCACGCACATGGGGACGTTGCCGTTGGGAATTATTCCTGGTGCCTGCCTGTGCCTGAGGGAGGGCTGGGATGGATCTCTGTGCTCCTCACCTAAAGAAAACCTCAGCCTTGGGACAGCCTTGCTTCTTGCACAACTCTGGTGCGGGCCCAGCCTCCAGTGGCCGGGGAGTCCCCGTCTCAGCCGGTGAGCACTACTCAGATCACTCTGTCCCCTCTCCAGACAGGGCGGCCTTGCCACAAGGTGAAGGAGCTGCCCGGGATCTTTCCTGCAGGACGTTCTGTCACAAGGAGAACGCGAGAGATGAAGTTGGTGAAGACTCTGCTTTGCAGGCAATCTAAAATCCTGGGTGAGTCACAGGCCCCTGGAGCAGCCGGCGCAATGCCTAGACTGCAGCCCCTCGGGCTGGGCTGTGTGGGAGGGGACTTGTGTGTCTCTGATGTGCCTGTGGGCATTCCACCTGGCCTTAGACTCCCAGCCTAAGCAGGTGCTCCAGGTTCCACCTGGCCTTAGACCTCCCCGTCCTTCGTCACCGAGGCACTGACGCTCAGGGCCCCTGTACACATCTCTGTGGGGCACGGGGAGGCGGAGTGGTTTCCCTTGTGCTCAGGGTGGATTGGAAGCCCTTCACCACCAGGAGCCCTAACTCTGGGGTTTGGGGCATCAGCTACTTGGCAGAGGAGGCATCTCATTTTGAATCCTCTGATCTTCATCATTTGGGAGAGCCCCCCACCCCACCCCACCAAAATTGGGAAAAGCTTGGTTTTCTGTTTAATTCTTAACAGGTTTTTGAGAACTGGGTGGATAGACTGATTTTCTTTGGGCTAAATATTTTGAAAACCATTGAACTGGTAGTTCGAACACTTGCATTTTGCTGAAATCTCTCTCTGCAGCCACTGTGAGACAGAAGCCCAGAGAGGAGGCAGAAACAGCCACCTTTATCCACAGCCAAACACGCTGTGAAGAGCGGAGACAGGTTATACAGGAGCGATGCTTTAATAGGAAACCCAGAAATAGAATGTGTTCAGTTTGATAATCGTTTTAAGCTTTTCTTCCCCCTGTAGATCGTGGTAACTTGGTTCAATATTATGAGCCATGGGTGGCGAGGAAGAGTGAAGCGTTATTGTCAGATAGTGGAGCGAGATCTCTTTATTGGCTGCAGATCCCTGAAGCCTGTGCCCAGCAGGAAATCAATGTCCATCTTTCTGGCTTCACTGCCCCCGGGATCCTCATTTTCCGCTTGTTTGTGTGTGGCTCTGATTTGTTTTTAGGTCTGATGTTGCCTGCTTCCAGAGCTCCATTAAAGCTTCGGTGAAGTCTCCCCCAGCCCACAGGATCATCTCGGCATTGACAGTGTGCCTTGCAAGGCTGGAATGCACTGGGCCGCTCCCAGACTGCTGCCTGCAAAGCAAAAATCCCCTCTACCAGGATGTGGTGGGCTTCAAACTATTGCTGTTCACCTGCAATTCCAATTTTGCATGGGTGTCTCTCTAGTCCCCTCCTAGTCAGCCTCTTGTGGACTATGGGCCAACATTGTGGACACCTCTTGAGTCAGTGGCCCCGAAGCTGCAGTGGGGTCTGGGGTCTGGACCAGAGCATGTTCTCAGGGCAGGCCGAGCCATGCTGTCCGGATGTGAGAAGGGAGCTGTGTCAGGCAGGCTGACAGGCCCTGGGGCCTGCTCCTGGGGCCACAGGGTTCTAGGGACCCATTACTGAGGTCTGGGGGCACCAACAGACCCGGCCTGGGTGGGTGGCCAGCAGCCCAGAGCCAGATGCAGCTGCACCTGCCTGAGTGTGTGATGTGATGCTGAGCTGAGATGCACGGGAAGTGAGTTCAGTGTTCTGGAAAAGATTCCTTCACTGATGAAAAGAGACAGGAAGGGAGGACCTCTTTTTCCCCTGGATATGGTCATATCTCGAAGCGACCTGGGGGACCAAGCAGGTGTTATGCCAGCAGGGGCCCCACATTGGCCAGAGGTGCCGGGCTCTCCCCTGGGACCATCACTTTGACTCTTAGTCTAGAAATTAGAAGTGTGGAGCTCAACAGCTGCTGGTGTCCCCTCATCTCACCTACATTTAAAAACCATTTCTCATGGAAAATTCCAAATATTTACAAAAATAGGGAGACTTATTGAATAGGGAGAAGAAGTGGGCACCCGTCAGCCAGTTTCAGCACTTACATAATTCATGGCCAATCTTACCCATTTTCCCCAACCAATTTGCTTTGGAGCAAGTTCAGGGTATCATATCTGTAAAAAAAAACACATAGACAAAAAACAAAACAAAACAAAAGAAAACAAAACTCATATGAATATCATATGTGAAAAGGCAACAATTCTTTTCATGTTTTTACATTTTTAAATTATTTCATTTTATTTTATTTGTGGAGACAGGATCTCACTATGTTGCCCAGGCTGGTCTTGAACTCCTGGGCTCAAGCAATCTCCATGCCTCAGCCTCCCGAAATGCTGGGATTACAGGTGTGAGCTACCATGCCTGGCCCAATAATTCTTTAATATCTTCAAATACACAATGTTTCCGTTTCTTTGCTTTTTGACAGTTTATTTGTTTTTATGTTTTATTTTTAAATAACAGGTTTCTTGAGAAACAATTTGCATAACATTTACTCTTTTAAACTGTACAATTGAGTGATTTTTAGTACTTTCATGAACTTGTGCAACCATGACCATAGATTGCAGAACAATTTCATTACCCCCCAAAAAGAATGCTGTTTCCATGAGCAGTGGCTCCCTGCGCATCCCCAGCCCCCATTTCAGGGTGATGGGACTCTCCGCCTTGGTCCTCTCTGCCTCTCTGAGTTCTGTGTGAGGGGTTAGATCCTGGCCCTCCCTGCCTCTCCACATCTGCATATTCATTTCCAGTTTATGTGAATCTTCGGGATCCTGTGACAGTGACGTTGAGCTCAGTTGATGTGTCCCTTAAGCTTCTGAGGCCTTCAGGTTTCCCATCCACCTTTCATTGGTTTGTGTACTGTTTTGCGGTTGTTCCTTCATGATAATCTACAGAACCACCATCCCATCCGTGGACGCTTGTTTCCAGAAACATCGCGACGTGGTGTCTGACTGTGTGCATAACCCAGCAGAAGAGCTCTCCGAGACCTAGAGCCGGGGAAACAGACTTAAAACCCAGGGATGCAGGAGCCCTTTGCTGGCTTGTCTTCTCCTTCTGTTGCTCATTCCTTGAGTCTCTTTATTAAGAATTTGTAGCAAAGTTCCCTGGAACAATAAGCTTTCTCTTATAAACTCAATTGATTTTATGGTACTCAGAAGTGTTTTTCGTAAGCACCTCATTGGAAAAATATTCTTCAGTAGTCTCTGCCAGCAAATTGACATGAAAAAAGAGTAGAATTCACTGGACAGCTTTTCCATGGTTTAATCCATTGCCCCAATTTTGAGACTTTAGGAAGAGCCAATAACACGAATCACAGTGTGTCATCTAAAAGGCTCTAAATCACAGTGCAGCAGGATGCCAAGCATGAGACAAACAACGGTCCTCTTGCCAAGAAGCAACCACCACCAGCCGTTCCCAAGGGCCCAGACTCACGAATTCCACCCAGGCACTGATGAACACTTTCTTCCTTGCTCAGGCCTGGAAGAGTGGTAGGCCCTTAGCAAATGAGCCAGATTGAAGAGATGAATGAATTTGTGTACTCACAGTGGCTCCCATCCCAACCAGTGGCTCTAATGGGATCTCCCCTAGCCCTGTTTATTCAGGTGCCCACCTTCCCTGCTTGTGGCCTCCAGAAAGGGTGACCGTATCCTCAGCTCCAAGGGTCAGTCCAATTGGCTCAAGGCAGTCACTATGGTCTCACCCCCTGCCCCAGTGATGGCTCGAGTTTGTATTAGTTATCTCTTTCTACCTAACCAGTTGACTTAAGCTTTGGCAGCTTAAAACAACACACCATTATCTCTCAGAGGTTCTGTGGGCTGTGGACGTGGGCAGAATTTACATGGCTCCTCTGCTTCTGTATCTCCTTACAAGGCCACAACGTGTCAGCCAGGGCTACCGTCTCATCTGAAGGCTCTACTGGGGAGGGAACTGCTCCCAAGGTTACTTCTGAGGCTGCAGTCAGGATTCAGTTCCTTGAGGAAGTTTGGACTGAGAGTTTCAGGACCTTGCTGGCTGCTGCCTGAGTGTGTGATGTGATGCTGAGCTGAGAAGTACGGGAATTCAGTTCAGTGTTCTGGAAAAGAGTCCTTCACTGATAAAAAGAGACAGGAAGGGAGGGCCCCTTTTTCTCCTGGACGTGGTCATATCTTGGAGTGGCCTCTGGAACAAGCAGATGTTATGCTAGGCTGAGGATGAAGCCAACAGGGAAGGGTGGAGCTGGGGTGAGTAGAGGAGCGGAACCATGCTGGGCAGGGGAGGGGAAGTGCACTGCGCATGGGAGGGGAACTGCACTGGACAGGGGAGGGAAACCATGCTGGGCAGAAGAGGGGAACTGTGCTGGGCAGTGCCCAGCATGTAGGCTTCCAGTACGGGTGGGAAAATAGGTCTATGTTGGGTGGAACAAATTTGAGTCACGGCCTCCTGTTGCTTGCAGCCAAAACACTCTAACTGCCATCTCTTGTGACCATGTTCTCAATCTTCCTTATGTACCATTTTGGTGGGGTTTGGATCCTGTTAACCGATCAGACTTGCCAGCAGCACGTGGGATAGCTTCTGGGTTCCTTGGGATGGAGTTTGATCACCATCACTAACTCAAATTAGTCAAGAACGGGTTAATAGTTTCCATTACAATTCAGTAGCTACATTTGGTTCTTAGACTCCATTTTTCTTCCATGTTTAGTTGATCATTTTCTGCTGTGCTCTGCAACATAGCTAGGTACAGAGAGCAGGGTGGTTGAGAGGACAGTGAGTAGTTTTATATAAGACGAGAGAGAGGAAGAAACAGAGAGAGGGGACAGAGAGAGAAAGAGAAAGGGAGGTCACCTATCTGTATCACCTGCTGAACTGCATTGGCGATAGGCTGTGTGACTTGGATATTTCAGTCCCAGAAACAGCTCTTTAAGGACATTGATCCAGTTTTCCTGTAAGGTAATAGCTGTAGGGAAATGGAATGCTTCTTGGAGCTCAGGATTTGAACGCAGTTTGGTCTGGGGTCAAAGCCTGTGCTCTCAGGCACTACCACGGCTTCCCCTTCTATGAGCTCCCTGCACACATTTAGAGCACCATGCAAGGGAGAGGCCCACCAGCAGGGATTCTGCCAATGTGTGTATGTGTGTTTGTGCGTGTATGTGTGTGTATATGTATGTGTATATATATTAATATAAGCATATGAGTCTTATGAAAAATACCCGTGAGTATTGTATTAGGGTTCTTCAGAGAAGCAGAACATATATATATATATATATATATATATATATACACACACACACACATATACACATATACACACATATATATGTGTATGTGTGTGTGTATATATATATATATATATATATATATATATATATATATATATATGTGAGTAAATAGATATAAACAGATAGATAGATGTAGATGTATGAGAAGTCCCATGATAGGGACAGGTCCTTGGCAAGTGGAGACGGAGGGATGCCAATGGTGTGATTCCATCCAAGTCTGAAGGCTCCAGAACCAGAGAAGCTGATGGGGTAATTTTCAGTCTGAGACCAAAGGCCAGAGAATGAGGAGTTCTGATGTCTGAGGGAAGAAGAAGTGGGGTGTCCCAGCTCTAGAAGAAAGAGCAAATTCACCTCTTCTCTGACTTTTTGTTCTACCCAGGCCCTCTGCTGACTGAATGATGGCCCCCAGCGTTGGATCTTCCTTACTCAGTCCACTGATTCAAATGCTGATCTCTTCTGGAAGCGCCTCACAAGCACACCCAGAAACGATGCCTTACCAGCTATCTGGGCATCCTTTAAAACAGCCAAGGTGACACCTAAAATTAACCTTTACAAGTGTCACAAAAAATAAGGTGTGTTAGTTTAGAAACATTTCCCCATCTGAATGTGTTTTATGTCTGAACTACTGAGTGGCCAACACAGGGAAGACCCTGTCCACCTGGAGCTTATGTTCTAAAGGGCAGGGACATCACCAGTCCAGGATGGAGAGCAATGAGGAGGCCGCCTGAGACAGGTGGTTGGAGATCTCCCTGGAGGAGATTATATTTGAGCCAAAATCTAAAGGATAAGATTGAGCAAGAGGGAAGTGAGGGCAGAGTCTTGGGGATGGTGAGGAGCTGGGTTTCATTCCAAGAACTATGGGAAGCCACTAAAAGGTTTAAAAATAGGGACATTTGGAATTTCTGAAAAAGATGATTTGATTCTCACGACTTTGTGATGAAGGGATGGGAGATGAGCTAGACTAGGAGAGGGGAGAGCATTCAAGGGGCAGCTGCGTTCATCCAGGACAATGATGGGTGGGCCTGGGGCTGGTGGGGGAGAATGCTAACGCTCAGGTTGCCGCTTCCACCATCAACGGCTCAAATTTCTATGCTTTTTCCAGCTTTAGAAAGATGAGCCACAAATTGTCCTTCTTATATCTTGCATCTTAACTCACAAGAGAAAGAACTATTCATTTTGGATGGATGCCCCAACCCAGCAGACACATGGAAGACCCGTACCTTGCCCAGGCCCTGGGGATCCTGCTGAGGATACCAAGACAAATGAGATGTTCCTACCCTGGCACAACTCACCATCCTGAGCAGGAGTGTCAGGGCCACTTAGCAGGTAATTTAATTTAGGGTTAGGGTTCCAGTGAAGCCAGATATAAGGAGCCAATGAACCCTGAAGCCATTGCATTCTTTGTGCCAGAGTACATTCCCATCCACCTTGGGGAATGGCTAGGAGGCTGGTTCTGGGGTGTACTTGGTGTCATTACTGGGCAGAGATGGTGAACAGCCCTTGGACAATTCTCCAGGCTTTCTCTCCCCTGCCTTGGAGGCTGTGGAGGCCTCATGTTGAGTGGAAGGAACCACAGGTTAGAAGCACTGGAATCCTTGAGTCACAGCATGGAGGACAGCTGCCCTCATGAGCTGTTACTGCTGACCCAGACTCGTGCTAAACTTTGCTTGAATGACAAACCAACTTTGTTGACATAAATCCCTAGATTGGGGGATTAATTATTACAGCAATTACTCTAGGTTATCTGGACAAGTACGCCATAGATAAAGCCCTGCCTTGGTACCAGAACATTAAACAGAGATACAAAATGGCCCAAGGAAAAGGCATATGCGTGTGTCCCCCAGGGAAGCCACAGGCTCAATCTATCAGTTTTTATTAATCTCCAGGTTATTATATTAGCTGTCATTTTCTTAATTAAGTCTACTTTATCAAGTTCTCCCTACATTTATTTAAATCTATTTATTCTGAAATTAAAATACTTGAAATCCAATAGTAAGTTTTAGTATACTAATTCAAAAATTAAAGGTCTGAGTGGACTTATTACTAAAACCTATGTATTTGTGAGTGTCTTATAAAAATCAACAGTAATTTAATGTCTGCCAGAGCAAAAGTCAACATTCTTTAGAAGAAGATAACAGAATCCAGAGTGTCTACAAAATATAATTCACAGTGCCTGGTATACAAACAGAAATTACTAGACATTCTCTAAAGATAAAAAAGTGAATGACCCGGATGTTGAATTAGCAGACAAAGACATTAAAACAGCTTTTATAAATATGTTAAAGAATTTATAGGAAATTATGGCAGATGGAGAATGTTAGCAAAAAAAAAAAAAAAAAAAAAAAAAGAGAGAAGTGAAAAGACTGAAGGAAAAACCCAGAAATAAAAAGCACAATGTCTGTTTTTGTTTTTTTTCTGAGAGGGAGTCTCACTCTCACTCAGGCTGGAGTACTGTGATGCGATATCTTGGCTCATTGAAACCTCTGCCTCCAGGGTTCAAGCGATTCTCATGCCTCAGCCTTCCGAGTAGCTGGAATTACAGGCACGTACCACCACGTCCCGGTAATATTTTGTATTTTTAGTAGAGACAGGGTTTTATCATGTTGGCCAGGCTGGTCTCAAACTCCTGACCTCAAGTGATTCTCCCGCCTTGGCCTCCCAAAGTGCTGGGACTACAGGCATAAGACACTGTGCCTGGCCAAAAGTACAACTGCTTACAAAAAAAGTTTTGAAAAGTTTAAAAGCAAACTGGACATAGCAGAAGGAAGGATAAATGACCTGAAAGATAGATCAATAGAAATGATTCAAACTAAAGCATAGAGAGGAAAATGAATGGAAAGAAAAAACAAACAAACATGCAAACACAACAGAGCAACCACATAAGTGGGACAACATCACTCCGTCTAATAGGTGTGTAAATTGGAGACCCAGGAGGAAAGGGGATACAAGGGGTAGATACGTTGGACAGAACTTTCCCAAATTTGATAAGTGATTCAACCCCACACTTCCTAAAAGCTAAACGAACCTCCAACAGGAAAAAATAAAAAAAAAAAAAAAGGACAACAAAGGGGATACCATAGGAACACTACGAAACCCCAGAATGAAGAGAAAATCTAAAAGCAGCCAGAGAAAAATGAAACACTGTATTCAGGGAACAACAATAAGAATGATGACTGACTTCATCAGAAACAATAGATGTAAAGATGAAAGAAGATGTTTTCTAATAGAATTCTATATTCACTGAAAATATCACAAACTATAAAGGTTAAATATATTTTTAGATAAACAAAAGCTAAGGAAATAATTTGCCATGAGACCCATATATTAGAAAGGCTAACTGATTGTAAAAAGAATGAAGAGCAGTGGAAATGATAAATATCAGATAAATAGAAATACTATTTTTTGCCAGTTTTCTTAATGAGAATCTACTGAATTAAACAAAAATAATTTAAAAATTTATTGTGAGTTTGATAACACACATAGAAATATATGACAAGAGTAGCACTCAGGTCTGAAAGGGAGGAAGACTGTCATACAGGAAGTGATATGATATTAGGTACACTGGGATAAGTTAGTAATGCGTGATGTGATTACTAGAGCAATTGCTAAAATTTGAAACAAGCACAGCTGCAAAACAAATGGGCATTTGATAAAACACATCAAAGTTTATGAGATTCAACTAAAACAGTGGGTAGGAAGACACACAGCAGTTTAGTATGTGTGAAAACAGAACACGTCAGAATCTGTTGGGTGTACCTAAAACAGTGCTTAGAGGGACATTTATAGTGTTAGATGGATATAGTAAAGAAAAAGAAAAATGAAAATCAATTATATTTTCTTTTTAGGAGGTTAGAAGAAGAAAAGGAAAGTAAATCTAAGAAAACAGAAGAAAATAATAAAACTAAGAGAAAAAATCAATAAGATAGAAACCAGAGAGGCAATAGAAAAAAATACACAAAGCTAAAAGTTGATCGCTCGAAAAGTTAATAAAATTGATATGTCCTCAGAGACTCAAAAAATGTTAGAAGGCACAAATTACTAATTTCAAGAAGCAAGAAGGGAATATTCCTACAGATCCTCCAGACATTAAAAAGAATAATTCACATATGTTATGTCCATTTTCAAATGTGTACACATCACATTCAGCATGCTCAAAACCAAACTCATGCTATCCTCATTTTCTTTTCATAGTAGTCCTATCCCCTGAGATTGTTTTTACTCTTTTATTGTCCTTCTCTTATATTTACACATACATTTATTTACTTATGTATTCTTGGACCCTAATAGCTAGCAAATATCTAAATAGTGGTGAGTGTGTTTGGTGATAGTCACTACAGAACACAAAGATGACTAACATACACAGAGTCTCGTTTTACACAAATATCTAGTTCCTGCTAAGATGGTGAAGTTGCACAGGCTTCTGGTTCTGTCCCTCAAAATAAACCCTGAAAATAGACAGAGCTTAGAGGGCAGCACGCACTCCAGTGTGGCAGACAGCATCCAAGTGGTCACAGCGTTCCACACCCTCGGAAGTAGAGTTCATGCCTGTATCCTGGAGGCTGGCTGGGCCACCTGACCTGCTTTCCCTAAGGGAGCTTTAGTAGGTGTGACATAAGCAAATGCTTGAAATGTGCTTGCACCTGGGGCTTTCGCTCTCTTCGCCACTGTGTGAATAAGCCTGGGCTGGCCTACCAGGGACACATAGTCCAGCCAACTGGCAGCACCACTGCTAGACATCGAGGTAAGCCATCCTGGACCCTGGAGAGATGCCAGCGACCCCTGGATGAGCCCACTCAAATTGCCAGTCTGTGAAATCGTGAGTAATTTGGAGGAGCTTTGTTATACAACAATATGTAACTGATAAATCCATACAAAAACCATGATAATTTAAAAATCAGAGATAAAACTCTGGGGATATTAAAGTGTCTTTTGAACTGGAGTATGTGGGGAGGTGGGTGCTTGCAGCATGCTTTTAAAAAACTACCAAGCAAATAAATATATTACAATTAACTTCCAATGTCTGCCAGTGGAAGTCGCATTTTAACTGCCAATTTGACGTGATTGTGTCCTAGAATGCCAGGAACGACCTTACCAACTGAACTAGGAATTATATTCAGATGCCTATGAAGAAAACCCAAACAAAAATGGCTTACTTATATAAGCCAATCTGGAGGTACGAAGTCCAAGGCAAGTCTCTCTACCGTATGAAGTTATTGGAAAACCAAGCTGCTTCTACCCTTCCGTTCTAGGATCGTGGTGCGTGGGTTTAATGGTCAAGGTCACCCTGTGGTCCAAGATGGTTACTGGAGTGCCAGCCATTACATCTGTATTCCAGGCAGTGGGAAAGTGAGGTGAGGCCTCAGGGGTACACCTTCCAGCTATGGAGGCCTCCTTTTTACCACCACCTTGTATTTATATTAATATAACATCTTGCTCTTTATTTTCTATCATTATCTCCTATTTATTTTCTATATAAACAAGTGAAGTCTTTCCTTTGGGTATTTGCTGGTTACTGTTCCTCTGGTCTTCCTTTTGGTAAGTTTTTGCCTTCTTGTTACATACACACATGCACACGCACACACACACACATGCTCACACATGCAAATGCACACATGCACACACACATGCACATTTGGGAACCGAGTTCTAAAACACAATGTCTTTGCCTCCAAGAGCAGAGAAATTAAACTTTTCCCTTAAAAATGAGAAAGTAAGTCAGCGTTGTGAGACCCAGCCTTCCCTGGGTCATACGGGGTTCTGTTTCCTCCAGCCTAGGGAATGTCTAGGTGGTGGTCACAGAGTGGTCAATGCCTGTGAGGATGGGCTGGTCCCACTGGATGGGGCCTTAACAGAGCGGATGCCCAGGGCTGCCAGTGGCACAGCAGGGTTGATGGGGGCGGCAGGGCCCTGGGCTTCCCTTTGGCCCCAGCAGAGACGAGTGCCTCCAGGTTTGTATCCATTGGAGTTACCTTCTCCCTCCTGTCTATCACAAGGACCACTCACACATTGCTCTGCCAACACCTGGCCCTTGCCCTTCCTCCCCCTGTCCAGGCACATGGGTCTTGGCATCTTACACCGATGTCCTAATCGCTGACCCTTCGCCTGCCCCTGGTTGGGCGTGGGCTCACCTGCTTAGTGCTGGCAGTTCTCCGTGGTTTTATCTGCTGATGGGTGCTCCCATGCAGTGAACATCTGGAAAATGAAGTGGACATTGTCTGGGGTCATTGTGTGGCTTTGTTTGGGGTTGGCAGACCTGGGTGTGGACCGGAGACCTGATGCTTTAGTCATTCAGTACTCACCAGCCCCTCCCCCATGCTTAGACCCAGCAGGAACTGGGCATCATCGTGAGCCTCAGTTTCCTCTTCTGTGAAGTGCAGATTGTCAGCAGGTCCATCTAAGAGGTCTGTTCTGAGGATGACCAGAGCTACCCACATGGAGCCCAGCACGTAGAGACCGCACGTGACACATGCTGCTTACTGCAATAATCGCCGGGGAGGATCCTGCCCCAGCAAGCACGTTAAGCCTCCATCCATGAGCCTGAAGATCATGCAATCCCCAGCCAAGGCTCCGCCAGCCTGAGGAGCCCCTTTCCTTCCAGCGACCTGTTGTCCTCACTAGTGTCCTTCCTGCGGGTGACACCTTCTCCTTGGGCCTGCTTGTCTTTCTCTGCAGTGGTGTCCAGCAGCTCCCCATCCCGACCGCCGCTGGGTTTCTTTCTCTTCCCTAGGTTGGCCCCTGCCTCTCTGATCCACGCTGCCCATTGATGTCCCCTCACTCCACCTCTGGCTGTTTGGAAGGCTTTGCTCTTATGTGCTATTATTCTCTCCTAGTCACTGTTTTCATGTTTTGGCAGAGATCAGAGACCATGTGGGGCATCTAGTGAAACGACAGAGCCATTCTAGAAAAATATACGTCCCTAAGAATTTGCACAAAACTTTTGCACATCACTTCAGAGAGTCTACGGCCTGTCGGGGATGTGTCCGTGGGCCTCGGCTGAGGGACCTCTGGCCTGTGACATCTGAGCCCCGTGCTGTGGGTCAGTCCGAGGCCGGGGACCCTGCATCGGGCCTGTGTCCCTGTGGATGAGGAAAAAACAGCTCTGGGGATAGAGTCTTGGGCCACACGGCTGCTCATGTGCCGACATGCCATGTCACCCAGGTGGGGATCCGGTCATTACCACGGAGTGGTCTTGGGCCTCTGTGGAGGGGCCCTGCACCTGCCCAGGCCGGCGTCTGACTCCACATCGCGTGCTCTGTGGGAAGAGCCCAGTGGAGCCCTGTACCTGCCCAGGCCGGTGTCTGACTCCAGATCGCATGCTCTGTGGGAAGAGCCCAGCCAGCCACGCACAGGCTCCTGCCTTGAAATATCTGCGCCTTCCGAAGGAGAGGAGAGGATCCACCACTGGGGGGGTCAGAGCCCAGCGTTGTCTCTGCACGTCTTCTGTATACGCTGGAAGGCGGCCTGTGCTGGGTGAACAAGTCCTCTCTGCAGCACGACTTCAGGGGGCAAACGAGGTGCCAGCCAGGCCCGCCCCGGCAGCTGGTCCTGCACACGCCTTTGCCCACCATCGCTGAGAGTTGGACTTCTGACTGTGAAGGTTCTCCCCAAGCTGGAGCCAGAGGAACCAACATTTAACTTGTGGGAATGTAGATGTAGCAGCACTCATTAGAGGGACAGCCACGTGGACCTCCTTTCTGGGAGTGGGTGGGGACAGAGGGAAGGGTGGGGACATGGGAAGCCCTTGTGGTGGCTGACCTAGGCCACTCCCAGTCCAGTCTGTTCCCAAAGATGTGCTTGTCATTCCCAAGGCACAAACAGGCCTGGGGCAGCTGCAATTCCCCACACTCACCTGGAGTGAACGCTCGGAGGGGTCCTTGGCCCCATAGCCCAGTTAGGTGCCCTGGCCCCACTGTGCCTCAGAGGTCCTGGCATGGGGAGAAGCCCTGCTGTGCTCCCAGGTGAGGCCGGCAGGGGTGGATGCATGATCCGAGGCCATCTGCTCGTCTTAGGGTCAGTGGCTTCCAGCCCTTAGGATAGGGACCCTGTGGGGTCTTTGCATGATTCTGATGGGTATTCCTGTTGTAAATAAATTCATTTAAAGCAATTGCCAGGGGCCCAGCCCAGAACTTGGGCTGATAAAGAGCCGCGATTAGGGCCCATGTGAGGCCCCCTGCTCAGGCTGTTTAGACAGGAAGGAAGGTGTCTCCCAGGCTCCCATTCCCCGACCCTCTCCCCACCACCCTGCCTCCCCATCCATAGAAGGCTGCCTCCGCCTGCACGGATGACAACATGTTCAGCAGTCAGTGTCTGGTGACGTTGCAGAGGGAGAACCGTCTTCAGCTCTTGGTTCCTCCCAGAGCCCCAGCTGGCTTTGCTCCTTTCTCTCTAGGCCCAAGAGATGACTGTGGGTGATGACAAGAGAACTGCCAGGGCCGGAGCTTGGAGCCCTGAGCCCACTTTGCAAGGCTGGCCACAGACCTCTGTGCCCCGGTCCAGCTGGGGCTCAGCCTAGTGCTGCCCAAGGACTCCTGGCCTGGCTGTGGCCCCGGGACACCAGCTCTTCCTGTAGATGGAGGAGGATGAGCCTGGGAGAGGGGACAGGAAGGCTGGGGCCTGCTGCGGAATGTCGGCCCCATGAATGAGCCGGTCCTGATGTTTGAGGGGGCGTGTCCTGGGATGAAAAGGCAGGGAGTGAGGAGGTCCACGGTGTGCTCTCGGGGCTGGTACGAGAATCCGCACATGGGGCGGTGGGGCTCATGTTACATTGGGTGCATCGCGTAACCTCATTTTAACAGCTGGGCTTCACCACGTCGTGGCACGTCAGAGCTCCGTGCCTTCTCGCTGCCAAGGGATGTCCACGTGTGGCCGGGCTCACGGCGCGTCTCACTCACCAGGCGAGGTCACTTGGGTTGTTTGTGCTTCTTGGCTATTGTGAATCGTGCTGCGAGGAACATTTGTGTACAAGTGAGAGAAGCCATGTGTTGTGATACGGTTTGGCTGTGTCCCCACCCAAATCTCATTTTGAGTTGTCACTCCCATAATCCCCATGTGGCATGGGAGGGACCCAGTGGGACGTAATTGAATCATGGGGCGGTTATCCTCATGCTGCTGTTGTGATAGTGAGTGAATTCTCACGAGGTCTGATGGTTTTATGAGGGGCTTTCTCCCCTTTGCTCGGCACTTCTTGTTGCTACCGTGTGAAGAAGGACGTGTTTGTTTCCCTTTCCGCCATGACTGTAAGTTTCCTGAGGCCTCCCCAGCCATACTAAACTGTGAGTCAATTAAACCTGTTTCCTCTATACATTACCCAGCCTCGGGTATGTCTTTATTAGCAGCATGAGAACGGACTAATACTGTTGTGCGGCAGCATTTATATGTGGTGTCCAGAACAGACAAATCTGCAGAGACAGCCCATAGATAGCGGGAGCCAGGGGCAGGGAACAGGGGAATGAGGAGTGACCACAGATGGGCTCAGGGTGATGAAAATGCTCTGAGGTTAGATCATGGCAATGGTTGTGTAACAGAATTGCACTGCACACTTTAAGTGGCTGAACTTCATGTGAGTGAGTTACATCTTAAATCTGTTTTAAATATCGGATTTGCCCTTTTCAGACCATGTCACTGAGAAATCCGAGGGCATTGTGGTGTGTGTTGGGTCTGCAAGGTCGCCACTGCTCTACATCTGGGGAGGGGATGGGCTTTGGTTGAGACCCATCTGTGTCATCTGAAGCAATGGAGCGAGGGCTGTGTTTTCAGAGGCGATGTCCACTGTAAGTAAGCAGCTGGCTTCTGGCATGTGGACATGGCCAGTGACAGGCATGTTGTGTTTAAAAGGATGGCCTTGATGGTCCTTGACCCTCGGGAGCTGGGCGTGGGAAGGCCGTGAAGGACCATGGTGCAAGGCCCTTGCTGGCGGCTCTTTAAAACGGAGTGGGTGCTCCCCGGTGGGGCCTGCAGCCATCCCTGCAGGGGGACACTGGGAAGCCTGCTTTGCCGCTCCCTTCCAGCTGTGAAACCCAGATGGGGGTGGCGGGAAGGACTGGGGCATAGGACAGCATTCCTCACGAGGTGCCTCGATGCCTCTGGTGTGAGCTGCAGTAACACACATGTGCACAGGAAACCAAGACCCTCCCACAGCCTTCCTGTCCCTCGAGAGTCCGTTCTCCCACTCCTGACAGACAACGGGTCCTTAGTGGGAAAGGCTGGCTTGGGCACAGGGGCTCAGCAGAAAGGAAAACTGGCTCCTCCCACCTCGGCTGCACCTGGATGACCACCTTGGCTCCCTGGAGCATGGAGACACGCGCTGGGCTTTGTGCTTGTCGCCTGTTGCCTGGCATTTTCTGGCAAACTCCATGGAAGGAAGGAAGTCTTCCTGCACTCGGACACCTTGTTCTATAAGGAGCTCTCTCTTTTCTTTCTTGTGTCTGTGTTTCGGTTCCATTCTGGGTACAACAGTTAGAGACTCCCGCAATCTATGAAGCAGCATGCCTGCAGAGGTTCCGGGGCCTCTCTCATGCTGGAGTCATGCAGGGTTTGCCTGGGTGGGTCTGGGTTTATTGTGGGGGAGACTGGGGCGTCACGACTTCCTTTGAGGCCATCCATTCACCTGGTTAAAGGTGATGCACCAACTGCCAACTTGGACCCCTCAGGGCGGCACCGCGTCCACCTGCACATCCCATGGCCACAGCTACACGGACGCGGTCTTCCAGCTCGCGAGAGGAAAGTTTTCCTCATGCCGGTGGTTTTTCACTTATTAAATCTCATATTTCAGGCAACCCATTGAGTAGAGCCTGGAGAGATGCGATTAAACTGCTAGTCTCCTTCCAGAAAAGGGATTTGTGCTTTTATAGTAAACAGGAGATCTATGGTTTCAAAGTGTATTTTACTCCCGAGTATTTCAATTACACAGTAGAATATTAGATGATAACTCGTGCAGTTAGGATATAGTGTGTGTCACCCACGTTACCGGGAGCGCACACAGCAGTGCCCGCCGTGTGTAAAGGACTTGCTGCATGGGAGGTGCACCAGGCTCATCCCCCCCAGGTTGACTCCAGGGATGCTTTCAAACTGAGTCTTTTCCACACTGACCCCAGAACATAAAGATGATTTATACGCAGCATAAGCCGTTTTCATCATGTATGCACTTATTTTACAAAAAGGGATGTCAGACAAATTAGGTTTTCTTTTCCTTGAGTCCCTTTCTCTGGGAAGATTATTTACAATAGTTTTTAAATTCCTCTCTGTGCTATTCCTCCAAAGGCAATGGAAAGCAATTCTGAGAACACAGCAGAAAATCAGCTTTTAATCAAGAAAAAACAATCTGTGGGAAATAGAGATGTGCTACTCTGCCCCAAAGAGATTCCTGTGGCCGTGGGACCACCCGCTTCCAATTTGCAGATACCAGGTTTCCCTTCTCTGGCGCCACTTCCTGCTGAGGCTTGGCTGGGGCCTTGGAAATGCTGTCTTGTCTGGTAACGTCTGATCGCTGGTTGGGCCAGGAGGCTGCTGCGGAAGGTGGGGGGCCAGGCTGGCCTACGGACCCTCACTGAGATGTCTCCTTAGCACAAGTGGGCAGGAACTTGGGTCAAGGGACACAGTAACCAATGCAGACAATGTCACAGACCTTGTTTGGGTTCCCGACACCACCATGCTGTGAGGAAGCCCAATGGGCCTGAGGAGAGGACACTCAGTGGAAGTGGAGAGGACACAGCAATAGGTGAGTGAAGCAGGCCTCAAATCTCCAAACAAGTGAATCCTCCCAAAACCTTTAGAAGTCAGGGATGGGCAGGTATAGCCACAGAGCAAGATGCCAGCATTTCTTTCCATGGATCTCTGTGGCTGTGTCCCTGTTGGACTCTGTGGCACACATTTATGGCTGAGTGGCCCATAGTGCGAGTCACTGAATTTTCTGCCTGATGTCCCTACATCACTGTCACCTCCCCCTGGGGTCCCCGCATCACCCTCACCTCCCCCTGAGTCCCCGCATTGCTCTCACTGGGGAGGGGTGGACCAGAGGCTTCACACACCACATGTCAGAATAGGGGTTTCCCTATTCTGGGTCCCCACATCACTCTCACCTCCCCCCGGGTCCCCGCATCACTCTCACCCCCACCTCTGGGTCCCCCATCATTCTCCTCACCCCCAGAGGTCCTGCAATCCTGCCATATGTTCTTCTATTTCCAGAGCTGGCCTGGAAGTAGAGTTGTGGCCACGCTCTGCTGTGCCTGGAACCTCTATTCTGACATGTGGTGTGTGAAGCCTTTGGTCCACCCTCCCTGGCCCCTGCAGGCTGAATGCCTGACAGAATCCACCCCCACTCCCACTGCTGCCCCCAAGTAGTCAGGACAGCAGGGGATGGGTGGGACAGGCCACACAGGAGCAGGAGCTGCATGGGGGCCGCCCTGCGTCTGGGGAGCAGCCCTCCTGCCCCCATGTGCTGAGGCCTCTTCTAGCTCGGGCTCTTTAGGCTGGAAGGTTTCGAGGGTCCTCACTGCATGGAGCTTCCCCACCGCACAAAGTCCTCAGCAAGGAGCGTGATGGCTCCGGAGCCCCAGATGTAAAGCTGAGTTGCCTCGGAGTAAGAGCTTCGGTCTCCGCCCTTGATTCATTCAGTGGGGGCAGAGTGGGGTGGGGGGCGGGGTCCACAGAAGCCTCAGAGCTGCCCCGGGAGGGAGGTGCCCCAAGACTTGGCCCAGAACTTCCCCCAAGATGGTCTCTGAAGGGTGACATCCTGGCCCTCCAGAGTGCCAAGATACTGAGGGCACGATGGCCTTCACGTGGCCTGGCCCTTCCCATCTCCATCAGGCCCTGAGGACATGGAGGGTGCCTTGCAGCTCTCAGGTTGCAAGACCACCGGGTCTGCTCACTGGGGACAAGCAAAGCTGTCGCCCACCCACACCTACGGCGTGCACAGACAACCTGTGGGGTACCTGTGCTTGTGCCCTAACCACCTGTACCCTGCTGAGAGGAGGGACTGGCGGGACGTCCCAGGGGCTGGGCCAGGGCTCTCCAGGTGTGGGGTTCTGGGGTGGGGGGGTTCCAAAGAGGAAGCAAGTGAGCCCATGCCCACAGCCCTCCCTGCTCCGGGAACCAGAAGGAGGCTCCGTACCATGTGGGGCCACCAGGCAGCATGGGCTGGAATGAGCCGGCTGATGAGGCTGGGGTGGTCCCCGACACACAGGAGGGGGCAGCTTCCCCTGCAGGGGCGTTTCAGAACTAGCCATGGAGTGGGAGCCCAGGGGGAGCAGTGATGGCTCCCAGGAAAGAGGGGCATCCCTGCCGTGGGCACCTCCTTCAGCCCCACGTCTCCACAGCTGGACTCGCGAACGGATCCCACGTGGCCATGCCCCTCTGCTGTCCCTCCTCGGAGGCCTCTTGGAGGTGACACTTTTGAAACAGGGTTCATGGAATGTTGTCCCGAGGCCAGGCCCAGGGATTACAATGTGGATGCCTGTCCACTGGTCCAGATGGGCGATGCCGTCATGACACAGGCCAGAGACAGAAGGGGCGGATTCTCCGTGAAATGTGGCCTCACGAAGCCAGAGGTGTCCTGGGACCTCCGTCCCTCAGCTCTGCTCTATCCCCACTGCCTGCCACCGGGCAATGCCAGGCGGTAAACCTGGCGGCTGCCCCTCTCAGGCCTTGTGTTCAGACCCCAGCTGGCCTCTCCTGGTGTAGTGCCCCAGCAAGTTCCTCCATGCCGTGCCTCCACTTCCTCAGCCGCTAGTGCCCTGGAGAGGGAGGGACATGGGCTGCACTTGGTACCTGAGAACCGGGTGGACACCAGCTCTTGTGACTGTTCGTCTTGGAGACTCACAGACGCAGCCGCCCTGGGCTGCTTCTCGCTCTCCCTCCTGTCGCCCCCTGTGCCTCCCCCTTGTCTCTCTCCCCGTCTCTTCTTCCCTCTCTTTCCCTTTCCACCCTTCCCTTCTTCCTCTCCCTGCTCACTCCTCGCTCTCCCCTGCCCTCTGTCTCCTCCCAGCTGCCCGCTCTGTAGGGTGCCTCCTACAGCTTCTCATCCACCTCCACTCTCCCTTGGTCTCCTTACCTGATGCCCTCAAGGAAAGCTTCTGCCTCCTAAGGACAATACGGCCGCACGGGGCAGTTCTAGGTGATGGCAACTGTTATAAAAATTGTTTAAAATAAAATTACAGGCTGGGTGCGGTGGCTCACGCCTGTAAACCCAGCACTTCGGGAGGCCGAGGCAGGTGGATCACCTCAGGTCAGGAGTTCGAGCCCAGTCTGGCCAACATGGTGAAACCCCGTCTCTATTAAAAATACAAAAATTAGCTGGGTGTGGTGGTGTGCACCTGTAATCCCAACTACTTGGGAGGCTGAGGCATGAGAATCGCTTGAACCCGGGAGGCGGAGGTTGCAGTGAGCCGAGATTACAGCACTGCACTCCATCCTGGGTGACAGAGCAAAACTCTATCTCAAATAAATAAATAAATAAATAAATAAATAAATAAATAAATAAATAACAATGCTCATTGTACAAAGTTTGGAAACTACAGAAAAAAATTCAAGAAAAAATTAAAAGCTCTTTGTAATCCCACCATTCAGAGAGAGCCACAGACAAGACCTTTGGCCGTGTCTCCCCCCTTTCCAGGCTTATTTAATAACTATGATGTAACCCTATTTACTAGGATGCCACTGCCAGGTGTTCCGAGCTGTGGCTGCACTGCGCCTGTACCACTGTTCTCCTCTCGTTAGTCTGTCGTAAGGGTAAGCAAACTTTCTCTATAAAGGGCCAGGTAGTCAACACTTTTGTCCTAGAGAGCCATATGGTCTCTGTCTAAACTACTCACCTCTGCCGTTGTAGCGTAAAAACAGCCAAAGGTGACACGTCAGCATGGCTCTGTGCCAATGAAACTTTATTTGCAAAGACAGGAAGTGCAAAAACAAAGATCAGATTCATCTAATCTTTGAAAAGGCAACATTGTCTTAACTAAAATAATTGAAATTTAAGTCAGTTAAACTGGACAAACACAGCTGTTAGGAGCGACTTCCATCTTTTCTGTAATCCTTACCTCTGTGCTTTCCCAGTGCATCTGAGTGCACGTTCCTCAGGGCCCTCGGCTCATCCTGGGTGTGCTGGCTTCTCAAGGCTGTCTCTGCGGTGTGTCCGGGGTCAGGTACAGATGGCATCCTGCCAGGCAGACCCTCATCCCTGCAAGGTGGACTCTTTAGAACTGATAACTTTTCATGAGAAAAATAATGAATCATGGAAATAGAGGCTTATAAGCCATCTATGTGGTGCCAAGTGGGTAGAGCAGGCCATTTGTGGGGAACCCAAAGTTTCTACGGCTGCTCATGTGAATGCCCGGCCACGAGGGGATCAAAGGACGGTGGGCCCCGGACACAGAGCCCCGAGGGCTCTCTCTGGCTGAGAATCCTGAGTGCTATGCTGGGAGCGCCGGGGAGGGAGGGTGTCTGGGGACAGTGTGTGGTCCTAAGCAGCAGCCCCTGGCACTGGGGAGTCTGTCCCTGATCCCCAGAGGGAGGACCCCCCATGGAGGGCTGTTTGTCCCACTGCACGCCTCTGGGGGACTGGGGTGCAGACCTGGGGCAAAACTGCAACTCCCAGATTGAGTGCAGGGAGGCAGCCGGGTCAGCGCGGGGGTTCCTGGGGCCCAGCAGCACAGAAGCATCCCTAAACGTGCATGGGGCTGGGGGGATGTGAGGAGGTGCACATGTGCCCTGTGTCCATGTAACAGGTACCACAGACCAGGGGCTTAAACAGCAGGATCGCCTTCCCAGGGTGCTGCAGTCTGCAAGTCTGAAATCAAGGTGTCGCTGGCCTCGATCCCCGAAGGCTCCAGGGGAGACTCCTTCCTGCCCCTCCCAGGTTCTGGTGGCCCAGGCATCCCTCCGTGTGCCTGCATGTGGCTGCATGGCCTGTCTCTGCCTCTGCCCTCACGTGGTCTCCTCCCTTTCCTGTGTCTGTCCACCTCTGCCTCACTCTCCTAAGGACACTTGTCACTGGGTTTAGGGCCCACGCAGCTCATCCAGGATACGTTCCCCCTTTCACATCCTCAACTAAAGCACTTCTGCTAAGATGTGGATGCATTTATTGGGGGCCATGGTTCAACACGACCATGGTGCCCGACCTCTCAGAGCAGGTGCCCTGGGAGCTGCCATTTCAGCAGAGAGGGGCACGGCTCTGCTGGAACAGAGTTGCAGCCGGAGGGTCTTCAGGTCTGGTTTTGCCTACAGAACACCCTCTGGAGCATCCCAGCACCACTCACACCTGACTTGTCAAGCTGGGAGTGCTGCGGGTGTTGCTTAGCCCCGTATCCAGTGCTGCTCTGGGAAAGAGCGTGGTGACTCAGCACCTTTGGCTGAAGGACAGAGTTAGGGCAGTGGGTGGGTGGGAATCGGTGAAAATGCGGTTCACTGGTCAATATTCAAAAAGGCTTCTTAATGAGGGTGTGCTGAAATAGGAAAGTGCCACTTTAGAGAGTGATGAATTCCAGGCCTTAGCTCCTTGCCTGGCTTCTGAGGATGTACACAGATTTTGGTGAAGAAATGGACTCCTGTTTGGAGATTTCAGAGGGAAAGCTTGGACTGCCACTAGGCAAGAAGAAAAGTAGAACAGATGGTCCACAAAGCCACATCCACAAAGATGAGAGTGTGGCTGCTGGTAAAAGACACTGGAAATGACGGCAGCTTAAATAAAACTGCACACAGCTTCTCCCATGCCAAAGGAAGCTGGAGGTGGACAGCCCAGGGCTACATGGGAGCTGCAGACTCCTCCGGTGTTGGGGCTCCTCCCATCCTTCCACCCCGCCTCATCCAGCGTCTTTCCTAAGTGTGCTTCACAGTCCTGGTGTGGCTGCTGAGGCTGCAGCCACCACCTCTGCATTCCAGGCAAGAGGTGGGAAAAGTGGGAGGAAGACAAAAAAGGCCCTTGTTGAAAGCCTCACCCCGGAGTGACTTCTTCCCTCTACTTGACCATTTTCTTGAGGATGGCACTGATTGGGCGTGGCCACCAGTCCCTGAGGAAGTGCTCATTGATCTGCAGCAGAATGAGGCAAGTAAGAAAAAATGAGTTGGTGTTTCTTCACATTAATTTTTGTTTTTCCAAGTGTTTTTGACATTAAAATGTCCTTTTTCTTTTGAAATGATAGAGAAAGTTGATTGTAATTACTTATTTTGCTTGAGGCCATTGTTTTTCAAAATAGTTTTATTTGAAAAAATAATCTGAGCATAGTTAAAAAGTCAGACACTACTAAAAGGTTCATAACAAAATCCAATCCAGCCCCTCATCCCAGCCACATGCCCTCGAGTCTTGCTCCCCAGCACCACTGTTTTCTGTTACTTATTTCTTCAGCGACTTGTCTCTATATTTCCAATAATATAATACCCTACTACTTATTGATGTCTTGTTTTTAGACCGTATCTATGGACTTCTTCCTGTGGTAGTTGAAGTTTAAGTCTCTTACACTCGACATCTTTTTTCTAGCACGACTCTCCCTGTTTCCTCATACGTCTATCACTAGTTTTGGCTAAATAACATTTATTTACTGCTAAGCTCAGTTATGCACTGTGATTCTTTGTCTTCTGTTATATAGCTTTTCATTTTTCCTGGAATTAATATTTGCATGATTGTTTTCCTTTTTTATTATCTGTCCACATAATTACTGATGCAATAACGATTCTAAGTGTCCACACATATTAAATTATCTGATAGCTTCCTAACCACCAGGAACACCGCCCCCTTCTTCTGGCAGCGCTGCCTTGGTGGGTCCCTGGAGTTCCCACTGTGGGAGTTTCCACTCTGTGCTGGCTCTCCTGTCAGGCTTGATTTAGTATCTTGTTTCATTATTTACTATCTTTTTTTTTTTTTTTTTGAGATGGAGTCTTGCTCTGTTGCCAGGCTGGAGTGCAGTGGCGCCATCTCAGCTCACTGCAACCTCCGCCCCCCGGGTTCAAGCAATTCTTCTGCCTCAGCCTCCCAAGTAGCTGGGATTACAGGCACACGCCGCCATGCCTGGCTAATTTTTTGTATTTTCAGTAGAGACGGGGTTTCACCATATTGGCCAGTCTGGTTGCAGAACTCCCGAGCTCAGGCAATCTGCCTGCCTCGGCCTCCTAAAGTGCTGGGATTACAGGTGTGAGCCAACAAGCCCGGCCTACCATCTCTTTCTTCTATGTTTTGCTAAAGCATGTCTCTCAGTAGCTGCCTACGAAACGGGGTATGGATGCCATTTTTTGTTTGTTTGTTTTTAAATCTTGGCTGTCTGAAAATAACTTTTTCAAGCTTGATGGAAAGTTTGGTGAGATACAGAAGTCCTGTTTGTCAATCGTCCCTCAGTATAGTTTTAAGTCTCCTTGAGGTATAATTCATATGCCACACAGTTTTCAGAGATCTGTTTGATGGGTTTTAATCAATTTATCACAATCCAGTTTTAAAACACTCGATTTTGCTCCCCTGAAAAACCTCTCCTGTTCCCCTCCCAATCCGCGCTCCACGCCCCTAGCTCCAGGCAGCCGCTGATCTGCCGCTGTGGTTTTCTGCCTCTATAACTTTTCCCTTTCTAGAGATTGTACATAGCTGGAGTCATTCAGTATGGCCTCTCACGGACCTGACTGTTCTCACTTAGCATCATGTTTTGAGGCTCATCCACACACGGCCTGAATCAGAGTTGCTTCCTTTTTACTGCGGGGCGGTGTTCCACGGGGCGGACGGGCTAAATGTTGTTTACTCATCCCCCAGTTGATGGACGTTCAGTTGGCTTCCCGTTCTGTCTGTCATGAATAACGCTGTGACGCGCACTTGTGTGCCGGTCTGCGTGTGGCCGCCTTTTCCTCGGCTTTCCCACCCGGAAGAGTGCTGAGGAGTGTGCACCTTCACTTCAGGAAGTCTCAACATTAACAAAGAAGAGCCAACGCTGGCCGAGGAGGCTTCAGAGCCTCCTGTTCCTCCTTGTGTCTTTTGAGTATTTTTTCATGGAAGTTTGGTGGGTTGACGTAGCTGACTTAAATTATCCAGAGTTGGTCCTCACCTGTGATCAGCCCCCAATGTTGGAATGAAGGCCACTGGAAGGCCAGACGCGGTGGCTCATGCCTGTAATCCCAGCACTTTGAGAGGCCAAGGCGGGTGGATCACGAGGTCAGGAGTTCAAGACCAGCCTTGCCAACATGGTGAAACCCCGTCTCTACTAAAAATACAAAAAATCAGCTGGACGTGGAGGTGCGAGCCTGTAATCCCAGCTCCTCGGGAGGCAGAGGCAGGAGAATCACTTGAGCCCGGGAGGCAGAGGTTGCGGTGAACCGAGATCGTGCCACTGCTCTGCAGCTGGAGCGACAGACTGAGACTATGTCTGAAAAAAAAAAAGAAAATAATCCATTGGAAAATGTGCTTAGATTTACACCTGTAGTTTTGAAGACCAGAGTTTGGAAGAATAAAAGTTGCTTAGGAAGTTTCTGACCTAGAGGGACTTTGGGCTCACGTGTCCTTCCATTAGCATACCTGGATCCTCAGCGCCAGGTGAGAAAACCCCTGTTACTTCCGTCTGAGCGAGTGCCCGGCCACGGCCCTCTGAGGGACTCACCGCTGCTGCTCAGGGACCCCTCCTCCCATTCTGGAAACCATCGGCAAAACCTCAGCAGACCACGGGGCCATTACTGTGGGCTCCGGTTTCCAGCCACTGCACTTCCAGACTTTTCTCTTCGGAGCCAGTGGGAATTTAGCAAATGACTGGATGGGGTCTGGGCAACCAGGCATCACGAGGCGCCTTCTCCTTCCACTCGGTGGAGCAGGGTCTCCAGTGAATGCGGCGTCCACGCCTGATCGGGGCTCCTGCCAGGGCGGCCATGCCTGCTGCTAGAGCCTCTGAGAAAACAGCCGCCTCCTCCCCTTCCCATGGCTTCTTTGTCTCTTCTCCACAGAGACCGGAGTGGGGGGCCTTTTCCTTTGGCCTACGCAAAAACTTGGCATAAATTAAATCATAACTGTAATAAATGAGAATGACCTGAATTGCAGTCCTCTGCCAGCTCTGCCCATGCGTCCCCCAGGCCCTCTCTGGATGTTGGGGTCACGGAGGTGTTTCCCTGCAGGACTGAGTGACCTGTGACCTCTTTATCTTTGCAAGAGATGTCAACGGTACAGAGAAGTAAATAACAGCAACAATATTAATATAAATAGTAAAGAAAATCACCTCAGCCCATCTCCAGAGATGATCAGGGCTACATTTTGGCATCTACTTGTCCAGGCGTTTCCATCTTTATATCTAAATTATTTTAGCGAAAATGCATTCATACTGAACGTGCCGTCTTGGGCTTGATGCTTTGCTTGTTGGTTTGGTTTTCGCGCATTTCTATAAACTTAAACACACTGTGTGACTGAAAGCCCGTCCCCAGTAACGTACGTATGGAGACGCCTAGTGCCTGTCTGCTGTCCCAGCCCACAGCCTGCTCTCCGGCGTGCTGTGCACGAAGAAGGCGTCATCGGAGTTTCTTCCTGAACTTTTGAGTTGCTCTGTCACTTCTGGATTTGCATTGAGGTTTACAAGACACAAATTTCTTCCCTCCCTCCCTCTTTCCTTCCCTGGATTTTATGACAAAGACCCTGTCCTTGCAGGTAGGTTTTTGTTGCAAGTGCCGCTCTGGGGCAGGGAGGCCAGGGGGAAGGGGCCTCGTCACCTCGGCTCAACACCAAGCCCCCACTCCCTGGGTCCCCAGGCATCCCCACAGCTCAGGTCTCTGCTCGGACTGGGACCCTTCCTGCTTCTGAGCAAAGGTGTGGCTGCCAAGTGAGTGGAACTGCGCACCCAGGTTTTTCCGGAAGCCAGAGTGAGGCACGGGAGACCTCAGCTGTGCATACCGGTGGGTCTCAGGCGAAATTAAGGACCCTCAGCCAACGATCGCTTTCCTCTGACACGCTCTGTCTGCTCCGCTCGGCACAGCGGATTTGCCTGAAGCCTCAGGGCTCGCCCTGCAGCCTGGGACACATGGGTGTCCTGGAAGCCTGGGGTTGTCAGTGTAGACCGACCCTGATGAGACCCTATGGGCTTGAGTATTCAGAACTCGGGATTTCATGGTGTAGATGTCCAGATTTAGGGAAAAGAGCTGCCTGCATTCAAGGTCCTTTGGCTCGAAAGAAAGGATGGCATTTACACATACAGTTCCCAGTTTCTAAAACTACCTGATCTGCTCCCTTGAAATAGCAGAGGAAGGGGAACCGCACTCCCAGACCAGGAGCCCAGTGCCTTCTTGGGGGACTGCAAAGCCTTTTAGGGTATCTTCACGGCATTAACTTTCCTCAACTGTAAACTCTGTTAATATAATATAAGAAGGATTTAATTTCCAGCAGGTAAGCATTTTTCTTACTAATTAGTCATATCCCTTCCATCTGGAGGGGCGTTTGGGCCAGAACGGCCCAGTATTTAGCCAAATGCCCGTGGTGTGGCCTCCTCACCAGTGAAGCTGTGGCCCACCCGGGAGAATAAGCCAAGGAAAGCTTGAGAAGAGCAGGCACCTCCAAACACCCAAACTCCTCTCATCTTTCTAAAAACCATGCCACATCCTGACGTTTTACATTACGGCTAATCAGCCTTTTTGAAATTCGTGGTTGAGGAGGACAACGTCATCATCAAAGTAAATGGTTTACTTAAATATAGAGTGTTTTGAAAAAGAGTTTTACTATTATCTAGTGAATGCAACTGTGACACCACAGTTAACTGTTGTAAATGTGGCTGCGAATGCTCTGGGTTTGATGGGGGGCTGCCGACAGATACCACGGTTACGGTGAGACGGCTGCTGCCTGCGAACGTCCGTCATGGATGGTTTTCCTCTAAGTGGGCTTCACTGTTTTTCCTTTCCCGTCCAGACTGATAAATAATTGAAGAGCAGCTTGGTGGCATCAGGTTCTTGAGCTGGGGAAACTAATCCAAGAACCAAATTATTGGTTAGACCAGTTCAACAAATGATGCCCCCACAAGGGAATTTACAAAGACCCCTGGGGTTGGGAAGCTGGAGGTTCAGATGAGGAGAGAGGAAGGGTCCTTTCTGCAACCCAGGAATATCCAGTCCCAAATCCAGCACCCTGTAATGGCTTTCCTTTATCAGGAGTGTGCACCACGGTGTGATCGGATCTTGCCTTCCACTGCGGGAGGCGGGGGCTCTGACCCCCGGGGTCGGGTCCCACCATGCTCCAGCTGTGATTTCCAGGTGGTCTCAGAGGAGTGTCCTGTGCAGCCCGGCCCTAAAATTCCAGCGTTAGGCTCCTCCGGGGCTTCCCAGAATGGCCTTGCTGGGACTGCGGCCACCGCATTTCTAGGGACTTTGTGCGTGCAACTTAGTCACACTGACGGAGTATTCACGCAGCTCCTTCCATGGCCTCAGTGGCATTCTGGGATCAGGAGGGAACACATTGCACCATTGGGGGGTGGCGCCTCTCAGAAGGCAGAGACCCTGCTCCTTGGGGGCTCTGAGTTGCCATCTTTTGGACAGTGGGAGTTGTCTCTCCAGTCCCCCTAACCCCGTCGTGAGACGCCCAGAGCTCCTGGTGGGCTGAATGTTAGAGAGGCTGACGGATGGACCCTGGGGTTGCTTCCAAAGTCGCACAGCACAGGGGGCTCCTCCTCTCCTGTTGTTCCCAAGACCTGGGGGTGGTTTTCCAGGTCAGGGGGCCTAAGACTTCAACGAGCAGAGTCCCTGGAAGTCAGGATCCTCTCTACAGAGTGCGGGGTCATCTCTGTGTGGAATCACAAGACACTAAGCAACGCTGACCCAGGGTCTCCCTGAGGCTCCGGCCTCTCAGTGACTTGTGCATTGGGTCCCCCTGGAGCTCTGTGCCTTCTGGTGACTCGTAAGTTGGGGTCTGTGGCTGCATGGCCTGGTCCCCTTCCCCAGCAAGTGAGTAATTTCTAAGGTGCATTTGTTGCCCTTAGGGCCTAGGGACTGAGCAGCCCTGGACACCAGGGACCCAGAGGCCTTGGCGCTGACAGCCTGCTAAACCCACCCACTCTCAACCACCTGCAGCCAGCCCTGCCCTCCAGCCCTGCTAACCCCCAGCTTCTCTTCTGTCCCTGAGCTGTGCATGGTGAGGCAGCCTGCACCTGTGCCTGCCCCAGCCCGTGCGCCTGCCCCAGCCCCTGCCAATGCCACAGCCCCTGCCCCTGCCACAGCCCCAGCCCCTGTGCCTGCCCCTTCCCCTGCTCTTGCCCCTTCCCTTGCTCCTGTCCCAGCCCCTGCACCTGCCCCTGCCCCAGCCCCTGCCCCAACCCCTGCGCCTTCCCCTTCCCCTGCTCCTGTCCCCGTCTCTGCACCTGCCCCTGCCCTAGCCCCTGCCCCAACCCCTACGCCTGCCCCTTCCCCTGCTCTTGTCCCAGCCCCTGCACCTGCCCCTGCCCCGCCCCTGAGCCTGTCCCTGCACTTGCCCCTGCGCCTGCCCAGCCCCTGCACCTGCCCCTGCCCCGCCCCTGAGCCTGTCCCTGCACTTGCCCCTGCGCCTGCCCAGCCCCTGCACCTGCCCCTGCCCCTGCGCCTGCCCCAGCCCCGGCCCCAGCACCTGCCCGCTGCTTCCCTGTGGTTTTTGCATTTTGGATCTCAGACTTCTCCCCTTTCTTCACTGCAGCCCCTGGTTCAATGCCCCAGGCCTGCCTCTCTTGCAGCCTCAGGGCGTTCTGGGTGTGGCCCTCCTTCCCTCCTCCCCCATGGCCAGGGGTCCGAGCTCTGGCTGCCTCCGGGGGTCCCGGTTCTCCCCCAGTTCTCCCAGAGGAGCATGGGCCCCTCCACGCCACCGCTCGCAGCGATGCACTGGGTGATGTCCTGTGCTGGGTGAACGCTGGTCATGCAGGTCACGGATCCGTCCCCCTTTCAATAGCACTTTCCGTCTCACATGAGAGCTCTCAAAAAGAAGCAGTGTTTTCATCCTTTTGGGAGACACATGTTGAGAAGAGGAAGGACAGCAGAGACGAGTCAAGGGCCGGGATAGCCAGTGTGCCGCCGGGAGAGCTCACGTTGCACAGCAGGGCTTGAGCGTGTGTTGGAATGGAACCTGCGCCTCTACAAACACCACATCCGCATTGGCCAGGTTCCTTGAGATGCTGCATCTGCAGGAGCCCCTGGTCCCTAGGACATAAGTTTGTCATAAATCAGAAGATGCGACTATGGGTTTGACGAGTGAAATGAGCAACTGAGGCTTAAGTCTCGATCATGGAGGTTTTTCTTTTTTCTATTTAATGGAAAGCAAAATAGGAGAAAAGAAAATAAATAAATGTAAAACATCAATTGTGATGGCATAAATGGACTCTAAAACAACATGAATTAAAATTCTCCCTCTTGGAAGAATGGAGTCTCCCTCTTGTCACCCAGGTTGGAGGGCAGTGGCATGATCTTGGCTCACTGCAACCTCTGCCTCCCGGGCTCAAGCGATTCTCCTGTCTCAGCCTCCTGAGTAGCTGGGACTATAGACATGCACCACCACACCCGGCTAATTTTTGTATATTTAGTAGAGATGGACTTTCGCCATGTTAGCCAGGCTGGTCTTGAACTCCTGACCTGAGGTGATCCACCCACCTCGGCCTCCCAAAGTGCTGGGATTACAGGCGTGAGCCACTGCACTCGGCTCATTTAGGTTTTTCAAGCCAGCTTTAGGGTTCACCTGGGAAAAACACCAGCCACAGACACAGCTGCGGCTGTTTCTCCAAAGAGCTTTTCAGGAGGCTTCCTGTTGGCGCATTTCCTTAAGCGGGGCCGGGGGCAGGTAGGAAGAGGGGCCAGCAGGCAGGAAGGCTGAAGGCTGCATTCCTGTGAGACGTTCCTCAGTGCCTAATTTACACTTTCCATAAGGTAAGGCGAATGACCGGCGAGGGAAAGGGAGTAAAGGAAGAGTCAGTTACACAGGCGTCTCTGGGTAGGTGGAGGAAGGAGTCTCCGTTCTGTACACGGAAGATGAGCGTGTAGGGGACACGATCAGTGTGGAATCCACACACCTCAGCTTCAGGCGCTGGACTTAGACTGTAGACCTGTAGTCAGCACCGAATGCCCTGTTTATGGGAGGACAGCAGAGAATTTACTCGTGATTGATCTGTGGGGCAGCCCTCCCCAGAAACCGGAGGCCTTTACCTTTCCACGGGGATCTGGCTGGAGCAGGAAGTTAGTAACAGTAATTCATTTGGAAGAAGGGGCTGCAGTGACCTTCCCTTTTGCATAAGAAGTTTGGGGGTCCTGAGATTTTTATAATTTCCCTTTACAGGTTCATATTACAGACAAGTAACTGCCAGAGGTTTTGGAAAAAAATAAGATGAAACAATAATAATCTAATAAATAAACGTTAATCATCTATTCACATTTTTTATGTATAATGATATGCTATTGTGATTATGAAATATCTGACATTTTCTGGTGCAGAGAATACTTTGAGAAGCATTGCTTTAGGCCTAGGGAGATACACAGATATGATACAGATATTAATACGTACCAAACTATGTAAATACATACTATGCATGTGTGTGTATGTCATATATACATACATATGTGCACACATGTTGTAATGTGTATTGACATAACTTGTTAAATAAAAAATTATCTTGTCTCTGGTGAAACATACTAAATATCCACGTAAGTTGTGACGGGTTTAATTTCATCAGTAGATGAGCGGCCGCACATGGAAGAACTTTAAAACTGTCGTGACTTGGGTGCATTGCTATCACTCAGTACCTTCTAGAGACTGGAAGCACGTCCTTCCTGGAGCACTGGGCCTTTTCGTGTTGGAGATCTTGGTGATTGACTGTATTTGCCTCTCTGCCTGTGGAGCCCAAAACCTGGGTTTTAGGCTATAAGTTTAGTGTTTCTCAACCTGACTCTGAAGAGGAAGAGGCAGCTGCCATCTGAGTTCTTCCTTATGGGCTTAGAAGAGAATGTTTCAGGATTACTATCTGTCCTTGTGAGTATGAGTGTGAGTGTGGTGTGTGTATGTGTGTCATGTGTGTCATATGTGTTGTGTTTTGTGCGTTGTGTATGGTGTGTGTGGCATGTGTGTTGTATGTGTGGTGTGTGTATGTGTGGCATGTATGTTCTGTGTTGTGTGCCTGTGTGGCATGTGTGTTGTGTGTGCAGCATGTGTGTTGTGTGTGGTGTGCATGTGTGGCATGTGTTGTGTGCATGTTGTGTGTGACGTGTGTTGTGTGTGTTGCATGTGGCATGTTTGTTGTGTTTTGTGTGTGTGGTGTGTGTTGTGTGTGTCTGGCATGTGTATGTGTTGTGTGGGGCAAGTGTGTTGTGTGTGTTGTGTGCATGGTATGTGTGTTCTGTGTGTGGCATGTGTATTGTGTGTGGTGTGTGTGACATGTGTGGTGTGTGTGTGGCATCTATGTTGAGTGTGCATGTGGCATGCGTGTGTCATTCACATTGTGTAGCATATGTGTTGTGTGGCATGGGGGTTGTGATGTGTGTGGCGTGTGTTGTGCGCCTGTGTGTGGTGTGTGACATGTGTGGTGTGTGCTTTGTGTCATGTGTGTTGTGTGTGATACGTATTTGGTGTGTGGCATGTGTGGTGTGTGTGGCATGTGTTTGGTGTGTGACGTGGTGTGTGTGGTGTGTGCTCTGTGGCATGTGTGTTGTGTATGTGGCATGTGTGGTGTGTCGTGTGTTGTGTGGCATGTGTGGTCTCTGGCATGTGTGTTGTGCATGTGTGTGGTGTGTGTGGCATGTGTGTGGCATGTGTAGTGTGTGTGCATTTGGCATGTGTGTCATGTGTGTTGTGTGATGTGTTGGCTGTGTGTCTGGCATGTGTGTTGTGTGTAGTGTGTGTGTATGTGTGTGACGTGTGCTGTGTGGCATGTGTGTTGTGTGTTGTGCACTGTGTGGCATATGTATTTGTGTGGTGTGTGCGGCATGTGTGTGTTGTGTGCGATGTGTGCTGTGTGGTGTGTATGTGGCATGTGTGTTGTGTGTGTGACATGTGTGTGCTGTGTGGCATGTGTGTTGTGTGTGGTATGTGCTGTGTGGCATGTGTGTTGTGTGTGTCGTGTGTGACGTGTGTTGTGTCATATGTGCGTGATGTGTGTGCTGTGTGGGATGTATGTTGTGTATGTGTTGTGTGTGTGGTGTGTGTTTATTGGTGTGTGTGGTGTTGCTGTGTGGTATGTTGTGTGTGTTGTGTGTGGTCTGTGCTGTGTGGCATTTGTGTTGTGTGTGTGTTGTGTGTGTGTGCAGCATGTGTGTTGTGCGTGTGTTGTGCTGTGTGCTGTGTGGCATGTGTGTTGTGCGTTGTGTGTGTTGTGTGCTGTGTCGCATGCGTGTTGTGTGTGTTGTGTGCTGTGTGGCATGCGTGTTGTGTGTGTTGTGTGCTGTGTGGCATGTGTGTTGTGTATGTCCCAGTTCTCTGTCTTCAGGCGGTTGGGATCCCCTGTGCTGGCCCCGCTGTGCAGGTGCAGGTGTGCAGGGCGGGGCTGGGAGCTCCTGGGGACATGGGGACGCCCTTGAAGTCCGCCCTGTGCCCCGTGAGGAGTGGGGTTTTGGGGTTTTGGGTTTCGCGCTGGGCTGCGTTTCTGCAGGAGCCAGGCCTCTTCATGCTCTGCGGCGACAGCCGCTGGGGTGGGGCTACGGGGAAGTCGCGCTGCCCCTCGTCTGAGCGTGGGCCAGGGCCCAGGTGGTGACCAAGGCCCGGCGCAGTGGCCCCGGAGCGTGGAGGGGCAGCTGCTGGGCGGCCTCCCGGGGGAGGGTGACGGCTTCACCCGCCAACGCTGCCTCCCTCCTGGGATTAGGCCGGAGGAATCTTGGATCGCCCGAGGCTGGTGCTCAGCCTCCTTCCCCCATCCCACCTCCACCACCCGGCGACCCCCGTAGACTTGATTGGCAGGCCCTGCCCCGACCCCTACCCCTCCAGGTCCCCGCCTCGGTGCCTCGGTGCCCGGCTCCGGGCCACTCCTGCAGGCCCTGCCTAGGGCAGCCGGCGGTGCCTGGAGGCGGGCTCGCCCCGGCTGCTCCACGCCCAGGCCGGTCCCTGGCATTTCAGCCAGTGGGAGGGCGTCCCCGCCGCCCCCGTGCCTCTCCGCAGGGGCTGCGCCGCGTCCCCGGGCCTCTCCCTCCGCCGTGGCCTGGTCTGCCTGCTCCAGGGCGCAGCTGCGCCCGCTTCAGCGCCTCCCGGGTCTGCGTGGCCTGCTCGGCTCAGAGGCCTCCACCACGGTCCGCTCCCTGCCGGACGCCGCGCTGCTGTGGCCGCGGTGGTTCTGTGGCTGTGAGGGCCGTTTCTGTCCGTCCACACCGCCTTCCCTCTGCAGGTGAGGAATGGGGTCTGCTTCGTTTGGAATGTGCCTTTGCCGGGTCCTGCCTGACCTCCACCTTCCAGCCGGGACGCGCGAGCTTTTCCGTTTGGCTGAGTCAAAAAGGGATCGCGCGCATCCCGCCGCCCCTCACCACGAAGCGCAGACACAGGAGGTTGCAGGGTCAGTGCTGCGGAGAATCCCAGACGGCCCCACAGCCGCCGCCACCCGCGGGGCACTCGCCCGGGCTCTGCCGAGGATGTGGGGGCTTTGGTCTCCGCAGAGCTGGGACTCCCGAAGGCCTTACCAGAAACTCAGGAGCAGCCCCAGCCCTGCAGAGCCCGCGAGGGTGGAGACGGGAGACCCGCTGTGGGGCCTGAGGCTGAGATGCCGGCCTGCGGTGAAGCCGGCGGGACGTTCCAACCCGCTCAGACCCGCCCACTCCGCAGGGCCCGGGCCCACCCCCCGGCCTGTGGCCTGTGCTGGGCTGCGCAGCCGGCGGTGGAGGGACCTGGGAAACCAGGTGCTCGCCAGGTGTCCCTCCTGCCAGCTGGGGTTGTCCACAGCCCACAGCTGACATGGCCAAGTTCCTCTTCTGTGGGAAATCAATTGCGGGGGAGAGAAAACAGGAAAATTCCTTTTAAAATGTCTCAAATCTCCTGGGTTGTGTTGTTGAATGAAATGAATACATGAACTGCCTGGCGAATAGCTCTTTCCGTTTCTCAGAATTGTTTACTGAGAAAAAACTCTAATCAACTGGGATTTTAGAACTTCAGCAGTTCAGACGAGCAAAAGCTGAAGACAATTTTCAAGTTTTCAAATCTTGCAAGTAGAAGCCAAAGAAACTCAAAGTTTGCAATATTATTTTCAAAATAATTTTATTTTTATGGGTTCCAAAAATACATATCTAGCGTAAGTCATATAGGAAACATTTTTGTTCCAAAATTTTGAGTTAATAAATAAATCTGTCTTTGTACACTGTGCTCTTCTGTTACATGATAATTTAATGTACAGAATGATCATGTTTAGAATTTTGGGTAGAATTTACACATCTTCCATTAGCATGAAAAGACTAAAAATAACTAATTTTAGATGACTTACCTGCTCCCTTGTGTTTAGGAGCGATATCAAAATTCATAGGGGAAAGCATATGTATCCTCACAATAATGCCATCATAGGACTCCCCACAGATCTATTTTATAGAAAACTTGCCGATTTGGGGGGCAATTTTTATGTAAATAAGCAAACCAACAAATATTTTTCTGCTCTTCTAGCAGGCTCCAGAGTAAACTGAAGAAGTGGTACCTGGGCTCTAGGATCCTCATCAAATAAGACTGTTGGACTTAGATAAGAAAGTTCAAATACTCATGCTCCCAATTTTTAAAATGTTGCTTTTACAGATCTTCTTTTTTGTTAGATGTTTAAAAAATGTAGTTGGAAAGCTTTCTCCATGGGAGGGGCATCAAAGAATGTGACCCCACCTCCCATCTGTTGGAGTTGGTGGCCATCAGCCCTGAACTCACAAGTAGAATGCATGATTTGACAACTTGTCTTCTTATTTGTGGAGACTGAATTTTTAGAAAGCTCCTAAAATAAAGATAGAGTTAATATGATAGTGACTGATTCCTATGATCGTAAAGACTACACTCTGAGAATGTTGTCAGTATCTGGGAACTCTGAAGTGCATGGTGCGGGTATCAGCGCAGTTTACAATTAGACAATTTATAGGGGTTATTGGTCTCTAAAGGAACACAGTGAAGATCATTCCTCGGAGACTGAGAGGAATAGGCTCTCTCACGAATATATGTATTTTAATTGGAGACCCAGGATTTAACTTATGCCAATAGTGTGCTTATTGGTTTGTGATTGGTCCACTCTTAGCCTGGTTCAAATAAAATCCATCTCCATTGACTGGCATTCCCACCATTGTATCTGTCTACTAGAATATTTCCCAGTTTCATTCACATGTAGTCTCTGGCCAGGAGAATTCTTGGTTGTAGATTCTTTGTACCATTAATACTTTTGCTCAATTTTCCTTATAACAAAAAAAACTAGAACACTTTCTGTGAACTCTCCCAGAAATACCTGCTTGGGGCTTTGATCCTCTTCTGAAGGCCGCTCTGGCTAGGTTTTTCTCTGATACCAAATGACTCCCTCATCCCCTGTGGGACAATTTCCATGCAGGTGGGGCCCCAGGACATCAGCCTGGATGGATGACTCAGATTTTCCCTTTTATCTTTCATCCCTCCCTTAAGACGACTGGAGCCTTATTAGAGCTCAAGCTCTCCCCTACTAAGTTATGAATTGAATTAATAATTATCATGAGTTACTACGGTGGTATCCAGCTTGTGGAGAAAAAAGTTTATAAATGCTGAAAACATTGTAGGTGCAAAAGTGGTTTGTTTTTAAAACCACCTTCTCTTCTTTAAACATGCAGATTTCCTCTGCAGAGGCCCGGAGTTACCAGCAAGGTCTGACGCAGCAGAGTGCAGAAACGGCCTCCCTGTCTGTCAAAGTGGCCTCCCGAGGACACCCAGCGAGGCCACCAGATCATCACGTGGAGTATCGGTGGCCTTATTAAAACAAAAACAACAACTCCACAGCCCGGCGAGCGGTATGTGTGCCCAAGTACATAGGTGATTAGAACAGAAAGGCCTGGGCTGGTCATCCAAGCTCTTCCGGTGGCCACCTCCGAGGAAGGTGGGGGTGTGAAGGAAATGACTAAGGACTTGGAGAGTTAAGACAAGCACGTGCTCCCAGGTGGTGGGCATGGTGAGAGAAAGAACCAGGGGAGGTTTGGGGAGGGTTCAACCAAGTCAGAATGGGGCATGGTAGGCGGCTTCCAAAACGGCCCCAGTGACCCTGCGATCCCACCCTTGGGGGCTCCCTGCCTTGTGTGTGGGCTGGGCCCAGTGACGGCCTCTGGTGGACAAGATATGGCAGGAGACAGGAGGTCGCTGTGTCTGTGTCACTTCCTACAGAGGCTTAACGCCTCCTTGTATTTAGACGGCTAATATACTTGGTCTTAATCCTTTTATGCCTAGCATTCCAATAATGGAAGGTTCCAATAACGGAATGTTCTAATAATGGAACGCTAGGCATGTCGGATTTATATCCTACTGCTCAAGGTGATCACCAATGTCTGATTGCTACCTTAGGCATAAATGGTTTAATTCTACCATCTTATTGACTTATTTTTTATGTTACTATTTTCAACATTTTAATAAGAATTTAAAAATATTCAGCAAAATTGAAAGTGTTTTATAATTTTTAATAAATACCTCTAGTCTATCATGAACCTTTTACTGCACTTGCTTTGTGGCATTTCTTAGCCTCTATCTTTTTCCATGCACATCAGAGCAAATGCAGACATTGTAAACATCCCCCTAAAATCTCAGCATGCATATTGTCATCTAGAGTTCAGTATTTGTTTACATTTTTTTCCTTTGAAGGTAAATATTACATGTAACAAAATGTCAAAATCTTAATAAAACCTTCTCCGTGTTTTGACGAATGCACACCTGTGAGGCCCAAACCTTTAAAAAGACGACATAGAGGCCGTCACGCGGAGGCCGTCACCCCACAAAGCTCCCTCATGGGCCTACCCGGCCAATCCTGGCCCCCAGCCCCCAGAGGCAGCCACTCTTGTTTTCATCTGTTTTACTTTTCCATCACAATTAGCCTTGCCTGACCTAGAACATCATGTCAAATGGGGTTGTGGAGTGTAAGCATTGTGTAGACGTCTTCTGCTCAGCAGGATGTTTCTGGGATTGAGCCGTGTCACTGCGCGTGGCAGGAGCTCCCGTCTCTCCATTGCCGAGTGCAGGTCTCTCCATTGCCGAGCGCCGCTCCAGCCTAGGGGCACAGCCTGTGCTGTGGTTCATCCATCCTCCCATGCCAGACCTGGCGCTGCTGCCTGCTTTGGCTATGCTGGGGGGAGCACAGCACAGGTGGTTCATCCATCCTCCTACACCAGACCCAGGCTACTTCCCGCTTTGGCTATGCTGGAGGGAGCTGCTGTGGACATTCACATGCGGGTATGCCATGGACACATATTCACTCCTCTTGGATGACATTGCTAGAAAGGCGTGTGCTGGGCACTCAGGCGAGTGTATCCTTAACATTTTCAAAAGTTGCTGGAATTTTTTCTCCCCAATAGTTGCACCATTTCACATGCCTAGCAAATAGGTAACAATTTCAGGGGAGGAGAGAGTGAGGGGGTGGTGAGAGATTGGTCAAGGGTATGAAGCTGTGGCTGGATGGCAGGAATAAGTTCAGGTGTTCCATTCCCTAGCAGGGTGACTAGAGTTAGCAATGGTGTATTACTGCTCACTTCAAAATTGCTGGAAGACGTTTTGGAATCTTCTCATCATCAAGAGGTGATTAGTGTTTAGGATGATAGATATACTGATTTCCTTGATGTGGTCATTACATGATTTATACACATGCGGAATCATCATGCCGTACTCTGTAACGTGTGCCTCACATCCTCAGCAACACCTGGTGTTGTGGGTCTTTTTAAGGTTTAGATATTCTGAGAGGCGTGTGGTGATTTCATACTGTGGATTTAATTGGTGTGTCCCTGATAGCTGATCATGTTACACGTTTCCTTGTGCTGACGACTGGCCATATCTTTCTCTCCTAAGTAAATGTTCAATTTTTTAAAAATTATGTTATCTTTCTAATATGCAGTTGGATGATTTCTCTATATATCCTGGAAACTAGTGCTTTGTTAGACACATGCTTTTCAGATATTTTATCTTTCTCTATGGCTTACCTATTTATGAATGATGTGTTTTAATAAACAAGTTTTACATTTTAATTATGTTCAATTTATCTATTTTTAATAGTTATTACTTTGTGTGCCCTCAGAAACCTTTGCCCAACCCTGAGTCACGCTGTTACTTTCCTTTGTTGTCTGTTTGCCACGCCTTGTTTTGGTCTCCCCAGCTTTTTCCCGTCTTCTGTTAAATTAACAGAATTTACTTTACTTCCTTTTTTTTTTCACTACTGGTTTTAATGCCAGGTCTAACCATAAGTTGGCTAAAGGTGGCCAGTATCTCTATTAATCTTCTGATTGTACAGAGACCCTGGGAATCTTCCATTCCAACTCTCTCCCCACCAAGCTATCCAATAAGCCACACTGCCCGGCCTCCTGGTGTCTCCTTGCTATGACGCCCTTCCCAGGGTCTCCCAGGTGTTTACAATGTCTTCACTCTTTTGCCTCTGACCTCTGACTCACGGGTTCAATATTTTCTCACTCAGGTGTATCCTTTCAATGAGGGCGAATTCTTTCAGGATTTTTCAGTGAGGTTTCCTGAGTCATACCTTCTCTCAGGTCTTTGAATGTGCCACTGTTTTCCCTCAGTCTGGATTGACAACTGAATTCTAAATTGACAGTTAATCTTCCCTTGGTGCTATGAGATACCCCAAGGTCTGCTGGTACCCATGGCATGGGCTAGGAGTCTGCAATCAGGCTAGCTGGTAGATGATGTTCCTTTTCTCACTGTTACTTTTGCACAAAGCAACAAGAGGTTTTTCTCCTGTAGCCATTCATTGTTTCAAAGGCATTTGAGGTCTGCTTTTCATTTTATATCAGATTTTCTTGTTTTTCATGGCACTTCATTAAATCATGTAATAAAAAAATAATAGCAGTACACAGGTTTGGAAATACAGCCAGCTGAGCTGATTCATGAACACACAATGGGTGGGGCGGAGCAGTGCGGGCATCCAGAGGTGCAGCCAGCATATGTGGGCACTGATGCTCTGTACGCCCATCAGCACACCTTGGGGTTGGATGGGAAGCGTGTGTGAGTTGGTTCTGGGCTTTAGTGGGGTTACTGGAGGGAGCGGCATAGTGCTGATTTTATAGTCTTTGTCAGACAGTTCAGTCATCTCTACTTCTGAGGGCATGCATTCTCCCCTGCTCTCAACTCCCCATCTCTCTCTCCTGTCCATTGTTGCCTGGGGACTTACCTTTGAAGAGGGGTTTTCTGCAGGAGTTCTGCCTGCTGTAGCCTGGGAAATCTTTCTCCCTACAATTTCACATTGAAGTCGGCCAGGACGTTTGCAGTTTCACTGGATTCAGACCCTTTTTGTTTTCATTTTTCATTTACATTCTAAACAAGGTGGGTGGTATTAATTCAGACACCACACCCATACATGGCCAGATCTGGGCTCCTGCAGGTTACAGGGGGATGCTTTTCCCTTGGAGAGACTCACATGGGGGTGGGGTCCCCTGATACTTCCCATCAGCACCTGGCTCTATGCAGGGGCCTCAGGACCTTTCCTGACTGGAAGCTTGTACCATCTGGCGTCCCTGTCACCTGCCTCTGTAGGCCTCAGGGCTGCAGCTGCCCGGGTTGTTGTTTTGAGTCGTGTCTTTGCTTCTGGCTCCTAGGAATGTCCCTTCCTCTCATGCTGGAACACGTATTTGCGTTGGGGGGACTACGTTTCACGAGCTGCGTGCCTGTTGGCCGTCCTGCCAGTTCAGCTTACTCTGCATAGTAACTGGAGCTTTTCTCGTCAGGGAGTTGACCTTTATGTGGCCTACCATGCACCGCACGCTTGCTCCACACTCAGGACACATGACACACACTCCATGAGGAGATACAAGCTCCTGACCTCACGTGGCTTCCTGTCTAAAGGGAGAAAATGCAATAAATTAAAGTCTAGGACTCTACCTGTTAATTAGCGATGGGCTGAGTCTACAGAAGGAAACGATCCCAAGTGCAGGTCTGGGGAGTGAACATGGAGGGTCCCGGGAATGGCGGATGCAGAGGAACCGTGGGGCAGGAGGGGTGGTGGGCACGGTGTCCATTCCAGGCAAAGAGCCAGCCCCAACTAGCACAGGGACCTCCCAAAACTTCAGCCTAGGATTTAGCAGAGCAACCTCTGCTGTGAGATCACAAGCATCGGCCACATGCGAGCTCTGGGAAGAATGTTATTAATATTTTTGTGTCTAAGGATTTAAAATTATCACGTGGATTTTTAACTTGCTAGGGCAGTGCCTATGGTATTGACACTTACATGAAGGCTCAGCCTTGACTTTAAACGGTGGAAGCGTCTCTCCTCTTGATGTGGCGGCAGGAAGTGTCTCCCACGCGAGGACTCTGTGCTAAACGTGTGACTGTCGCCCCCATTGTGAGTCTTTTGGGCTTCGCTCCCTCGATTGGATCCCGTCATTCAACAAGGGGACTTTTAAGACATCATGAAGACCTCAAATCTTCTGACGTGAAGTTAGGGAGATTATCCTAGGTGTACCTGAGCTAACCCAGGTGCCTTTAGGAGAAAGCAGAGGGGTCACCCCCGCTGGTGTTGAAGACATACCTGGCAGGGTTTTGAGAGAAGTAGACCAGGGGCAAGGGCCTGATTCCTGCCAGCACTTGGTGAACTTGGAAGAGGCTCCAGAGCTCAGATGCGACCCGACCCTGGCAGGTGCTGACTTCAGCCTGGTGAGACCCTGAGCAGAGGACTCAGTGCAGCCCCACCTGGCTCCCAAACACGGTGCTGTGAGCAGACACACGGGGGTCTTTAGCCACTGAATTTCCATGGCTTCTTACACAGCAAGATGAAGCTAGCATGGTGTCTTGGTCCCTTCAGCCTGTATGACAAGAATGCTGCAGACTGGGCAAATTATCGATGCCAGGACTCCATCCCTCACAGTTCCGGAGGTTTGGGGGGTCGATATCATGGCACTGTACACTGGGCATCTGGTGAGCCTTCCTATAAGCAGATGTGGCCCCCCTGCTGCGTCTTCCCACAGTGGAAGGGCAGACAGGCTCCCCCAGGCTTCTTCTGTAAGGGGACGAATCCATCCTTTCATGGGGGAAGGAGCACTATCTCCCCAGGTCCCCTCATCACTCTCACCTCCCCCTGGGTCTCCACATCACTCACTTCCCCCCGGGTCCCCACATCACTCTCACCTCCCCCCGGGTCTCCGCATCACTCTCACCTCCCCCTGGGGTCCCCACATCACTCTCACCTCCCCCTGGGGTCTTGGAATGGAGAGACAGGTGAGGGAGTGAGGGACTCTCTGGGGAAGTCAGCAGCTCCCTCCTCGTCAGGCTGCATGAGGCCTTGGTTCAGGGTTTGTACTTAGTGTCTTGGTGTTGGAGAGAGCCTTCCCCACTGCAGGAGGCACTCCCTGGGCAGAGACTGCACGCACAGATATGGACGCTCACATCTAGGGCCTAAAGCAGGCAGGGAGAAGATGACACCATTTTTTACAAAACACATTGTGCTTTTATTTTAACTTAATTTTAATATTACTTTTATTATAAAGTTATAAATAACTGTATTTTATTATTACAAAACTTTTTTCCCAGCTTCATGTATGATGAATAAAAATGGTGTATATGCAGGGTGTACAGCATGATGATTTGATGTCTGTCCACAGTGTGAAATCATCACCACAACCAAGCCAAGTGCATCCATCGCTCAGGCAGTCACCATGGTGTGAGTGCGGTGAGACGGCTTTGATCTGGCTCTCAGCCACTTCTGATGCTCCTGGTACCTGCAGTCACCACGCTGCACCCAGGCTTCTGTGTGTGTTCATCCCACAGCTGCAGGTTTGGACCCTTTGACCAATGCCTTTTCTTTTCCCCTGGGAATCACCATTTGGCTCTTAATGACTATGAGTTTCTACTTCTTTTTTTTAAGAGTCCATGTATAAGGAAGAGCATGGAGTGTTTGTCTTTCTGTCCGGCTTATTTCACTTAGTATAACATCCTCAAGGTTCATTCATGTTAGCGTAAATGGCAGGATTTCCTTTTTTTTTTTTTTGAGACGTAGTCTTGCTCTTATTGCCCAGGCTGGAGTGCAGTGGCATGATCTCGGCTCACTGCAACCTCTGGCTCCTGGGTTCAAGTGATTCTCCTGCCTCAGCCTCCCTAGTAGCTGGGATTACAGGCGCATGCCACCTTGCCTGGATAATTTTTTTTTTTTTTTTTGATAGAGACGAAGTTTCACCATGTTGGTCAGGCTGGTCTTGAACTCCTGACCTCAAGTGATCCACCCTCCTCGGCCTCCCAAAGTGTTGAGATTACAGGCATGAGTCACCACGCCTGGCCAGGACTCCCTTCTTTTTAAAGGCTGGTCATATTCCGCTGTGTGTGTCTGTGTCCTGCTTTTTAAAGGCTGGTCGTATTCCGCTGTGTGTGTCTGTGTCCTGCTTTTTAAAGGCTTGGTAGTATTCCATTGTGTGTGTCTGTGTAACATCTTCGTGTGTGCACCATATTTTCTTTATACACCCAGTTGCTGGCAGACTTGTACGTTGTTTCCACATCTTGGCTATTGTGAGTGACCGTGCAATAAATGTGGAAGTGCAGGTATTTCTTGGAGACAGCGATTTTATTTCCTTTGAATATATACCCAGTAGTGGGATTGTGATCTCATACGCTAGCTCTATTTCTAATTTTTTGAGAAAACTACAGACTGTTTTCCATAATGGCTGTATTAATTCATTTTCCCGCCAACAGGGTACAAGGGCTCCCTTTTCCCCACATCCTCACCAACACGTGGTCTTTTGACTTTTTGATAACAGCCATTCTAACAGGTGTGAGGTGATCTCTCCTGGTGGTTTTGGTGTGCATTTCCTTGATGATTATTTAAGGTGAGCACTTTTTCATCTGACTTTTGGACGTTTGTTTATTTTCTTTGGAAAAATTTCTTTTTTTTTTTTTTTGAGACGGAGTCTCGCTCTGTCGCCCAGGCTGGACTGCGGACTGCAGTGGCGCAATCTCGGCTCACTGCAAGCTCCACTTCCCGGGTTCACGCCATTCTCCTGCCTCAGCCTCCCGAGTAGCTGGGACTACAGGCGCCCGCCACCGCGCCCGGCTAATTTTTTGTATTTTTAGTAGAGACGGGGTTTCACCCTGTTAGCCAGGATGGTCTCGATCTCCTGACCTCATGATCCACCCGCCTCGGCCTCCCAAAGTGCTGGGATTACAGGCGTGAGCCACCGCGCCCGGAAAAATTTCTATTCAAGTTCTTTGTCCATTTAATCAGGTTGTCTGTTGTATACTGTGGAGTGGTTTGAGTTCCTTATATACTCTGGAACTACATGATACGCATAGGTATTTTCCACACCTGATAGTGCATATGAATTCATTTGTAAACACAAAGAATGGTCGTAGAACTTTAAAACAGGATGGACAATGCTGTTTGCAACATTTTTATTTAGCGAGTATTTGGAAATGGGATAAATGTTCAAACAGTGATGTCTTCTTACCAGGGACTGCATAGGGCATTTGAAAGAGTTTTATTTTCTTTTTTTTTTTAAACTTTTTTTCTTCTTTTTGAAATTTTTCGGAGTTTCTAAAACAAGCATTCAATATCTGTATTATTGCTATCTTAGAAAGAAGTTTGAAATAGCGATTAAACTACATTCTACCACCAACAGACTCCAACCTTTCATCAGCTGATTTGCTTTGGGCAGAAGGCCCATTTGTAGGATAAATAAATACATCAGGAAGTTGTTGCAGGAAAGTCTGGCTCTCAGTGTAAATGCCTGATAAAGGGCTAATACTATTGTAATCATAATTTTTATTTTCAATTTTTGTGTTTTAATTTTAACAAAGTTTTCAAATTTATTTGTATAAAGGAATTTATATCTTCTTATCTTTTAAAAAATTTTTATTATGGTAAAATATGCATACCATAAAATTGATGATTGTAACCATTTTTAAGTGCGGAGTTCAGGGGCACTAAATACATTGACATTGTCGCGCAACCATCACGACCATTCATCCCCAGAACTGTTCATCTTCCCAATCAGAAACCCTGGCCCCATTAAACACTAACTCCCCATTCCTTCTCCTACTCCCCAGGCCCTGCCAAATACCATCAACTGTCTGTCTACATGATTTAACTTCCTCTAAGCACTTTATACCAGTGAAATCATGTGGCAGTTGTCCCTCTGTGATGGCCTCATTTTACTGGGCACAGTGTCCTCAAGATTCTTCCATGTTGCAGCATCTATCAGAATTTCCTTCCTGTTTAGGGCTGAATAGTATTCCGCCATCTGGGCAGAAGACATTTTGGTACCTGTTTATCTATTGAGGGACACTTGGGTTGGCTCCACCTTCTGGCTATGGTGAATCATGCTGCTATGAACATGGGTATGCAAGTAATTCTTGGAGACCTTGCTTTCCATTCTTTTGGATATATACCCAGGAGGGAAATGCTGGATCATGTGATAATTTTATTTTTAATTTCTGAGGGACTGCCACACTACTTTCCACAGTGGCTGTACCATTTTACAATCTCACCAACACTGCACAAGAGCGGTAATTTCCACATCCTTGTCAACACTTGTTCGTTTCTGTTTCTTAAGTAGTAGCCATCCAATGTGAGTGAGATGGTATTTCGCTGCCATTCTGATTTGCGTTTCCCTGCTAATGCGTGATGTTGAACACCTTTTCATGTGCTTATTGGCTATTTGTGTGTCTTTGGAGAAATGCTGATTCAGGTCCTTTGCCCATTTTTGAATCAGGTTGTCTTCTTATTATTGAGTGTTAGGAGTTCTCTATATATTATATTATAGGTTATAGTTATTATATATTAGGAGTTCTCTCTGTATATATTATGAATATTAAATCAGTATCAGATATATGATTTGCAAGTATTTTCTCCCAATCTGTGGGTTACATTTGTTCTCTGTTGAGAATGCCTTTGATGCACAAAGTTTTAAAATTGTCACCATGTCCGATGTGTCTATTTTTTCTTTTGTCGCCTGTGCCTTTGGTGTCACATCCAAGAAAGCATCGCCAGGTCCAAGGCCGTGTGGTTGGAGCTGAGCAGCATGTGGCCTTTTCAGCTGGCTCCTGTCATCTCATCACATGCATTTGAGGCCCCTCCATGCCTTTTCCTGGCTTGACAGCTCATTTCTTTTTAGTGCTGAAGAATATTCCGTTGTCTGGATGTGCCATGGTTTATGTATCCATTCACCTACTGAGGGGCACCTCGGTTGCCTTGGAGTTTTGACAATTATAAATAAAGTGGCTGTACACATGTGCAGGTTTTTATGTGGATGTGCGTTTTCAGCTCATTTGGTCAAATACCAAGGAGCATGGTTGCTGGATCTTACCATAAGAGCATGTTTAGTTTTGTAAGAGACCAGCAAACTGTCTTCCACAATGGCCGCACCACTTTGCGTTCCCAGGAGTGACGAGTGGGAGTTTCCGTTCCTCCACGTCCTTGCCAGCATTCTGTGGTGTCGGTGTTCTGGGTTTTGGTCATTCCGATGGGGCGTGTTCCAGTGGATCTTTGTTTTTGAGCTGAAGTATCTCACCATGTGCAGACAATGACACTGGTGCTGTGTTTGGACTTGAATCCTCCTTCACATATTTTCTGTTTGTCTCCCTGATTTATGTTCTCTTCCGTCTCCTTTCTTGCTTGCTTTTGAATCAAACACATATTTTTCTTTTGCCTCCCTTCTGTTATTGGCTTGCGATTGATGCATTCTTTCGATATTATGTTAGTAGCCACATATGCTTGGAGCACACCATGTGTCTGACTTATTAAAGTCCAGTCCATGACATTCCCTTTACCACGTCCCAGACAGGCTTGAGCTCACAGTGCCTCCCTCGGTGCACCGCCTCCTCCTCGTGCTGTCCTCTTCCTGCATTTTAGCCCCACGTTCATTTGAATCCCACTGGGCCTTGGCATGATGGTGCTTGCGGTGAACACCTGCATTTAGCTATCCACATGTCGGCTGCCCCTATGCCAACGCTCCTTTCAGCACTTCCAGGATTTCATGGGGACGGTTTCCTCTGCCCAGAAGGCTGTTTCTTGTGTTATTTATTACAGCCTTCGGCAGATGCATTCTTTCAATGCACTCTTTCTAGACACTTCTCTACAAGCCTCTGTTTTTCCCTCACATTTGAAGAGCATTTTTCTCTCTTAGTGTAGGCTGTCCTTTTTTCCATTAAGATGCTATTCCATTGTCCAACAGATTCGTTTTACAGTTTCTCCACAGTTTCTCTCCTGGATGTTAGACCGTAAGTCCTTTTGGCCTTAGATTGTCTCTGATGCCTTCAAATAGGATCTTTTCTCCCTGACAGCCTTGCGTGTTGCTCTCGGTGCTAGCACTGCTCTACTGTGAGCTGTTCAGGCACAGAGGCCCTGGGGGCTGATCAAGGAGGGCTCTCAGATCTGGCTCTCCTGGAGCAGCACAGCAGGAGGCTGCAGGAGGAGGCTGGCCGCAGGCTCTTCTGTTTTTTCTACAAACACGGATGTCTAGTTTTCAATGGGCAGGAGCTCTAAATGAGATTAGAACCAGAGTAGGCATGTGAGCGCTGGGGGAAGGGGACGGCATCCTCTTTTCCCCTGAAGCGCGATTCTTGCCGTGAGTTTAGTCTATTCCTTCTTTCATCTTGATGCAAAAAATGAGGTTTATATGAATCTTAATCCTTTAAGTAGTCCTGAATGTCTCGCAGAAGCAACTATTTTCATTCTCCTTTTACAAACAGGGAAACTGAGGCAGAGAACACGAGAGAGTGGTCCTGGCCACAAATCCAGTCACTCTTCAGGGCTGGCCTGTTGGTCTCATGAAGGAGCCCTGTGTTCTCAGACACAGCCCACCAAGCTCTGGGACCCCTTATCTCTAAGCTCTTTCTCATCTCTGGAAAACCAGGCTGCTGAGTGGCTTAGGAAGGGCCAGAGAGATGCTTTGGTTTTGCTGATATTTTGACTAAGGGGTCAATGATTTCTCTGTCCCACATTTCCTTGGTGATGGCCATGACGCAGTCGGCACAGTGGGACCCCGCCCCCCACCCCGGTGGGATGAAGTAGAGGTCAGGTTCTGTGCCACGCTTGGCAGGCTACAGCCCCAGGCACTTAGCCACTCATCCAGGTGTTGCTGAGAAGGTGCTCTGTAGGTAAGATTAAAGTCCATCATCAAGCAACTTTCAATAAAGGAGGTAATGCTGGATAATCCTGGTGGGCCTGGGCCAATTGGTTGAAGGAGAAAAGCTGAGGTTTGCTTGAAGAGGAGCCAGGTTTGCCTGTGGATGGCAGCCGCAGCTGTGCTTCAGAGATTCAGCCTGACCTTCCTGGTGCCTGGCCCTGTGGGTTTCAGACCTGTGCAGCCAGACCCCACAAGTCCATGAGCCAACTCCTTGCAGTGGATATTGCAGAAAATCAGTCTGTACCTCTTGCTGGTGGAGCCCAACTGGCATGGGTGGAGGGGGAGCACATCTGCCAGGAGCATGGGAGGAGGGGCTGTGTAGGCGCCTGTGGAGAATCCATCCTAACGAGCAGGGCGGTGGAGACAGAGGCCGTGGGGGAAACAGTGACTCAGGTGGGTGCAAGGGGGACCCCTCAGAAGAGCCTGACTTCTCAGACTGAGTTTCCTGGCCCCCCACCGACCCCTGGCCCTGACACTCGTGCTGACTTGGCTCTTTGCTCTCCGTCACGGCCCCCAGCTTTCGCTCCCACAGCAGATGTGCTCACAGCCCCAGTGGGGGGCTGGGGTTCTGGTCCACCCTTGGGACGTGGCCTGCAGAGGGATGTGTCAGTGGCGCCCGTGACCCACCACCTGCTCATTGAGGGGAGACAGAGGGCGGAGCTGGCTGCATTCACACTTCCTGCAGGTCGTCCTCTGTTTCCAAGCAGAAGTTTTAACTTTCCTGCCACGATTTCATTTCATTTTAAATTTGCTTTAAAGAAAAGCAGGAAAAGTCTTCCCTGAGGAGGTGACATCCGCACTTGTTTTCTGGGTGGCTCGAGGAGTGGTGTGGGTCCCAGGGGACAGATGGAAGCTTGAAGGGCAGAGGGTAGGAAGGGGTGATGTCCTGAGTCCATGTGTGCCCAGGAGCCTCAAAAACTGCAGAGAGAGGAGCTGCCTGTGCCTCTTGGATTCTCAGCCCAGGGTCAGGAGCAGCATTCCTGCTCTCGCTACTTCCACAACAGGCAATTAATACTCGGCGTTCAGTGTCTCGGGTCCAGACCACCTTCCCAGGCACAGCCGAAGCCGTGATCATTGGATCATCTCAGTTGAGTAACTTCATTTTCCCATCAGTCAAATCCAGAATCAAGTAACTGAGTACGGTCAGTGTGAAATGTCTCACTGAACAATGTGCTAGCTACAGAGCCCTCGGCAGCGTCACTGCTGGCACGTGCAGAGGAGCTCTCAAATGTAAAAATAGCCCGTACTCTAGAACACCAACCTAGCACCGCTTTTAGAACAATGTGAATCGTGTCTGTGGAAGGGTAAACGTACGCTGCTTATGTTGTTGCTGTTTACTTTTTAAGGTGTGAAGACCAAATCGAGTTACGGATTCTCTAAAAAGCCAGCCTCTTAGCCAGGTGTCCTGTGCTTTTGCGGCAGGCACGTCTCACCAAAGCTCCAAGTCTCCCTGAAGATTTGCATACGATCCCCCTTAGAATAGTCCTTCTTTTCCAAGTCGGGGAGCTCTCTCTGCCCTAAAAGGGCCTCCTGCAGAGATAGCTTGAGGGGCTCCCATGGGGTTGCTGGCAGAGCGCTCCGCAGAGCCAGCCTCACCCTCCAGACACTGGTTTCTGGGGGTTTTCCAAAGGCAGCCTCTGGAGGCCTCCGCCTGCCCCACACATCACCGACGCCTGGGTGCTGCCCGAGGCATCACTGATGACCACAGGGCTGGGTCCCCTGCTTCTCGTCTGTCATCACTATTCCAGCCGCTCCGTGTTCAAGTGGACCGGCCCTCATCTCCCCCACCTTCCTTCTTCCTCCCCGACACTGCCTCCTCCCAGGGGCTCTGGCAGACCCCCGGTGGCTCCTGGGCACACTCAATTGTCCAAACAAGAACTGCAGCAAGGAATTAGAGATTTCTTAATCAGCCTCACCTCCCTCCCCTGAAGGGTGTATGGTCCCCTTTCCCCAAGACAATTTGCCACCAACCACCTTGGGAGTGGGCTTGATTTCTTTCTAAACATTGGCCAGTCATCAAGATCACAGAGTGAAAGGCGTTCACATCTATATTTCCTTAAAGGGATTGTACATACCCAGCTAATAATAATTTAGTAGGATTTTTTTTTCTTTGCCTTATGTAGACTCTGTTCTTCCTTGCAGCCCATTGAGAGCAATGATCACCATGACTGTTCCCTCACATGCAGCAGCAATGATTGTCCAAGATATACATGTTCACAGAACAAACTTTTATCATACAAGTTTTCTTTTTCTGAGAAATGTGAAGTTCCAGAATACCCTTATTTTTTTTATTTTCTTTTTTGAGACAGGATCTTTCTCTGTCACCCAGGCTGGAGTGCAGTGGTGCAATCTCAGCTCACTGCAGCCTTGACCTCCTGGGCTGAAGTGGTCTTCCTGCCTCAGACTCCCAAGTAGTTGGGACCACAGGTGTGAACCACCATGCCCAGCTACAAAATGTGCTTACTTTAAAGCAGTTTCCTTCCTTTGCGATGGTATTTTTTGGGGTAAAGCCTGACCTGGATCATTAGTGACTGTAATTTGCAGCCCTCTACAGTCTCTCTTTTTTTTTTTTTTTCTTTTGAGACAGAGTCTCGCTCTGTCTCCCAGGCTGGAGTGCAGTGGTGTGATCTTGGCTCACTGCAAGCTCTGCCTCCCAGGTTCACACCATTCTCCTGCCTCAGGCTCCTGAGTAGCTGGGACTATAGGCAGCTGCCACCATGCCCTGCTAATTTTTTTTTTTTGGTAGGTTTTTAATAGAGATGGGGTTTCACCATGTTAGCCAGGATGGTCTCGATCTCCTGACCTTGTGATCTGCCCGCCTCGGCCTGCCAAAGTGCTGGGATTACAGGCGTGAGCCACCGCGCCTGGCCTCTACAGTCTCTTTAATTAGGATCCTAAATGTTTCTCCCGTGGTCTCATCTATTTTAACCTAAAACGCCCTTGGGGAAAACCTTTTGTCACTGCAACACTTCAGAACACACTTACAACAGGAGGTTTTTTCCCGAGGGCCTGCAGCAATCAAGGAGGGCCGTTCTGCTGGGTTTCCTGTTTTGAGCGGGATTTGTGTTCCGGGAGGCTGGGTGCTTCCTCAGAACTCTGTCTGCTTTTCCTCAGTAGGTTACAGACATTTCAGTCTACTAACCCCCAGAAGAAACAGCGTGCTGTTAGATTTAGTTATATTATCACAGGTCATTTTAAGATTTTCATTCATTTAATGTAAAAATCAGCCCAGAATTTTATTTTCCGTAAGGTGCTTAGGAGAGCGTGGGCATAGCCATGAGACCTCCGTGTTGGGTTGTGTTTAAAGATGTGTATTCATTTCTCATCCTCAGCTTTTGCCTCAAGAGTTTAGCCTCTGTCAGGATTAATCGGGGTCAGATTATCCTAACACGGAGTGTTTTCCATTCTTTCAGAAATTATTGCAACACCCTGCAGCGTTCAGACTTGTCATGGATGACTCTAACAGGGCAGGTGTTACCACGTCAACTGGTCCAAAAAACAAAATACCGGGTGCACATCCCTTGAAGTTTCGGGTGTGTTTACTCTGAGGCACCGTGCACTGCAAAGCTGGGGATTCACAGGCAAGTTTAGGTGAATCCTCGGAACACGTGACTGATGAATTCCGGGCCCGTGTCGGGCTCTCAGCCAGCGCCTGCTCCGTGCGCCAGGGACGGAGTGCTGCCTTCTCGGGAGTCACACGGGACTGGCTTAGCCCTGGCGAGTGTTTCGCATCAGGTGACAAGTTGTGCCGAGTGTCTGCCACCCTGCATGCCCACACTGAATCCGTGCAGGGCCCTCCCGGCCGCCTGCTCAGCTGTGGACACGGAGCTCCGGCACAGCCAAGTCCTGAATGACATGCAGCCAATTCTCTTGGGCCCTTTCCGGGTTTGTCTGTGGTCCTTCCTTCTGTGTTTCCAGGCTGAGTCCTAAGGCCCTGGTCCTGTGCCCAGTGTGGTGCCTTGGAAGTTCTGAAAGTCACAGGTGAGCTGGGTGCTCCTGGGTGTCCCACCCCGGCTAGGGCTGTCAGCATCATGAGTTCTGAAGAACTGCCCTGAGGGCTGCAGCATCCCTGCGGGGGCTCAGACCGGCTGGACCGTAGCGTAGTTTCTGGCCCCGGCTAGCTGGCGACCGTGGGCCTCAGTACCCTGTCTGCGGGGTGGGGCGATGCGAACCTACACCCTGGGATGGGGGTGCCCGCCCAGGGCAGTGCTGTCTGTGATCTTGCCATGCCCAGGGCACCCACTCCATGACGCTGGCTGTCGGTGCTTTCCAGGGGCACAGTGGAGTGTGTGAGGAAAGACCCCTGCAGACGGCCTCCGGCGGGCTTCGGGCAGCTCTCCCTGGTTGGGGTCCCAGGGTCTTCAGGGAAGCCCCAAGTCCTGGTCCTGTTCATCTTTGTGTCTCTAGTGGACAACATGTAAGAAATGCTACTTAAGCTGACCTGTTAGCATATGTAACATAATGCCGGGAAAAGAGCTGTGGCTGAATTGAATGATTTCTTAAATTGATTTTATATTGTGTGCCCTTTGAAAAATGTTTGGGGAGAATTGGAGTTAAAGTTTTCAACACAGTGTGGTCCTTGCAGACTTCCTGTGGGAGGGAATGACTTTCTGTTCCTCTGCGTTAGCATCCAAGTACACTCTTATGGCCTTTTCGATCCAATAATCACAATCTGGTCTTTGTCAGCTTTTTTTCAGGCAGTGACTTGGGTTTGTTCACACACTAGAAACTTAACTCACAAATCTTTAGGGTGCTAGGGGTTATGAGCGGGTTGGGAAGTGTCCCCACGTGGTTCACACCTGCCCTCTCCATGCTCACGGAACCACACGCTCGCTCCATCGTTTGTTGGGGGTTCCGTCAAGTGCCAGGTCCTCAGCGGGGCTCCAGGGGTGCAGAAAACGTGCAGGACAGCTCCAAGTTCACAGAGTCCCGGGGAGCTGATCGGCCACCAGGGCCTCTCGGTGTGGAGGGAAGAGGGACCGGCCAGCCCAGCTGGTCCTGAGAGTGCAGCTAGCAGCTGCTGACCAGCCCCCAGGGGGCTCCCGGGACACTCCCATGAGCGTGAGGATGATGAAGCTTCTCCCTCACCACATCCCAAGTCTCCAGGACACCAAGGGAGATGAGGGCATTTTAGGTTCTGCTCCCAGCCCATGCCACGACTTCTGGGCCCGAGGGCATCCTGTGCTGTTTTGTGTGAAGCGGCACAAAACATCCCACAACCACTGGGAGACGCCTCTGTCCTGGAACCGCTGCGGCCGCTCTCCCCACCCCTGCCAGGCGGCTCGCAAAGGGCAGCTCCTTCTTCCCGTCTGGGTCCGCACCACGCACCCGCCCTGGCCTCCTGCCCGGGGACATGCAGAGTCACCATGCGCTCTGAAACAGCCCCTCGGCAGCTTCACGACCTCACCAAGTGCCCGCCGCTCTCACGAGAGAGGTGGTTATGGTTGCGCATTGAATATGCTTGGGAGAGGCAAAGATGGATGGCGTAGTCTCTACCCTCACACCCAGTGCTGAGCGCGAGTCGTCCGCTGTGTGTGCATCATCTGCTGTGCGTGTGTCATCTGCTGTGCATGCCTGCGTCATCTGCTGTGTATGTGTCATCTGTTGTGCATGCGTGTGTCGTCTGCTGTGGGCGCGTGAGTCATCTGCTCTGTGTGCTTGTGCCGTCTGCTGTGCCTGCGTCATCGTCTGCTGTGCGTGTGTCATCTGTGCGTGTGTCATCTGCTGTGCGTGAGTCATCTGCTGTGCGTGTGTCATCTGTGCGTGTGTCATCTGCTGTGCGTGCGTGTGCCCTCTACTGTGGGTGTGTTCATCATCTGCTGTGCGTGCGTTGTCTGCTGTGCGTGCGCCGTCTGCTGTGCGTGCGCCGTCTGCTGTGCGTGCGTCGCCTGCTGTGCGAGTCGTCTGCTGTGCGTGCGTCGTCTGCTGTGCGTGAGTCGTCTGCTGTGCGTGCGCCGTCTGCTGTGCGTGCGCCGTCTGCTGTGCGTGCGCCGTCTGCTGTGCGTGCGCCGTCTGCTGTGCGTGAGTCGTCTGCTGTGCGTGTGCCGTCTGCTGTGCGTGAGTCGTCTGCTGTGCGTGTGTCGTTTGCTGTGCGTGTGCCGTCTGCTGTGCGTGTGTCATCTTCTGTGTGTGCGTGCCGTCTGCTGTGCATGTGTGCATTGTCCATTGTCTGCTGTGCATGCATCGTCTGCTCTGCGTGCGTGCGTCATCTGCTGTGCGTGTGTCATCTGCTGTGCGTGTGCCATCTGCTGCGGGTGCATCATCTGCTGTGCGTGCGTGTGCCATCTGTGCCTGTGTGCATCGTCTGCTGTGTGTGTGTTGTCTGCTGTGCATGCATGCGCCGTCTGCTGTGCGTGCATGTGTTGTCTGTTGTGCATGTGTCATCTGCTGTGCATGCATGCATTGTCTTCTATGGGCACAGGCGTCATCTGCTATGGGTGTGTGCGTCGTCTGCTGTGGGCCGTGCGTCGTCTGCTGTGCATGCTTGTGCTGTCTGCTGTGTGTGTGTGTGCATTGTCTGCTTACGTGCATCGTCTGCTATGCATTTGAGCACCCTTCCCTCCAAGGACTCCAGAACGTTCCACCTCCACCCATTCCTCATCTCCTGTGTGGCCTGTGAGACCAGGCGTGGCAGTCCCTGCTCCCAGCCCAGCACCCTTTGTCCCCTAGGGAGGCGTCCTCCATGGTCACCGTCTGTGTACCCATTGTGCGGGTTGTGCTGTCAGCACCTGTGCGGCGGGGGTGGGTGGCGTGGAAGTCCAAACCCACTGGGGGCTGTGCCATCCCTGTTTGATGTCAGCATGTGCTCCCTGTGTTCTATTAACCATGTAGCATTTTTTCTTTCTTTAAGCTGAAGAGGATGGAAATTAATTTTGCTTTCATAATTTCCTGACATGCTAGGAGGTGATTGGGGCCCTGGGGCATGTGGCTGGCGGGGGGTGCCTTGGTCCTGAGCAGGATGGAGGGTCCCTGGCTGAGGGGCGGGGCTGGAGGGGCCACCGTGCACCCCGGGTCTCGATGGTGTCCTGCAGAATGGGCTCTTCCTAGAAACTTCAAAAACAGTTAAGGAAACAGCCTAATCTTTCTGTTCCTCTTCTCATGGCCTTGGCGGTTACTGTTACACGAGCTCTGTGCTTGTCCTCCCCGTGTGGACTAAGGTCCTTAGAAATGTCAGGAATTGCAAATGAGTCCCAGCGAGCTTCCTCCTCTGCCCAACGCTGCCTCTCCTGATGGGGCCTGGCAGGCCGGGGTCCGCGGAGTGAGGAGTTTATCAGGATGACATAAAGAGGTGCAGTGGATGACCGCTGTATGAGGTTAAGCACAGGCAGGCGGTGCAGATCCCAGGAGTTTGTTTAGGAGAAGCGGAGCCTTGCCTCTGGTGCTTCCTGTGAACTACAATCTGAATGACAATCCGGCAGCCCAGAGCCTCCCCTGGATTCCAGGGAAGCCGGGAAAAGCTGCTTCCTGCGGGACTCATCTCAGGGTTCCCTGGAAGGAGACAAAGAGCAGACCTGAAATTTAGTCAGCCGCTTAAAACACTTGTTTTCGGGGTGTTCTAATGGCTCGGCCAGGCTCTGCCGCGCATCTGTGGATTCCAGGCTGCCCTGGTGTCTCAGTGCAGCTGGCTGGGAGGAGGCAGAGGTGAGACCCAGCAGAGCTCCCAGTGCTTCCCGGTAGCTTCTGACTGGGCTCTGTGCACAGACCTGATCCTTTCTGAAGCCATGGTGACCTGCGCCCATGATCACCATATACGGAGGCCCAGAGTGGAACACCACTGTGGAAATAGGGGCTTTCTGGTGACCGCCCTCCTCACTGTTTACTGTCTGATGAGCCTCACCCTGGCTTTCCGGTGCGCTGGGCCCTGCGCCTCTCTGCACACCTCTCCCTCACCCACCCACCCGGGCATCCCACACACAGCACCCAACCTGGGGTGGGAGAGGAGGAAAGCTCATGTCTCTCAGGCTCTCCCTTTTGGGGGTAAAACTAATATAGTTTCATCTCATTTTCAGTAAGGCAGGGATGTTTAGAGAATTCCAGTCTACTGTGTTAGGAAATTCTGGGGGAAAATTAGTAGACTCGGGGGAAATATTTAATTCATGAAAATGGGATTATAACATACTTTGGAAATCATTTGTTATCAAGACAGTCATATGGGTCTGTTCCAAGATGGCTGAATAGGAATAGCTCTGGTCTGCAGCTCCCAGCATGATCGATGCAGAAGACGGGTGATTTCTGCATTTACAACTGAGGTACCTGGTTCGTCTCACTGGGACTGGTTGGACAGTGGGTGCAGCCCACGGAGGGTGAGCTGAAGCAGGGTGGGGCATCGCCTCACCCAGGAAGCACAACAGGTCAGGGGATTTCCCTTTCCTAGGCAAGGGAAGCCATGACAGACTGTACCAGGAAAATCAGGACACTGCCACCCAAATACTGCACTTTTCCAGTGGTCTTAGCAAATGGCATATCAGGAGATTATATCCTGCACCTGGCTCAGTGGGTCCCATGCCCACAGAGCCTTGCTCGCTGCTAGCACAGCAGTCCAATATGGAACTGCGAGGTGGCAGCCTGGCTGGGGAAGGGGCATCTACCCTTGCTGAGGCTTGAGTAGGTAAACAAAGCGGCTAGGAAGCTCGAACTGGGTGGAGCCCACCACAGCTTAGCGAGGCCTGCCTGCCTCTGTAGACTCCACTGCTGGGGGCAAGGCATAGCTGAACAAAAGGCAGCAGAAACTTCTGAAGGCTTAAATGTGTCTGTCTGACAGCTCTGAAGAGAGCAGTGATTCTCCCAGCATGGTGTTTGAGCTCTGAGAATGGACAGACTGCCTCCTCAAGTGGATCCCTGACCCCCGTGTAGCCTAACTGGGAGACACCTCCCAGTAGGGGCTGACTGACACCTCATACAGGAGGGTGCCCCTCTGAGACAAAGCTTCCAGAGGAAGGATCAGGCAGCAATATTTGCTGTTCTGCAATACTTGCTGTTCTGCAGCCTTTGCTGCTGAAACCCAGGCAAACAGGGTCTGGAGTGGACCTCCAGCAAACTCCAACAGACCTGCAGCTGAGGGACCTGACTGTTAGAAGGAAAACTAACAAACAGAAAGGAATAGCATCAACATGAACAAAAAGGACATCCACACCAAAACCCCATCTATAGGTCACCATCATCAAAGACCAAAGGTAGATAAAACCACAAAGATGGGGAGAAACCAGAGCAGAAAAGCTGAACATTCTAAAAACCAGAGCACCTCTTCTCCTCCAAAGGATTGTAGCTCCTGGCCAGCAACAGAACAAAGCTGGGCAGAGAATGACTTTGACAAGTTGGCAGAAGTAGGCTTCAGAAGGTGGGTAATAACAAACTTCTCTGAGTTAAAGGAGGATGTTTGAACCCATCGCAAGGAAGCTAAAAACCTTGAAAAAACATTAGACAAATGGCTAACTAGAATAAATAGTGTAGAGAAGTCCTTAAATGACCCGATGGAGCTGAAAACCATGGCACGAGAACTACGTGATGCATGCACAAGCTTCAGTAGCTGATTCGATCAAGTGGAAGAAAGGGGATCAGTGATTGAAGATCAAGTGAATGAAATGAAGTGAGAAGAGAAGTTTAGAGAAAAAAGAGTAAAAGGAAATGAACAAAGACTCCAAGAAATATGGGACTATGTGAAAAGACCAAATCTATGTCTGATTGGTGTACCTGAAAGTGACGGGGAGAATGGAACCAAACTGGGAAACACTCTTCAGGATGTTATCCAGGAGAACTTCTCCAACCTAGCAAGCAAGGCCAACATTGAAATTCAGGAAATACAGAGAACACCACAAAGATACTCCTCGAGAAGAGCAACCCCAAGACACATAATTGTCAGATTCACCAAGGTTGAAATGAGAGAAAAAATGTTAAGGGCAGCCAGAGAGAAAGGTCGGGTTATCCACAAAGGGAAGCCCATCAGACTAACAGCGGATCTCTCGGCAGAAACTCTACAAGCCAGAAGAGAATGGGGGCCAATATTCAACATTCTTAAAGAAAAGAATTTTCAACCCAGAATTTCATATCCTGACAAACTAAGTTTCAAAAGTGAAAGAGAAAAAAAATCCTTTACAGACAAGCAAATGCTGAGAGATTTTGTCACCACCAGGCCTGCCTTACAAGAGCTGAAGGAAGCACTAAACATGGAAAGAAACAACCAGTACCAGCCACTGCAAAAACATGCCAAATTGTAAAGACCATCGATGCTAGGAAGAAATTGCATCTTCCTAGGAATAGGATTATGTATCATGTATTATTTTCCATCTGGCTTCTTTAACTCAAAATGATACGAATGAAATTCACCCTTGCTTCTGTGCAGCTCCTTCCTCATGACTGTTGTGGAGGTGTTGCCTTGCACAAATGCTTCCTACTGCTGATGGACATTTGACTTGTTTCCAGGGTGGGGATACTGTGAACACTCCACCCAGGAGCATTCTCACACATGTCCTCTGGTAAACACATGCATGAACCTCTGTGGGGTGTGCACTGAGATGGGGAGCTGTGGGGTCATTTGGTGCGTGGATGTCTGTGGGGTGTGCACTGAGATGGGGACTGTGGGGTCATTTGGTGGATGGATCTCTGTGGGGTGTGCACTGAGATGGGAGCTGCGGGGTCATTTGGTGCGTGGATCTCTGTGAGGCGTGCACTGAGATGGGGGACTGCGGGGTCATTTGGTGCATGGATCTCTGTGGGGTGTGCACTGAGATGGGGGACTGTGGGGTCATTTGGTGCGTGGATCTCTGTGGGGTGTTTACTGAGATGGGGACTGTGGGGTCGTTTGGTGCGTGGATCTCTGTGGGGTGTGCACCGAGATGGGGAGCTGTGGGGTCATTTGGTGCGTGGATCTCTGTGGGGTGTGCACCAAGATGGGGACTGTGGGGTCATTTGGTGCGTGGATCTCTGTGGGGTGTGCACTGAGATGGGGGTCTGTGGGGTCATTTGGTGCATAGATCTCTGTGGGGTGTGCACCGAGACGGGGGACTGTGGGGTCATTTGGTACGTGGATGTCTGTGGGGTGTGCACTGAGATGGGGACTGTGGGGTCATTTGGTGGATGGATCTCTGTGGGGTGTGCACTGAGATGGGAGCTGCGGGGTCATTTGGTGCGTGGATCTCTGTGGGGCGTGCACTGAGATGGGGGACTGTGGGGTCATTTGGTGCGTGGATCTCTGTGGGGTGTGCACTGAGATGGGGACTGTGGGGTTGTTTGGTGCGTGGATCTCTGTGGGGTGTGCACCGAGATGGGGAGCTGTGGGGTCATTTGGTGCGTGGATCTCTGTGGGGTGTGCACCAAGATGGGGACTGTGGGGTCATTTGGTGCGTGGATCTCTGTGGGGTGTGCACTGAGATGGGGGTCTGTGGGGTCATTTGGTGCATAGATCTCTGTGGGGTGTGCACCGAGACGGGGGACTGTGGGGTCATTTGGTGAGTGGATCTCTGTGGGGTGTGCACCGACATGGGGAGCTGCAGAGTCATTTGGTGCATGCACATTCAGGTTCACTTTTCTAAGGTGGTTATGAGAATTTATCTCTCACCGGTCGTGGGTTCTGGTCCCAGTTAATACCTCCCCAGTCCTCGATAGGGGAATCTTTTTTTGTTTGTGTTTTTCTTGAGCCTCGCTGGTGGGCATGCAGCAAGTCCTATTTGTATGTTTGGTTTTTTTTTAGCACACTCACAAAGACTAATGAGACTGCACACCTTTTCACCTATTTATTGGCCCTCTTGGGGAGCATCTTTTATTAAGAGCCTGCTCAGTCATTTGCCGGTTCTGCCACATGGGTGTCTATCTTTTTCTTATTGGTTCATAAAAGAATTTTGAAAATATAAGCTATATTGCTTTATATCTCGTTCTTGTTAGTTATATGTATGTAGAAAACACATTATCTGCGGCCTTTGCACTTTCTTAATGGTGTCCTTGGATGACAGCAAGCTCTTAAATTTCAATCTTTTTGTCAGTGGTTTAGTGCCTTTTGTGTTCTTGGTAAGTAATCTTTTCACAGTTCCCCAATAATAACACTTTTTTTCTTATGTTATTCTCTGGGAGACTTAATTATGTTTATTTTTACCTTTTACATGTAGGTCAACATTCCATCTGGAATTGGGTTTTTGCATGGTGTGAGATGCTCAGAGTCGATAATTTCTTTATGGATATCAAATTTACACAGCCCATCGGTTGAAAATGCCATTTCCCACAATACATATTATCTTTTTCATAAAATAAGGGTCCATATATGCATGAGTTTGGTTCTGGACACTCTATTCTGTTTTGCAGGTTTCTGTCGACCCTGCAGGAACACTCATGGTATACAAGACTGTAGCTTTGTAAAAACTCTTGATCGCTGGTAGTCTAAATTTTTTCCTCTTTCCTCATATTTGTCTTGGCTATATTTTGCCCTTTGCGTTTCCATATAAATTTTAGAAACAGCTTGTCAATTTCCACCCACTCACGCAAGTCCCACTGAGTTATTTATTAGGACCCTGTGGGATCTGTAGAATAATTTGGGGAGAACTGATCTTTTGTAACATTTGGGTTTTGACAACCCTGGAATGTTCCTACTGGCTCCCAGGCCATCCCTCCATGACTGTGTTCTGTGGGTAACCCTCAATCTGTCCTGATCAGCCCCATCATGCTGGTGTCCAGAGAAAAAGGTAGGCTCCCAAATTCAGAGATGGAGGGATTGGTGAGGCTGGCATTCAAGAATAGTGAGAGGTGGATATAGATGTTTTAGAGGACAAAGCTGCCTCAGTGCCTAGAAAAGGGCTTGAGACCCCCAATGACACAGATGAGTTTGGAGATCACACATGTGTGGTGTTGCACACCTTTGGGGCAGGGACCCCTCTGGCAGGGCTCAGCAGCCTCTGCAAAGGTGTCAAAGGCAGAGGGGCTCGTCGCCACCCAGCTCTCAGGGGCTGTGCACCCTCCTGGACCCCTTTCAACTGAGTTGATTGGAGTGGGGTGGTCATCAGGATTGCCGTGTCCTCCAAAATGTATGTGTTTGACTCCTCAGCCCCAGGGTGATGATGTGAGGTGGGGCCTTGGGAGTTGATTGGGTCTTGAGGGTGGGGCTTCATGATGGGGTTGCTGCCCTTGTGACGGAGGCTCCAATGGGCTCCCTGCCCTCTCTCCTCCTGGTAAGGACACAGCAAGCAGATTCCATCTGTGGACCAGGACGCAGGTCCTCATCAGACATCCAATCTGCTGGCAAGTTGGTCTTGAACTTCCAGCCTCCGGAACTGCGAATCGTTGTTGACAAGCTACATAGTCTGTGTATTCCATTATAGCAGCCCAAAGGGATGAGAAGATGGATATGGCCCGGAGATAATGCACACCTCTCGTGGGGACAGTGTCCCCATCCCCCTCCGGCTGCACTGAAGACCTGGAGCAATGGCTGCCATCCATGCGCGAGGACCCCTCGGAGGTTCCACCTGCACAGACCTTGCTAAGGGTGAGGTGATTACTAGAAGGAGCACCTTTTCTAGTTAAAATCTAACTAGATTCTCCTTGGCAACTTGTCTTACAGAAACAGGTATAGACTATCACCTTGCCCAGCTGGGCGCATCTTCGGAGGGAGGCCTGGGGCCACGTGCACCTAATGAAGGTGCCTGGGAGGGGGCTGGCTTTCCACTCAGCAAATGCTTTCTTACAGAAAGACTGTGGGGAGAGTCCGTTTTCTTAGAGCCGTATGAAGAAATCCTAAAAACCAACTGCCCAATCTCAACTCGTAACAGGGAACCTGGGGAGTGACATCAGAGATTCCCAATGTTTTCCTCCTCGTTGATCCCTGCGATGAAGGCACTTGCCCATGTGTATTCTGTAGTAGGAGTTTGCATTCTGAAACTGGTCTTTATTAAAGAACAAACACATTATTTACAAATTATAGTAAGAGAAATACCTACTTATTTGTAAAACTTGTTGCTCAGCATAACAACACAGGTGACTGCATGTCATCCACAGAGTTTCAGATGACTCTGTTATGCCGACCATGTCCTGGTGGATGTGCAGTTCTCTCATAGGCCTTTTACCTTATTGAAAATCACGCGTGCATCCCAGCTGTTGTTTAGGATCCTGAGCCCCCTGGGCTGGGAGCCACAGCACTGATGACCTCAGAAACAAGGTTGTTAGAGGCTGTGTTCTCTCCACACCCCTTTCTTGTGAGGCCCTGGGATGCTGCTTGGTCTGGAGGGGCATCCTTCCCAAAGCCCCACAGGAGGCTGCTGTCATCTGCATTCTACCGAGGGCATCCCCAGTCCCAGGTTTCATCCTGGTGTCCCGCTCATATGTTCCCTGTCACCCTGACGTGCTCAAATGAGTCAGTCGTCTTCATTCATAGATTCTACATTGCAAATTCTCCTACTCACTAAAATTTATTTGTAGCGTCAAAATCAGCATTCATGCACTGTCTTAGATTGTAGGTGTGCACAGAGCGATAAAAAATCGGAGTCGCCTGACATGCACAGCCCCGCCTGGGGCTGAACAAAGGCCCAGCTCTGCCTTCCCGTTACGGCTCATCCTGTAAACGGTGTCCTTTCTGTGGTCTGTTGAGTGCCGTATTTTTTGAATTTGTGTGCATTTTGCTGGTGATCTCACTGCTTAAGAGGGCGAGCACAGTGTGGAAGTGCTGTAGTGTTCCCACGTGCAAGGGGCTGTGGTGTGCCTCATGGAGAACACGTGTCTGAGAAGCTTCCCTCAAGCACGAGTGATGAATCAACACTGCATAGTGAACAAGGTGTCTAAACAGAAACACGAAGCACAAGGCTGTGTGCTGATCCATGGATGAAATGCTGTGACCAGAGCTGAGCCCTGCGTTTCCCCAGGAGCAGGGGTGTCCGTCGGCTCGCCGTCTGCAGACTCTAGTATGTAGCCACCCTGAGTGGTGGGGACCGACTGCACTTCTCAGCAGTACTCGGCTAAAAGCCTGCGTGCAACTTAGCTTTATGTGTCCTGAGTTTGGTCTTTGTTTCACAAAGGGAAGGGGGTTGGATGTTGGGTTTCCCAGGACATGGTGCCTGTTTAGAAGTGCCCCCAGGGCCTCAGAGCCAGCGGGAGGCATCCACCCAAATGCTGCTGACAAACCTTCCTGTGGCAGCTGCCACTCCACACGGAGGTGCAGGGAAGCCAGCTGCCAGGGCACACACACAAACACATGCATGTGCACACACACCATACTGTCACACACACCTCAACATGCACGTGCACACATGCCACACTCACACGTACACAAGCACACATACCTGAATATGCACATGCACGCACACATGCTCCACTCACGTGCACAAGCACACACAGCCACACCGGAACACACATGCCACACTCACAAGCACACACTGGAACACACATATGCACACACTCATGCCACACACAGATAAGCATACACACATCAGAACACACACACCACACCTACACACAAGCACACACACCCCAAAACACACATGCACACACACATGCTACACACACACAAGCACACACACACACAGGCACACATGCCACATAAACACATACTGGAACACATACATGTACACACACCACAGAAGCACACACACTGAAACACACACATGCACACACATGCACACACACACACACCAGAACACAGACATGCATACGCATGCCACACACACACACACCTGAACACACATGCCACACTCACACGTACACAAGTGCACACACACCAGAACACACACACCACACTCACACACAAGTGCACACACACACACCGGAACACACATATGGATACACACATGCCACGCACACCAGAACACAGGCACATGCTCCATGCTCACACACACATATACTGGAACACACACATGCACACACCACACACACAGGCACACTGAAACACACGCACACACACCAGAACACATGCACACACATGCCACACACACAAGCACACACAACGCACCTGATCACACACATGCACACACATGCTACACTCTCACACATGCAAACACATACACTTACCTGAACACACACATGCGCACACACACACCACACTCGCACACACCCTCCGGCATGTCCAGAGTATTTCTCTTCCCTGGTGGGAGAAGCTCTTGGTGCTTGGAGACTCCACTGAGAAGTGCTCACTGGAAGCAGAAGCAGCTGTGGGAGGCAGAGAAGGCGATGCGGGGGCTGGTGGGGCTGAGCTGCCCACTCTGGGCTGGCGTGGACGGTTCCAGAGTCACCAAAAGTGACACCTGGCCTCGAGGGGCCCTGGCAGATGACAGGAACCAAAAGCACCAATGTGGGTGATTCTTCAGGGGAGGAAGCTGAGAGCCTCCTTCAGGCCACAGCCCAGAGCCTCTGGGGACCTCCAGGTGGAGCCACGTCCTGGTCACTCGGATTCGGGACCTGGTCAGCAGCCTGCACCTCTTCAGCACCCTTGGGGCAGTGACGCCTCCTCTTGGCATGTGAGAGAGGCCAGTGTCCTGTCGTCCCTGTTGGTTAAACTTGTGGCTTCATCTTCCTTAGACAGACGCCAGCTCCATCCCCAAGGGTGAGCTTTTAAGGCTCATGGTAAGGCCCTGCCTTCCCTGTCCTCCCCACGACACCCCCTGGACCCGTGCCCATCCCTAGACCCATGACCCTCAGTAGGCAGCATTTTCAAGGCTGTCTCTTGGCCCTGGACGGCTGTCTGGTCCACCTTCATGCCCCATCACATCACTGAGGCTCAAATGCCCCCTCCTCACCAGGCCTCCACTGACGCCCTCTCCACAGAGCACCCCCTGCTGCACCTCTGCGTCCTGACCCAGGGCCGTTTCCCCCCATATTTGTCTCCATCCAAGGCAGCACCGTCTGTTTCCATGTTTGTTCTCTTCCTGTCTGTGTCCCCTACCAAGCACGAGCGGCATTAGGGCAGGGGCTGGTTTCTGGGGACTCGTGTCATGGTGGTCGCCACAGTGTTACGGTAGATGCTAGCGGAGGAAAGGGACGTTGAAGACTTCCCTTTGATTTGTTTCATGAAAAGTTTGTTTCCTAGAAGGCGCCCACCTGGCAGAGAGACACATCTGCTGTCGGCAGCGTTTTAGGGACTGAAATCTGTCATCCTGCCAGGCCACTAAAGGGTAACACAGGAAAACCAACGTGACGTTGTGGCGATTTGCTCAAACATGCAGCAGAATTGAGGTCATTTCTCTGCTCACTGCTAACGACTTCCCATCCCCTACAATTGATGCAGGCCCAGAGTGTGCGCCCAGCCGGCCACAGGTGCAACGGCGGCCCCCACACGGCGGTGTGCTCCTCCCCTCCCCTTTCCTCCTTCCCTCGCCTTTTCCTTTCCAGTGAAACATATTCCATCTTTCCTTAAAATAAAACATTTAATATTTTAGGACTATTACCTGGTAAATGGGGAATATCTTGGTTCTTGACAGGTGGATTTGTGTTAACAGGGGTGCAGGCTTACAGACAGAGGTAGTTTTTTCTAGTCTTTTCTGAGTGATGTGTTTTACACCTTTGTTTCGCAAGCCACTTTCTATGGGTGTACATTCTGTCCTAGAGGAGTGTAGGGCCTCCGGGCCAGTATGAAGGCGTGGCAGTCAGCCCTGTCTCATAGAAATACCATGGGAGCCACACGGATAAGTGGACGTGTTAGAACAGTCAAACCAAAAAAGTAAAACAAACAGGGAAATGGGTTATATGGAATTATATGAAACACTATGATTCATTTAACCCAGTGTATCTAAAATACAATCATTTCAAAATGTTGCTACGATCAACATGTAGTGAGATAGTTCACAGTCCTTTCTGTACTAATTCTTGGAGATCCGGAGTGTATTTCACACTTACTGCACATCTAAATTTGAACCGGCCACATTTTGGGTGCCCTATGGCCACACAAAGCCAGTGCTCACCACACCGGATGGCACAGCCCGAGGGCAGGGGTTGGTGAGCCGTGGCCCACAGCCTGCTCATGTCCGGTCCACAAGCTGAGAATGATGGTTAGAGTGACAAATGGTAGACAAAAGAAACAGGAGCATATGTGATAGAAGCCATAGGTTAGGACGTTCAGATTTATCACAGTGGTTTTCAGGTGAGTCAATCAATAAAGACATAAGTTTTTTTCTCAGTTTTAATAGCAGAAAACGCAGATAGAAGAACCCCTATAAACAGAAGCTGTATGGGGGCTTGAGAACCGTGAGTCTGGTCTGAGCCCAAGCAAGGCAGCCACCTGGTGAGGGAGGCACCCAGCAGCTGAGAGGCAGGTGGCCTCAGCCCACGTCACCTCATCCCATGTCACCCGGCCCCACGTCACCCAAAGCCCCTGCGTTCCCTGTCATGCGGCACTGCCTTCTCATCCACAGTGTGTCTCGTTGGCGAGGTTCAGGTGAGAGGTGTGCTTCACAGTTACTTGAAGTCAGGGTGATAAAGAGTACCTTCAGCTTGGTCCTGTCTGACTGTTATCCTCCGCCGCTGTAACAGGCTTTGGTTATGATCTTGGAAGAGTTGCGAGGTAAGGCTCATGGACACTGATCTTAAAGGGATTCCCATGGCGGGTGTGAACAGAGCCATTGTCTCACCTTTTATTTTATAGGATTGCCGGTTGTTACCACTTATGTCTTGGGTGACCTAATTTGCAAACATAGTATTAATTTCCTCTTAAAATCTTGCAGGCAGAATATAAAAATGTGTGCTCAGCCTGTGGCAGGAAGGCAGACCGGGCAGCCACGCCGTGCCCTGCCTCCTGCTGCCCTTGGCAGACCCGGCAGATTTCAGTCTGAAGGGCTTTCCCATGACAGGCCACAGGGAGCTACCCCAAGAACCGCAGACCTAGGGGGCCTCCTGACTCTGGTGTCCTGGGAGGCTGCTTCTGGCTCCTACTATCACTTCCAAATCCCACTGACTGACCCTGAAGGACCTGCAGATGCCCAGGAGCTCGGGGCACAGGCTGTTGCATCCCCTCTGTCAGCCACACGTGGATCCCCAGGAGGTCCTTGGCTTCTCCTGACCCTATTGGGGCATCAGAGCCCTGCGCATTCTGGTTCAGAACCCGAATGCCCGGAGGGCTTCCCTGCTGAGGCCGCAGCTGGACCTCACGGAGCTGGGGAAGACCTTGTTTGTGGGATGCATCTTCATGGTGCAGCCACAGGACCAGAATGCGTTCTGAGAAATGTGACTTTGTCATCGTGTGAACATTGCAGAGTGTTCCCTTACACAGACTGAGGTGGCACAGCCTTCTCCACACCTGGGCTGTACGGTGCCACCATCGCTCCCGGGGCACAGGTCTGTGCAGGAGGGGACTGTGCTGAAACTGCAGGCAGCTGTTACACAGTGGTGAGAGTATGGGTGTCTACACATCTGCACATGGGAAAGCCACGGTGAAAATATGGCATAAAAGTTAAAAGATGGTGCACTGTGGCCGGGCGCAGTGGCTCACGCCTGTAATCCCAGCACTTTGGGAGGCCGAGGCTGGCAGATCACAAGGCCAGGAGATCGAGACCATTCTGGCTAACACACTGGAACCCCATCTTTACTAAAAATACAAAAAAATTAGCCGGGTGTGGTGGCGAGCGCCTGTAGTCCCAGCTACTTGGGAGGCTGAGGCAGGAGAGTGGCATGAACCTGGGAGGCGGAGCTTGCAGTTTGCCGAGATCGCGCCGCTGCACTTCAGCCTGGGTGACAAAGCAAGACTCCATCTCAAAAAAAAAAAAAAAAAGATGGTGCACCGCATAGGACACTGAGCATCCGTGGGGCTTGTGGGAGGCAGTGGCTCTGGGCGAGTCAGTGAGTGGGTGGAGCATGAAAGTGAAGGCCTAGGACATGGCTGCACAGCACCGGGGAGGCTTTAGGAGCACTGGACACTTAGGCTACACTGAATCTATTTACAACATCTTTCTTCAATAATAAATTAATCTTATCTTACTGTAACTTTTTTTTACTTTATAAACTTTTTATAACTTTTTGACTCTTGTAATAACACAGTTTAAAAGATGAGTGCATCGTACATTGGTACAAAAATATTTTTTAATTTATATCTTCATTCTATCAACTTTTCCTGTTTTTAAAACTTTTAATTTTTTGGTTTTACTTTTTAAACATTTTTCATTAAAACCTAAGGGACACACACCTTAGCCTAGGCCTACGCAGGGTCAGGACCATGCACGTCACTGTCTTCCCCCTCCCTCTCTGTCCCACTGGAAGGTCTTCAGGGGCAATGACAGGCATGGAGCCATCATCTCCTGGGATGATGCTGGCTTCTTCAGGACACCTCCTGAAGGACCTGCCTGCAGCTGTTTATAGTTAACTTTTAAAAATACAAGTAGAGGAAGTACACAAAACAATACAAAGTATAGTACAGTAAATGCATTAGCTAGTAACAGCCATTTATAATCATGTACGCTACCTAATTGTATGTGCTAGACTTTTACATGCCTGGAAGTGCAGTAGACTCATTGACACCAGCGTCGCCACAAACACATAAGGAGTGTGTCACACTGCAACGTGACCACGGGTCTGCGGCCAGGCTACAGGAGACTCTCAGCTCTGTTATAATCTTATGGGAGCAAAACCATATATATGGTCCACTGTTGACCAAAACGTTGTCATGCATGCATGATCATATTTATCGGTCTGCAAAAGTTAAAAATGATGACTTGGAAACACTGGTAATGGGGCATTTTGCTTCAGCAACATTTTCCCTGTTTGGGTGTCGGTGGCTCAGCCAGTGTTGAAGAAATCTGCAGTGAAGAAGAGGGTAGGTCGAATCTGCTGCAGAGGAGGTTGCATCCTGTGGGCCACAGCTGCCTGGTGATATCATTTTCACCAGCTGCTGCCTCCGCTGACAGAGAGCTGGGCAGGGGGATGGGGGAGCTGGTGACCCACCCAGATGCTCTCTCTTGCTGGGGTGCTCAGTCCCCGGGGCCAGGAGTGTCCTAATGACCGTGCGCTTGTCCACTTCCAGTGGAATTATGAAATCTGCTGGGCTGACAGGTGCTGCTGGGACTGGGGGGTGTGGGTCGAGCACCCCTGCACACACATCCAGGGACTGGTTGGTGCAGACACACACTGGCTTGACTGTACACACCCCTTGACTGCACAAGGGCTGATTTTGTGGCGTTGTTCCTGCTCTAGACTGAAGCAGGGTTCTCAAAGCAAACCCGGCCAGTAGCACCGTCCCTCCTGGGAAGTTGTTGGAGACGCAAATTCTCCAGCCTCATCCCTGACCTATAGATTTAGAGCTCTGGGGTATGGCCCAGCAGCATGTGTTTAACGAGCCCTGCAGGAGGTTCTGATGCAGCTCAAATTGGGGCACACAGCTCTGAGTGTCCCTTGGTGTCTGGAGGGCTCTGGTCTGCAGCACAGACACCTCCTGGCTTAGCTTTGCCTCCACCCCGGCTTCTCTCCTTGCTCCCCTGAGAGCACCAGCTCCGGCCATCTCTTGGACAAGCACCTCGCCCCGGGAGTCTGCGTCTGGGAACCAAGCGGGCTTTCTGCACACCGCCTCAGGTATCTCCAAATTATATCCACAGCTACTTAATTCCCCTCCTTACCTCCCCAAGCCCATACCTCTACCTTTTAAGCCACGTGTCTCTTCTCCACATAGAGTCCAAGAGAGCCCAGGGAAAGGCAGGGCGAAGTGTACTGCGGGGGTTGTTAATGCATCTCCAATTTGACATTCATTTCTGGTAGACTCAGCCTGCAGGCTTGGCTCCTGCTGTGCTGTTTCCCCTTTTCTCCTTTACAAATTCAGTGAAGACAAAGGAAAAAAACAGAAGGAAATAAATCCATTAACTGAGAAATGTTTTCAGATACTATAAATAATAGTTTTATATTTAAAATAGGACCATACCAGGGCATTCAATTCTGTCTGGAGTTATGCTGGGAGATGGGCAGCTGCTGGCCACACACGGCCATCGGGTGCTCAAAGTGCACTGACTCAGACTGAAAATCTACACGCAGGTGTTGGAGACTTAGTGCAAGAACAGAACGTGGAGTTCCACAGAGTAGTTTACTCTTCATTGTGTGCTGAAATCATCACATCTTGGACATACTAAAATAATATGAACATTTCTTTCCCTTGTTTTGTTTGCTTTTGTTTTTGTTTTGAGGCAAGGTCTTGCTGGGTCACCCAGGCTGGAGCACAGTGGTGTGATCTTGGCTCGCTGCAGCCTCGACCTCCCAGGCTCAAGCCATCCTCCCACCTCAGTGTTCTGAGTAGCTGGGACCACAGGCATGCACCACCATGCTCTGCTAATTTTTGTATTTTTTTTTTTTTTTTGTAGAGATGGGGTCTCGCTATGTTGTCCAGGCTGGTTTCCAACTCCTGGCCTCAAGTGATCCTCCTGCCTTGGCCTCTCAAAGTGCTAGGATTATAGGTATGAGCCACCATGCCCATTCCGTTCCGTTTTTCTTGTGACTTTAGAAAATTTAAAAATACACATGAGGCTCATGCTCTGTGTCTTTTGACCAATGCCAGCTGAGAGGTACTAAGGTACTAAGAGCAGTGGCAGCTCAGCAGTGAAGGAAGTGGCTGTGCCAGGTCTGCTGTCCAAAGATGGCAAGCTGGCAGAGATTCAAATCCAAACCAAAAAAAGCCCAGATGGCCTTTCCTGAGCACGGGGCCCCAGGTGAGAAGGCAGATTCTGAAGCGGGGCTTCCCACTCATCTTGCTGAGCCTGCCTTTCCCGGTCTTTTGGTGCTGGCTGTGGTGCTGTGAGAGATGATGAAGTTTGTAAGTCAGGGCAGTTTTTAAACCCACAGACAAGAAGCACATCTGCAAAATGCAGCCTGGGAGCTGTCTACTCTGCCCGGAACAGTGGGGATCTCTGCAGGAGGAAATCGCATAGTTTCCCACGGGTGAATTGTCATGATGCTGTTGTGGCTGTTGGCAGGAAGCTTCCTCACATTTTCAGTTTAAATGCATTCCTCCTGATCTTTCCAAAAGACGGAGGCAGAACAGCTGGTTGCCATACTCCGCATAAAGTCCTTTGGGTAAATTGAAGGTAAATTTTATCCCTTAAATTCTGCTCCATGGGGTCACAGCCTTGGGTCCTTAAATAAAGAAAATTGTGGTGATATCCCCTTTATCATTTTTTATTGTGTCTATTTGATTCTTCTCTCTTTTTTTCTTTATTAGTCTTGCTAGCGGTCTATCAATTTTGTTGATCCTTTCAAAAAACCAGCTCCTGGATTCATTGATTTTTTGAAGGGTTTTTTGTGTCTCTATTTCCTTCAGTTCTGCTCTGATTTTAGTTATTTCTTGCCTTCTGCTAGCTTTTGAATGTGTTTGCTCTTGCTTTTCTAGTTCTTTTAATTGTGATGTTAGGGTGTCAATTTTGGATCTTTCCTGCTTTCTCTTGTAGGCATTTAGTGCTATAAATTTCCCTCTACACACAGAAATACAAACTACCATCAGAGAATACTACAAACACCTCTACGCAAATAAACTAGAAAATCTAGAAGAAATGGATACATTCCTCGACACATACACTCTCCCAAGACTAAACCAGGAAGAAGTTGAATCTCTGAATCGACCAATAACAGGCTCTGAAATTGTGGCAATAATCAATAGTTTACCAACCAAAAAGAGTCCAGGACCAGATGGATTCACAGCCGAATTCTACCAGAGGTACAAGGAGGAACTGGTACCATTCCTTCTGAAACTATTCCAATCAATAGAAAAAGAGGGAATCCTCCCTAACTCATTTTATGAGGCCAGCATCATTCTGATACCAAAGCCGGGCAGAGACACAACCAAAAAAGAGAATTTTAGACCAATATCCTTGATGAACATTGATGCAAAAATCCTCAATAAAATACTGGCAAACCGAATCCAGCAGCACATCAAAAAGCTTATCCACCATGATCAAGTGGGCTTCATCCCTGGGATGCAAGGCTGGTTCAATATACGCAAATCAATAAATGTAATCCAGCATATAAACAGAGCCAAAGACAAAAACCACATGATTATCTCAATAGATGCAGAAAAAGCCTTTGACAAAATTCAACAACCCTTCATGCTAAAAACTCTCAATAAATTAGGTATTGATGGGACGTATTTCAAAATAATAAGAGCTATCTATGACAAACCCACAGCCAATATCATACTGAATGGGCAAAAACTGGAAGCATTCCCTTTGAAAACCGGCACAAGACAGGGATGCCCTCTCTCACCGCTCCTATTCAACATAGTGTTGGAAGTTCTGGCCAGGGCAATCAGGCAGGAGAAGGAAATAAAGGGTATTCAATTAGGAAAAGAGGAAGTCAAATTGTCCCTGTTTGCAGACGACATGATTGTTTATCTAGAAAACCCCATTGTCTCAGCCCAAAATCTCCTTAAGCTGATAAGCAACTTCAGCAAAGTCTCAGGATACAAAATCAATGTACAAAAATCACAAGCATTCTTATACACCAACAACAGACAAACAGAGAGCCAAATCATGGGTGAACTCCCATTCACAATTGCTTCAAAGAGAATAAAATACCTAGGAATCCAACTTACAAGGGATGTGAAGGACCTCTTCAAGGAGAACTACAAACCACTGCTCAAGGAAATAAAAGAGGAGACAAACAAATGGAAGAACATTCCATGCTCATGGGTAGGAAGAATCAATATCGTGAAAATGGCCATACTGCCCAAGGTAATTTACAGATTCAATGCCATCCCCATCAAGCTACCAATGACTTTCTTCACAGAATTGGAAAAAACTACTTTAAAGTTCATATGGAACCAAAAAAGAGCCCGCATTGCCAAGTCAATCCTAAGCCAAAAGAACAAAGCTGGAGGCATCACACTACCTGACTTCAAACTATACTACAAGGCTACAGTAACCAAAACAGCATGGTACTGGTACCAAAACAGAGATATAGATCAATGGAACAGAACAGAGCCCTCAGAAATAATGCCGCATATCTACAACTATCTGATCTTTGACAAACCTGAGAAAAACAAGCAATGGGGAAAGGATTCCCTATTTAATAAATGGTGCTGGGAAAACTGGCTAGCCATATGTAGAAAGCTGAAACTGGATCCCTTCCTTACACCTTATACAAAAATCAATTCAAGATGGATTAAAGATTTAAACGTTAAACCTAAAACCATAAAAACCCTAGAAGAAAACCTAGGCATTACCATTCAGGACATAGGCGTGGGCAAGGACTTCATGTCTAAAACACCAAAAGCAATGGCAACAAAAGACAAAATTGACAAATGGGATCTAATTAAACTAAAGAGCTTCTGCACAGCAAAAGAAACTACCATCAGAGTGAACAGGCAACCTACAACATGGGAGAAAATTTTTGCAACCTACTCATCTGACAAAGGGCTAATATCCAGAATCTACAATGAACTCAAACAAATTTACAAGAAAAAAACAAACAACCCCATCAAAAAGTGGGCGAAGGACATGAACAGACACTTCTCAAAAGAAGACATTTATGCAGCCAAAAAACACATGAAGAAATGCTCATCATCACTGGCCATCAGAGAAATGCAAATCAAAACCACTATGAGATATCATCTCACACCATTTAGAATGGCAATCATTAAAAAGTCAGGAAACAACAGGTGCTGGAGAGGATGCGGAGAAATAGGAACACTTTTACACTGTTGGTGGGACTGTAAACTAGTTCAACCATTGTGGAAGTCAGTGTGGCGATTCCTCAGGGATCTAGAACTAGAAATACCATTTGACCCAGCCATCCCATTACTGGGTATATACCCAAATGAGTATAAATCATGCTGCTATAAAGACACATGCACACGTATGTTTATTGCGGCACTATTCACAATAGCAAAGACTTGGAACCAACCCAAATGTCCAACAATGATAGACTGGATTAAGAAAATGTGGCACATATACACCATGGAATACTATGCAGCCATAAAAAATGATGAGTTCATATCCTTTGTAGGGACATGGATGAAATTGGAAACCATCATTCTCAGTAAACTATCGCAAGAACAAAAAACCAAACACCGCATATTCTCACTCATAGGTGGGAATTGAACAATGAGATCACATGGACACAGGAAGGGGAATATCACACTCTGGGGACTGTGGTGGGGTCGGGGGAGGGGGGAGGGATAGCATTGGGAGATATACCTAATGCTAGATGACACATTAGTGGGTGCAGCGCACCAGCATGGCACATGTATACATATGTAACTAACCTGCACAATGTGCACATGTACCCTAAAACTTAGAGTATAATAAAAAAAAAAAAAAAAAAAAAAAAAAAAAAAATAAAGAAAATTGTGGGTTTTTTCCCCTATAAAAGCAAAACAATCCGGCAACTGCACCATGGATGAAGCATTTAGGCAAATGATGTGATTTGGATACCAAAGGGAATCTGAGGCCCGGCGCAGTGGCTTATGCCTGTAATCCCAGCACTTTGGAAGGTCAAGGCAGGCAGATCACTTGAGGTCAGCAGTTTGAGACCAGCCTGGCCAACATGGTGAAACCTTGTCTACTAAAAATACAAAAATTAGTCTGGTATGGTGGCATGCATCTGTAATCCCAGCTACTCAAGAGGCTGAGGCAGGAGAATCGCTTGAACCCAGGAGGTGGAGGTTGCAGTAAACCGAGATCGCACCACTGCACTCCAGCCTGGGTGACAGAGCAAAACTCCATCTCAAAAAATAAAACAAAACACAAAGGGAATCTGAAACCCCAATCTAATAAGGTTACATTATCTATAAGCTGAAACACTCAATGGAACAACATTTTGGAAGAGTTTTCTATTTTCGTGGTTCATGAAATCATTGTATCTACCATGAAATATTATACATCACAATATGACTAAAACTGAAGGGGGTTCAGATGACCACGAGGCAACTCAGGACCCTCTAGACAGCAATGGCATGGTGGGGGGACTTGCCAGGCTTCTCTGCCAGCCTTGCTGTCTGGGTCTACCTGCTCGGGGGCTCCGGGGGCCATGCTGACCACAGGGCGGCCTGGAAGCGGTGCTGATGCTAGCGGAGGAAGAAGAGGGTGTGCGATGGAGCTGGAGCTTGCGGGGAGCTGGAGCTTGCGGGGAGCTGGAGCTTGCGGGGAGCTGGAGCTTGTGGAGAGCTGGAGCTTGCGGGGAGCTGGAGCTTGCGGGGAGCTGGAGCTTGCGGGGAGCTGGAGCTTGCGGGGAGCTGGAGCTTGTGGAGAACTGGAGCTTGCGGGGAGCTGGAGCTTGTGGGGAGCTGGAGCTTGGGGGAGCTGGAACTTGCAGGGAGCTGGAGCTTGTGGAGAATGGGAGCTTGCGGGGAGCTGGAGCTTGAGGAGAACTGGAGCTTGCGGGGAGCTGGAGCTTGTGGGGAACTGGAGCTTGCGGGGAGCTGGAGCTTGCGGGGAGCTGGAGCTTGCAGGGAGCTGGAGCTTGCGGGGAACTGGAGCTTGTGGGGAGCTGGAGCTTGTGGTGCCGACCCAGGACCAGTTATGGACTGGGGGAACCCAGAGGACAAAAGAAGGACTCCTCATTCAAAAGTCGTTAAGAGTTTGAAGACGGCAATGACAGAGTATTAAACTAGGTGGGAGCCCCTTCTGTGCCTGGGGCCTCGTGTGACTGCAAAGCCCACGGGTCCTTGAAGGCAACCCTGGTCTTATGGCACAGACTGTGGGGACAGCTCCTAGGTTCTCCCCTTGGCCAAGCATGACATTGCCTTCAAGGGGCCAGGGAGAAGGGCAGTGATGATTGTTGACAGCTCAGGAAGGAGGGGCAGTGGCTAAACTATGTGGATCATATGTGCCCACCAAGGGGTCAGCCTTGAAAATTCTCTCTAGGCTTTATGACCATTGAGGGAGGAAATTGTTCTTGTTGTCAGAGAGGGTAAAATATATCCTGGGGGACAAAGATTTTTGTGTTTTTACTTTTTGTTCTCTGCTTCATTCCTTCCTTCTCCCTTCCTTCTTCTCTTCTTCCTTTCTCTTGCCCTCCCTCCCTCCTTCCTCCTTCCTTCCTGTCCTTCCTTTTCTGTCTTTCCTTCCATCCTCGTGCCTTTATTTTATTATTATTATTATTTTTAGCACAGTTAGCCAGCTGTGTGTAGGGGCATTAAAGGTCAGCCCCGTTAGTCCCATTGAAAGAACAAAATACCAAGGATACATTTATACCCTCTATCTGTTGCTGGACAGCTGATTGAATATTTTTCCCCCTCAAAACCATATTTCTTCAGGTGTGTTGATGGTTCTGTTTTTGTATTAAATAGAGCCAACCTCTTCCTACTTCTGTGTTCTTGCTCTAAGCTGGCTAGGGACGAGGTTACCAGCGACCCAATTCAATCAGCAGCTGCTGGCTTTAAGCGGGTCCAGGAGTTCACTGTGTGAATGCAGCCATTAGCTGGCTTTAGACTTGGAGAGATAATCGATATTTTTCTGGGCCGTCTTGGTCTCGCCTCTTTGGCGGAAGAAAGCAGCACCCACACAGTGTGTAACATCTGATCCCGGTCCAGCTCCCGCGGGCTGGGCTCTGCCCGTTGTGAGTGGCCGACAGCTCCGCCAGCGCCTGTTTCCATCTGCCGAGCCATCCTTTCTTCTGAATGTGAACTGTTTTCTTGGTTTCTTTCTGGCATCAGAAAGCAACAATGAGTGATTATCTGATGCAGCATCCCTGGGGCCCCAGGTGCTGGTGACTCATTCAAGTCTCCCTGCAAACCAATTCATTAAACCTGCTTCATCTGGGACGTGCTGAGAGTGGAGGTATATTTCAAAAGCGGTTTGGCAGCAACGCTGCAATTAAACAAGGAGGGAAGGAGAGCAGAGGCGGAGGAGGAAGGCGCGATTTAGTTGTGACTTGAACACCGTCTACACCAGCCAAAGAAGGCTGGTCCACACTGGCTTTCAGCTGAGGGGAGGGGCAGTGCCCAGATCATGTAATTTTTGAAATTATGTTTGTAATTAACTTCACGATATCTCCAGGGAATTCTGGAAAGACAGCAAGAAAAAACACTGCAGTATCTGTCCTATCAGATACTACAAAGCACCTAATGAGGTATCCTTAGGACATTAGAAAAAACACTCACTCAAAAAAGGTAGAATTCTTCCTTTGTATTCTTGGGGTGTTGGTTAGGGTGGCCGGGTTCTTCGTTAAGTTCATCGTTAAGCAAGCAGGGTCTTGCTGCCTGTGAGATGATTCACGGAGTTTTAGTTTTTACTCTTCAGGCACGGTCTGGCTTTCCTCCTAATAGTCTTTTACCAAGCAACCTCTTCAGGAACTTTTAAGTTCATGCAGATTTTTAGGAAAGTTAAATCTAAAATATTTTGTGATAACAATTTGAAGGTCAGAAAACATGGCTATCTCCCTACTTATCAGTTGTTTTAGTGAGCCTTGCCCCTTTGAATTATGTTCTAATATTTTAATACAATCTCCATAAAAACAATAAATTTACAAGAGAAGCAGAGTCCCAAGTCAAGCGCCCTCGACCACATTCAGAACTTTCCTGTCTCAGAGCTTGGCTATTTGCATCGCTGGATATAATCACGGGGCAAATTGTGCAAGAATGAGCAATGGAAGACGTCTGGCGATTGAGCGATTTCTCAGCCCCTGGATGTAGTGAGCAGAGTTGGAATAGATGGATGAGACCTGACATATCCAAGTAAAAGCAGCCAATGAAGCAGCTTAATGGGCTCCCCGGGGCGTCCTGGGAGTACACGCCACCTTCACCCATTAACGATTAGCTCCGCTCCAGACGTCTCAGCTGCCATGCAGCCCCACGCAAAGAAGCTCAGGAGACCAGCACCTGCCTTCTGACAGCTTACAGTCCAGTGGGCTTCAGTGAAAGGGGTGGGATCCAATCATCCCCATGAACTTGGGACCTGAAACTTCTTTGCTGGAAGCTTCTTTCTCAAAGAGCGCCAGGAAACCACGGTTTCAGGTACACACAGTCAGCATGCGCTGTAGCAATGTGCTTTGCAGCTGGAACTCCTATCAAGCATCCTAGGCAAGGCATGCACCCCAGCGCCAGAGAGAATCAGGAAGGGGAAGGTGCCCTGAACCTCAGACAAGAACCCCTTCCAGAAACCACCACCAAAGCCATCACTGTGTTTCCACCCTCAGACCTGTGTCTCTTTAGCTTCTTGGTAGAGGAAGAAGAGGAGCTGGGTGGGCAGGGCTCAGCAGCTTCTAAGTTTTTGCCATGTTTATGGACAAGTGGGCCAGTTCAGATTTGGATTAGATCACCTAAGAGAAGGCGTGGAAATTTGAAAGAGTTTTACAACAGGAAACTGGCAGAGAATGTCGTTGCTCTCTAATGCCGTGTTTCTCCTTTTCCTGGGCACACAGCCAAATTACAGCCCAAGGTCTCCTTGCACCTGTGAGTTCTGCCCAAGCCTGTGTTGGTGGGCGAGATGGAAGCTACCTCCAGCTTAAATAATCTGTTCTTTTTACTGTTCTAGTCCATGGTAGATTTGGATGCCATGCGTTAAAGATGGCAGTGCCACAGACCCAGGGGCCCCAAATGACTGCGTGGAGCCGAGACCCTCACCTCTTCCAACACAATGCTCTGGGAATGGGGAGAGAAGTAAAGTTTTGCATGTTAAATCATGAACGTTTTGTGTCTGTTTGTTCTAGCAGTTCACCTACTCTCACCAGTACAAAGGATATGCAAGCATGGGGAAAAGTTGTCTTATTTAAAGTGCACTTAATACTTTATTAGCAAAGACTAAATAAATACATTGAGCAAGTCTATCAGGTTATCAATCAGACAGTAAAACAGTGGAGGATCAAGATTGAAGGTTAAGTCGTCATAGAAAGAACATGCTTGCTGTGATAACATCTCCTTTTCTAGGTTCTTGAATGCAAGTTAATTTTCCCAAGGTCTCATTTTCACTCTGTGCCTCAAGACTTCACTCCTGGCCCATAGGTGGCTGTTGATTTTTTTTTCTTTGACAGCAGGGGGTGCTCTGGGAATATGCTCTTCAAACTAACTTCTGCCTCTAGTTATGGTTCTTTAAGAACCCAAAAGAAAGAAAAAGAATAATAACAATTTGTCAGTTCATAAATAAATGTCTTCTAACTTTGGAAACGCAGATTAGCACAGGCCCAGGGCCTGAAAGAAATTAAAGTGGTACTAAAATAAATTAGACAGTCGAAATGCAACCAGTAAAGAATAAAAGAAACGTGTGTCGTTCACGGAACCCACCATGTACTTCAAGCTGAGAGATCAACCACTATCCCCAAGATAAGCTTGAGAAGCACTGGCGGTCATTGAGTAGGGTGGTGACTTGTCTTTCTCCTCCGCTCCTGGCTGGGTGATAGAGTGAGGAGGAGATTGGGTGAATCGTGTCAGGATCCAGCACTACCCAATTCTTACCACTGCAATGGCCACGTTTCAAACAAGGGCTTGGTGGAGGGAGATTATGAGTGGTGGAGGTAAAATTGGTGTTGAAGACACATCTAAGAGCTGGATCGATTCCCTTGGATTTGTTTTCTGATTTCTGGTTTTCATTTGCAAAGTAGAGATGATCCCTCCTGGCCCCCATCTCAACAGGCTGCTCTGGGTCCTGTGAGAACACGTCTCATGCTTGGTATTTAAATCCCTAGCTTTTCTCAAGTGGCTGGGAATGGAATTTTATCCTAGAGATGTCCTGACCATTGGTTTGCCAACGCCCTACTAATTCACGTGTTCTCAGTTCCCTCAATGGCCTTCACATTTATTTTTTGGTGATTCCTCCAATTCTCTTTCCCTGATCTCCAAAAAACTAAATAGTACAAAAAGGGGGCTCCTTGTGCTCTGCCACTGATTGATCATACCGGTTGCCACCTGTTTATTGGTCCATGCACCCCACTGGTTGACAGTAGCATCTTGAGCTTTATTATACTGACCGTAGCAGTACTTGCTGAGTGAGTGAGTGAATGGCTGGCTACCCACTCCTCCCCTGGAATCTGTGAGTGCCATAAGCTGCATTGTTGCTGTTTCTCTCACTCATTTCAGATTGCATCTCAGTGCGCTTCAAGCTCGCCCCCAAGAACACTGGGCACCTTGGGGTGGGGGCCTATTCATTTCCCTTTGGATCCTCAGTGCCTGAGATACTACTTGGAGATTGACTAACATTTGTTGGGTGAATGAGTAAATGAATAAAGCAATGAGTTATCTGTTCAGCATTTAAGGATTGGGATTGATAAGACTGGAGTCTAGACTGCTTTCTAAAACAATCTTTCTAAGATACTCAGTGAATGTTTCTTGGCTCCTGAGATGACCTATGTCTTCTTAGGGCCTCATTTGCTAGAAAGGTTCTTAAATTGGCGCACCATTGTGGAGCATCAGAGTTAGTCCTGTTGTGGACTCATCTTTTGGAGGGACATTTGGGGAAGTCAAGTGATACATGTTTTAACACCTAAATTATCTAAATCTAGCACAGGATTTTTTTCTCACAGTTAATGACATATTGACAATTAAAAAAAATTCTGCTTTTTAAGAGTTTAGACAACTGTTTACCAGAGACCTAAGACCACGGCATCATTTTCTCCGTCATTACTTCAATGTAATAAAAGCAGTATATGAAAAATCCACAGCTAACATCACACTCAGTGTTGGAAGCCTGAAAACATAACTCCTAAGGTCAGGAGAAAGATGAGTGTTTATTCTCACCACTTCTATTCAACATTGTACTAGAGTTCTTGCCAGGGCAATTAGGCAAGAAAAAGAAATAAAAGGCATCCAGATTGGAAAGGAGGAAACGAAACTTTCTCTACTCACAGATCGCATAATCTTGCATGTAGAAACCCCTAAAGAAATCTGTGAAAACCTATTAGAACTAATAAATGAGTTCAGAAAGGTTGCATGATCAACATACCTAAATCAGTTTTATTTCTATACTATTAGCAATGAACAATCCAGAAAGGAAATTATAAAAACAATTCTGTTTACAGTAACATCAAAAATAAAGTGCTCAGTAATAAATTCAGCGTAGGAGATGCAAGGCTTATACACTCAAAACTATAAAATATTGTTGAAAGAAAGTAAAACAGACTTCAATAAGTGGAAGGACATCCTATATTCATGGATTGGAGACTTAATGTTGTAAAGATGACAATATTCCCCAAAGTGACCAATTGATCACTATTAAAATTTCAATGGGCTTTTTTTTTTCCAGAAATGGAAAAACTAACTCCAAAATGTGTATGGAATTGCAAGGAACCATGAATAACTAAAACAATGTATAAAAAGAGAACAAAATTGGAGGGCTAACACTTCCCAATTTCAAAGCTTACTACACAGCTACAGTAATTAAAACAGTATGGTACTGACACAAGATAGACATACAGAGCAAGGAAATAGAATTGAGATTCTAGAAATAAACTCATACATGTATGACCAATTGATTTTTGACAATGGTGCTAAGACCATTCATTGGGGGAAAACAGACTTTTTAATAAATAGTGCTGGGGCAAAGCCTGATGTAGGCTCATAATAATAATAATAATGATAATAAAGTACTGAACAACTGGATATCCATATGCAAAACAACAATTGTGTATCCCTATCTCACACCAAATAAGAAGTCAACTTAAAATAGAACAAAGACTTAAATATAAGTGCTAAAAATATGAAACTGTTATAGGAAAACATAGGTGTATTTTTGTGACCTTGGATCAGACTATGGTTTCTTAAATGTAACACTGAAAGCATAGTCAAAACCACAAAACAATGGATAATTTGGACTTCACCAAAATAAAAAGCTTTTGTGAATCAAAGGACACTACTAAGAAGGTGAAAACATAACCTATCAAATGAGAGAAAATATTTGTAAATAATATGTATTAGTCCGTTCTCACACTGCTAATAATGACATACCTGAGACTGGGTAATTTATAAAGGAAAGAGGTTCAATGGACTCATAGTTCCACATGACTCGGGAGGCCTCACAGTCATGGTGGAAGATGAAGGAAGAGCAAAGAGGTCTTACACAGCAACCAGGAAGAGACAGCATGTGCAGGGGAACTCCCATTCATAAAACCATCATATCTCTTGAGACTTATTCACTGCCATGAGAACAGTATGGGGGAAACCGCCCCCATGATTAAATTACCCCCACCCAGGGTGGGGACACAGCCAAACCATATTATATATAAAATAAGGGTTTAGTATCCAGAATATACACAAAACAAAACTCAACAACAAAAAGACCAAAAACCCAATTTAAAAGTGGGCAAAGAACTTTCATAGGTAGTTCTCCAAAGGAGGTATACAAATGGCTAACAAGCACTCAATGTCATTAGTCGTTAGGGAAATGCAAATCAAAACCACGATGAGATACCACTTCAAACTCAACGGAATGGATATACTAATAGTAAGGAAATAGGTATTTGTATTGGAGCCCTCATATGGTGTTTTAGCTGGGACTATAAGTTGTGGGAGCCCTTTGGAGCACGGTCGAGCTGCTCCTCCAAAAGTTAAACATGGAATCATCATTTGATCTAATGACCCGACTCCTAGGTGTCTGCTCAGAGGAACTGAGAACTTATGTTCAAACAAAAACTTGTACAAGAATGTTCACCACAGCACAACTTATAGTAGCCCAAAGTAGGAAGAACCCAAATATCCATCAGCGGGTAAATAAATGGATGCACAAACTTATCTATGCATGCAATGGAATATTGTTCAGCCACAAAGAAAAAGGAAGCACTGACAATGCCACCGCACCATGAATGTTGAAAACATGATGCATGATTCTATTCATAGAAATGTCCAGAAAAGGCAAATCCATAGAATCAGAAAGCAGATTAGTGGGTGCCAAAGCTTGGAGGTAGGGGAAGTGAGGAGCAACTGCTTAATGGATTCGGGATGACTTTTGGAGGTGATGTAAATGTTCTGGAATTTGTGGTGTTTGTTGCATGACATTGTGAATGTATAAAAGCCACTAAATTGAGTACTTTGAAAAGAATAAAATAATTTCACTTCAATAAAAAAGGAAGGAAAAAGGCTGTGATGGTTAATATTGAGTGTCAACTTGATTGGATTGAAAGATGCCAAGTATTGTTCCTGGGTGTGTCTGTGAGGATGTTGACGAAGAAGATTAACGTTTGAGTCAGTGGACTGGGAGAGGCAGACCCACCCTTAACCTGGGTGGGCACCATCTAATCAGCTGCTGCTGAAGCTAGAATAAAGTAGGCAGGAGAAGATGGAAAAAGTAGACTTCAGTCTTCTGGCTTTCATCTTTCTCTAGTGCTGGATGCTTCCTGCCCTTGGACAATCAGACTCCAAGTTCTTTAGCTTTTGGACTCTTGGACTTAGACACCAGTGGTTTGCCAGGGGCTCTTGGGCCTTTGGCCACAGACCGAAGCTTGCACTGTTGACTTCCCTACTTTTGAGGTTTTGGGATTCAGACTGGCTTCCCTGCTCCTCAACTTGCAGATGGCCTATTGTTAGACTTCACCTGTGGTCATGTGAGTAAGTACTTCTTAATAAACTCTCCTTCATATATACATCTATCCTGTTAGTTCTGTTCCTCTAGAGAACCCTGACTAATACAAAGACCTATGTAACAAACATCATATGTACAAAGATCTTAACTAGAATGTTATTTTTAACAATGAACAATTAGAAATAATCTAAATGCCCAACAATGATATATGGTTAAAATACTGTGGAATATGTACTCAATTAGTATTCCATAGCTATTTTACATATTATTATATATGCTGTAGCAAAATGTAATGATTATGTTTTTGGGGAAAAACAGATTACATCACATATATCCTATAATAGCAACTCTTTAATACAGTGTATATATATGGAGATATATATATGGAGAGAGATATATATATGGAGATATATATATGGAGAGAGATATATATATATGGAGATATATATAGGGATATATATATATCAGAATATATATATGTCAGCATATATATATATCAGAATATATATATATCAGCATATATATATATATATATATATCTCTATCAGAATATATATATGGAGCAAGACTGCCAAGGAAAAGAAAATTGAAAACTGTCTGTGAATGTGGGTCATTTTGAAATTTTATTTTTTATATAGAAAAGTGTTGGGCAGATCACGAGGTCAGGAGATCGAGACCATCCTGGCTAACGTGGTGAAACCGCATCTCTACTAAAAACACAAAAAATTAACCGGGCGTGGTGGCGGGTGCCTGTAGTCCCAGCTACTCGAGAGGCTGAGGCAGGAGAATGGCGTGAACCCGGGAGGCGGAGCTTGCAGTGAGCGGAGATCACGCCACTGCACTCCAGCCTGGGCGAGAGAGTGAGACTCTGTCTCAAAAAAAAAAAAAAAAAAAAAAGAAAAGTGTTGTCATTTATTCAACAAATGCTTATTAACAGATACTTATGCCATAAGAAAAAAAGTTAACAACTTAAGTTTGAAATTGAAAAACACAACACTATGGAATAGAACAATCTCTATATCAAAAACATTTAGCAGTGCACATTTTGAATTGATGCCAAGTGCAGAATAAGCCTTTGATTTCCTTGAGGTCAGCAGTTACAGTGGATTTCAAAATTATTCATTCTATTGACTATTTTATTAAAGAAAAGAGACTTATTTATTCTGATTTATCTTAAAATTTTTGAAGTTCATCAACAGTAATATAACACGATGTTTTAAAGAGATCAATGTCTTTATTCATTCAATTATTGATTATTTTGCTTATTCATAAAATATTCATATATCAACAGTATATCAGACACTGTTGGAGAGTAAGGTAAAGCAAAATGTAAATATTTTCCTGCAAAACTTTTGATTTAGTAAAGGAGAAAGCACATATAGAAAGCCAGTTCTTTAAAATAAATGTTTCATCTGAGTTTCAACACTAATGCAGGGAACAAGTACATTATAGAAAATTGAATTACATTCATGGACTTTTTTCCTAGTAGTATAATTAAACCTTATTCTTAGCCAAAATTCTGCCAATCCTCATTTTAGTAAGGTGTCACTTGATAACTTTACTGTTCAACTGAGTATGTTAGTTTTATGGCATTATTGAAAGATACTTAAATAGTTACTTAACACGATCTTTGCAGAAATTAGGAAGAGTTCCTGATTGCATACGGAACATTAGACCGACCATAAGAAAACCCTCAGAAGTGGATGCCTTCAATGGTAGACACTTTGCAACATTCGCGTCCGCGCGGCACATGCTGTGTTCATCACCATGGTGGGACCTCACATTCTGTGATGAGACAAACTTCCATTCCTTTTCTCTCATTATGCTTATCAAAGCTCTCTATTTCTTGGTCCTAATTCTGGCTTTTAGTTTTTGCAAAAAGGATTGCAAACACTAATTAAACCGTGGCGGCAGCATTTTTGTTTGTTTGAGACAGAGTTTTATTCTTGTTGCCCAGGCTGGAGGGCAGTGGCACGATCTCAGCTCACTGCAACCTCCGCCTCTTGGGTTGAAGAGATGCTCCTCCCTCAGTCTCCCAAGCAGCTGGGATTGCAGGCACCTGCCACCACGCCTGGCTAATTTTTTGTATTTTTATAGAGATGGGGTTTCACCACGTTGGTCAGGCTGGTCTTGAACTCCTGACTTCAGGTGATCTGTCCGCCTCGGCCTCCCAAAGTGCAGGGATTATGACGGGGTCCATGATACAGAGCAGACTCAGAGAGGTGCATCCCTCACCAAGCCCCAGAGACTCCTTCCCATGCCCTGGAGTCCGAAATTCCTTACTAGCGCTGGGCAACTGTGAGGGTCATAGTGTGCACTTTGTAGAGATGTGAAGACTAGAGCTTAAAAGTATCTGTGCTGCTACTAAAAAAGACCAACCAACTACAACAAATTTGCAAGAAAACAAAGATTTTTATTTTTAAATTGTTAGGTCCCTTTGAGATTTCAGATCTTTTTCAGTTTATTAAATATAACAATGCATATGCAATTTGGTATATTTCTTAATGTGATTTTGATTGATTGCTTAAAGAAAATATATTCTGCATTCTAGTAATAATTAAAAATTAGCTAATGGAATTTCAATTTAAAATTTAAGATATACGATATCGAAGTTCAGTTTTTTAACCAGTATTTTAGAATATTATAAAAAATTAATATAGAAATATTATAGGCAAATAAAGGAAATAAGGATTTCTGTAATTAATGTTTTAATATGATGAAACGGACGTAGAAATCTCTCAATTTAGGAGATAGAGGGAAATGTGGGGAACACACCAAATACACTTAACATAAACACGGCTGCGCACGTTTTCTACTAAGCTTCCCTTTCTGCATTGTCTTCATTTTCTGTTCCTCGTAAGAGCTCTTTTAAAATTTCTGACATCCAAGGCAATCCTAGTTGTGGAAGTTCTTTCCCCTCGGCTGTCGGCGGAGTCTTTGGGTGTGGTGGATGGAAGAGGAGCCGTCTGCTGAGAGAAGAGGAGGAACTCCGCTGTCTGAGTCAGCACAGGTCCACCGAAGACCAGGAGCTCAGCCCTCCGCGCGGTGCTCTGAATCCAGGGAACACGCTCGCCGGGAACTGCGGAATCCCTCCCGTTGGCCTGCGATAAAACCGTGTTGACTTACGGAACATCATCTTTGGTTTACACTGAACTTTCTTAAAACTTTCCTCTTCTATATAATTTTACTCTATACCATAGAGATAATTTTGATAAAATAAATCTCAGGCGGTACACATCGTATTTTTTTTCCTATTCTTTGTATTAAATTGGTGCAGAACTAATTGCGGTTTTTGCCATTAAGAGTAATGGCATTTACTCTTTGCTGTGACTCTTAATGGCAAAAACTGCAATTTACTTTTAATGGCAAAAATCACAATTACGTTTCACCAACCTAATAATTTTCAAAGTCTCAGGTCTTAAGGCACCAACTTCCAATCTCATTCCAGATGGAAACCTCTTGACTTCCCCATATCTTCCCAGTCCTGAGCCTTTGACCAAATAAGGCAATGTGCTTCTTGCCTTTGTCATTCCTGAACAAATGCCAATGCCACCGTCCTCTCTCGCATTCAGTATTCAGAGGGCAAATTCACGAAGCAGGATCCTACCGGCCGCCGTGTCAGCCTGCAGTTCCCATACTGGGTCCTGCAGTCTCTTCATTGTCCTGTGGGATATTAAAAGGACTTCTGTGAAAAAGATAATTATTAAATGATATTGTCATTCTAAAAGGCACTTTAAAAAATGTGTGTGAGAACTGTCAACATACACATATGGTGGTTTTATTGGTTTTCAGTAAATTTCTTTAAAGCAGTGGTATGCAGTACAATGTCCCCTAGGTAACAAGAGGCTGCTGGAGGCATGAACGTGGTGGCCAAGTTCAGCATCTGCTGACTGATGCTTGAAGCCATCACAGAGAACATCAGAAGGAGGAATGTGCGGTGGCCGGATCAGTGTCTATTTGCCGTTGCAGAGGCAGGATCCATGAACTCATCTCTGGATTGGATGAAGATGGTTGCAGTTGACTCATTTTTTGGTCTATATTGGCTGGGTAGTGACAAGACTCACATTTAGTTATTCTTTTCTGCAGTGGAGCTGTCTGTTAGACACTTGGGATCCTCATGTGTTTCAGCCCTGAGCCCCTGTTGAAGCTTTACCAATAAATAATCCTTTAGCCAGGACGATGGGGCCAAATAAACCTGGGGACCATTGTTTTTGTAGGGATTCAATGGGAGGAAACCTCAGAGCGAAGAAGACTTCACTATTCTTCTTTTTCTTATGAAAATAAAAGGGCTCTTCAAGGCAGAGCTGCTTCTTGTGCTTTGATTTTTGAGTTCTTCATTTCTTTTTATTGTAATAAAAATAATAATAATGTGACAATGTGGGTTGGTAGTTATATTTACAGATCTTCCTAGGTCGTATTGTTTGAGAAGAAAAAGGCTATGGGAAACTAGGTTTCCTAAGTTTCCATATATTCCATAGACACTCTGAATTTCATCATTATAGATTAAAATCTTAGAATGCACTTCATAAGCGAAATGTACACTTTCCTATAGTACTTAATAAGCAGGAGTCCAATTGTCTCTTGTTGTGACTGAGATAGTCTAGTCAATATTTTGTCAATGAGGAATGTTTTGTCCAATGGAGGAGATAAAGTTGTTGGATTAGTAATTAAATTGTTGTCCTTATTATTTTATGAAAATAAAGGGGGGATAAAGAAGAGGGAGATGGTACCAGTGTAGGAGGCTGAATGCACTGTGGGTAATAACAGAAGTCACACAAGCCAAAGGTGGCCTCTTCTTAACTCAGCAGTGATCCCATAGCCAGGTGCAGAACCCATGGCAGGGCTGCGGGGCCACTCCTGCCCTCTCCACTGGTTAACTGGCACACATGACTTGAATCAATGCAAGCAATACTTTCTATCAAAGTATTCCTCTTACAAACATGAGACAATGATCAAAACAAACCCCACTCTATTGTGAATCATCTTGACGAGAATGATCCATGTCTAGCCATAGTCAAAAATGGGATGCCATTTGTGTATTTACTAATTTCATCTAAACTGGTACAGCTTGGCACCACATAATTATTTATTTTTTCTTAATTCCCCAAACGTGAGCTTACGATAGACTTGGTGTAGATGGTGTCTTGAATTGACATAGTGTTCTAATGTGAAAAGTCACGAGTTTGTGCTACTAATGCCGTGGTGCAGCTGGGCACGCCATCAGGCTGACCCTCAGCCTAAACTCTTGGACGGCAGGGATCAGAGGAGCCATGATTTATCTCCTGCCTCCACCTAGCCCAGCAGATGCTCCAGGTGGACTTTATCCATCGATGCTGTCCTGGCCCTGAGCTTCTCTCTGGGCTGCTGGGTAGGTGTAGCGAGTTGTTTAATGACACTGCAACGGGGAGGCAGAGGCACATTTGCTGTGTCCTTCCTCTTGTCCTTGTGGGGTGACCTCCAGCATCCTTGCCAGAGCCCGCAGCATCTGCTGCTCAGCGCCTCCCTCCCTGCTGGATGGCTGGGCTCCTTCCATACGGCTCAGACAATGGCCTCCCTCCTGGACCAAATCCTTCTGAGCTTTTCCTGAACTTTTATCATCGGAGAGATATCCTTCTAGAAGGAGGCATTTTTACAGAACAAAAACAAAAATGAAATCCTGACCAATTTATATGATTAGAATGGGTGGTCAATTTTTAATAAGACAAGTTTTGTTGAAATACATACATTAATTGAAACTGTCTAATACAACATTGCTGTTATGGGTTAAATTGTCCCTGTCCCCCCAAAAAAGACATATATTATTCCATCTGTGGAGGGTTTATAACAGTAACAGCACCCACTCAATACAGACACCACATAACCATCGTCAAATCCTCCTCCCTGAAAAAAAAAATGTTGGTTTTGATTCTAAGAAATTGCTACAGTGATTTACATAATAATATGCATTTAAGCTACTATTTATTTTATTTCTGACACATATTTTAATAAAATATTTACATTCTATATGAAGATTAATTTGGAGAACTCCCAGTTATAAAATTGGCCCCTATATGTTTATTTCCAAAGCATTTAGCTAATAGTTCTGAATTGCTTGGCTCAATTGCTGAGTTTTTGTCACCTAACCTGTGTGCTACATATTCCTGCATTTAGAGAGTAGATTTGAATAGAGAATAATAGCACAGTGATTTTAAATACAAAGACACAGAATTCAAGACACTCAATTCTGTCATTCTAGCAATCTTTTTCAGTTGTTCTTTGTATTTAAAATGTGAATAGTAAGGCAGAGCTGCAATTTGTGAGATGTTTTGTTGTGTTTGAGTGCAAAGTTAAGTGCGAATTTTCCTTTAGAAGTGAAATATTTAACTGAATTTGCATATGATCTTTAGAATTAAGTTGTATTCCTTTAAAATTGTTATTTAAAATCTAAAGAACACATAAAGAAAATTACTACTACTACTGATTGTTACATTTTTATTCCTGAAATAATTGTGTTGTGTAGGAAAGAGGGTCTTAAAAGTTGCTTCAGATGTCAAGTATACCAGTGATATGGTTAGGTTCTGTGTCCCCACCCAAAGCTCATCTCGCATTCTAATCCCCACATGTCAGAGAAGGGGCCTGGATCATGGGGATAGATTTCCCCTTTGCTGGTTTCATGATAGTGAGTGAGTTCTCATGAGATCTGATGGTTTAAAAGTGTGCCACTTCCCTGTTTGCTCTCTTTCTCTCTCCTGCCACCATGTGAAGATGTGCTTGCCTCCCCTTCACCTTCTGCCATGATTATAAGTTTTCTGAGGCCTCCCAGTCATGCTTTCTGTTAAGCCTGCAGAACTGTGAGTCAACTAAACCTCTTTTCTTCATAAATTACCCAGTCTCAGGTAGTTTTTTAATAGCAGTGTGAAAAAGGACTAATATAATCTCAGACTTCTAGGTTCCACAACGTAAATTTCTGTTGCTTAAGCCACCCCCTAGGTGCTATTTTGTTATGACAGCCCAAGCTAAGTAATACAGAGGGGAAAGACAGGTGGCAGATGCCTGAGGTGAGGAGACGGGAGTCCAAGGAGGGAAGGGCAGCTACAGCTAGAGGTCAGAAGGCTGGTGGGGTGAGGGCTGCAGAGCGTTGCCTTCAAGGGTTCACTGGAGATCTGACCAGTGCATGCACATGAGAAAGCTTCCCCAAAGTATTAGAGGAACAATTCTCAGATACCACACAGGGCTGAGGATGCTGCTTCTTCCTGTCATCCGGAATGCAAAGCCTTACGCTATATAGGACATTGAGCAGAGCAATCAGAAGGGTTTAACTTTAGCAATGGGCCAATTTTAGCCATAGTCTAACAGCTGCTCTGGTTTCAGCAAACAAAGTTTAGAAGCAAGACTCTAAAAGAACAAGCCATTTCTAAGTAACTTAAACACATCCTGGAATGAAATTCAAAAACAGTTATAAAAATAAAAAAGAATCCCATACCCAGAACACTGAAATTCACAACATCTGGCAGCCAATCAACAACTAACAGGCAAGGAAAGAAGCAGAAAATGGGAGCTGCCAAAATATTTGAATAAATAATGGCTGAAGCATTTCCCAATTTTATGAAAATTGTAAACTCACAGATCCAAGAATTTTAACAAAACACATGAACAACATGAAGAAATCTACAGCAATGTACACCATAATCAAATTGTATAAAGAGAAAACTTTAGAAGTAGCTATTGGAAAAAAAGACACATAATATACAGAAGATAAAGATAGGGATGAAAACAAATTTATTGTCATAAACAATGCAAGTGAGAAGACACCATAGTAACATATTTAAAATACTAAAAAATAAAAAAGAACAAAACTGTCAACCTAGAATTGTTTACCTAGTGAAACTGTCTTTCAAAAATAAAGGCAAAATGAATACTTTTTTAGATGTACAAAAGCTGAAGGAATTTATCTTCAGCAAGCCTGTACAATAAAAAAGGTAGAATGAGTTCCTTCAGGCAAAGAGAAACTGATACCAGATGGAAGTCTGGATTTCCATGAAGGAAAAGAAAAGCACTGTAAGTGTCAACTAGAATGGTAAATACAAAAAGTGATTTTTCTATTATTTAAATTTCTTTGAAAAATAATTGACTCTTTCAAACTATATAAATATAAAAATAATGTAATTTGGGGTTACAACATGTGGAAGTAAACTTTATTACAGCAACAGCACAAAGATCAGGAAGGGAGAAAGGTATGTGATTGCAAGCATCTTATAGTGTATGTGAATTGGTATGATACTATTTCAAGATAGACTGTGATAGGCTAAATATGCATACTGTACACTCTAATGTAACTTCCTAAACAGTACAAAAAGAATAATAACTAATAAGATAACAAAAGACATAAATACAATCATAAGACCATCCAATCCAAAAGAAGACAGAGAAATAGGACAGTGAGTAATGAATAAATGGAACAAACAGAAAGCAAATGGCAAGATGATAGACTTAAAGCCAACTATACAATTATGCTAAATGTAAATGTCAAAGCAGCTCCCTCATTGAAAGGCAGAGATAGTCATATTGGATAAAATAGAGCCAACTATTTGCTAAATTCAGGAAATACGCTTTAAATACAAAGACAAAAATAGATTAAAAGTAAAAGGATATAAAAATATGTATTAAAATCAACAGATAGCTGGACTGGCTGTATTAATATGACGCAAAATATTTTTCAGAGCAAATGCTATTACTAGGGATGAAAAAGGCCCTTTCATAATGATGAAGGTATTAATTAATCAAAAGGACATAAAAATCCTAAATATTTATGAACCTAAAATCAGAGCTTCAAATACATGAAGCCAAAACTGAAGAAAATGTGTGAATAAATCAAAAAGTCCAAAATTATAACAAGCAATTTTAACATTGCTCTCCCAGGAATAAATAGAATAATAAGACAAAATATCAGTAAGGATATAGAAGACATGAGCAACACTGTAAGCCAACATGACTTAATTTACAACTGTAGATCAATTCACCTAACAACAAGGTAACTATTCTTTTTAATTGCCCATAAAGCATATATCAAGATAGAGCCAATTAATGTGTCATAAAACAAGCCACAACTTTAGTGGATTTATGTAAGAGAAAGTATATATTCTGACTGCAATGAAAGTTACCAAGAAATCAATAAAATATCTGGAATATCTCAAAATACTTAGAAACTGAATAACACACTTCTAGATCATCCATCATCAGTAAAATAAGAAATCAAAAGAGGAATTAGATAATATTAGAAATGAAGGAGCACAAAAGCATAGCATATCACAATTTACAAGATGCAGCTAAAGCAGTACTTTCAGGAAATTTTATAGCACTAAATGATCATATTAGAAAAGAAGGAAATATGCTGTTCCAGGTAGCAGAGAAATAATTAAAAAAAAGAAAAGAAGGAAATGAATAAAATAAATAATCTCAAATTCCACATTAGTAAAGCAGAAAAATAAGAGCGAAAGAAACTCAAAGTAGGAGAAGAAAGAAAATAGTGAGCATCAAAACAGAAGTCAATAAATTAGAAAAGCAGAAAGCATTAGAGAAAAGCAATGAACCCCAGAGCTGATTCTTTGAAACAATCAATAAAATTAATAAACCTTGAGTCAGATTGGTCAGCGAACAAAGGATAGAAAATACAAATCACCAATATCAGAAATGAGAGAAATGACATCACTACGGAGTCTTCAGGTGTTTAAATTATAAGAAGAAGATATTTTGAAAAAAAGCAATAAATTTAAAAACTTAGATAAAATGGACAAATTCCTTAAAAGATACAATCTACCAAGATTCACTCAAGAAATAATAGATAAGCTGAATAGCCTTATATCTATTAAATTAAATATGTAGTAAAAACCTTCCCACAAGGAAAACTCCAGGCCCAGGTGGCTTTACTGCTGAACCCTACGAAATCTCCTGAGAAGAAACACCTACAGCCAATGCTACACTTAATGGTGAAAGACAGAATGCTTCCCCTACGGGCCCAGGGCCAGGCAAGGATAGCCATTCTCGGCCATTCCATTCGACATTGTGCCGCCAGGTCCGTGAATTACTCAGGGAAATTAATAGAAGGTGTCTAGATTGGAGAGGACATAAAAGTGTCTTAATTTTCAGACAACACGCTTATCTATGAAGAAAATCCCATGAAATCTATAAAACAACTATTAGAACTAATAAAGCTTAGCTAAGTGGCAGGCTACTAGATCAATATACAAAAATCAATTGTGTTTTTATATACTGGCAACAATTAGAAATTTAAATGGAAAGAAATACCACTTATAATATTAAAAAAACATGAAATACTTAGGGCTAAACCTGACAAAAGATGTGCATGACCTCTACATTGAATATTACAAAACATTGATGAGGGTAATTGAATTAGATCTAATTAGATGGAGGGATTTACCACAGTAATAGATTGGGAGGCTCATTACTGTCAAGGTGTCAGCTCTCCCCAGATTTATGTACGGATTCAGAGCAATACCAATCAAAATCCTAGCGGCCCTCTTTTTGTAGAAATGGATGGTCTGATTCTAAAATTCACATGAAAGTGCAAAGTACGTAGAATAGCTAAATAAGTCTGAAGCAGAAGAACGAATTTGGAGAACTTTTGCTACCTAATTTCAGGACTTATTATAAAGCTACTGTAATCAAGACAGTGTGGTATTGGCATAAAGACACACAAATAGAGTGATAGAATAGGATAAGGAATCCAGAAATAGACCCACGTGTATGTCAATGGGTCTTTTGTAAATGCATGGAGGCAATTCGATGGAGAAAGGACAGTTTTCCTATCCTTTGTGGAACAATTGATGATCCGTATGAAAAAAAAAAAGGACTTTGATAAATTCATTCTATCATATGCAAAATTTGCTCAAAATGGATTAGAAACATAAATGAAAGACTGAAACCCACAAAGTTTCTGGAAGAAAGCATTGGAGAAAATCTTGAGACTTCAGGTTAGTCAAATATATATTAGATACAACATCAAAAGCATGATCTATAGAAGGAAGAAATAACTTACACTGATAAGTGAATGGAGAGACAGATCACAGACTGGAAGAAAATATTTGCAGATCACATATTGATAAAGCACTTGTACATTAAATATGTAAAGAACTCACAAATGTCAATAATAATTTAAAAACCCCACCCAATAAAAAGACGGGCAAGGGGTTTGGAACCAAGCGACCTAGCTCAGCTTCACAAAAACACTTAAGGTAGAAAAGTAGAGAAAGACAACAGCTCATGCTGAGGTAGGATTGTGGGGTGGGCACAGCCTCAGAGGGCTCGAGGAGCACGTGGAGTGTTTGCTTCAGGGAGGTTTGTAGCCCCCCTCCCACAGGGACCCTTACTGTCTTCTGTTGAACATCCTCAATTTTCCAGGTGAACATCAAGTCTTTTCATCTATGAGAACTTTGATTCCACTGTTGTAGTATTTGATCTCTTGTTGCCTCCCTGTCTATTCCTCATCCTTTGGCTGGGACACTCCTCTGAGCAGAGGGTGAGTAAACCAGGAGCTTTCCTGGCATGCAGGCTCAGGTTTGCATATGGAAGGGATGCCTCTCTCAACAGAACCCAATGTGTATCACACACACCCCTTTGCAGCTCCTAGCCAAACCACCCAAGTTAGAGTTAACCAGATTATGTGGGACCCCACCCCTAAATATACTTTCTTTTCTTTAAATTTGTTTTTAACCTCTATAATGCTATTACAGTAAACAGGTGGGGGATGTCTCATTAGCTCAAAAGGAAGTGTGTATGGTATGGGTTTGACTGAGACCCTTTTTTTTTTTTTTTTGAGATGGAGTCTTGCTCTGTTGCCCAGGCTGGAGTGCAGTGGTGCTATCTCGGCTCACTACAACCTCCACCTCCTGGGTTCAAGTGAATCTCCATTCTTCTGCCTCAGCCTCCCAAGTAGCTGGGATTACAGGTGCGTGCCACCACACCTGGCTAATTTTGTATTTTTAGTACAGACAGGGTTTTGCCATGTTGTCCAGGCTGGTCTGGAACTCCTGACCTCAGGTGATCCACCCTCCTCAGCCTCCCAAAGTGCTGGGATTACAGGCATGAGCCACCACACCCAGCCTGACTGAGAGTTTTAACTCTACTGAGTCCCATTATATATTTGACAGTCCTCACTCCTGGGTTAAGAAATTCAAACCTTTCCATTGTTCTGCTTCTTTTTTTTCTCTTTGATTTATTCTCTCCCTTCACAAGTTCAGACTCACCACCACCGGCTCTTCCTAAGTTATTTACATGCATTTTTGCCTACACTGCCTAACATTCATATAAGAGATGTCACTCTGATCAACAGTTCACACTCAATGACTCTGATTTTATTCTTGTCTTATTGCATTGGCAGGGACCAGAGTCATGGGAGCAGTGATGGCCTGTATCCTTGTCCTGAGCCTGACTTGAAAGGCAGTGCCTCTAGTTTCCCCACTCCACACAATGTTTGTTGGTTAATGACAGTGTGGTATAATGTATTTAATCTTCAAGGTAATACCATTGTAATAGGCTGTGGAAATTCATTGAGGTTATCTTTGTGGCCTAATAAATGCTCCATTTTTAAATGTCCCATAGATGTTTAAAAATAATTTCTATGCTCTGTTAGGAAATTTATTTTTTATGTATCTATTTGGTCAAGCTTTTCAGTTGTGTATTCAAATTCTCATTTGTTTCATATGTTGTATTATTGGTCAGTTTCTAAAATTGTGTTAATGGTTCCTGTAATCATTGTGGATTTGTCCACTTCCCCTTGTATTTATAACAGCTTTTGTTGTATTTCAACCTGTCGGTAAGGGAATAAAATTCATGGCTCATACATTCTTTATCCTTATGAAGTATTATCTTTTCCCATTTTATGCTTTTATCTTAATTTCTACTTTATCTAATATTAATAGTGGCTTCTCTACATTTCTTATTTGCATTTGCCTTATATATTTTCCCCATATATTTATTTTGCCTTTGTATTTTATCATTTAGTTTCTGGTAAAACACATATCGGTAAATTTTATCGTAAAACTCGGTCTGGGAGATTCTTTTAGTAGAAGAATTCATTTTGGAAAACCATTGTGTTGGACCACATTCTTTAATTTTATTTTGCTTACCTTGTGTAGCTGACTTTGTAGCAGCTTGTGCTTTGACGCTCATACCCTATATCCATTTAAAGACACAATGTGTTTATTGGCGGCAGGTCTTCCCAAGGACCTGGAGGCTGCCTTCCCCAGTCTGAGGTCTGTTCTGTCTCAGAGTCTCCTGGCTGCAGGAACAAGGCCAAACTACTCCAGCACCATTACCTCCTTACGCAAATGACCACAACTGAATTAACTGGGAGTTTGGTCCAGGTGCCACACAGGTTCTTGAGTTGAGTCTTTTCATTAATTTAGAGCATAGAAGACACAGGCTCTGGGAAGCCAGTGGGAAGTGATTCCAATGGCTGCTCAGTTATTGCAAAGATTCCAAAGATTGCCAACTACCAGCTTCCTAGAAATCCAGCAGATCTCAGTCCTCTGAGGAGTCAGAGTGTCAGGGTTGTTGCAAAAGCACCTGACTCTGCATCTACTTAAAGTATGTAGCCAAGAAGGTGGGGATTCAGACAAGTATATAGCCAAGATGGTGGGGATTAGGATAAGTATATAGCCAAGAAGGTGGGGATTCGGACAAATATAAAGCCAAGATGGTGGGGATTTGGACAAGTATGTAGCCAAGAAGGTGGGGACTTGGACAAGTATATAGCCAAGAAGGTGGGGTTTCGAACAAGTATGTAGCCAAGAAGGTGGGGATTCTAACAAGTATGTAGTCAAGATGGTGGGGATTAGGACAAGTTTGTAGCCAAGAAGGTGGAGACTTGGACAAGCATATAGCCAAGAAGACAGGGTTTCGAACAAGTATATAGCCAAGAAGGTACGGATTAGGACAAGTATGTAGCCAAGAAGTTAGGGATTTGGACAAGTATGTAGCCAAGAAGGTGGGGATTCGAAAAAATATAAAGCCAAGATGGTGGAGATTCGGACAAGTAGGTAGCCAAGAAGGTGGGGATTTGGACAAGTAGGTAGCCAAGAAGGTACGGATTAGGACAAGTATGTAGCCAAGAAGGTGGGGATTCAGACAAGTATGTAGCCAAGAAGGTGGGGATTCGGACAAGTATGTAGCCAAGAAGGTGGGGATTCGGACAAGTAGGTAGCCAAGAAGGTACGGATTAGGACAAGTATGTAGCTAAGAAGGTGGAGACTCGGACAAGTATATAGCCAAGAAGACAGGGTTTCAAACAAGTATGTAGCCAAGAAGGTGGGGATTCTAACAGGTATGTAGCCAAGATGGTGGGAATTAGGACAAGTAAGTAGCCAAGAAGGTAGGGATTCAGACAAGTATATAGCCAAGAAAGCGGGGATTCGGACAAATATATAGACAAGAAGGCGGGATTAGGACAAGGTGATGCTTCAGTAAGTCAGAGTGTTAGTTAAGGACTGTGTGACTTTTCACAAGCCGATTCCCCTTTATGATATCAGGAATCTGAATAAATTTTTGAAGTCTCCAGCTGGAGGAAATTTAAACAACATTGTTTCTGCAGAGCTCCAAGGTCATGGACAAGCAAATTGCTTCCCAACATTATAGAAATGTTTTACATGTTTTGAACATGGGTTCTAATCATTTAAATCATGACAGGAAACCATTTCACTGTTGTAGAGCTACCATACACAGGCGCCTGAAGGGATGCCAGAACACACCGGGGTTCAGTGATTGCCTGCATTATCTGTGATCCTGGAGCCTGCTCTGCCTCACCAATGGGCTAATGACTCTACTGAAAATGAATGGGAAGTGTTTAAGGCAGTATTAATTGAAGAGCACTCATGCAATTACAGATTCCTGACAGCCATATGTGCTGGTGGGGACCTCTACACACCCACTCTTTTCCCTGAATGGCTTGTCATTCTTCCCTCTCACTCGTTTCTAGCCAGTCTCCCCATAGAAGCAGGTATTGCCAGTGGACACTGTGCTGTCTGTTTACCACATGCAGCAGGCGCGAGATGCTGGCCTGATTGGGGTGGGCGTGCTGGGTTTGGCCTCACACAGTAAGTGCCTAGCGGCCAAGTGGCTGAGCCAGGACCAGGAGCCTTGTCCCTAGAACCCAGGGCAGTGCACCTGTGTATCCTTCAAGATCAAGACCCTTCCTTACATCTGTCCCATAATAACCCCACTAGACCCCCAGCTGCAGAGAGGGGCAAGTCTGGTGGAGATTCATCAGACATGGATGGGGGTTCCTGAGGCCCCTGCTTTCAGGATGGGTGTTCCTGAGGCCCCTGTTTTCTCTCTGCAAGTGCACGGGACCTTTGGAAAAATCTTGCTGGACTTGGAGGGTGGGACAACATTCAAGGACACCTGTCCCAGACACATATTATGTTTTCTTTTTAGAAAATAAACCAGACCCAAGCAATGCATGTCCTTGGGTAAGTTGTTACCATCTCATCCAGTGTTCAGGACCACCCTTCAGTCTTTAGGGTGGGGAAGGACTCTGTAACAGCCACCGCTGTCTCAGCAGTCATGGGCGCCCCACACTTTCTCCATCACCCTTTGACTGGACAATCTGTCTTCTGGAGGCACAGCCAGCCAAGCTGCCTGGCCTCCCTAAAGAGGCCATCTGTGCAGGCTATGGTTGAGGGGAAGACACACTAAAGAGCCAAGTGTTTCCACAAGAGTGTCGGCTGCAGAAGGACACTGCCCAAAGTCGGCACGGTGGGGGCTGGCTGTCTACCTCAGAGGGAACAAAGGAAAGTTTTTTGATTTTCTGGGGGAAAAAAAATTCCACAGGGGGAAAAATAGGGACTTATGTAGTCGACAATATCAGTTCTAAAAATGCAATTTCCGGATTAATAACAAAGACGCTGTTCTAGTGCACCTGTTCCTTGAGGACGTGTGCATTTGACCCACAGAACATATTGTGCCCCGTGGCTCTTAGCTGAATCGTGACTTAACAGTCCTCCCCTTTTTAATGCGTGATGTCTATTAAAACGAGTCTCTGCTTGTACCAGGGCCCTTGTGGAAATGAGAAGCACATCTCAGTAGGCTGACCACCGGTTAAATATTAAAGCTGTAACTTTAATATTTGTGTGTTATATATTTCATCATAGTAAAGAAGAAGTCACAAAATATTGTTTCTTTTATGAAACCTTCAATATCTAAGCAATCATAACTTCTTTTATCCTACTTTGGCAGATAAAGTTTTTACATCAAGGATACATCTGGACACAAACAGAACAAAATTTATCTATCACACTCATACACATATATACATGATTAGCATATCTATGCAGGCACAGCCACACACGTATACACACAAGCATATATTTATACATGCATGCTAAGATATGTATTAATATGCTAACGTCATGTATGACTTTAGAATTCATTTTGACAACTGCTTCTCACCGTCTACCTTTGAGAATGGTTGGATGGAAGAAGAGGCGAGCCTGCACTTACCCCCAAATCATCAACTCCCTGTCTCGTGTTTCAGGTCAAGAAGTCATGTTTCTTCTGCAGGACGTAATCAGACTCCAAAGAGAAACAATAAAAAATAATCAATAAATAGAGCAAGTGAAGGTGAGGAGCTTCGCCAGGGCGTGATTTTTCAATTTATCCACCTGCCCTCATGGGTGGGAGAGAAAGGAAAGTATGACATTGCAAGGGTTAAAAATCAGACATACCAGCCCAAAGGAAGAGATTTGAGAAAATGAGGACTACGCCATTAGAAAGACAGTAAATATAGCATGCAGCTCAACTGGGAGGGTTGTTGAAATCCAAAAACCAAGATTAAGATTTTCAAGTTGTGGCAAATTGCTGTAGTACTGAGCTGATGAAAACTGAGTATTTAAAAAAAAAGCAAAATATGTACAAATTTTTATCATGACCATTGTCAATTATTTTAATGGACAAGGTAGGTATTTGGATATATGGTCTGAAATTTCCTCATGGTTCTTGGCCAGTGAGAGCTCCAAGTTAATACATTGTGTTTCCTGAAAACTCATATATTATGAATTAAACCTAATTCTTTTTAGGTGAAATGTTCAAGCGGGTGTCTGAATTTTATGGTAAATGGAAGCAAATCTTCCAAACTTCTGCACCCGTGGGGACTGTTGCACCCAGGCTCCTGTTGCCATTGGCTAGATGTGCTGGGCGAGAGGCAGGTGCACATCGACATGGCAGCAACCCGTTTGAGGCTGGCACATACTCTGCCTGAGGTTTTCAGCAGATGCCTAAGAGCTGTGGGGCACCAAGAGAGGAAGTGGCTATGTAGACAGCTTGCTTCACTTCCTGTATCATAGCTGACATCTGTCCCTCTCTTTCAGTTAAAGTGTTTGCATCAATTTTCATTCTAAGAATGATTTGTCCTAGATTCCAGATCTATCTTGTTGTCATAGATTGTGTCCTTCAAATGGAGGAATTTCAGTGACACAAGGGGTACTTCTTCAGTCATGGCCCATGGTCATGGGAGATGGTCATGGTCAATGGTTGTGAACAATAGTATTAGGTGACAGTCATGGGTGAAAGTCACAGCAATGACCATGGGCAATGGTTGTGGGTGAGTCATGAGCAAGGGTCATGGGTGCTGATTATCTGTGATGACCATGGATGAGGGTCATAGGTGAAGGTCATGGTAATGGTTGTGGGAGAAGGTCACAGTGAGGGTAATGGTGAAGGTCATGGATGATGGCTATGGGCAATGGTGATTGGCGATAGTCATGGGTAAACATCATGGTGATGGCTGTGGGAGGTCACAGTGAGGGTCATGGTGAAGTTCATGGATGGTGGCTTTGGGCAGTGGTGATTGGTGATGGCCATGGGTGAAGGTCACAGTGAGGGTCATGGCAAAGGCTGTGGGTGATGGTCATAGGCAATGGAGATTGGTGATGGTTGTAGGTGAAGGTCGCAGTGATGGCTGTGGGAGGTCACAATGAGGGTCATGGTGAAGCTCATGGATGGTGACCTTGGGCAATGGTGACTGGTGATGGTCATGGGTGATGGCCATGGTGATGGTCACAAGAGAAAGTCATGATGAAGGCCTTGGATGAAAGTCCTGGTGATGGTTCTGGGCAATGGCTGTCAGTGAAGTTCATAGGCAATTGTCATGGGCAGTGATCATGAGTGATGGCCATGAATGAAGGGCATGATGATCATTATAGAATGGTCATGGGCAAAGGTCATGAGGATCCCTTCATGAAAATGTACTGCTTTTGGAAAATGAAGAGCACAGTTGTCCAGGTCTTGCACAAATATTTTGTATCATCCAGGAGTGGTTCAGCAGGACAAGCATGTCAGACAACATTTTAACGGGGGATGTGTGAGACCAAGTGACTTGAAGGGAACTGTGTATAACACAGAGACATGAATGAGCATGTCAGAAAAGAAGAACAAAGAGGACAGTTAATATATCAATGTGTTAAATCCAGAAAAGAATTTTGGATGCAGATGTGAAAGTTTATTGCATTTCTTTTGTGGTTTTCCTGATGCAACTCTGGAAGACAGACTTGGAGGAAGTTCAGGGAAATGCAAAATATTCATCACTGTGGTTGACCTAGAATAAGCGTCTCGCTCTAAACACGGAGGAGAGGATGACACTTAGGAAAGGATTAGGGAACTATGGCCAGGTCTCCTCCATGGAAGAGGGTCAGAGTGACAGGCAGGAGGTGGCTACAGTCACTGGACTCTTCCTTTGCATTCTAACCATGGTGAGACTTCAGAGTAGAAGCAGCACCATCTTTAAAACCTCATCTCATCCCCCCAGAAGCTCTCCAAGAACAATGAAAATAAAATCAGTACCCTTCAATAGAAACCCAACTTAACTCATTCATGAGATTTTCTTTGTAAACATTCTATCCGGCAATTATTTTCAGATCTTGCTTACCACCTGCTGCATGAGAACGTGTGGAGGCTGAGAGGTGCCTCCTGTGAAATCCTTCAGAGCTCAGCTCACCACCCATCCTTCAGGGGCAGTAGAATGAAAATTATATTTTTAATTGGCTTGAAATGTTTTGGTAAAAGTCTTAATCAGAGCATAAAATAGAAGCACATTTCTTGTGGTTTTAATAAGTTAATTTGTCCATATTTTTCTCTCTGAATTCTGCACCCCTGCACGGTTTTGACTTAAAGGAAGGCTCCTGCCAGTTATTCACATGCACATTTTCTTCATCTCCATTGTCCTTTTTTAGTCTTGCAAAATAGCAAGACAGACAAGCAGGCTTTGCTGAAACTTTCCAAACAAACTCACCTTTGTGGTGAGGTAATTATGGGAAAATTTCAGTCTCATGTATAAGCTTTAAAGAAGGAGGCATATGCCAGGAAGGGGACGATGGTACCTGATCCTGCTGCCACATCTGCCCCTCCTACTCGGAGTGCGCTAATGTGCGGGCATGCAGGCTAATTTCACAGCTGGTGTGCTTTCTGCTGACCTGAAACCGAAGTAGAGGAGACAAGCAAAAAGTGGGTTCAGCAAAGAACTTTAGAAGGATTTTGACAAAATGATGTGCATGAATCAATAGATGAAATCTGCTGGACTGGAAACGAGACACACTCTATCCAATTTTCAGCCTAAAAAGTTAAATTCAGAAAAGCAAAAATAAAATTTAGCAGATCAATAGCAGAACAGGCATTTCTTTATGACAATATTTCTAAATTATGCACAATTTACTCAGGTGATTATCTCACTCATTTAGTGTGGCGTTGGAGTAGACTCTAGGCTCGAATGTTGATGGCGCATAAGGATTCCTACATCTCTATATTTCATACGTGTAAGTCTTGACCTTGTGTTATATGGGTCAGAGGCAGGGGTAACCTACTAATACTATCATTGTTTTTTTACTTAGAAAAGATGGCAAACGCAGTCTAATGGCGGGTGGCTGGTGAACAGGGTCACAGCAGCCATGGGTGGCTGAGGACCAGGCTTCAATGGTGGGGAGCCTTGGGGCAGATCTCAACTGTTCCTGCCCCTTTGTGCCACCTCTCAGTGCAATGTTCAGGGCAGCAGTTCCCTCGGGTGTGCTCACACCAAGAGTCTAAGCCGACCCCTTGCAGGCATGGAGAAAGACTCCTCTCCCCAGCTTCCCCGAGGCTGGGTGCACCCTCTCCTCCACTCGTGGGAAGTTCCGCCCCACAAAGGGGTTGGCCACCTGTCATCAGCAAGCAACACCCTCCAAAATCCTGTCCAGAGGGGAAGACCTGCGTTAAGCAGACACTCTCCCAACTAGCTAACTCGTTTCCATTCTGCCGGTTCCCACTGGCTCCGAGAGCACAGTGCTCACACCTGGACATCAGGTCCGCCTTCACCTGGAGGTGTTACGGCACAGCCTGCAGGGAAACAGGACTGACCCCAGGACAGATGGAGGGGCGTCTTGTAGGACACGACTCCTGCGGACTTGTTAGGACCCGCAGGACCACACCACAGCTGGGTTGAAGTCCTCGAAGAGGCCATGTGGGTGGGGGGCAGCAGCCTCACACCTAACTAGGGTCTTGCTGAAAACAGCCTGCTGGTTCGGTAATGGGGTGGGGCGGTTCCTGGGATGGAGCAGGGAGGGGGAGGAGGATGAAGGAAATTCGGTGGAAAGTGATTTTTTGAAGAGAAAACATAAAACTTAGAAGAAAAATCAAACTTAAGGCGTATTAAAGAGGTGGTCAGGGAAGAAAGTTGGAATTCCGGAACTCCTAGAGCCGTAGCATGAAGGTGTGCGGCCACTCCAGGAGGCTGACAAATACAGACGGGCAAAGGGTGGCAAGCGCTGGGCATGAAGGCTTGTTACTTCCTGTGATGGGGGAGGACGCTGGTGGGGAGAGGAAGCACCTGGCCACGGTCAGTAGTCAACAGAGTGCTGGTTCTGCAGCTGCAAGCAGGAGGGCTGAGGCCGGGTGGTCAGTGAGCAGCAGGACTTCACCTGAAGGCATCCTGCTCAGCCTGGCTGCCATGACAGAGTGCCTCGGCTGGGGGCTCACACAACAGAAACGTAGTTCTTGGAGCCAGAAGTCTGATACCGAGGTGTGGGCAGGGTCAGTTCCTCCTGAAGCCTCTCCCCGGGTGTGTCAACGGCGTCTTCTCCTTCATCCCTCTGTGCCTATCTGTGTCCTCACCTCTTCTTTTCTTTTGAGATGGACTCATGCTCTGTTGCCCAGGCTGGAGCGCAGTGGCATGATCTCAGCTCACTGCAACCTCCGCCTCATGGGTTCAAGCGATTCTCCTGCCTCAGCCTCCTGAGTAGCTGGGACTACAGGCGTGCTCCACCAAGCCAGGCTGATTTTTCTTTTTGTATTTTCAGTAGAGATGGGGTTTCACCACCTTGGCCAGGATGGTCTTGAATTCCTGACCTCGTGATCCACCCGCCTCGGCCTCCCAAAGTACCGGGATTACAGGCGTGAGCCACTGTGCCCGGCCTTTCACCTCTTGTTATAAGGACACCCATCCTAGCAGTGTCTACCACAGGACCAACATTAATGAACAAACTGAATCTTAATTACTTCCCTAAGACCCCATCTCCAAATACAGTCACATTCCAAAGTCCTTGGGGTTAGGACTTCAATGTATGAATTTTGGGGGACGCAGTTAAATCCATAACTAAGGCAAAGGAGTGGCTCAAAGAACTGTGAGAAGTTCTGTGAGTTTGCAACTGGGTCAGGAGGAGAGTTGTGGGTGGGTAGGAGCGGCGGCTACAGGTGGCTGCCAGGCCCTCGGCCATGAGACCTGTCTATGTGGACAGCGAAGCTGCAGCTGTCTCAGCCACAGGACACAGCCTTGACTCCCTGGCCCTAAAGCCTCTGGAGAACCTGCCTGCTTCCAGGGCTGCTGCAGCCGCTGCCTACCCTGCCTACTTCCAGGGCCACTGCAGCGACTGCCTCTTGGCCTCTCTGTGACATCAGCTCCTGACTTAAAGCCCAGGGCAGGGCTTGGAGGGGCCTGGAGCAGGGCATTGCAGCAACCTCAGGACAGTGGGAGAGTGAGTCCCAGCTCTGCTTCTCCAGGGTATGCTGGGCTCTGTGTCCCCTAGGCTTCAGAAGGTGGGCCGGGCATGGTGGCTCATGCCTGTAATCCCAGCACTTTGGGAGGCTGGGCAGGCAGATTACCTGAGGTCAGGAGTTTGAGACCAGCCTGGCCAACACGGTGAAACCCCGTCTCTACTAAAAATACAAAAATTATCTGGATGTGGTGGTGCATGCCTGTAGTCCTAGCTACTCAGGAGGCTGTGGTAGGAGAATTGCTTGAACCTGGGAGATAGAGGTTGCAGTGAGCTGAGATTGCGCCACTGCACTCCAACCTGGCAACAGAGCGAGACTCTGTCTCAACAACCAAAAAAAAAAAAGGTGGGTGTTCCCTAGACATTAGGAGGAGGTCAGACCCCTGCTGTCCAAAATCAATGACAAATGCAGGAACAAAGTGGCTTGAAGAATATGGGCAAAGACTATCAAATCTTCAACAAAATCAGGTAAAATGTTGGCAAAAAATGTACCATTATGCTTTCAAGATAGTGTGAAAGAAAGTAAGTATTAGGAAAGTTGATTGATTTTATGTAAATAATGAAAACAATGACACCTACACTTTACGGAGATGAGAAATGCATTTTAGAATCACGTTGTAAACACTGGACTCTCTCTAGCTCCATTCGTGGTCATGAACACGTGGATTGAGCCAGCTCAAGTGAATGTGGAGCTGTTAGCCGGGGAGGAGCTGCCCCGATCCAACTCAGGACCCTCACTCAGCTGAGCCCCACTGTGCCGGGAACGCTCTCCTGGGAGGGACTCTTCTTCCCCTGCTGTTCTCTGCCATCTGCAGAGGCCGTCTGCCGGGCAGGGGCTCCATCCTCTCATCTCTCCCTGATGATAAAGGAACCCAAGTCCTTCTTAGAATAGGGTGAGGATGGGAGGCACAGCGGGGAGTGTCTCCCATCTTCCCTGGACTCTTCTTAGACAGTGTAGGGTGAGGCTGGGAGGTACAGGGGGGAGATTGTCTTCCATCTTCCCTGGACTGCGCTGAGCCAGGCTGATGTCCTGGGGACACTGAAGACTGGTGTTTCTGGTCATGTCTCGGTGGTTACAAATGTGTGCAAGTGACTGATCCAACGGTGATACTCCTCCTAAGAGCAGTGTTATCTCTGGTTTTTTGGGTAGAACTGCCAGGTGCCTAGAAGCGTCTGGAGGAAGGCCCAGGCAGTCAAGATAAAAATGAGGTATCTCCCTCAATAGGAAAGCAGCCTTTGAAAGAGAAGATTCCACATGAGCAGTGACCACGGCGCAGCTGAGGCGGAGGAAAGAGGGGGGACCTGGTGGTGCTACCTCGGGGGAAGGAGATGGACTCCAAGTGAGGGTGCTGGGTCTGGCCTCATATCAAGGGCTCTCCAACCTGTGCCTCAGTCAGCCCCTGCTGCATGCCGGTCAGCTTAAACTTGGCGCTTTAGAACAACAAGCATTTATTGAGCATGCAGTGCTGTGATAGGGTCAGTGATTTGCCTTTGTGCCTCGCCGAGCGGTTCCTCTGCTCTCGGCTGGACTCTCCTGCGCTATGGGCAGACTCGGGTTGGCTGGGGCTGGCTGACCTCAGTGGAGCTGGCCTGTCTGCTGTGTCAGATCGCTCATCCCCCTGCTCTTCTGGTCTTGCTCATGGGACCGCAGAGCACAGGGACTCTCGGCTGCATTCTGCTGGCCAAAGCAGGTTGCAAGCCCGCCCTGGTAGAAGGGCTGGGGAGAAAGAATTCACCTCTCCCTGGGCGGCAATGGGACGTCACAGGGCCCAGGGTGTGAGCACAGCATGGAGGGAAGGCTTGTTGGCCATTCCACAGTGACCCTAACACACGTTCCATGGCGACACAGGAGTTTCCCTTCCCAGGTTGACTTGAGCAGAGCATCAAAACGGTACTGACGGTTGAGGTCCCCAAAGCGGAGAGAACATGCCAAGGTCCACATTCCAAAGCAGGCACTAGAGCCCTTGTGTGGGGCAGGAAAGGGGCATTTCAGGTGCCGAAGCCCTGTGTGGGGCAGGAAAGTGGCATTTCAGGTGCCGGAGCCCTGTGTGGGGCAGGAAAGGGGCATTTCAGGTGCTGGAGCCCTTGTGTGGGGCAGGAAAGGGACATTTCAGGGGCTGGAGCCCTTGTGTGGGGCAAGAAAGGGGCGTTTCAGGCACTAGAGCCCTTGTGTGGGGCAGGAAAGGGGCATTTCAGGTGCCGGAGCCCTTGTGTGGGGCAGGAAAGGGGCATTTCAGGGGCTGGAGCCCTTGTGTGGGGCAAGAAAGGGGCGTTTCAGGCACTAGAGCCCTTGTGTGGGGCAGGAAAGGGGCATTTCAGGTGCCAGAGCCCTTGTGTGGGGCAGGAAAGGGGCATTTCAGGTGCCAGAGCCCTTGTGTGGGGCAGGAAAGGGGCATTTCAGGTGCTAGAGCCCTTGTGTGGGGGCAGGAAAGGGGCGTTTCAGGCACTAGAGCCCTTGTGTGGGACAGGAAAGGGGTATTTCAGGCACCAGAGCCCTTGTGTGGGGCAGGAAAGGGACATTTCAGGTGCTGGAGCCCTATATGGGGCAGGAAAGGGGCGTTTCAGGCACTAGAGCCCTTGTGTGGGGCAGGAAAGGGGCATTTCAGGTGCCGGAGCCCTTGTGCGGGGCAGGAAAGGGGCATTTCAGGTGCCGGAGCCCTTGTGTGGGGCAGGAAAGGGGCGTTTCAGGTGCTGGAGCCCTGTGTGGGGCAGGAAAGGGGCATTTCAGGTGCCGGAGCCCTATGTTGGGCAGGAAAGGGGTGTTTCAGGTGCCGGAGCCCTGTGTGGGGCAGGAAAGGGGCATTTCAGGTGCTAGAGCCCTGTGTGGGGCAGGAAAGGGGCATTTCCCAGCCCTCTCTAGGGCACAGCGGGATGCGGTGTGAAGGAGTGCGGAAGAGAATTGAGAGGTGGTTTCCTAGAGGATCGGAGGGCTGCTGGCATTTCTGCCACACTCTCTCCATGGGGTGGGGGCTTTACCCTCAGCTGAAGCCGAGTGAGAAGACGCAAGGGCCCCCTGGGTAGCCGTTTGGGTCTGGAGCACGACGCACAGCTGGGTCGAGTACCTCTCGCTGGCAGACTGCTAGTGGCACTGGAACTTCCTTGAGGTGAGGCTCAGAGGCTGCTCCCTAGGGGGCCAGGGACACTCTTGGGGAGCTGGGCTGCGGCTGTCTGGGAGCGGCCACGGGCTGCCATCCTGGGAGAAGACGGGTGTGAGACGCGTTCCAGAACCTGGGAGTGAGGTTCAAATGGGGGAATCGGCAGGAAGCCGCCCAGCTGAAGATCAGTAGCGTGACCGCTGGCTCACCTCTGTGCCTTTCTTCTGGATCCTTCTCTGCCTTCCCGCTGACACCTGCAGGAGGCAGAAGTGGCCGATGAGGGCAGGGGCGGGAGGTCGGGAGATCAGGAGTCCACGCACCAGCCTCGGGAGGACTTCCAAGCCTGCTGCGTGTCTGAGCTGCAGCCACAGTGGATTTCCCCAGCTGGTCATTGTTTAAACGACTAAGACCAGGCTGACCTGTGACCCAGAGACTCTACATATTAATTTTTTTAATATGAAAGTGACTTGACATGCTATGGAATCTACCAGAAATTTCACCGAAGCTGGGGTTGAGCAGGGAAAAAACCAGGATTTGTGCCACGACAAACCTATATCCACGCTGTATGCACTCGCCCCGCCTCAGATGTCCACCCTGGGGTGATTACTTCCCTGGTCTTATATTAGTTATCTGTTGCTCATAACTGACTAGCACAAACATTATCTCTCAGCCCAAAAAGACTGGGCCAGAAGTCGGGGCAGAGTTTCAGGAGCTCTCTGCTTGAGGTCTGGCAGGCTGAGGTCAGCAAGCCTCATGGGAAGCTCAGGGTCCTCTTCCCAGCCCATGCTTGCTGGCAGGTCTCTTTCCTCCCCTCTCTGCAACTCCTGAAAGGAACAGGGAGCACCTGCTGCAGACTTCAGCCTCCCCAACCTCAGACCCAGGTTTAAACGGCTCACGTGACTGGGCCAGGCCAACCCAGAAAAAGCTTATTGTTTTGATTAACTCAGGGTCAGCTGATGAGGCACCTTAATCCTATCTTTGCCACTTAACTTAATCCGTAGTCACGGGAGCCACGTGCCATGGTCTTCCCCACCCCTGCCACACCCTGGATGGGGGGCCATTGTTGTGAGGCTGAGGATGTCTGGGACTCCGGTCACCACCGGTCCTGCGTAACGACATCTCCACATTTGGTGTAGGGAACCAGGCTGATGAGCCTCGGATGTGTGTGACACGGACCAAAGGGAACACGGGCTCAGCCACGTGAGTTTCTCGCAGTAACACTGCAGTCTCGCTATTGCCGAAACGTGGAGTCTTCCTCAACTGCCTCGCAGGCATGGGGCAGCCACGAAGGAGCTTGCAGGTGCCTGTGGGAGAACAGAGCTTGGGTTGCCCGCAGAGTCCGGGGGTCTAGGGGGATGATGGACAGACAGGCCAGGCTTCCACCCATCCTGTCTCCTAGCAGATTCTGGGGAGCAGGGCTGCCCTGGGGCGTCCACGTGGCCCCTTGCTGCTGGGGCCAGGGTAGATCCACTGGGCTTCGAGTCTGCTGGGCGATGACAGAGTGGTCTCAGGGCAAGCCCGTCCACTGGCCTCGGGGGAGGACCAGGGCTGTACCGGCAGCGTCTGAAATTCCAGCTCCGCGGCCCCGGCGCCTCCAGGTGAACTCTGGGTGTGGTACGGGGGTCTCCGTTTCCATGAAACTGAACGACACGCAGCCTCTGACTCGGTGGCTGTCTTGGGATTTTCCTTTCAAAAGCTTTTACAGTTGCCTTCAAGCAGTCCGTTTGTCTGTCTCTTGTTTAGAACGAGGAATGACAATGAATGTTGGAGAGCCTCTCCCGCAGATGGGTGGCACGGCCTCAGCCTGAGGGAAACGTGTTCCCATCCCGCTCCGGGGGCAAGTCCCCGCCGGCTCGGACCCCAGGGAGGTGGAGGCAGGCACCGTCCCCTTGTCCGGGTGACCCTGTGTGGCCTCCCTGCTAAGCCCGCAGCCTGGGCTGGCAACAGCCTCGATCGGGGGCCGGGGGAAGCGGCCGAGATGTGGCTCGGAGGTGGCAGCTGGCAGGCGGGGTCCTCCAGTGACAGCTGATGTGTCGCGGCCTGAGCCTCCACCCTGGGCGTGACTCGCTTGTCCACAGCATCGGCAACTCTCTGAAAAGACCCCTCTGCTACATGTCACGGTGCCCGGAGGGAGGGAGAGCAGCCAGGACCCGAGGTCCTGCCAAGCTCATAAAATCTCCCTGTAGGGACCTGAGAAGCCAGGAGGACCCGGAGCCAGCGGGAGGGAGGCCACGGAGGGGCCCAGGAAGCCTGAGCTGCTTGGAGGGGGAGGCAGCGGCGACCCCAGCGGGGAGCCACACTTGGTGGAAAGAGGGGCCTCTGGAACTGGAGCATGGCGGTGACTTTGGAATTCTGTCCAGCTGCATTCAGCCATCCAGCAACAGGTCCCAGCGTGAACAGGTCCCCCGGAGCGAGCGCTCGGGAATGTCTCCTGGCCAGGCCTGGAGATTGCAGGAGGCCGGGCGAGGAGCCCCGCGTCTCCCCCGTTTCCGGGCCGTTGTTTTCTTGGCTGGATTTTGAGGAGGGTTAAGTGTCCCTCTTGGCCTGGCTGCTGAGTGGGGTGAGAGCGATTGCGTGAACTTGCTTCCTGGCGTGCGGCTGTGAATGCTTCTCGGCTCGCCTGGCTCCCGCGGTTTCCTTCCCAAGCCCTCCTTGCTGGCAGGAGGGAACAGACAGGCGGGGTGTGGATCCCTCCGGAGCTCACTGGGGGCCGTTCGCCCCGCTCATCACTCTGGCCACACTCCCTGCCCGCCCCTTACATTCCGGGCTTGCCTAGACAGGCAGATGGAGTGGGCTTTCGGGAAAGAGAGAGAGAGAAAAAGGAATCTTTTCTATGTGGCTGGTTTTGAACCCTTGAAATCCCAGTGAAAATAATCACACTAAATACTATTTGTAGCAGCCCAGAGACATGGAACACGGGCTGAATCCTTTGCGTTTCTTTGTAATTGGAAAAGGATGTTTTTACATCTTGACATTTTTTGACTCTCAGCCACATCTAGATAGAATTAGTGAGACCCCAAGAAGACATTCCATCAACGCTGGGTAACTGCAAGAACTTTAAACAGATCTGTCGTGATGTCTCTGAGAATGGCGGCCTGCAGTGACCTGGAATCCCACAGTGGCTCTGCCAGGTATTCCAGGAACAGGTCCCAGGGACACGCGTCTAATTTATTATTTATGGAGCAAATTATCGTTCTCCACAGCAAGCAGAGACCTTGACAAATGGGCCACCACTGTGGCTTCCTGATTTTCTTTTCTTTTGGGGGTGTTGAGGGTTGCAACAGACGATGCCCTAAAGACCTCCAGGGCTGTGCCTGTGCTGGACATCTGGCCAGCCCTCAGGGTCCTGGACTTGTCCTCATCTCTACTGCTCACCTGCTGCCTGCGATGCAGACCTGCCTCCCCTGGATGCTCACACACTTTTCATAGCTTTGTGTCTGGTGGGTGCAGCCTTAGTCTCCCAGGAGGCCCCTCCCCGACCATGGTCAGAGGGAGTCATGGACCACCTTCCAAGCATCAGGTAAGTCGTGCAAACCCTCCAGCTTATGAGGCTCACAGCCCCCTTGAGAGAGCCTGTGGGTGTGGAAAGTTTTATTATTTGGGAAATGCCGTGGCTTTATATCTATGAATGAGGATGGGTGAGTGTGGAGAGCTGCAGCTGTGTGCCTGGGCGGGGTTGGACTGTTGCACCTGCTCTGTGGGTGTTCACATCAGTTGTAAGAGTGGAGCAGAGGCAGCCGCTCGTCCCGCATCTGATGTGCAGAGGGGAGGCTGCGAGGTGTACCTTTGGGGGTTGTGTTTGCCAGGGGCCCTCGTTGTGGTTGAATATCTGTGCTCTGAGTTCCCCTGGAAGCTTATTTACCTAACAGCTGTGTCTAGTTAGCCTCACGGATGGGCTGGTGGTGCACATACTCGCTCCAGCCGTCTTTAGAAGCAACAAGATTCATCCTGAGCCTGGTTTGTGATTCTGACTGTAGTCATGGAAGAAAAGAAAAGCCAATAAGCTTTCCACTGTGTACATTTTCTGTAGTTTAACTTTTGAAAGCCTCTTGTAGCTTTATGGGAATATGAATAAGTGAGTCGATGAATACCTAGAAAGCACCCATGTTTTGCTGAATGATTCATTTTTAGCCCTTCTGTGTATAAAACATTTCAAGAAAATCAGAGAAAAGTTATGTTCCTAATGCTTAAATTGCAGCATAAAATGATACTTGATGCCGTGGGGCCATCCTGGTACCATTTAATGCCATTCGGCTTTAGGGCAACATTATCTCCAGTCCTCCAGCATCAGGTCCCGGTGGCTTAGGGGATGGGGGATCGGAGTAGTTCCAACAGGCATCCCTGTCCAGCCTGGTGCTGGGAACACGCAGATCCTCATTTCCAGGAGCTAAGGGTCAACTTGTGGGAGGATGGCACAGGGGCTGCTGGACAGAGGCCGTGCAGAAGGTTCTGCAGCGGGGGCGCTTGTGGGTCTCCTCCATGAGGCTGGAGCTAATGCTCGTCGTCCACTGCGCATCTGAACCATTGCATCCATAGTCATTACATGCTCCAATTGTCCAGGCTGCGGCCTCCCCAGGCCCTGCTGCTGTTGCTACAGTGGCTGCTATTTGGGGTCTGCCTGAGCACCTCTGGAGGTAGGGAGCGGGGACCACAGATTCCGGAGCAAAGTCCTCGTGGCGGCTGCATGCCACGTGTCTACTTGGTTGGGCCCTGGTGCCCAGATGCTTGGTCAAGTATTATTATGGATAATTCTGTGAAGGTGTTTTTGGATGAGATTAGCATTTCAATGGGTGGACTTTGAGTAAATTAAAGGACCCTCCATAGTGTGGGGCTTTATCCAATCAGTTTAAGGCCTGCACAGGACGAAGACTGGCCTTCCTCCCTCAGGAAGGGGTTCTGCCAGCAGACGCCTGTGGACGCAAACTGAACTTGCCCTTATCTGCACTGCTCACCTGCTGCCTGCAATGCAGACCTGCGGCCCCAGACGCTCAGACACTTTTCACAGATTTATGCCTGGTGGGTGCAGCCTTAGCCTCCCAGGAGACTGCCCTCCCACCCCCCTCTTCATGATCAGAGGAAGATACTGACCTCCTTCCAAGCATCAGGGTAAGTCCTGGAGACCATCAGCTCCTCCCTGGGTCTCCCGCTGATGGCGAGCCCCACAGATTTTGGACTTGCCAAGCCTACAGAATCGCTTGAATCAGTTCCTTAAAATAATCCCTCTTTCCATGCAGATATACACATTTTACTGGCCCTCTTCTCTAGAGAACCCTAATGCACTATCTTATTTGTCAATGTCATAATCTCTCTCAAAGAGAGTTGGGGAACTGGCCCAGGGCCCTGCAGTGAGTATGGCTCTAGATCCTAATCAAGTGTGTGTGGCTTCACAGCCATGATCTTTCCGTTTACCACATTGCAATGAGGAGGGAAGAAGGGTGCTAGGCAATGTTCTAAGCACGTTTGTTACCAGACAATCATCTAGGTGATCCTCTTGCCCTTTGTGTGGGAGCTCCTGTCATTAACCCCGTTTAACAGATGTGGGGACCATGTCACAGAAAGAGTAGGTCCCCTGTCCAAGGCTCCCCAAGGCTGGTCAGTGGCAGAGCCCAGATTTAGATCCAAGCAATCAGCCTGCAGACACCTTGCCACCCTGCTTGTGTCTATCACACTAGATTGCATCCCCATTACAGAATTTTCACCTCCACTTAGGGAGACATAAGTTAATATCAATAGATTTTATGATATTGCATCAGACTTTATCATATTGTAGTCCATTGATTAATACGTCTCCACATATATTTGATCATCAAATGGAGAAATTCATAGGTGTTAACAAAAAATATATCTATTGAGTTTGATGAAGGGTAGTTTATTACCTGCCTGAAACGCTACAGATGAGAGGAGCCTGCTAGTACGCCTCTGCATCTTGTGACAATGAGATGTGTGCGCCAGGAATGGCAGCCACCCTGGGCATGACCCCAGGACACAAGTGAGCTGCCCTTGGGGAGGGGCAGGGCGGGGCCCTCCTCCTGCAGCCCTGGCTGTTATCATGGTTTGCTCGTGGGAGTGACAAGCTAGGCACAGTCATTTGACACAGGCTGCTTCTAGATTAGAAATGAAATGTGGTCCTCAGTGCAATTAAAACGTTTCTGAGTCCTCAACAGGAAGAGCCGGGAAAGAGCAGGTTCTGTCAGAGCTGCCCAGGACTGGGTGGGGCTGGGTTGAGATTTGCTGGGCTGTCAAGGAGGCTGGGGCCAGGTAACGCCACGTGTCTTCTCTTTGTGTGGCTGTGGAGCACGGTGTGCATATACGTCCTGTTGCTCTGGCAAGTTTTGTGTCTTTTTGTTTGTGCTAGATGTCTGGAGGTGTTTAAGGAGAGCCTCTGTCCATAGGAAGCCAGGAGTCTAGATGTGGAGTGAGGTGTGTCTTTTGTGAGTGCGGTTCTGAATATCGCCCAGGCATGAGCGTCCTGTCCCTGTTGTGTGACAAGCACCACACACAGGCGCCGTAAACAAGAGAGATGCACTGCCTCACAGTCCTGGAGCTCAGAGATGCAAAGTCAGGGTGCTGAACTGGCTTGGTTCCTCCTAAGGCTGGGAGGAAGGAGCCATTCCCGGGCTCTCCCAGCTTCTGGTGGCCATGGGCATTACTTAGCTTGTAGATGTCTCCCTCCATCTTCACACTGCCTTTCCTCCACACGTCTGTCTTTGTGTCCCAATGTCTCCTTTCTATAAAGATGTAGTTATGCTGGATTAGGGCCTTCCCTCATGACCTGCTCTTCATTCATCATATCCACATTAGACCCTGTTTCCAAAAAGGCCACATTCCTGGGTACTGGGGTTAGGGCTTCAGCACCTTTTGGGAGGTGGATGCGATTCGATCCATAACAACCAGTGATGACATTTTCCCCTTCTCTGGGGAGATGGAAGGGTCTGAAGATGCTGCCGGCCTCCTTGCTTTCTGACAACTTTCATCAAGGTTGGTGTACATCTCACCTGGATCATTAACTCCTCCCCAGAAAGTGAAGTGTGACACCTGCAGGATCTGTGTCAGTGCTTCTTTGTTTTTAAAAAATTTTGTGCTTCACTTTTCTACTTCTGTTACAGAACAGAGAGAGAGATTTGCCACAGTGACCCAATGAGGCGAGAGAATTATGGCTGCATACTATGAGGGGCCCATGACTTCTGCCTCAGGGGACATTTAAGAAGAGGTCAGAACACATCCCTTCTTTGAAACAGACCCCAGAGTGCACAAAGGCAGGGCTGAGAGTGGGAGAAAGGACGCTGTGATTGCTTCCTGGCCCAGGCGAGGCCCGGTCACCTGGACAAGCAGAGTCTCTCTGCTGCCAGGGGCCCCAGCGGGGCAGCAGCTCCAGGAGTGCCCTTTCTGTCACATGTTCATTCACAGAGTCTCAGCGAGGCCCACTTGTGACAGCCCTCAGGAGAGTGGTCAGTGTTGGGGGTCTCTCCCTGCCCTGTGACCCTGGGGTGAGCGCCACAGAGACAGTGACCTTTGCCACAGGCAGACGGATGTTCAGACAGAGGCCTCCTGGTCTCGGTGTTCCAACTTGGCATGTCTAAACAAGATCACAAGCACTTTTTACCCCACTGCTTGTCTTGTTAATGACTTTGCAAGAAATCAAAGTAATGCTTTCCCCGTGACACCTGTGTGCATCCATGGAGGACCCTGGGGCCTGGGGGGTGGGAGCCCTGAGCTGGGAGGCAGACAATGTCAACAGCACGTCACAGACCACACGCTGGGAGCCACTTCTATGCCTAATGCTCCTTCCCATTTCAGGCTTGACCTGCACTTTTGAGCTCTCAGTGAACACCCCAGGGGCTTAGGGAGGGCCCAGGAATTGACCCTGTCATCAGGCCATAGTGACACGCAGAGACCAGGGACTCCTCGTTCAGCTCAGCGTGGAAAGCTCCCTGAGAGTCAGCACGAGGGTGAGAGGGAAGCTGGAGCAACTCTGGGTTTCCTCTTTCTCTCTACCACGTGGCCTGTGTAATCCATACTGCGGTCTTCAGGCTCTGGCTCAGGACAAGCTCTGAGGTGAACTTCTCCCTCTATGGGTCCTTGCAAGTTATTCTGACACAATGAGTAGCCCCTCCAGGCTGAGACAGAGGAGGACGGCTGCCAACAATACGCGGAGTCCTGTCCTCACCCACTCCACAGGGACGGGAGACGGCAAACATTCGATCAATCCCACTTCCGACAGTGAACCCTGAGGGAAGGGTCATGGAAACGTACAGATGATCAGGAACTGAAACCCTGATCAAAGAAGAAAACTGAGAGCAGTTTCATTGTGGAACAAGAGGGAGCAGGTTATAGAAATTGTTACGGGTTGAGTTATTGTCCCCCAAAAGATATGTTGAAGTTCAAACCCCCAGTACCTCAGAACGGGACCTAATTTAGAAATAGGGCCTAGCAGATGTGATTTGCTAAGACGAGGTCCTCCTGGAGTAGGACGAGTCCAACAAGCAGTAGTGAGAGAAGGATATTATAGCCAGAAGCGTAGAGGTAAGTGAAGGTCAGAGATGTGAAGCAGGTTAAAAAAAATTAGATTATGTAGAAAATGATCTTAGGAGACAATCTTTTTCTTCCCAGCTGACCTTAAGTGCATGGATCAGTGAAGCGGTGGCAAGAGTCCAGCTGGGCAGTCCTCAGGACTGGTTAATTTGTGTACTTGACAGAGAGCTGCATGCAAAATGACACAGAGACAGACACACAGAGGACAGCCTGTGATGACGGGGCAGAGACAGAAGCGGCGAGTCTACAACCCTCGGCACACCCAGGGTGGCTGCGACCCTCGGATGCCAGGGAGAGGCGAGGAAGGGTGTCAGTCAGAATTTCAGAGGGCACAGCACCCTGCTGACACCTTCAGGTGGGACTTTCAGAACAAATTCCTATTGTTTAAAGCAGTCCAGTGTGTGGTGCAGCCCTAGAAAAGCAGGACAGAAATTGTGTTACTTTCACAAGAGACTGTATTCATCCATTAAACAGCAGTGCCCTGAGAATAATGCTTGGTGACACAGGAAAACACTTGTGCTTCAGTAAATTAAAAAAAGAAGCGGATTGCAAACAGCATGTACTGTACAATTCAATTTCTGAAAAACAAAATATGTACTTATTCACGGAGAAAAATGACTGGAGAAATGCATGGCAATGTTCACCACGATGTTCTTGCTTGTGATTAAGATTGTGGATATTTATGTGTACTTTTGGTTTATCTTCGTTTCTCAAAGTTTCACAATGTATGTGTATTGTTCTGATAGCAAGAAAAAAAAATGCCGGACTTCTCTTAGCAAAGACAAATGCCAAGAGCAAAAATGTGTGTAACAAGTTTGGAAGACAAAGTTTGAATATGCTGGAAGCGTATGAACCAAAAAGGGAGACAGAGATCCTAACAGCAGAGCCAGAGATCCTTATACACAAGAGAAAGAGACAGGAAACATTAATGAAATACTCAAATGCTTTAGCAACATCAGAAATGCAAATGAAATCATTGTTTTCCAGTAAAATAGGGCAAGCGGTAATACTCAGTTTGATGGAGTTGGGTGAAATGGAAACTCCTTCTTCTGCAGGAGGGTGTGAGTGTAGAAGTTCCAGGATGGGCCATTGTGGGGACGCCTCAGGGGGCGCTGTCCGCTGATTCCAGAGTCTTTCCTGAGAAAGTAATTCCAGACATGAAAGATGTTTCAATACAGTGACCTCCAGCCATGCAGACCTGGACCCTATTAAAACAATGGCCAATCGGCTCTGGAGCATGCGAAGGACAAGGGACACATTCCCACCATTTTTCATGCATGGGGAACATTTTCAACATGAAATTAACCCAAGAAGGCCTTGATCTGGAAACGCGTCAGCACTGTGGTTCGGTGAGTGGGATTTATTGGGTGATTGTTGGCATTGCCCACTCACATGCAGTCTCTTGGTCTATCATGGCCGGGGCAGCCTCGGTGCATGTGTGTGGGTCCCAGAGGGGATTCAGATCCTGCAGCTGTGACCACCACTCTGTCTGCAGGGGAGCCCACAGTCAGGGCTGCCGCCGACTGAAGAGGGCTCTGGCTAGTTACCCACCTGCCAAATGCCTCAGTTTCTCTTTCTGTAAAGTAGACATGATATTCTTTGATTGTTATGAAAAACTGATATGTAGAGAAGAGTTAACAACAACAACAAAACCCAGGTGGAAACATATACAAGTTGTCAGTACTTATATCTGGCTAAGATTGCAGGATTATTTTTTATTCTCGGTTTTCCAAAATGTTAATGACTTGACAATATTCGTTTTTTATGAAAATAAAAATATCTCAGCTTCTAAATATATGCCCTTCCCACATAATGAGGTCTACCAAGGCTTTTCTGGGTGTGTGGCCACCTGAGAGTCTGGGGAATAAGCTCTGAGTGTGGCATGCGGGAGCCACCCGCTCACTGCTCACCACACCTCGGAGAGTCACCTGTCCTCATGCTTCTGTGAAGCCAGCATCCGTCTGGCCCCAGCCTTGCTGTGGGTCCCAGGGCATCAGGGAGCCGCTGACAGCGCCCAGGAGAAAGGTACTAGCAGAAGCGTCTGATGGCAGCATAACCAAATATTCAGAATTTCACATGTGGGAGATTTCTTTTCTGAGAACCTCAAAGTTCATACAAAATTAATTAAAGCAGGGTCTGTGGAAATAGCAATTATGTCTGTAGTATGTTTGCTTTGATGTTACATAGGTTAAATGGTATTAAAAACAGCAAAATATATGGCATGAAAATAGATAGCAAACTCTGAGCTCCTGCAAACACAACCAGAGCCTGTATTAACAGTGAAAGAGCCCAATACAATTGCAGAACATGACCATGAAATAATACTGGACAACAAACAGTATTAGGAGAAGTATATTATAGCCAGAAGTGTAGAGGTAAGTGAAGGTCAGAGACAAGAAGTATGTAAAGAAATAATTTTAGGTTATGTAGAAAATGATCTTAAGTGACAATCTTTTTCTTCCCAGATGTCCTTAAAGACATCCATCTTTGAAGCAGCAACTAGAGTCCAGCTGGGCAGTCCTCAGGACTGGTTAATTTGTGTACATGACGGACGGCTTCTTGTGCAGCCCATACTTTGAGTTGTCCAACGTTGCTGCTGCTTCTCCTTGCTGATGTCACCTGCTCAAATCTGTGAAGATGGTGAGGGCCCTGCAAGAGGAGGTTCAGGAGGTCACAGTTCAGAGGGGACACAGGCTCCAATACCAAACCCAGGTTAGGGATCTTGAAAAGATGATTGCAATTATATGGTGATATGGTTAGGCTTTGTGTCCCCACCCAAATCTCACCTTGAATTATAATCTCCATAATCCCCACAGGTCAAGGGAGAGACGGGGTGGGGGTGATTGGATCATGGTGGGGGCTTCCCCCATGCTGTTCTCGTGATAGTGAGGGAGTTCTCATGAGATCTGAGGGTTTTTGTTTTTTCGTTTTGTTTTGTTTTTGAGATGGAGTCTCACTCTGTCACCCAGGCTGGAGTACAGTGGCACAATCTTGGCTCACTGCAACCTCCGCCCCCTGGGTTCAAGCAATTCTCTGCCTCAGCCTCCCAAGTAGCTGGGATTACAGGCACCTGCCACCATGCCCAGCTAATTTTTGTATTTTTAGTAGAGACGTGGTTTCATCATCTTGGCCAGGCTGGTCTTGAACTCGTGACCTCGTGATCCACCCACCTCGCCTCCCAAAGTGCTGGGATTACAGGCGTGAGCCACCGTGCCTGGCCGATCTGATGGTTTTATAAGGGGCTCTTCCCCCTTCGTTCGACACTCTCCTTCCTGCTGCCTTGTGAAGAAGGTGCCTTGCTTCCCCTTCACCTTCTGCCATGATTGTAAGTTTCCTGAGGCCTCCCCAGCCATGCAGAACGGTGAGGCAATTAAACCTATTTCCTTTATAAATTATCCAAGTTTCTGAATTGGACCCATTCATTTAAACTTTTTTGTGCCTCTGGTATGTACATATGTACATATGTATTCATTTATTTATTTACAACCTGTGTAATGGGCACATTGAAGACCTTTGTCCCAACCTCATCGTGGAGACCTGAAATGCAAAGATGGCATCTCCACTGCCCCCTCCTGTACAGAACACAAACTGCAGGTTTTTGTACCTTATCACTGGCTTCGTCACAAGGAGCCAACTTCTCCAAATCTCCTGAGTGATGCTTAAGAGATGTGACATGCTTATGAGGTTTTCATGACACCAAAGAAAACCTCTCCTGGTGAATTTGGAGGCATATTGTCCCAAATCCGCAGAACCGCAGGCAGTCCAGAGGGACCCTTGGGTAACAGTGCTTGGACAAGGTGACTTCAATCCCCGTAGAAATGATTATGAAACATCAAAATATAATTCTTCTTGAGTAGGTTTTGCTTTCTGAATATTGCCTCAACGTCACTTTGAAATCAAAGGCTTCTATCTGACACCCGTCAATCATCTGACACACTTGCGGCTTGTCTGCCAGGGCCTCAGTCCTCTCACCTCCGTTGCTGTTTGTGTCTGGATGCGGAGCGTCTTCCTCAGTCCTCTCACCTCCGTTGCTGTTTGTGTCTGGATGCAGAGCGTCTTTCTCCAACAAAGAATGGAGTTGCTTTCAGAGCAGACTCCGAGGCTCGGGTCCAGCACTGCGTGCTGTCTCGCACCTTTCCTTAAATGCCGCTCTGGACGGGTGGCAGAGATTCACCTCCTCTGATGCAAACCAAACTCTGAATTTGTTTAGAGACACAATCAATTCTGTGCTTTCTGTGGTGGCAGGTGCTATGGAAATCAGGCCTAGAAATGTTTTTTGGGGTGAAGGAGTACCACAAAAATTTATAACCAAATTTGGAACGAAGCCAAGAAGAGATCAGCGAGTGCACGGAGACAGTTGGTGCGGTTGGCCTGATGATTCATGACTGGATTCACTGGGTGGGAGAATTCCACAGCTGCGTTACAGGATGCTGGATTCACTGGGTGGGAGAATTTCACAGCTGCGTTACAGGATGCTGGATTCACTGGATGGGAGAATTTCACAGCTGCATTACAGGATGCTGGATTCACTGGGTGGGAGAATTTCACAGCTGCGTTACAGGACGCTGGATTCACTGGGTGGGAGAATTCCACAGCTGTGTTACAGGACGCTGGATTCACTGGGTGGGAGAGTTTCACAGCTGCGTTACAGGAGGCTGGATTCACTGGATGGGAGAATTTCACAGCTGCATTACAGGACGCTGGATTCACTGGGTGGGAGAATTCCACAGCTGCATTACAGGATGCTGGATTCACTGGATGGGAGAATTCCACAGCTGCGTTACAGGATGCTGGATTCACTGGATGGGAGAATTCCACAGCTGCGTTACAGGATGCTGGATTCACTGGATGGGAGAATTTCACAGCTGCATTACAGGATGCTGGATTCACTGGGTGGGAGAATTTCACAGCTGCGTTACAGGATGCTGGATTCACTGGGTGGGAGAATTTCACAGCTGCGTTACAGGATGCTGGATTCACTGGGTGGGAGAATTTCACAGCTGCGTTACAGGATGCTGACCACTCTGTCTGCCCATCTCTGGCTCCAAACTGCATCTGGAGGTCAGCAGAAAAGAGGAGAGAGGCCTATGGTTGTGTTGACCTATCTGGGGCTTTGGACTTCAGGGACTGAGCAGGGCTGGAATTAGAACCAAAGTCTGGGCTCTGCCCTGTGCCCTGTGCTTGGCTTAGGTGGGGACAGAGTCAGCTGATTTCACATTGATTTCAGGGCCACGCTCCTTGAGCATTGTCTCTGGGGTGGGGTTAGATGCACACGCAGACAATCTCCCCTACCTGTCTCTCTCAAAGCACTCCCACCCAAGCCTCCTGCCACAGCGCAGCTCTGCCTGCCCCACACAGGCTCCACCCCTCCCTCGAGGCTCTGCATGGGTTAGGATCACAGCCCTCCTGGACACACCGTAGTGCCCGGCATGACACATGCGTCTCCAGTCTGCATGCCCAACTTCATCAGTAACTGTTTGGAAGATGCAGGCAGAGACCTGGAGACTTAGGGAGAGCGTGGGCCCACCTGGGTGCTTTCTTGGGTCACCAGGGGCCTCTGCCTGCAGCCACATCTCTGGCTCAGAGCAGCAGCCATGGCCCCTCTCACAGAGTGGCCTGCTCTCCCGTGGCCCAGGTAGTACCCTGCTCTGCCAGGCTGCACACACTGAGCACAAACGAGGAGCCCCTGGCAGCCCCTCAGGTATGGTTGCTGTCAGCCTCACACAGGACGGAGAGTGCAGTGTCGGGAGAGGTGGGAGCAGCTGGGCATGACATCTCAGCTTTCCAGCGGCTGTGGCGGTCCCTGCAAGCGTCCCCTCAAGATTAGACAATCACTTGGTAAGAATTCAAGGAGATGCTTTCTGTTCACTTTACCCTGGCTTGCCGTATGACCTATCAAACGAGTTTGGTTCTCTCCAGGTTGCTTTCGTGAGAAACATCGTGTCCATGTTCATAGTATAAACATTGATATGGTTTGGCTGTGTCCGCACTGAAATCTCATCTTGAGTTGTAGCTCCCATGATTCCCACATGTCGTGGGAGGGATCCAGCGGGAGGTCACTGAATCACAGGGTGGATCTTTCCCATGCTGTTCTCGTGATAGTGAAAGTCTCATGAGATCTGATGGTTTTATAAAGGGCAATTCCCCTGCACACGCTCTCTTGCCTGCTGCCATATAAGACGTGCCTTTACTCCTCTTTCGCCTTCCACCATGATTGTGAGGTGTCCTCAGCCATGTGGAACTGTGAGTCCATTAAACCTCTTTCCTTTATAAATTACCCAGTCTTGGGTATGTTTTTATTAGCAGCATGAGAACAGACAAATACACACATACTGCAAAAATAATACCAAAGCATACATTGGTAATCAGCAACATGTCCCAAAATTACTTTCAATAGGTTGTCTTAAAAACAGAATAAAACACAAATGCATGATTGTTCTTGGTGCTGCAGGAATCAGTCCTTGTGTGAGCTTTGGCTTGGGTGGCAGGTCACTGGGGAGCCTGCTGCTTTCTGGAAGATGATTTTATGCAACTTTATCCAATTTAAGCAATCATGAAAACAATCTACCAGAATTTCTGCTTTGTAAAGCCACTTGGATTTACAAAAAAAAAAAAATTTTTTTTCATGAGCCAGTCAGCCACTAGAAATGTCAGACAACACACTCATCTGGTGGTTGACAGACAGAAAGACAGGTCCATGCTCGCCGTGCAGAGAGGCCGTGTGGCCTCAGGCCGTTGAAGATGGGGAGCCGAACCATCCACCGGGCACCTGCACCTCAGGAGCTCCTTCCTGATCTGAGGCTGCCTCGGCGCCCACCTGAACACCGGTTCTCCACTTCCTTCCGGTTGTTCAAAGCTACCTCCATCGTGCACTTAACAACATTATTTTATTGATTCTAAAGTTAAGTGTACCCCCTAAAAATTTTCAAAATACAGAGAAGTACCACAAATCTCTAGCCCACCTTGTGTGCTGGTCACAGTCTGTTGGGTATCTTTCCAGTCTCTTCTGTGCACAGCTGTAAAAACGCAACACACACTCTTGGCCTCCACCTCCCAGGTGCCCTCTGCCCTCTGCCTTTCCAGCCCCTCAGTCACTGAACCCCAGTGACTGTCTCCTTTGGAACCTGGCGGCCTCCTGGCCTCTGTGCCCGCATGGCCCTGCCTGCGTTTCTGAGTCTTAGCCAGCTGGCTGCTCTCTGCCTTGTGCTCCCTCCGCCACCTGCTTCTCCAGGGGCTTTTCCCACCCCTCCAGGGTCCTTCACTTGTTCCTGCTCTTCTACTGCCCCTGAAGGTTTGGCATTTCTGGGGTTCCTGCCCTTGACTCTTCCTCGGAGGCTCCTCAGTCTGTGTGTACCCCCTGGGCTCTGTGGGGACACCCTGAGGGCTCCAAGTCCATTTCCCCACATCTGGTCACCATCACCACACAGCCCAGAGGCCAGTGCCCCAACCAGGCAAGCACCAAGCCCACCATGGCTCTCCCTAGGCCCTCCTTGCTGGTGGCTGGTCCCCTAAACTAGCACCCCTGAAGCTGGTGGCAGCAGCTGTATCGGGGTTTGTTTGCCGGGCATCTCCTGTGTCTGAAATGTGGGCATGCGATCCTCACAGCCTCTTTTGCTGAGGGGAATTGCTCCTCTTATGGGTCCGTGAGGATGCAACAGGACCAGGTAGCTCGGGTAGGGGGCGCTCCCTGCAGAGCGAGCCTCCAGCTGCTGCCTTGACAAAGGCAGACCAACACCTTCGTCTCCATGGGTGCCTGTGGACCCTCCTGTCCTGAGGCATCCCTACCCCTTGCCTCCCCCTAACACAGATGTTAAGTCATATGCTTAAGTAAAAGACGGAGCCAAAACCCAAACCAGTTCTGCTGATCCCCAGCGTCTCCGGTGGTAAACCCTCCCGCCCCGGCTCCCCTTGGGATATTCCTGATAACTTCTTAGTTTGATCCTGCCTTTGGGAAATGCTAGGATAATCTCCACTTTTGGGGAATGCCAACCTTTTTCCTTGGAGCGTCTCACCTCCTGCTGTGGGATGGCTACTCACACCTGTCGGTGTATTTTGTTGCCATGAACATGACAGGTTAATCTGGGGGTGGAAGCTGAGCTGGTCAGTTGGACTGATTTTACTTGTTTGAGTGTTTTTAAATATGATGAAGCGAGGTCTGGGTATTTTAATTTTGTTTATTATTTGGTCTTTTGGGTTACTTAGTGAGACTACATAAACTCATCCAAAAACAGCTAGTTTTGTGCCACATAAATACACTGGTACTGGAACAGAATTAGATCAATAAGCAGCGAAGAGAGGATGACTGAGATGAACAGGACGGTGGAAGAAAAATCAGAACTTGCAGCAATGGGGAGGTCTGGAGCAGCCCCACATGGCACTGCTGGGAACACATGCCTGGACCCGAAGCCACATACCTGGACCCAAAGCCACACAGGTCAGTGGCCCATCCTGACGCTAGCCAGGTTTACTAAGCATCAACACTGGGGAAGACAATGACTGGTGCTGGCTCACCAGCTGTGGAAATGGTGATGCCCTGGCTCCTACTGTGGGAATGGTGAAGTGCTGGCTTTATTGTTGTAGGACTGTTGAAGTGCTGGTCCCGTTGGTGTGGGCCTGTTGAGGGGCTGGCTCCATTGCTGTGGGACTGTTGAAGTGCTGGTCTCATTGGTGTGGGATTTTTGGGGTGCTGGCTCCATTGCTGTGGGACTGTTGAGGTGCTGGTCCCATTGCTGTGGGTCTGTTGAATATGGGCTTCATTGCTATGGTAATATTGATGAAGACAGGAGATGGGATTTTGTGGCCCTTTCTGAGTTTCTTTATCAGATGCCCGTCCTGCATAGCAGCTGGTGCTGCATATCGCAGTCAGAATTCAGCCTCATTCCTCCCACCTCTGTGGATCCAAATGGTCTTTTGCTCCCCGACCTTTTGCAAATCCTTGCTGTTTCCCAAAGGAAGCAAATCTGTATTTTTCTGTTTTCAGACAAACTGATGTCCAGTTCAGGCCCCTCAGAATCTTAGAGTGTCCAGAAAATATGTACTTTCCCTTCAGCAGGTGTCTTGATCTGAATGCTGTCTACACCTTTATCTCCCTAGGTGGAAGTTCCTCAGTCTCACCTACACCCCTCAAGGGTGGAGACATTATACACTAATGGGCAAGATGCAGACATTGGCCAGAAAGAAACATTCCTGGCTAGTGAGAAACAAGTTATGTGTATATTTTAAAATGAACCAAAAATGTTTCCTTGAACAGCTTCCAAATTCATAAATGCATAGAAAAACGAGTCTGACTAAGAGCAGCTGGCGTTTGCAGCTGCCCCAGTTTTACCTGTTTCCAGGTAAGCAGGAGACACGTCTGCTGGGGCAGTGATTTAAGAGAGGCACTCACCTAAAATAAGCAGCCAAAACCATCCTGGTTATTACAAATGTCACAGAAAATAAGTGGAATCCACTTCATTGGAATATATCGACATGAAACCCGGACTGTTATTTCTAAGAAAGTAATTAATGTTTCACCTCTTACATGCCATTATTAATGCTAATAACAGTACTTTACGTGTATAGTATTTTCCTCTTTCAAGCCGTTTTTATCAGAGACCACATAGTCTTGTCTGATTTGAAATATGACATTAAGGATGCATATTTAAATCTCCCACTACAATTGCAGACTTCTTCTTTCTCTTTAAATTCTATTTTTTTTGTTGTTTCCTTTATTTTGGGACTATCTTATTAGGTACATATAAGGTTATGCCTATTATATTTTCTTGATTAATTGCTATCTTCATCATTATATATTATCACTCTTTATCCTCTGTAGTGCTTTTTGGTTTAAACTATATTTTGCTTGGTATAAATATAACTACACTGGTTTTTTTTAAGTATTTGCTTGATAAAACTTTGCAATTTTTTGCTTGTTATCTTTCTGCAATTTTATATTTTATACATATCTGTTGTAAAGAAGACATTGCTGAGCCTTCAAGCTGCTGAATTTGATCCATTTACACTTATTTTGATTACAGATAGATTTGGAATTTCAAAAAATGTATCTTTGTAAGGCACACTTTGTTTTGGGCAGATTCATCTGATTTTATAAAATGAGAAAACAAACAGAAAAAAGTTAAATAATTTTGTGAATGCTATAAAATAAAACAGTGAAATTGCTAATTATTTTAAGGCCACTGTGCAGAAAACTGCTTAAACATATATGAAAATAACACAGCTCTTAACAGATTGCCCTAGTAATTTCCGTAGAACTTCTGTAAGTATATAGAAATTAAAAATGGGATTGGATTAATAATTGTATAATAACACTATCTGGACTTTAACCTTGATTTTCTTTTTTCTTATATGCAATTATACTGAAACATGAAGATAAAATATACTAATTTTGTTCAGATTATCTACCTCAAATGAAGCAAATACAGTATTTTTCAACGTGTAATTGTCTACTTTTCAAAATAACTTTTTATTAAAGAAAGGCTCATAATGCTATGCCTTTAGACAGTACTCCTAATTAATGTAAGATTTCAGCAACACAACATTACACAGAGAGATTACACATGCAATCATAAAAAACTACATATAAATATTTAAAAACATGACATTTGTGAATTATTTCAACCTTCACAGACTTCTTTATAAGCATGTTTCATGAAAAATAAGGGGTCCAGATATAACTCTAAGTTAAACCGTACTTTAAGTTAAACCTTAAGTCTCCCCATAAAGGTGTCCTAGAGCAGATGTCCACCGATCCAGGCATTGCAATGCCTGGGAATCAATGGTGTAATCAGCAAGGTGGAATTGGATATGTGGTGATAGCTATCGATGTTTATGACAGGTGGGTGCACCGTCAAGTTGGAGTCTGAACTTGATAAATTGGCGCTCTTGGAAAAGGTGGGTGAGAGTCATTGTGGATGTGGATAGGAGCAGAGCGGTTCTGAGCAGGACGCCAAAACAGAGGAAGCTTCGGAGGACGCTTGTGCCTTCCTGAGAATGAGGCCACGGAGCACAGCGGGAGCCAGGGGGAGTTTCACAAAGGCTACTTTTGACTTGGTTTTGCAATCACCTTTTTACTAGTAGGTTTTGTTTCGTTTGTCTTCTGTTGGGAATTTAAATATTAGGAAAACAATTTGGGATTATCTGTCTAGACTACCCTGTCAGTCCATCTGAGGCTTGTGTCATCTTAGAGCTAGCTATATATTAGGTAAGGCTTAAAGGCTAGCTGAAGGGTGACGCTTCCCTCAGCTAGGAGGAGATGGTTTTTTAAAGGCTTGCTGAAGGGCGGTGCTTCCCTCAGCTAGGAGGAGATGGTTTTTTACAGCAGTGCTGACTCCACAGGAAGCCACCCAGTGTGCTAGGAACCACACTGGAAACACAAATCTGGAACTGGTTTGTTTTTGTTGTTGGGGGTGTTAACATGTTACCTGAAAATTAATAATCTTTTAAAGATGTGGCAAAGCCTAATGGCACCCTCCTGGGTAGCAAGTCCAACGTTGTCCAGGCACTCACCATTTACAGAACGAATATTGCAAAACGGTTTTCTGGGCTTGTGTTGTTTCCTTCCCTTCTTTCTTTTTTCTTGCTTACTGGCACTAAAAGTCAGCCTTTCATTGTTGAAACAGTTGACCATAATCTTAATTTACATTTACTCTATGTTTCATCATAAGCTGTAATGCCTTTTAGCATAAAGTGGATTAATCAGAAATCGTAGCCGAATTGGCAATTCAATTGTTAATAGTACTGTTTCTAACATTCAAAAACTTTTCCTCTGTTTCGAATTTATTCATTTTAAATGACTGGAACAAATTTGAGCAAGTAAAAGCTGGTAAGCTTGAGATTTTTCTGGTTTAATTATTTTTCTGGTTTCACTTTAGCTTTTAAATCCTTAGACTATGGTCACAAATATAATCCAGTGCATAATTGTCTCCTAATTTGACTGACGACTTAACTGCTGAGTTGTTTTATGGCTTTTCACATGGTTATACTGAAGGACAGTCTACATGCACTTGAAAAGATGATATATTCTGCTGTTGTTGAGAATGGTCCCTAGATATTAGTTGGGTCAAGTTGGTTAATAGTGTTGTTCAAATCTTCTGTATCCTGGCTACTTTTTCATCTGGTTTTCCATCAGTTATTCAGAGTGGGATATTAAAGTGCCCAACTATCATTGTGCAATTGTCTATTTCTTTCTCCAGTTTTATTAGTTTTGCTTCATTGTAAAAATATTTCATGTACTTTGACACTCTGTTATTAGGTGGGTATATATTTACAATTATATTTTGCTGGTAAATTGACTTTTTTGTAATTATAAAAATCCTTATTAAGTTTTAGTAATGTGTTTTGTCTTAAAATTTACTTTGTCTGATATCAGTATGGCTACTATAGCTCTTGCACGATTACTGCTTGCATGGTATATGTTTTTTCATCATTTGCTTTTAAACGATTTTGTGTCTGAAACTAAAGTGTGTTTCTTGCATACCATTTGATTTTTTTCTGGTTGTTTTGTTTTAAATTCATTTAAACCATCTTTAATTTTGGATTGGAGTTTTTAATGCATTTATAGTTAATGGATTTATTAGTATAAGTAATGGCTGAATTTATTTCCACCATAAGATGGCTGAATTTATTTCTACCATCTTGATGCTAGTTTTATCTTATGTCTTTTTTGTTTGCCCATTCTTTCTTTACTTTCTTTTATGTTCAATAGCAATTTTCTAATGTACCATTTTATTCCTTTTTAAATGTTATTCTCTTGGGAAATATTGCTCTAGGGATTAGAGTATACACATTTACTTATCATAGTTTATTTTATGTTAATACTCACTTAATTCTGGCAAAATAGAAACACTTTGCTCCAATACAGTTTTATCCTTTCCCTCCTTTATGCTGTCATTGTCATGAATATTACATGTATATATAAGCATTTATATTGCATTTTAAATAACTTCAAAGAACAATGCAAAAATGTTTATACTGTCTTTATGTTTACCTGCATAAGAACTTTAACATTGCTCATTATTTCTTCATGGGCATTTGAGTTGCCATTTGGTGTCATTTTTTTTCTATCTGAATGATTTCCTTTAGTATTTCTTGTAGGATAGGTAGGCTATTGAGAGGCTGGGTTTCTGGGTCGGGTAGGGACTTGGAGAACTTTTCTGTCTAGCTAAAGGATTGTAAACACACCAATCAGTGCTCTGTGTCTAGCTAAAAGTTTGTAAACGCACCAATCAGCACTCTGTAAAAACGGACCAATCAGCACTCTGTAAAATGGACATATCAGCACTCTGTAAAATGGACCAATCAGCAGGATGTTGGTGGGGCCAAATAATGGAATAAAAGCTGGCCACCCTAGCAAGCAGGGGCGACCCGGTCGAGTCCCCTTCTCTGCTATGGAAGCTTTGTTCTTTGGCTCTTTACAATAAATCTTGCTGCTGCTGCTCACTCTTTGGGTCCGCACTATCTTTATGAGCTGTAACACTCACTGTGGAGGGCTGCGGCTTCACTTCTGAAGTCAGTGAGACCACGAACCCACCAGAAGGAAGAAACTCCGGACACATCTGAACATCTGAAGGAACAAACTCTGGACACACCATCTTTAAGAACTGTAACACTCACAGCCAGGGTCCACGGCTTCATTCTTGAAGTCAGCGAGACCAAGAACCCACAGGAAGGAACCAATTCCAGACACACTGTCAGCAAACTGTCTCAATATTTGTTTATCTGGAAAAGTCTTTTTTAAAATTTTTGCTTTCACCTTTGAAATATATTTTTGCTGACTATAGAATTCTTTACTGATAGTTTTCTTTCTTTCTTTTGGAACTGTTAATATGTCATCCCAATACCTTCTTGTATACATTCTTTGTTATGAGATGTCTGCTATTAATTTATGATGGTTACCTTATATATGGTCATAGAGTTTGGATACCTGTCCCTGCCCAAATCTCATGTGAAATTGTAATCCCTAATGTTGGAGGTGGGGCCTGATGGGAAGTGTCTGGGTCATGAGGGCGGATCCCTCATGGCTTGGTGCTGAATTTGCAATAGTGAGTGAGTTCTCCTGAGATCTGGTCATTTAAAGGAATGTAGCACCTCCCGTCCAGTCTCTCACTTGCTCTTGCTTTTGCCGTGTGACGCACCTGCTCCCCCTTTGCCTTCTGCCATGATTGCAAGCTTTCTGAGGCCTTCCCAGAAGCTGAGCAGATGCCAGCACCATGCTTTCTGTACAGCCTGCAGAACTGTGAGCCAATTAAACCTCTTCCTTATAAATTAGCAGGTCTCAGGTATTTCTTTATAACCATTCGAGAATGGCCTAATATATGTGCTGAGTAGTTTTGTTTGCTTGTTTCTCTTGCTGCCTCCGTGATTTTCTCATGTTATTTGTTTTTCAACAATTTGACTATGATGTGTCTGTCTGTCTCTTTCTGCTTATCTTTAGGATTTGTTAAGCGTCTTGAGTGTGCAGATTCTTCATCAAAGTTGGAAGTTTTCAGTTATTTCTTCAAATATCCTTTTGCCACATGATCTCTAGCTATTCTGATATTCCCGTTAAACATAAATTTGATACTTCTTGGTGTTCAGTGGGTCTCTAAGGCTCTGTTTATTTTTATTTACTCTTTCTCTCTTTTGCTTTTCCAAATTAAACACTTTCTTTCAATTTGTCTTCACGTTCACTGATTTCTTATTTGGTCAGTCCAAATCTTTTTTTGTTTGATTTTTCATTTTTATTATTGTGCTTATTAACTGCAAAAAGTCCACTGGATTAAAAAATAATTTCTATCTCTTTGATATTCTCGGGTTGATGAGTCATTATCACTATATTTAAAAAAATTCTTTAAACATGGTTTTCTCAATGTTTTGAACATATTTATAATAGTTTTTTTTTAGGTTTTTGTTTGCCAGGTTCAACATCTGGGTCTTCTCAGAGAGTTTCTATTGACTGTTTTTTCTTATGTGAGAATCACACTGTCCTGTTTCATTGCGTGTCTTAACAATGTTTCTTTAAACCTTGACATTTTAGGTCATATATTATAGCAACTCCAGATCACAACTCCCTTTCCCTGCGGGGTTGTGGTTGCAAGTTTTGCTTATTGTGTGTTCAGTGACTTGCCTGGACTAACTTTGTAAATTCCTTTTCTCCTGCAGTGTGTGATCACTCATATCTCTGTTCGGTTCCCCCCACCCACTTTTTATTCTTGCATTTATATTTAAGCCTAGTTTTGCAGGGACCACTTGTGGTCAGCCTAGCTTAGTCATACAATGTTTGGCCAATGGTTGTGCTAAAACATCTTGAGCTAATAAAGCTTCTGCCTTTTGCCAATAAATCCACGTGTGGGTTGGGTAATGCATTTTAAAGCCAGTCAGTTAACGTAGCTTGCTGCAATGTTTGCCTTTGGGTGTATATATATATATATATTTTTGCCACAGGGATTGCTATTCTATTAAACACCACACCCCACATCATATCCAGTCAGCCCCCTCTGGCAGCCAAGTTGCCAGTTTGCACTGCCTGCCCAGCCTAGGGAGGACCACCACATGGTTGAATCTGGGGTGGGCAGAGCAAAAACAGCTTCTATGAAAACACCAGTTTACAATGCTTTTACCTGAGGTTTAGTCGATTTTGTGTGTGTGTGTGTGTGTGTGTGTGCGATACATGCTTCCCAATTATTGAAATGCTTCTATTTGATTTCCAGAGTTCTGCAATATTGTATTTGACAATTTTGTCCAGTTTTGTTATTGTTTTGGAAGGAAATTTATTAAGTGTCTTCCTCCACCATTCTAGGAAACCCACCAACTTAGAATAAAATTTGAGTTAAAAAATATGTGTTAGTATTTCTTAGTTAGTATTGGCGCCAGAGTAGAGCGTTGGGCAGAAACACTGATGCATTATTGTTTACTCAGAAGCATTTTATAACTTTTTGACAATATTTCTCTGGGGAGTCCAATTTTATTCAAGACTTCTGGAAATGTGGTGCAATGTTTTAAAAAAACCAAGACACAGAGTATGCACAGTTATGTTGGCGTCTCAAAACTCTTCAGTTCTCACTCTCATTTCTTGGAGAATGTGGCATGACTAGAAGTGTTGCCCTGGAAACAAGTCATCAAGCCGAAGTTCTTATCATTCATCTCCAGCAGTCTCAAGGCACGTGTGAAGAATCTCATGGCATATTTTAGACACAGGATGACCTCAGTGTTCCTGAGAACGTTCCTGCTCAAAAGAGCTGCTACTGTGTGCTTTGTGACTGCCGGCTCTGCCTACAGGTGACACACTCCTGTCACTTAATCATCTGAGTGCTGGATGCATAATTTATTGTTGCATGCAAAGTTATGCACAAGTGCATTCTCCAGATCTACAGGTGGAGAACTGAGGGAGCTGAATCAACTGTTCATCGCATCAGGGTACAATCTGAAGTCTCTAGTTTGCACCAGGAGGGTAATTCTGGTTCAGATTATTCAGCAATAGAGCCTTGGCCCTCTTTCCATTGTCACACAGAGTTGTAGGAAAAACTATTTTAAAACAGAAGCTTATGTAAAAATAATGATCTTCTTATTGATTTTGCATCTGAATTTTTAAAATTGTAGAAAACAAAACTTTTATTGTTATTTTTAATATTTAGAGATAGAAAAACAAGTGTTAATGTTTTCATTTGAAACCCATTCTTTTCCTATATGTGTATGTTTCCCTTATTTCAGAAGTAATATCTCCACAATATAAAACATTTGGAAACAAAGATGAAACTGAAAACCTGACTTACTGTCCCTCACTGTCCAAAGGTAACTGCTGCCACTATGCTAATGCATTTCCTTAAGGTACTGTGATCATATGGTCAATGTTTTCTTCTGTCTTTCAGATTCATCTTATGCCTGATTCATAGCATTCTGTTCCCACTTATGGATCCACCACAATCTCCTACTTTTTGCATTTTTTTACTACTATAAATTTTGTTTCAATAGCGCCTTTGTCCATAAAAGTTTTCTGGGCTTCTGAACATTTCTTAGACTAGATAACTAAAATATGAATTTTTTGTTGTTGTTGGAAAGACAGAAATATAACCAAGAATTCAGATAAGTTTTGTCTAATTGCTTTCCCAAGAAGTTCCCATCTCTGCTTCCGAGCTGTTGCTTTGTGTATAGTACCATAACTGGTTATTATTGTTTTTAAAATAAACTACTCTTTAGAACACTTTAGATTTATAGAAAAATTATGGCAGCAGTATAGTGAGTCCTGTTTTCTATTAGAACAATACACCTGTTATACTCAGTGAACTAATAGTGACACATTATTATTAATTCAAGTCCATATTTTATTCAGATTTTCTTATTGGCTTACTGTCTTTCTTCTGTTTCAAGATTCTGTCCAAGATGCCACAGCACATTTAACCAGCATGTCTTAGCTTAGCTCTACGGCCGGTCATGAAGGGTGGGATAAAATATCATGAATAGGAGAAGAAAAGTACAAGAAAAGTTTTGGGAAAAGTCCCGTACGTGTGTCTTCAGAAAACCGTTGCTGCATCGATAAGAGGTCTGATGGTGGTTCACACCTGAGGCAGCACGCGGCCAGTGCAGCTCCCAGCACGGCTGGTGCCCTGTGGAGAGACCCTGAGGCCAGGACCACCAGCTCGCTGGTGTCTGCATCTGTGATGGTGGTGTCTGTGAATCTTTCCTCTCATGGGGCTGGGGTTGGGGTGACAGGCCTCAGCGCTTGTGTCCCAGCCCTGGAGAAGCCTTGTGGGCAGTGAGTAAGGGCTGTGGAAACACATGCCTGAGCCCCTGGCATCGGGGCAGGAGACTTGCTCTGCACGTGGCAGTTTGTGGCCCTCGGAGAGCCACCTCACCGCTGAGATGTAGCCCCTTTTTGGGAAGAGGAGAAGGTTGGGCCTGTGTTCTTTGTGCTCTGTAATCGTTGCCAGATGGGACCCCTAGTATCGGGCACTTGCCTTGTTTCCTGCCTTATTGTACAGTTTCCCAAATGACAGAAGGGTTGTGAGTGAACATGATGATGCCTTTTGCAGTTTTGTTTCCAGATGCCTCCCCTGTGAGGGTCACATCTCCTTCCCTCCCCTTATTTTTGTGGTTTGCTGCCCTTTCATTAGTGAAAGCAAAATGAATGGCATTATTGATTTCTAAAAAGGGCTCTTCACAAACGTGTTTTGGGTTGTGCTTTATCCTTGCTGTCTGATAGCAAAATGATTGCCAGGCACTGATACCAAGGTAACCAGTGAAGATCTAACAATTCTTACTGTTTACATCAAAACAAAAGTAGTATATGGTCCCTTTAGCAAACATCGTGCATTTCATGTGTCATGTGTATTTCCCAAAATGCCTGCCACCCTGTCCTTGTGACCCCTCGCTCCCCTTACAGCAATGGCTGTTTCTAGCTTTCACACTCTTCAAACCTCCCCACAGCATTCATGCATCTCCTGCTGCTAGAGATTACAGAGGCCCCCGCTGAGAGCCCCATCCTTAACACCAGACAATTGCACCACCCACTGCTTTGCCCGTTACCACAGAGGAGCCATCCCTTCCCTGGAGAAGCACGGTCTCTCCACCTAATTTTGGATCCCACCCTCATTTATTCAGGAGCCTCACACTGTGGATGACATCTTTTTGTTCTAGAATATTCAGCCCATCGCTCCTGGTTGTATCTTTCCCATCATGCTCCCATCTGTCCCGTAGTGATGGTATGAAGGAATGATTCTTAGATCCACCATATGCCTACATCTCTTTTTCTATCCCATTTTTCTTCCTTTCACAGAAAATTTCTAAGTTCTTACACTAAATTCTCTCTAAATTTAGAAATTTCTAAATTTCTAATATGCTTATGCTAAATTCTCTCTTTTCTCTTTTCAAATTTGCTTATCCAGTGAGCTACTTATGTTTTCCCTTTCAGCATTTTAAGCTAGTTATTTTTAAATCCAGATGTCCTTGATTTATGGTGGCCCTTTTTGTGTTATAAACTTTCTGCTATGTTTTCTACTCTTTTTCTTCCTTCTCCTCCTCCTCCTATTTTTTTTTCTTTTTGGTATTAAACATACTAATTTTAAAGTTCTCTTTAGATTGCTTTATCATTTCCATTTCCTTGGGAGTGAATTCTCTCATTTGCTGACTTTCTCTTTTATGACATTTTCCCCTCAGTGTGGTTTTACAATTTAGTTTTCAGGATCATCTCTCTCAACGTCACCTTTCCATGACTAGTTGTTTAGTGATTGTTTTTCCATTTCCCCCGGGGCCCCCAGTTCAGAACCCACATTTCAAGTGCACTTGTCTCAGTCCATAGGTCTCTGATCTAGGTAGATCTCTTCCCTCACACCCAACGTGCAACAGTGACACTGAGTGAGGAAGACTGCAATAAACACGTCCATTCAAAAAGAGGACGATGATGGACAACAGCAGCCACGGGTTCATAGCATTTCCGAAATCTTTCCAGGCTCAGGTGTTTGCCCCTTCAGTGAGGGCCCAGTCCTGCTCCTTGGGAATGAGTCTCCAAGGCTCGTGGCTCTCCTGTCTGGGCTCCTGGCTCTGCCTTTTCTATAAGAAGTGGACTGCGGTTGCAGCTGTGTAGCTTTCTAGGTCTGCATCCTGACCAGACATTTGGGGGACTCCAAAGCCCTCTTTTCATTTTGACAACCTCTGTCTTCTTCAGTTAAGTATATTAATTCCTTTAAAAACTACATGAATTTTTATGTATCAATTTATAATTCATTCCATTACACAAAAGCCATATTCACAAATCTTCTCAAGATAAATCCTTCTCTACCCTTAGACCTTCTGTGAGGCTACCACAGGGACAATGCCCTTGAAGGTCTTTAAAGCTAGACTGTTGTGTAGCTGAGAGGATCTATCAGACATGCCCTGAAATAAGCAGCGGGAATTTCGCTTAATGGAGAGTGTATGGGATACAGTACCCTGAACCTTTCTGATATCTTATTGAGGGCTCTTACTACCATGCCCTGAATTCTGTGAAGCTCTAGTTTACTGGAAGTGACCTTAATTTGATCTTAGCTCTGAGGTCATCCCTTCATTCACAAGCATTTTTCTCATTGGAAAAAATATTCTTGACTTGTCATTTCATCCACACTCTACTCAAAAACTAAATAGATGGTCTTCAGTTTATCTCTCTCCTTCCACATTTTATTACAAGCAGCAAGAAGAAGGCAGGTAGTGCTATGAATATTCTGCCTAGCAGTGTCCTCATTGAGATCATGGTTAGCTGTACTCCCATGTCCTGTGTCACTACAACACACAGTGTCGTCGAGTTTCTGTCTCTGTATAGCAAGAGTTTCTTACCTCCAGCCTCCAATAGCACTTTTCTTGCTTCCATTCAAGCCCTTCCAACCACCACATTGAGGACATTCAGTGAGGACATTCAGTGACTGGCTGCTGGGCTCAAAATCAATGTTGCAGGTTTTAGGTATGATTTTGCCAGCATTCCACTTCTAGGTACCACATTCTGTTCTAGTTCCCCATGAATATGTAACAATTCATTTCAATATTTAGTGACACAGACAAACAACTATTTATTATGGCTGCAGATTCTGTAGGCCAGCATGGCTGGAGGGACTAGGCTGAGTGCTTCTCAGTGGGAGTTGCTTTGGAGGCTGCAGTCAGATGCAGGCTGGGCTGCAGTCATTTAAAACTCTGGTGGGCTGGATATTCAAGGGGCTCATTCACAGCTGAGTTCGTGCTGTCTGCTGTCTGGGAGCTGAGGTTGTCTGTCCCACAGAGTGCGTGCACTGTGGGTGGCTCCATCTTGCTTGGGAGACTCAAAACACCATGGCCGAGTTCTAAAAAAGAGTAACCTCAGTGGAAGCATCTGGGAGCAGGTGAACCTGGAGACCAAGGCAAGAGCTGCAGCCTTTTCTCGCCTAGCCTTGGAAGGCGTGTCATCTTACCTCTCCCACATATTTTTGGTTATAGTGAGACCTTAGTACTAGCTTCAAATCAAAGGGAGAGTAGATCACAACTCTCGATATAATTTGTGGTCATCTTTAATTCATCATGCCTACTTATCTATACAGCTCAGCTCCGTGGTGCTTTTCTCAGGAAAGGTTTCTCTGACCTCCTCTAGCAGGTGAAATCTGCCATGATTTTCCCCGTGCTATAAATTACTCCACTGGGTAACTGAGGTGCACAGGTAGAATTTTACATTTATTTGTGTGACTGGGTGATAGTGTCAGTTTCCCCACCAAATTCTAATTTCTTGGAGGTTACACCCTTTACTTTCCCCGCAGCAGTTGTGATCTCAGCTCCTAGAACTGTTTTCAGTAAATATTAAACATTTGATAAACACTTGCTGAAGAATTAATGTATATGTTTGAAAGTTCTTGAAAAAAGTTCTAAGAGGTTGTTTGTGATGTTTCATCTTGCCCCCACCTTCTGTTCCACTATACTTGATCAATGTCCCTCTACCAGTTTCTCTCTTCTCAGTTCGCACATTCATTTCCATCACTGTCCATGTCATTGTCATCTTTATTCTTCTGGTGCCCAGTACGGTGCCTGAAACTTTCAATAAACAATGAATGAATAATGGGAAAAGGGACTGTATTATATTATATCTTTTCATTTATTTATTTTTTTGATGGAGTCTCGCTCTGTTGCCCAGGCTGGAGTGCAGTGGTGCGATCTTGGCTCACTGCAACCTCCGCCTCCCGAGTTCAAGTGATTTTCCTGCCTCTGCCTCCTGAGTAGCTGGGATTACAGGCATGTGCCACCACGCCTGGCTAATTTTTGTATTTTTAATAGAGACAGGGTTTCACCATGTTGGTCAGGCTGGTCTCGAACTCCTGACCTCATGATCCCTCGCCTCAGCCTCCCAAAGTGTTGGGATTACAGGCGTGAGCCACTGCGCCCAGCAGATACTATATCTTCTTACACCATTTAATCTGTAGAGCCTTCCCTAAAGAATAACGCTCTTTCTTTGCACAATTTTTGGGCTGTGGTAGAGAAAGGAGCTTCTCTATTTGCCTTTGGGTAAGCGAAAATCTTAATCTGTCCTTCCCTTGCGTTGCAGTGTTGCTATCCATAGTGCTATGAAACAACAAAACAAAACAAAACAAACCCCCTAAGCCAGGGCGCCTTGGATGGTTCACTTGGCATGGTCATCTTGCATTCCATCTGCCCAGAAACATGCTGTTTTTTAAAAAAATCTCTATTCCTAATATTAAAAACCCCAGGCTATAGGATGAAGTTTTCATCTGCTCTCCCCACACTGTTCTAGGAAACTGCCTTTTCGTGCAATAATAATATTAGCTACTACTAATGGGAGTTGCACTGTTAGGATGACTAGGGAATGCCTTATCCCCTTCATCTGTTAGCGGGGCGGGAGTTGCTATTAAAAATGCCATATTTATTTATTATTCCTGATATTTAAAACCTGATATAATCTTTAGGATCTACTTAAGTCGCTGAATTTGGATCCCATGTGGAGGTCCTGTTAATAAAAAACGAGTGTTTCCATTTCCTTACTCTCTATCTCATTCAGTCCAACACTGGCTACTCTTCTTATACCTTAATTTTATATACATAATATTATTTATAAATGTGTAAGATATATTAATAGAATATATATTCTTCTAACAGCCCTAGTTATAATATATATACATATACACATACGTATGTATATGTACATATACACCATATATATGTATACATGTGTGCATTTTATGTGTATTTTATATACACACACACAAACAGCAGAATTCCTCTTGCTTTTCTCCACTCCTCACATTTATGCAGTCTCCCTTGCTAGATTATTGTAAGTTATAATTGAAACATTTCATATTAAAGGAAAGGGCTAAATATATTTAACTTATGCATATAATGTTGTGTAAACAAAATGTGTACCAATAAGCAAGAAGGACTGGATAATATTTGCTGACCATGGTAAAATAGCTGACCCTTTGCAACGCAAATCCTCTTTATTTACTAACGGCAAGGTAAGGAAATGGTTCACGCTGAGGCTAAGCAGAAGAGAGGGGCGAATCAGGACAAAGCTGGTTTTCCCTGGCAGTGAAGGGTGCGCTTTGGCGTCAAGCTCTGCCTCCTTTTTTTGTATTTACACATTTAAAAGCATATGCCTTTCATTTCTATTATTAGGGTGTCAACAGCTATACGTAGAGCCTTTTTCATGTTTTTTTTTTTTTGTGGTGCTTACAATTCATGGTAAAGTATTTGTTTCCTGAAGAAATGAATGCCAAAACCCCCGAGTTACACAGATCACATATGACATAGCTGTGATATGGGAACAGTTAATACCCAGCTTATTTCAGTACATTCTCTCAAGAGCCCGGCTTTCTGTTTTGATTGGAATGCATGCACTAACGTGTGAACACAGCCTCATCTTTCCCAGTCACCTTTCCAGGTATTCACGAGGCCCAGATGAGACCAAATTCTGTGTGCCCACAAACATGTACCAAACAAGCCAAAATATCTGTGGAAAATATGACATCTGGTCAAATTGGTTATAAAAATATTGTTTGTAAATCTTCCTCCTCTCCCCTCCTCTCTCCCCTCTCCCATCTCTCGTCTCTTTTTGAGATGGAGTCTTGCTCTGTCTCTCAGGCTTGAGTGTAATGGTGCAATCTCTGCTCACTGCAACCTCCCCCTCCCGGGTTCAAGCGATTCTCCTGCCTCAGCCTCCAGAGTAGCTGTGATTACCGGTGCTCACCACGACGCCTGGCTAATTTTTGTATTTTAGTAGAGATGGGGTTTCACCGTGTTGGCCAGGCCGGTCTCGAACTCCTGACCTCAAGTGATCCGCCCGCCGCGGCCGCGGCCTCCCAAAGTGCTGGGATTACAGGCGTGAGCCACCGCGCCCGGTCAAAGATACTGTTTGTAAATCTAAACCCCATGTATTTCTTTATGTTTATTTCCAACTCATGTGGCTTACACATATGTCTGGTAGTGTACATGTAGTTTAAAAGAAGCACTCACTAAAAAGAAAGTAAAAATATGTGTAGAAAAATGAGACACGTTTATAACAGTAACTTTTTTCCTAGTGAAAATAATGCGCATTAGTCAAATTTTGAATTTGGAAAAAAATCCCAAAAACGAATCAATTTATTAGATTTTTCACAATATTAGATTAAAAATAAGTTAAAACACTGCACTGTTGAAAAGCGGCATTTGCCCAGGCGTTTCCTCTTTACAGACGAGTCAGTGTCTTTGCCGTTTGGAACCTTGTCTTCACTATGGGATGGCACTTGATCGAGGCGGCCCCGCAGCCTGTTCCGCGGTGCTGGCGTCTCCCTCTCCCTGGCGAGGCTGCCCCGAACCCCTCTGCACCCTCCCTCCAGGTACCGCCCCTGGGAGGTCCGGTGGGGACCACGGCCCGCGACGGCCGCCGCACAGCCACCTCCCGGCGCGTGCAGTGCGGGCCCGGAGCCAACAGGTGGCACAAACGCATTTGACTTGGGCATCGATCGCCGCGCCCGCCCGGGGCCGCACCTCCGCCGCCAGCGTCCCTCCAGCCCGGCCCCGATGCCGCGCAGGCGCAGTGCTCTTCTCTCCGCGGGCCGGGCCGGGTCAGGGTCAGGATCTGACCCGAGTCTGGGTCAAGCCATGGCGGGCGGCAGGCAGCGGACGGCGGCGCCCAGGCAGTGCGCCCTCTGCTGGCCACTCGTGTACACGCTGGCTCCAGCCAGTGCTGCACTCCTGGCAGACAGGGGCCGGGCAGGGGCCGGGCAGGGCTGGGCTGGGCTGGGCTGGGCTGGGCTGGGCTGGGCAGGGCAGGGCTGGGCTGGGCTGGGCAGGGGCTTGAGCAGGGTTGGGCAGGGGCTGGACAGGGGTTTGGGCTGGGCAGGGCAGGGCTGGGCAGGGGCTTGGCAAGGCTAGGCTGAGCTGGACAGGGGTTTGGCAGGGGTTGGGCAGGGCGGGGCCTGGGCAGAGCTGAGCAGGGCTGGGCAGGAGCCAAAGAGGGGCTGGACAGAGGTTTGGGCTGGGGGGATGGAGGGGGGCTGGTCCCCTGCTGGTCCCCAGGATGAATGAGAATCCAGAGTAGAAAGGCTGCATTATTATTACCATTATTATTTGAGGAGTATCAAGTGCTTCATTTAAACACCTTCCCCAGTCCCTTCCCACAGTGCAGGGAGCTTAGGAACACGCAGCTCGGGAGCTGGCACCTGCCTCCCCACCCCCTTCCTTCTGGAAGGCTCCTGTCTGAGCCAGCGCCAGCAGGAGGGGCCCGAGCTGGGAAGGGAGGCCTGTCACTCGGAGGTTCCAACTCACTGGAGAGGAGCCTCGCCTCAACTTGTTTTTAATGTGTCAAATCGCAAAGTCACTTCCCAGCAATAAGGTGTGAAGGGGTTACAGCCTCCCGAGGGCCCTCCAGGAGGCTGTGGCACAGGCCTTTGTTTTCTGCCTGGCAGAGTGATGGGCCTGCTTCCACCCGGCATGCCTCAGCCCACAATTTGTCACTTAGGAAGCCTCTCTTGTGAAGTTTACACCTGCCTTGATCGCTGTTAGTGGTGCCCTGCCTTAGGGGGCACCTTATAGCTTCCGAGGTCCCTCCCTGGCCCATCCCCACAAGCCTGGGTTTGTGAGACGGGCTTTCCCTGCAGCCCTTTCCAAAGCCCCGTATGTCTTGTACCCATTTCCCCAAGCCCACACCCAGAAAGGGGATATTGGGGGGCCCCACGGTGTTCTGACAAAACAGGACCTCAATTCGGACCTGGTTAACTTTCTGGCTGTTATAGTCAGAACAGATTTGTCTCTAGGAGAACTCGGCACCCTCCATTCTGCTCGTAGGCAGCAAGCCTTGCCGTAGCCCCATGGAGAGGCGCCGAGTAGAGCAGATGGCCTTTACCGGGGCCTGTTCTGTACTGCGTGCTAAGCTACACACAGTCCTTCGTACATCACAATATGGCTCTATTGTTGTTTACATTTTACAGATCAGGGAATTGAGGCTTAAGGTGACTAGCTTTCCTGTAGCTGAGCGAAGCCATCAGGCTAGGTATGCTTACCCTAGAGCCTCGGCGTGTGGGCAGATTCTACTTGCCCCTTGGAGAAGGGGGGCTCGATGGGCTCTGCCGTAACAGAGGGGAGGGGTCAGCCCTTGTGGCCTCAAGTTAGGATACATGGGGCTCAGGTCTCTTCAATCCTGTTCTTTTGCCAGAAATGAACCCCCATTATCTCCAATGGACTCCCAGAGCTGCTCCTGTTTTATCTCCGACACCCATCTCCTTCTTGCCCAAGTCTGAAGGAGGCTCAGCATCTGGGAAGGCACTCAGGACGGGGCAGGGGTCTCAAGGCAGGGGACGCAGACATAGTCATTTTAGTGTGAAAGAGCTATTCTGAGCATCGATTAAATAAACCACCAGAAACTAAAACAGGATTCTAGATCTCATCTGCACTAACATTGTAAGTGCTTTATATGTTTTCACCCAAAATGACTGAATTTGGAAAGAATGGATTAAATGGGATTGAAAGAGGGCAAAAGATAAAGGATTTCAAATTTCATCTTTGCATCTAAATTTCAGGCTATTTAAGGACAAGGTCCAAACCGTCATAGTAGCTAAGGGAATATCTGTTGAACAATGAATGCGCCTGATTTTGTCTGGCAGAGTGAATTTATGAGGTTGACATTTTAAGAAGTCAAAATTTTAGCTCATTTCAAACAGTGGAGCATAGCTAAAGCCTTGTTCCTTCTGGTAGCAGTCCCTCCAGATTGAAGTCTGACTTTGAGGTAGTATTGACCTTTTATAAGTCCCTGTGAAATGCAAGGTCTGATGCTTTGGGAAAGCACACAGTCAAATATTTTTTTCTCTTTAATTGATACCACTTAAAAATTCATGCAAGGGCTGGAACATTAATTGCCAATTATTTTCATAGAAATTTTTAAGAAAAACGTGAAAACCAAATAGAAGGGATATAAACAGTCAAAGCAAGAAAGGAAATTTGGAACACCCGGTACGGTTTAGGAACGTGTGGAGCCTCAGGGTGAGTCAAGATGCACAAATTAATAAAATAAAAAAATGAAAACACCAGTTTTCACGCACCAAATCGGCACGTCCACTTTTGTGGTGGCGCTTAGTGTTGGTGACGGTGCAGCGGCACAGCCCGTCCGTGGGTGGCTGGTGGAGGTGTCGGTCAGCTCTGCGTCCGTGGAAAGCAATTTGGCCACGCTTATCATGAACACTCTCTTCCGTTGCTTTGACCCAATAATTCCCCGTCTAGAAAAAGAAAAGTATCACAAGGAAACCAGAAAGTCACATTTATGTAACTGTCATCACAGTATAATTTACAATAAGGGAAAAGCTGGGAACAACCCACTTTTGTAAGAGCAGAGGTGCTAAACTAAATATAGTGACCCAGGCTATAAGTCGGCAGCGTTTCAGAGACGTAGACGGAGCCGAGCACTGCGGTGCTAAGTGAGAAAGGCAAGATGAAAAGCTACAAAAACGGAACACTTGTGAATTTACGAAAATCGTATATTAATATATATTATATACAAAATATTTTATGTGTATTCAACATATATTTAAATAGACATTATATGTGTCTATCCTGGAAGGAAAATCAGATGAGATGGTAGTAGCAATCCCTTGGTGAGGAGGTTTAATGGGTAATTTTAAAAGGTGTATTATTTTATATGTTCCAAATTTCTAAAGATATCTTCTTCTTTCATAATTTCAGAAAATAATAAAGGTCTTTCCCCAAGAAGCAATTTGCCCACCTACTGTACTTGTGTCCTGACAATATTATCACGAGACTGTTTTAAGGCTGCAGTTCATTAAGCATTCTAGACAACGCACGCCCTCGTCTTCACCCAGACAGGCAGCTCCCGGGATCACTCTGCACCCAGAGGGCTCCCGAGCCATGGTGGCCTTTCCCAGGACGCGCTCAGAGCCAGGATGTAAAGGTCCCTGCCAGCTGATTGTGCCAACTGTGCCTCTTTAAGTGCAGGAGCCCCTGAAAATCAGCCGAATCAATCACAGAGTTACAGCCTGAGGTTAACACTTTGGCACGGCCAGATTTCAAAAGGGGATCATGAAAATCATGGCTGGGGGACTGGCCGCAGCTGGGTTGCTTGTGCTGAAACGTTGGCCAAGAGGTCACCTTCAGAGGTAGGAAGACAGGCAAATGTTCTCAGCTGATTCAACGGAGCAGCCCAGTTTCAAAGTATGTCAGAGTTCATAGATCTGCTTGCTGGGTGTTCTGCTGCCTATGTGTGTAAATATAGGCAGTGCAGTGAGACTTCTAAGCCCTGAAACAGAAAATAGGCATCCACGGAAATACAATTCCACAGACAAAGGCTCTTGTGAGATCACTGTTGCAGTTTAAGTCCTTGTTGGATGCTCAGGATGGCGGGCATGGAGGGTTGTCTCTGCTCTAACCGCGCGAATGTCTCAACTCCCTCGACATTTCTTGAGCTTCTTCACCTGAAAGCTGGGGATCACACTGTCCCCTAGAGCTGGCGCCTGTCCCTAGAGCTGGCTGTGAGCACTGAATGAGGAAATGTGCACATGGGAGGAGCCCGGCGCCTGGCTTGGGTCCCGCTGATGCAGTATCCTTCCCTACCCGTCTATGCACCCCCACTTGGTAGCATAATATCTTACAGATAGAGCAGGAGCTTCATCCGTGTTTGTTGATGGTCCTGATGGGGAGGGACTTTCTCCATCTCACTCGCTCTTGAATTTGTCGAGTCCACCGGGTCTGGAAGGATCCCAGGCACAGGTGGGTTCTCCACTCTGTCTGTTGCCAGCTCCGTGGACAGGTGAGGGCATGGGTACAGTGTTCAGTCTTCTCCTGTCCACAATGGCTGGGTTTTCCTCTGTGATTATATACAAATTTGATTTTTTTTTTTTTTTTTTGAGATGGAAACTCGCTCTGTCGCCCAGGCTGGAGTGCAGCGGTGTGATCTCAGCTCTCTGCAACCTCCACCTTCCAGGTTCAAGGGATTCTTCTGCCTCAGCCTCACAAGTAGCTGGGATTACAGGTGTGCACCACCATGCCCGGCTAATTTTTGTATTTTTAATAGAGACGGGGTTTTACCATGTTGCCCAGGTTGGTCTTGAACTCCTGACCTCAAGTGATCTTCCCGCCTCAGCCTCCCAAAGTGCTGGGATTACAGGTGTGAGCCACCACACCCAGCCTAAAAATTTGAAATATGGGAAAGCTAGAATAGGAAAACCAAACATGGAGGTTGAAAAAGAAATTGAGACGAAGTTAGAGAAAGATTGAAACCCGTAGGTTAACATTTAACCATGCCAATAGATTGTGTCGAATAGACTGTGACTCCTAAGACCTCCCTGGGTCAGTTATGGGCCCCTCCGTGAGTCGATCTGCTGCTTGTACTGGAGGGACAAGCTCCGGGGATGCTCTGCAATTCCACTGCTTCTGTTCAACCCTGCCTCAGCTACCTACAACATGTACAATATTTAAGGACTTTGAGCCTCAACTGGGAAATGTGATGTTAATGTAGGATCCATATTTTTGTAATACAGCCAAGAAGCAGAATTATAAAACCAGTAATAAATACCTGAAATGTTTCCTTTCCATTTTAAACAAATACATGGCACCAACCAGCCAATGTTTTGATGTGGAGACCAAGTCTTTTCTTTGAGCATAAGTTATTGACTGGAGTTGAGCAGATATATTTTTCTTTTCTTTTTTTTTCTTTGTAAACCATATGCATTGTATATTGACCTCAACTTACAAGTTGGGTTTCTTTCAAACAGGTCAAGAACATACAATGCTTACAACACAATCTGAGTGAAGACTCCTTCTACATTTCTGAGAGATTTTCCCAATCTTTTATGGTGATTTTATCCAATCTTAATTTCACAGTAACTGTGGTGAGTCACTTTTCTTACTAGCAGATGTTTCCCAAGCACTTGACTTGGTTTCCATGAAAAAATAACCCTGCCTTCACATTTGTCAGATTGTATAACATTTAATTAACATGCATATTTACAATAGAAATATGCCTGCCATAAGCACATTTTTGAAAAACTAAATATGACCTTCGGAAAGCACATGAGTGAGAGGGGACTGGTGATGGATGTGGGTGCGCAGCGGCCGCCTCTGCACTGGGGCAGTCCCGGGGGACATTGTACAGAGAAGCTGGAGGGCACGGGGTATCCATCCTGAGACCTGGATGGGAGGAAATGAGCTAAGAGGACACCCCCCCAAGAGGGTATGTTAAAATCCTTACCTGCAGCACCTCGAGAGTGGCCTTATTGAGGTCACTAAGGTGGGCCCCAGTCCATTGTAACTGGAGGCCTCACAAAAGGGGGAAATGTGGACACAGAGACAGACATGCACACAGAGAAGGTGATGTGAAGAGACACGGGGGGAAGGTGGCTGTGTAACGAAGGGATTGGAGCATGTGTCTGCAAGGTAAGGAATCCCCAAAACTGCTGGCAAACCACTAGACACTAAGAGAGGGATGTGCAACAGATTCTCCTTCACGGCCTCAGGAGGGACAAACCCTGCTGACACCTTCAGCGTGGACGTTGGCATTCGAGCACTGAGACAGTAAATGTCTGTTAACTAACACCTGCCTCCCGCCACCTCCCAGCTCTCCAGTTTCACGGATTTCTCTTTAGTCCTCAAATCTCGGGTCTTGGACTTCTCTTCTTTGGGTGTCCTCTCTGTCTGTCAGATCTCATTCAGGTTTGTGGCTTAAGTAACATCCATAAGCCAATGACCCAGACTTTTATGTCTCTAGCTCAGACCTCTCTCCCCAAATCCAGACCTATATGTTCAATTGCCTCTTGCTACCTTGCTTGATGTTCTAATAGGAATTTTCTCCCCCAAACCCATCCTTCCAGAAAATTAAGGGAGGTGTCTGGGGGAGAATGGGAGCCAGAACTCACCTGTGTGGAGGTTGGTCCTTCAGTGGAACCCTGCGGATGCTGTCACTGGGGGTTTCCCCTGGTAATGCTGCTTTTCAGCCTGCTCATTCCCGTGTGAAGCCACTGTCTAAGAAGCACTGCCCACGTGTACAGTAATCCACAAAATAGAGAAACCTGGCTCTGAAGGAAACAGACAGTTTGGGGAACAAAAGAAAACATTGGACCATCTCTAATATTCTCAGAGAAAATTCAAGGAGATATTGTATCTTTTAAATAAGAGCATCTTTTAGATAATCAAGAAACAGGGGGTTTATCCCAAAACACAGTGATTATGGGCTTCAGACTTTCAAAAGAAAGTGACTTCCTGTCTAGAATTCTACGCACTGGAGGCAGATGCCCATGGTGTGCTCTGCAAAGCCTGTCCTGAGAGGGTGACTGCATCCTACCATGACCCTTGCAGATCATTGCGGAAGGGCTTTCTCTGGCCAAAGGAGGCAACCTGTGCAGTTGAGACAATTCAGGCAGTCAACACTTCTGGGAGTAGCCCTCACACAGGGAATGGGGGTTTCGCCGATTACTCTGGTTTCCTCCCAGCTTGAATGAGATGACTTGGAGAACATGCCTACCACACAGTCTGCCAGAGGTCCTGCTGCTCATAGTGGTAACCTTCACTTTGAGGCACATCATATTGGTTTGCTTTCTTTTCCTCACTTTTGCACTCACCTACAAGAGATTCTTCAGAGTACCTCCCATGCAAACTGCTGGCACTTACTTCTTTGTCCCAGGGTATTTGTTGGGAGAGCCCAGCCTTAGATACAAGTCAAACTATTATTAACTATGCAAATAGCATCAATAAACTGTGAATATGCAAAGATTCATGCCCCAACCCTTTCTAAAGATATTACATGAAGATGTACTGCAACAAAATAATGGAGAAAATCAAGAAGATATGGATCTGAGAAACAGGGGATACAACTCAGGACATTGAGAAATTGAAGTCCCAGGATAATAGGGGTACAGAGCAATAAGTCCAGGAGAATAGAGTTCTCCAAAAGGGAAGTCCCTGGGAAGAAAAAAATAATAATGGTGGGTGATTTCATTGATAGTGCTTTTAAAATATCAAATCTTAAGAACATGGTAAAAAGAACATGGTAGAAACAACTAATGCAGAAAAACAAGGCAATTAGAAACTCCAGAAAAACCAAAAAGCTCTAAAAGGAAGGAAATATAATTATAGCATATGATTCCACTTTGCAGCAAATAATATACCAAGACCATAATATAAATATGGTTCATTGATTTTCTAAGCTTTAGAACCAATATAGACAGAATTCAGAGAATTCTTAATTATGATTATGGGATAGAATGCAAATGCAATCAAACTTGACAATATAAAGTAAAATATAGAGAGAATCTGGAAGAAGAATTGGAACAGGTGGAAGGGAGAGATGATGAATTAATGGAAATACAGAGGATGTAACGATTTCATCTTGTGAAGCAGGAAACCATCCACACTATAGTTAACAAAACAAGAAGTAGAATTGCAATTATATGATAAAAGTAATCAACATGGGAACCAAAAATAATACAGTAGGTATATTGGTCAAATGTGGAGAGGGGGAAGTAATACAAATGAGCTGCAATCTCCCACTGTAGACAGCCAATAGGTTTAATACCAAAAATTGATAAATCAATAAATAGTGCTATAACATATTATTAAGAGATACGGAGGTAAAAATAACCAGAAGAACTAATAATGGAAATAATTAAAATGTGGAATGTGTGGTTGGGGTGCAGAGTGAGAGCTCTGTTGCTTTTTTACTGTTTGATTTAAAAGTCAACAATCAAATGTGTTGTTTTTGTAACAACTTAAGAATGCAATTTAAAATGCTTTGTAATTTAGTAACCTACAAAGTATCTTTTCCTGTTTTCCTGTGCTGTTAATTTTACAGCTAAATGTGCATGGTTTTAATTGCCTGTCAATCGAGTTCACTCCCGCCACTGACCCTCTCTTGTGATGGATAATTGAGAACTGACTCTGTTAAGGAACAAAGAGCTTAAAATAGCTGCTGTACTAGTGCATGGCACATCATCATGTCTAGATAATGAACTCCCAATACCAAATGTTTTCATGATGGCACATCCCGTGACACCTGCTTTTCAATGACAACGAGGTATCTAAAAGAGAGGAGGTGGCTGATGGTGTGGCTGATGGCATGCCCCACCTCCTTGATGTCCCTGCTAGCCCCTGTGCTGCAGCCCACATGAAGTGTGGACCCAGCCTCTTCAAGCAGCAACTTTGCCTAATTAAACCTGACCAGAATTACCCTCATTATAGCACAACTCACGATAACATCCCAGCGACCTTGTTCCCCAGAACCCTGTGGTGAGAAGCAGGTTCAGTTCTATTTTTGGCTTCTAACAAATGAAGCATTTCTCCCAAACTGCAGAAATAGACAAATAAAAGACACTGGCAGGAATCAATCCAGAAACAGAGGCTGGGAATGGTCATTGAGAAAAGTCACGTGCTTTTAATATTGCAGTATGAAACTCAACAACACGATAACACCCAGATGGTTCTGCAATTTGTGTTAGTGCAGTGTCTGAGGTCATTAATTGGGCGGAAATAACCATCTTTTAAAATCACCAGTGAGAAGTGTTTGTGAAGCCACAGAATTAGCTCTGGAAGTAACTCCAGGGTTTATTTAGCCCCACTTCCTCATTTCTGAATTGAGGCTTTTGAGGCCCACAGAGATGGAATCGACCCCTGTTCCACACCATCCCCAGGACTGCGGGTCGAGTGGTTTGCTTGAAGCTCACAAAGTTGGAATCGGCCCCTCTTCCACACCATCCCCAGGACTGCAGGTTGAGTGGTTTGCGCTGTGTCACTGCTGCTGCTCCAAACTTCATTACTTGTTTAAAAATTGTATCATTAGAGAGTCAGACTAGGCATAGGAAAACAGTTTATGTATTTAAACGATTCTCTTTCAAGTCGTTTAGTGACTGTTTAAAATGCTATGGACAAAGGATTTTTCATCCCGCAACATGATGTTTTGGAGAAAAAGAGTGAACAGCAAATTGGAACCACGAGAATGCCAAACGATACAATTTTTGGAGAAGTTAATGCAGCCAAGTCAGGACACACAAGGCCTGGATGTCAGATCCACCCCTGACCAATACTGGCCTTGAGCAGGTGTCGATGTCTGTGAGCCTTGCCTCATGGCCTTGCTGTGAGGACGACATCAGATGATGCTGCAAGGTGTTCCTGTGGAGTCCTGAACTTAATGGGAGGCCCCAAAGCAGCTACTGAATATTGGAGAATTCCGTGTGTGTTTACCCAGAGAGGCCAAAGCACTCAGCGTCGGGCTGCCTGTAGGGGAGTGTCATTCACACAGACCATGGTGGCCTAGGGAAGCTGAGCATACGGGCGGGCAGGCTTTGGAGGATGTGCAGACCCAGATCCTAGGTTCTCACTGGCCAGGCGCTCTCCTGAAGACACACCTAGGATGAGGTCATTAAGCAGGTGAGATACCAGTGTCAGAGATGGGCGCGTGAAGACTCACACCTGGCACCAGGCAGTGTATCTGGAGTGAATGACTGGGCAGTTGCTGTAGCTGGAGCCAATTTCTATTCCATTCCTGCACGAGCAGAGACCCAGTGGCCCCTTAGAATAGACTAGAAGGATGTGAGCAAGGGAAGGGCAGACCCGCTACTTTGCCCACCACCTCAGACTGGGCTCTGTGTGAAACTGGGTTTCCCAGCTCTGCCTTCCTCCGGAGCACAATGAAGGCACTTTTGGAGGAATGACTTAAAGATACATCAGCGTCCAGTCATGGGCCAGCCTCCCGTGCATGCAGAGTAACTATAAACAAACCGGGAAATAAAAGAACGCCCTTCCTGGTGCTGTCTGTGGGGTGCAGGGCCATTTCCGTGACTCTCCACCCCTGCATATTCCGGAAAAGCCTCTCCCACTACCATTTTGCTGTCTAAAACAGTAGTTAAAGAAAAAAAAAAAAACGCAAAGAAGAAATATACACTGATTTTAGAAAATTCAGAAAACACAAGAGTTCTAGAAACCCACGTTTCAAAGAGATAATTAACTCCAGCAACCTTTCACTTGTCTCGGTGAGGTTTGATCATCGAGGCAATGGCGGCTTTGTGAAATTATTCAGGAAGACTTCCTTCTGCCCAATGCCGGCCAGCATGGATCTTCCGTGTTCCTTCAGAGCTGGAAGTATTCCACAGGAAAGAAACCCACAACAATCTCTTTCTTTTTGAAGCACAGAGAACATCGATGTATTCACGTTTGTTCTGCATTTCGCCTTTGCCACATTTTGCCCATTTTCATGAGCTGGGTTCTCACTTCACTTTTAAAATTAGTCTTTATTTGAAGTTTTTATTTTTTCTTTGAATAGCTGTTAAAGATTTTGTGCTTCAAATTGCATAATTGGTTTTTATTTTAAGCATCTGTTATTTGTTTCAAATTTTCTTTTATTGTCTCTAAACTGTGGTACAAACACATCATTCTGTAAATTCATTAAGGGTTTCTTTGAAAACTAGCATGTGATTATTTTCTTTCAATGTTTGATTGTTATTCTAAGAAACAGTGAAGTCTCTGCCATTAGGAAGCAGTTTGCTATGTAGCTTTTAAGTTACAGTTTACTTATTATGTTTCACAAATCCTAGTGTTTTTCTCTACCTAATGTGCCAAAGGCTGAGAAAAGCATTCATCTCTGATAACTCTTGATGGAACTTTAAATTTCTCCTTGTAGCCTAACAATTTCTTAGTGTTATAGCTAGCGTTCGTCATTGTGTATTACACATTTTGTCAGTTTAAAAGACCCTGTTTAGTGGGTCAAATGCTTTTTTGTCCTGCATTTGACTTTGACTGTGGTTAATATTGATACCTAGGTGTGGTGATCAGACAAATTCCCAGGTCTCCACACTCTCCCATTGTGGAATCATTCCTTCTCTACCCTGGGCAGCGTCTCATTCCAGTGGCTGCCAGGAGGGTTGGTAGAGCCTCTTCCCTGCCCTGTTGGCTTGGGCTTGGCCATGTGATGTTCTCTGGGTGCTGGAAGCTGGAGCTGTGAGTGTGCTCATCTTGGCCTCCTGGGCTCAGTCCTTCCCCACGAGAAGGACACACTCTTGCAGCCCTTGCTTCCCCAGCCTGGATTCTAGGGTAAGAGTGTCATGGGGCAAATATGATCTGGACCCACAGCCTGGAGCAGAGCCCTCAGCAGGTCCTTAGACCTTGGGCAAGAGACACATGCTTATTACTTTAACTTATATTAAACTGCTAGAATTTTAAGGTTCTTTAAGCAGCAATACCTTAGCAAAAACCTGATTAAGATACCATGTTTCCTTATTACTTCATAGCCCTTTGCAACAGATTGTCTAAATATTTGGGTAGGTTTTTCTTGTTATAGAAATCAATGCTCAGACAGTCAAAGCATATTTAAAAGAACACCAGATATAGTGAATTTTTAGATACACTGTTTCAGATGTTAAGGAAATTTCATTAGATTGTAAATGAAACTGGTGTTTAAGAAAATTGGTTAGTTTAACTTGAGTTACACTCATAAATGGAAAACTGAAGGGTGATTCCCCTAACTTTACCAGATTTATAACTAGAGTAACAATAGTTGCAAATTAGACTTTAATCCATAAGGAAATCTAGGATTTTAAATTGGTAATGTGTGTGTGTGCATGTGTGCATATATGTATATTATATATATATATATTTACACATATATATTCATATGTTAAATATTACTTTAAACCAAGTAGCTGTAAATAGTCTATCCCGTGCACAAAGGCCACACTTGGGTATCAACAAGTTGATGTGCTACCATTGGAAAGCACACAGTAGGCATGCATGAGTCGAAGTGATGAACACTCCAATCTTTGCATTCTTTAAAATGCTCTTACACCTTTCAGGTGTAAGACATGGAATGAATCACTAGTTCCCAGCAAAATTCAGTGACAAATACAAGATTGTAATAACGTAATCAAATTCAGACATTGATACCAAAATAATAATCACTAACAGATTTGTTTTCTAAAAAAACCAATAATATAAAAGTTAGAACATATTAAAAGAGATATGTCATAGTCAAGCATGGGACGTAGAAGAAGGAAGAATAATTATCATGTTGTGACTGTTTTTAGGAGGAGTAGGTTTTTTAAAATAAGGGCTTTCTTTTTAATAAAACTGTCATTATGCAAAAATATTGACAAATCCTGGCCTTCAGTTTCAAGTACATAATACAAGGAAATTGTATGCATGTTTGTAAAATTTTTGTATAAATCTCTTATTGGGGATAAGCATTAATTAATATAGGAAAATACAGTATTTTGTTCAAATGATTAAATGATTAGTATAAATAATAAATCTAAAACAAAGCCCTTGTTAATTTGCTAAATATCCTTCCTTGCTGCACACATTTCTCTGTAGAGTTTGATTTTAACACAATGTAGCAAATTGACTTGTTTTCAAGAGAGATGGGAAGTAGAAATTGGAGGAGGCGGAACCTGGAAGTCTGTATTTCTGGAGACTTCCATCTGCAAAGGCCTCAGTCAGCACCTCATATTCCTGGGCACCAGGGTTCTCAGTTTCCATTCTAAGCAGGGTGGACATTCAACTCCCATGAAAGGGAACTGAATTCTATCTATTATCCCTTAATGATTCCATTAAACAACTCAAAAAGGAAGGCCACAGGAGGGAAATAGCTTTTGTCAAATATTCTAACGCACAGTATGTGGTAAGTGCTAAATTGGGAAAACTCTCTTGGAAAAACTTATCCAATGGTTGTCAAAATCACTTGTGAATTTCACAGTCCTATATGAAGTTCAAGAGATTCAATAGTAATGTGATCTTAAATCATCTGTTTTTCTAGCACATATGCTCCCCTTCTGAAGTTAAAATGAAAACAACAGCGCTGGCTCGGATGAGTGAAACTGTGAAGGGCATGAGTAGGATTGCGAGGAATAGGTTTAGTCACTCAAACGCGTCTCAAGTGAATTCTTTTTTTTTTTTTTTGATTATTTTATTGTTTTTGTTTTTAAGTTCCAGGGACGTGTGCAGGATGTGCAGGTTTGTTACATGGGTAAATGGGTGCTATGATAGTTGCTGCACCTGTCAACCCATCATCACCTAAGTATTGAGCCCAGTATGCATTAACTCTTTTCCCTAATGCTCTCTCCCTCCCCCGCCCTCCCCTGACAGGCTGCAGTAAGTGCTTTTCCCCTCCCTGTGTCCACGTGTTCTCATTGTCCAGCTCCCACTTATAAGTGAGAACATGCGGTATTTGGTTTTCTGGTCCTGCGTTAGTTTGCTGAGGATAATGGCTTCCAGCTTCATCCATGTCCCTGCTAAGGACATGATCTCATTTCTTGTTATGGCTGTATAGTATTTCATAGTGTATAAATCATTCTATTATTAAGACACATGCACACATATGCTCATTACAGCATAATTCACAATAGCAAAGACGTGGAATCGACCCAAATGCCCATCCATGATAGACTGGAAAAAGCAAATGTGGTACATATACATCGAGTGAATTCTTAACAGTAAGTACCCCAGGAGAGGGCATAGAATCCCAATTTAAACCTTCAGTTCTTTCCTCTAAAGTATTATTTGCAGGGCAATCAAATAGATAAGGTTTCTTATGCAGTAGATTTTGCTATTTTCCTTATACTTTTCATATTTTTTCCATCTTCTCTATTCAGATGAGGACAGATATTGCCCTGTTCTAGGCACAGATGTAGCTGAGATGAAAGGACATGAGCATAGCTGTCTTTGGCATCCACGGTCCTGTAGTGGGTGCAGGAAGAGCTGTGCTGCCAGGAGTCCGCCTCCTCCGGTCCTCTGGGGGCAGCATTCTGGGGAGCCGGTGCCTCGGGCTGCCCGCCACCAGGAAGTTGCCCCGTTGCTCCCCACGTCTCCTCCCGCCATCATCTTTTCTGTCCTGGTTCTCCCCCAGTAGCCTGTTGGCCCATGCAGCTGGTTGAAGCATCGGTGCTGCAAGTGCTTGCTGGTTTAGGTGACGCAGGTCAGTTTTAGCTGCGACGAGAAGCCACCCTGGACTTTTAAAAACGAGATGCTCTGGTGACAGTTGCTTCCAGTCTGAGATGAGTTAGCTTCTCGTTTCTGAGATCCAGCCACACAGATTTTGGGCACGTGAGGTGGCCGGCTCTGCCATTGGCGTCATCCCAGTGTCCCGTCACTCCGGGCTAGCCTGGGACCACACCTGGTGAGGGCTCTCCTCTCTCTCCTCTGTCTGTCAGCCAAGCTAGAATTGAGTGCAGGGGAACACAGCCCCGTAGAACTCAGGGGCCTTCTCAGAATCCAGGTGTGGATGCTTAGCTTCAGAATCTTCAGGCTGTGTGGAAGTTAGACCAGTGATTTGACTGTTTATTTCATGTGTACATGTAATACAATTTCTACCACTGTGCCTGTTAGCAATGATTTTACTTCCCAGGTGCTGAGGGTAGGCCTGGTGATGGGTGAGCTCAATATTGAGCAAAAGAAAGATAATCGTGGGATACACAGGAAATAAAGTCACAGGGGAGAAGCTTGTTAGATGCATTCTTCTGCAGGTAACAATTTTTAATCCTGCACAAATAATTTTTAAACTCTCAACAATTTGAATGCAGTGGAGAGTGAATGAAGGCAGGAAAAATACATAGTGTGCTGAATCCTTGTGAGAAGGTACCACATGGGATACGATCGGCAGATATTTGGCTTTTTACCTGAGGGGATTCCCTTGCTGCACAGGGGTGGGCCCCTAATCTCAAGCAGAAAGCCGCAGTCTTAAGGTCTCAGGAGTTGGAGGACAATGTCCAGGGAAACTAGAGTCACTAAAAGGAGAGGAGAATATGTCCTGAAGGAGCAAACACAATAAGGAACGGCCAAATCTGCACCTAATATATGTAAAAGTGTGTGGTTCACCCTCGAACTCACACCTATGGGGAGACAACCGAGGTTCCCAGCAAAACAAGTCAACAATGTCAACAACAGTGACAACAGGAGAGCAGCTGTGAGGCTGAAGGAGCTGGATGGAGACTCTGGCTTTTGTCCACCAAAAGGGAGACAGAGTTTAGGGTGTAAGCCCAGCCACGTAAAGCACCTGGTATGAAAATGGCATCAACCACCAGAGAAGCAGCAGAGCCCGGCATCTCTGCCACGCAGAACTCACAGCATCCAGTATTCAAAACAGATACTGAGCACGTGAAGACACAGGAAATGGAGCCCACACTCAATAAAGAAATCAGGTTGCTCCCAGCACTTTGGGAGGCCGAGGCGGGCGGATCACGAGGTCAGGAGATCGAGACCATCCTGGCTAACACGGTGAAACCCCATCTCTCCTAAAGATGCAAAAAAATTTTAGTTGGGCGTGGTGGCGGGTGCCTGTAGTCCCAGCTACTTGGGAGGCTGAGGCAGGAGAATGGTGTGAACCTGGGAGGCGGAGCTTGCAGTGAGCCGAGATCACGCCACTGCACTCCAGCCTGGGCGACAGCTCCATCTCAAAAACAAACAAACAAACAAACAAAAAAAATCGGGTTACAGAAACGAGACATGAGAAGACCCAGACAGCAGAATTAACAATGGTTTCAAAACTACCACTAAAAATGAACTCCAGGACTTAGAAGAAGATGTGGTCATGATGAATGAATAGTTATAGAATCTCATCCAGACAAAAAAGGACATTTAAAGAAAGAATAAAACAAACACCAAATCAGAAATACATAACTGCACCTATGTATGTTATAAGCAAGCTAGGAATAGAGAGGAACTTCTTCCATCGGAGGCAGGGCATCTGTGAAATAGACATTCTGCTTACATTTGACAGTGAAGCACCGACGCTTGCCTCCAAGACTGGAAATGGGCCATGATGTCTGCTCTCCCTGTCCCTTACACTGCTTGATTCCAAGTTGAATAAAGTGACAGAGATCAGGAAGTATGGAACCATAGGAGTAGGATATCAATAGGATAGAATAGGGAGTCCAGAAATAGACCCACAGTCTACTTATTTTTGACAAAAGTGCTGCAGAAATTGAATGGCATTGGACTAATGGGATATCCGTATGGATACAAATAAAACCTGAATTCTATTCCATGTCATAGTTAAATATTAATTTGATATTGATTGTAGACCTAAATTTAAAAGCTACATAATTTCTAGGGGTGAACTTAGGAGAATACATTCATAACTTGGGAGTATGTGGATATTTCTTAGAACACTAAGTGCAAAAAATGTAAAATAAAATCATGATGGATCATTGTTCATAAAAATTAGTAATGTTAGGTCATCAAAAGATATCATAAAGAAAATCAACAGGCAGGCAGGAGACTGAGAGAAAATATTCACGTAACACATATCTGACCATAGACTAGTATCTGTCCACACTACATAAAGAATGCATACAACATTACAATAATAGACAAACAACACAATAAAAAGAGCTATCCACTTGAAATGATACTTTACAACAATCACCTGCAAATAGTTGCATGGAAAAATGCTCAACATCACAATTTATCAGGGATATACATATCGGAAAATAAGAAAACAACACAGAGACATTAGAATAGCTCAAATTAAAAGATTTAAAAAGATAACAACAAATAAAGGAAAAGATCTGTAGCAATGAGGATTCTCACACAACAGCCCAGGAGGGTTGAAGTGCACAAGTCTTTGGGAAAAGCTTGGCAGTTCCTTATAAAACTAACCACACAGTTACCTATGATGCAGCAATTATTCTGCTAGATGTTTACCCACAAGAAATAAAAGTTTATTTTGAAAAAAGAACTTGTACAAAATGTTCACTGTGTGAAGGAACATTTCAAATATTCAACATGTGTTTCACAGCAGCTTTTGGCAGAAGTACTCCAAATGCTCATAAAGACAATAGTGAATTAGGCCGGGTGAGGTGGCTCACGCCTGTAATCCCAGCACTTTGGGAGGCCGAGGCGGGTGGATCAACAGAGGCTGGGAGTTCAAGACCAGCCTGACCAACATGGAGAAACCCAGTCTCTACTAAAAATACAAAAATTAGCCAGGCGTGGTGGCTCATGCCTATAATCCCAGCTACTCGGGAGGCTGAGACAGGAGAATTGCTTGAACCTGGGAGGCAGAGGTTGTGGTGAGCCGAGATCATGCCACTGCACTCCAGCCTGGGCAACAAGAGCAAAACTCCATCTCAAAAAAAAAAAAAAAAAAGAAAAGAAAATAGTGGATTAAACGAATTGTGTGTATTCAGATAATGGCATAACAGTAAAAATGTGACAAATGGTGGGTGCAAGTGATGACCTGGATGAAACGGACAGGCATCATGCTGAGCAAAGGAAGTCAGAGATAGAGGGGGCAGACTTCATGAATCCATTACTCCAAGTTCTAGAACAGGTAAAATTAATCTGTGGTGACAAAGAGGGCTTGCTTTGTGGTGGTGGGGGCTGCCTCCAAAGGCAGACAAGGGAATTTTTGGAGGTTACGTGAAGGTTCAATATTTTTATGGGTTACACGGATGCATGCATCTGTCAAACCTCATCAAATTGTACACTTAAGGTTTGTACATTTTACTGTATGTAAATTGTAACTAAAAAGTCCCCTGCAAATATTGAAATCAAGTTGCAGGCTTGCTGTTAACACTTTCATGGGTAGCATATCTGAAACTATTCTTTGCATATTCTGGGCCTCAGCAAATGCGTGCCAGTGTTTCTCAGGGTTGCATAAGGGAGTTTCATATATGGAAACAAAGACTGAACTATTCCCTGTGTTTTTGCATAGGAATTAGAGATAGCAGTAAATTCATGATTTTATTTTCACAATGTGGACATTTAGACATATATTTGTACCCATCTATGTCATGTCCATATCTACCTTTCTCCCAATTCTGTCTGCTGAGAGAGCATAAAAGCTGAGTCACATCAGCAGCAGTGAACACACCTGGTGCCCAGATCTTGGTTTCTAATTACCTTCTTCCACTGAAAGGAAACAGAGCTCCCAAAGAATAGGCTGATTCCAGACTGAGGCAGAGAAAGCCCAGGGCATCCTGTTTTGCCAGAAAGCAAAGAATTGCCCCAGGACTTAGGAGAACTGTTCCAATCACGTATTACTTTGTAACAAATCATCTCAAAACTTAGTTACCTGAAGCAACAAGTTATTATTATTGCTTACAATTCTGTGGGCTGCCTGCTAGGTTAGTAGGTTCTCATTTGAGGTCTTTGTTAAGACTGTAATTAGTTACCAGCTGGAAGGTGATTTGGCAGTGTTTTATTGCAAAGTAATACTTGCATTGCCTTATAATCTTACTTTTTGAAAACCAGGAAATGGATTTACAGCGGCTGAAAACACAGGGCTTTCTCTTACTCACATAAGGATGGACAGGAGTGAGCAGTGGCCACTGGTGTAGGCTGAGCCACCCACCAACGACCCCAGTGGGTTTTGTGCTCATGCTGGCTGACCCATGCTCACTAGACAGGAGCCAGGTTTGCAGACTGCACATTGGAGCTCAAGGAATAGGGAGGGGTAGAGATGTGCCGGCAAGTGTGTGCCCATCTCTTGTCTAGAAAATAATGGGGTTCCTATTAGGTATGGGGTTCCTGGAAAGCCCCAACAGATTTCCTCTTCCATAATTTGGCTAGAACTTGTTTCATGGAAAATCGTAGCTACAAGAGATCCTGGAAAATAGATTACTGGTCTTTAAGAATTTCTCTTTAATTTGAGGCATGGAAGAGAGAAGGGAGAATTGGGAATGGCGGTGAGGTAAACAAACCAAGGGTGCATACTGCAACTGATGATAGGAAAATAATCAATCACCAAATGCAGTGTGCATTTGGGAACAGGTGCAAAGGGTGCATATGTTAAGGGGGCCTTCTCTCCAGTCGCTGGCTTCTTCAACTGGGGCTTCATCACCCTCAGCCCTGTCTCCAGCTCTTGCTAAACTGGCTCATGCTGAAGCTCTCCAGACAGGCTAAGAGGGTCCCAAGGCCCACGCATGCGACTGGGAAACTTTAGCAAATGTTGCCACCCAAAGTCTAACAGCTAGAATCTAACTGCGCGATTGCAAGATAGTCTCATAGCTAGACTCTGAGATTCCAAGGTAGTCTAATACCTAGAGTGTGACTGCGAGATTTCAAGGTAGCCTCATAGCTAGAATCGAACTATTAGGCTTCTTGCTAATTATGGAAATTTCTGCAGCCATCTTGAATTTCTCCCCAGAAAATGGGTTTTTTCTATCTCATAGTCAGGCTGCAAATTTTCCAAACTTTGATGCTCTGCTTCCCTTATAAAACTGAATGCCTTTAATAGTACCCTAGTCACCTCTTGAATGCTTTGCTACTTAGAAATTTCTTCCACCAGATACCCTAAATCACCTTTCTCAAGTTCGAAGTTCCACAAATCTCTAGGGCAGTCTCTTTGGTAAAACAAGAGTCATGCTTGCTTCAGTTCCCAACAAGTTCCTCATCTCCATCTGAGACCACCTCAGCCTGGACCTTCTTGTCCATATCGCTATCAGCATTTGGGGGAAAGCCATGCAACAAGTCTCTAGGAAGTTTCAAACTTCCCCACATTTTCCTGTCTTCTCCTGAGCCCTCCAAACTGTTCCAACCTCTGCCTGTTACCCCGTTCCAAAGTTGCTTCCACATTTTCCAGTATCTTTTCAGCAGCGCCCTATTCTACTGGCACCAATTTACTGTATTCGTCTGTTTTCATGCTGCTGATAAAGACATACCTGAGACTGGGAAGGAAAAGAGGTTTAATTGGACTTACAGTTCCACATGGCTGGGGAGGCCTCAGAATCATGGCGAGAGGTGAAAGGCACTTCTTACGTGGTGGCAGCAAGAGAAAATGAGGAAGAATCAAAAGTGGAAACCCCTAATAAACCCATGAGAGCTGGTGAGACTTATTCACTATCACGAGAATAGCATGGGAAAGACCCACCCCATGATTCAATTACCTCCACCTGGATCCCTCCCACAACATGTGGGAATTCTGAGAGATACAATTCAAGTTGAGATTTGGGTGGGAACACAGCCAAACCATACCAGAGTGGGTTTCAGCCGGAGGGCCTGGACCCAGAGTCTCTGCTTTTGACCAGGATCTTTTCACTGCCTTTGCTGAGATTGGGAAGCAGCATCCCTCTGTCTATTTCTGGAGGAAAGTTTATACCTGGAGTGCAATAGGACATGCTCAGAGAGTCCATGAAATAGTCCAGCCGGCTGTCCCTTCAGCATCCTCTGGTGTCTGGTGATGGCCAAGCTTATTTTCCTCAGAACAGTAGGAGCGACCCAAGCCAGAGAAAATCAACCAACTGAGCCCACAGCTCCCTCCTAGGCCCCTCTGGACATGGGTCTCATGGCCTCTGTGATCTGGAAAGCCCAGGGAAAAGCAGTATTATCTTAGACAGGGAACTGTTATGAGAGCTAGGAGGGGGCCCTGCACCCCTGCAGCAGAGGACAAGCCCGAAGCAGGGGATGGGTATGAGAATGAGGAGGGGCTTGTACCCTTGCAGAGGAGAACAAGCTGGAAGCAGGGGACTGGTTTAAGAACGAGGAGGGGGCCCTGCACCCCTGCAGCAGAGGACAAGCTGGAAGCAGGGGACAAGCCAGAAGCAGGTCCTGTTGCCCGCAGAGCAGAGCCAGGAGTTACAGGCTCACAAAGCCACGGTAAGAACAGCCTATGCGAGGCTTTCAGTGACATGAGGTTGTGCAGCAGGAGATGGGGGGATATACCACTCTATCTGAAGAAGTCAGGACATTCAGTCACCATAAAATACTAGTCCAAGCATTATTCCAAATACAAATATCCAATTCTAAGCAATAAATGCTTATTCAGAAGATACTGTGACCAAAGTGGCAGGTTAAATATGTTAAGACCTAAGAGACGGCAAGGGGCTGACTGGGAGGAGCCCAGGCAGATGGGGCGAGGGGCTCAGTGCAGCAGGGACACGCAAGTAACTCTCCCACCACAGAGAAGACGTGAAGGACGCTCACTTTCAACCTTCCTTACACACAACACACAAGGGGCTACACAGATATTGCTGATGACACAGCAAGTAGATGACAGGTCCAGGTCTTGAGAGATAAATTGGGGGCAGTTGTCTCTGGTGACCCCCGCGACAGCTCCCATCTGGCAATAAATGCTCTCTGCAAGGCACAGCAACTCAGAAGGTGATCGTCCTAACAAGAATGACCTCAGGGCATCCAGACTGGAGGCCATAAATCACAGGAAGGTAACAGCACCCAGAAGGAGCTGGCTGGGCTCCCCAAGGTCTGATCTGGAGGTGGAGTCAGAGCAGCTCCCACCAATGCTGAGTGGAGCGGTCACTCTGGCCTGTGAATGCGAGCTTCCTACTTGGGAGCTGATGTTCCTGAACACCAGACAGCGGCGTGGACACCTTGACTGAGGGGCCTGGTTGTTTTGCCATCACGCTGCTGATCTGAGAAGGTAACTGTCGCCCCTCTCCAAGCGTCCTCACGGGGCCATCCACTGTTTCTCACGCAAGGCCAGAGCCAGCAGAGCCTGCAAGGAATGGAGGGGTCCCTTGACTGTTTTCTGAGGGTCTCTCACAGTTTCTGCTTGGATGCCTTTCAGGAAAATAGCACGAGCAGGAGCAGCTGGTGAGCTTACACCTCAGGGGGAGTGATAAGAACATCTGAGAAGAACTTCTGTAAAATAAAGATGGTCATTGATTGAAACAGAGAGTCGTGGGACCCCTTTTCTGAGAAAGTTTCTTAATGGAAATAGTTAAAACACAGAACATTTGATAAGATCTTGAGGGAGTTTTATCAAAAGCCTTTTCTACATCTATTGAGATAATCATGTGGTTTTTGTCATTGGTTCTGTTTATGTGATTGATTACATTTACTGATTTGCATATGTTGAGCCAGCCTTGCATCCCAGGGATGAAGCTGACTTGATTGTGGTGGATAAGCTTTTTAATGTGCTGCTGGATTTGGTTTGCCAGTATTTTATTGAGGATTTTTGCTTCGATGTTCATCAGGGATATTGGCATGAAATTTTCTTTTTTTGTTGTGTCTCTGCCAGGTTTTGGTATCAGGATGATGCTGGCCTCATAAAATGAGTTAGGGAGGAGTCCCTCTTTTTCTATTGTTTGGAATAGTTTCAGAAGGAATGGTACCAGCCCCTCTTTGTACCTCCGGTAGAATTCAGCTGTGAATTCGTCTGGACCTGGGCTATTTTTGGTTGGTAGGCTATTAATTACTGCCTGAATTTCAGAACTTGTTATTGGTCTATTCAGGGATTCGACTTCTTCCTGGTTTAGTCTTGGGAGGGTATAAGTGCTAAGAAATTTATCCATTTCTTCTAGATTTTCTAGTTTATTTGCGTAGAGGTGTTTATAGTATTCTCTAATGGTAGTTTGTATTTTTGTGGGATCAGTGGTGATATCCCCTTTATCATTTTTTATTGTGTCTATTTGATTCTTCTCTTTTTTCTTCTTTATTAGTCTGGCTGGCAGTCTATCTATTTTGTTGATCTTTTCAAAAAACCAGCTCCTGGATTCATTGATTTTTTGAAGGGGTTTTTGTGTCTCTTTCTTCTTCAGTTCTGCTCTGATCTTAGTTATTTCTTGTCTTCTGTCAGCTTTTAAATTTGTTTGCTCTTACTTCTCTAGTTCTTTTAATTATGATGTTAGGGTGTTGATTTTAGATCTTTCCTGCTTTCTCCTGTGGGCATTTAGTGCTATAAATTTCCCTCTAAACACTACTTTAGCTCTGTTCCAGATATTCTGGTACCTTGTGTCTTTGTTCCCATTGGTTTCAAACAACTTATTTATTTCTGCCTTCATTTTGTTATATACCCAGTAGTCATTCAGGAGCATGTTGTTCAGTTTCCACGTAGTTGTGTGGTTTTGAGTGAGTTTCTTAATCCTGAGTTCTAATTTGATTGCACTGTGGTCTGAGAGAATGTTTGTTACGATTTCCATTCTTTTGCATTTGCTGAGGAGTGTTTTACTTCCAATTATGTGGTCAATTTTAGAATAAATGTGATGTGGTGCTGAGAAGAATGTATATTCTCTTGATTTGGGGTGGAGAGTTCTGTAGATGTCTATTAGGTCCACTTGGTCCAGAGCTGAGTTCAAGTCCTGAATATCCTTGTTAATTTTCTGTCTCGTTGACATGTCTAATATTGACAATGGGGTGTTAAGTCCCCCACTATTATTTGTGGGAGTCTAAGTCTCTTTGTAGGTCTCTAAAAACTTGCTTTATGAATTTGGTGCTCCTGTATTGGGTGCATATATATTTAGTATAGTTAGCTCTTCTTGTTGCATTGATCCCTTTGCCATTATGTAATGCCCTTCTTTGTCTCTTTTGATCTTCGTTGGTTTAAAGTCTGCTTTATCGGAGGCTAGGATTGCAACCCTGCTTTTTTTTTTCTTTGTATTTGCTTGGTAAATCTTCCTCCATCCCTTTATTTTGAGCCTATGTGTGTCTTTGCCCGTGAGATGGGTCTCCTGAATACAGCACACCAATGGGTCTTGACCCTTTATCCAATATGCCAGTCTGTGTCTTTCAACTGGGGTACCAAAACAGAAATATAGACCAATGGGACAGAACACAGGCCTCAGAAATAACACCACACATCTACAACTGTCTGATCTTTGACAAGCCTGCCAAAAACAAGCAATGGGGAAAGGATTCCCTATTTAATAAATGGTGTTGGGAAAACTAGCTAGCCATAGGCAGAAAACTGAAACTGGACCCCTTCCTTACACCTTATATAAAAATTAACTCAAGATGGATTACAGATTTAAATGTAAGACCTAAAACCATAAAAACTCTAGAAGAAAACCTAGGTAATGCCATTCAGGACATAGCCATGGGCAAAGACTTCATGACTGAAACACCAAAAGCAATGGCAACAAAAGACAAAATTGACAAATGGGATCTAATTAAACTAAAGAGCTTCTGCACAGCAAAATAAACTATCATCAGAGTGAACAGGCAACCTACAGAATGGGAGAAAATTTTTGCAATCTATCCATCTGACAAAGGGCTAATATCCAGAATCTACAAGGAACTTAAACAAATTCACAAGAAAAAAAAAACAACCCCATCAAAAAGTGGGCAAAGGATATGAATAGACACTTTTTAAAAGAAGACATTTATGCAGCCAACAAGCATATAAAAAATGCTTATCATCACTGGTCATTTGAGAAATGCAAATCAAAACCACAATGAGATACCATCTCACGCCAGTTAGAATGGTGACCCTTAAAAAGTCAGGAAACAACAGATGCTAGAGAGGATGTGGAGAAACAGGAACACTTTTACACTGGTGGTGGGAGTGTAAACTAGTTCAACCATTGTAGAAGACAGTGTGGCAATTCCTCAAGGATCTAGAACTAGAAATACCATTTGACCCAGCAATCCCATTACTGGGTATATACCCAAAGGATTATAAATCATTCTATTGCAAAGAAACATGCACACGTATGTTTATTGCAGCACTATTCACAATAGCAAAGACTTGGAACCAACCCAAATGCCCATCAATGACAGACTGGATAAAGAAAATCTGTCATATATACACCGTGGAATACTATGCAGCCATAAAAAAGGGTGAGTTCATGTCCTTTGCTGGGACATGGATGAAGCTGGAAAACATCACTCTGAGCAAACTAACACAGGAACAGAAAACCAAACACCACATGTTCTCACTCATAAGTGGGAGCTGAACATTGAGAACACATGGACACAGGGAGGGAAACATCACACACTGGGGCATGTCACAGGGTGTGGGGGAAGGGGAGGGATAGCATTAGGAGAAATACCTAATGTAGATGACGGGTCGATGGGTGCAGAAACCACCATGGCGTAGGTATACCTATGTAACAAACCTGCACATTCTGCACATGTATCCCAGAACTTAATTATAATAAAAAAGAAAATAAACAAATAAAAAATAAAATAAAGATCTTGAGGGAGAATGAAATAAATAAATAAAACCCTTGTCTGAAGTAAATGTTCCTGGTGACCTCCTCCAATCCTGTCATAAACGCCCTTCCCCTGTAGTTAATGTTCCCGTTTCTCCTCTGGGACTGGGAAGAGAGAAGCCCGGAACCTCTCCGGAGGTGCTAAGAGCCTCTGGGAGGTGCAGCAGGGCAGGAAATGGGATTGTGTTTGCCTGTCAGGTTGGCTTAGGGGATGGAAGTTGCAAGAAAGGGAAGAAGTAAGAGTTCAAAACGACATTCCCAACTGAATGAGGTCAGTATCCACCTGGCATAACCGTGAATCCACCTGGGCTTGTGAGAAGTCATCAGAGCCCATGGACACTCACCCCCTACTTCCGGTTTCCCCAATGGTACCATCTCGTATAGCTGTGCTGTACACCGTTTCTGAAGCAGTTGAACCATTTTATATGCTAACCAGCAACGGATGGGAGTTGCCATTGCTCTGTCTTGCCTGCACATGACTCTCTCAGTCACCTTCATGTTTGCTTTTTGATCAGACCTGTGATCCTTGTATGTGTGTCTGCTGGCCATTCATGTGTGTTCTTTCACAAAACACTTTCGGAAATATTTTGCTCACTTTAGAGTTTTGTTCTGTTTCGTTTTTCGTCATCTCATTGAGTGGTATGAATTTCTAATGGACGTTCATTGTGGTCAGGGAACGTGCGTATTCTGCATGATTTAATCCTTCCACATTTGCTGAGACTTGTGTGTGGTTCACCATACGGTCCCTCTTGGTGAATATTCTGTAGGCACTTAACAAGAGCATGGATTCTTCTGCTGTCAGGAAAAGCAGTCTAGGCTGCTAATTAGATCAAGCTGGGTAATAGCGTTGTTCAAGTATTCTATATTCTCATTGATTCCCTGTCTATTTGTTCTACCAATGACTGAGAGAGAAATGTTAAAGTATCCAAATATAACTGTGGACTTGCCTGTCTTGCCTTTAACTCAGTGAGTTTTGGGCCTGTGCGTTTATAGCTTTGTTGTTAGGTGTGCATTTAGGATTTGCTATGGTTTGGCTGTGTCCCCACCCAAATCTCATCTTCCATTGAAGCTCCCATAATTCCTTCATCTTGTGGGAGGGACCCAGTGGGAGATAATGGAATCATGGGGAAGGTTTCCCCCATACTGCTCTCATGGTAGTGAATAAGTCTCACAAGATCTGATGGTTTTATCAGGGGAAACCCGTTTCGCATGGCTCTTATTCTCTTCTCTTGTCTGCTGCCATGTGAGACACGCCTTTTGCCTTCCGCCATAATTGTGAGGCCTCCCCAGGCACCTGGAACAGTGAGGCCATTAAGTTCTTTCTTTTATAAATTGCCCCGTCTCAGGTACGTCTTTATCAGCAACATGAAAACGGACTAATATGGATTGCTTCATGCATGAACCATGGCGGGACTTTGCTTATCTTCCCAAAGGGGTGGGAAGGTCCCTGAGGGGAGTGGCTGTGGCTTTTTGGTCTGAGGACTCTGCTGAGGGGAACACACACTCTGGAGGCTCAGCAAGCACTCAGGAGGGACTTGATCCATGTTAGAAATGCATCACTAGCTTCTCATTTATTTCACACTAAAATATTTGAATGTTTCTGATTAAAATCCCTGACAGGGACTCCCCATCCCAATAATTGATTGGGAAAATTGACTTTGTCTTTCATTAAATTAATAAAACAATCAGTAATACAATGTTACAAGGTAGATATTTAATAACAAAAGGACTCACTTTAATGCAGACTCTAGAAAACTGGAGAATTGCAAGTCAAGAGACAAGAGAATCACGCAAAGCAAATGGGATGTAGACACTCCCTCCCTCCCACCCACACCCAGGCTCAGTTCCAGGCAGTGTTTCCAACCCTGGCGGAACTGGCCTGTGCCAGGCGATAGGACTGTAACTCCCACCCAGAGCACCCTCCCTCCTGGGGACAGACAGGTGACAGCGGGAAGGACAGGGTCCGTCTCTGCTCCTGTACTGTGTACTGCAGGGCTGTGCAATGGCCAGCAGGGAAACAGAGGCGGAGCAGTGGTGGGGGTGTTAGCCTTGGAATCTACATTTTAAACAAACAAATTAGGTGCTCTGACACTCCAGGGTCTGAGGAAGGTGGTCAACAGCCTCATTCTAAGAAACCTTGGTCCAGGCACTGAGTTTGCCTAGTGTGGGATTTTAAACAAAAATTATTTCCAAAAGAAAGAATGCAGAGGTAAGGAAAAGATGCTATATTTAATTGAGTGGGTGTATCTGCATACTTTTTAGAAATAATAAGGGTGGAGGGAGTGAGGGGTGGTGTGTCTCCTGCAAGCTACTTGACCCAGAATAAAAACATATTAAACTAAAAATTTCACATAACAGATTTTTCTTTTTTAAAAAAGAAAAAAATGATAATAAAGAATAAAACATTCAGAAGAGAAAGATTTTCACTTGGAGGAAACATATACAAAATTAATCCTTCTTAAATCACTGTTACCTCTAAGTCTGGAACCGCTGCCTTCACACATTGTCTGCTGCCGATCTTGTCAATGACCCTTGTTAACGCCTCTCCCGACAGGTGGACGGCATCCAGACGCGGAGGGAAGTTTCCTCCTGGGGAGCAGCGCACGTGCTGCCTGGAGACAGAAGCGAAGATCAGATTGCACGTGCGTGGAATGTGGCCGCAGCACCAGTTCTGAGCTCCACGATTTGCCGGAGCATGACTCTGTTCTTCATGAAAATTATTATAAAGAGTGCTTCCAGGAGGCTGAGGCAGGAGAATCGTTTGAACCCGGGAGGCAGAGGTTGCAGTGAGTGGAGATTGCGCCACTGCACTCCCAGCCTGGGCAACAGAGAGAGACTCCGTCTAAAAAAAAAAAAAAAAAAAAAAAAAAAAAAGAGTGCTTCCACATTAAATCAAGAAAGACACACACACAAGTGAACTGGAAGAGTATCACACCCTCTTAGGCCTCAATGTCCACAACATCACTGGCCACAGCTTTTAGTTTCAGGAGGTGAGATATGAAAACAAACCTAATGGGCAAAGCAGATCTAAACAGGGTAAGACCTGGAGCCCCGGCCCCATGCAGCCTGCAGAAGGTGAGTGAGGTCGGCCTCCCCTCATTCCACAGTTGCCTCTTTCCAGAGACCCTGGGTGTCTGGAGGGATATAGAGTGATGTGGCCAGGCGCTGTGCCCGGGGAAATGACATTAAAATTAGTAATAGTAGGGGAAAAAAAAGAAATACTTTCCTTTACAGACAACAGAATGCAACTTGAGGCAAACCATTCTATACATACAGTCTCAGAAACGATTCCAGATTTCCGACCTGCGTGTTTTGTTTCTTTGTTTGTTTATGTCAAGACTTTACAATTTGCCATGAATCAAAAACACACATGAGCTCAGGGGATAGAAAGAAATATTCAGAAAGAGTCTGAGTGGAATTTGGATTAGGATGGGTGTTTTTTGGCTCCGAGTCCTGTGTCCAAGTGACAGCTGCTGTGCCATAATAATAGATCAGCTTACAATACGTAGATATAGACAGGCAGACAATAGACAATCTGTGTATGAAACAGGCTGCCTAAAAATGCTGATTATCTAAAAGCTTGTGAGCCTAGGTCATCAAAGCCATCTCACCAGGTGAGTGTTCACTCTTCCCTCAGCGGGCCCTCCCAGAAGTCATGTTAAGCAGTTTCTGACGGTATTCATATTTTAATCCTCAGAAGCCCTGGAGGCTCTCACCTCCCACTTCAGGCTGCCCAAAGTCACAGAGCCTGTGACTCCAGGACTCATCTTTCTACAAACGCTTTGGTTGGCCAGCGCTTCCTTTTACCGTCAGCCGCCCCTGCCCGGGACACTTGCAGATCAGGGGACTTTGTGGGTCTCATTGAGGCTGTATTTGCGGATTCAATTACGCATTTTTAATTCCGCAAATATTTGCCACTGCTGCCTGACCTGGAGCCTGTGTGGCCAGATCCTTTGATCGAAAGCCGTCTGCCTGTGGATCAGACCCTGTGGTGAGTGGTGACAGCCCAGGGGTGGGGAGGCAGATCACCCTGCTGGGTTGCTGGGGAAGGCTGTGTGGAGGCCATAGGGTCTGAGCAATATACTAAGACCTAGTTAAAGATTTGCAGCGAGAGAATCCATGAAACATGAAACACGGAGGCTGTGGGGGGTCGAGTTAGGACTCTGGATGGCCACATCCTGACCCCCAGAACATGCAACCACCGCCTTGTATGGAAAGGGGGCTTTGCGGATGTGATAGGGCTGAGGCTCCTGAGATGGGTGATTTTCTTGGATGATCCTGGCGGGCCAATGAAATCACAGGGTCCTTCTGAGAGGGAGGGAGGACAGCAGAGAGGGGAAGGTGATGTGGCCACAGAGCCAGAGATGACGGAAGGGGCTGCCAGCCCAGGGGTCCAGGTACCACCGGAAGAAGGAAAGACAGAGACATGGGGTCTCCCCATGCCCAGCCCTGCAGAGACCCTGAATTCAGCGCAGGGGTACTGATTTGGGGGTTATGGCCTCCAGAACTGTGAGAGAATAAGTCTCCGTTGTCTTATGCCACCGAGTGTGCGGTACGTGTTATGGCAGCCACATAGCAGGTGTGAGGAAGCTGGAGAAGGGACTGAAGATGGGGTGCAGCTGGGACCACCCTGCTGGGCTAAGGCCAGTTCTGGAAAGAGACTGAACAGCTCTCCCTCAGGAGCAGTGAGGGAGGAACCCGTGAGTCAGTGGAGGGTGGGAGGAAACGTGGGAGGAGCCTCCGACATCCTAGAAACGCGGGGGTACCAAAGCCAGCACCGGCCTGCGGGGGGAAAGCCGGCCTCTTACGCCCTGGAAGAGGAAACTCACAGAGATCCCCACAACGACACCCAGCTGTGCAGGAGGCCCACGTCCTGTCTCATTTCATTTTCTCCTCTCGGTGAACAAAAAGAGAAGAAAATGACAGGAGCAGAAGGTCAAAGGGAAGCATCGAGAGAAAGAGGATGAATTGACACCTGTGGCTAATTGAAGTGAAATCAGGTGGGGGAAAAAAGCCTACTATAAGCCCACTTTATAACCTCATACCCGTCCCCTGCTTCGGGCTTGGCCCCTGCTTCGGGCTTTCCCCCTGCTGCAGGGGTGCAGGGCCCCCTCCTCGCTCTCATAACAGTTCCCTGTCTAAGATAACGCTGCTTTTCTCTGGGCTTTCCAGATCACAGAGGCCATGAGACCCACGTCCAGAGGGCCCTAGGAGGGAGCTGTGGGCTCAGCTGGTTGATTTACTCTGGCTTGGGTCGCTGCTACTGCTTTGAGGACAATAAGCTTGGCCATCACCAGACACCAGAGGATGCTGAAGGGACAGCCGGCTAGACTATTTCATGGACTCTCTGAGCATGTCCTATTGCAGTCCAGGTACAAACTTTTCCTCCAGAAATAGACAGAGGGATGCTGCTTCCCAATTTCAGCAAAGGCAGTGGAAAGATCCCGGTCAAAAGTAGAAACTCTGGGTCCAGGCCTTCCAGCTGACACTCACTCTGATATGGTTTGGCTGTGTTCCCACCCAAATCTCAACTTGAATTGTATCTCTCAGAATTCCCACGAGTTGTAGGAGGGATCCAGGTGGAGGTAATTGAATCATGGGGTGGGTCTTTCCCATGCTATTCTCGTGATAGTGAATAAGTCTCACCAGCTCTCATGGGTTTATTAGGGGTTTCCACTTTTGATTCTTCCTCATTTTCTCTTGCTGCCACCGTAAGAAGTGCCTTTCGCCTCCCGCCATGATTCTGAGGCCTCCCCAGCCATGTGGAACTGTAAGTCCAATTAAACCTCTTTCTTCCCAGTCTCAGGTATGTCTTTATCAGCAGCATGAAAACAGACGAATACAGTAAATTGGTGCCACTAGAGTGGGCACTGCTGGTAAGATACCTGAAAATGTGGAAGCGACTTTGGAACTGGGTAACAGGCAGAGGTTGGAAGAGTTTGGAGGGCTCAGAAGAAGACAGGAAAATGTGGGGAAGTTTGAAACTTCCTAGAGACTTGTTGAATGGCTTTCCCCCAAATGCTGATAGCGATATGGACAAGAAGGTCCAGGCTGAGGTGGTCTCAGATGGAGATGAGGAACTTGTTGGGAACTGGAGCAAACGTGACTCTTGTTATGTTTTAGCAGAGAGACTGGCAGCATTTTGCCCCTGCCCTAGAGATTTGTGGAACTTTGAACTTGAGAGGGATGATTTAGGGTATCTGATGGAAGAAATTTCTAAGCAGGAAAGCATTCAAGAGGTGACTTGGGTATTGTTAAAGGCATTCAGTTTTATCAGGGAAGCAGAGCATCAAAGTTTGGAAAATTTGACTATGAGATAGAAAAGAAAAACCCATTGTCTGGGGAGAAATTCAAGATGGCTACAGAAATTTGCAGAGGTAGCAGGGAGCCTAATGTTAATCCCCAAGACCATGGGAAAATGTCTCCAGGCCATGTCAGAGATCTTCACAGCAGCCCCTCCCATCACAGGCCTGGAGGCCCTGGAGAAAAAAGTGGTTTCATGGGCCGGGCCCAGGGCCCCTGTGCTGTGTGCAGCCTAGGGACTTGGTGCCCTGTGACCCAGCTGCTCCAGTCATGGCTAAAAGGGGCCAAGGTATGGCTCAGGCTGTGGCTTCAGAGGGTGGAAGCCCCGAGCCTTGACAATTTCCACCTGGTGTTGAGCCTGCAGGTGCACGGAGGCCAGGAATTTAGGTTTGGGAACCTCTGCCTAGATTTCAGAAGACGTATGGACATGCCTGGATGCCCAAGCAAACATGTTTTGCAGGGGTGGGACTCCCTTGTAGAACCTCTGCTAGGGCAATGCAGAAGGGAAATGTGGGGAGGGAGCCCCCACACAGAGTCCCTACTGGGGCACTGCCTAGTGGAGCTGTGAGAAGAGGGCCACTGTCCTCCAGACCTCAGAATGGTAGATCCACCGTCGGTTTGCACCGTGCACCTGGAAAAGCCACAGACACTCAATGCCAGCTCATGAAAGCAGCCAGGAGGGAGGGTGTACCCTGCAAAGCCACAGGGTGGAGCTGCCCATGACCATGGGAATCCACCTCTTGCATCAGCGAGACCTGGATGTGAGACCTGGAGTCAAAGGAGATCATTTTGGAGCTTTAAAATTTTACTGCCCCACTGGATTTCTGACTTGCATGGGGCCTGTAGCCCCTTTGTTTTGGCCAATTTTTCCCATTTGGAACAGCTGTATTTACAAAATACCTGTACCCCCATTGTATCTAGGAAGTAACTAGCCTGCTTTTGATTTTACAGGCTCATAGGTGGAAAGGACATGTTTTGTCTCAGATGAGACTTTGGACTGTGGACTTCTGGGTTAATGCTGAAATGAGTTAAGACTTTTTGGGAAGGCATGGTTGGTTTTCAAATGTTGAGGACATGAGATTTGGAGGGGCCAGGGGTGGAATGATATGGTTTGGCTGTGTCCCCACCCAAATACCAACTTGAATTGTATCTCCCAGAATTCCCATATGTTGTGGGAGGGTCCCAGGGGGAGGTAATTGAATCATGGGGGCATCTTTCCTGTGCTATTCCTATAATAGTGAATGAGTCTCATGAGATCTGATGGGTTTATCAGCGGTTTCCACTTTTGCTTCTTCCTCATTTTCTCTTGCCACCACCACGTAAGATGTGCCTTTCACCTCCCGCCATGATTCTGAGGCCTGCCCAGCCATGTGGAACGGTAAGTCCAATTAAACCTCTTTCTTTTCCCAGTCTTGGGTATATCTTTATCAGCAGCGTGAAAACAGACTAATACACACTCTTTGACATTTCTTAGCTGTGTGACCTTGGGTAAGTTTCTTACCCTCTCTGATATGGCTTAAATGTTTGTTCCCTCCAAATCTCATGCTGAAATGTGATCCCCAATGCTGGAAATGGGTGCTGGTGAGAGTTTGGGTCATGGGGGTAGATCCCTCATGATGACTTGGTGCCCTCCTCACAATAGTGAGTTCACGTTAAATCTGGTTGGTAAAGAGACTGGGACCCTTCCCCTCTCTCTTACTCCCTTTCTCATCATGTGTCTCTCCCTCTGTCTTGCTCGCTTTCTTGCCATGTGTTGTGTCTGCTCTTCCTTCACCTTTGGCAATGAGTCAAAGCTCCTGGAGGCCTCCCCAGAAGCTGAGTAGATGTTGGTGCCATGCTTGTACAGCCTGCAGAACTGTGAACCAAATAAACCTTTTTTCTTCATAAATTACCCAGCCTCAGGTATTTCTTTATAGCAATGCAAAAATGGACTAACACAGAAAATTGGTACTGAGGAGTGGGGCATTGCTATAAAGATACCTGAAGATGTGGAAGTGGCTATGGAACTGGGTGACAGGCAGACGTTGGAAGAGTTTGGAGAGCTCAAAAGAAGACAGGAAGATGAGGGAAAGTTTAGAACTTTTTAGAGACTGATAAGGTGGTTGTGACCAAAATGCTGATAGAAAAATGGACCATGAAGGCCAGGCTGATGAAGCCTCAGATGGATATGAGGACGTTATTGAGAACTGGAACAAAACTCGTGCATGTTATGATCTAGCAGAGAGCTCGGCTGCCTTATGTCCCTGCCCTAGGAATCTGTGGAAGGTTGAGCTTAAGACTGATGACCTAGGGTATGTGGTGGAGGAAATTTCTAAGCAGAAAAGCTTTCAATATGTGGCCTGGCTGCTTGTAGTAATCTGAATCAGATGTGGGAACAAAGGAATGTCCCTAAGTTGGAACGTACAATTAAAAAGGAAGCAAAGCACAAAGGTTTGAAAAACTTGCAGCCTGGCCAGGTGGTAGAGAAGAAAAACACTTTTTCAGGAGAGAAATGCAGGGGGCTGCAGAGAAACTACTTTCTAGAGAGATTTTCATAACGAAAAGGGAGCCAAGTGCTAATATTCAAGACAACAGGAAAAAGGTCTCGAAAGCTTTGGGACAGCCCCCCCCATCACAGGTTCAGAGGTTTGGGAGGAAAGCATGGTTTTGGGGGCCCGGCCTGGACCACCACTGCCCTTTGCCACCTTAGGCAGATGTTCCCCATATCCTCACTGCTTTTCTTCTAGCTGTGGCTCAAAGGTCCCCAGGTATAGCTTGGGCTGCCACTCTGGAGAGTGTAAGCCATAAGTGTCGACAGCTTCCACACGGTGTTAAGCCTGCCAGGTACATAGAGTGAAAGAGTTGAGGCTTGGGAGCCTCTGCCTAGATTTCAGAGGATGCATGAGAATGCCTGGGTGCTGCAGGGGTGGAGCCCCCACAGAAACGCTCTGCTAGGGCACTACAGAGGGGATATGTGGAGTGGCAACCCCCACATAGAGTCCCCACCAGGGAACTGCCTAGTGGAGCTGTGGGAACAGGACCACCGCCCTCCGGATTCCAGAATGGCAGAGCCACTGGCAGGTGGCAAGCTCAGCCTGGGAAAGCTACAGGCACCAGACTCCAACCCATAACAGCAGCCTCATGGGCTGTGTCAAGCAAAGCTGTCAGGGTGGGGATGCCCAAGGCCTTGGAGGCCCACCAGTTGCACCAGTGTGCTCTGGATGTGAGACATGCAGTCAATGACTGTTTTGGAGCTTTGAGGTTTAATGTCTGCCCTGCTGGGTTTCAGACTTGTATGGGGCCTGTTGCTCCTTTCTTTTGGCCAATTTCTCCTTCTTGGAATGGGAATGTTTACCCAATACCTATGCCACCACTGTATCTGGGAAGTAAGTAACTTGTTTTGGATCTTACAGCTCATAGGTCAGGGATGAACTTGCCTGGAGTCTCAGATGAGGATCTGGACTTGGATTGAGTTGATGCTGAATGAGTTAAGACTTCTGGGGACTGTTGGGAAAGGGGAATCATATTTTGCAACGTGAGAAGGATATGAGATTTGGGGGACCAGAGATGTAATGATATGGTTTGGATGTGTTGTCCCTCCAAATCTCCTGTTGAAATGTGATATCCAGTGTTGGGGATGGGGCCTGCTGGGAGGTGATTGGGTCATGGAGTGAATCCCTCAAGAACGGCTTGGTGCCGTCCTCACAGTAGTGAGTTCATGTGAGATCTGGTTGTTAGAGTCTGCGACCTTCCCTCTCTCTCATGCTCCCTTTCTCACCATGTGACACACTGGCTCCCCTTCTCCATGAGTGAAAGCTCCTGGAGGCCTCCCCAGAAGCTGAGCAGAGCAGGTGTCATGCGGAACCGTGAGCCAATTAAACCTATTTTCTTTATAAATTACCCAGCCGCAGGTACTTCTTTATAGCAATGCAAGATGGACTAACACACTGTCCCTACTGTCCCAACTGTAAAACTGGGATAGTGATGCTACCTGCTCCATAGGATTACTGTGAGGATTAAACAATAGAAATACAGCTCTTGACATAAGGCTGACACACCATGGGTGCTCAGAGACTTTGGATGATGAGTGTTTTCCATGGACGGTGCAGGAGGAGCTTGAATAGAAATGAACGACCAGAGCCAGAAGCCCCTGCTCTCCTCGCCAGCAGAGAACTTCATTGCTGACACTGAGTCCACAGGACCTGCATTCCCTGCGAGGCCCCAGCCTGCCCTCATTTCCCTAAGCTTCCCTGTTGGGCTCCGTGTGAAACCCTTTTACAAACAGTGGCTTCTCTGAGTGCTGCTGAGGAATGGACCCCAGGCTCTGTGAGGAGCTTTGCAGAGGGCTTGGGCTGCTTTCTGGGAGTCTTGGTTGTGCTCCTTTGTTGGGGTCATGGGACCCACCATTAAACACACTTAGGGCCTTCCATAAAGCTACATTTGTTCATTGGTAATGAAGGGTTCAAAAACTACCCTGAGATGCTCTTCCCGGGCCTTCCATGCTGGGTCGAACTTTCTTCATTTATCCAAGTGAGGCTTGCATCGTAAAGATGCAACTCTGCTCACAAAATAGACAAGAAGACGGGGCGCTCACCCAGGGATGCCGTGGCAATGTCTGCATGTGCAAAGGTGGCACAGACATCTGTGCCATGGGTGAGGGGTGGCCTGGGCAGGCATTGGCACTGCATCTGGAGTTTGTTCTGACTTTTTAAGCAATTCCTTGGAGGTCCTTGAATGCATGCTGTTCCTAAGCATCTGTCTGATAAGCTGGGCTCCACAGGAGTCCACATTATCTTCTTGGCTGTCAGTGAACCCAAGTTTGAATGAATTTCATTTTGGTCATGCTCTTCAGCAAAGAAATGCACGTTGAGTCCTATGGGGGATAAATGGGTGTGAGGGAAAGAGCCCTCCCAAGCCACCGTGGCCTTCTGTTTGGGAAAAGGCTGCGAGTGCAGGGAAGCCAGTGGACAAGGCCTAGGCTGGCGGAAGGCAGAGCTGGGATTAGGGCTATCTTCCTGATTCTGCCCTTGTGAGGCCTTGAGGGCTAAGCCAAGAGAAACTTCTCACCAGAGCTGGGCTGAGGTTTTCTGCGAGAAATGTAGCCACAAACATCTCTTATTTATGGTGATGTTAGACGCTTTCTTACGACTTTTATTAGAGCAGTGGGCACCTGCTGCCACCAAGCAGGAAGCCATGGGCTCTTGCTCCTGCGCTGGCCCCAGGCTGGGGAGAGCTGGAGGACAGCAGCTGTGGAGCAGGGTGGAGGGGACGGGGCGGCTGTGCTGATGGGACTCCAGGCACATTCTTCTGGCAGGTCCAAGGCTGTGGGGGTGGGGAGGAGACCCCTTCTTCCCTAGACACCCTCCCACCCACCCACCATGTGATCCCAGCAGCCATCCTTGGTGAGATCTCTGAGGGCAGGGTCCGCTCACAGGGGCAGCACAGCTTGCTGGCCTTGCCTCCACTCAGCTCTCAGCAGTGCCGACTGCTGCAGGACCTTCTGTAAAGATCACCAAGCTCCTCTCTTCCTAGCTGCCTGGGGTGGTAGGCGTCGGCATGGCAGCTTGGTGTGTTTGTGACCAAGGGAGCTCTCGCCCCCTCCTGGTCCCAGGGACCCTGGCCTGGGAGGAGGTGGCCTGGCAGCCTGGTCCCTTTGCCTGTCAGTGTTCAGATCGGATCCACCACAGCATGGGGTCTGGGGTTCTGACTTTTCTCTCCAAACAGCCTCACACATGCACTACAGTTTTCTGCCCCATTAGCCAGTGTTTAGAGTAAGGACTTTGTCCAACAAATCCTGAGCCCCTCTGGCTTCTGGAAAGATTAATCATCGTGCTGTCATGAGCCCTGCCAGGCCCCAGATGGATGGACAGGAGCCCCTTTTCCATGCATGTTCATGGCCTCCTCATCCTGCTGCTGTTCATGGACAGCCCAGAGCACTGTCCCAGGCACTTGAATGAGGGACAGCAGCACCTGGGCGGTCCTGCCGAGCTGCCGGGCTATTTCCTTTGGGGTCAGCCTGCAGAGTGAGTATTCACTGCCCCAGTTCAGGCAGCTCCAGGTCTCCCTAGTTCAGGCAATTTTATTATAATAACTTTGCAATTTATGAATTTCCACAATTTATACTTAATCATAAATTTATGAAACCATACTACATGTAATAATATGTAGTCACACATAATATTTGTTGATCAATACCCTAAACCTAAGTTAACTCTCTGCAAGGTACATTTCAACAACCTGCTGCTGAGTGGCTATCGAAAACAGGAAGACGATTTGCCAAACGATTCCTCTTAGTCCTGAAACCATCAGAGTTTTAGGACTGAAACTCTTGCATTGACTTGCATTTTAGGACTAAAACTCTTACATTTACCTTTAAGAGTGCACTGTTCTCATCAGGTTGAAACGACTTAGAGTGCCTTACTTATTTTAGAACATCATCCTCCTAGTTTTTCAGAGAAATATGACTAATTTTTATATGAATACTAATTTGTGGATTTGTAAGTGTTTAAAAAGCAATATGTATTGCTCTTTAACTCATTGTGGAAAGCAGTTAGGCAAATTCCAAAAGAACTTAGAACAGTATTACCATTTAACCCAGCAATCTTATTATTGGGTTTATACCCAACAGAATATAAATCCTTCTACCATAAGGGCACATGCAGGCATAAGTTCACTGCAGCACTATTCACAACAGCAAAGACATGGAATCAACCTAAATGCCCATCAGTGGTAGACTGGATAAAGAAAATGTGGTACCTATACACCACGGAATACTACGCAGCCATAAAAAAGAATGCAATCATGTCCTTTGCAGCAACATGGATGGAACTGGAGGCCATCATGCTCAGTGAACTAACAGAGGAACAGAAGATCAAATACCACGTTATCAATTATATGTGGGAGCTAGAAAGGAAGTACACATTTATGCAAAGAGGGAAGAACAGACACTGGGGCCTCCTGGAGGGTAGAGAGAGAGAAGAGGTTGAGGGTGGAAAAACTAACTATGTATTGGGTACTATGCTGATTACCTGGATGATGAAATAATCTGCACACTTAACCCCTGAGACACACAATTTACCTATATAACAAACCTGCACATGCACCCCTTAGCCTAAAATAAAAGTTAAAAAAATAAAAATAAAATACATGTAAACAGATATTTCAGTGTAAAAGACTTGGACTTCTATTGTAAAATTTATCTCTGTTTCTTTCCTTTAATTCTATTATTAATATAATTTTTAACTTAATTTTTAGATTGCTCGTTGCTAGTATATAAAACTACAATTAAGTTTTATATGCTGTTCTTGTATCTTGTGGCCTCATTGAACTTATCTATTAGTTCTAGTAGATTTTTAGTGAATACTTTACAAAGATAAAGGATTATTTAATCTGCAATAAGATACACTTTACTTCTTAAAAAAAGCAATATATACCTTTTTTCTATTAAAAATATGTTCCCTAACGTTGAAACTACGCTAGTGAGCAATTGCTCACTAAGCTGATGGGCAGGGTCAGCGAAGGTCAAAGCTCTGGCTGGGTCCCCTACACTGGGTCTGCCCCTGTCTTCCTGGTATGTAGGAGATGGGGACAGAATTTGTGCTTTTAGTTTGTCTGGGTCAGAAGGAGCTGCACTGAGGATGCCCCTTCCATTCAGATAGGATGCAGATCACAGTATCATGGGCTGCCAGCCCGATGCTGTGATTGATGAAATTTGGGGGCCAGGGGGATCTCCCTGTGTCTCACACCAGGCCAGGACGAGACTGTGGTTGTTGCATCAGTGGTCCCCAGCGAACCACACCTCCAGGATCCAGGCCCTCCTGATCCTCTCTCTCGGAATCTGGGTTTGGCAGGTGCCTCACTTTGGATAGAGGGTCATCAGTGAACAGAACACAGGGAGAGGCTGGCTGGGCCCTGCACTCTGGACCTTGACCTCTGAGAGTGCCCTGGGCTGCCGTGCAGGGCCTAGGCTGCCTCCAGGGTCCGGCCACCCCCGGAGCCTGACTAATGTCGTCCTACCTGACCATGTGAGGCAGCCTGAGAGAGGCCAGCAGAAGAGTGGCCCAGACAACTCCCTGAATCATATGGGAGAAACGTGCTTTGCTTTGATCCAAGTTCAAAGTTCTGGGGTGGTTGTTGATGCAGGAATAGATAACGGAAGTGACCAACATCAGAACTGAGTGTGTTTCAGTAAGATCTGCTGAATTCAGGGTTCAATGGCATTTTATGGCCACTAGATAGGATAAATGCATTGAAAAATCTGAATAACATTGCAACAGTCCTCTGAATGTGACTGAATAAAGTTCATATTGGCTGGTTTTTATATAGCCTTGACTACAAATCATAATAGGCAAAGAAAATTATGACTGCCATGTCAGTGTTTTGGGAGTGGCTGAGTCAGTCTTTTCATCTTCAGCCGCTGGAGCTGGAAGAATTCTGCAGGCTTTGCTGCATCAGGAAGGCAAAGACCTGTCACAGCAGGATCTGATTTGTAGCCAATGGACGAGCAAGCCTTTGTCCACATCATGTATTCATAGATTGTCGATAACAACATTGTTTTAAAGATGATGATTTTTTTTTCTGTTTCTTTCCCTGAAAACAATGTTAATTAAAACCAGAAGTATTAAAAATATCTATTTGTTATATATTTCAATCTGCTACCAAGCTGAGGGATGAGATGAAAACTCTTCAGTTTTTGGCAATTTTTAAGGCTTAGAGATTATGGTTTGATATAGTTTGGTTCTGTGTCTCCACTCAAATCTCATCTTGAATTGTAATCCCCACAATGTGTCAAGGAAGAGCCTAGTGGGACCTGATTGGATCATGGGGGTGGTTTCCTTCATGCTGTCCTTGTGATAATGGGGGAGTTCTCAGGAGATCTGATGGTTTTAAAAGTGGCACTTGCCCCTTCTCTGTCTCTCTTTCTCCTGTCGCCTTGTGAAGAAGGTGCTGGGCGTGGTGGCTCACACTTGTAATCTCAGCACTTTGGGAGGCCAAGGCAGATGGATCACCTGAGGTCAGGAGTTCGAGACCAGCCTGGCCAACATGGTGAAACCTCGTTTCTACTCAAAATATAAATAATTAGCCAGGCACGGTGGTGCACGCCTGTAGTCCCAACTAGTTGGGAGGCTGAGGCAGGAGAATCTCTTGAACCCAGGAGACAGAGGTTGCAGTGAGCCAAGACTGTACCTTTGCACTCCAGCCTGGGCAACAGAGCTAGACTCCGTCTCAAAAAAAAAAAAAAAAAAAAAAAAAAAAGAAGATGGCTTCTTCCCCCCTTTGCCTTCTGTCATGATTCTAAGTTTCCCAAGGCCTCCCAATCCATGTGGAACTGTGGGTCAATTAAAACTCTTTTGTTTATAAATTACCCAGTCTCTTTATAGCAGTGTGAGAACTAATACATGGTCCATCAGCTTCTATCCTTGTAATTGATACAAAAATTATACAGTTAAGCTGCTAATTTATTTGCATTTTTTAAACTCCAACCCGATTAATTCAACTGAAACAAAAGTCCATTGTAAAAAGCCCACTGAAGATGAGAAGTAAATTAATTGTCAGGAACTTTAAATCATAAGCATTTTTTTCTGAGTTATTAATTATAAAATGCTAACACAAGGGTGATAAATCCAGGGTTCTGGGATGCTGAGTGAGGCAGCTGTAATCTGTGTGACAGAAACCTAAGAGGAGGACCCGCACAGGGACAGATGGCACCCTGAGAACTGCTGAGGGGCCTCCTGGAGTCTTTGGCTGAGGTCTGACCTGCATGTGAGTGTGAGGAAACAATTACACTCTGGAGAATGAGGCTGGAGAAAAACCATCACCAAAAGCACTCGTTCAGAAAAATTCCTAAAATTTACACAGGACCAGCAAAAGTTTGTGTTCCTGAAAGCCACTGGAAAGTTCTCTTAATGAAAGGGACATTGGATAGAGCCCTTAGAAGGGTGTTCCCCCAGCAAGGGGGAAAAATTAGCCTTATGCTAATGGCTCTTCTAGACCAACCCTAAGAAAGCATTAAAGCAAAGCTCAAAGAATAAAACTGATGCTAGATACCTCCACCTAAGAGGAAAAAAAAAAGGAACTCTAAACCTAAACCATTAAAAAATGTAATTAAAATAATTTTAGAAAATCAAACACTAACAATGTAAAAGTCCCATGCCTGGAGTTTAATTACAAAATGCTAAATATGTGAAAGAACAGAAAAATATATTAAAATAGCTGTAACTAAGAGATAAATCAGTAAATAGAAACAGACTGAGAAATGACAGAGATGATGGACATAAAGGACCTTAAAATAACAATAATAAATATGCCACCAATGTTTGCAAAATCAGGGGAAAACATGAGGAAACTAGTTCCAGAAGCTAGAGGAAAACATATAACATATATGTCACCTTATTAAGTGAGATACGTAAGTTACAAAAGAAGTTTCAAGTATACCATCTAGAAATAAAAATTACAATACCTGAAATAAAATACATAGAACGGGGCTAATGGCAGAGTCGTAACAAGTATTCTTAGCAGAAGGAAAGGTTAGTGAACTTTAAAACAGCAGGAGAAAGTATTTTTACTGGGAAAGGATGAAAGGAGCCTCAGTGAACTGTGGGAAAATATTTCATAGCTTAAAATGCATGCAAGATTGTAAGATTGTGGGAGGATCACAAAACACTTAAAAATTATGGCTGCAAATTTTCCAAATAGGAGAAAATATAAACCCACAGATGACAGAAGCTCAGTAAACATCAAACAAAATAAACTACACTTAGTCACATTATAACCAGATTGCTGAACAAGTGACGAAGAGTTCATTTTTAAAGCAGCCAGATGAAAGAGATGCATTATGTACAGAAAATCCATGGTAAAAATGACAGCCACAAAACACACAAGCCAGAAGACAGTGGGACAGTTCTTTCCAGTTTTGAAAGAAAAATAAATTGTCAGCTTAGAATTTTAAAGCAAAGTTTATGTCAAAAATGAAGGTGATACATTGCAGATGTGTAAAACAACATCACAAAACTGTTAGGGAGAAAAAAAAGGCTGACCTAAGTAACTTTGGAAATGAGTCATGTCTATAAGGCTAAATGCAAAATAAACTGTACATAAGCACTGTCCTCTAGTTGATAAAGTTTGCTCCAAGAGGGTTACAAGTCAACAATTCTGATGCTGCTACCCATGTATGCAAGAATTTAACAATCCAGCAAATGGATGGCAGATGATCAGAGCCAGGTTTCTTACTGTTGGAGTGGGAGTTTACGAATAGGCAAGGGAGGAATAGGCTGGAATAGATGACCATGTGGCATCTGTTAGAGTTATAGACATCAGTATAAACTCATGTTTAGATTGGCATAAATATGGTTATGTATAGCGATATTTACAGTTATGGGACTATAAATGGGTTAGTATCTGCATGAATATTTCCCTTCTCTGTCAGGTGAGAGGGGCCTGGAGCAATGGTAACCCAGTGGCAAGGAACATGCCTAAGCCCGGATCTTTATTTATAACACCATTCTCCAGTAAAAGGAACCAGGGCTTCTTAGAGAAATGGCTGATTGGAGAGCTGGGGCACAAAATATACAGGATGAGCCTGGAGCATCTTCTAATGCCAGAAAGTAAAAAAGTGCTCAAAACAAACAAACCAAAAACCACCCACAATGATGGTTGTAAGTCAGAAGGACACGGGAACCAACTGCAAGAGCTCCCGAAAACCACCCACAATGATGGTAGTATGTCAGAAGGACACAGGAACCAACTGTAAGAGCTCCCGAAGACCACCCACAATGATGGTTGTATGTCAAAAGAACACAGGAACCAACTGCAAGAGCTCCCGAAGACCACCCACAATGATGGTTGTATGTCAGAAGGACACAGGAACCAACTGCAAGAGCTCCCAAAGACCACCCACAATGATGGTTGTATGTCAGAAGGACACAGGAACCAACTGCAAGAGCTCCCAAAAACCACCCACAATGATGGTGGTATGTCAGAAGGACACAGGAACCAACTGCAAGAGCTCCCAAAGACCACCCACAATGATGGTTGTGTGTCAAAAGGACACAGGAACCAACTGCAAGAGCTCCCGAAAACCACCCACAATGATGATAGTATGTCAGAAGGACACAGGAACCAACTGTAAGAGCTCCCGAAGACCACCCACAATGATGGTTGTATGTCAAAAGAACACAGGAACCAACTGCAAGAGCTCCCGAAGACCACCCACAATGATGGTTGTATGTCAGAAGGACACAGGAACCAACTGCAAGAGCTCCCAAAGACCACCCACAATGATGGTTGTATGTCAGAAGAACACAGGAACCAACTGCAAGAGCTCCCAAAAACCACCCACAATGATGGTGGTATGTCAGAAGGACACAGGAACCAACTGCAAGAGCTCCCGAAGACCACCCACAATGATGGTGGTATGTTGAAAGGACACAGGAACCAACTGCAAGAGCTCCCAAAGACCACCCACAATGATGGTTGTGTGTCAAAAGGACACAGGAACCAACTGTAAGAGCTCCTGAAGACCACCCACAATGATGGTTTTATGTCAGAAGGATACAGGAACCAGCTGCAAGGGCTCCTGAAGACTAAAGAGCAAAATGAAGAACAGGGTGTTCATTCTGAGAGCAAGGAAACAAATTCGATTGTAACCCAAAGGAGCAGTCATCACTCGCATCCTTGCACATCCACTGATCCTGATTCTTCTTCCTACTCAAGGGCAACTCTCAACGTATCCAGCGTTTCCTCTCTACTCTCTCTCGTTCTCTGTGTGTGTGTACCTCACCTCTGCTACTCTATCCTCCAATTTCTAGCTTGTGAAACTCTCATCTCCACATTCTCAGTCCATACTGATATCAGTAAATGACTGGATCAATAAGTAAATAGGGGAAAAGAGGCAAACCTCCCTTTCAGAATTCAAATAACTAACATAGCTACTTTCCCTTCATGGAGGTGAAGTGTAACTCCTGCATCCTTCCATGTGAGCTGCGCATAGTGACCTCCTTCCAAAGACTATGGCATGAAAAGGGGAAAAAAAGATGAATTTTGGCTGGGCGCTGTGGCTCACGCCTGTAATCCCAGCACTTTAGGAGGCCGAGGTGGGCAGATCATGAGGTCAGGAGCTTGAGACCATCCTGGCTAACACGGTGAAACCTCATCTCCATTAAAAATACGAAAAACTAGCCGGGTGTAGTGGCTCACGTCTGTAGTCCTAGCTACTTGGGAGGCTGAGGCAGGAGAATCGCAGTGAGCTGAGATCTTGCCACTGCACTCCAGCCTGGGCAACAGAGGGAGACTCTGTCTCAAAAATAATAATAATAATAATAATAATAAATAAATAAATAAATAAATAAATAAATAAATAAGATGAATTTTATAACAGAGAATCCTGACAAGCACCACCTCAGCCAGGTGAGGGAGGTCAACTTGAACAGTGACAAGTCACCAGGAGAGTATGGATGCTGGAGATGGCGTGATGGAAATGGCAACTTACCTCTGTGGACGTCCCTTCAAAAACACATAACCCAGTTTAATTATGAAAACAAAATAAAATGCCTGACCAGTGCTCCCCAAAACCATCAAGGTCATCAAAAACAAGTAGAGTTAGGGAAATTTTCACAGCCAAGAGAAGCCCAAGGAGACATAATAAGTAAATGTAATATGATATCCTGAATAGGAGCCTGAAACAGCTGAAAGAGGTGAGGTAAAAACCAAGGAAATCTAAGTAAAGTGTGGACTTTCGTTAATGATAATATTCATCAATATTGTTTTATTAGTTATAACAAATGTGCCATACCAAACTAAGATGTTACTAATATGAGAAGCCTGTGTGAGGTATATTAGAATTCTCTACACTATCTTCATAATGTTTTCTGTCTGAATTTGTCCTCAGAGAAAATATTTGTTTTTTTAAAAATGAAGGAGATTTTAACTTCCTGACAAACAGAAATAACATGGACTAGATAGACTTTTTCTTACACTTTAGAAAAAAACAAAGCAGACAAAACATATAAAATAGAAGTTTCAACAAACATCAAGCAATGAAGACCATGGATGCTGACAGATGGGAGACAAAGGTGGTGAGCCCTGTAGGGGCTTGAGCGGCTCCTTGGAGGGCATTCCCACAGTGCGGTGCAGGGAGGGGTACCCTGGCAGAGGTGAAGATGAGGGTTTAGCAACTAGAAATAGGAGGACAGAGTAGCAGAGATGAGGTACACACATAAAGAGAGAGAGAGGGAGAGAGAAGAGAGGAAACATCCAGGAGATACCGAATCACCGCTGAGTAGGAAGGTGATAATGATGAATGAATGTGTAAGAACACGAGTGAAGGCTGGGGAAAGAACCACCCAGAGGGTGGAGGAACGATTCTTAGAGTTCGCACAGTGCCTGTTCCCTGAGCCAGAGAGAAAAACCTTCTTCACAGGACACTGAGTAGGGTCCTCAGTGTGGTGTACTCACACCTGTAGCAGGAAATAGACTAAGCACTGCTCCAATCCTGCCTAACAAATCTCAAAAGAAGACCCAAAAGGATACAACGTTTAAATAAATTTAATGTGGTCTCAGAACAATGTCCAGGAGTATTTATAGCAGCAATACAGAAATATTCAGCATCCAACAAGCTAAAACTCACAGTATCTGACATCTAATAAAAAAATGACCAGGCATGCAAAGAAGCAGAAAAATATAACTCAGGAGAAGGGTTAATTATTTGAAACCAACACAGAACAGACTCAGAGTTAGAATTAGCAGATGAGGATATCAAGCAGTTATAACTGGATTCCTTTTGTTCAAAAAGTCAAGTAGAAATATAGATGATATAAAGAAAGACCCACATAAATCTTCCAGACTTGAAAGATACAATTTCTAAGATGAAAAATATATGGAGATGGGATCAACAACAGACTAGACATTTCAGAAGAAAAGATTAGTGAGTTTGAAGATAGTAATTTAAGCTAGATGAATTAAAACAAAGTCAATTAAAAAGACAATAGTGAACAGAGCACCTGTGAATTCTGGAACAAATTCAAGTAGCCAAATATACATGTAATTGAAATTCATGAAGAAGAAAGGAACTGGGGCCAGAAAAAGTATTTAAGAAATTATCCACCAAAATTTCCATTTGTAAAGAAAATTATAAACATACAGTTCTAAGAAGATCAACAGACACCAATCACAAGAAACATGAGAACTACAAGGCACATCAAAATCAAAATGCTCAATAGTAGTGATAAAGAGAAAATTTTAAAAGCAGCCAATAACAACAAAAATATACATTTTGTAGAAAGAAATCAAGATAAGGATGACTGCAAGTTTCTCATTGGAAACAATGCAAGCGAGAAGATAGTGAAACAACATATTTGAAGTTCTGGAAAAAGAATAAATCAATCTAGAATTCTATATCAAACAATTATATCTTTCAAAAACAAAGGTGAGGCTGCGCACGGTGGCTCACGCCTGTAATCCCAGACCCTTGGAAGGCCAAGGTAGGGGGTCACTTGAGCTCAGTAGTTCGAGACCAGCACGAGCAACATAGAGAGACTTCATCTCTACCCAAAATCAACAAAAAGCCAACCAGACAAACAAAAACCCAAAGATGGAATACAATTTCAGACATACAAAAGTTGAAAATATTCACCACCATCAGACTTAAAATGCAAAAAATGTTAAGGTAATTCTTCAGACAGTAGAAAGTGATACTGGATGGCAACATGAATGGGATGAAGTGTGCTGGGAATGGTAACTATATGGATAAGTATGTAAGCTCTTTTCCTATTATTTAAATCTTTTAGAAGAATGATTGGCTATGTAAGCCAAAATAACGACAAGTATGGGTTTATTACTCTTATATATATGAGTAAAATGTATGAAAACAATTGAACAAAGTTTAGAAGGTGAGAAGTGAAAGGATATTATCATAAGATTTGTATATTATACATTAAGTGGCATAACATCACTTCAGGGTAGACTGAATAAGGTAAACTCTATACTACAAATTCTAATGACCAAAACAACAATAGCAACAAAATATTAAAAGCAATAAATAACAAGAAAACCAAGGAGGAAAAAATGAATCAATAAACAATTAATCCAAAAAAGGCAAAAGAGAACACAAAACAAATGAAATAGAGGAAAAATTAAAATGAAGAGAGTCTCTAAAAAGTTCATGAAAAATATGTACTATAAAAGAACTATGCATGGATTTCAATTTTTTTTTGCACCAAAATAACCTTGTGCTAACTTGTCGTCACATGTCTGAACAGGATCTAGTCTGAGGCACTAAGAAGGGTAAGAGATCAGTTTGAAAAGAACCCCTATCAGAGCAACATGATTTCTGCTAAAGTTCTGTTCTTGAACCAAGAGCAAACATCAAATTTATGGTGAAGTTTGGATGGGAGAATGGTGAAATCATTGCTGCTTTACAAAAAAATTATGGAGAAAAAGCCTCAAAGAAATCAGCAGCTTACAAATGAATTAATTCATCTTAAGAAAAAATGAGGTGATGTTGAAGATGAAGTCTGCAGTGGCAGACCATCCACATTAATTTGTGAGGAAAAATATTATCTTGTTTGTGCCTTAACTGAAGGAGACCAACAATTAACAACACAAATAATAGCCAACACTATCACCATCTCAGTTGGGTTGGTTTACACAATTCTGACCAAAAAATTAAAGTGAGCAAACTTTCTACTTAATGGGTGCCAAAATCGTTGTGCCTAGATCAGTTGCAGACAAGAACAGGACTTTCAGTGGAAATCTCAAACAAGTGAGATCAAGATGCTGAGGCACTTCTTTGAAGAATTAGAATAGGAGACGAGCCATGGCTTTACCAGTACCATCCTGAAGACAAAGCACAATCAGAGCAATGGCCACCAAGAGGAGGAAGCAGTCCAGTCAAAAGAGGACCAGTCAAAAGAGCACAGGCCATGGCAACAGTTTTTTGGAATGCTTGAGGCATTTTGCTTTCTGACTTTCTGGAGGGCCAAAGAATGGACATCTGTTTATTGTGAGAGTTTTGAGAAAGTTAGCTAAAGCTTTAGCAGGAAAACGCCTGTGACAATTTCACCAGACAGTCTTTCTTCACCACAACAATGCTCTTGCTCATTCTTCTCAACAAACTGTTAATGGCTGTTGTAATACCTCAGTTCTTCTTAGTTTAAAAGAATTTAAACGAGAGACACACAGCAAAGGAGGTGCAACATAGAGTAATTTATTGCAAAGGAGAAGGAATATTTTGAAAGTTAAGTGCAGAATAGACAGTACCCCCTGAGAGAGAGAGAGAGAATTCAGGGAGGGTGGCTCATAAGGGTGAGACAGCAAAGACTGGCACTAGAGAGATTCCCTTTATGGGAGTTTTACGTGATTATTCCTAAGGAGGTGGGAAGAGGCGTTAATAGCAAGCATGTTCTGGGTGGTCCTCTGGGTGCACATGTGCAGTAGCTGTCCATGTTTGTTCATACGTCACATGCCTCATTAACATCTTAAATCTCCACCCAGGGGCCCATTCTTTACTATTATAATGAGCCAAGGGTCAATTTGAGGACAGGTAAAGTCAAAGTGTGCATGCTTTCTAGAGAGGAAGTTCCCTGCTGAAGACTGCTTTGTTTGAATGAGCTAAATAACGTGAATGCTGAGGTTTATTGTGTTGAATGGTCACCACAGTTGCTGCATCCTGAGGACATGGTCATTTCCTTGACTACCTATCCTTCCTCAAAACCAGGGCAATTTTGTGAGGGTTTTAATGGTAAATATCATTAGGTATTTGCTTTACAGCTTTGATTTGCCTCCTTTAGAGTTTTCCTTTTTTTTTCTTTCCTAATCTTAAAAACATTTAAAGATCACCTATTTGTCTTCAGTTAACAATGTTCGAAAGACTAGATTGACATGGTTAAATTCCTAGAACCCTCAGTTCTTTCGAAATGAATTAAATAGCTGATGTCATCACTTATAAAAATGTCTTAGACTTAATGTTCATTTTCAGAAATGAACATATTTGTATTTTTACTTGTATCTTTTAATTATACTTTTTCACTAACATTTTGAAGTTCCCTCACAGCAAGCTGATGGATTTGAACCTAATTATATTAATAATCACATTAAATGTAAGTGGTCTAAATACTCTAATTAAAATGCAATCATTGTATGATTGGATTAATCCAATCAGTTTTCTTGGTCAAATTTTTCTTAATTCAATTATTTTTCTTAATGCAATGATTGGATTAAGAAAAGTAAGAACCAGGCAGGCGTGGTGGCTCATGCCTGTAATTCCAGCATTTTGGGAGGCTGAGGCAGGTGGATCACTTGAGCTCAGGAGTTTGAGACCAGCCTGTGCAACACAGCAAAAACCCATCTCAACAAAAAATAAAAAAATTAAGACTAGTGGTGTACACCTCTAGTGTCAGCTACTTGGGAGGCTGAGGTGAGAGGATTGCTTGAGCCCAGAAGGTGGAGGTTGCAGTAAGCCTAAGCTGAGATCACGTCACTCTACTCCAGCAGGGTCAACAGAGCAAGACCCCATCTCAAAAAAAAAAAAAAAAAAAAAAAAAGACCCAAATAGATCCTCTCTATAAGAAACTACTTTAAATATAAAGGCACAAGTGAGCTAAAAGTTAAAAGTTATACCTTTAACATATATAAGAGATATAGCAAAATAACAGTTTAAAAATTTAACAATGCTATAGTGGCTATAGTACACCAGATAGACTTCAGAACCAAGGACATTACTACTTCATAAAGATAGAAGCATCAATTTATCAACGGATGAAACAATATTAAACATGTACATATAATAACAATGCTTCAAAATAGATGAAGCAGAGCTAATAGAACTATAAGAATCAATAGACAAAACCACAAAAATAGTTAAGGTTTCAATGACTCTCTCTATATGATTGATAGTAAAAGAAGATAGATACTGTCATTTAAATAACCTAATTTACATTTATAGAGCACTCTACCTAAGAATAGGAGAGTATACATTCTTCTCAAGCACACAAATAATTTACCAAGGTGGACCATGCTCTGGGTCATAAAACAAGTCTCAATAATTTAAAAATGATTCAAGTCATACAAAGTATCTTCTCTGTCTACAATGGAAAAAAGTTAGAAATCTACAGTAGGAATGACTCTTGAAAAAACCCTTCATATTTAGAAAATGGCACAAAAAAATCAAATCAAAAGGTAAATTAGAAGTAAAAACACAACATGTTAAAATTTGTAGCATGAAGCAAAAGCAATGTTAGAGGGTTATTTATAGCATTAGATGCTAATGTAGGATAAAAACATAGTCTCAAATCAATCAACTCAACCTCTATGGAAAAGAAAAAACTAGAGGAAGAAGAAGTTAAACCAACAGCAAGTAGAAGAAAAGAAATAATGATTATAGACGAACGAATTCAAAGTAATAGAAAACAGAAAAAATAATAGATGAATTTAAATAAGGTTACATCCTACTAAATATTTAAACAGGAAATAATACTAACCCTACAAAAGCTCTTTCAGAAAACGGAAGCAGAAAGAACGTTTTTTTTCAATGTGTCCTGTGAGGTCAGCATTACCCAGACACAAAAACCGGAGAAAGACATTGTAAGTAATGAACACAACAGACCTAAAATTCTCATGAATGTAGATGCAAAAAATTCTAAATATAATTTTAGCAAATTGAATCCAGCAATATATAAAAAGAATAATATAGCCCAACAAAGTAGTGCCTATTCCAGAAATTTAAGGTTGGCCTAACATAAAAAATAGATGCAAGTTATTATATAGACACCCTAGGGAAAAAAAATATGACTGTCTCAACATTCCAAACCATTTTTTTACCAAAACCAATTTCAATTGCTAATTTAAAAAATGTTTTAGAGAACTATGAATAAGAGAACTTTTCCTCAATATGATAAAGGGCATCTAACAAAAAAATTGAGGATTAAAAAACCCCAAACGCAAAAATATAATTAACATCTTTAATGGTGAAACATTAAATTCTTTTCTCCCAAGACAAGGATGTTTTATTTGTCACTTGTACTTGACATTGTACTGGACATTATAACTAATGTAGTAAATAAAAAAAGTCAATCAATCAATGAAACCCCAAATGACACAAAAAGAAATAAAAACAGATGTAAGGCATCCAGATTGTAAGTGAACAGGTAAAACTGTTTTTCTTCTCAGATGACATAGTAATCATCTGTAAAAGAACACTTATGGAATGTACACAAAAGTTACAAAAACTCATGAGTTTAGCAGACTGCTTAATACAATGTAAATATACAAGTAGCAATCTTTTTTATCCTTGCAATGAATTATTTTAAATTAAAATTAAAAATGACTATTTACAATAGCATCAGATCAAAATGTGCAAGTCCTGTGTACTAAAATCCATAAAGCATCACCAAGAGAAATTAAGGAACATCTAAACAAATGGAGAGATATATCATGTTCTTGGGATTAAAAATTCAGTATTGTTTTAATTTCTTCCCAAATTTACATATTCAATGTTATCTCAATGAGTACTAGCAAGCTTTTATTTTTGTAGAAATTGATGAACTTATTCTAAAATTAATTTGAAATTGCAAAGGGCTTTTAATTGTGGAAACAACTTTGAAAGCAGAGAATAAAGCTGAAGGATGAACACTAGTTTAAGACTTAAAACTACAATAATCAAGAAAGTGTGATATTGGCATCAAGCTAGACAACTAGATAAATGGAATGGAATAGAGAGTCCAGAAAATGACAACAGCCTATAGAGATAACTGATTTCTAAAAGGAATGCAAAGGCATTTTAGCAGAGAAAAGGCAGCCTTTTAAAGAAATGGCGCTACAACAATTAAATAGCCACATGCAAAGAATATACTTTGATCCATACATCTCACAGAAATAGATTATTGCCTTATATGTAAAGGCTAAAACCATAACATTTTTGGAAGGAATTAGGAGAAATTCTTCGTGACCTTGAGTTAGGCAACGATTTCTTAAATATGACAAGAAAGGCATGGTCTATAAAAGCAAATATGATAAATATGACTTCATAAAAATTAAAACACTTACTCTTTGAAAAACACAGCTAGTATAATGAAAAGACAAGCCATTGGCTGGAAGAAAATATTTGCTTCTCTTATACAGCAAAGGACTTTTAACCAGATTAGCTAGATAACTGTTAAAACTCTATAAAATGAAAAGAGACAGTGATTAAAAATGATCTATTGGTTTGAATGGACACTTCACCATAGAAAATGTGTGAATGGAAAATAAGTCCATGATAAGATGATCAATACCGTTAGCTCTTAGAGAAATGCAAGTTAAAACCTCAATGAGACATGATTGCACAGTTATTAGATGGCTAAGATTAAAAAGACTAATGACGCCAGGTGCTGGTGAGGCTGTATAGGAACTGGAATGCTCACATGTCACTGGTTAAAATATTAAATGTTACAACCGCTTTGGAAAAGTTTTATATTTTTTTTAGTTTTGTATTTTCCATTTTTATTTAAAATCTCCTAATATTATTTTTTGAGCCTATTAATGGTATAGGGGTTTATTGCAAAATTATATAAACATTTTCAAACAAAAGGTAAGTAAGTATGGATTATACAATAAATGACAAAACACTACTGTGTAATACTTAATATGTGGGTGTTAGACAAAGTGTTAGACTTCATAGAATTTCTAAGGCAGCTTTGTTCTGCCTGCCTTTTCTACACACATTTCACACATATTTAACATGAGTTTTCCTTTTTCCCACTGACCTTCTCACCTGGCAGCTTGCTTCTGAGTCTTTCACACAAGCCACACACAGCTGCTTGGTTGAGCACTTAAGTGGCCATCAGGCAGCAGTGTCCCTAGATGTTCCTGCTCCAAAGCACGTTTTTAAAGTGAGTAGCTGCATTCTGTCCTTGAAAGAAAAGTGTGAATAACATCACATCAGAAAGGACTGGAGAAGGAGAAGCAAATCTTAGCGGGTGTTAAATGGCTTCCAGTGTTCCTGGCAGACTGAGATGAGACCGCAGCAGAAACCAGAGGCACGAAGCCCACCTCAGCCTATTGTGAAGAATCTTTTAATATAATACTCTATACTTGTTGGTCAAAATCTTGTATTGGGTACTTTTGTTGAATTTTCAATTATATTATCTTTTGTTTCCTGTAAACTAGGTCAAATTTTCCTGAAGGTCTGATATAGTATATTTCCTTTTTAAATCATATATAATGTGTAATAATATTTTAATACATGAAACAGTCAAATGAAGACAGTTTTTACTATTTAATACATGAGACAATCAGTCAAAGGAAGACTTTTTTACTATTGATCTAAATGCTTGATCATACTGTAATTAAAAAGTGAAATAGCTGAATTTATTGATCTAAGAGCATTTATGGATCTTCAAAAGTATTCACTACGTTAGTAATAGATGCAAATAATGGATATTATGGCACAATGACTAGTCTAAGAGAGGCGACGTGTTGTCATTAATTTTTTTTCATTCAAATCTATTTATTTTTATTTTTAAAATTGTAGTAAAAATCACACAACATAAAATTTACCATCGAACCTATTTTAATTGCATAGTTCGGTGACATTAAGTGTATTCACAGTTATGAATATACTGCAAATAGTTTTTTTTTCAAAAGTTAAACACATAACTACCATCTGACATGGCAATTCCATCCCTATGTACTTCCCAGGAGAAATGAAAACATGTGTGTTTATAAAGACTTGAACACAAATGTCCATGGAAGCTTTACCTGTAATTGCTAACAACCAGAAATGACCCAAATGTTAATCAACAAGTGAATGGATAAAAACTAATACATCCATTCAGGGGAGTAATACTTAGTGATATAAAGGTTAAAAAAAACCCGTTGAGACATACAACATGGACAAATCTCAAAATAATTATGCTGAGCCAAAAAGCCAGACAAAGAATAATACATAATTATGATCTTATTTTATAAAATTACAGAGAATGCAAATGAATCTCTAGAGACAGAGGTTAATCAGTGATTGCCTAGGGAGGGTGGGGGAGAGGGGAGGAGTAAGAAGGAACAATTTCAAAACATTATCACAAAGCAAATTCCCAAGGAGATGGATAATATCCTGATTTTGATAGATTCAGTGTTTTCTATGGGTTTTTACATCTTTAAAAATCTATCCAATTTTATATTTTAAATGTGTATAATGTATATATCAATTGTATAATTCTTATATAAATTCAGCCTCAATAAGGCTGTTAAAAAATAGAAGCAACGTGAAGACTGTCTCAGACATACAAAAGTAGAGAGACGCCACTGTCAGCAGCCGGCACCACCAGGCACTAAAGGACATTTTAGAGTTGGTTTCCAGACAGAGGGAAATGATAAGAAATAAAAATGAGGGTCTACACAAAGGAACAGGAGTGGGTGTAAAATGCATCAGCAAATACAAAGCGTGTTTTACCGTATTTTGAAATCTCTTTATTGAACATTGTTTTAAACAGTAATAATAATACATTTGGGGTTTATAAGTAGAAGCAAAATGTCTGCTAACAATAGCACAAGGGCTGGGAGGTGGGAAATGGAACCAGGCAGTTGTAAGATTATTAAATTACATGGGAAGTGATGCCATATTATTTGTTATTCTTGGGTATTCTTGATAAGTTAATGCTGTGTATTGTCAACTCCAGAGCAACCATTTATAAAAACAAACATGATTCATACACCACTTACAAAGCTAACAAAAATGTAATATAAACCCATGCACACTGTGTTCCAGCAGAACTTCAAAACAATTCTTAAATGATGACTTGGTGGGAATTAGTTACTAGAATTTTCCTTCATGGCCTTGCAGACCGAGGACTTCCGCCAGCTTTCGCATGGGAGAGCGTCCTGGCACGGGGTGTCTTTGACGTGGGCAGACTGAGGACTTCAGCCAGCTTTCAAATGGGAGAGCGTCCTGGCACGGGGTGTCGTTGACGTGGGCAGACCGAGGACTTCAGCCAGCTTTCACATGGGAGAGCGTCCTGGCACGGGGCGTCGTTGATGTGGGCCATGAGTTTGCACCTTTTCAGATGGTGGGAAGCCACTCACAAGTGACAGAGGGTGTCACATGATACACAAAACCGAAAGGAAGCCCTAATCCCGGCAGGAAAGGTCTGTGTGAGGATTCACCAAGAGTGGACGTCCAGGAGTGTGTGACGCCGGAGCCGGTGTGCCCCACGCATGTGTAGGTGCTCACAGGCACACGCCTGCACGGAGGGCTGTCTGTCCAGGCCACTGCTGTGTGGTGGCCTCACTGCTGCCTTCCTTAATGGCTGATAACACTAAACTCTTTGATGTATCCAATTCCCTGCTTTATTTTAACTCAGATTATTCCTTACTGTGCCTTTGGCCATCAAATATTGACTGCATGATAACATTGTACTTTGTTTCTGTTGTCAGTGCATGACGTTTTCCACTCTCTAGGGAGTTCCACTGCCAAGAGAACACAACTCATCACCAGAGGAGACAGGATCGGGGAGGAGGCGGCCAGGCCAGCCCTGGCCCCGGCCACAGGAACACTGGCGTCCCCTGGCTGGGAAAGGACAAGGTGTGCTCCAGTTCTGGCCACGTCTGTCTGGTTTCCCCATCAGAGGTGGTGGCTTGTGAACTAGGAGCGCTCGAGTCCCAGCGCCGTGGCCCAGTCACCAGACGGTGGGTGGGGAGCCGGGCTGGGCCCTCGCCCTGGCCACAGTGCAGCCCGCTCCACTAGCTGGGACCCGGCTTCCTGCAAAACCAAAGCTCAAGGCTGGGCAGGGCAGCCAGCTGTGTCCCAACTCACCCCAAGTTTCTGCACTTCATGTCCGAGCAGATGGGCTTTCAGAGGGGACGCTGCCCTAGGGTTTCACAGCCACTTATGCTGAGTGATGCCCAAACCTGTAACTCCCAGTCACTGATCCTAGGATCCTTGAACCACAGGATGCTGACCTCATTTCCCCACCCATTGGTGGATGCGTTCATCAGAGTCTTCCAGAAACCGCGGTGGGGGGATCGCCCAGGATCGCACTCAGGAATCCCGCCGAGGGAGCTCTGTGAATGCAATTTAGGCGACCGCACTTTCTAATGTTTGAAATATTGCGTCTAAGGAGACATTTCTCTAAATGTCACAGGAGACACATGCATGTTTAAGAAATGTACATGAAAGAACATACTTGAGTATATGCCAAGTATGATGACCTAGCTATGATAATTTTCAAAAATGTAGCAATCGTATTGTCAGAAACTATTATTTTAGAGGTTAGAATGTTGACCACCCATTTGTTTTTAAATTATTATTATACTTTAAGTTTTAGGGTACATGTGCACAATGTGCAGGTTTGTTACATATGTATACATGTGCCATGTTGGTGTGCTGCACCCACTAACTCGTCATCTAGCATTACGTATATCTCCTAATGCTATCCCTCCCCCCTCCCCCCACCCCACAACAGTCCCCGGAGTGTGATGTTCCCCTTCCTGTGTCCATGTGTTCTCATTGTTCAATTCCCACCTATGAGTGAGAACATGTGGTGTTTGATTTTCTGTCCTTACGATAGTTTGCTGAGAATGGTGGTTTCCAGCTTCATCCATGTCCCTACAAAGGACATGAACTCATCCTTTTTTATGGCTGCATAGTATTCCATGGTGTATATGTGCCACATTTTCTTAATCCAGTCTATCGTTGTTGGACATTTAGGTTGGTTCCAAGTCTTTGCTATTGTGAATAGTGCCACAATAAACATACGTGTGCATGTGTCTTTATAGCAGCATGATTTATAGTCCTTTGGGTATATACCCAGTAATGGGATGGCTGGGTCAAATGGTATTTCTAGTTCTAGATCCCTGAGGAATCACCACACTGACTTCCACAATGGTTGAACTAGTTTACATGGCACCCAACTACTACTCGACATTCGTAACCTTTTATTCATTAGAAATGACCAACGGGAACTTTAAATTACATGACAGCAGTTTCCTTCTTAGAAAGAGGAAGGTAAAACTCAGAGAAACCTATCAAGCCTGAATAAAGGAGTAAACACAAAAATGAAGCAGTTCCAACTCTTCTATGGGGCTCCCTACCTGTGGTCCTTCATCCTCATAATATTATTTTCTGAATGGCCTCTGACAGCCACGATTTCCCCAAATGATCAATGTCGTCAAACTATTCAGCATGGCAGATCAGGAAAATTGTCAGATTTATTTTAGAAAGAATTTTAAAGGACAGGTGGACTCTAAAGGGATGTTGTGCTTAGCTAGATATTCAAAAATGCAATTAACGAACACATTCCTTCTCCAGATACACCGAGTTTTCCTGTGTGTTCAGGTGTTTGTTCCGAGGGTGCGTTAGTGGACGAATTCCTCCACCTGTGCATCTGGAGACCTGGGGATGTCTATGCTCTTTGCCCCCTGCCAGGTAAAAGAGTAAACTTCTAATAATCAGCTCAGATTCCCTTTTGTTGGGTTAGGAGATGAAAATACGTTGTACTGGATTCTCTTTGAAATCTAAAATGTCCGTTGGTTTTGGAGTTTTCTAACAGAACCGCCCTTCAGGTAAACATCCAAAACCTTCCTGTGACCCCGTGCAGAAGCGCCTCCCACAGCCCCCAGAGGAGAGAGGTAACCTCGGCAGATGCTGAGACCAGGGAGCCACCTCTCTTGGGCTGTGCTGGAAGCATCTCTGAGCTCTGCTCAGGTGGGAGTTACTGACACGCATATCCGTGCGAGGGCTGGCGTTTCCTTCTTTCATCAAACTGCCCATCCCCTCTGCAGCCAGTGCAGGAGTCGCGGAGTGCCGCCTTGGCTCTGGCCGCCTGAAGGCCTGCCGTGCTGGAGAGCGGGTCCAGGGGTTGACATCTCTATTCTTTTGTCTGACAAATCTGTGCACTGGCTTGTAAAAAAAATCAATACTGTTTTTCCTTGGTTCTCTCTCCACAGGTGAGCTGGTGGATCGTAGCGGCTCTCCCCGTTCCCGCCTCCAATTCTGTTCTCAGTTTGTTTCTCTTGCTTCAGGGTTGAGCATGTGATCATATCTCCAGCGGACGACACCAAAAGAATGTCTGTGACCTCGTCCCCTGGCGACCACGTCTACAGTGACTGAGTGCTGCCGTGGCTGGAAAGCCAGGGTCTGCATCTCCCAGGACCTCAGGACCTGTGATGAGGTGTTGTGGGGCCAAGAAGAGGAGGGGGTCCATGGTGGGCTCTGCCGCAGGTGACCCTGCGCACTGTCCTAGCACCTGTGCCTAAGGAGATGCCCTCTATGGTACCAAGCATCTCCCAAAATGTGATTTGCTCTTCCTGTGATAGAATGGAGTGGGCTGAGGGGGCGATGGGTGCTGGAAAGCCACAAGGCTGCCATTGATCTGCCAGAGAAGGCACCTGCTCACCTGGCAGGATGCTCACCTGGCAGGATGTTCACCTGGCAGGATGCTCACCTGGCAGGAATAGCAAATTTGCTAGAAAAATGCAGGTTCCCCTGTTCTGGGTGATCTGTGACTTCTGCCACACAGGGGATCCAGAGTGCGAGGATATCCAGAGAGCTGGAATGAGGATTTTGCTGAGCTGAGGTGGGTTGCTTTCCTCTCCTTCCCTCATGAAATCACAAAACCCATGCTCATCTCCCAGATGACCTAAGGGTGGCAGTTCCTAGAGGCAGGCGATAAATGAGGCACAGTGACCTCACGTCCAGCCTAGTTTCCTGTGTTCATTCCTGAAGGGACCTGAGTGTGGGAACAGAGTGCTCTCCTCTCTCTCTTTCTCTCTCATTCTCTCATTCCTTCTTTCTCTTTCTCTCTCTCTTTCCCTTTCTCTCTCTCTCCTCTTATTCTCCCTCTTTCTCTCTCTCTTCCCCCAGCCCCCACGTTTGTCCTTCTCCTTCCTTGCAGTCTTGCTCTTTTTCATCCATATTCCCTTTTACTATAAACTTGCTCATCTTCACTGAGGTTTAACCATGACCCAAGTTCTAGATCTTATGGGCTATTTATTATGAAGACCTAGGACTTCCTGTTTGCAGGTGAACACAGAAAGGCTTAGGATTCTTAGTAGAGAGCCTAAGCAGTCCAGATGGGAGACGTGCATTTAAGGAGAGAGATCTGATGGCCGCTCGCTGGGGATGACGCCCTTTTTGGTCCATGATCAGCCCCTGGTGCCAGGTGAGGGGACCAGGCATCGAGCTGGTCTTCAGGCCTCAGGGCTCAGCTGCCACAGAGGAGGACCCATGAGGACCTCACACCCCTGAGGCCTCCCTGAGTTCTGCTCTCCGCAGGCCTGGCCTGCATCATTTCCAGCAATTTCCACAAGTGCTTCCTTTTTAAAAGCAGAGTCTTCAAGATTGACCTTGTATAGTATTCATTTATTTAAAAAACCCAGCTTCTGCTGTGGTGCTCACTGAGCGATTGGAGCAGTGCTGAGCACGGCTTCCTTGGGTGGGCCTCGACGGACACCCACCCCTCTAACTGCTTAATATCACGAATGTGTCCTAAATTCACACTTAGAAAAGCTGCATCTCAAATTTCCTTATTGGGGTGGCAGCTGTGAGACTCCCACATCCTTGTTCCACATCAGTAGAGACAGACCCCTGTGTCAGCTCCACAGTCTGGCTCAACTTGGTGTGAGTGTGGGAAGTTCACACCCAGGCCAATTTAAGGTCAAGGTTGAAGGTTTCTCATCAGAAGAAAACCCCATCACCACATCATTCTCTCCCTCACCGGGCAGTGCCTAGTCCACTTCTGATATCCAGGACGGATAAGATCTCCCAGGGGGTTGGCCAACTCCTCTGCAGCCCCACACCTGGGTGTGACCCCGAGACCCCAACACACCTGGGTATATCCCTGAGACCCCGACATACCTAGGTATGTCCCTGAGACCCCAACACACGTGGGTATATCCCTGAGACCCCGACACACCTAGGTATGTCCCTGAGACCCCGACACACCTAGGTATGTCCCTGAGACCCCAACACACCTGGGTATGTCCCTGAGACCCCGACACACCTAGGTATGTCCCTGAGACCCCAACACACATGGGTATATCCCTGAGACCCCAACACACCTGGATATATCCCTGAGACCCCGGCATACCTAGGTATGTCCGTGAGACTCCAACACACATGGGTATATCCCTGAGATCCCGACACACCTGGGTGTGACCCCAAGACCCCAACACACCTGGATATATCCTTGAGACCCCAGCATACTTAGGTGTGTCCCTGAGACACCAACACACCTGGGTATGTCCCTGAGACCCCGGCACACCTGGGTATATCCCTCAAACCCCAACACACCTGGGTATGTCCCTGAGACCCCAACACACCTGGGTGTGTCCTCACAACTCCATCACAAGTCTCCTTGCATTTGGTTTTCTTGTTCTGCTCAGCTGGGGTCTCCAGGCCCAGCCCAGTGACAGGGGGATGGGGTCCACGCCCCACTCCTCCTGCATAGAAAGTCAAATCGAGATCGGAGAAATAAAGTTGAGGGGCCCAAGTCACAAAGCTGGGGGATGGTGGGGGTTGGGGGTGAGGCCTCAGTTCTCTTGTTCTGCCAACTACTCCTATTCCTGGGTAAGATGATCACTAAAGGACTCTGGGTTTTAACTTGAAAACAAAGGAGAAAAAAGTTATATCCTTCAGGTCCTCTTCCATTGTAAAAAGTACATATAAAAATAGGGCTGAGCACACGTGACCCCTCCTGGGACTCAGCGAAGTTCCTGGCAGTGACTGGAACTCAGTGAACGTCTCTGGAAGTAACTGATGGGGTAGACCAGGAGAAAATACTTAGTCTCTAGTGGAGACAAAGAGACAAAAGGGGGCTACAATTTTTTGTTTTATTTATGCTTTTCTCTTTTCCTTTTCTTAGGGCTAAGCTTGAAGCAGAAGAAACCACAGTAAAAACACTGGTCAATGTATGGTAATTTTAAAGTCATCTACTTCCTATACATGTGATTGTTGGCCAGGGCATTTATGATTTATGTTATATTTTATTTTCCTATGGTCTTAAGTTGTTGGTTATACTCTAGAACTTTGCATACATGCAGTTGTTGGCTGGGACATTTATGATTTATCTTGTATTTTACAATTGTCTTAAGTTGTTGGTTATCCTCTAGAACTTCCTGTACATGTAGGGTTGGCCGGGCCACTCATGATTTATGTTGTATTTTATTTTGCTATGATCTTAAGTTGTTGGTTTTCCTCTAGAACTTCTTGTACATGTAATTGTTGGCCAGGGAATTTATGATTTACATTGTGTTTTATTTTATTATGATCATAAGTTGTTGGTTTTCCTCTAGAACTTCCCATACATAATTCTTGGCCAGGGCATTTATGACGTATGTTGTGTTTTATTTTGCAATGGTCTTAAGTTGTTGTTGTTGTTGTTTTCTAGAACTTTAGTGCATTTCACAGTAACATATTTTAGTGGATGGTGAGGTAAGGGCCCAAACCCCCCAAAACAAATTGTAAATTCCAGTAAAAACTATTACCCAGTAGTTGGCATGGAAAAGTTTGGTGGCTCCTTACAAAGTTAAATGTAGAACTACCGTATCACACAGAAACTCCACTCCTAGGCATATATGTCCGGAAGAATTGTGGGCAGAGGCTGGAACAGATAATTGTACAGGAAAGTCATAACAACATCATTCACCATAACCAAAAAGCAGAAGCAACCATGCCCATGGAGAGGTGAATGGGTAAGCCCAACGTGGTCTGTCCATACAAGGGAATGCTTTCAGCCTCAACAAGGGATGGAGTTTTCATACACGCTGCAACCAGGATGGACCTGCAAAACACATGAAGTGCAGTAAGCCAGACACAGAAGGACAGATATGACATGTCTCCATGGACACGGAATACTTAGAACAGGCAATTTCACAGACAGAAGGTAGAGTGGAGACACTCAAGGCTGGGGAATGGGATGGAGGGGGTGTTGTTATTGGAGGTGCCGAGCTTATGTTGGGGATGGTGAAGAAGTTTTGGGGATAGCAGTGGTGAGGGCTACACAAATTGTGAATAGATGATTTAATGCTCCTTCATCGTCTGCTGAAAAACGGCTACAACGGCAAGCATTCTATTCTCTATGCTTTACCATAGCAAAAAAAAAAAAATGAATACCTAGTAGGAACTTTATGCGGTTATTTTGAAACATGGGTCAGATTCTACATTTACTCTCCAAGATCACAACGATAAGTGTTTTGTGAATGGTGGAGCCAGTGATGCAGAGAGGACGGCCGACACTGCCCCCCAGGGGCTCTGAGCCCCTGTCTCCTCACCTGTGAAGCAGACGCAAGTTACTTGGAAGTATTTTCAAGCACGAACGTGCATGACGGGTAAAATATCTAGACCGCATCACTGCGCAGCCACTAGTCAGTGCTTCCTAGGAGTCAAGTTTGTAGTGTGAACTTGATACATACGGACACAAGTTTCTGTCCTGAAGCTTGCAGTCACTCTGGGAGGTGGTGGATGGTATTACTGGGCCCGTTTTTCATTGGGGAAACTGAGGCTCCAACACTGAAATAATTCACTTCACCTGGAGTTGAGCCAAGATTCTCTTTACTCCAAAGCCAGCACTCCTTCTGAGAACAGGACTTTGATTTGGATGGACGGATGTTGCTGGGGGCCTCAGCACAGGGTCTTTGGGCTCACAGCTGGACATGCAGCTGTTCAGCGGCAGCTGCGGTCTGTCCACCCAGGCGGAGACTGGATGCAACAGTTTCAGGCGGGGTTCCTCCCTCCCCAGGTGCCTGCCCACCTCTCCCTTACATGGGATGTCTCTCTTCTTCCTCCTTGCCTGGTCCCTAAAGCACTTGAGTTTGTGGTTCATTTTTTAAAAAATGATATATTTTATTTAACCCAGTATATTAAAAATGTCATTTCAGAATGTACGTTTTCCTTTTTTTTTTTTTTGCAATTGGCCGTGTATTTTACACCTTTATTTTATTGATTTATTTTTTTAGACAGAGTCTTTCTCTGTTGCCTGTGACGTGATCTCAGCTCACTGCAACCTCAGCCTCCCGAGTAGCTAAGATTACAGACATGTGCCACCATGCCTGGCTAATTTTTGTATTTTTGGTAAAGATGAGGTTTAGCCATGTTGGCCAGGCTGGTCTCAAACTCCTGACCTCAAGTGATCCAGCCACCTTGGCCTTTCACAGTGCTGGGATTACAGGGCTGAGCCTCTGTGCCCGGCCAGACTAAGCAGGCTTCATGTGTCCAACAGCTATGTTGGGCAGGTGGCTCCGAGCTGGAGGGCACAGGTTTGGATGGAAGACGACTGCGTGTGAAAGCACCACTGTGAGCCTTGCGGGGATGCAGAGCCCATGGCACAGGCCGCTCCTGAGTGACTTCTCCAGAACCTGCCTGCTATAAGCGCTCAGGTGTCTCTGTCTCTCTGCACCAAACCTTACTACTCTTAAAGGTTTTGAGACACCAGTTTACTTAGTATACTAATAATTGTACCCAATTACTACCATTAGATTGGATAAAAGACCATTAGATTGGGTTTTTGCTGTCATTTATTTTCATTGATTTCTTAACATTATTTTACATTTTAAATAAAAATTGTGTATATTTAAAGTGCACAATGTGTTGTTCTCATGTACACTGACATAGTGACATGATTACTATGGTAAAGCTAATTAACACTTCCTTCTCCTCACATAACTCCTTTATTTATGTGTTGGGAGCAGCTCGGATCTACTCAGCGACTTTCCAGAGAGCCGTGTGGCTTTACTAATGACAGACATCGTGGTGCATTCCAGACCCCTGGGCTTGTTCATCTGACGTCACTGCAACCTCCTGATTCCACTCAATAGGCCAAGACAAGCGGAAGCTCCGGTTCAGGGAGAACGTTCCCCAGGAAATCAGGGCAGCAGAGTTTTCCAGGAACGGAGGCTGTGACGGTGGAGGGTGGCCAGGCAGCAGGAGGCCGGGGAAGCGGGTGTCCTGAAGCAGAGGCCGCGGCGCCACGTGTATGGCAGCTTGCAGGTGAGGAGCACTGCAGTGAAACAAATCAGACCCCGCAGAGGTGAGCGTAAGGGAAGGGAGCTGCCCCCTCCCGCCACCCCCCTGCTCTCCTGCGGCTGTAGAAGCCGGGGCCTGAGCTGTGTCGCTCCCCTGAAGACCTCGGGGCAGCATGTGGGCCAAGTTCCAGCCTGCTTCACAGTCCTTCCGGGGATTGTGGTGGTGAGAGGTTTTTTCTAATTTTATGAAAGGTATCACTATCTTTTTTTCCTGATTATCTTGGTAGTTTGTAGAGAGAAGGGAGTGGTCTCTGCATTTTAATAAACCCACTGTCTCCACCCAGAGTCCTGCAAAGTGGATCTTGATGCTGTGGCCCTTACGGGTGAGGCGGGAGCAGCCCATAGATGCCGGGGCCTGGCCGGCCTGGGCTTTTCTCTGTGCAGCCTACAGGGGAGCCTGTAAGGGCCTGCAGCCGGTGCTCCGATACAGCGGCTGGGAAGTGGAACACTTGGCAACTGCTGGGTCACCTCGCTGTGTTTTCTGAGGCACATGTGTTTTGGAACGTAGTGTTAGTGAACGTCCGTCCGTGAGGGCTTCCATCTCTCAGGTGGGTAGCAAGCATTCTAGGTAGGTCATCTTGCTGGTTCCTCATAATACAACCTTGTAAGCCAATATTGTTATGAAGCCTATTTCACAGATAGGAAAACTGAGTTTTAGAGAGGTGAGCAATCTTCCCAGGCTGCCAAGCAGGGCTGGGACGCAGGCTTCCCTGCACCCGCGCTCACCTGACTCCAAAGCCAGGCTCTGGATCAATAGGATGTGGCTCAAATCTGTGGCACATCTGCTTGCCATCTCCCTAGGACCACCATGAGACCCTTGAGACCAGGCACCACATCTCTGTACACTGCAGTGCCCTCATTGCTAGTACAGTCCCTGGCACGTGGTCAGACCACAGTTAAAACCTGGTGAGCAGATAAATAAGTAAATGGATACTTGAATGGTGAATGAACGCGTGTATACATTTCAAAACCCAGCTCAAACCAACTAAGATAAATACATTACCGGAGTACAGAAATTGGACCTCTCAAATTGCACCAAAATATTTCTGTGGTTATGTGCATAACTTTTTCACATTTGAACCTGCAATTTTGTGTCAAGATGTAATTTTTTTAAAAAGCTAGTTTCATAATGTTGTTACCAATGGTTTTACATTTTTGGCATCTCCACGGTGTGAGAGGCAAAGGGCCTGCATTCTTGATTCTAACAATTTAACTGCAATCTGTCAATTTCAAGCAGGAAATCTGATCTGAGTTTTCAAACCCCCATGTCTCCCCGAGAGTCAATAATTCACCATTTTAGGGCAACGGGCCCATTAACACTGAACAGCTTGAGAATGCACTCTTCATTGATCAGATAAACAAGTCATGAGATATTTTATTACAAAATGACGAACTAATTTAGTCATCTTTTCACCAACAATGGACTTATATTAGATGTGAAATGGCAAGAAATTTTCTTCCTCAGGGAGCTATCATAAGAAACACAAACTGAAAGCTTCTCATCCAAATGGCTCATCTGACTGGGCTTACCCTGAATTCAACCCAAATTTAAGCCAGACCGCTGATAAGTTTTGCTTAAAAGTGATAGGTTTTTCTTTGTTGGTCTTATTCCAAATTATATGCAATATTTTGTCTTATATTTATGTCATACATTTAGCTTTTTCTGGTAGTTTCTTATTGAAATACAGTAATTATATGGGTAACTTATACAAGTATTACTTGTCATAATTCTGAATTTTTAATTCATCTTAAGTAAATGATTGAGGCAATTTTAAATCCATTTCCATGAAGATTTTACATTCTTTTTGAATGTACAAAATGGAACGGATATTGCCTTTGGTTGGTAAATAGAAATAAATTGCAGGCCAGGTGTGGGCACAGTGAGGCAGTGGCAGAGATGACCAATGCTGACTGGGAGTCAGGGTACTTGGGGGAAAACAGGCTGTGGAATTCGCCTTGCCAGCACTCTTTCTGACTATGTGTTCAGAGAAGTCCCTCTCACCCAGGGTCTCTGAAAATGCTGGGCTCAGCGAAAGTGTGACTGGGCTACAGGAAGGCATGATGCTGAAGCTCTGGCTCTGTGTTTCTTCCTGCACAACCGAGGAAGGAACTGCTTACATCACAGGGCGTGTTCACGGCTCCCCGCTGCGGGCACTGCGAGTAACCTACTCAGCTGCCTATAGCGGCCCTGGGTCCCCTGCCCTGGGTCTGTGGGTTAAGCCACCGCCTTGTTGTTCACTGCGTCTGGCAGTTACATCCTGAGTGTAAAAGGTCTCATTTGGGTGGGACAGGAGGCAGCGCCTGGGTAGGGTGAGGTCACACCAGGGGTGCCACAAAGCCTGGGCTTTGAGGAATCGTGCCCTTAGTGGGAGGTCTGGGAAACACAGGTCTGGAATAGAACCTGTCTTAATTTTGACTCCAATGGAGAGAATGAGGGGGGAGTATTCCTATTCGTATTGTTACACTCAAGCAGAAACAAATTCAGGTCTTTTCTGGAGGAATATACTTTACATAAGGACAATGACCTCAAAGACTTCCCACTGATGAAATTCCATAAAACAAGAGGTCAGAACAAACCTTCATAGGACAAATGAGGAAATAAGCTGCCACAACCCAGGATGCACAGAAACAGCTACAAAATCAGAACCACACACACTCCAGATATTGGCATCTCCCGAAACAGAACATAAACACATGTAATATATTTAAAAATCAGAAGAGGAAATGCATGAATGATGAAGGTAACAGAGACTACCAAGATTGACATGTGGAATTGACAAAGAACCAAATAGAATGTCTAGAAATGAAAAACGTAATAATGAAAATAAGCACAGCGGGGGGGTCACATAGACCTTAAAGGCTGAATTGGAGCTAAGTTACTCTATATAAAACATGGAAGACAGATTTTAAGGACTGACTCAGGATGCACAACAGAGTTACAAAAATACAGAAAATACACAAGAGTGTTCAAAGAAAGGGCAGAGAGGTAAGGGTATGGTGAGGAGGTAGCATTAGAAAGGTAGGCTCCGAACTGTCAGCAACTGACAGTAGACACCGAATCTCAAGTTCATGAAGCCCAGTAAACCCCAAGCAGCAGAATTAAAAAGAAATCCTCACCAAGTTATAGAAATGCCACTGAAAAACACCACGGACAAGGAAAACATCTCTGTTCTCAAGAAAGAAAAAACAAAAATTTACTACAAATGGAAAGAACCATCTGATAGCAGTAGGCTGAAAATTTTCTCAAAGTTTACACAGAGCTGAGAATAGTTTGAATTCCAACAGCCAATGTGGGAGAAACCCATAATACATACGGCATCAGATAGAGTCTGAAGATGTGTTGGTTGGTTCAGAAGTGGAGGTAAATGAGCTCTAGACTGTGTAGCACTCTGACTTTCCCTAACAAAGCTTCAAATCCTCAAAAGATCAAACGAATTTCAAAAATACCTAAGTACAAACAGGAAAAAACCCCACAATATTCTTTATAGGAATCTAATAAAATCTGGCATCCAACAACATAAAATTAACAGTTTTCAACATCCAGCAAACAAACAAAGCCACTTCCAGGCATGCATGAGAGGACGAAAATACGGCTTAGGACAAGAATAAAAATCAGTCAAGAGCTGCCTCTTATTAGCAACCATGGAGGCCAAAAGAAAGTGGACCAACATCCTTAAAGTGCTGGAAGAAAAATAATGTCAACTCCAAATACTATATCCAGTGAAACTATCATTTAAGAATGGAGGTAAAATAAAGACATTTTAAGATATAAGATAACTAAAAGAACTCATCACTACAAGAAATGTTGATGATGGTTCCTGGGGAAGAATAATAGTGACACCAGAAGGAAGCTCAGAACATAAGGGACAAACAAAGAGTATCAGAAATGGTAAATATCTGAATAAATTCAAAATACTATTTTTCTTTTTTGCCTTTCTTCACCTTGATTTCATAGAAGCTATAAACTGTTTTGAAAAAGGTAACATTGTGTCATGGGTTTATAATGTGTGTAGTTGTGTTACGTTTGACAATAATAACATAAGGGCATGGAAAAAATATAGACCTTAAAGCTGTAAGATTTCAATATTTTACATAAAAAGTAGACCTACTAAAAGTTAAAAAGTGTATTAAATTGCCAGAGCAACCATGAAAAGAAATGGAATTCTATAAAATCAGTAGTAGTGCAACGTATGACAATAGTAGCCCAAAGGACAGGTGCAGGGGAGATGGATGGATAGATGAAATAGAAGGGCAAATGGAGAGGTAGACAGATGGATAGATGAATAGATAGCTAGGCAGATATATAGATGGATAGATAGATGTATATATGGATAGATAGATGAATAGATAGATGGAGAGATGGATGGATAGATGAATAGAAGGACAGATGGAGAGGTAGACAGATGGTAGATGAATAGATAGGCAGATATATAGAGAATAGATGTATATATGGATAGATGGATGAATAGATGGATAGATGAATAGAAGCACAGATGGATAGGTAGACGATGGATAGATGAATAGATAGATGGATATATGGAGGGATAGCTAGATGTATATATGGATAGATAGATGAATAGATAGATGGATAGATGGATGGATAGATGAATAGAAGGACAGATGGATAGGTAGACAGATGGATAGATGAATAGATAGATATATAGAGGGATAGATAGATGTATATACGGATAGATAGATGAATAGATAGATGGATAGATGGATGGATAGATGAATGGATAGATGGATAGGTAGATAGATGCATAGATGAATAGATGTATATAGATAGATGGATATGTAGATTGGTAGATGGATAGATAGATGGATAGATGAATAAATAGATGTAGACATAGATAGATTGATAGATAGATAGATAGTATATTAGTCCTTTCTCACACTGCTATAAATATACTACCTGAGACTGGGTAATTTATAAAGAAAAGAGGTTTAATTAACTCACAGTTCCACTTGGCTGGGGAAGCCTCAGAAAACTTACAATTATGGTGGAAGAGGAAGCAGGCACATATTACATGGTGGTAGGTGAGAGAGAGTGCGTGAAGGAGGAACTGTCAGACACTTATAAAACCATCAGATCTTATGAGAATTCGTTCACTATCATGAGAACAGCCTGGGGGAACCACACCCATGATCCAATCACCTCCCACCGGGTCCCTCCCTCAACATGTGGGGATTATGAGGATTACAATTCAAGATGAGATTTGGGTGAGGACACAGAGCTGAACCATATCAGATGAATAGGTAGATGGATGGATAGATGAATAGATAGATTGATAGATAGACGGATGGATAGATGGATAGAAAGATAGGTAGATGAGTAGATAGATAGATAAAGAGATGTATATATGAATAGACAGATGGATAGATGGATAGATGGCTGGATAGATTGATGGGTGGATGAATAGATAGATGGCTACATGGGTAGGTGGATGAATAGATAGATGGCTACATGGGTAGGTGGATGAATAGATAGATGGCCACATGGGTAGATAGATGGATAGATAGAACTGTTGCATCAACAGTAGAGATAAAATTAAAACATAAAAAAATTAATCCAAAACAAGGCAGAAAATGAGGAAAATAGAAATCAAGTAGAAAACATGGACATCTTGCAAGGTGGTAGATTTAAATCTAACTGTATCAATAATTGCATTAAATGGAAATAGTCTAAACAGGGTTTTCTGTTAGGAGGAATTATTTAAGGGAGAAAGCTGAATCAAATTAATTTGTAGCATCACAATACTCTCAAAAAAGGTAATATAGTTTCCTGAGACTGAGTATATTAGATATAAGTAATAAATGTGAATGTGTCTAGGTTTATGTACTAATGTTTATTATAAATTGGACAATTTCTCAAGGGATAAACAACACAAATTAATCTTGTAGTTTCTGCTGTCTTGAAGTAGAATGAGTTGAACAATAACTCATTGATATTTAGAAAATGCTAGACATATCTTGCTGTGCTTTTTTCTATTGCTGAAAACAATTGGGATTTAAACAACACTTTATATTTTTTTTAAGTGCAGACAAAAAAGATTGTACTTCTGACAAGAAGGCTCCCTGGAGTCAGTGCCTCGAATGGAGGAAATGAGTCTCATTAAAGCTGGGATACCTTCCCGCCTTCTCTCTGGTGGCCGTGTGGGTCTGTGATCCTTGGAGGCTAGCACTTAAACTCTTCCTTTTACTGGAAAAGGCATTTTGGTGTCAGTCATGGGATATGCCACTTTCAACTCTCAGAGTCCTGCTCAAATCTTGACCCAACCCCAGTCTTCAATTCCCTGTGGTAACAATAACCGAATAATCAACAAAGCTGGGCTTCCACATCACTCCTGGGTACCATGTACTGTGGGTCCCCCCACACCCCACACAAATGCAGACATCTGGTTGGAAGTCCACACAGCACATAGTCTCTCCTGGCTACGGTTGTACTGACATCATTGTTGTTGATTTTGTTTTTGTGTTTGTTTCTGTTTTAAGCAACTGCCTGATCCAAGCATTGAAACTAATCTGGCTATTGTGGCTATTTCTAAGACCAATTAAGTCGGTTTCCTGTTTCAATGGCTTGTGGGAACCATTTAGATTGTGCAAATGATTAAACGACTACATCACATCGATTGCTCTAAATAAACACAGCCTAAAGCGCCTGCCCCTAAAATAGCAAATAAGAGAGGCAAGATGGAGTGCCATATAGTTCTTTAGATACAAAAATCAATAGGATAATTCAGGTTCTAAGGAGAAATACTTGATATGTCAAGTTTGCTTATTTTATCTATGAGCAAATGGAACACAAGACCAATTGCTCATATTTATTCTGTAGATTCCTGGCAGAAGCTAAGAACTGTCTTAAAATAAATTTTAAAAGTAAATAAGTTATAATGCATAGGTTAGCCCATTCATTAATGATTTTCAGTTTCAAGTGTAAATATTTCTTAATGATTACTAGTTGATCAGTGTAATGAAAACATTGAGTAGACAAACTAAATGCACAGTATAAATGTGACATAAACACTGGTTTCAATTTGTCTCAAGAAAAAAGAAAAAAAAAAAGGCCCCTGCAATGGCAAAGAGTGGCCACTATTGGGGTAATTCAAACAACCCACTGTAATACAGGAAAGGCTTTGAAAACAGGAGGCGCAGAATATTTCCAATGCTCATAAAGGCAGAGAATTTCCAAATTGATTCTTTTGGGAAAACTCTCATCTGGAGGTATTGGACCAGGGATACTTCTTTAAAAACACGGGTGTGTTTCTCTCCCAGTGAACTGAACGTGCAGTGCTGAAGCACTTGTGAATCATCACACCTGCAGGGACCACCCGATGGCAGACTCCCCGCGCTTCTGCACCGCTGCCTCCACGGGGCGGACTCCAGGCCCCTTGCAGTCCCCACCAGGCCCTGAAGACGCACTGACACTCAGCAGAGCTCACCTCCTGAGGACTCTCAGTATACTCTTGTTCTCTGAGGACAGTGTCGCCCGGGTGATGTCCTGGTGTGCTGCATGGATATCCTGCGCGGGAACCCAGGAGACACACTGGTGGGAGCAGTGATTGCATTTGGCCAAGGCTCATTCACCAGGAGAGTGAGCCAGTGGCCATGTGCGGCAGGACCCAGGTGTGCAGCAGGACCCGGGCAGCTCTAGAAGTCCACAGGAGGAGCTACACGGGAGACGTCGTCCTTCCCAACACTGACACGGGACGCTAGTGCGCTCTTCCAACAGAGCTGCTTAGGAACAGAGGACTTAGAGGAGAAGGCATGGGTGGGAGAGAGGGGCTGGGTAGTGAGCGAGGGAGAGGTGGGCAGAGGCCTGCGGTGGAGCCCACAGCTGGAGGCAGACAGCTCACTGGGGAGGAGATGGGGAGAACAGAGGAGACTGTGACCACAACAAGAGAGTGTGCGTGAAGAGAATCCAGAGTTCCTCCCCCTGTGCTGTGGGCAGAGAAGCACTGGGCTTGGCCAGCAGCAGAGCGGAGGCCGCCACCCTCTACCCACCATCAAGGACCCGGGCATCAAAGGCGGGAGCCATGACCCTCATCAGCACAGGCCTGTCTTTTTCCCTTCTGGAGTGTGATGCTGTCCCGATTTCATGCACAGCTGTCCGGCCGCGGAGAGAAACGCAGGGTGCACGGCTTTCCTGTGCCCACTCTGGAAAGCTTCTCATGTGCGCTGAGTTGGCCACAAGATAGATGAGTTATTGTCTGAGGGGTGCTTGTACCCACTAGGGCCCTTTCAGAGTTGAGAGAGGCAGCATCTTGCAGAGAGGAATGTTCTAGAAACTTCCCTGTGAGCACCAGCTCCGCAGGCTCCTTCTGTGTGGTGAAGATGTCTGTGACAAAAACACTCCCAAAGCCTAAGCAAGGGTGTGAGCGCCCTAGAGAGACCGTTTGCCCCACCCCGGAAATGTTCATTCCTGCCATGGAACCTTCCTGTTCATTCCACAGAGGCTGAGCCGGCTTGTGGGGCTTGGCAAGGACTAGGCGGGGGGCATCGAACCCTAAGGAGCTGAGCCACCGCTGGGGTCGGGGTCCAGTCCTGGGGAACGCGGGTCCCTGGAGCACAGCAGGGCCTGACCGCCTCCGCGCCGCCCTCCCCGCATTTCCTCTCCTCCTCCCCAAGCCCATGGCTCAGAACACCGAGACCTGCCTCGCCAAGAAACGCCCATTTATTTCCTTCCTATTTATTTATTTTGCAAAAGCCGCCTTTTGAAAGCCGGAGTGCAGTGCGGACTGGCTGAGGCCGGGGCCCAGGCGCGCGCCTCCTTCCTGCAGGCGGCCCGGGGCATCGATCGCGCGGGGCGTAATGAACCCTAATAACAGCTCTATCACCGCCCGCCCGCCAATTGGCCCGGGTGCCCTCCAAATTAGCCACAAAGAAGCCAGTCTGTCAATATTAATTCCGCCGCGGAGATTACTTGTTGTGGGAGAACAAAGGTGTTCTGGCTTGAGCTGAACAACTTAACTCCTTGTCTCATAAAATTTAAGCTGCTATTGATCGCCTCCTTGCATTGTGTGAGGATTAAACACGTGCGCGTGCACATCCAGGCACACGCGCGCACACACTCGGGGCGCCCGGCCCCGCTCAGGCAGCCGCCCCACCTCCTCGCCTACCCGGAATCATTCAGCAACGTGGAGCAAATTAAATCAATGAATTCATCCTAGCAGATGGCCACTTTAACACTCAGTTAGCCCTTTAGATAATTGAGCGTTGACTCCGGAATCATAAAATGGATGGCTCGTTTGTACATTTTACTGAAATAGATCACCGAGGTTAAATAAATGAAATCCCATTTGTCAGGCGGTAATAAATGGCCTCCCCTTCTGCAAACAGCTCTGTTTGGCCTAATAAATACAGGGACGTTACAGCGCTCCTCCCTTGATAGGGTTACAGCTTAATGAAATGGCCTTCCCTCTGCTTGTTTTTGCCGCCTCCTGCACCGTGTGATAAGTAGCAAACCAACGAAGCTTGTAATTACAATCTTACAGAAACCCGGCCAATCTGTATATAAATCTCACCCTCCAATTACAAGATGTAATAATTTTGCAGTCAAGCTGGTAATGAGGTCTAATACTCATGCCTGTGATAATCCCCCCTGGATGCTGACTCTATCAGATGTTAGCTTTGTAATTATACTGGCAGAAAATCATTATTTCATGTTCAGCAGAAAAATGAGGTTGGTGGGAAGTTAATTTTCTCTATGCTCTGTGAAGCGTAGACAAAATTTTAATGATTTAATCATTATGGTTATCCCTTTTGCAATTGACCCACGTTACTTGTGTAGAAACATTGGCACATTTAAAAGTCCCTGTTACCCGATAAAGCTTGCCAGGTATGCAGCTTTTAATGTAAGAATAACTGTGTACAATTAAACTATTACCCTGCCGATAGGGAAAATTCATTTTACTTTTAGTTTCCGTTATTTACGTGTGTGATTCATGGAAATGTTTATGTCTTGCCCACACTATAATAAATGGCTAATTAAAAAAATTGAATTATGCCGCCCTGATTATGTCAACCCTGCAAAATAGCATCACAGAAGAATATTCGGACCAGATAATTTTTGGATATGGGCCTGAGAAGCGACAGCTTCTGTGTCTCCTGTAAAGAATAAGGACAAAAAATGGAAGAGTTGCCAATATCCCATTTGGGGAATATGACTTCTCAAATATGAGCCTTTAATATTTCTCAATCTGGTCAAGGGGCTGTTTATAAACAATGCGCTTTTAGATACAGTTGATGCTTGAACATCATTTTTTCCTCGTACTTTTGGACTCTTCAGTGACGTAGAGGAAGACACATGTCACACACATGGCACGCTCAACAATGTCAGTCTAGTCATAGGTTAAAGAAGGATAAGGATATGAGAGTTGCCTCCTAGGAGGCCAAATTTAATGATAGACTTTGGAAAACATACTCCTGGTGCTATATTTTGTGGTAAAACTAGCTTTGCCCTGAAACTCCTAATAAGGTCGGAAGAATTTTTCTGCCTGCCTGATCAAATGTTGCCCACAGCTTAAGACTGCCTGTTTCTGCACCAGTCTGCTCTGGTGTTGACAGAGCTTGCCGGCTAGCACAGCCCCATGCTGGGTCACAGCGAGGGTTCCAGTGAGTGAAGAAGGTGCCTGGGGGATAATCATGTCCCTGGTTCTAGACTTACTTTATATTCCTGTCTGTCCTTTCCTGCAAAACTGAAGTCTTTGGAATCAGCCCTTGCCCACACCTCTGGGATCGTGAGTGGGCTGGGGTGTGCGCTGCAGCTGGGAGAATCCACTTAGCATCCTGTGGGCTGTGAATGGGATGAGCTCAGCTCTACAAGGGTGGAGACTTTACAGCTATGAACCAAGGTCATTTTTTTTTTAAGGAAAATTCCATATTAGTGAATTGGCTTTTTGCTAAACTCCATACGTATAGAAAGATATCAGTATCTGTTGCAAATGGCAGATACAATTTTATGCACCTAATAATTTCTATAGATACTGAGATGAACTATGCAAATCTAGATTTAAGTGTATAATTAAACTGTGGCACTTGGTTTCTCCTCTTGCAGTTATAACTCTCAAAATTGCAACATAATTGATCATTGAAGATTTTGCCTTTTCAGGATAAAAGCCAAAGTGATTGCTCCAAATGGACATCCATGCCAGTCATCTGTGTAAGGATCGCTGAGTGTCTCACAAAAGCACGTGGGTATGAAGGTGGGGTTGACATTGATGATTAAACCAAGCAGTACAGAAGCATCGGTGCTGGTCACTTATCCCCGTCCTTCCCATCATTCGAGATCCCCTTCCAGCGAATGGTGAGTGAGAAGGAGTCAATACTCCCCGGACCTGGAGTGTGAGATTGCTGGTGGGTGGGTCGAGTGGGAGGTCTCAGGGCTGACCCAGAGGATTGTGTAAATGTAAGCTGTTCCCCTCCAACAGGCCCAGTTTGCACCGTGGTCTACATGAATGGCCCTCTCTGGAAATGTGGAATGAGTGGCCTGTGTGCTGTGCACAATGGCCTGAGCCCATGGTGCCTGGCAGATTCCTCCAAGTGCAGTTTCTCAGGCCCTGGCTTCCCTGGGAGGGGAGCTGGCCCGATTCTGTGGAGTGTGGCCTCTTGCCCTGCCTCCCTCTGCAGATCATTTCCAGCAAGTTCTCCTGTAGGCTCTTTGTACCTTCCCTTCTTGTCCCACTGCAGAGGCTGCCAGCTCTTGCAAAGCTTGGTGCTCAGGCTTTGCATGACTTGGGTCTAGGCATGAGCCTGTGACTGCGGGAGAGCTACATGGAGGGAAAAATGAGGTCCTTTCGTATCCAACCTCTCCCCTTATCCAAGAGGAAGGAGAGATTCACAGACTTTCGTGCAAAGGCCACCATATAGACTTGCTGGGATGTCGTCCTCAGAGGCCCCACTGCATGTGGCCTGGAGCTTGCACATTGCTGAGCAGGGGCCACTCCCCCTCCCTGGAGGATGGCCCTGCTGGCACGGCCACATTGCTTGCCCTTCCTGCCAAGTCAGAGAGATCTTTTTGGTTCCCTTAAAAGTACCCTCAAAATCCCTAGAATCCTTGTTGTTGTTGTTGATTTTTTTTTTTAAAGGAATGGCTTTCTTCCTGCCCATGTCAAATCATCAGGGGAATGGTACATTTCTGTCTCTCTGCTTCCCTTTCAAGATCAGGAATTGTCCTTTATTACTGTCTTCAAGATGGGAGTGGTTAACAAAATTATACCCACGTTGGGGGGATGGACTTTCTTTAGAAGGTTAGAGCAAGGTCAACCCCAGCTCACCTGAATTACAGGTGTTCTAGGTTACTGTATTAGTCTGTTCTCACACTGCTGATAAAGACATACCTGAGACTGGGTAATTTATTAAAAAAAAAGGTTTAATGGACTCACAGTTCCACATGGCTGGGGAGGCCTCAATCATGGCAGAAGGAGAAGGAAGAGCAAAGGGATGTCTTCCATGGCAGCTGGCAAAGAGAGCGTGTGCGGGGAAACTCCCATCTATAAAACCATCAGATCTCGTGAGGCTTCTTCACTACCATGAGAACAGGATGGGAAAAACCCACCCCCATGATTCAGTTATCTCCCACCCGGTCCCTCCCACAACATGTGGGAATTATGGGAGCTACAACTTAAGATGAGACTTGGGTGGAACACAGCCAAACCGTATCAGTTACAGAGGTCAAACTTCAGTGCATATTCTTGCAAACGAAGGGGACAAGAGTCAAGTTGTAGGATGACTGGATTTCCAGCTAAATGAGGATCTTTAAGAAAAATGACAGGCTTTTGTGGCTCAAGTAAAAGCAAAGATTTTTGATGCCTGCTTGAGCCTGAGGCTGGCAGGGCCCATAAAGCAGAAGCAGCACCCTCTGTGCCTCCAGCAGCTGCCGCCAGCCTCCGTCCTGGGCAGAGTGTCATCAGCACTGAGAGATCCTCCTGGGCTATGAAGGGTGATGAGTCGGTGGGTTCCGACACCAATGTTTGACTTACGTTTCTATGTTGTTTTATTTTCTCTCAGTTTCTATAAACTTCTGCAGGTCTTTGTGGAGGCAGTTAGGACATATGTATGTACAGAGTAAAAGTGAAATAACTATTATAATTAAAAATGTGATGTCTGGGTGTCTGTGGGGTGCTTGGGCCAGGGGAAGGCCACTGACATGTGAAGTGGCAGGAGGCACCTGTTGCCCAGGCCTCCCCCACATGACCCTTGGTGCCACAGCAAGATGCCTGGTACATTTGCCAAGGAAGCCTGAAGTTAATTTTAATTAGGAGTTGAGATGTCAGGAAATCTGGGTTTGAATTCTGGCTGGATGTTTAACTCTGTGGCCATAGAGAGACTAAGCACCATCTCTGCCCTGAACTGGATAATGAATGATCATCCTTCTTCCTGGGGCTTGTATGAGGGTTAAATGCCTGGGTGGTGCTCAGCACAATGCCTGGAAAAGAGCAGCTTCTTGGAATGTCTCAGCCAGCCTTGTTCCTGGCTGTGGAGTCCAGGCTGCCTGTGAACTATGATCACTGCAGCCATGGGTGGGACGGGTGGGAGGAGCACCCGGAAGCACGCTGTCTGCCAGTCATATCACTGCAGAGGGGGAGAAGGCACCAGAGCCATGGCACAGCAGACGGTGATGGGTTCCTTCCCTGCCAAGCACGGAAAAGAAAATGGCACCTTCTTCTTCGCCAACCAGACACAGATCCTGTGTTAAGCACCTCTTGTAGATATTGTGGTGTTCCCTCTGTGACCCCACCCTCTTGCTTAGATGCTGTGGCCTCCATTCCATGCAGAGAGAAACAGAGCACAGAAGCCAAGTGACTTGCTGAAGACCCTGTGTCTGGGTACAGACAGGATTCAAAGCCAACTTAACTGCCCCTGCAGAACCAGCGTCCTCTGGCATAAGCAGGACCCACCCGTTGCTCATCGGTTGTTTACTATGTCCTGGAGTTTAGTAAATGTTGGCTCTGCTGCCTGTAGATGCTGTGCACCCATTTCTACCAGAATTTCTAGGTTCTTTAATCTCTTTAAATGTTTGTTACTGTCTTAGCCAGCTAAGGGTGCTCCAACAGAAGCTGTGGATGGAGTGGCTCAAACAACAAACATTTCTTCCTCACAGTTCTGGAGGCTGGGATGTCCAAAGTCAAGGCACCAGGAGACCTGCTGTCTGGTGAGGGCCTTCCCCCAGGTTTGCAGACAGCGTTTTCTCGCTGTGTCCTCTCTTGGTGGCGAGGGCGCTGGGAAGAGGAAGCTCTCTCATGCCTGTTTTTTAAGGGCACAAATCCTGTTCCTAGGGTCCCACTCACATGACCTATAACCTGCCAAAGGCCCCATCATGAGATACCATCACACAGGAGACTAAGTCACAACACACGGAGTTCCTGGGAATCCGTGACAGCTACAAAGCTTCCTGCGGCACCATGGGGTGAAGAATAGTTCTTTGATTCATCAGTTATCTTTTCTGCACGGCCATTTCTTCATGTCATCAATGAAGAGCACTCAGAATTCATCCCTCCCGATCTCCCCACAGAGCCAGGTCCCCCGGGAGTAGATGGAGCACTCTCCGATGTCTGAAAGGAAAGCACGACTACTTTGAACACATTTTCCTATCTCCTTCACTGCCCAATGCCCGTGGAACTTTTGTGTCTGTATGCAGGAAGCGTGACGACAGTCAGGCAAACATTTCATTTGCTTCTTCAAAGGTTTTCTTACTATTTCTTACAAGAAAGCTAAGATTTCCTGGATTTGGGGGAAAATGGCATGTTTACAGTCTTTGCTTTCCCTTACCAATCTTTAATCTCACGTTTCTCTCCAGGCATCTTCTGGTGTGTGCAGGACCCGATGGAGGAGTGATGAGACCTCAGAGCCATGTCCAGGCTCTTCCAGTCAGTTGGTGGCCTCCACAAATGCCAGCCAGCCCGCCCAATGCAAGCTTCTGCTTGGCCAACGTGTAGCAGTTACGATGCAGCAATTGGAAGAGGCTGTGGGGATCAGTAATTCCAGTGGGGGAGCGACGGACACCCCTAAGAACCCATTCCACGATTTTAGTCCCAAATTGGATTTTGCTTGGAGAAATTCTCTGCCCTGTAGTAGTGGTTTTTAAGATCACAGATATTGGAGTAAGAAAGACAAGGCTCTTCTATTTGCTGGTCTATTGACTCACAGGGGAATACCAGAGAACTTGGCATCCAGAAAACAGTCAACAAATGAAGACAGTGCAACTAAGACCTGGGCGCCATGTTCCTTCCCTAAGGCTCATTTCACTAGGATGCTGTGTCAGCACGCGCACACACACACACACACACACTCACACACTCCAGGAAGCCTCTAAAAGAAATGCAAGTGTTCTCCAGTAGAAGGAGCATCGCTGAAATTTACTCAACAGCACGGTCTTCGTGTCTTTCCCTCCCAGGCCCACACTCTCAGCTGCCTCCTCCCCTCTCGCTCCTTTCCTCCTGTGTTCTCCAGCAAGGGTGAGGACCCACTGTCATTCAGAAAACCTCCTCCTAGTTTTTCTATGCAGGGAGTCATTCACACATCCAGCAAGGAAAACAGGGGCTTGTGCAGACTCTCCTTGGGAGGTAATGGGAGAGGGATTCTAAATGCTTGTCACATTTTTACCTGACACTGTTACTACCATGTAACTACTAATAACTAATGCCAACTTCTGAATCATATTTCCTATCATCTTATGAGAGAGAACTCTGTGGTGTATAAACACCAAATCACAAATCTCCACTTTACATTCTTGTTTGTCTACTTGTTTGTCTGTTTTCCACTGCAGTGCAGGAGCCCGTGGAGGAGACCCGGTTTCCAGCACCGAGGGGCTCAAGAATCTCAGGTCACCTGTGAGATGAGCTCTGAGCACTTGCCCACACTCCTGAGCATGAACATAAAGCCCCATCACATGCAGTGGCAGATGGTTAAGACAACAACCAACCATCTCGTCAGATAAAAGCTTCGCTCCACTTAAAGTGGATGATTTTTAAATTTGTTTGTAAAACCTTTGATATTTGACTACTAAGAAATTATAAGATCCCTATGGACAGGCAACTAATTTTCTACATTTCCTGGTTCTTTAAAAATAAATAATTGTCATAGGTCCTTATTAAAGCTCTCAGAATTGTACTTTTGATTTCTAATAAATGCCAAAATATATCTTATCAAATATTTACAGTGGAGTCAGGCATAAAGTCTATAACCTCAAGAACATGAACTGTCAATTTATACTACCGTGGACTCAATTTGGCAAGTTAAGGGGTGAGGAATGGGATTTCAGGAAAAGCCAAAGGGTCTAATTGTTTATGATACATATTTTAAGTATCTGTCATAAAATGTGACCAAGCCTGTTGTATTCTTTGAATAGCTGATTTCCCTGTTTTATCCCCTCTTTGAGTTATTTTCATACAGTTTCACAGATAACTGCAATACTTTTTCTTAACCTGAGATTTCTGAAGTTAATATGATGGAACTGCTGTGTGACACTGGAATTCGGACTGAGGGCGTTGAAGAAGAACAGGGCTTCCTCCCAGCCAAGGGCTCTTTAATGCGGAGCCTGGAGCAGCCCAGAAATCTTGCAGCAAATCTACAAGATGGGCCGTGACCGGGTCAAACGGAAATCTCTTTCAGTACTTTGTTCATGCCATGCAATACTCTTATTCTCATCATTTTGATAAGGAATAGGTTTTTTTCCCCTTTAGTTCCTCTTCCCTAGAGATATAGATTTTTAAGCTGATTTTGTGTCTCAGGCTCATTTAAGTTTTAAAAAATATTTTCCAAGATAGATAAAACATTTTTTTTCCTCTTGGAATAATGAGTATTTATTGACATTCATTTAGTGTTGTTTCAGCAGACTGCTTCCCACTTGACCCCTGCCAGCCCCCAGGAGTGCGTTTTGGATTAGAGGAAAATGTGGAAAATTTTGAAGTGCTTTTAATCTAGTAAAACACATTGGGATGGTGTTGAACACGTTTATTAAAAATTACATGTGTTTGCATTGGCAGGAAGCATTCCAGAAAATGTCAAGAATTTCCAGGCACTTTGTGGATTTTCCAGATGATAAATGATAATTTTGCTGCTTTCATTAGCTGCTGAATTTTCTTAACTCACCCAGCATTGATACAGACAGAGCAGGGCATGGCAGACCCCGCAGTTCCGTTTCATCATACTTGCTCACTACACGATGTTGCTATGCATCCATGGACTGACAGATTGTCTGGGGGATCTTGTAGGTACCATTTCTCCTCCTTCCAGTAAAAGCAATCCTAAAGGTTTTCAAAATAATCAATTGAGAAAGTACTACCATTATTAAAAAATATATATTTTTATTTATTTTTAATATATTTTAATATATTATTATATTTATTTTAATATATTATTTTTATTTATAAAAATATAAATTTTTATTTATTATTTTTTGAAACATTGTATCCTTTGACCAACATCTCCCCATTTTTGCCCCCACCTCCAGGCCCTGATAACCGCATTCTACTCTCTGCTTTTGTGAGTTCAACTGTTTCAGGCTCCACATATAAATGAGATCATGCAGTATTTATCTTTTTATGATTGGCTTATTTTGTTTAGCATGATGTCCTCCAGGTTGATCCATGTTGTTACAAATGAGAGGATTCCATTCGTTTTTATGGCTGCATAATATTCCATCGTGTACATATACCACATTTTCTTTAACCACTCTTCTGTTGGTGGACATTTAGGTTGGTTCCATATCTTGGCTATTTTGAATACTGTGATGAACAGGGGAGAGCTGATACCCCTTGGACACACTGAGGTAGGTTGAAGAAATACTCAGTAGTAGGATTGCTGGATCTCTTGGTAGTTCTGTTTTTAATTTTTTGAGGAACCTCCATACTGTATTCCATAGTGGCTATACTAGTTTAATTTTTACCTATAGTCTACAAGAGTTCACTTTTCTTCACATCTTCACTGATACTTATCTTTCATCTTTTTCATGGTAGCCATTCTGACAGGTGTGAGGTGAGAGTTCATTGTGGTTTTGATTTATATTTCCCTGAAAACTACTGATGTTGATCACTTTTCCATATACCTATTCGTCATTTGTGCATCTTCTTTTGATAAATGTCTGTTCAGGTCTTTTGTCCATTTTTAAATCAACTTACTTGGTTTTTTGCTGCTGAGTCATTTGAGCTCCTTATATTTTGGATATTAACCAGTTATTAGTTGCATGGTTGGCAAATATTTTCTCATATTCTGTAAGTTGCTTTTTCACTCTGCTGATTTACTGTGCAGAAGCTTTTTAGTTTGATGCAATCCCATTTATCTATGTTCAGTTTTGTTGCTTGGGCTTTTGGGGTCATATCCAAAAAATCTTTCCCAGACCAATGTCAAGAAGCTTTTCGCAGCTGGGCATGGTGGCTTCTGCCTGTAATCCCAGTACTTTGGGAGGCCGAGGCAGGAGGATTGCTTGAAGCCAGGAGTTCAATACCAGCCTGGGCCACAAAGTGAAACCTCATCTTTACAAAAGCAGTTTTTTATTTTTAATTAGCTGGCCACAGTGGTGTATGCCTGTAGCCCTAGATACTTGGAAGGCTGAGGCAAGAGGATCCCTTAAGCCCAGGAGTTAGAGGCTGCAATGAGCTATGATTATGCTACTGCATGCTAGCCTGGGTGATAGAGCTAGACCATGTCTTTATTTAATATTTATGGTTTTTTTTCTAGTAGTTTTACAGTTTGGGGTCTTAGGTCGGTATATACTTTCTGTTCATTTTTATATATGGAGTGAGATAAGGGTCTAATTCCATTCTTCTGCATGTGAATATTCAGTTTTCCCAGCACCATCTATTGAAGAGACTTTCCTTTCCTCATTAGTTTCTCTTGGCAGCTTTTTCAAAGATCAGTTGATCATAAATGTGTGGATTTATTTCTGTGCTCTCTATTCTGTTCCACTGGTCTATGTTTCTGCTGTTTTTATGCCAGTACCATGCTGTTTTATTACTATAGCTTTGTTTTAGATTTTGAAATCAGTTCGTGTGATGACCCTGGCTTGATTCACTTTGCTCAAGATTGCTCTGGGTATTTAAGGTTTTTTTTTGTGATGTCACTGGAATTTTGATATAGATTGCACTGAATCTGTAGATAGTTTTGGGTAAAATATTCTAAGTATTATCACAATTAAAGAGATTCAGTAAAAACCTTACAAGACTAAATTTGCCAGCAACAAATCCTTTTAATTTTCCTTCCTCTGATAATTTCTTCATTTCCTCCTCATTCCTGAAGGACAGTTTCACTGGCTATATAATTCATAGCTCACAATTCTTCTTTAAGTACTTACAAAAATGCTGGGCCACTTTCTTTTTGCTCTAAGTTTTGGGGTAAAAAAGCTGCTGTTATTCAACTTGGGGTTCCCTTGTAGGTCAGGTGCTGCTTCTTTTTGGCTGCTTTCAAGATTTTTTCTTTGTTTTTCATTTTCAGAAGTTTAATTGGGGCGAGTTTGTGAGTTTCTTTTGTTGCTGTTGTTGTTTCTTGTGTATTTCATTTAGGGTTTGTTCACTTTGTTGTATGTGTAGGTTTGTGTCTTTCACCAGACTTGCAAAGTTTTCACCCATTATTTCTTCAAATACTTTTTCAGACACTGTATTAGTCCATTCTCATGCAGCTATGAAGAAATGCCTGAGACAGGGTAATTTATAAAGGAAAGAGGTTTAATTGACTCACAGTTCTGCTTGTCTCGGGAGGCCTCAGGAAACTTACAATCATGGCAGGGAAGCAAACATGTCCTTCTTCACATGGCGCCAGGAGAGAGAAGAATGACAGCTGAGCGAAGGGAGAAGCCCCTTATAAAACCATCAGATCTCATGAGAACTTACTCAGTATCATGAGAATAGCATGGGGGAAACCGCTCCCATGATTCAATTACCTCCCACCAGGTCTCTCCCATCACATGTGAGGATTATGGGAACTACAATTCAAGATGAGATTTGGGTGGGGGCACAGCCAAACTATATCACACTCTGTTTCTCTCATCTCTCTGAGACTCCAATGGTATGACTATTGCACCTTTTGTTACTGTGCCACAGGTCCCTGAGGGTCTCTTTATTTGTTTTCATTCTATTTTTCTGTTTCTCAGGTTGGGTAAATTCTATTAATTTTTCCTCAAGTATGCTGGTCATCTCCTTTGTCATCTCCACTTTACTGTTGAGCCCATCCAGTCAGTGTTCCACCTTTGGGATTTTTCAGTTCTACGATTTTGATTTGGATAGTTTTTGTAACTTCTATTTCTTTGTGGTGATTTTTAAAAATTTCTTTCCAATCAGTGTTCCATCGTTGTGATTTTTCAGTTCTATGATTTTGATTTGGATAGTTTTTGTAACTTCTAAATTTTTAAAATTTCTTTCAAGGCAACTTGTAATTTATTGGTGAAGAATTTTAATGACTGCTGCTTTAAACTCTTTGTTAGATAATTTTAACTTTGGAAACATGGTTGTATCAGAGAGCTGTCATCAATTGATTGTCTTCTAAAATTCAGAATGTGATTTTTTGTTTATTGGTATCGTGGGTTGTTGTACCCTAGGCATGTTGTCTCTCATGTTAGGAGACACTGGGTCCTACTTGCTTTTTTAATTTCAGCATGCAGTCCCCCTGCTGTATTTTGGCATGCAGGTCCCGGCCTCCTTTGAGAGCTGTGGTTCCAGTGGTTTATTCTGAGGGCTTTGTGGGGTTGTTTTCATCTTGGTTTAGCTGCTGCTCGTGAGGCTCACACTGGTCTCTTCTGGGACCGCCTCTGGGGTGGAAGGGGCTTCCCCAGGCCAGGGCACCGGGTGTCTCCTAGCAGCGACAAGGAGTCTCCAGCCAGGAGGAGGAAGGGGCCTGACTTGGCAGGTGTCACAGGGGCTCCCCAGGTGCCCCCAGCTGTCCCAGTGTCTCTGGCATGGGGGTCCCAGGGCTCACAGGGAAAGAGATGCTTCCCTAGGCACTGATTGTTACTGAAGGTCTCAATTGATCCTCTTTCCTAGCAATGCCAAGTCCTTCGCGTGGTGTCAGAAGAACTCCGGGTTGATCCCAAGAGCAATGAGCCTCCCTGGGCTGCCTTCTGCCATTGTGTTTGAGAAGTGCTGGGTCTGAGTGGTCTTCTTAGTTGGTTAGGGACTTAAGGTGCCCTGCCATGTGTTATCTTTTCAGTCCTGGGTTCCCAAGGCAGCTCCCCTTCTTTGCACTGCCAGCCAGAGTTCCCCCTTGGGTGTTTCCTGCCTCCTGCCCGGGGTTCACAGTCACGCTCTGCAGGAGGAATGGGCAGAAGCAGCTCAAAACCATGGTGTTCAGCCCAGACAGCTGCAATTTGGCATTTGACTCCGTGATGCCAGGGTGTACTCATGACGTGTGCTTCTCCAGTTCTTCTCTAGGGCAGCCTGGACGCGATGCTAATCCGGTACCAAGAGCACCCTCACACCAGCACGCTAGTCTCCAAATGTCATCAGTTACAGGAATCCAGGGCTGCTTGGCCTATTGGCAGATTCCAGGTGTAGGGCGGGAAGTAGAAAGGACAGCTCTGGAGCATCTGTCACCTCAGACAGCAAGGAGGTGCTCGGTGACAACCAGAACCAGGTCACAGGACACAGGAGCCCACAGGAGAGGCCCCCACTGGCCCAGCAGGGGCCAATCTGAACATCCATAAGGGTGGCGAGGCCATGGGTGGAAAAGCGTCACTCTCATTAATGCCTATGAGTTCCTAATTGTGCTAAAACAATCACAACCATCAGCATCAACCTTCAGAGGTTGCTAGGGAACCAGCTCATTATTCAAAAATCTGCTGCATAAAAGGTAAGAAAACTGAGCATTTATCTTGCCTTCCCTAAGGGACAAAGCCCTTCAGAGCATCCATGTAATCGATGCATGTATAATATTGGGCAAAGGGAAGAGGCTATTGCCAGATCCGGGAGGCTGTGGGTTCTAGCAGCAGACTTCCAAGACACCCCAAGGAATGGGGCAGAAAATGGCTCTGGACATGCCCATGCCCCTTCATGCCACGTTTCTTGAGGAGCTCTGATATGAAGTGGAAGAGGGTGGGGATTCCCAGGACCGTGCCTGAAGAGCCCTGCATTTTAAGGGGGTGGAGCAGAGGGAGCAGCCCAGGGGAGCAGCAGGAGGACACGCCAGGTAGGATGGGTGGTGAAGGCAGGGACAGGCAGGGCTTGCAGGAGGAAGGCAGGCTGGCTGGCTGGGAGACCCAGGAAGCCCACAGGATGAGATGAAGCTGTAGCAGCAGCTGGAGTATTGGGGGCTGTCCTGATGGAAGGTGGGTGGGATACAGGTTGCAGTGGCCTGGGGGTAAGGGGAAGGGAAGAGCATCTGTGATGTGGGGAAGCAGCTGGGATGGTGGAATGTGGCTCCAGGGAGAGTAGCTTTAAATCTTGATTCAATGCGAGAGACCACAGTGCACTTTGTAAGGTGGACCCTGTGAGGGAGTGTTGGGAGGAGGGCCCAGGAGGGGCAGGCCAAGGGGAGGGCAGTCAGCTGCTGCTCCTCAGCAGGAAGGAGGGGGGTCAACTCCCACGGGTGTAGACTTGGGTGTTGGGGGTGGATCTGTGCTCTGGTGGATTCTACTTCGTCTGTGCTGTAGAGACAATTTTCCAACATCGGTCTCGTTCCTGAGAGTTATAAGAGAGTTGGAAAAGTCAGAGGCTGACAATGGAGGGGACATTTCTGAGTAACTTTTGCTAAAGGTGAGAGAGCGAGATGCCCAGACAGACAGTAAGCTTGCAGGGTGATGGATACAGGTGGGGAGACTGGGCGGGGGACCTTTCTATCTTCAGAGCTTTGCTGCTTAAGGCACAGGCTCAGAAGAGGAAGAAGACGGCCTGCCCTGCTGGCACTTTCCCAGGATGGGGGGAAAGGCATGGAGGCGTGTGTGAAGGTGCTCGCAGGGATGGACCATGGACTCCAAGCCCAGTGTGAGGCTGTGGGATGGGACATGGCTGGAGACTGTGTCCCATGAACGGGGAGCCTGCTGCAGCTCAGTGTGGAGCAAATGCACTGAGGAGCTGAGGGTGGGGAACCTTTCCACGGGTGACAGATTCGCCCCAATAGCGGGAGGTAAATAGGGCGGTGGGCGCCAGGAGGCTGAAGGATGTGCTGACCGTGCTATTCTCTCTGTCACCTCTGTTGGTGCTTATTAACTGAAAAACACATTTGTGTGGGCAGGGAAAATGTTAATGGATCTGGGCATGTTTCCTTTAATACAGATTTCACAAGAAACCAAAAGCAAATTAAATTACATTGTTATGGTATTTTCCTCACTATTTAAATTTGTGAAATGCCCACAGGTGCTGAGGACGTATCTGAAGGGGAAACTTTATTAATCTCTGGACAGGAAAGGAGGCGGGATGCCTATGGGACCGTCCTGAATTGCTGTCCTACGATGGTCGGGCCCTGCCGGAGAGAGGGTTCCTCCGACTTTGCCAGGGCTACTGAGAAGGGGACACAGTCCTGGGCCCAAGAGTGAGGCCAAGCTTTGGTTTTCCACCTATCCAAAAAGGAAGAGCAGAAGGCGCTAGGTGGGTTCTGGAAGTTAGTCTGATTTGCCAGCTGGACTGGGGGCTCCTCTGTTTTGTAGAAGAGACTCTGGCGGTGGGAGAGAGACAGCCACCATAGGTGCAGAGGACCCCAAAGCACTGGTCTAGGGCTACAGCATGCTTTGGTGTGGGGAAAACACATCCTGAATTTCCAAGAAAAATATTAAAGGTAAGCTAAATTGTGCATTAACAAATAATCAGTTTTTTTAGGAGTTTTAGATTTATAGAAAAACTAAGCAAAGTGTAGAGTACAGAGAGCATCCATATGCCCCACCCCTTGTTCTCCTATTATTAACATCTTGCAATAGTGCAGTACAGCTGTTACAACTAATGATCCAATATTGATACGTTATTACTATTAACTAAAAGTCCATGGTTTACATGAGGGTTCACTCTAGGTATTGTACAGTCTGTGGGTTTGGACCAGCCTACGATGACATGGACTCACCATTATGGTCTCATCCAGAGGAGTTTCCCTGCTCTGTGCTCCACCTGTTTCTCCCTCCTCTGAGTCCCTGGAAAACACTGATTTTTCCACTGTCTCTGTCGTTTTGCCTTCTCCAGGGTGTCATAGGGTTGGAATCCTACAGGAGGCCGCCTTTTCCGACTGGCTTTTTTCACTTTGCCGTATGCATGTAGCGTTCCTCCGTGTCTTTTCGTGACTTCATAGACCATTTCTCTTTAGTGCTGAGTAATATTTCACTGCGTGGGGGTAACCACAATTTGTCTGTCTACTTAACAGACAGGCATCCTGCCTAACTAGTTTTTTTTTTCTTTTTTAGGGAAAAAGCATTAAGATTAAAATGTAGACTTTTTAAGGGAAAGATACTTTGTGGTCTTTGGACTTTGATTACGAGCTTAGGTTTTCTAAGGTGCCAGGCGACCTTTCAGAGAGATCAGAAGCAAAACGTAGCAAACCACCATGGGCCAGGCCACTTTGGGGTCCACCAGTGGCAAGACCCTCCCAACCAGCAAGTCAAATAAATACGAGCCATCTTCCACTTCTGACAGAGGCCTAGTTAGCCTGTGTAACAGCAACAGTAAAAGTAAATTTAGCATTCCTTTAATTTTGAACATTTGACCATGTGAACAGCTTCACGACGAAGGTGAAGGAGGTTTGCCTAAAGCCTCTCCTGTGCTGCTTGGGCTGTGTCCCTTCAGTAAGATGGTTTCTGACCCTCTATCTGATGGGGAGGATGGAACCATCTTCCTCTCTCTAATGGGAAGCACTGAACCTATGGCTGAGTGACTGGGGAGGGAATTAGGAATTCAAGACCCAGAAATAAGGAAAATCCACAAAAATGTATGCTATACAACTCTGTTTATATATATATATATATATATATGTAAAACTTACCTTCACTTGGCTGGGCGTGGTGGCTCAGGCCTGTAATCCCAGCACTTTGGGAGGCCAAGGTGGGCAGATCACCTGAGGTAAGGAGTTCGAGACCATCCTGACCAATATGATGAAACTCCATCTCTACTAAAAATACAAAAATTAGCCGGGCGTGGTGGCAGGTGCCTGTAATCCCAGCTACTTGGGAGGCTGAGACAGGAGAATTGCTTGAACCTGGGAGGTGGAGGTTGCAGTGAGCCAAGATCGTGCCATTGCATTCCAGCCTGGGCAACAAGAGCAAAACTCCGTCTCAAAAAAAAAAAAAAAATTACCTTCACTCACAACAAAGTTTGGTCATTAGACTGAAATGTATAGGGTTAAAAAACCATTTCTCCTGTTAGCACAAATAGTGATGACACTACTTCTTTTTTCTTGCTATGTTTAATTTTATAGATAGAACAGACATATCACCACAGCTGTTTTTAGAAGCAGAATTTTGGGGAGAAACATGGTTATTAAAAAAGCCAAATAATTGGATATAAACATTTAATTATTTCCCTCATTTTCATCATCCCTGTAGATGTCATGTCACTTTTATGCCCAAATAAAGCAAATGCAAATGTATTCTATAAATAAAGCTAGGGTTGTTCTCCAGATGAGAACATGGGAATGGCATTTCGGAAGGGAGGTGAAAACGTCTCCCAAACGCACCCGTTCCCATTACCCATCATTTAGGTGTTGTCCATCAGAGCTGTTTGCATCTGGCGCTGACACCGTGCAAAATTCATTCATGGAAACTTTCAGTCACACTTGAGAAGTTTGGCAGATGGTGTCTCTTCTCATTTAATTTTTTTTTCCAATTTTTTTTTTCACATAACTCTCTCTCTGGGCCCTCGACCCCCCAGCTCGATCCCTTTTTTGAGGAGAGATCTAATCAGTGGCGTGTTAAACAGGAGGGGATCTTTTATGTCTGTGGCGTTGGGACAAGCGGAGCGCGGCTGTGGATCACCAGAATAAACAACGTGGGCCGATTCAATTACAATGCGGCCCGGCTTTTATCTGGTGGTGACATCATTTCAATCAAAATGTAAAATAATACAATCCAACAGTTGCAAGAGGCAGAGATAGGACACAGGCGGCTGCACTTTGTCGTTTAATAAAAGAGAGGGGAAGGGGACCCCTCCTCCTGACAGCGGTGAAGCCTTCCAGTCCCAAATCTCCATTACCTGCTCTCAACGTGCTCACAGGAACCAAATGCAGGAGATTGTCTATTACTTTTGGTCAGTGGAAGCCGTAATGTAGGCTACAGACTCCTGTCCTGTTTTTTTCTTTGTTCGTTTAATTAACAGAAGCATGAAATCTTCCTATTGGCAGCTTCTATTGCTTTTCCCCCTCCGAGCAGGGACTTTGTTCATTTCCTTTGTCTCCTTTGAAATTTTTTTTTTTTAAACAGTGATGTTTTTCAAGAACCGCAAATCATCATGAGAAGAAAAACATAATTCAAGGGCAAATATATCGTCTCGAAAGGGCTTAGGCTGCCGAAGCAATTGGTGGCACGTTTCCTTCTCCGCAGCACTTTGTGTGAAAGTTTCCTTTCAATGCCAAGACTTTCAGAGTCCTCGGGGAGAGGTGAGAGTGACGATAAGCACAATAAATCCAGTGCCGTCCACCCTGCTCCATAGCAAAGAGGGAGAAAAGGAGGGTGCAGCGAGGGAGAGGGGGAGCAGAGCCGTGACTCTGCAGCCGGCCTCTGTGGGTGAGCAGCCGGCCTCCAGCTGCCCTTTCCGGTTCCTCAGTGTGTGCTTTGTTTTTCCTTGAACTGTACTTCGTTTACAGCAATCAATCATTTTAAAAAGAAAGGATCCATTACCCATCAATATTTTTGATCGTTCCATACAACCTAGATGATCCATAGAACAGAACCGGCTTGGGTGAGCCTCACAGTGCGGCAGCAACACCTTGACCCCATCACTTGGAACCCCGGGGCTCCTGCAGAGGCTGCGACAGCCCAGCCTGGGGCGACTGGATCTGGCCTTCCCTAGCGGAAGAGAGAGGGATACAGCTTTACATGCCCCCTGGTATCCTAAAGAATACAGCATCATTGGAAAGGCAGTGTTTTCATATAAAAAGTGAAATAGCAGCATGTTCCATTGTGGCCTAGGAATAAAACAATAGGATGTTTGTGCAACCAACAGAAAATCAGGCGACTTGGGGAACAGGAGGTTAACTGGGAATTTACTCTCACTGTATTTCAGCAGAGGCTGTGAACAGGGAACAAGAGTCCTCATCCTAAAGAGTGGCTCGGCCTTGCCACTCAGAACCTACTCCCAGAAGGCACGGACCCTGTCTGCCGTCACTCCCAGTGCACCCTCTGACACACACAGAAGGCCAGGCACTTCCAGCCACTCCCCCACACAGAAGGCCAGGAACTTGGAAGGAGTTGATGAGAGGGGTTTCCTGGCTTTCTGTCTTCCAGCTCTGCCTGAGGGGAGGGTATGCTCCCCAACCGCAGGTCCATGAGGGGCCTCCCAGGAAGCAGGTATGGAGATCAGGACTCCCATAAAAGGGGAGATGGGAAGCCCCGCCCCTTACCAACCAAAATGGACGGTGGGAAGGAGGTGGACTGTGTGCGATATTGAGGGTTTGGCTGAAGCTGGAGACAGGGGCCTTAGGCAAACTGTCCAGAACCCCCAGCACCACCACAGTGAAACAGCGGAACAGTGAAATTTGGAATTCTCTTATTCATTTACAGAATACTTGTCAGATGTTCCCTCTCTTCTCTGCTTCAAAAAATGTTCTTGAAGGCTCAGACTCTGAGTAGAAATAACAGATCATGCTAGGGTTCCAAATACTTGGAGACATTTTTCAATACATGAAAACTCTTCCTCCCTCCCTCCCTCCTTAGCTCGCTCGCTCTCTCCGATCGCAGTCTCTCCTGGTGTAGTGATGATGCCGGAATGCACACCCAAGAAAAGCAAATCCACAGCAGACCAAAGCAACTCGGGGGTGCCCTAAATCCCTCAGTTGGGCCATCCCTATTTCTCAGGAGCTGGAGAGATAACTCTGTGACCTGTGGGAGTACACGGCTTCTCCCCAAACATCCAGGACTCCCAGGCCAGTGTGGGCTTCCTGGGGTCCCTTGGTGCAGGTCCTGTCTCTGCTCCTCCTTTCTGTTTCCCAATCTACGTGAATCCACCAGAGAAATTCAGCCTGTTTCTCAAACCGCACATGGCCATAACGGCCACACACAGCACCTGCGGTGAGGCAGCCTGGCACGGGGTCACAGGACGTGCAGGGGCCCCAGGAGCGGTCACGGTCACATGGAGTACAGGAGTGACATGAAGCATAATGGCCTCATAGTTTATGGTGATCACAGACGTCCCATGATCACATGACACAGGAGCCACGTGAAGTGTGGTGGACACATGACACACAGGAGCCACGTGAAGAGTGGTGGACACATGAAGTGTAGCCTCTCATGTTACACAGTGGTCAGCACTTGGTGTCTCCCACGCGCCACACCATTCTGTGACCACACCTCCCTGGCCCTTGTTCCCAAGGAGCTTCCCTTGTCCCAGCCTCTTCGCCAGTGACTTCTCACTGGACCATTCCTTTACAAGGAGCCTGTTTTTTGTGTTTTTTTTTTACACCTTTTTTCTTCTATTTCACAGAAGGAACACCGGACGTCCCTCTGTGATGGCAGCAGCCATGCTGCCTCTGTTTCCGCTCAGGGGTTCTCTGCCACCTCCAATTCCACCCAGTCTCTTGGCCTCGGCTGGGCTTCGGCTCCCGCCTCTGTGCCAAAAATTGCAATGCCCGCGGTCAGGGCGCTTTGCGGAGTCTCACCGCCTGCGGAGGCTTGATTCCCTCCTCACAGGCAGCAGCGTTTGATGGCCGGTGACGCCCCCCTTTCCAAGCACATCTCTCATGGCCCCTGAATGCCACTTACAGGGCGTCCCTCCCTGTGCTAAGTGCTGCCTGGAGCTTTGGGTGTGGCAGCAGCAAAGACCTCTACCCTTGTGGATGTTCGTTTCGGGGTGGAAAGACAGATAGCAAAGTTGGTCGTAAACTGTAGAGTGTGCTGGGAGGAAACTGAGGCAGGGAGGGCCTGGTGCCACTGGGGAGCGCTGCCCCGACCCCATGTGCTTCCCAGGCTCCCTTGGAGCCACGTGGATGGCGACTTCCTGACCTTGGAGGCCGCGGTCCTCAGTCCTCATGCTCGATGGCGTCAGCCCCCTCTTGGGGAAATCCAAGCATTCCTGACCTGAAGATGCACCCACATCTCTGTCTCCAGCAGAGGACACCCCATCCCGGCTGCAGGCTCCTCCGTCCATTGCCTTGGAGGCTCCAGTCCCCTCCGAAGCATCGCGCACGAGGCCTGTCGGGAAACGACATCTCGTCTTCCCCCGACGCCTGCACCTGGGCCACCCCTTCTTTCTGTTCTCCACGTCGCACGTCCAGTCTGACAGCAGCCTGCGGGGCCTGTCCAAGGACTGCTCCAGAGCGGGACGCATCCTCTCCCGGCTCTCAGCAGTTCATGCCCGGCCGTCCCTCACCTGAAGTGCTGCAAGGGGTCAGTTGGCTCCCACCTCAGTCCGTTCCTGACCCAGCAGCCAGGGTGGTCCTCTTGCGAGGGAAGTCAGATCCACTCTTCCCGCTCGGGACCCCGGAGTGGCCCCACGGCCCTGAGAGTCAGCCAGTGCCTTGAACGGCCCTCATGACACTGCAGGCCGCAGCCCCCGCCTCTGAGCCTTGCCTGTGCTCACCATTCCCAGCCACCTGGCTTCTTGTGTTGTGCACTGAGCTGGGCACGCTCCCGCAGAGGCCCTCTCCACCTCTGGCAAAGGAAGGGCTGTGAGTTCCTCTTCTCCCAGCAGAAGGCTCTTCTCGCAACCTCCCTGGTCTGGCTCTGTCATCTCCCGGAGTCTTTGCGCAAATGCCACCTTCTGAGGGATTCAAAATGCCCCCACCTTCCAGTGTCTGCTTCCCTACTTGACTCTTCCTTGGCTCCAGTCCCCGCAAGACATTTTATACCAATTCATTCCTTTCAGGCTTCTTTCTCTCCTCATCTGGTTGTGTGAACCCAGGGATTTTGGCCTAAGCTTTTCTCTCTGGTGTCTCTATTGCCCCGGAACCCATGAACTGTGCCCTGCAAACAGCAGCCGCTCTTGACAAATGCACGGCGTGAGTGAATGTGAGTCGTCCTTGTCTACTTTCTCTTCTCTCCCTTCCAGGAGCAAAATTTCAGAATAATCCATTGTTCAAATGTGCAGTTCCTTGGCTAAGCATTCAGCAGGGTTTGGGTTAATCTTTCTAATGATGTCTTGCAGTTTCACTTTCTAAACATAGGGGCTTAGCAGTGTGGTTCCCCCAGCCCCTAAAAAGTTTTTCTCTCGTATTAGTTTGCTTAGGCTGCCATAACAGACCACCACCCACTGGGAAGCTTAAACAACAGACGTTTATTTTCCCACAGCTCTGGAGGCTGGAAATCAGAGATTGAGGTGTGGCAGGGTGGGTTTCTCCGGAACCCTCTCTCCTTGGCTTGTAGACACCGACTTCTCCTGGTGTCCTCACAGGGTCGTCCCTCTTGGGTGTCTGTGTCCTCTTCTCCTCTTCTTATAAGGACACCAGTCCTAGTGGATTAGGGCCCCATATGACCTCACTTTACCTGAATTAACCCTGTAAAGACCCTGTCTCTCATCAGTCCCAGTGGGACCGGGGTCTCAGCATGTGGAGTCTGGGGTCACCGCTCAGTCTAGTGCCCTGGAGAGCATTCTCTCTAGGCTGATAGGAGAGTGCATGTTCCCATCCAGAGGCACACGATTAGGTGCACTGTCTCAGGAGATGCCATTGTCCCTAGGAAGGAAGCCACCAAAGCGGTTTGTTGGTCTGCAGGATGAAGCTCTGCTGAAGGGAGCTGAGGCATGTGGACAGAGGAAGGTGCTTCATTTGGCCTTGTTTGGGGACCCAGCTGGCTGGGCAGCCAGGCTGTCACTCCATCTGAGTAGGTGTCTGGAGGCCTTGCTGGCCGCTGGGACTTTTGGCTGCTGGGTTCCATGAGTCCAGCCTGTTTTATTCTTTGAGTTAGGAGCAAGGAAGTACATAGAGAAAGTGCAGCCCACACACTGCCATGCGGTGACCCGGCACATCCCAGGGACCCTGCAGGTGACCGTTTCCAGCTTCAAGGTCTCAACGCTGCAGTGTGGCTGGGAGAGATGTTCCCCTTCAGAAGCTTCAGAAACACATGAGTACGGTCAACTCTCACACAAATGATGTCTCCGTCAGGTTCAGGGAGCTAAACTGGCCCTGCAGTTGGGGAGTGCCCTAAGACTATGAGACTGGGAGTAAAGTATTTCCCCAACCACACCCACAGCTTTGAAGGGAGCAGGGAAGCCCCAGCCTCCATCTGCTGTAGGACATGGTTCCTTGGTGCTCACTGGGGTGACCTCCCACATCCCCTGACCCCCACCAAGGCCAAGCCCCACCTGCAGCCATGGCCTCCAGTCCCAGGTCCAAGTCCCCTTCAGGCGTGGCCAGAGTGCAATCTGTACAAAAGCTGCATCTGCCCTCCAGGCTCCGAGCATCCAGGCACCTTGCTTCTCTCTCCACGAGCTCTGTTAAGACTTGGTCCTGGGGTATGGAAGCCTGACGGGAAGAGGGACCCCAGTACCAAAGACCGCACGCACTCCTCATTGCAGAGGCAGAGGGAGGGTCTAATTCACGCCTGCGGATGACCTGGCTCCTGCCTGGCTTCTTACAAAGGTGATGAAAGGTCCGATTCCAGAGTAAAGATGCTCAGACCGGGTGAAACTGAGCAGTCACTGTCAACATGTGATGGGGCTGCGACTCATCTTTGCAAGTTATTTTCTTTTTCTAAGTACACATTTATTCCGGACTGTCTCAGGAAGTCACTGTCAACATGTGATGGGGCTGTGACTCATCTTTGCAAGTTATTTTCTTTTTCTAAGTACACATTTATTCCGGACTGTCTCAGGAAATGGCTATTTTTCCTCAGAGATGTTCAAGGTCCTGTCCAAACACCGGGGTAAAGGCTAGATGGGGTTACAAACTCTCCGGTTTGTGCTTGTCGATCGCGTGGGTGGACGGTCCCTGCAGGGCTCAGGGACACATTGTCCCAGTTGACCTGGTGAACTGTTGGAGTCTGGAGGACAGATAGTTAAAGTGAAGAGCTCAGAAATGCGCCGAGAGCTGTTCTTCCCCAGGAGATAGTGCTGGAGGGAAGGGGGCCAGGCTGGACACACGCTTGGGCTTCGTTGCTTCCCGGAACCCGGGACTGTGGACTGTCCTTCTTTTGGCCATGCTGTGAAGAAGCTGATTTTGGAGCTGCTATTAGTATACTGGGAGCAGAACTAGCTTGCTTTGGCAGGGGCCAGGTGCACAGGAAGCAGGAGAGGAGGCAGGTCCATGCTGCTTCTGGGTGGGGGGCGCAGAATCAGCACCTGCACAGGGTGCTTCTAGGGGGCGCTGCAGGAAGACCCCCAGCCTGATTCCGAGAGCCTCCAGGCCCAGCACTGTGCTGAGGGGTCCTCATTGTCACCCCACAGCCTCCAGGAGCTCTCATTAGACAGACATCTCATCTCCCTGTCCTTGTGGGGAGTGTGGAGCCCAGCACAGCCACCAGTGGAGGGGGCCGGGGAGAGGTGGGTGGGGGCTGATCCCAGAGCTTCCCAGGCTTGTCCAGGGAGACAGAGCTGGCCATAGTCTAAGCTTCATTTTCCTGATTTCCTGGGAGCTTATGGCCATTGGTTATGGAGGCTAAATATGATTTTCTTGTGCTTTACTGGCCGGGCAGGCCACGTTCTGTCCTTTCCCTGGGAACATCCTTCCTGCCCTTCTTGACCTGTTGCCTTTCTGGTCTCCTGAGCCTGACAGCCGTTGGAGGGGCAGTCTGTGCCCATGCTGGAGATGACTCTCCTCTTCCCCTGCATCTCTGGCCTGTAGATGGCGGGATCACATCTGCCCTGTGTACCTGCCCCATGCAGGCTTGTTCTCTGGCCACACTTGGCATGTCTGTGTCCGTGGGAATGTTCCAAATGCCTTGCACAAAATAAATGGTGACTATGGGCTCCTGAAGAGGGTGACATCCAGATACTGATTCCTCTGGAAATGTCACCAGAAGGGATGCTGGTCCTTCTACTCTCAGCTGTTTCTGGGAACAAAGTCTCGGATGTACTGATGTTTCCATCTTGTATTATATTTCCTTTTAGAAAATAAAATTGACACTTAGGAAACAAACGAAAGAAAACAGTTGGGAGTTACATTAATTTGTCCCAAGACTTCTCTGGGCTTGGGAATTGCAGGGAGGAAGAGCACCAAGGGAGCCACTTCCTATGGTGATCGCAGCATGCTCTCGTGGATTTGCACAGAGAGTCCAGCTTTTCCTTTCAGAGCTGAGCATTTGTTGAATCCTAATCAGTTTGTGTCACGAGCCCATGGATTTTGCAGTATTAGCTGTTGGTGACTGTGGTATTGATGACTTTAGTTTTCTGCTGCATATAATGAGTATCTGTCAATGTCCTGCTGCCAAACCTGCAGGCGTGAGTGTGTGGACAGAAGTGACCAGGTGCGCGCGGGTGGGTGGACAGGAGTGACCGGGCGCGCGTGCATGAGTGGACAGAGGTGACCGGGTCCACGTGCGTGCCTGGACAGAGGTGACCAGGCCCGCGTGTGTGCGTGGGTAGAGGTGACTGGGCCCGTGTGTGTGCGTGGGCAGAAGTGACTGGGCGTGCGTGTGTGGACAGAAGTGACCGGGCGCGCCTGTGTGGGCGGGCAGAGGTGACTGGGCCAGCATGCGTGGGTGGGCAGAGGTGACCGGGCATGCGTGCGTGGGCGGGCAGAGGTGACCGGGCGTGCGTGGGTGGACAGAGGTGACTAGGCATTGCTTGCGTGGGTGGGCAGAGGTGACCGGGCTTGCGTGCGTGGGTGGACAGAGGTGACCAGGCGTGCGTGCGTGGGCAGAGGTGACTGGGCATTGCGTGCGTGGGTGGACAGACGTGACTAGGCGCGAGTGCGTGGGTGGACAGAAGTGAGTAGGCGTGCATGCGTGGGTGGACAGAAGTGACTAGGCACGTGCGTGGGTGGACAGAACTGACTAGGCGTGCATGCGTGGGTGGACAGAAGTGACTTCATGGCTCATTGCAGCGAGGGAGGAGGCATGCTGGAGAAACACGGGCATCACCGTGAGGGGTGAGAATGGCCTTCTCTCAGGATTCAGGCTGTATCAGGCAGCTTTGAGGGACATTTGGGGAAGCAGGACTCGGCTTTGGGTTGGCTGCTGTCAGGAAGCTGGGAAGATTCTGTGTCTTAGTAAATCCCATCCAGGAATGGGGAGATGAGGCGAGGCCTGAGCCGTGACTGGTAAGGAGGCCACAGTCACTTGCCCAAGCTCGGATCCGGCCTGCTGGGTCATCCTGTGGTTGGACGATGTTCATCGGAGGTGGCCGTGGGGTAGATGCTCTTTTTCTTGCTCTGTCACAGAGTGGCTTGGTCTGAGGCTGGTGCCGAGCAGAACACTGAGACCTGGTTTTAGGGCCAGGCCAGTCAGTGCTGGCTGTCGGTGGTGGCTTTCCCTTTCCTAAAGGAGAGGGCCTCCAGCTGTTGGGCTACAGGAAGGAAGACACAGTCCTGGCTCTGGGGTGTCCCCAGGTGGGGCCACTGCTCTTCCTGGAGACACACAGGAAAGCAGAGCCTCCCTTTGCGCTCCTCAGGGCAGGCGGGGCCTGGGAAGGAGCTCATCCCGATGCCGCTTCACTCACTGCGATGCTGACAACCAGCCGCGTTACTACGCCATTCCCGGGGAACGGGGAAGATGCCCGTCTTTTCCTGCGCATCATCAAGCATTCCTTGGAGTTGTATTTCTTGGAAGACCATTCATTTCAGGTCATGCTCAGAAAAGACATAAGGACCTGGTGTCAGTGAGAGTGGTGATTATGAATTACCGACGATGAATTGCATCCTGTCACCCTGCTGGCAGGGTGGGGGCAGCCCCATGGGCTCCTCACCCATTTCAGAATCTCCAAGTCAGAGTCGCAAGGCGGTGCCACCATCATTCAAACAAGATCACTTCTCAATTAATATGTCTCAGCAGGTATTTTACTGTGCTTGGATTTCCTTCCTTCCTTCCTTCCTTCCCTCCTTCTCTCTCTCCCTCTTTCTTTCTTTCGTCTTTCTTTCCCCTCCCTCCCTTCCTTCCTTCCTTCCTTCCTGCCTTCCTTCCTTCCTTCCTCTCTCTCTCCCTTTCTCCCTTCCCTTCCCTTTCCTTTCCTTTCCTTTCCTTTCTTTTCTTTTCCTTTCCTCTCAAGTTTCTGAGTTTCCTTTCCTTTCCTGAGTTTCACTGTTGTTGTCCAGGCTGGAGTGCAATGGTGCAATCTTGGCTCACTGCATCCTCTGCCTCCCAGGTTTAAGCCATTCTCCTGCCTCAGCCTCCCGACTAGCTGGGATTACAGGTGCCCGCCACCACGCCCGGCTAATTTTTGTGTTTTTAGTAGAGATGGGGTTTCACCATGTTGGTCAGGATGGTGTCAAACTCCTGACCTCAGGTGATCCACCCACCTCGGCCTCCCAAAGTTCTGGGATTACAGGTGTGAGCCACCACGCCTGACCAGGTTATTTTCTTTAAGAGATTTTAACCTCTTCTTCAAAATGGTAAATTACTTTTATCCATGAATTGCTCTCATTCTTAATGTCATTTCAGTAAATGCTGATTGGACACTCTCTGTCAGGTGCTCCTAGAGGTGCTAGCAAGAAGGGAATGAATGAAACAAACCTGCCTCTTCTTGGCCTCAGACCCACGTTTCAACCCATACATCATTTCCAAAGTGCTTATGTATTCACACATTAATCAATTAATTAGTTATTGCTGTGACGCTCTACCAGCACCCACAGCAGTCTGCTCCTTCGTGCAAGCCTGCTGAGCCCACCGCCAGAGCCTGCCGAGGGTCTGCTCCTACCCAGGGGCCACGTGGGCAGAGCCTCCTCTCATGCCTCTGTCAAACGGGCCTGAGTCAGCACGCCTCGCATGTGTGTTGGCAGCAGTTTGGAGTTGGAGAAGAAACTCCTCATTGCTTTGATCAAACCCCCCTTGCAGGGCCTTTGCTCATTGCCTTTTCCTTATAGGCGGCCAGCCCCATCCAAAGCAATGTCCCGAATCCTAGGTGTTTTTACGTCCAGTGAGTCTGTGTCTTCTGATTGTTTCACTGGAGAGCACTGTGGCCCACACTGCCTGTGTGGCATCTGCTGTTAGGTGTGGCCATGTGTCCAATGAGCCTCATGCGGACTCCATTTCTAAGGAGTTTTCCTTTAATAAAAAAGACAGAAATATAAACAAATGATCACAATACCATGAGATTACCTCTGCACTGGAAATATGTACTCGGTGTGTACAAATCACAGAGAAGTCCACTGATGCTCCTGGAGACGTGAGGCATGTGGACACTGCCCAGACAGAAGTGGCTGCATCTCCAAGGATGAACTGAGCTCACAGCAGGTCATGTGGGGCAGGGCATTCAGGCTAGGGCATGACACACACCAAGGACCAGGCACTAGTCAGTGTCGCCCTTCCAGGCTCATGACTGGGGCACAGGGTGGGACAGAAGAGAACTGGGCCCTCCCATGGGGGCCGGACCTTCCCTAGGTTCCCACCCACTGAGGACTCCTGGGGGGCTCCTAGCCCTGCATCTGCAGCTTACTCAGTGTCAGCAATTCATCTGATTCCCACTCGAAATGTTTCTGAGGCAGAAAATCATCATTGGGTGCTTTTCCAAGACTTTACAAAATCAAATGCAGGAGGAAAAATAATCAAACCTATTGTTTGTAGTTACGATACTTGAACAAATAATTTGCTCTACCCAGTCTTCAATTTCATTGAAGTCTTCAACCCAAGTACTCACTGGATGCTGTCAATGGACGTGTCTGGATCATAGGGACAGAGCCGTGGAAAATGAAACACACACATACAACACACACACACTCTCTCTCTCTCTCTCTCTCCCCAAAGCACTCCCCTTGCCCCAAGTTTACATTCTAATTCCCAGGAGGGACAATATTGCATCTTATTGGATCCAGTATTTAAACCTTGAATTCACGTTTTCAGTACTTTGTTTTATTAACCCTGAGAGGCATGTAATTTAGACGCAAAAGCATTTCATTTTTAAGATGCTTGGGGGCCCAGCCATGGTGGCTCACACCTGTAATCCCAGTAGTTTGGGAGGCTGAGGCGGGCAGATCACCTGAAGTCAGGAGTTTGAGACCAGCCTGACCAACATGGTGAAACCCCGTCTCTACTAAAAATACACACACACACACACACACACACACACACACACACACATTAGCCGGGCATGGTGGCGCATGCATGTAATCCCAGCTACTTGGGAGACTGAGGCAGGAGAATTGCTTGAACCTGGGAAGCGGAGGTTGGAGTGAGCCGAGATCACGCGATTGCACTCCAGCCTGGGCAACAAGAGTGAAACTCTGTCAAAAAAAAAAAAAAAATGCTTGGATGAGCTGAAAGTTCTCCCATTTCTTGTTAGGACCACATCAACCCCACATCCCGGTCCTGGGCTGGCGGTTCCCTGCCTTGGGACAAACGGGCTCTGGGCACTCTCTCTGCTTCCCGAAGCGGACGGACACGGACTTCCGAACCCCCTTGGAGCACGCCTGGGAAGAGGAAAGGTGGGTCCGAGTCCTTTCCTTCCCTCCTCTCGCCCCCTCCCTTTTATTTTCCAAACAAGCTAAGAGTTTTTATAATCCATCACCTGTCTGACAGATGAGTCCTGCTGGAGAATATTAGAAAATGTCTCAAATCTCATATATATGCTAATGGTATGCCGAGGCTGGTCTGTGTGCGGAGTTTTTAATCTGTCTCGGCCAGTGTGGGAAGTGGCAGAGACAAGTCGCAGCACTCGACAATTTATGATCAAACAACGAAATTGTAAAGGAAGAAGGACGTGCAGAAAGGGGGAGTAATTTTCTGATTTAACAGCGTTGTTACTACAAATAAAGAAATCTTGATTTTGACTGCTCTCGACATTAAATGAGTTTCCTGTGCCCGGTGCTGAATTTTTCATTTTCAGGTTTGTATAAAGCACCCTGCTTAGATACAAGTGACAGATAAGGAAACGATTGCATATGGAAATCAAATGTGTATAATAAAGCCATCTTCTGTTTATTAAATAAACACATGTAGATTACTTCTGCGGAGGAGGCCCTGATAATTCTTCACTGTGTTTTCCTTTTTTTGCAAGTCACAAAGAATCTTATTTAACAACCGGGAATGCTAGACGTGAGCTCTTCTGTGTATTAAGGTCCCGCAGTCCAGGGCGCCCGTATCTGAATTTGGGGCTGACGCTTTTCTCTTGCTCCGCAGCCCCTTCGTCCACTGTGTTATTCGGTACATCCTCGTGGGCACTGTAGTAATTTGGAAGTGCACCACTAAGTCACAGTTGGCTAAAATTTACATTAGGGAAATGGCAGGAGCGGGCCAGTAGGAATAGGGGCAGGGCCGTTTTCTGAAGCATGCAGGGTGCTGAGCCCGGCTGTGGCGTGGGATCTCCACCTTTTGGGAAGGCAATACACAGAAAAGCATTTGTGTGGTCATGTATGGAACCACCCCAGGCTGGACGGCCCCAGCTCCCATCTGCCTCAGAGGCGGAGGCCTTGTTGTCCCCATAACCCCAGGAGGGGGCACCTGGGTGGTGGGCACATCCAGTCGGGGGCACAGGGTCACACGCTACGGCCTGGGAGCTGGCATTCTGGGCGTTAGGTCCCACAGCGTGGGCGTGGGCCGTTTGCACATCCTCTTCATGTCCGGGCTCCTTGTGCGGATGAGCAGATGGAGGCAGGATGCTCAGTGTTCTGTTCCCACTTTAATGAGTTAGCATCTGAAACCGGGGCTGGGAATGAGGCACGGGTGGCTGTAGGGGTAGGATGCTTACAGGGGATGAAATCAGTGGATGAAGCACAGGTTGGGCAGGAGCACCCAGGCCTGTGGAGTGTGGAGTCCCCCTCATCCAGGTCGGTTTGGAACACTGATCTGGAAGGCTCAGGACCTCAAATCAGCCGTGCAATGGAGAACATTTTACGCCGATGTTGTAATTTTTATTTACATTACATTACTGCTGTGTTTGGATCTTAATTTTACATTTCTTTTGTAAGCTATTATTCTAGGCAAAACCATTCTTATTGTATAGCTCTAATGTGGTGCTAGAGGCGTTTAACAGTGTTAGCTTTTATTTTTGAAGAAAGAAGAAATTGCCACTTTAATCTACTACAAAGTGAAAGCACATGCACGTGTTAAAACAGACACCTAGCGAAAGCGGGTGTGTGAGGGTGTGTGTGGGTGTGCATGCTTATTTAAAAAGTCCTTCTTTGTTTCTGAGCTGAGGAAGCACAACTAAGAGTGTTGAGCAGCTTTTTTTGTTTGTTTGCTATTTGAGGACGGAAGGTGACATTTCCTCTGGACATTCCCATCTTGCCGATGTCGCTGGCATGGGGACACCAGGCTGCCTAACAGAGAGGCCGTGGTGAGAGCTGCATGGCAGGGGAGGACCACCACATCAGTGCTTTCCCACGCCTTTCCCGCCTCAGGTTTTGAAGCCACTCTGGAATCTGCGAGGCTCCGAGTGTGGCTGGGTTCTGATGTCCCGGCACCCCCGGCAATCACCTTCTTCCCTGTGTGTTTTCTGCAATTCCGTCAGCTGCAGCCTGGATGCAGACAGGAGTGGGCTTGGGGAGCTCCAGCTTCCGGGGATGGAGCTCCATGCTAAAATCACAGCTTTCAGAAAGGGGTGCTAACGATTTTTCTCCTGCCAAAATGTTCAGACAATAATGCAGCAAACATGGGATTCAGCTCTTTCCTGCCCCAGCTCGGTGCACCTACCTTGTGGGCGTCACTCAAAACAAGGGTGAGCTACAGAGGGAGCCTCAGCTCTGGACTGGAGCCCCTGGGGACCTACAGGCAGCCCCAGACCCTCATTCCTCCACATCTGAGTCTCCTCCCTAAGTGGAGAATCCACAAACCATCCTCATAGAATGTTCTGGTGTCCACGTGCGGAGCGTTTCCCCCATGCCAGGCCCCTACATGCACTGAGGTTTGCTCTGTCGCCATGCACTGAGGTTCCTGGGAGTGTTGTGAGGCTGAGCTGAACCAGGGCAGAATCATACTTCAACGACCGGCCGGGCACCGTGCAGTGGCCGATGGGAACCACAGCCTCACACCCACGCCCGCTCCTCCCCTTTCTTTTTTCTAAGTTATTTTTTGTTTTAAAAATAACATTTGTTGAATATTTAAATATTAGGGAAAAGCATAATGATAAAAATAAGAGCACACTAATATCTGCAGGTGTAAATACAAATATTTCTTCTATTTTTCCATGTAAAAAATGTAAACATATAAGCATTATAGAAGTTAGAACATGCCCAATTTAAACATTTCTGTCATTTATTTCATTGAACTTTATGAGTGCCATTTTATTGTTTTATAATTATAAATTATACATTTATAATTTAAAATACTGTTTTAAAGTAATTATATAACACCTAAGTGCCTGAATATTCCATAATTTTTTTAGCCACCTCTACATTTTTAGATTCAATTCTTTATCTTTTTTTTTTTTTTCTGTCAGTGATGAACACTCTTGTGTCTCCTCAGCCCTGCACCTTGCCCGGCCCCTCAGATCTGAGTGCTTGACCCCCACAGACCCATGTTCAGAGCTGGCGAGCTCCACCCAGAGCACGGAAGCCTTGCTCCGAGACCTCGGCACCCGCCCATGCATCACTCAATCTGCTTAAACCACCTGCTCTTCGTTTGTAGCAAAGTGACTTCTTTGAAGGGTCAGAATGGGTGGCATTTCACAATGTGGAAGCCATGAAGCACTGCCACAACAGATATTCTGGTGGAAAGGCCTCTCCCCACCACTCTGACCCTGGAAGGAGATGGAGTAATCGACCTGGGAAGATCCTTGAGTGGCACCTGTGATCTCACACTGACGGCTACTGAATCCGGGGCTCACCCCTCCTTCCGACCATCAGGTGACCCACAGGAGGGCTGCCTGAGAGACAATGGCTGTCCTTGAAGCCTGCAGGCCATAGATGGTGCTATAAGAAAAGCAGCCAGCAGAGCCCTGTTTGCTGTTTGTTTATAGAGATATAACCTACGTGCAAGTGGCTATTCTAGGATTCAACATGAGCAGCTCATTTCCTTGGGAAGCCACTGGGTGACAGAGAACCAGGTGACAGTCTTCTGAGGCCACAGGTGCTGATCCCACCAATGCACCCCACCTCCCTCTCCCTCAACAGACACATTCCAGCGAGAGTGCACCTGCCCAGGATCATGTATGAGCAATCATGACTCGGCTGTTGTGTGGCACAGAGGAGGGTTTTAACCTCACGCCCACACGTGTTGGATTTCTCCAAATCTCTCCATGCTGCCCGGCTGGGGTTCTCCTCCATCCCACGCCAGGACACCTCACCTGGTCAGCAGCCCTGTTCCACCCACAGGCTCTGAATCTCTTCTCCTTTTTGAGTGGAGCAGGTTATGGAGTCCTAGCATGCATGTGCACAGCCAGGTGTTCAGAAAAAGCCCAACCCTGGAAGGAGATGGAGTAACAGACCCGGGAGGACAAAGAGAAGTGCAAGCCCAGCAAAAGGAGGCAAACCCAGAGTCCCTCCGCAAAACCACCTCTCGGAGAAGGCTCCCTCTGTGAGGCTGGAGAAAATCCCTTTGCAAAACCACCTATGGTAGGAGGCTCCCTACATGAGGCTGGAGTATGCCCGTGGCTTCCTCAGCCCTGCACCACCACGTGGTTTGAGAATGCCGGGCTGAGAAGCTCTGGCACCACAGGTTGTCCAGCCACAGCAGTTGCAAGCTGTCTCATAGGTTGATGCCCCAACCTGGACTTCAGCCTCTAGAAGAAGATGTTTATAGATTTATAAACTCAACTGTTAGTCCATCTGGTGGCTATAACAGAATATGTAGGCCAAGTAGCTGATAAATAATGGAAATTTATTGCCCACAGCTCTGGAGGATGAGAAGCCCAAGATGAAATCATCCAGCAGACTTGCAGTCTGGTGAGGTCCCACTTTCTGGTTCATAGTGGAAGGAGCCAGGGATGCCTCTGGGGCCTCTGGTTTAAGGGCACTAATCCCATTCAGGAGGGCTGCACCCTGACGACCTAATCACTTCCAGATCCTCCACCTCCTCACCGTCACGACCTAATCACTTCCAGATCCTCCACCTCCTCACCATCACGACCTAATCACTTCCAGATCCTCCACCTTGTCACCAAAACGACCTAATCAATTCCAGATCCTCCACCTCCTCACCATCACGACCTAATCACTTCCAGATCCTCCACCTCCTCACCATCACGACCTAATCACGTCCAGAGCCTCCACCTCCTCACCATCATGACCTAATCATTTCCAGATCCTCCACCTCCTCACCATCACGACCTAATCACTTCCAGATCCTCCACCTCCTCACCATCACGACCTAATCACTTCCAGATCCTCCACCTCCTCACCATCACGACCTAATCACTTCCAGATCCTCCACCTCCTCACCATCACGACCTAATCACTTCCCGGATCCTCCACCTCCTCACCATCACGACCTAATCACTTCCCGGATCCTCCACCTCCTCACCGTCACGACCTAATCACTTCCCGGATCCTCCACCTACTCACCATCACGACCTAATCACTTCCAGATCCTCCACCTCCTCACCATCACGACCTAATCACTTCCAGATCCTCCACCTCCTCACCATCACGACCTAATCACTTCCAGATCCTCCACCTCCTCACCATCACGACCTAATCACTTCCCAGATCCTCCACCTCCTCACCATCACGACCTAATCACTTCCCAGGTCCTCCACCTCCTCACCATCACGACCTAAGCACTTCCCGGATCCTCCACCTACTCACGATCACGACCTAATCACTTCCCAGATCCTCCACCTCCTGACCATCACGACCTAATCACTTCCAGATCCTCCACCTCGTCACCATCACGACATAATCACTTCCAGATCCTCCACCTCCTCACCATCACGACATAATCACTTCCAGATCCTCCACCTCCTCACCATCACGACCTAATCACTTCCAGATCCTCCACCTCCTCACCATCACGACCTAATCACTTCCAGATCCTCCACCTCCTCACCATCACGACCTAATCACTTCCAGATCCTCCACCTCCTCACCATCACGACCTAATCACTTCCAGATCCTCAACCTCCTCACCATCACGACCTAATCACTTCCAGATCCTCCACCTCCTCACCATCACCACCTAATCACTTCCAGATCCTCCACCTCCTCACCATCACGACCTAATCACTTCCCAGAGCCTCCACCTCCTCACCATCACGACCTAATCACTTCCAGATCCTCCACCTCCTCACCGTCACGACCTAATCACTTCCCAGAGCCTCCACCTCCTCACCATCACGACCTAATCACTTCCAGATCCTCCACCTCCTCACCATCACGACCTAATCACTTCCAGATCCTCTACTTCCTCACCATCATGAGCTAATCACTTCCAGATCCTCCATCTCCTCACCATCACTACCTAATCACTTCCCAGAGCCTCCACCTCCTCACCATCACGACCTAATCACTTCCCAGATCCTCCACCTCCTCACCATCACGACCTAATCACTTCCCAGATCCTCCACCTCCTCGCCATCACGACCTAATCACTTCCAGATCCTCCACCTCCTCACCATCACGACCTAATCACTTCCCAGATCCTCCACCTCCTCACCATCACGACCTAATCACTTCCAGATCCTCCACCTCCTCACCATCACCACCTAATCACTTCCAGATCCTCCACCTCCTCACCATCAGGACCTGATCACTTCCAGATCCTCCACCTCCTCACCATCATGACCTAATCACTTCCCAGAGCCTCCACCTCCTCACCATCATGTTGGGGATTCGGATTTCAACACATGGATTTGGGGAGGGGTGAACACATGCAGCCCATTGCATTAACACATCCCAGAGTAAACTTGTTGTCTTTTCCACAAACCTCTTCTCTTTCTGGTGCTGAGTTTTCTTGGTGAGAGGATGAGAGGAACTACCCCTGCAGAGCATGTGCGTGCCCCAAGTCAGCTGGAGTTGGCCTTGACTGTGTCTCCTATTCCACACGCCATGTCCGCAGAACCACATCCTTCTATGTCTCTTCCCTGATGAGGCTCAGCCCACTCCCGCTGAACCATCCCTCCAAACGCCACCTTCTCAACTCTCACCTGGGTCCCCACATCACCACTGCACCTGTTTCTCAGCCCCAGTGCCACCAAGGCTCAGCTCCTAGAATCTTCTCAATGACTTTTTTTTTTTTTTTTGAGATGGACTCTTGCTCTGTCACCCAGAATGGAGTGCAATCTAGGCTCCCTGCTACCTCTGCCTCCCAGGTTCCAGTGATTTTCCTGTCTTAGCCTCCCAAGTAGCTGGGATTACAGACTAATTTTTGTATTTTTAGTAGAGACAGGGTTTCACCATGTTGGCCTAGCTGGTCTCGAACTCCTGACCTCGGCCCGCCTTGGCCTACCAAAGTGCTGGGATTACAGGTTTGAGCCACCGCGCCTGGCCTCATTGCTGTGGCTCTGAGCCCCACCTCCTGAACTACAGGAGACTTTAATTCTCCCATTCATTTCCTCCCCAGGATTTACACGACCCTCAGGTTTGCAGGAACAGCCCACACCTGGGGCAGTCCCAGTTGCTTGGCTGAAAAGCCTGGCCTCCCCTGAAGAGCCCATCACCCCCTCCTCTTCCTCCTGCTGTCACCCTCTGCTCTGTGCCACTTCCTGCTGGGTGCCCAGGATATCCAGGGCATTCCACTGCACTTCTGTGCAGGGGTGCCGCAGGGTTTAGTGGGCTAATCCCATTGTGAAGGGCAGTTTGGCATCCCCAACCCTGGCCATTCCCAGTTATCCTGAGGTCAGACAACCTGCGTATTTGCAAACATCCCAGGTCTGCCACACTGCTCACACCATGAGTTCACCCTCAGCATGTTGGTGCCCCCTTCCACGTCACAACCTCAGGGTAGGGCCTTGGAGGCGCCCCCAACTGGTCCTTGACCGGCAGCAGAGGCTGTTGCTGTCTCCCAATACCCATTCTCACCAAGAGGGACTGGGCCGTGTTCCCAAGCTCGAGCCACCAGCCCCAGCTTTCCAGCTGCAGGTGAGAGACTGTGGCCAGGTTCTGGCAGACGGGCCGTGGTTTCAGCCTGAGTGTCCTCACTGTGTCCCTTCTGCTGGTGACAGGAGGGAGAACACAGATGCGATTGTGTGCTGAGGGTGTCGCCACCCTGGCAGAAGGGCTTGGGGGTTTTGACCTGCCCTGCTGGCCCCCGCCCTGGCCTACCTGCGCCAGGTTTTGGGCGAGGGAAAGCCGCCCTCCCTTATTGGACCCTGCTTGTTCAGGTTTTCCCACAGCAGCTGGGCTCTGTGGACACCTGGCCCACCTTTCACCCCAGTTTGCTCCAAGCCTATACCCAGGCTTTTCCTTTGTCTTGCCCCAAGCAGGATTCACAGCAGATGACTAACAGGGGGTACACAGAGGATGGGGGTACACACAACAGTTGCCCCAAGTCTCATGACCCGAACCCTCCAGGGAAGTGTGTCCTCTCCCTCTCCTTGGTGGCAGCACAAGGACATGTGCTCCAGGTCGTGGGATGTGGACATGTACGAAGGCCACAGATGGGGTTTCTCTAGAGGGCCAGTTGACCAGCACTCCCTGCCCCTGCCCCATCTGTGGTCCACGAGTGGCCAGAGACCATCTAGTGTGCAAATGTGACACCAGGAGCATCTTCAGCACATCCTTCTGGCCTTCCTGGTCTGGGCCTGGCCCTCAGCAGCTGCACTTCTGCCCCCCTGCACCCTGCAGAGACATCAGATCGGACAATAATCTGTTTGGCAATTATACCTACAACTGTGTTACTTGCTGTTTCAAGACTGAACAGACATCATCTTTAAGCATTTTTTAAAGTCTGATTTTTTTGTGACGCTCTCAGGAAGAAAGACTCCACTGCTGCTGTGGCATTGTGAGGTGGTCATTGTCCCTCCTCCCGATACAGGTGGGAGATGGATGTGACACAGCCCCTCATCGGGCCGCTCTGCTGCAGTGAAGCTGTGCCTCCGTTTGCCGGGTGGCCTCTGCGTGGCTGACTCATTGGCTTCTTTCAGGATGAGTCACTCGGGCACTACCCAGCCACCGAGTGAGCAGCTGGAAGCCCGGGGTTAAGTGTTATTGACTTCAGAGCAGCAGCAGCGTGATCGGGTTTCAAGCTAGTTCCCATTGAATTAATTTTTGTGGATCGGTGTTTGAAGTTTGGGTGGGAATAATTGGCCTGGGAGAGACTCCTTGCATCCTTGCCGGGTAATGAAGCTGGAGGCAGGCGTGCGCCCCCTCTCAAGAGACAGGCTTGGTGTTGAAGTCTTTTTTGGTTACTAGACCACCTGGAGTCTCCAACTGTAGCCAGCGGGAGACAGGTCCGCGGATGGGCAGGTGGACACGGCGTTTCTGGGTCCCAGCTATGCATGTGAGGCTCAGGGCTCCTGCTGACCTCTGCCCTGCCTGGGAGACACCTGCCTCCTTGGACTCCCAGTGAGTCCAGAGCCTCTGGGTTTGTGCTGGGAGCTTGAGGGCAGAGGCTGTGGCCAGAACTGCGTGAAATTCCTCTCCTCACACACCATGGACCTCCTTGACCTGCAAGCACCCAGTGTCCTCTGGAGAATGCACCACAGAGAAGCCAGTTCATTGTGGCTTCTTGTTTTTGTTTTTCTTAATTTTCATTCTTTGCTGCTTTTAGGGTCAGCATTGGTTTTTACTGATGTTCGACAATGTCAGGGACAGGTTCTCTCTCCTTCCTCATGTAAAATGAGGGTTTCTTTATTAGGGACTTGGGGACTACCTCCCAGGAGCCAGCCTTTCCCTGGCCTTGGGGGTACCAGACTCCCTGGCCACTCGGGAAATAGCCCATGGCAGAGTCAGGGTCCATATGACAGGTGATGTTTCTGCAACGGTAACACAGCCCACCTCGCGAGGCTGATGGGAGAATCAGAGGAGCTCACGTACAGGAGAGTCCTCTGTCACCTGGAGGGCTGTGTGGGTCCTCATCATTGCCTTTGTCATTGAAGCCCTCACCACTACCCCTGTGGGGGAGATGTGCATTTGCAGGAGAACCTTGCAGAGCATCAGATGCATGGAGTGTATCAGGATCTCAGGAGACGCCAAAGAAACACGGACACGGTGTCCGATGGCCCATCTGTGCCCCCTTCTCCACTATTTGCAAAGATTAAATGACAGGCAACCATCTTTGAAACATGCATTGAATGGGCTGTTTAGGAGTTGAACATTTTCTAATTGAAAAGACTCATCTCTCTACGGAAGAGGTGTATTACTCTGTTCACGCTGCTGATACATACATACCTGAGACTGGGTAATTTATAAGGAAAAAGAGGTTTAATGAACTCACAGTTCTACATGACTGGGGAGGCCTCACAATCATGGCAGAAGGTGAAAGTCGCTTCTTATGTAGCGGGGGCAAGAGAGAGAATGAGAGCCAAGCGAAAGAGGTTTCCCCTGATAAAACCATCAGATCTCGTGAGACTTATTCACTGGCATAACAGTATGGGGAACAACACCCCCATGATTCAATTATCTCCCACTAGGTCCCTCCCACAACGCATGGGAATTGTGGGAGCTACAACTCCAGATGAGATTTGGGTGGGGACACAGCCAAACCAGATCAAGGGTCTTGCTGGCTCGGATGCGACTCTGCTCTGTCTGTTCCCTGAGTTTTAAATCAGCCGTCCTGTGGTTTGTGCACAGCTGAGGGTCTTCATGCAGCAGCCCAGGCTGCCTCCTGGGCAGGGTCAGGGTCAGGGCAGTGGGAGGGGGATCTGAGCACTGGAGATGCCTGCGTAACCCATGCAGGCCATGGGAAGTGCCCCGCATGGCGCCTTGTTGGGCACCTGAAGGCCCAAGCCAGAAACTCCCGCTGGACTCGGGGGCCTGCCGGTCAATGCTTGAAGAAAGGGGCTTTGGGAAGCCCACTGCCACCCAGGCCCCTTGTGCCCACAAATCCTGATTGTTCTGGTAACTGCTCCCTGGAACTTCAGTCCACAGGAAATATCTACCTTGTATGTCTATTTTATTGCTTTCAAGATCCAATTTTAAAGCCAGTGCCATACTAACCTTCTGCGTTTTGATTTCCTTGTCTGTTGCCTCACCTGGCCAGGAAGGGAGACTCCAACTGAAGACGCCTGCCCTGGCCCCCGGTTCTGGGCCCAGACCCCTACCAGGTACCGGAAGAGCAGAAACCCAGGGTTCTGCTGCCCGAGGGGGACTAGCGACATCTAGTGGTAACATCACCCAACTACAGCCACTTGTTTCCTGGGTTCCAGAACCTCAGGGTCACTCAACAATTTACCCGGTGCCACATATGTTTATTACAGCACTATTCACAATAGCAAAGACATGGAATCAACCCAAATGTCCATCAATGATAGACTGGATAAAGAAACTGTGGTACATATACACCATGAAATACTATACAGCCATAAAAAGGAGTGAGATCATGTCCTTTGCAGGGACATGGATGGAGCTGGAAGCCATCATCCTCAGCAAACTAACACGGGAACAGAAAACCAAACACCACATGTTCTCACTCACAAATGGGAACTGAACAATGAGAACACATGCACACAGGGAGGGTAACAACACACACAGGGCCCTGTTGGGGAGCTGGGGAAAGGGAGAGCATCAGTATAAATAGCTAATGCATGCCAGGGTTCATACCTAGGTGATGGATTGACAGGTGCAGCAAACCACCATGGCACACGTTTACCGGTGTAACAAACCTGCAAATGTATCCCAGAACTTAAAATAAAGTAATAATAATAATAATTCAACAGGTGCTGTGCTGGGGCTTTGAGCCTGGGCAGATATTGGTCCTCACAATCTTATTTTTACCCTTCCCTTATAAGCTAGAGATTTACAAATGTTTCAGAAAGAAGCTTTGAGATTGTTCAGTCCAACCCCTTATCATGCCTGACTCCAGGCTATGGAGTCCACACTGGGTGCCTCCCAGTCTCCGTGGACTCCTTCAGTGGCAGCAGACTCACCTGAAGATCTCGTCCCCATCTCACAGAGTGGTGTCGAGGCTGGGGAGGGTCTTGGACCATTTACACTCTCATTGCACAGATGGAAGATGGACCATTTACACTCTCATTGCACAGATGGAAGATGGACCATTTACACTCTCATTGCACAGATGGAAGATGGACCATTTACACTCTCACTGCACAGATGGAAGATGGACCATTTACATTCTCACTGCACAGATGGAAGATGGACCATTTACACTCTCACTGCACAGATGGAAGATGGACCATTTGCACTCTCACTGCACAGATGGAAGATGGACCATTTACACTCTCACTGCACAGATGGAAGATGGACCATTTGCACTCTCACTGCACAGATGGAAGACTGAAGAGTCAATGGGAGTGGAGATTTGGTCATACTCAGTGGATTTGTGGCTAAGCCAGGCTGAACCTGAGTTCTCCTTGATATTAGCCTATAGTTCTTTCCTCCAGCAATATATAGTAAAATATTAGAACCTTCCTTTTCTTCTTCCTTTCGTCTCTCCCTCCATCTCTCCCTCTTTTTTCTCTCTCCCTTCACCCCTCCCTCCCTTCTTTTCTCCCTCCATCCCTTTCTTCTTCCTTCTCTCCCTTCCTCTCTTCTTACCTCTTCTCCTTCCCTCCCTCTCTTCTTCTGTCTCTCCTTCCCTTTCTCCTTACATCTTTCTTCCCTTTTTCAACAACTACCTCCTGACTTCCCATTTTACGAACCCCTACAGACACTGCATAGAGTGAATGTGAACCATCGCAGGGACCTGGGACCTGGCATTCCTGTGGGGAACCAGTCAATGCAGAAACAATCAGAGGGTTCCTCCCCCACTGCCCCATCCACCAAAAAAAAAAAAAAAAAAAAAAAAAAGGCAGGAGGCCATGAGGAAGGTGATGGCATCATCACATTCATGGTTAAAAGGGGCAGAACTCAACATGAACTGGTTTGAACAAACAAAGAGAATGGCTGGTGGCCTGGGGAGCCCAGGATGGTGGGCTTGGGCACCCAGACTCTGACATTAGGGCCATTTTTGTCTGTCTTGTGGCTCGGCCTCTGTCTCCCAGTTGGCACTTTCTTTCCCACTCAGGATGCTGCTTGTGAGCAGTGAGGGAGGACTGGGCACCACCCTGGTGGGCACAGCCACAGACACAGCAGGTGGGCCATGCCTCCAGGTACACCAGAGGAAAGTGAACTCACCTCTCCTAAACCTGCATATCAGATCCCGGGGAAATCAGTAGGGCTGGCGGGCCTTCTAGGTCCACCTGGAACCTCGACTGTGGCAGGCCTTCAAGATGCATCCAGGCCACTGCCAGCACTGCAGCCAGGGGGTATGCGCAGCCCTGCCAGGAACCATGGGGGCATGAGGAGGGAAAGCCGTCTGCTGGCAGAGAGGATGCTGGACAGATGCAAAGACCAGTCCCATCTTGGGGCTTCAGAAAGAACTTCTAACCAAAGGCAGTCGGATCCAAGACCTGAATAAAGTTGTCTCAGTCAAGAGAAAAGGGTGCAAGGTGGAAAACAGTGATCCAGCGATGGGAATGGCACACATCAGAGCTAGGAGAATAGTGGGCCAGCGATGGGAACGGCACACATCAGAGCTAGGAGAATAGTGGGCCAGCGATGGGAGCGGCACACATCACAGCGAGGAGAATAGTGATCCAGCGACTGGAACGGCACACATCACAGTGAGGAGAATAGTAGTCCAACAACAGGAACAGCACACACCACAGCGAGGAGGGCCGAGGGCACATTCCGACCACGTGCAGGAGGCCGGTGGGCCGGGAACTCACCCAGAGCTGTATGTGGGGAGGTGGGAGAGACAGGCTGGATGGGGCAACAGGAGCTTGACTGCGGCCTTTCTAGTCTGTATTACCCATTTGGGACTTTATTCACAGGGTGACTTGGGGTGTGGACAGGCTTTAAGCACAAGCAGGATCTGTTTTTACTTTGATCTGGTGAAGATCATTGTGGTCACCACGTGAGTGGAGGGACCCCGGCAGTAGGTAGGAGAGTTAAGAGGCTGTTGTGACAATCAGAATAGAAATGACGGTCATGGCACCAAGGTGTTGGCTGGAATTCAAGTCAAATAATACGGTCGTGATTACTTTGAACCCATTTCAGGGCCAGAGAACTCAGGATGCAGATGGCTCAGGCCTTCCAGAGGTATTTCATCTCTTTTGGCCTCAATTTCCTTGTATGAATTGAGAGCATTAGAATTGATAATTTCAAATATTCTTTTTTTCTAAAATTTTTAAATTTCATACTCTATATTCAACAATAAGAAAAGGCCCTTGCTCTTCTATCCAGAAAGCAGGTGTTAATAGAAATGAATGTGTGATTCTGTTCTTTCTTGTTGGTCAGGCCTCTTCTGGCCTTTCTGGAGAAGATACTAAAATAACATTTCAACATTAGTTGCACATCAATTCCTTTGTATTAAAATATCCATAATATAATCAATGTCCAAATTATTTAACTCTACACATCTCAAAGCAACTCTTCATGCAGAAACATCCAAACAAGTTTAATCCCTCATCTCTGGACCTCCTCACACAGGGGGTTGATGATGCCCTCAGACCCTGCTCCCGCGTCAAGACCCCAATTACTCCGTAGCCGAAGCCATTTGCCCAGAGCCAGGTGGTTCCTGCGGTTAGAGTCAATATTTGCCCAGCACTGGAGTATGCAATCGTGACCTGCACCCACTGTTTAAGAGGCAAATGGCAAGCAATGAATTTTGAATGGGTGAGGAGGGAGAGAGCCTGATCTGCATTTACTTACGAGCTTTGGAAGTGCAAGATGTATACTCTGAGTTCTAACTTCTTAGATTAAATGTTGGCTTTTTAAATCAAAAGTAAGCAAATCCTATGTAATATGCCTGCCATATATTTATTACAACGTTCTTCAGAAGCAATTTCCATACTGATATGCTGTTGCCGGGATTATTATTAAAGAGGTAAGAAAAATGGAGAGCCGGAGATCAAGATTAGATTTTTTCAGAGATGGAATGACAAAATGAATGGGGCATTAGGAGAACATTACCAAAGCAATAGAGTTTAAACCATTAAACAGATAGATGTCAATTGAAAGATGCCGGATAGTTTGTTTTTTAATGCTCCTGTCCTCAAAATCATAAGGCTGGGGTTTTACAGGCTGTAGTTTTAAAACATCTGTATGGGGCGCTTTTTGTGTGCTGTAGGGAAATGAATCAGTTTGGAAGCAATGCAAATTTTAAGAATTATTGTTTATTCTTACTTTGCAATTTGAAAAAAAACCACAGCAAAATTATGAGATAAGGTAATAAACAGAAATGAACCTTCCACCTTAAATGAGCACATTGAAACATTTGCATCTAACTTTTCCACTTATTTGTGGAAGTGAACCGTGACAGGTAGACGGAATCCTCCGCAGTCCTCCCCGGAGTTGCCGCGATCCACCACTGAACGCAGGGCCTGCGGAGTCCACACTCCCCTGCTTTCGTCAGGCGCACGCTAGAGGTGGGGCTACGTGTTTGCCCTGCATAGGTATGATTCACTTAGTCATCTGCATACTCGAACACGGATAGTATGTTCTGGACTTGGCTTTTTCTGGAACTCTGTGAAGCATAGAGAACGCAGGAAAGAACCCAAATGAACGCAGCCCTCCCCGCGCTGGGGAACATGAGTTTCCTGGGGAACCATGTAACAGGTGTAACACAAACCGGGTGGCTTAAAACAACAGACATTTTTTGTCTCACAGTTCTGGGAGTCAGAAGTTCAAAATCAGGGTGTCGCAGGGGCGCACTCCCTCCAGCGGCTCCAGGGCAGGATCGTCCCTGCCCCGGATGGCTTCTGTGACTCCGGGGGTCCCTCAGCTGTGGCCGCATCGCTCTGATCTCTACCTCACCTTCACGTGGCCTCCTCCTCTGGGTGGAACTGACCCAAACTTCCTCTACCTTTCCCCTTTATGGAGACACATAATTGTGCTTGGGGTTCATCTGGGGAAACCAGAATAAGCTCCGTTCTGGAGCTTATTTCCATCTCTTGCCACGTAAGGAGATACGTGTATTCACTCTTTTGCTATGTAAGAACCCTTCCTGCCATGCTTTCGGCCTGCAGAGCCTCCTCACTGGAGCGTGGCTGTGCCTCTCCCGCGGGAGCATTCTCAAGGACGTGCTGAACCAGGTGTCCTCCCTGGGGTAGTGAGCCTGGCTCGCATAACATATTTATTCCACATTCCCATCTCACCCAGCCCCTGGCTAGCTTCCTCCATGGTACACAGGGGAGGTCTTGAATCTCAACATTTGTCACAGGTGTTTGAGCCAGAGTGACTCCATCTTGAATAGGGGCTGGGTAAAATGACGCTGAAGCCTGCAGGGCCGCATTCCCAGGAAGTTAGGCACTCTTAGTCACACGATGAGCTAGGAGGTTGGCACAAGATACAGGTCACAAAGACCTTGCTGATAAGACAGCATGTGGTAAAGAAGCCGGTTAAAGACCATCAAAACCAAGATGGCGGGGACAGTGATCTCTGGTCATCCTCACTGCTCATTATACGCTAGTTAGAATGCATCAGCTGCTAAAAGACACTCCCACCAGCACCACCACAGTTGACGAATGCCATGGCAACGTCAGGAAGTTACCCTATATGGTCTAAAAAGGGGAGGAACCTCAGTTCTGGGAACTGCCCACCCCTTTTCTGGAAAACTCATGAATAATCCAGCCCTCGTTTAGCATATAATCAAGAAACAACTGTAAGTATAATCAGATGAGCAGCCCACATTGCTGCTCTGCCTATGGAGTAGCCATTCTTTTATTCCTTTACTTCCTTAATAAACTTGCTTTCACTGTACTCTATGGATTTACCCCGAATTCTTTCTTGCACAAGGTCCAAGAACCTTCTCTTTGGGTCTGGATTGGGACTTGTTTCTGGTAAAACATTCACTGTAGATGGCCTTTGGGTACAAGTTATGGTTAACCAGCTAAGCACACTGCCAGAGACACACAGGAATGGCACCATGAGTTCAGAATTCTGCTTGGAGCCCTTATATCCATTCACCTGCCCTTTCTTGTGTGATATTCTTCCTACCCAGGTAGAACAATCCCAAGGCCCCCTTCCAGGCATCTTATATAGGTCTCTGTCAGTATAAGCTGGGGAAGCCCTGTGAGCCCTTGGTGCATGCAATGTGTGCTGTGGGCCACACTTAGTGCTCTCTCCCTCCTGCCTGCAGCTCCGAATCCTGTTCCCATCAACTGCGAGTGCCCTGGGCCTGTTCGTGCGTGCATCTGGTTACAGATGCAGGAAGGATGGGAGGAGCCGGGCATGGGTCTGGAGGAGCACCAGCCTCCCCTGCAAGTCGGGATCGCAGGAGAGGTCATGGCGGAGGAGGGGTGGTTAATTTGGGGTGTGAACCTGACTGGGCTAGGCCATGCCCGAGGGCTGGTGAAGCATTGTTTCTGGGTGTGTCTGCAAGGGACTTTTTGGAAGATACCAGCATCTGAACCAGTGCACTGAGTACAGAAGATCTGCCATCAGCAGTGAGGGTGGCATCAACCAATCTGCTGAGGGCCTGAAAAGAACAAAAGAGACCAGCGCCCTCTGCCCTTGACACTGGAGCTCCTGGCTACTGGGACTTTGGACTCTGTGACCTGTGCTGACAGCCTCCCGGGGTGCTCGGGCCTTTGGTCTCAGGCTGGGAGTTTACACCGTCAGCTTCTCTGGTTTTGGGACTTCAGACTCAACCTGAATTACACCACCGAGTGGCGATTCCTGGTTCCTCAGCCTGGACAGCATATCAGGGAGCTTCGCGGCCTCCATAACATTTCCATAAGAGATCATCTTATATATAGCTATGCATTCTCTGTTGGTTCTGTTTCTCTTGAGAGCTCTAATGCCGGGTTATTGCAGCAAGGGGAGATGAACCCTGCAGATGGGAAGAAGGGATCCAGCTACTGTCAGAGGGGTTTGGGCAGAGTTTGAGGGACTGAGAATCACAGCCCCATTGGATCCTGCCTACACGTTCCCATGCCAAGTCTTCGGGTTTGGATTCTTGAGTTATGAGTCAGACATTTATTTCAGTTTCATACCTGGAGCTGGAACGGGATGTGTAAAGCCATGGTCTCATTTTGTTCCTCCAGGTTCTCTAGCTCATGTGGAAGCATCCAGGCCTCCCCACAGTTCTTATATTCCATGCCATCAAAATGCTCTTCGACAGAGCATGGTGGACACACAGCAGAGTACAGAGGTGGCCCTGGGCACTGTGGGTCAGGGCAGCTACCAGGAACACAATCTGGATGCACCTGGAGAACAACGGGGAGCAGCATCATCTGAATTGTGATTTTTTAAAAAAATCAGCTCCCTAAGTATTGCTGCTGAGTGGCAAGACGTTTTTCTTGATAAGTCTGTGACAACCAATTTAAAAAATGACCATAGGAAGAGTTTGCTATCAGGTTCTTGAAAACTAGCTCACTCCCAAATTTACCTTTTTCTTTTGTGTTTTCCTCCATTTTACTTCCAGCATCTCATGGCAACTCAGCCCCACAAAGGTTCTGACATTAACAAAATGCTTGCAAATATCCTGCCTTTCTCCAGAAAGGAATCCCATGACTCTTGCAATAAATGGTGAAGGTAACGTGAAGGGTACTTTCCAGATAAAAACTACTCCCCCGCAGAGTGTTTCACCGAGGGAGTCTATCTGATTACTCTCCACCCGGTTCTGTGTGAACTTTTCTAGTACACAGCCCTTGTTTTTCTTGGCTGTGAGCAGCAGGGCTTAGACAGCTGACGTTGCCATCCTTCTAATTATTCCAAGGGTGCTGTAGCTTGGAGCAGTGGGCGTGGGCGACCCCTGAACTCCACGAGAACCTTGAAAGGTGACTCTCAGATCTTAAAGTGAGCTTTTCGATGAATAAAACCCCAATCAATCCTCAATGGGATTGCACATGACAGGCGTGTGCTGCTGGGAATGCAACTTCCCTCTGGAAGCCCTGGTTGGTGCTGGGTAGGGGGCTTCCTCTCCTCCACAGGCTCTGAGTCCATCACTCCGTCCGTTTGAGCTTGGTCAATAAAGTTATCATGTAATTATCATCAACTGGTCTTTAATTATTAATTGTCACCTCTGGGGCTGTCTGAGGACCGAGCGTTGTATTTCATCTGAAAGTGGAACCCAGGCTTGACAGATAGGAGGGAGCATGGAAGAAATAATCAGTGCCACCATGAATAATTGAGCTTTAATAATTTTTGCTGCATTTAGAAATCATTTCCCACACTTGTTACATGACCAAGTGCCTGGAGCTGAAAAGTTGATCAGATTCATCTCGTGCTTGGTGAAACTCTAAAGCCTGAATGAACTCAAGGTGCAGATTTTCTGGAAGGAAGCTCATGGTGAGAAGTGTCTGGGGACCCCATCCTGCCATGGTATTGTCGGATGCAGGGCACCTACAGTGAAGAAACTCTTCTGACGTTAACACGGAGAGCAAGCTGGAGACAGAACTGCTTCTTTTTGAATGACTTTTTTATTATTTATTTTGACTATAAAGACTATTTATTGTAAACAAATTGAAACAGTACAAAAAGATGTCCTAAGAAGAGTAACGACTCCCTTCTGTCCTGTTGTGGCTGCCTACAGAAACAGAATGGAACATACCCAGAACCCCGCTTGGAGGTTGGACGGATCACGCCACACAGCTAGGAGGGCATGGGGGGGTTTATGACCCACATGAAGAGCCTTTGAGGGGAAAGCAGAGCGAACCCCAACCTGTTCCAGAAACTACTCGAGAGGGCCATGAAAGCTGAGTGGTGTGAGGTTTTCCTCGTGGTTGAGGGACTCGGGTGAAGGTTCACACATATGGGCACGGTCTTGCTTGGTTTGCATCTCCCAATGGTGCTCAAGAAAGGAGCAGCCTGGCTTTCTTATCAGCCTGACAGATATGGGGTAGAACAAGAAGAGGGGTGAGGCCTAAATGCTGTCAGCAAACAGCAAAACTGGGAGTCAGGCTTGACCGTATCTCTTTAGTTCTCTCACTCCAGAGGGACCTTTGTTGTTTCCTGAGTGTAGATATTTACTGTGTATATGTAAAAGTATACTTGCATGCAATGTGTATGTCTGTTTATCCATCCACCTATCCATTTTTCTGTCCATCTGTCAGCCCACCCACCCAACCATTCATCCATCATCCACCCACCCACCCATTCATCCATCCACTCACCTACCCATTCATCCATCCACTCACCCACCCATTCATCCATCCACTAACCCACCCATTCATCCATCCACTAACCCACCCATTCATCCATCCACTCACCCAACCATTCATCCATCCACTCACCCACCCATTCATTCATCCACTAACCCACCCATTCATCCATCCACTCACCCAACCATTCATCCATCCACTCACCCAACCATTCATCCATCCACCTACCTACCCATTCATCCATCTGCCCACCCACTCATCCACCCATTCATCCATCCACTCACCCACCTATTCATCCATCCACTCACCCACCCATTCATCCATCCACTCACCCACCCATTCATCCATCCACTTACCTACCCATCCACCTGCCCACCAACTCACCCACCTATTCATCCTTTCACCTACCCACCCATCCACCCGTCCATCCATTCACCCACCCACCGACCCATTCATCCATCCACCTATCCATCCATTCACCCATCCACCCATTCACCCACTCACTTATCCATTCATCTGTCCATTTGGCAGTCCACCCACACACTCACCCATCCATCCACCCACCCATTCATCCATCCACTTACCCACTCATTTATCCATTTACCCACCCACCTATCCATCCATTCACCCATCCACCCATTCACCCACTCACTTATCCATTCATCTGTCTATTTGGCAGTCCACCCACCCCTCACCCATCCATCCACCCACCCATTCATCCATCCACCCACCCACTCATTCATCCATCTACCCACACATCCACTCATCCACCCACCCACCCATCCACCCTCCAATCCATCTATCCATTCATCCATCCACCCACCCATCCATCCACCCACCCACCCATCCACTCATCCACCCATCCACTCATCCACCCATCCATCCACCTATTTTTCCACCCACCCACCCACCCGCCTGTCCATCCATTCAGCCATCCACCCTCCAATCCATCATATACCTGCCCATCCATGTATCTATCCACCATCCAATCCATCTATCCACCTGTCCAACCACCTGTCCATTCACCTGTCCATCCACCCACTCATCCATCCATGCACCCACCCACCCACCCACCCATCCACCCTCTGATTCATCCACTGATCCACCCATCTGTCCATCCATCCATCTATTCATCCATCCATCCATTCATTTATCTATCCTTTTAATGTAGAAATGGCCCCACATTACACATATTGTTTTGAATTTGTTTTTTCACTTAATGAATCTTGGAGTGACATTTGTCTACAGCTTCACCTATTTCTCATGGCTGCATGGTACTCCGTGGACCACTAATGATGGCCATTAGGGCTGATTCCATTTTCTCCCATCACAAATCATCCCTATATTCCTGTACCCAGGCAGGTATGCTGATGGGACACAGTCTTGAAAATGTGATTGTCAAGACACAGGCTATGCCCCTTGTAATCTTTGAAAGACATTGTCAAGTGGACTTCCAAAACTTTGCTCTAGAATACTTCTTAGGCAACAGGTGAGCAGAGTCTGTGTTCCATTACCTGAGTCAATTGGGGTGGGGGAGGAGCACAACAAAACAACCTGCCAATTTGAGATATAAGAAACCCTGGTAGCATTAGTTTACGTCATTTCAAATATTTATTAGACATTTTTACTTCTCACTACTCTGAGTTTTCAGTTTTTCTCAAGTAAGTTCTGCTTTTCTTAGTAATCTGTAAGAGATCCTTTAATAAGGTAGGTTGCTAATATATTTTTCAGTTAGTCATTTGACTTTGTAAAATGTTTTTCTCTGAACATTTTTTTTTTCATTATTATGAATTCAAAATAAAGAGTTTCATGTTTTCTGGCTGCTTGTTTTGTTATATTCAGAAAGTGTATCTCAAAGAAAAGATTAGTTGTTTCTTTATCATCTATGATTTTGTCTTTGGAGTTTTAAATTCTTATACTTAAATTGATGCTCCAGCAGGAATTTCTTTTGTTGTAAGGCATGAGATAGGCATCCTGCTTTATCTAATTAACTAGTAGACTGTCTCAATATCCTTTAGAAGCTATTAATCTTTTACTTGGTGATCTGAAATATTACTTTTATTAGATGAATCATTCTGAATTGTTTCATTATGTTGTTCTATGTGATGATTTCTCTCCTGTTTTGCATAGTTTTATTGATTGTGCTTTATAACATATTTCAGTGTTCGATAAGGCAGCTCCTCTGAATTACTTTTCATTTAAAACTTTTCTGACTATTTAAAAATGTTTATGTTTCTGGAAGATCTTTAGAGTCCTGTGTCCTATGTCATGTTATTCAAGCTGTTTTCCTACCAGCAAAGGTCAAAGATTCTAATTGTTATTTTAATTGGGAATGTATAACAAATATAGATCATATCTTTTTAAGCTGAGTCTTTTTAGCTAAGAACAAGAGTTGTTGTCATTTATTCAAATATTCTCTTGTATCTTCACATAATTCTTTAATTTGAAAAGCATATTGTCCTGTATTTCCTTATGCTTTTTTAGAGATATTTTATCTATTTTTTGTGAACTGAATTGCTTCCTCCTTTGTATTTCCAAATGCTTACTCTTTTGACATAGGACAATTATTGATTTTGTATTTTAAATGACATCAGTCATTCAATGAACTTAGTTTGCTTTTGCATTTTTGGTACAAGATGTTTTCTTGGTCTAGGACTCTACAACCCACAGGAGCGGTGATTCACTTGTCCCTCTGGACTTGCGGGTTCTTGCTCTGTATCCAGGCCAGGCGCTTGGCCGTTCTCAGACTGTGTTCTCATCTCTAACATGGGGATGGCCTCCACTTAAAGGATGACTTGAGGGGTTTGAGGGGACAAAGGCTGAGTGCAGTGGTGAGATGGTGCTCGGGAAGGGTGAGGTCTTGCCTGGGTGCGGGGTGTCCACGTGGGAGGGATTCCGAGGAGAGCTGGGGTGTCCGCGTGTGAGGGGTTCCAAGGGGACAAAGGCTGAGTGCAGTGGTGAGATGGTGCTCAGAAGTGCGGGGCCTTGCCTGGGAGCTGGGTGTCCACCTGGCTGGACCACTGCATCTTCTCCATCTAGTGTTTGCTGCTTTCTGGGAAAGCTGCTGGCCATGCTCCCAGCAGCTTAGGAAGGGCAGGAGCACTGAGAAGCAGTGAAGGCGGAATCTGTCGGCTCTGGGCACCCTCCTGGGCGCCTTTCCGTCCCGACTGCAGGGTTGCATCCGAGGCCTCGCCTCTGTGGCTGTCAATTCACTGACGGGGAACCCAGGCCTGATGTTGATCCCCAAAACATCCCCCAGAGCTGGGTCACATGACCAGGCATTTTAGATGAGCCCTGAGTAATTTAACAATTTTATCTTTAAGACATAGGGTGACATTAGAGCTGGACTTCCATCTTTCCCCTGATGCTGGGATAGCGATGGCTCTGCCAAGCTTGCTCTCCTGCTTTCTGGGCTCTGCCTCGCAGGACAGCTCTTCACCCAGGGAGGATACTCAGTTTAAGGAGCACCTGCTCTGCAGAACTCCTCTTGCTCCTCATCCCCCATCCCATTCACTGGCGCCACCTGCACGGGACATTGGGCACCGTTTCTCTCCCCTCTCTGTGCTCCCCCCCGGGGTCCAGGGACCTTAACACCTGCAGGACCTCTGTGGCAGCCTCTGGCCCTCTGCTTCCTGCCCAGCGGCCAGGCGACTGTTTACTCAGAGCGTGGACCCCCTGCCATGCACCTTGCAAACCCTCAGGCAGATTACCCTTACAATTAGGAAGAGCCCACACACTCCTTCCACCTGCCAGCCCTCCCGCCTGCCCTGCGCACCTCTGGGCCTGGTCAAGCACCTGGCACTTCCCTGCCCACTCTCCCGTCACCCACGCCTGCCCCAGACTCCGCCCCCGACACATCATCAGAGGGGTCTTCCTTGTCTCTCACTGGCCTCCTCTCCCACTGGTCATGTCTTCTTCGTCTGCCTGCTGCTGTTTGGGGCCCTGAGCCCCACCAGGGCACCTCTGCTCTGCACCCAGGTCCAGGAATCCCGAGAGCAGCACTCAGCATCTGGCACTGACAGCGTAGCCTGGAGATCCCACAGCTGTCCTTCCTGCCTGCTCTCTGGTTCCCTGGTTTGTATTTTAGTATTATCTCTAATTACTGCTTTCACAGAAGTTCTAGACACTTCTTTACAAGTGGCCTCAATCCCGGTCCACACACGTTTCTGCTGGGCTGAGTTCTCGTCTGCTTTTCATGCTCCTGCTTTCAGCGTGAAACCCACAGATGGCGAGACCCGAGTTTAAACTCTTGGTCATTTGTACAGCACACAACATCATGAGGAGACATCCACCCTGGCCTGAGGATCCCATTCGGATTAGAGATCAAGAGCCAGCCTGGAGGCAAGGCGTCTACGCTTGAGCCCAGGATAGAGGCAGAAGCCCCTGGAGCTGGGAAGGAGTGAGCTGGTGGGGCGCTTCCTGCTGTCCCAGGCCTGCGGGGGAGGCCACTGCCTCGCCACTTTGTTTTCCTGAATCACCACAAGACTATTTTTCCTGATGAATTAACAATTGAACGGGCTTAAGTGCCCACTATTTTTGTGAAGATGTAAAGGAGCATAAGCACGTCTTTCTGTTTTCTTTTTCCAACTTACAAATAGAGATACTGCTACTCCCGTTCTGCCCCTAATTAAATGTGCCTAGAAAACTTATTTTATAATTTCATAATTCATACTCTGTGTATTATGGCTTCTCCTTGGTCTATAGTTTTTTCATGAAAGTGTGCTAAATAGTATTATAATACCATAAAAAAATAAATGCCAGTAAAGATGGCATAGAAAAATACATTTTGGACACGCACTCCGAGGGTGGTTGATGTGAATGGTGACAGCTCCTGTGAGGGGCTTGTTTCTTCTGAACGTGTGCCCACGTGTGTATGCACGTGTGTGAGTGTGCATGTGCCCACGTGTGTATGCACGTGTGTGAGTGTGCATGTGCCCACGTGTGCGACACCAGCTGAGATCTGGAGCTGGAGGAGCCTGGTCTGAGGGCGGAGCCACTGGGCTCAGAGCTGAGAGTGCACTGGAAGCCCCTAGAAGCTGAGCCGGGGTCGTGGACCCCACCCCCGGGCCTCCGAGTCAGAAGGGACTGAGTCCGGCCCTGGAAAGTGCATTTCAACAAGTTTCCAAGAGACTGAAGCTTCTGGCTGGGGCCCCACTTAACAGACCACGGCTCCAAGTTTAGTGTGGATTTCTCATCGTAAAATTGGAGATACCCACTCCCTACTTTGAACACGATGTGCCCAGCCCCCTCACCTGTTCTTGTTGGATCCAGGAACACTGTGAGCCTGTGAGGACATGGACCAAGGCGGGGAGTCACATGAGGAGAAGTACCTTCTCCTCGCTCTGCACACATATGCAAACACTGGTACACACTTGCTCACACACCTGCTCACACACCCGCTCACTCACACCTTCTCAGTGTATATGATAGGCACACTCACACTCACACATGTGTGCACACACACAGATCTCTGGCAGAAGCCGGAAGGACACAAAGGCCACTTGGACTTGGGGCATGAGGAGAGAAACCAAGCTGCCAAAGAGGACGTGATTTAGAACATGGGCCAACAGGGCCACGGTGCTCTAAATAACCTCACATGACCCACATTGAGACTGTTGTCTATGTAGCCAGCTGAGGGGCTCTGGGCTATGTGGGGTCAGGCAGAGGGGACTTGCCCAGAGCATGAATCTGCCAGGTTGGAACACAGCAGCCGCCTCAAGTTCCCCAGGTGCCTGGGAGAAGCCGCCTTTTGCAGGGAGCTGTGGGCCTGAGGGGTGCCAGCATGGAGGCCAAGCCTGGCTCCTCATCTGATGGGCTGGATTTGCCCTGGTAAGATACTACCGAGGCTGGACCACAGGGAAGGAGGAACACAGCCCCTGACAACTGTGGGCAGCCGCTGGGCATCACTGGATGTCAGACACGGAAATCTCATGACATGGGCGCCTGCTGCGGCGCCCAGCACTCCACCTGCATCCAGCTCATGCTCCTCCAGGAGGACTCCTTGGAGATGGTTAACCCGCCCCGTCGAGGGAGAAAGGTGAGGTTCCAGACACTGAGTGACTTGCCTGAGAACACTGATTCTGCTCACACACGCTGGGAGCTGCTGACTGTGGTGGGAGTGTGGGGGGCCAGTGGAGAGGAGACCCCAGCAAGCAGCCCCTGAGGACAGGCTTGTCTTCAGCTCTCCACCACTGCCCCAGCTCCCAGGGGCCCCTTTCCACACAGCAGCTGCTCAGTAAACATCACACACATCCACTTTGGAGGTGCCTCCGGACCCTGACAGCCCTGGATGGAGACAGAGTAAAAGTGACTCAGCAAGCATCTTTCCTGGGCCGCATCAGACATGGGGACGGCCACAGTCATCCTGCACGAGGTTGACCAGACTGTCCAGTCTGTGGACCTGGGGGAGGCAGGAGCTCCCTCTGTTGATATGAAGACAAAGCAGGCTCTAGAAACGCCGTCTGTGGAGAAGGGCTGTCTGCAATCTATGTGGGAGTGCGTGTGTGGAAAGAGCTCACTCCCACAGCACACGGACCCTCAGGTGGCCCTATGGCCGGGCCTCCAGGATCCGTCTCCTCCTTGAGCATGAGCCACTTGCCTCCAGCCAGAAGAGGCAGCCCCAGGGATAGGATGTCTGTCTTGTGATTGTGTTTTGTTCCAAAGACTCAGTCTCAGCAGCCTGGAGACTCCCATGGGCCCCTCAAAGTGGGCGGCTGTGTCAGGTGACCTTGCATGACAAGGAACTGCAGGTGGCTATGGGGCCCAAGGAGAGCCCCAGCTGGTTCTGCCCCACTCCAGATGGGGACTCAGCCCGGCTGATGCTTTGCCTGCAGCCTGGTGTGACCCAAGGCGGAGGGCCCACAAGGCAAAGGACCCACAAGACCACAGAAGAATAGACGCAGGTTGTTTTAAGTTGCCAGGTTGTGATAATTTGTTATGTAGCCAAATAATAAAAATAAAAATGAATGCATTCACGGATGCCTTGCATTCACAATTAGATATTTCTTTAATGAGCAAAAAGGGAACTCTTATTATTTGCTAAGGATAAATGACAGCGACATAGTCAGCATTTCATGTTTTCATGTTTTCGAATCATTTAGAGTCTCAAGTGAATGAACTTTATCCAACGCTATCCTGAAAGCCGCTTGCAGTGGAGAGGGGATTCCTGCTGATGCAGAGGGTGCGGGAAGGTGAAGAACCCCAGGGGCCGTGTGTGCTGCCTCCACTGGAGCCAGGCAGACATTGGAAGGGACTGGCCCATGTGATCCCGGCACACACAGTCTACCCCTCCTTCCAGGAGAAAAGGAGGATGATTAATTTAATTATTTAATGACACTGTGTTCATTAAAAGGCTGCCAGGCGAACTTTAAAACTAGGACGTTCAGAGCATGTCCTTGTTGGCCGAAGGAGCGGGTGTGAGCATGATGGCTGCTTCTGGGCTCTATGCCGGGAGGAGCTGGGCAACATTGATGTCTCCCTCAGAGAAATGACCGTGAAAACTGCTCCATGCCAGATTTGCGCAGGGAAATGGTGCTATTTTTAAATCTGCGCACAAAAGGAAGAGGCTTCACAGACAGCGCTGCCCTGGGAAGGGAGGTGCCCAGGTGCGTGGGGACAGAAAACCAAGTCCTGCCTGAGAGATTCAGAGAAGCCGTTGATTTACTTTGTAAAGATTATGTTTGGCCAGGCGCGGTAGCTGAGGCCTGTAATCCTAGCACTTTGGGAGGCCGAGGCAGGTGGATCCCAAGGTCAGGAGATCGAGACCATCCTGGCTAACATAGTGAAACCCCATCTCTACTAAAAATACAAAAAAAATTAGCCGGGCTTGGTGGCGGGTGCCTGTAGTCCCAGCTACTTGGGATGCTGAGGCAGGAGAATGGCGTGAACCTGGGAAGCGGAGCTTGCAGTGAGCCGAGATCACCCCACTGCACTCCAGCCTGGGCAACAGAGCGAGACTCCATCTCAAAAAAAAAAAAAGATCATGTTCAAAGACAGAAGTCCTGTTCCCTGTCCCTCTGAAGCCTCCCTTGATGGGACAGTGTGGTGGACAAGGAGCAGGCAGGAGCAGCCCCAGGACTCCATGCATCTTAGGGCAAATGAGTCAGTCACATTGGAGCCTGTCAGGGGTGACAAGCTTGTGAATATTCTTGGGCAGGGACAGTGACGGTTTTTCCAGGAAGATGAAGCAACAAAATTAATAAGTAATAAACCTGAACTATATTTCCTTTTAGCTGAAGAGGAGAGAGGGAAGGAGGTACAATGTGTGAGGACAGCGCTTTGGTCGTCTCCAGTGGATCCCCAAACCCTGGCACTGCGCCTCCCTGGACGCAGAGCATTCTCGGAGATATGAGGGTGGCCAAGCACGTCCACACTCCATCTGTTCTTTATGGATGTGCCCTGGCTCTTTCCCTTCATTCAAAGCAATGAGAGATTGAAAGAATGTTTGTGTCACACTCTGGATGGCTTCCCTGATGAAGGGACATCCCTGGCAGGATCTGCTGCCACCCTGGCAGGGGGCCGGGTATTCCCGCATGGGCCTGTGGCTTGGGCTGTTCATGCAAAACAGATGAGGGTCACAAATTGGAATTAGGATCGGGGTGGGCCACACCCAGGGCCGGCTTTTATCAGGCCCTCCACCTACTCCTTGCAATTATGCTTTCATTAGCTTCTGAGTCCAAAGGTCCTGCAAAAGGCCTTCCGCCCCTTCTCCCTGTCCTCCCGCATACCCATCCTGTTTCTCCCGAAGAGACTGAGGAGAAAGGTCCCACTGGCTGTTCTGCTCATCGTCATGTGAACGGGAGGTCATCGCACGTCACGACGTTGCTTCAAACACAGTTTTCCAGCCCCGCCCATCACTCTCCCGCGGGAGCAAGGGAAATGGGAGCTGTCGGCTCCACTTACCCTTACCTCCCACACTTTCTCCTGGACAGTAGACAATTTATGTTTTCTCTTTGCAGGGAATAATAATAATAATAAAAAGACCCCAACAACTCTGTTTGAAATATGTAAAAGCAACTTAGCAGGTAATGCAATATAGGAGGAAAAATAGCTCCTTGCTGAGTTCTTCATGTTTACCCATCACAGAAAACAAACTCTAAAATGTGCACAGTTTGAGCACAGGCAGCCTTTGGTGGGCCAGTGCCGCCTGGGGAAGCCGAGGACCCTGGCCAGGACGCCAGCCCAGTCGAGGGCCTCCCTTGCTCCTTTTCTCCCCGCCCTCAGTGAACAGCATCCATCCCTCTGTCGCAGCCACTCGCGCCGTGTGACTCTATCATATAACGATTTGTCTTGGGGTCTTGTCTGAAATAATTTGAACTGCCAAATCCTGAAATGAATAGGTTTTGTTAACACAAAAGGCTAAGGAACTGGTTGGAAATTTTAAAGAGCTCCGGCCCCCAAGTCTTGGGGGACCACATTGTCTGGCTGGCGGGCACTCTTGTCAGCAGCGCTGCCTCGGTGGGTGCGGGATGATGGATGGGCCGCTGCGGAGGAGAGGAGGGCGCGGCCGGGCTGGGAATTGGCTAAGTACTCCCGGGCGCCTGACCCCATCGTGGCGCGGCGAGTCGGCCTCCTTGATTTATAAACTGGGGTGGTGATTAATGATCTTTTAGGTGGACAAGGCGGGCCAAAGCCTCGCCACTCGGGCCACTCAGAAATGACGACCACTTGTAGCCGGGGAATAACAGCCTTGCAGGGAGGTATCCAGGCCGCCTCGCAGCAGCCCCGGTGCCCACCCATTTTCCACGAGGGTCCCACAAAGGCTCCTGGTGGACATCTGCATGGCCATAGAGCAGGGGCGTGTGCGGGGAGGCGACTCCTCCCTTCCCAAGCCAGGGCGGCTTGGGGAATGCGGTTGGAGCTAAGGACAGGGCGGAGGGCATCGCCCGCTCCTCCTCAGGGCTCCTCCTGCCTCCCTGCAGGCTCTCCATGGTCACGCCAGGCTGGGCAGCGTGCCAGACTTTGCTGTCTGCAGCCGCCTTGGCTGCCCGGAGGACCCTCGTCTGTGTCTAAGGAGCGTCTCGCTGAGTTCCCTGCACAGCGTCCCCTGGCCACGGTGCTGGAGGGCCTCAGCTTCTTTCTCCTGCACTGGAAATGAAGATGCAAACCTGGGGCGCTGAAAGCCACAGCAGGAACTGGACACACCCTCTGGGCCCAGGCCCATCCCCTCCAGGCCTTCCTCCCAGGGTTCTCTCCTCCCTGGGACACCCTGAGGAGACCAGAGAGAGACAGGCTGAGCTCCCTCGGTGAGTGGGAACCCAGGGGCAGCCATGCCTGGAGATGCTCTACCCGCGGGTTACAGCATTCGTCAAGGTAATGATTATAATTGGATCTGGCGTTGCTGTGACTCATAAATAAACGAAGGGCACTGTGGCTGCAGGTGAGCAGGGAACAGATCAATAGCAGAAAACCAACCTCTGCTACGAAAAGAGCTTTCACGTCTCCCCAGAGGGAGACTCCAAAATCATTTCAATCTGTTCTGAACTCCAGGGAAAGCTTCAGTGTGTTGAAAGGAGGGAGAAGAGGGAGAGGAATCCCAGACAGGCTTTCTGAGCTCAGCTCTAATGAACTGAGCCCTTGGCTCTGAGATAGGGAGCATCTTCCTCAAACGTTGTTTGCAAGGAAGGGAGGTGTGGCTAATGGATTATCCTGCAGCTCGGGGTATGTGTGCATAATTAGCATCACCTCTTTTTAAGCATGACTGCGGCTGGTGCCTTTTGCAAAATGCAAACGTGAAAGTTTATGAAGGAAGAGGTTTGGAGGTGGGTTAAAACTTCATCACAGAATTCTACGCTAGGGAGACATACTGGCGGAGAGCTCAGGGAAGACGTTACACATGTGAATATATTTGGGAACTGAGGATGAAGATGGAGCGCCATGGTTGGAGTGTCTGTCCCTACGTGGGATGATGCTCCTTCTCCCCAGCAGAGATGCATTTTTGTTTTTTGTTGCTGGTTTTAAAAACCAACAGAACAGACTATGGCTTCAGAATTGGGCTCAATTTGTGGCTCAAAAGGCCTGTGATTATCTTACTTTACTTCAGTTACAAAGGATGTCACAGCAGCCACCCAGGTTCACGCAGGGCGAGTGGAGACTTTCCACAGCAGTGGCCGTCTCTGATAATGGGGGTATTTCTTCTTTCTCTTCAATGACAACATGAAACACCTTTTCTCTATATTTTCTTTGTCTTCTTCCAATTTTTCATTCAATGATTGTATTCATTGTATAAAGGAGAACTTAGTTTAAACAGGGAATTATATATTGTTCCTTTAGATGGAAGGAGAGGGATTAGAAGGCAAGAACAATATGTGGCTGCTTCCAAAGTAGCTTCAGTTTTCAAAAGAACTCGAGGCCTCACCTACCTACCTACCCAGCTGCTCCTAAAGCAAGCTCATGCCAAAGTCTTCATTTGCCTTCTCTCTGCTTCTGGAAACAATGGGAACAGGATGAAATTTGGAGCCTAAATGACATGGTCAGGTTCTTCTTTGCCTCACCCTTCCTGTGTAAATTCGAGCAAGTCTTTCTGGGATACCAACAGGAATAACAGGCTGCACGTGGTGGCTCACGCTTGCAATCCCAGCACTTTGGGAGGCCGAGGCAGGAGGATTGCCTGAGCCCAGGAGCTTGAGACCAGCCTGGGTAACAGAGAGAGATCCTGTTTCTACAAAAATTAAAAAAAAAAAAAATAGCTGACTGTGGTGTCAGTAGTCCCAGCTACTGAGGAGGCTGAGGCAGGAGGATCACTTGAGCCCCGGTGGTTGAGACTGCGGTGAGTTGTGATTGCACCACTGCACTCCAGCCTGAGCAACTGAGACTCTGTCTCAAAACAACAACAACAACAAAGAAACCAAACAAACAAAAAACAACAAACAAACAAAAAACAACACTTTTCGAGCTCCAGGAACACCCCAATACTGTTCTAAGCCCTATTGCACGTAACACTATGAATCCTCATGGCAACCGCATGAGAGAGGCACTATTCTCATAGAAGAGGAAAATGAAGCACAGAGAGGGCACACAACTTGCCCAGAGTTGCCCAGCTCTCAAGAGGCAAAGCCAGGATTCAGAGCTGGGTGGTCTGACTCCATCCCTGAACTACTGCAGGTCTGCTGCAGGAGTTACTGTAAGAATTGGTAAAGAGAACACATGAAAGTGCCAAACACAGGGGTGCCCGCCCAGCACAGGGGTGCCTGCCCAGCACAGGTGTCGCCTCTCCCCTTTCCATCTGCCTGGGCAGGTTGTGCAGCCCAGCCAGCCTCAGGTGTGTCAGCCAACAGGTGACCCAGAGGCGGCCGGGCAGGACCTTTGCTGTGACACTTTTCTCATGGAAACCTAATACTCTGCCATGGTGGATTTACTTATTCAAATTTCATTTCTGCATGAACCGTGGCCCATCAAACACTGGATGTACCATTGCTTCTTGTGAACAAATGGCCTGGCCCTCAGTCGTTTCTGTACTTGGTGAAGCCACTACACTCTACCTTGAGCCATGGGCTAAACTATGATTCAGTTTGTGCTGCTGGCTCAACCTGCCTTTCTAATGAAAAATTAAATTAAAAAAGCAAAAATCAAAAACCTAAGCCAACGACAAACAAACACAAATCCCAAAAACTCACCCTGTATTTACAAAGGGCGCATGGGATGAATCTGTGTTTTCTTCATTGTTCATCAATCATTCACACCTGAAACTCTGTGTCTATTTCCACCTATCAAATTATAGCCTCATTTGCTATTCTAATGGGAAAAGGAAGCCAACTAGCCCACATTGGGAGAACAAAGGCTGTATTTATAACACAAGCGGCCTAGAACATAAAATGGTTCAGGGTAATTGACTTTCTGGGTGGGATTATCTTTGGAGAGAAAGCAACATTTATTTAGATTCCACATCTGCAGCCGACAGTGTGTGCTTGCAGAAACTGCTGAAGCATCATTGGCAAGTTTATTTTGCTACGGGTTGTTTCGTCTTCAACCAGTTGTAGTATTGATTTCCCTCAGTGGATTAATTATCAGAGGCAGTTCCAGGCTTCCCTGAGATGGACGGAAGGAGAAATGATGTTTTCATTTCAGTGAAGCCTGTTGGCAATTGTGCTGGGGTTTCTCTGGAGCCCTGGAGTTGACGAATCGGGGGCCATGGCAGAGCAGGACTGTGCCTGAAATTATTCATCTTATCTGTGGTTGTGAAGTCTTGGCAGCCTGTGGACGCTTTTAAAGGGGCTTCACAGGGCTCTCTGCTACTATTTGTAGAAGGAGTATTCAGCCCTAGGGGGAAAGGAAGAGAAATTACCGAGCCGCACAGACATGGAAGTCTAGGTTATTTATAGCCAGCCGATGTCCTGACATGAGGAAGATTTAGATGGCCTGCTGGGGCCCAGGGCTCCTACAGACACAAGGGCCAGCCTCTTCTCCAAAGAGGCTTGTTTAAAAACCATGTAGGATCACCAAGACCCTGCAAGGGTCTTTGAGAGTCACTGCCATAGACTTCAAGAATCCAGGTGATAAGGATGAACAAAATCCTTAAAAATAAATCCTGTCTTGGCACTCATTCCTGTGAATTTTATGAGATGTGGAGTCATAATAACACTTTATTTTTGAATATCCACATTAACTTTTCCATATGTCAAGGTGTTTCTAAAAAAATCTCTTTTTATCCATAGAGCACCTTTGGATGGTAGATGGGGCAGGGTTACGAAGTTCCGTGCTGTTTCTACCATGAACATCTGCTGGGGTTGGGGGAGAAGGCTGTGTTTCAGGCAAGCCACTGAGTGTTTTTCCAGAGCTTTGTGAAATCGCTGTTTCCTTGTTCTATAGAGAAGTTAAATTGAACCTTCAGAAGTTTATTTTCTTCTACTATCATTTTAATTTTTTTAGTATAAGTATAGTAACTGTAAAAATGGCATCATGTTGTCAAATAGAAATCAGATAAGAGGTGAAAATACAAAACATAATTTGTGAGTGTGCATCTTTATAGGTATCATCATAAGTTCTTACTCTTATGTTCTCTATTTTTTTTTCAGATGTGTGATCACAAAAAGGTAGCACTTTTTGCAATGCTTTCTAAACTTTTCCCATTAGGAGAAGTCTTGATCTTATCTCCCCTAATTTCCCTGAGCCTCATTTTCACAGCGCAGAGTGCCCCAAACGGTGTGGTTTTGTTTCTTCTTTAGGCTCTTTTCTTGGATGGTGTACTTAGTGCTTCCGATTTTTTGCTTTGAACATCCTGAAATGAATATTTCTGGAGTTGCGCTTTTGAGCTTGTTCTTGGCGGACTCAAAGGAGTGGTCCCTGCTCGAGGCTGCAGTTAGAGCCTGGACGGTCGGAGAGGCTGGCCCTGAGGCTGCCCTGCTCCTGGTGGCCCTCCCAGGACCTGGATTCTCTGTGCTGCGGTGGGTGAGGGGGTGCTCCCTTCCCCACTCTGATCTAGTCCCCGCTTTTGGAATCATGTGTGGCATGGATGGATACTTTTTCTAATATTAATGCTTATTAGCATTTTTGTTTAAATTGTGAACTGACTTTTTTTTTTTATATACATTTGCTTTCTTATGTGCTCGCTTTTTACTTTTAGCCAAACCTGCCAAATTGATTTTTGGAGATTTTCCGCATTTGGGGCCATGTTTAAAAATATCTCCCCCATCCAAAGTTCACATAAATCTCCACAGATATATTTTCTGAAATTTTATGCCCTTTTTTGCTTTTCCTTAAAACTTTAAATTATCTGGAAAGAGCTTTGACACCCCATGAGCGACGGATGGCCCAGAACCTGGCGCTCCGTGCTGCGCGGCTCCCCCGGCTCCCAGAGCTGCGCTCTGCGTCCGGCCTGAGCTGCCCTCCCGGCTGCAGACTGACCGATAATGTGGCCCCACTGTGCAGGACCCAGGGTGAGGGGTGCTGTGGTCGATTTCCGTGCTATCCTTCTCTGTGCTGAGAATGCACTGATGGAAAGATTGTGATTTAGAGCAGTTCAGGTTCCCACAGCCCCTCCCTTACAGCCCCCAAAACACACCGCATCCCTGCATGTTAATCTGTGTAGTCATTTCATCAGATTCAAAAGCAACTTTTATGCTGCTTACAGTTCTTAATGATTTTGTATTTTTATAATTAGGATGTTGCTAATGTTTGTTACTTTCTCAATTTATTATTATTATAAGTGGCTTAAATTTCTACATTAATTTGGAAGAAAAGGGCCTTAGGATGGACTCTGTTTGCTCTCGGGCCTTCTCTTGTCCCCAGGGTGGCTGATGCCATCATCGGTGGCCTGTCCCTGGCTCATTTGTAGAATCTCACCAAAGCAGGGAGTCCGCATCAGACCTCTAGAATTCAGGCTAGAAATCTGAATTTCAGACAGGAACACGTCCCCCAGGCACCTGCGGCACAGGTGTTGGGGAGCCAACCCTTGGAGAGAAGAGCTCCCAGCTTTGTTTTTATTTCACTCAGTGCTCACCGCTTCTGGCTTTGGAGACGGCAACACAGAGCCCACCGGTCCCGAGGGAGCTGCCCGTCCTCGCGGGCTCCCGCCTGGCTCGCAGCTCCTTGCCAGTCCCCGGAGGAACGGTGAGGACGGCGCTGGCCTGGGCAGCACCCCTGGCGACCACGCCGATGGTGGGACCGGGGAAAGCCATCCTCCCTCCACACTGCCCTGAGCCGGCCGGCAGCGAGTGGGAGGTGGCTGCAGCAGGGGTGGCCCCAAGGGATGGCCCCAAGCCAGGATTTAGGGCAGGGGTTCTCAAACTGGTGCACGTGGAGATCTGCTGGAGGCCTCCCACAAGTTTCAGACTCCCCAGGGCTGGAGGGGCAGGGATTTGCATTTCCAGCGGGTTCCCAGGTGATGCTGATGCTGCCGGCCTGGAGACGACCGCCCGGACAGGGGAACCGTCGGAACCAGGGAATTCGTCTCTCTCTCCAGGCCTCTCTCTCTCATCAGATTTAAGAAATTACTCCATTAATTTTTCTTGACATTCCCTTATGCTATTTTATAAATGGTGCAGCAGGTAGTAGAAATCTCTTTTAAAATTCCTTCAGAAAGAATACTTCTGTCTGTTAATCAATTTTCTTAATTACTTAAACGGATAATTACCAGTTACTTTCTTCTCGCCTGTTTTTCTTGTAAGGTAAAGCAATACCGAAGTAACTTGTGATTTGAGGCATTTACAGAGATCCTGAGAAACAGGAAGAAAACAATATATTATACAGGTTCTAAATGCTAAGCAGTGTGGAAATCTCTCCATCTTTCTTCTTTGTTCCTTGGAACAAGCAGATGAGGTAGGCATGGAATTAAAGGCATATGGAATTCAGTGCTCTGACTTGGAGACAGGGGTAGTTCTGCCTGAGCAAGTTGAGGTGGTGTACAGAGATACCTGGACCTTTGAACACACGTTGAGTATTGCAGATGGAATTCTGGATTAAAAAGTGAGTCAGACATCAATGGCCAACTTATCATTTGATCACTTGTTGATTTATTTGTCAGTGCCTGACATATTTCCTAATCATAATTACTATGATCTGTAATGTACACATGATTTAAAGGTAAATTTATTTCAAATAACTGAATTTAAATGTGAATAAAGTACAGCTTTTCAGCAAATGATTTAAATAATCTGCTGTACAGAAAGCCCACGTAGCTGTGTAGCTACGTTTAACAAGCAGCTGATAGAAAGACGGGGGTTGAAGAATGTATAAAATTTTCCAAGTTGGCTGCAAGTGCATTGAAGGCAAGAATCCAGTTTTCTTCTTTGAACTCTGGGGTGTGATCTTAGCGACCCTAGGCCCTGGTAAGAAGGAGGCAGCCCAGCTCGGGGCCCCTAAACCAAAGCCCCTTTCTCGTCTTTTTTGCCCGGCGGAAGGCAGTCTCTATGCAGATGTGAACATCCCAGTGGTGCTGAGGTTCTACCAGCCCCAGCTCCAGAGGCAGCCCAGGTGACCACGCTCTGTCCACTGTCCAGCAGTGACCTCAGGGAGTAGCATTACTTCCTTGGGGAGAGGAAGTCCTCCAAGGCATCCACACTATCCTGGAGTCCTCATCCCATCCCACAGCCTCCAGCCCTGTAGGAGCCCAGGCTCAGACACCCAGGATCCATCGTGGAGCGGTTGTCCCCTCGCCCCACCCTCCTGCCCCCCTGCTCAGCCCATCTGCAGTTCCTGAAGGGTGGCAGCAGGTGTTCCTTTATTTCTTTTTTTTTTCTTTTGAGACAGTCTCACTCTGTCACCTAGGCTGCAGTGCAGTGGCGTGATCTTGGCTCACTGCAACTTCTGCCTCCCGGGTTCAAATGATTCTCCTGCCTCAGCCTCCTGAGTAGCTGGGATTACAGGCATCTGCCACTTGCCTGGCAAGTTTTTGTATTTTTTATAGAGAGAGGGTTTCACCAGGTTGGCCAGGCTGGTCTCGAACTCCTGACCTCAGGTGATTCACCTGCCTTGGCCTCCCGAAGTGCTGGGATTGCAGGTGTGAGACACCATGCCCGGCCTGTTCCTTTATTTCTTAAGGCCTAGGGATATTTTCAGAATCCCAAGTTCCTTCTTAAAATACAAGGGCTCATGGAGAGAAGAGTATCCCCAAGGTCATGTGACAATGGCAAGGTGGGTGGTGGCCACACGGAGGTGAAGGAGGAGCAGGGTCAGGCCTGAGGGGCAGCTGGGAGCCCAGAAGAGGTGGCAGGCTGGGCGTGACCATTGAGGAAGTCTGCCCTGCTGCAAGGATCACGCAGGACGTCTCAGATCCGTGATCCGCCTGCCTGCCCTTCCTCCCTTGCTGCTGCCTAGGAGCCAGCCCTTTGAAGGCCTTCAGATGAAGGAGGTGACCTGCCCTGGCGCTGAGGGAGCCCTGGGAACCCCGTAGAGCCCTGTGCTGCTCCACGCCTCACTGGGTCTCCTGGGCTGCCTGGCCCTGCGTGGTGCTCGCTGGGTGCAAGCCCCTCTGACCTCCCATTGGGGCACTGTGTCCTGGGTGGCAACCTCCGGTCCTCCGTCTCTTTCTCAGCCTCAGTCCAGCTCAGCCTTCAGGCCTTCCTGTGCCACCAGGCCCTGACCCTGGGCCTGGGTCTGGGTGAGGAGCCCCGCTGGATTGTCCCAACACCCAGCGTCCCCTCCCAGCATGGGTGGTGCCTGGACATGGCCATGCTTTCTGCTACCGCGAGCTGTGTGGGTGCTGTGGGCCCAGCTCCTTGGGGTGTCAGCTCTGCACACTGATGGACAGGGGGCCTGCAATGCTCCAGGGACCCAGGGCGACGTCCCCCGCTGTGCCCATCACTTCCGCTGACCAGCATACCTGGCCTGGCTGGGAGGGTTTGGGCTCCACAGGAAGGGGCCGTGGGGCGGACTCGCAGGCAAGCCCCATGGCAGAAAGGCGCCAGCACCTCCAGACAGCAGAGGATATTTCCTAGGTGTCCTGGACATCTGCAAACCCGGCCAGTTCATGCCCAAGCCTTGGCACACTGCCAGGGAGGTGCAGAGCCAAAGGTGTGGGAGGGGCTCCCTCAGGGCCTCCCAGGCCCTGCGGCAAGACGCACAGCCTCCCCTGGAGGGGAGAGGTGACAGTGTAGAACCAGGGCCCCAGACCAGTATTGCAATGCGTCGGCATGGAAAAATGGAAATGCTTGCAGTGACCACAATGTGTTCCTCTGGAGTTGGGGTTGATGGGCTTGACTTCTGTCCCTGCATGTCTCTGCCCTGTGAGAACTTAGATCCTCACCAAGGAGAGGGAGGGTTCAGAGCCACTGTTCTCCACGAAACGATCGCTTTAAAGGCCATGGGTTCTTTGCTCCTCTTGGTTTCTGTGCCTTGCAGGGTCCCTGACTCAGACCCTGGGCTGAGAACCAGGCTTCACTTGACCAGCAGGATGCCAGCAAACCTGACTGTGCCAGTTGTGTGCATAATTACTCTCTTCTACAGAACAGGGAAAGAGTTAGGGAAACATAAGACCACATTGCACAGGAGCTTACAGCACAATTAAACCACATCCAAGCAAGCAAGTGTCCAGCACATGGGAAAATCACACACACACAAGGAGCCACAGTCACCGTCAGGGCTGAAGGAATTTTGGAAAGCATGAAGTGGCAAAGCCAAAGCCAGGATCACAGGGCTTTCCACCTATGTCTGCGGAGAAGCCATTTACAGAAGGCTCCCGGGCCCCCACTCCACAGCTCTGGGTTTCCAGTTGACCGGGAGGCTCAGAAAATGCAGAGGACACCGACTTAGGTTTTAATTTACAAACTCAACCCTAACAGAGATGGTGGCATTTCCTGAAAGCTTCATGAGGATGAGCGGTGAGCGCAGCTTGGAGGGAAGCTGGTGGCAGCCGCGGGCTGGTGACTCTTCCGCAGGAGGCCGGGCTGCCATCACTAGGCGACACTGCTCTGTTCTGATTTTATTAACCACCTTCTCACACTTTCCTTACATAAGGATATTTTAATAGTCACTTGTGAAGCCAGTGTTTTGTTGTCAATTACAGGATACAAATCACCTGTTTACGGGGCGGTTTGAGGCTCGCTGGCGCTGTGCCCTGGAACTAGACTTCGCCTGCACTCCGTTTGTGTTCCTGGGGCCTCATGAGGCTGCGGAGCCACGGAGAGACATCGGGAAATAATTACAGCCCCCCTTCCAGGAGCGGCTGCGCGTCTCTTGTAAACAGGCCTGTCCATGGTTATCACTCACGATACATCTTGTTTCCTTTGAAGACCAAGTTCAGTTCTCAGCACCCAGGAGGAAGCGTGAACATACCGGCCAGCAGACACCTCGGGGGCGAGAGGGTGGCACCCACCTCCCGGAGCGTGGACTCCACGTGGCCCCCCACCACCTTCACGGCAGGAGAGCTCCACGCGGCCCCCCACCACCTTCACGGCAGGAGAGCTCCACGCGGCCCCCCACCACCTTCACGGCAGGAGAGCTCCACGCGGCCCCCCACCACCTTCACGGCAACACTCCGGGAGGAGAGGGGAGAGAGCATCTCCCTCGGCCTTCTCCGTGAAGTCTGGGACCTGGAGACTGTCCCCCCGGCCAAATGAAGGAAAACGGTGTTTTTGGGAGCTCGATTTCCCTTGACAAGTCAGATTTTCTGTTTTCAGATTCCATTCAGCTCTGCAGGCTGCAGACCTGGGCTCGCGTCCTCTCACGAGATACGGGGCTGCTCTCCCCTGGAGCTTCCCCCTGGAAAAATAACAGCAGGCTGCCACCCCGAGCTCTCAGGGTGAACAGAGGACCATACAGGCTTTACAAAAACGCTCCAGGATGTAAGCGTGGTTCCGGAATCCATTGCAGGAGGCCCATCGAGATGGTCAGAGCCGGGGCCGATTCCGCTCGGTTTCTGTTGAAGTCGTGTACAGGATGGAGAGCAGGTGAGATGTCGTCATTTCAGTCATTCACAAGAGGCCCCTTCATAGTCCCCTCCATCCAAAGGGTCGGTTTGGGCTATATTGAGAGATTAAGGGAAAACTCATGAGAGTATTGTTACATAAAGCTCCTAAGTGTTTTATGTTTATTAGTTTATTTAACACTCACAGTGTCTCCATGAGGCAAGCATGGTCATTGTCCCTTTCTACAGTTGGGGACCGGGGCCCAGAGAGGTCGTGCGGACTTCCAGAGGTGGCACTGCTGCAGAAGGCAGTCTGAGAGAGTGCTGCTCCTCCCCTCTGTGGACGGAGCTGGCCTCCCATCTTCATGGTCTTTCCGGCCTGGCTTACATAGCACCACACTGCACCTGGGTTCTGCCCTCCACCCAGTGTCTGTCTCTGTCTTTGAATGCTCCCTGTCTCTGTACCCTCTGTGTGCTCTGCAGCCGCCAGAAAAAATGACCACAAACAGGCTTAAAGTGGCAGAAGCGTATTTTCCTCCGGGGCTGGAGACCGGAAGTCTGGAATCCAGAAGGCAGCAGGCCCACAGTCCCTGCCAAGTCTTAGGGGTGGCTTCTTCCTGCCTGTGCTGGCGTCTGGGGCTCCAGGCACCCCTGAGGTGTGGACACACTGCTCCAGCCTCTCCCTCTGTCTTCACGAGGCCATCTGTCCTCTGTCTCTCTCTGCTCCTCTGCCTCTTGTAAGGACACTTGTCATTGGATTTAGGGCCCGCATAATCCAGGATGGCCTCCTCATCTCAAAATCGTAACTTATTCTGCAAAGACCTTTTATGCAAACACGGCCACACCCACACGTTCCTGGAGTTTGGATGCGGGAATGTCTTCTGGGGTCACCATCCAGCCCACGACAGACCTCCGTATCACCTGCAGACACAGGCTGCCCCTGCGCGCTTGCTGGTTGTGTACGTCTCCGGCATCTTCTACACGCCCAGGGTCTGCCGCGTGCAGCAAACGCAGGAAAGAAGGTAGGCTCTGCCTTGACCTGGTGTCCACCACCCCAGGGCCTGGCACCGCAGGGGGTATTGCATGCCTACCATGTTGCTGGCCTCTAGCCCGTATGTCTTCCTGCTTGCAGCTCTGAGGGGCTTCCAGGAGGGAGGGTCCCGACCCTGGGAAGATGAGGCCTCCCCTTCCCCAGCAGGACCTCGTGCGTGGGACCAGGCTGTGGCTTCCAGAGGATCTGTCCTGGAGCGTCAGGCACATGGGGACACCATGGAGGGAACTGGAATCCAGAGGACACTGCAGTCCCAAAGCGGACAGGGTGCCCACTGGGGCCCAGTTGGAGGGGGATGGGCCAGGTGGAGTGAAGGTCATGGTGGCCAGGGGTGAAGGGGGTACAGAGGAGGACAGAGGGATGGCCTGTGTGGAGCAGCCCTGCCCACCTGCTGACGGTGCTGCAGTGTGGCCCCTCCTGCAGACGCTGCTGCCACAGTAAAGCCACCAGCAAGCGTGTTGTCCAGCTGCACCCTGCACAGGGCCTCCTCCCTGGAGACCTAAGTGATAAGTGCCTCCTAGTATTTTGCTTCTTCTGATCAAAGTTGAATTTCTCCTTTTAGCTGGGCTTCTAGAATTCTCAGGGGTGTCACTAGGATGTTACCTGCCTTCTGCCTTGCAAACACCTGTTTTTGCTCAAGGCGGCCTGTGCCCAGCCTGAGCCAATGTACCCTGGTTGGACCAGGCCATTCCCAGGCTTCTCAGCCTCCCTCTCAGCAGGCAGTGGACAGTTTGAGCTGGACTCTGACATCCAAGACAAGTTTGCTGCAGGGTCCCAAGGAGAGTTGAAGGGAACGGGTGAGCTGGGAAAGCCCTTCCTCCTCCCATCCTCTTACGGATGTGGTGTCTGGAGCTGCAGCAGCTGTCTGGTGAGCATGAGACAAAAAGCACGAAGATAAAAGTCAACACAGGAGAAGGGTGGATGGTAAATTTGTGAGAGCTGGTGTGTGGTGCCCATCCATGGACTTCACGCTACCTGAAGAAATAGTGGCTTAATAATTGGTTTCCTGTGACTTGTGGATGAATAAATTCCTAAGCAGTACAGAAAAGATTTGTGCTCAATTACATTTACTTCGCCCTTTTACCTTTTCTCTTTATTATTTAGCTGCTTTATTTCTGCAACAGCTGCTTTTTCTTCCATTTTATGATCACTCTGCTTTAGTTAATGCAGTTAATCAATCCTTTCAGCAACACACGTAAATAAACTTGATATTTATAAGTGTATATACATTTAGGTGTATATACATCGATGCTACATTTGACATGCTATAAAGGTATGCTATAAATTTATAAATTTAGGATAGAGTTAAAATTTGAAATGCTAACATTGAGCATTTTTTCCAAGTTGTCGTGGAGATGATGGAGCTGGGGCTTCAGAGCCATCCAGGGCACAGAAGCAGGAAGTGGAAGAGGCTCTGGTCAGGTGGGTGGGTGAGGAGGGGCCAGGGAGCTGGGAGGACTCAAGGCGGAACCAGGAGTAAGGCCCTTGGCATTTTTAACCCAGTGTCGGGGATTTCTCTTCGGGGAGCAGGTGGGGAGGGCGTTGCCGCTCCTGAGGCGTTACAGGCAGCTTCCCCTTGCTCCTCAAATGCTGCCTGGAAATGCGGGCTCCTTTAACCTTGGGAGTCACAAGGTCCCCTGACCCAGTGCCCTGTCAATACTTAGGAGTGTCCAGGGCCCAACCTGAGCTCCGGGGACACCTCCTGTGTGCCCTTGGCCTCTTCCTTACACAGAATCTGCTACTCTTCAAACACCATTGGCAAAAAGCCTGACCCTGTGACTTGATTGTTTATTTGTTGTTTGTCTTTGATAACTTGTCTTGTGAGGGCTGTGTTTGTGTTTCTTCTTTGCAAACAGAGGGTGAGTCGGCGCTGGGGGTGAGTGAATTGGGTCTTGGTGGATTCAGTGTAAACGAGCCTGAGATTCAGTTCTCTTGCTTTAGCGTTGACTTGGGAGCAGAGTTGAAGTCGGAGCCCTGGCCTTCTGAAGAAAGGCTTTTGGAACTAAGCAGTGGATGGGGGAGTAGCCTTGGCACTGGGAACATCAGTGCCCTGGATGGGCCTGCGGGGAGGCTGCTGGGGGCGGGGAGGCCCACTGCCCCTCTGTCTGTGGGCCCTCGGGGAGGCTGCCAGGGGAGGGGAAGCCCACTGTCCCTCTGTTTCTCTGCTGGTTTCCCTCCGTGCTGCAGCCCCTGCTGTTCTTCATGGATCTGTAAGGATGGAAAGACTTTTAAAGTGGTCCCTGCAAATGTGCAAATGTCACAGTTTACTGCAATTTAGGCCGCGCATGATTGGAATAGCATCTCTCTTCCTGGTAGACAAATGGCAGTCATCAAGGATGTTTCTGACTTCAGAGAGCATGGTCAGCATTTCCTGTTCCACGCCCCGCTTCCTCCCCTTCACTGTCCTCTGAGGGCGGAACATTGTGCTTTCTGACCAAGGACTGTCTCTGTTCAACTTGGAGCTCCTTAATTGTTGGTGTCATCAGGAAAGTCATAAAAACAGTCCAAGCCAGCATTAAAAACAGTCCAAGCTAGCATTAAAAACAGTCCAAGCCAGCATTAACAGAGTTCAATTTCACCAATGCATAAAAACAGAGAGTCGCTCTAGTCTGCGTGGGGAAATGCTCTCCCTAAAATAAGAGTGGAATTTCCCGCTACGACTTCATATCGTGTCTTAACCACAGGGCACTGTTCACGTTTGACACATAATCCTCAAGATTGGCCAGAGTGAAATGGTTTCCGGGATTAAGAGAGGAGTTAGGAAAATATCGAATGGAAAGGGATTTCTTCCACCCAGGATGGCTGCCCACCTTCACCTTTGCCCTGTTGTTTGAACAAGAGGGAAGTTATTTTATAGGAATGGATGGAAAAGGGGAAAAAATATTCTAAACTTTTTTCTGTCTCTGAGAATTGGGCAACTATTAAAAACTCCTGGTGTGGGCTGGTCCGGAGGTCATGGGTTCTCTCAGCCGGCTGCTATCCGTCAGCTACAGATCCAACTCCTTGTTCTATTCCCCGCTCTCCTCACTACTGTACTTGGCTGGTCTATAAAACAACCAACGCACCAAACAAAACTCTAGTTTCCACATCGTCTTTTTGCTTGAGTTTGGGACATTCAGGAAGGCTGACAGGTGGGTGTTGAACCTCTCACTCACACGGGCTGGGTGGACTTTGTGGCAGGCCTCCATGTCCCCTCTCCCCTTTGCCCTGGCAGTTCCCTGGTGGGCCCACATCTGTCCCGGGTTAGGGTTAGGGCTTGGGTTAGGGTTAGGGGTTAGGGGTTAGGGTTGGGGTTAGGGCTTGGGTTAGGGTTAGGGGTTAGGGGTTTGGGGTTAGGGTTGGGGTTAAGGGTTAGGGGTTTGGGGTAGGGTTGGGGTTAAGGGTTAGGGGTTTGGGGTTAGGGTTGGGGTTAAGGGTCAGGGGTTAGGGTTAGGGGAGCACAGGAACAGCTCCACTCCAGGACACCAGGAACAATCCCCCAACTCTTCACAACCCATGAATCACCGCCTCCTATTCCAGTACTGAATTTCTCCACCCACTTTGTTCCCTAAATCACCTTGATGAGCTCGTTAGAGCAGGAGGAACATCGGGTGATGGTTTGACAGAAGGCAAGAAAAAAGCCTCATCTCTACCCTTTACTTAGGGTGAAACCAGCAGGGAGTGTGATGAGAAAGGATGAGGGGGTATGGAGAGGGGGCAGTAGAAGCTGGCGGAGGGGGTACTCCAGCTTGCAGCAGAGCCCACAACAGGCTGTCACTATGGGGGACATCTAGGGCAGGGCCAGCCCCTCTTATGGGTTGCTGAGGGTCCAGGAGGTGTGAGCCTCTAGCCCGGGGCAGAGGAAGGAAAGTCCAGAGGCCAGCAGGGGCCTTAGCCTGGCTTATGCAGGGAGGGACACCTCGGCTAGATGGGCACCCCAACGGAGCCTGAAGCTAAGGGCACTGCTGGTCATCTCTGGACGCCACTTGCCGTGGTCCCACCTGGGGCTTCAGGCTGAAGGGCTGGCCTTGGTGCACCCTGAAAAGATGGAGGTGGGGTTGGGCCACCAACAGGCAGTGAGAGCAGGCGGCCCTGGGACCTGGGGGCTTCCAGGGGCAGCCCTAGCGAGCTGACCCACACTCCTCTGTGGTTTGCAGCTTGCGTTTCCGTGCTGGAAGGTGCTGGAAGGTGCTGGAAGGTGCTGGAAGGAAGGATGCCATCCTGAGATGCAAGACAGGCCCCGCAGGGCCACTGGGGAGAAATGGGCACGGGGTTCGCCTCGCCCACCCTGGGTCACAGGATGGGTTCCAGCCCCATTTCAGCAACCCGGGTGCTTGTTTTGAATCAGCCTCCTGGACTTTCGCCATGAAATCAGCGGGCAGCTTCTGTCTCCAGCAGCCAGCAGAGGCCTGGACAAAATCCCACAGGAGGGAGGTCCACTTACAACGGTCCCTTCCTTCGAAGCAGCCTCAGGGTCAGGGATAGGGCGTGGCTTTGGTGATACAACCGCGATGTGAACGCCTGAGATTTTAGTACTTACAGACGGGGGGCACACAGCACACCTGGAGGCCGCACACTCAGGGGTCAGAGAGCACGGGCAGGGAGAAAGCAGGCTCCCGGCAGCCCACTGCGTAGACGGGGGACTCGGGTGGGGGCACCTTAAGCTCACAGGCAAAGGCCTGAATCACCCATTTTAAGGAAAACGAGGAGCCCAGTGTGCGAGGCGAGAGAGACGTCTGTGTTTTTACCTCTGGCCGCCACCTTGAGCCATTTGGATGTGGTGTCAAACTGCACACGTGCGAGGGTGACTGAACCCTGGCTCTGGCACGAGAAAGCTAAACCCATTCATGGTAGATGCGGAGGTGACATAAACCTGTAGGCATCCACTATAGTTCCTCCAAATAGTCCTGAGCCAGCCCCAGGGTTCCAGCCACAGAGGCAGCGTGGCAGCAGCTCTCAGCAGCCCGTGTGGGTGTAAAGCTGCAGCATGACCGAAACTCACAAGCATTCCCATGCTCTGAGGGGGTCTGGCCCCCATGGGACCCAAGAAGAGGGGGCAGCAGCGCACAGAGGAGCTACAGCAGCCACCTCGACCCGACCATGCGCCCCGGATCATCAGCATCTGGAGCAAGAAGAGCCGCGCTTCTCCCTGGAGACGTTCACCAAAGAGACGCCTCTCCAGAGAGAAAGTTGGTGCCATGGGCCGCCGGGAGCTCGGTTTATTGTATAGACGGTGGAACTGAAGAGCAGAGATTTGAGGCTTATCCATAGCGAGGGGCTTGTTTAGACCTAGTTGCTGAAATTAAGGTAGGTATTTGGTCTGTACATTAATTCCTATGTGCTGTAATTAATCATCTGCTTTAATGAATGATGACTTATGATGTGATTTCCTAAAATGAGATGTTTTCCTTTCAGCATAAACCCTGGGAAGGCTGGCCTCCCAGGTCTTGAGGTTGGGGGCAGGTGGGCAGGGTGAGGAGCAACCTTGGGCTTAGTGTTGAGTACTGGAGTCTGGCACCAGACACTTGGGCACAAAACCAAGCGGGTAGTCAGTGATGTGGCCTGGAGCAGGCGACTCACCCATCTGTGACTAGACTTCCCGCTTGCGTCACGGGACCATGCACCAACTGTGTCATGCGGTCTTGGAAAGATTAAATATACCGATCTTCGTAAGTGTGTGCAACTTACAGGGGTGCACAGACCATGCGCTACGTAAGTCTTCACCAGGAAGACATCATACCCCACGCAAAGGTCAGAGTGACTCAAGTTATGCCATTAAACATCCAGCAGGACCAAAGAACAGTGGGTCTTAACATCAGAGAATTCCCTATTAAAATGCAGCTTCCAGCCCCTCACCAGGGAAGGCAAACTCCCAGGCTGCTGTCAATTATGACTCCACTTTGTGACAAGATGACTTGCTTGGGTGCCTGAGGAAACGCTAGATTCCCAGTGGCCTTGTGGTGGTTGGGCATGAGGTGTCCAGAAAAGGAATTCAACAGCAGAGGAACAGAAAGAGGGGCCCTACACTGCGCCTGCCATCCTCATGGGCTTCGTTTCCAGCCAGGTTAGCAAGTCCCGCCCTTGCTCCCTCCCCGCACCCCAGAAAAGGAAGCACCGGCTCCGCTGCAGTGGACACAGCCCTGCCCACAGGCTGCCCCTCTCTGTGTGTGACTTGGCCACTGTCTTCCAGCTCCCGGGCCCTCTGAGCCCCAGCCTTCCTGGCTTGAGGCAGATGCGCACCTGGCAAGGCTGAGGCGCCACTGGGAGGATGCCGGCCTGGTGCCAGTCCCAGAGCCTGGGGTCTGCAGGATACCCCTGGACACCCAGGTCCTTCTCTTCTCGCTGGCCACGTGAATCTGAACGGCGTTTGTAGGCCTAAGGACTCATGCGCTTTGTTTGAACTTCAGATTCTTTTTTTCATCTTTACTGAACCATCCTATGCATCCAGTAATGGCACGTATTTATATTTAAGTCACAATCTCATGAGTTTTGTTTGATGTGGTGAAATCATCACTACATCAGTAGTGAACTTACCTGTCACCTCCAAGTTCCTTTCGTAATCCCTCCCTCCTCCCCACCCCACCCCTCCGGCTCACAGGCAATCACTGCCCGCTTTCTGTCAGAATAGATTAGTTTGCAATTTCTAGCATTTTATAAAAATAGAAATCTACGGAACATGCTCTTTGCTTCTGGCTTTTTTGTTTTAACTCAGACTAATTCTTTTGACGTTTCCCCCATGTTGTCCCATGTTTCAATAGCTGGTAACTTTTGATTGCTGAGTAATATTTGATAGTATGAATATTCCGTAACTTATTCTCTGTTCACTTGTTGGTGGACATTTGGGTTATTTCTTTTACTTAGCTATTATGAATATTCATGTTCAAGTTTTAGTGTATTTATGTTTTCATTTTGGGCATGCATTTATCTAAATATAATGGCTGCATTATCTATGGGTCTCAGAGGGTCCAGAAGCTGGAAGACAGTGGCCAAGTCACACAGAGAGAGGGGCAGCCTGTGGGCAGGGCTGTGTCCACTGCAGCGGAGCCGGTGCTTTCTGGGGTATGGGGAGGGAGCAAGGGCAGGACCTGCTAACCTGGCTGAAAATGAAGCCCATGAGGATGGCAGGGGCAGCGTAGAGCCCCTCTTTCCATTCCTGTACAGGTGAATTCTTTTTCCAGACACCTCGTGCCCAACCACCACAAGGCCACTGGGGAATCCAGTGTTTCCTCAGGCACCCAAGCAAGTCATCTTTGTTACAAAACAATGTCATAAGTGACAGCAGCCTAGGAGTTTGCTTTCCTTGGGGGAAGCTGGAAGCTATATTTTAATAGAGAGAGAATTCTCTGATGTTTAGACCCACTGTTCTTTGGTCATGCTGGATCTTTAATGGCAGGTGTAGGTATAACTCTTTAAAAAAGCTTCCATATTGTCTTCTACAGTGGTTGTGCCATTTCCCTTTCCTACTGGATGATTGAGAGTTTCAGTCGCTCTGCATCTTTGACACATCTTGGTGAGGTCGGTCTTTAAATTTAGTCATTCTCATGGCAATGGGATGGTGTCTTGCTGTGGTGTCATCTCCAGTTCCCCTAGTGATTCATGTCGCGTTTCTGTCCATGTGCTTATGTGATGGCCATATATCTGCTTTAATGAAGTATCTGTTTTGATATTTTACCCACTTTCTGAATGTATCTTCTTACTCTTGACCTATAAGAGTTGACTGTATATACTAGATATAGATCCTTTGTCAAATACATGTTTTGCAAATATTTTTCTCCCAATATGTGGCTTGAATTTTGATTTTTATAAGTTTTAAAGAGCAATTGTTTTTAATCTTGGCAAGTTCAATTTATTGATTTTTCTTGTATCCTTTTTTGTGAAAGCATTGAAGAAATATTTGTGAAACATAAATACTAAGATTTTTTTTCAGTGTTATCTTAAAGTTTTAAAGCTTTAGCTTTTCAACATCAAGGTCATTTTGTATGTGGTGTGAGGTGGGAATCAAGGTGGTTGACCATGTGTTCCATCATGATTTGGTAAAAATCTTATCCTTTTAAAAAATATCATTTGACCTCACACATGCAAGCCTGTTTCAGATTGTCTGTTTTTAAAAAATTTATATACTTGGATTTTTTTTGTGCAATTATAACTCTGTCTAAATTACTGTAACTTTATCATAAGTCCTGAAACCACACTGTAGGTGTTCCAACTTTTTAAATTTGTTTTGCCCATTTAAAATCCTTTTCATTTCCATTTAATTTGAGAATCAGATTTTTAAATCTTACAAAAAAATCAAGTTTGGGATTGAGATCAATGTGGAAAAAACTGATATTTTAACAAAATGGAATCTCCTGATCTATGAACATGGGTGTATCTCTCCAGCTATTTCAGTCTTCCTCAATATCTCTATTTCCAGACAATTTTTTCTGTTATTGGTTTCTAATTTAATTATATTATGGTCAGAGAACATATTCTATATAATTTGAATTCTATCAAATTTATTAAAGAATTCTGCTATGGTCTAGAATAGAGTGTATCTTGGTATTTTGTGTTCCCTCAAAATACATGATTATTTCCTTGCTTGAAAATAACGTGTTATCTCTGATCTCCGGTGCTCTACATGCATAATTTAGGTCAATTAAGTTCGTAGGGCAATTGCAGCGATCCCTAACCTCTGTCTGTTCCTGATCCCTTTTCTCTGTTTTAATGCCGCGGAGTTTATGTAGATGGAAGCAGATGCTGTAGTGTCCTGCACACTTTTTCTAACCTTTAAATCTTAGAATTCTCTGCAGTAAAATAGGAATGATAATCACCTCTACCTCATAGGGATTTCAGGAGAAAATCCTTCCTGCAGGGGTCCAAACCACACGGGATGTGGGGCTTCCGGTGTGGGGGTCTCCAGGGAAGGGGAGAGAGGTGAAGAACAGACCCACCCAGGGCTGCCCAGGCGGCGCTTTTGCTGGACTGTGGAGCCTCTCAGACCTCGCCTCCAACATTTGGAACTTTCCTACCACACAACTGTGGATAAAACACGGAGTCATTTCTCGTGTCTGAGCAACTGTGGCCCAAAATCCCGGCTGTCCATCTGCACCTCTGCCATGGCAGCATGAGACCCCCTCCTGGTGATTTACTCTGGGAAACGTACTTTGGCAGCTACTTCCTAACACTCCCTGTTTTAGAATTTTGCCACTGTTTCCCTGGTGGTTACAATTAAATGAGTCAGGGCTTCATTTCAAATATATTTGCTTTTCCAAAACCCGGAGGTGCCCAACTCACTCTATGCAAAAGAAAATGGATAATGAAGCACTTTAATTAATGTGAATATTATGAAATTTTAACTGGGGTTGATGGGCTCCAGTTAAGAATCAATCACTGTCTCTTAATTCTCTGATGAACCTGAGAGCCTGTGAAATAAAGCCTCAGCACAGGCACTCACATAGGAAAAGCCAATCGGAGGGGGTATTTGATTTATGAGATGCCAGATAGGATCGGTCTGATACAGCATCCCGGGGCTCTATGAGCCTGTGATTTTTTGTGTAATGAAGGTTATTCCTGAACTCATAACATTTCATATTCTGGTCTATACTCAATCATCACGCTACACTATGAGGCTTGGATTGATAAACATATTAATTATACAAAGAATCCTTCCGCGGATGGGTGATGACAGGTTATGGGCAAACCGCCTTCGGGGGAAGAATCCCCACGAGCCCCTTCAGGAAGGAACAGGTTACTCGGCAGCTTCCTGAAGATTAGAGACTGGGCCGGGCTCAATGGCTCACACCTATAATTCCAGCACTTTGGGAGGCCGAGGCAGGTGGTTTGCCTGAGCTCAGGAGTTCTCAACCAGCCTGGGCAACACGGTGAAACCCCGTCTCCACTAGAATACAAAAACATTAGCCGTGCGTAGCGGCATGTGCCTGTAGTCCCAGCTACTCAGGAGGCTGAAGCAGGAGAATTGCTTGAACCCGGGAGGCGGACGTTGTAGTGAGCTGAGATTGTGCCACTACACTCCAGCCTGGGTGACAGAGAGACACTCTGTCTCAAAAAAAAAAAAAAAAAAAGATCAGAGACTGGGGGTGGTTCCATCTGGGACCTCAATAGTCCATAGTTCTGGATAAAATCGGATTTACATCAACACTGAAATCTCTGTGCATCCTGGCCTTGGCTCAGGAAGGATTCCAGCCCTTCCCAAGTGTCCTCCGTGTGCTTGGAGGTGCTAAAGAGCCACTTCCTGCTGCAGCCACCAGCTCTTTCCAGCGCTGCTGCCATGTGAGGCCCGGGTTACCCTGAGCAGTTTGGGGACAGCCTTCCACCTGGCCTCTGCCCTGCTGAGCTGGGCCTGGCCTGTCCAGCACCTGTCCTCTGAGCCACCTTGATTCTGCAAAATCCAAGCACCACCTCTTAGTGTGGTACCTGGGCTGGGGGCCCTTGCTCAGGATTCCTGGTCCCAAGCACTCTCAGAGCTGTGGGCATTGGCCCTTTCTGCTGCAGGTTTGCACTGACAGGATGGGAGGTGGGGCAGGTGCCCATCCCGGCTGCTCCTTGGCACAGGCCCTGCCGCCTGCCTGTATGTTCAGACCATTCCAGGACTTGCCTTCTCTTACCCCCGCTGCCTGCGCTGTCCAAGCTGTTGAAAAGTTCAAGTGTTTTCTAAGAACTGCAAACATTTCTAATCCTATTACACATTATTCAGCTCATAGTTTAGACCATCAAACCCTTTTCCACATGAATTGCTGCTGCTCTAGGTCACTGCCATCCTGGGACCCTGAGGGTGGCTCTTTAAATCTCAGCCACACTCACATTTATCCCTGCTAGACTTCACTTGGGTGGCTTTCAGCATCATTTCTGTGTCCTCTACGTCTGGTTCCATCGGCGGCGGGCATTTGGCCAGGATACAGCAGGGGTGCTCTGCAGGAGACTGATTAGACAGAAGTACCGCCTGCGGCAAGGATGCTCCCCTCAGCAGCAGAGCCAGGTGCAGCTCCACCTGACCCCACGCTGTCTTACCTGCAAGAAGCCACATTCTTCAAAGAGTGTGGTGGACCCCTGGCCAAGGCATTTCCCTATCTGCAAACTTGCAAACTTATTGGAGCAGGAAACGAGAGGAGGAGGCCCTGGCCTGATGGCTTGAAGGGTGCCCATGGCTGTGGTTGCCTGTTCCCCACCTCAGATCCAGAGTCACACCAAAGACATGTTGAATGAGGCTTGGAATCTTGAAAGCGTCCTCTGTGGCCATTTGTAGACAAACTCAGATACTGACAGATACGAACATTTCTAAAAATTTCTCCTAAAGGAAAAGGGAGAAATTATTCTGGAATGTCATGCACGATAGTATCTCACCTGTGCCTGGTGTTCTATGGTTCACGTGGCAGTTTCACAAACACCAACTCCCTTCTTTCCTAACATTTAGAGGTACGTGGTTCAGGTGACAAATTTTAGAATGAGACATCACAGTGTAGTAAGTGCAGTTAAAGTGTTCAGTGGGTGCTGGCCAGGACTCCTGGTGCAGGCCCCTCCTGGCAGTGCTGAGGAGGAACCTCCAGCCACAAGCCAGTGCCACATCCCACTCCTGGGGGTACCACTTGATCTGGGGTAGCACAGCCGGACCGAGGTATGTGCCAACCTTGAAGAGTCAATGATGACCTGAAACTGCAGCTTCTTTCTTAGGTCCTTGGACACCGTATCAGCAGCTCCCTGAGATCCAGGATGACTTTTGGCACTGCCAGGCTGCGGATGGAAGAGAGCACCGTTTGAGGTTGCAGCCCATTCCCTCATCTTCTAGATTCCAATGTCACTCTCGCCCCACCTCTTGCAGCTGTTTCTGTGTTCCCTTCTCACTGTGGGAAAAGGCCAGGCTCTCCCACGGCTGCAGACAGGCCCTGTCAATTAAGGATCACTTTCAATTTCCCTGTTTATAATCCTGCGGACACTAAACATCAATAATTCCTGCCCTCTTTCCTTGTCACTAGAAGATTGATGGTGCACGTCGTCTCTCATATGAAGACATTTAAATGAAAATCACACTTCTGTCTGCATTCCATTTTCCTGCTGAGCGGGGGAAGCAACCCTATTAAATCAAATTATATGTGACTTTTAAAACTTCCCTTTACAGTGTTCAATTGAAAATCTGAATCCTATCATAATACATTGCCTTTTTATGAGTAAATTGACTTTACTTGGTCCCTTGGGGGTTTCCAGCCTCCCTTTCCATATTAGGAGGCAGAAGGACCTGCTGCCAGGCCACAAGGCACAGCACACATGACAGGGGCCTGGCAGAAGGGGACCCTCGTGCTCTGGGCACTGCCGTGGCTGGATTTGAGAGTCAACATCTGGCCCCAGCTCACCATGGCCGCGCTTCTCAACTCCAGCCTAGAGGAGGCTCCCAGGGCACCTACTGAACCTGTGGAGTAAGGGACTGTCTGATGCTGTTTACCTCCTCTGTGACGGGCCCTCCCTGTGTGACTCACAACATTGAACTCTTGCAGCAATGTCAGGAGTGGGACATGTCCTCATTGTACAGATGAAGAATCAATCAGGAGTGGGCAGTTTGCAGAAGCTTTGTACCCAGAACTATCTAGGTCTGGTGCCTGCTGTTTACTCTCCAGGCCATGGATGACATGTCACACAGTCCCACCCCAGCAGGAAGGGGGATGGAGTAGGCCGCCGTGGCCGTGCGGATGGATGCACACAACATCTGTAAGTCTGTCCATCTGTCTGTGGAGCTCTGTGTCCGTGCATCTGGGTGAGCAAGGAGCCCTGGGCAAGTCTCTGCACCAGCCTTTGAGAATCAGCAGATGTCGTTGTTGGGATAGGAGGTGCTGGTGGGAAGACTTGAAACTCAAGTTGGCCAAGTCAGTATTTAAAAACGATTAAGAAGAAATGAACAGAACAAATCCTATTAATAGCAAATGTGCATCTTACGACTAGATTTTAAATAAAATGTGGCAGGAACCCTGGATTGGAAGAGGTCCATTCCAGCGAAGAAATTCTATTGACTACAAATCCAACACAAGCCAGTGCCATGATGTGGTCAAAACAGCATCAAAGTCATCATAACAGGGTGTAATCTTGAGATCAAGAAAAGAGAACATGTGCTCCTTGATGACTTGAAATAAATTTGCCATTCACTAAATACATCTCTGCATTATTTTTCTTAAGGAAAAAGAAAAGTGGTCATTTTATTCTGTTGCATGGAAAATATTTTCAGTCATAATTCAGGGTCACAAATTAAAAAACTCTACTGATGTGGCAAAAGTTGTTGGAGAGGAGTCTGTTGAGTCACCCTGTCATCCTCCATGTGTAGGACCATCCCTGTCCAACCCTTCCAACATGTGGCCTGGGTTCTTGGTGCTGGTGCCCTCCCAACAGGGCTGGGAGTGAGACACTCCCTTGGTTGGGGCTCTGCATGGATGGTTCATCCACCACTTCTAATGGGCTTGTCTTAGAAGGGCCTGCCACTCTCTCTCGAAATCCCACACCTGACTTCGAGAAGATGTGTCTCCACACCTCCTGACAACACCATCTCACTGTTATTTCTCATCTGTGTCTGTGAGATCTGGAACAGGAAGCTGACATTTGGAGTCAGGCAGCTCCAAGCCTGCATTAAATTCCTCACTGAGTAGCAGAGTGGCTGGTAAGAACCACGGAACCTCCACAAGGGACCCCTGCATCCTGTCTGGGAAGGGAGGATAGAGCTTGCATTGTGGGGTGGTGGGAGGATAAACTGACTGGGTTAAAGAAGCCATGGTACCTGGAACTTGGTGTCTGTTTTTGAAAATGGATTTTGGCTCCTCATCACCCATGCAGAGACCACTCTCCTCTGGGTGTTTCCCTCGGCTCTCCTCCAGGCAGACCATTCTGGGTAACATTTCCCTTCTGGGTGCTTGGACCAAGAGCTTGAAAGCTGCATTTGTCCCTGTTGGGCCTATGTCCTGTGCATCATTCTCACCCATTCTCTCCTTGCCCCTCTGCTAATTCTTAGGAATCCATTCGTATTCTGAAGCCTCCCACCTTCCCATTTACACCTATTAAAATCCGTAAGCACTCTGCTGGGTTCCTTTCTTGTAAATTGCATATTTGATTTGAAATAATGAATGAGGATGTTTTGACATTTCTAATGAACATGAGTTAGTTTAGCATGTTTCTGAGCTGCTTCCAAAAATATCTATTTGTATTCATCATTTGCCACATAATCCACCTGTAATCACCCCATTGTCATGTGATCAACTCTATTTTATCATCAGCAAGATCAACACCCTCACATCATGAAAAAACCTATGCCATGAAACTCTTCCCAGCAGAATTGATCATGTACAACTCTGACGTGTGGTGTGGCAATCAGCAGGCAGTGATGAATATGCACACGGTTGCACGGGCAGGTGCAGAGACTGGCTTCGTCTTCTATTATTAACACCTTGGGGCTCATGCATCTACTATAATCTCATGCACCTGCTTTAAAGATGTAACTTGTGTTCCTTCCTGCACGTTTTCTATTTGTGTTGATTGTGTTCAGTTTCACTGGCCTGCTTTCCTGATTCCATGTGAATCCATCCCTGGTTTTTATTTCAGGAGTTGACCACTGAGCCCGTCAAGAGTCAAGGCTGTGTTTGTGTGTGTCTATAGCAAACATTGTTAGAGCACAAGACAGGGCTCTGTTTCCTATAAGGGGACCTGTTTTGCTGAAGAAAAGAAGTGGCCATCCAAAATCACAGGAATGTCGGCTCAGGGCATCAGCTCTGCTCACGCTAACATAGGACTTGCTGAGATCAGGGTCAAGCACGGGAAGCAGATTGGGCACAGAAATGCCTTCCAGTCACTTGTGGATCCAGGGGAGCGTGCCTTCCCCTTTGATAAGCAGGACCGGGGTCAACAGCAGCTGCCACCCTGCCAGACAGGCGTCTGTGTGTTCTTGTCAGGGTGGGCACTCGGTGGGTCTCCTTGACGTGGCTCCAGTCTCAGAGGGCCAATGTGTGAAATCTGAGGTTCTGCCTTCTGCCTCCAGATGTCTTCCCTCTGGGCTAAAGCCATGGGAAGGCACTTGTTTCGTGGAGGAGTAGGATTTGTGTCTCTGGCAGTTGTCCTGCACATTCAAGATGCAAGAGCTTTCTGTGCAACACAAGCAAAGCAGAGGAAAATGCAGCTATTTTCCCCGTGTGTGTGCACATGAGGGCAAATGTGACTTCTTCGCGGTGCCTTTCAACACTGAAAACCTCCCGAGCCAAAATCAAATACACAGAGCATCTAGAATTTTCTGTTGATAAACACATCTCTTTCCACTCACTCACTCACACTTGTATTCCAATCCATTGTTAATTCACATGATGTTGGGGCCGAAGCCTTTCATTTAAGTTAAATAGAAAGATCTCTTCCATCTCGACCTGCCTGTGTCCACGGAGCAGAACCGCGAACCTGTCGTCTTCAGCGCCCACGGCTGAGTGCGTGGAGACCTCCCGGCTGTGCTTGTCTCTGCCTTCTGTCTTGCTATTCAGAGGCAGTTCTCCTCTCTTCTCTGTTTATAGAGGTCAAACGTTTTAGTTCAAAAAGTGTGACTTTGGTACAAAGCCAAGCTGAACAATTTGGACTCCAGATTCCTGACCCTGCCATTCCATGGGAGCCGAGGCCCCTTTCAGCCGAGCTTCCACTGCGGCTTCTTTGACATGCTTCACTAACCCTAATAGCTCCCTGTTACTGGTGACAATTTAGCATCTGAGCCAGGAGCTGGAAGACAGGGGGAGAAAAGGGTGTAAATTATACGGAGTAGCGGGGAACAAAGGTTTTATTTCTCCTGAGCACAACCCTTTGATAGGAAAACGGGGGAGACAAATGTGTCGCTAATTTAATTAAGTGGTATGAGATTTCAGGGTCTACAGATGCCATTTAGAACGGGATTAATCAAGAGCAGGTGACGAAAATGAATAGTCACACACAATGTTAGCGTTTTCAACAATCCGACACAGTCGGATGGAATCAAGAGCTCTTCAAAATAGGACACAGTTTTGCTTGCTAATCCAAATCTACCTACTCTTTCTCCTCACAATACACGGCTTGTTCTCACAAGGCAGAAACCTTTCCTATTTTCTTGCTATAAGCGAGGCATCCAAAGCAAAGGGATAAAGAAATTGGTTTATGTACTTGATGCTTTGTTTATTCTTCCCTCCCCACAGTCTCTGATGAAGAGGTGTCATCAGGAGATCTTAGAGCACCTTTGGAGTGACCCTCAGTCCCTACTCCATGCTAAAAATTAGATGTGCCCCAGGTCAGCTCCATGGCTGAATATATGGACGCATCCCCAAACAGCGCCTGAGCACCTGCTGTGTAAGGAGCTCACCTTCATCCTGGTGGCTTGATGAGTCAGAAAGATACTGAGTGCCCCAGCAAACACAGCACGTGCCCAGAGGCCCCTGAATGGGGAGCATAACAGGGCCTGGCACACAGTAGGAAATGACACCTGTTTAATAAACTGAGCTGAACCGAGGGATGCGACTGGATGCTTGTGCCCAGAGGGGACCATGTCCTGCTCTACCTGCCAAAGTCCAACTTCCCTTAATCCACTGTGCAAATCACACTTGAACAAGACATGGCTCCAAGCTTTCAGGAAGAGGTAACTCTCTTAACTTCCATCATACTTAACTTGGAAGAAGTATTTGGCATATGGATTATTCAGATATAAAGAAATCTCTCTCAAATGCTTGACAGTACTTGAAAAATATTTTAGTCTCCTAAGAGTTCAAGCAGCATTCTGAAAATTTGACTTGTATCATTAATTCTTTTTCTGCATACACTTTAGAGACGGAGAAAAAGGTATAATTTTAGTTTTGGTTGCCCCTCATCTTTTCAGAAATTCTGACTTAGTAGAGACTAAGCTGGTGAATTCTTGCTAGTCAGGAAATATTTAAAAAGTATTGTGAACGACTTAGATAAATTTTTAAATTTCTCCATGCCTGATTGCTGTTCTTCTTCTTTATATATATATATATATACTTTAAGTTCTGCAGAACGTGCAGGTTTGTTACATAGGTAAACACATGCCATGGTGGTTTGCTGCATCCATCAACCCATCACCTACATTAGGTATTTCTTCTAATGTTATCCCTCCCCTTGCCCCCAACCCCTGACAGGCCCTGGTGTGTGATGTTCCCCTCCCTGAGACCATGTGTTCTCATTGGTCAACTCACACTTATGACTGAGAACATGTGGTGTTTGGTTTTCTGAGCTTGTGATAGTTTGTTGAGAATGATGGTTTCCAGCTTCATTCACGTCCCTGCAAAGGACATTAACTCATCCTATTTTCATGGCTGCATAGTATTCCATGGTGTGTATGTGCCACATTTTCTTAATCCAGTCTATCGTTGATGGATGTTTGTGTTGGTTCCAAGTCTTTGCTATTGTGAATAGTGGGCAATAAACATACGTGTACATGTGTCTTTATCGTAGCATGATTTGTAATTTCAATATGTGTATTTTCTTCATTTAGAGATCCTTCTCTATGGCTGAAAAACAAAACAAACAAACAAAATCATTCCTAAACTTTGGAGGCCTATAACAATCTGTAGTGGTTTTTCTGGGGAAACATTTGAAACTATTGAATGTTTATTTAAAATATCTGGGAAATACCTAGGGATTTCAGACAAACACTTTACCCTTCTCCTTCAACCCCACAAATAATTGGAAGATGGATATATTGTTTCCTAAGTACTAAAGGAAAAATGATATCTGGGAGATGATTGTTGTTAGAATAAGCTAACTCTTTCAGGGTTCACCTTTCTGGCAATGCATGAAGATGTCACATGAAACTTGTTTCATGGTAGATTCATGTATCTAACCCTTCGTTGGCCCAAAGGTTCCTGGGCACCTGAGAAGCTTGAAATCTCACACACATGCCCACCGTTGGAACAAGCAGTGCTGTGAGAGGCAGAGTCTAATTTTATTTCCTTTTATGCTTGTGAACATGACAGAAGCCTAACTCTTCCTCACTTAAAAAACACTCGGGCTCAGTGGGCACCACTTCATTCTACAGGTGTATAAGAATGGCTTTTTTTCTTGTATTCTGTGAGTGCAAAATGCCTCCCCGCCCTGGTCAGTCCTGCGTGGGGTGGCCATGCCAGCCGGGGGGCTCGGAATAGGGCTCTGAGCGGGACGGCAGTGCAGTCATGGGTAATAGAGACTAGAGCCGAGAAATCTCCATCTGCTCCGCTGAACAGCTCCATCTCCTTCAAGTAGGCTCCAGCCAAACAACCCTGCTCCCCGCGTGGATGCAATTCCGACTGGAAGCTGGAGAATCCCACACGCTGGCAAGGAAGGCCAGGGCTGACCTTCCTCTCTTCGGAAAATAACATAGATTGTGACAGAACAAGAGTAGAACTTGAATCATAACTGTATTTTTCTTTTGTGAAATTCATAACAGAGGTGGGCTGGGGAGGAGGGGTGATCTGGCACCAGCGGGGGCCTGTGATTCTCTGTCCAGCTTTGGCCCAATAGACCGTGTCTTGGGCAAATTCCCAGATGTCCCACACCTCAGTTACCCCCTCATGAATGGACCGTGCCATCTCAAGATGCTCCCCGGCCTGGGAACCTAGGACTTATGATGATGCCGGCTTTGCTTTTGAGAGCAACAGCAGCAGATGAGGTGGGGCTGGAACCTTGATGCCGATTTGGGCGTTTGAATGAGACAGTCGGCCAGCAGAATCTCCACCCCAGCTGCCGTCAACAGGAGTGCAGTAGAGCTGGTAAAACGCACCCTGGCACCTGCGGAAAACACAGACTACAGATCAGAGCAAGTGGGGTGTGCCATTTCCCAGCTCACGGAGCAGGACAGGGAGCATTTGGAAAGAATCAGACCGCTTTGGGTGCAATAGATCTTGTAGGTGCTCCAGGCATTGTGGAGACCAGAAATACCTGTTTCCTAAGGCCCAGCTCATTCTGGCAGTCTTACCTGGACCGTAGGGTCTGGGAGCTCTGAATGGACACTGTTCACTCACTGAAGAGATGGAAGACCAGGAGGTGACATGGCCAGTCTCCCGTGCATGTCAAGAGTGCCAGCAAACAGCCCAGAAACCTGCCTGTCTGCTTCCTCCTGGCTGTCTTGGGTTTCAGCTGCCTGCCTGCCAGGAGACACCCATCAGCAAATGCACGACTGCAGCAGCATTTCACAGGCCACTGGACGTCTGTGAAGCATGCATTTTAAGCTGCTTTTGGCAGTTTGGCTCCTGGTCTCCAGAACCTGCTTTTACATTTTCAAACTACCCCTAAAGTTTCTTAATTAGACTGTACACAAACTCACATGGAAAATTTTTTTAGGTGATATTTCAATTCATTTCAGATCTGTTTTCTTGGAATTTTGCGGGGTTGGCAACATGAGGAAACAGAAGACCTGAGTTCAGATACCAGGTTGAGTCCCAGCCTGGCACAGTCCAGGTAGAATCGTGCTGCCTCCCAGGGCTCCATCTTCATCACGTGGGTGAGGGAAGTGCTCACAGGTGACCCTGGCAGGAGGCATGTCCGGGATCAAGCCCCTCCCAGGTGCCAGGAGGCACTGTTCTAGGACCATGCCTCCTAATTTTCTTTTTCCCAGAGGAATTGCCTTGCAGTACAGGAATCAGTGCATAGAGAAGGATCTGGAATGGAAGCTGAGGATTTTTGTCATAAATAGTGTCTTGACTCGAAAGCTGCCGGGTCTTTTGCAGATTTTTCTCCATAATTTAAGACTCATTCCTTGGCAGTGTTTTGTTCCTGTTATGTTGGCATCATTCTGGTTTTTTTCTGTTCATATGTTTGAGGTTATAATTAAAAACAAATCTGGAAATTTTGCATTAACTTAAACCAATGTTTGCTAGCCTGTTTGTTCTGAAATAATTCCAGGATCTGGAATGGAAGCTGATGATTTTTGTCATAAATGGTGTCTTGACTCGAAAGCTGCTGGGTTTTTGCAGATTTTTCTCCATAATTTAAGACTCATTCCTTGGCAGTGTTTTGTTCCTGTTATGTTGGCATCGTTCTGGTTTTTTTCTCTTCATATGTTTGAGGTTATAATCAAAAACAAATCTGGAAATTTTGCATTAATTTAAACCAATGTTTGCTAGCCTGTTTGTTCTGAAATAATCAGTTGTTTGATTCCAACTTAAGCAAAATGGCTAGTACAGATGCTCTAAGGATATTCCCTGTGCATAAAAAATGGGATCAGCATAGCTGTTGGCATTTCTTTTCTCCACCGTCAGGTGTTCAGCCTGACCCTGGTCCCTCGCTCCAGCTTTCTGGCCCATTCGGGAAGGGCCTCAGAGCGTGCAGAGTGGCCTGACTTCTCAGTGGGAAAGTGCATGGAGACAACGATGTGCTAGGAGGGATGGCCCAGCTCGTAGGGTCCACGCCTGATCTGGGTGGAGCTGGGGGTGCAACGTCCTAGTTCTTTTTTTAATTATTATTATACTTTAAGTATTAGGGTACATGTGCACAACGTGCAGGCTTGTTACATATGTAAACATGTGCCATGTTGGTGTGCTGCACCCATTAACTCGTCATTTACATTAGGTATATCTCCTAATGCTATCCCTCCCCGCTCCCCCCACCCCACACTATTCACAATAGCAAAGACTTGGAACCAACCCAAATGTCCAACAATGATAGACTGGATTAAGAAAATGTGGCACATATACACCATGGAATACTATGCAGCCATAAAAAATGATGAGTTCATGTCCTTTGTAGGGACATGGATGAAGCTGGAAACCATCATTTTCAGCAAACTATTGCAAGGACAAAAATCCAAACACCACATGTTCTCGCTCATAGGTGGGAATTGAACAATGAGAACACTTGGACCCAGGAAGGGGAACGTCCTAGTTCTTGAAGGGGTGTTCCAGTGCACCTGCTCTGTAGCTTTCCTGCAGTGACTGCTGTTGTGGGGTTGCTTCTCCCACCTGCCAGGGTTCACCCTGATGGGTGCCCAGGGCAGGCGAGGTGAATATTTTAATATTCGTTTCATGATTTTATTTTAGTTTCAAATGCCTTAAACTTGAAGTGTTCACAGAATCTCAGTTTAATAGAGAGCAAAGTGATGAGAATTGGTATGGAAGTGACTTTAAAGTAAATGTAATGTGCTAAAACACACAACACATGACGTCAAAATGTTTATCATCACTAGAAAAATGAAAACTTATGCACAATCCCTTTCAAAATTATTATACATTGACATCTTAATGTGGTTTTATATTAAAATGTATCACAAGGCCAAATATCAAATATTTGAACCCATCTATAGTTTGGGATTATTGAAACATTTCCTTCCTTTCATGGTCATGGAAAATTGAGAGTTGGCTAAACAGCCTCTACAGCAGGAGAGGGGATGACCAGGAAGATGGGTATGCTGTCGGAACCTGTAAACCAGAAGCCCGGGAAGGGGTGAGAGGCCATTAGCACCAAAGGAAGTAATTAATTATCAATGTGTCCAGAGAGATAATCTATTATAAGTAGCCCTATTAAAATATAAAGGGAAAATATAGGTCCTTAAAAAAAGACAGTATGTTCATGCTGGAGGGTGAAAATGAATAGGAACTTTTATTATTAAACTAATATACCATTTGATTAAAAAGTGAGCTATGTAAGCTTTAATAAGATAAGAAAGATGAAGTCGGTAAAAATATTCTTGAATTAGCTAAGTGAGGATTCTTTCCTTTCAAAATTTTTCAACAGGGAAAAGGCTAAGGGAAAATGTGTGGGCAATTGTGAAGCTCACAGAGGCCATCCCGGAGGCTGTGTGAGAGCAGGGGCCTCCTCCAAAAGCAGCACCCTCAGGCACATTTGGAAGTGAGGTTGGGGAGAAGTAGAAAAAAAATCAGAATGTGGTTGTGCCACCTTTCCTTAGTTCCCTTTCCAGATGATCTTCCCCAGGTCATTATTCTTATTCCTGAAGGTTTCTTTCTTTCCCTATCCCCACCTCCCAGACTTGCTTCTGTTTCCTTCCCAGCCCTCTCTGATCCTCTCTCCCTCCATTTCTAGTGAAACATTTTGTGTTGTTGCTTTATTTTTGCTGTTGGAGGAATTACTCCTGGGACAGTGTCTATGAATCAGAATTCTAGAGCATTAACTAATTTCTTACTATTGATAGTTTTGTTTTATTCAAACAATCTAATGGTCTTTCCTTGCAGCCATTTGATTAGATTCTGAAGGGCCCTTGGCTGAGCCATCTGGGCAGGGCCACCCCAGCAGGCCCTGTGCTGCATCTGAGATTCCTCACCATTCTGGGGCTTTTCAGAACCAAATGGTGAGAATGACAAAGCTCAAAGACAAAAACACGATGCAGGTGAGCTCTGTTGAAGAAAGGTCCTTAGACACTGAAAACGACACCACGAAAGTAATAATGAAGAAAGGGATACATGGATTCCTAGCTAAGAAGGAATGTACAAGCTCTTGGTGCTAAGGGACAGCAAGATTCCAGCATAAAAGACAATTTTTTAAAAAAAGAGACAGCAAGGAGGTCAGATTCTTTTTGGTAATTTTAAAAATAGTATTTTTTTTAACTTTGAGATTTGTGTTGTCCTTAAGCCAAATGTGCCCATGACTTTTTTATTCACAAACACAAATTATTGAGAAATGTATTTATACCTTTCCTGGCTGCAAATCAGGACTTGAGGAGACTGACAGACACATACAGCATCTGATGAGATCAAGGCAACCAAACGCGAGGCAATAGAAGGCAGGGCAGGTGGGCACAGTGGGAATCCTGAGCGAGGCATGGCCCCTTACAAGGCACCCAGGGCACATGGTCCTCGGGAAGTGGCCACTCACTCGGAGCAGCCCTGCGTGGCTGGTGGACAGTGGCCTCCGCAAGAACGTGGCTGATGGACAGTGACCTCAGGAATGTCTTCCCCTCCCTGTAGGAGGCCCTCCTTGTCTTCCCATCCCTACAGGAGGCACTCCCAACACCTTCACTCAGAACATACCCTGGGCTGCCACCGAGAGCCAGGAGCTGCAAATGCAAGAGTCAAGAAGCAGAAAGGACAGGCTCAGCCCTCCTGGAGCTTCCTGTCCAGGACGGAAACAGGTCACGAGTGTGCCAGGGAGTGGACACTCCCGTGTGACTGCCACGTGCCCAAAGAGGACAGGAAGCAGCGAGAGGAACCACGGACTCACGGAGAACCATAGGAGAGGGAGGCTGGTGGGGGTTATCTGGGGAAGTATGTCCCAGGGACTGGCAACCCTGTGGGCCTGGGTAGAAGGAGGGAGGGAGGCTGTAGACTGTGATGCCAGGGAAGTGGGGGTGGGGCTGGGGCTTGGGCGGGACCCCGGTTTCTGACCCTAAGCCATCCAAGGACCCTGGAGGTCTTGGGCCCCAAGGAAGGAGCCCTGACTTACTGGGAAGGGTTGAGAATGGGCTGTACGGGCCAGGCCCGGATGGAGCAGGGAGGCCGGGGGAGTAGGGTGCCTCATGCAAGTGTGGGAGGCGCTGCCCATCACGGGGCCTTGGCCATGGGGATGATGAGAAATGGCTGGGTTGGGTTTCCTTTGACGTTTTGAGTAGAAGATGCTGAGCTTAAATCATGAACCCTGGAGCACTGCTCTGGTTCTGGGGCATGGAGAGGAGGTAAGATGTCACGCCAGGGCATGGAGGGGAGGTGAGACGCCGCGCCCGGGCACGGAGGGGAGGTGAGACGCCGTGCCGGGGCATCAATGGGAGGTAACGCATGTGCAGAGGCCACGCTGGGCTTCACCAGCAGCTGGTCAGAAGAGGCTGCCCTTCTTTGGGGCTTGTTAGCACCCCTGAAAGAAAGAAAAATGAGATAACAATAAAAAGAGCAATGCAAACCAAGTTAGAAATCAACATGCCTCCCAAAACTGTGCCCCTTTTCACCAAATGGAAACGTGAGACCAGCAGAGGAGCCCCTGGTGCTGGCCCCGTCGTCTCTGCCGAGCCGAGCACCAGAGTCGGCTGCGTGTCCACAGCCATGACTGTTCTCCAACGAGAGGAGAACGGAGGCCTTGGAGGAATCCTCAGAGTCATCCTGAGGAACCTCAGAAGTTGGGAAATTCTGCCACTGCCGTCCGGTTTTGCCCCTGTACACACTGCGGCCCCATTAATCCGTGTGGCGTCCCCAGATCAGCCACAGCCACCACAAGTACGTGGCGACTTGGCCGCGGGCACATTCATGCAGATGAAATGGGAATTTAACAACGTCTCAGGGCGAATGCCTGTTGTCCTTTTTTTTAAGTGTGTCACATGATCGCGCTGTGTGACATCGCAAATCTCCATCTCGGCTTTGTTGGCCTCTATGCATGAATAATTTTCCCAGTGCTTGTTTTTAGTGCAGCCAGAAAAAGAGCGCATTACCGGCGCGCAATCTCTTGTTGTCCGCGATCAGCATTCTGTGGGTCTGAGCTGGCTTACAACGGTGTAAAGACCCCAGCGGCATGTGTTATAATATATGAGCCATTGTCCCCCTGAAGAACGCACGAAAGAAAGAGCATTGTTCTACCAGGGAGCAATTCAGCGGGTTTTTCCCAGAGACTCTTGGGTCAAGTTTTTATAGGCCTATTTGATTTTCAAATTCTTCCTTACGCTCTTTCCTCTCCGCGCGCATAGTGTCCAAACTTGTCTACATTCACTTCCCATGTTCCGTGCATGGTAGATGGCCTTTAAAAAGAGTATCTCAAATAAGTCTTTATTCGTGTTTTGTTGGGTCTCACTCTGTGTTTTCATGAACTCCGGCCCCAGCCATGGCAACTGCAAGAAAATGTTAACAATGATTGACAGGATTAGAAAAGCCTCCGTCCCTATCCGCATTTCAAACACTTTGGGAACAATGGTGTTTGGTGTGATTGAATTAATGAGATACCATGGGCTGTCAAAAGAGCACACAGACTTTACATAAACCTGATTATCTTTGCATGGCAGAAACGGAAAAAAAAATATAGGGGAGAGTGCAGTTTGGCTTTCACGCCTACCTCCAAAGGAGCTTGGAAGGCCGGGCCTGCTCCGTCAGAGGGGCCGCTCAGCTGGCCGGGCCTCCCTCCGTCGGCATACATCAGCCATGGTATTTAACAAGTCTATTCAGGAAACCAGGCCCCAAACAGCCTTCTTTCACAACTCGGCACCTCTGTGGGTTTTTTTTTTTTTTTTTTTTTTTTTTAAATTTTCCCTGGGAGCCATTGTTCAAGAACACATTTCAACAATTAGACCTGAGCCTGCGGCCCCTGCCCCGTCCTCACCCTGCCAAGAGGCGGAGGCCTGGGTCCCGACCATCACAGTGTTTAAAGGTCGGGCCTAGCCGGTGCAGACGTTAAGTCATGGAGGACACCAGCAAGAACCCTGTTTATGGATGGGCGTCCGCTCTGATGATCAGGAGTTCTGCGTGGTGCCTGAAGTCCTTGGCTGAAGCTGCGTGTTGTATTGGGGAAATGAGGATGAGCCTCTAAATATGATTCAGTTTCTTACAGAGAGCAGAGCGACCATCTCCCTTCTGGGACACCTTCCACTGAGAGAGCACCTGAACCGGGCTTGCAAAGTTCCCTGTGAAAAGCCCCCAGAGCTGAGAGCAGGTACATAATCCCATCTCATCATTTACAGATATGGCTTAGGCACCCAGAGAGCACCAGCGACTCAGCTGGTGGAGACCCACAAGGCTTGGGAAGAGCGGTGGCTCCTGGGTCTGCACCTCACCGCCTGTGCTGGCACCATCTTAAGAGTAAAGCTCACTCAAAGTCACAAAGAAGCAAGTGAGCAAAGGGATACGGGAGACTGTCTTCCAGCCCCAGCACAGTCCCTGAGCACCTTTGCTTCTGCAGCTGCCATTGTGGCTCACAATCACGGAGCGACGTCTGAGAGCAGCCACACCAGTTGAGATCACGGAACTATGTCTGAGAGCAGCCATGCCAGTTGAGAAGGCCACGCTGCTCCACTCTAGTAAACACCACGCAAAGTAGAGTGAGGAAGGACCAGGGAAGAGAGCGGCATCTGCAAAACTAGGGCGGATCTCAGCTGTGCCCACCACATGCTGCTGGTCACCTTTCCTGCAGAGGCAAGAACCCAAGCCGGCTTTCCAGTCACAGAACAGTTCCACAGACACTTCGCTGGCCAGCGCCTCTACTTTATCCTCAGTCCACCGATTAAATGTGACAGGTGCACACACACAGGGGAGGAGGTGTAACTTGGGTCTTTGGACATGGCCCTTCTTTCCAGAGTGAACTTGGGGCTGCTAGAGCCTGGGTCCCTGTGGATGGGCGGCTGGAGGCCCGGAGGCCCCAGCACAGCTCTGGAGAAGTGCATGCTCCAGGATTGACATCTGCACCTGTGTGTGAAGCTCCTCTCCCCACTCCCTTTCAGAGCCTAAGAACAGCCTGGGGACTCTGAATTCATCCTTGGCATGACACCCGACAGCAAGGCCTGCTCCCGGCCCAGCCAGCAGATGTCCCTGTTTCACACAGGGTCCTGGATCCGGCCACCGTCCTCCCCGGCCGGCAGCATCCCAGGTCTGCTAACCCGCCGGACGGGGCAAGCGGGAAGGCCGCTTCAGCTCTTTCTCACGCAGAGGGGAGGGTGGGCTGCCCCCAGGAGCCAGAGAATCAGGGATTCTCTCATGGAGTTCCTGATCAGGAAAGCTACAAAGTGACAGCAGCGATGCTGTCAGTGGAAAGAGAAACGGAAATTTGTTGGGTATTGTATTTAAATTTTTACCTGCTTGGTAAAGTTACATTCAACACCAATAAAAAGGAACTGCACTCATACAGAAACTAAGTCCATACAGGAACTACTATATCCACGTTGGAACTATACTCATATAGGAAATATATCCATATAGGAACTACTATGTCCATATGGAAATGATACCCATCTAAGAAATACAGCCATATAGGAACAATAACCATATAGGAAAGATACCCATAGAGGAACTATATCCATACAGAAACGATACTCATACAGGAACAATATCCATATAGGAATGATACCCATACAGGAACTGTATCCATATAGGTATGATGCCAACACAGGAGCTATATACATATAGGAACAATATCTGTAAAGGAACTGTATCCATATAGGAATGATACCCATACAAGAACTCTATCCATATAGGAATGAAACCTATACAGGAACTGTATCCATATAGGAACGATACCCATACAAGAACTGTATCCATATAGGAATGAAACCTATACAGGAACTGTATCCATATAGGAACGATACCCATACAAGAACTGTATCCATATAGGAATGAAACCTATACAGGAACTATGTCCATATAGGAATGGTACCCATACAAGAACTGTATCCATATAGGAATGAAACCTATACAGGAACTGTATCCATATAGGAATGATACCCATACAAGAACTGTATCCATATAGGAATGATACCCATACAAGAACTGTATCCATATAGGAATGAAACCTATACAGAAACTATGTCCATATAGGAATGATACCCAAACAGAAGCTATATTCATATAGGAACAATACCCATACAGGAACTGTATCCATACAGGAACGATACCCCTAGAGAAACTATATCCCATACAGAAACGATAGCCATACAAAATCTATATCCATATAGGAACTATATTCATATAGGAACGATACCTGTCCAGGAACCATATCGATATAGGAACAATACCCATAGAGGAACTATATCCTTATAGGAATGATATTCATACAGGAACTGTAGCCATATAGGAATGATACCCATGCATAAACTATATCCATATAGGAACAATACCCATAGAGAAACTATATCCATATAAGAAAGATACCCATACAGGAACTATATCCATATAGGAACGATACCCATACAGGAAGTATATCCCTATACAGGAACTATATCGATATGGGAACAATATCCATACAGGAACTATATACATATAGGAATGATATCCACAGAAGAACTATATCTATATAGGGATAATACCCATACAGGAACTATATCCATACAGGATGATACCCATACAAGAATTACATCTACACAGAACTATACCCTTAGGGGAACTATATCCCCATACAGGAATAATACCCTTACAGAAATTATATCCATATAGGAATGATACCCATAAAGAACTATATCCATATAACAACGATATCCATACAGGAACGATATACATATAAGAACTATATCCATATAGGAACAATACCCATACAGGAACTATATCCATATAGGAGTGATAACCACACAGAAACTATATCCATATAGGAATGATACCCATAAAGGAACTGTACCCATATACAAATGATACCCATACAAAAATTGTATCCACATAGGAACGATACCCATACAGGCACTATGTCCATATAGCAACGATAACCATACAGAAACTATATTTATATAGGAATGATGCCTATACAGAAACTATATCCATATAGGAATGATACTTATACAGAAACTGTATCCATGTAGGAACAATAGCCATACAGGAACTATATCCATACAGCCACTACGTCCATATAGCAACGATACCCATACAGGAACTATGTCCATATAGGTATGATACCCATACAGAAACTATATCTATATAGGAATGATACCTATAAAAGAAACTATCCATATAGCAACGATACCCATACAGGAACTGTATCCATATAGGAATGATACCTATACAGAAATTGTATCTATACAGGAACTATACCCTTAGAAGAACTCTATTTATACAGGATGATACCCATACAGGAACTATATCCATATAGAAACGATACCCAGATAGGAACTATATCCATATAGGAATGATACCCATATAGGAACTACATCCATACAGCAATGATACCCATAGAGGAACTATACTCATGTAGGAACGCTACCCATACAGGAACTGTATCCATACAGGATGATACCCATACAGGAACTATATCCATACAGGAACTATACCCACACAGGAACTATATCCCTATACAAGAACAATACTCATACAGGAACTATACCCATATAGGAACAATATCCATACAGAAACTGTATTTATGTAGGAATGATATGCATACAAGAACTATATCCATATAGCAATGAGACCCATACAGGAACTGTATCTACAGAGGAACAATACCCATACGAGAACTATATCCATATAGGACCGATACCCATACAGGAACTGTATCCATATAGGAATGATACAATACCCATATAGGAATGTATCCATATAGGAATGATACCCCTAGAGGAACTATATCCCAGTAGGACTGATACCCATATAGGAGCTATATTTATAGAAGAACGATATCCATACAGGAACTATATCCATATAGGAACGATGCTCATAAAGGAACTATATCCATATAGGAATGATACCCACAGAGGGACTATATCCATATAGGAATGATTGCAATACAGGAACTATATCCATATAGGAATTATACCCATACAGGAACTATATTGATATAGGAATGATCCCATGTAGGAACTATATCCATATAGGAACGGTACCCACACAGTAACTATATCCATGCAGGAACTATATCTATACAGGAACTATATCCATACAGGAACTATATCCACACAGGAACTATATCCACACAGGAACTATACCCACACAGGAACTATATCCACACAGGAACTGTATCCATGCAGGAACTATATCCATACAGGAACTATATCCATACAGGAACTATATCCATACAGGAACTGTACCCACACAGGAACTGTACCCACACAGGAACTATACCCATACAGGAACTGTATCCATACAGGAACCCTGTCACACAGGAAAGGAACTCTCTGTCATTAGTCCGTGGAATCTATTTGTTAGTCTTGTACTTTTATGTTTAAAAATGTTTAGTTTTTACTTTTAGGAAAAATGATTGTCTCATTATAAATAATAAAGCTTGTTACAGAAAATTTTAAAAAGTTACAGTATTTAAGTTCTATTTTAAAATTTCATAATTTAACAATTGTGAAATTGTTTTATGTAATAGGGTAAAATATACATTAGAATTTGCTTTCACACCTTTATTTTATTGTGATGAAAGCTCTCTGAAAATTATTTTATTTTTAAGGTCACAAGATATTGCTGTTGTTCACCTTTTATAGATTTGTAAGTTGAAAGCTTGGCAAACAGGTTTTTTTTTAAAATTATACTTTAAGTTTTATTAGTCTATATCGTGATCTCTTTATGTTAAAGTCATTTTAGACACTTCTAGGCATTTGAGCTCCCAGAGACATGTCTGACTAGCGGTACAGCCTCAAAAACTTAATGTTGTTATTGAAATAATGCGGTTTCAGAATTTGGAACAAAAAATGTCCTTGAGATAAAACCCTTCACTCCAGTATTATCAAACGAATCTGTTAGGGCTTTTATAACTGTAGCTAATGTTTGCCGAGTGATTTAAAGCGAGCACATTCCAATAAAATAATATTTGTTACTAAAGAACTGTTTTAAGAAAGGGATTGAGACTGCTCTTTTCTGTGGAGTTTTATGAAACTGAGGCACAAATAATTTCCAGTGGGCACACAGAAGGTTTCACGGAAAGAACTCTGGACTTAGGTCTCCTGAGAGCCCATTGTCACTGCCGGTTCCTCACAGTGGAGTTGCAGTGCTATTTACATGTGGCTGGTTCTTCCTGCTTCACACTACGTTTCCTTGGGTTGGTCACACTTAAAAAATACTTTGGATGATTATAAAGCCTTTAAACAGACTTTCAAAGACTGCTGTCAGCACATTGAACTGCCTTGTTAGTTCAGGTAAGGCCCCCAGTGAGGAGGTGGATATCAGTCCTACTTGGATATAGTTTCTGTAGGAGTATCATTCCTATATGGATATAGTTCCTGTATGGGTATTGTTATGGGTGCTCAATGTCTGTCTCTGGTCGTGAGAGAGAAAGCCTTCCTCAGGACTGGCTCTTGTCACCCACCTGTCCAGGGCGGCCTCTGCCTCTTCATGCTGCCCCTTGTCCACCAGGTACCTAAAGAGGCTGCTCCAACCGCCCTTCTGGTCCTCTGGTTTCTGGTCAGGTCTAGCCAGTGAGGAGGTGGAGAGGCTGGAGGGTGTGCAGAGAGGGCCCAGGTGCCCAGCCCCCCAGAGAGGAGGCAGAGAGGCCAGAGGGTGGGCAGAGAGGGGCCTGGAGTCCATCCCCCCCATGAGGAGGCAGAGAGGCCAGAGGATGGGCAGAGAGAGGCCAGGTGTCCAGCCCCCCAGAGAGGAGGCAGAGAGGCTGGAGGATGGGCAGAGAGAGGCCAGGTGTCCAGCCCCCAGCGAGGAGGCAGAGGGGCCGGAGGGTGGGCAGAGAGAGGCCAGGTGTCCAGCCCCCCAGAGAGGAGGCAGAGGGGCTGGAGGGTGGGCAGAGAGAGGCCAGGTGTGCCGCTCCGACTCTTCCTGCAGGGACGCCCTCCCTGCTCTGCTGAGGACTCTTCCTCTGGCCCTCGAGCCCTGGGTGGACATGGATCCCTGCTAGGCCTGGCTTCCAGATGGGGCTTTTCCTATCTGAAGTGGTTTCCTGCCCTGCCCAAACTTGGCAGCAGGCTCCATGTAGTAAGCCCCCAACTCACGTGTGGGATGCCACCTGTTTTCTGCCAGGGCACTGTGGTATGGTCCAGTAGTGCCACTGTGTCCTCATAGGCAGCTCTGCAGTTGGGGGGTCCCAAACCATGGGGGGTAGGCTGCTCCGACACAGTTTCCCCAGGGTAAGGGAGGGGCTCCAGGATGGTGACGTCCCGTCTCAGCAGGTGTATGTTCTCACCTGCAGACTGCATTGTAGGCCTTCCAGCCAGCCTCCTCGCTGGGGGCATTCCATAGCTCTTGTGTCTTACACGAAAACACCCGGGTGGCAGGTCCATATCCTGGAGCTGCCCACCCCTCCCCAGGCTCAGGCTAGACTCTGCTGCAGACTTTGGGACCAGGAAGGGGAGGGGCCGGTCTCAATGCAAAGGCTGACCTAAGACAGCTGCCCCGGAAGGACCTGCAGCACCTCCTCAGGTGCTTCTAATGTGAGGCAAGTGAGACCACACAGGTGGGTCGGGGACTGGGAGCTGAGATGCATGAGTGAGGGAGGGGGTCTTTAAGGGCCCCCAGGTTGGGGGGCCACAGCCTCCGTGAGGGCAGCTTTCTCGCTGCCATTCTTTGAGATCAATATAGATTGAAAACATTTTGCATGAGAACTCACTGGGTCTTGGGGGGATGGCAAGGGGGCTGTGTGGCTGAGTTAAAGCACGAGACGTGAAACGCCAGCATCACCCTGTCTCTCTCCAAACAGATGGTGCTGCGCGATCCTTTTCCAAAGTGGCTCAATTCACTAGGAAGCGGGTTCCTCAGCACAGATGTTTTGCTGTGTTTCGTATGGCAGGCTTGGGGGCTTTTATGAACATAGTGTGGCTTTAAGACGCCAAGGACTGGGTGAGGGCAGAGTCCCTGCAGAGCGACTCAGTGTCACAGTGAGGTGAGGCCCTGAGGCTCCCACAAGCTCACAGCACACAGGAAAAATGCTGGAAAAAGCATCAGGTGGTGTAGACATCAGACCCCAGAGGAGGTGGAGCTACCTACTCCTTGAAGATCAGTTCCCCATTTCTTAGTTAATAATCATACACTTGAATAATAAGAGAGAGATTAAATAAAAAGGCGATGGATTGCAAGGTGAAGAAGGGGCCAGAGGCCCAGCCAGCCAGGTCTTCCTTCCTTCTCATGGGTGGTGAACACACCAGTGTCATCTGCAACCACCCAGCACGCTGAGGCTTCACAGACTCTGACGGGAAGACCCACCTTACCTCAGAACGCCTCAGTGTGCTTGTCCTGGGTCTGCCTAGAGGCTGGCGAGGGTGTTGTCACTCACACCCAGAACAAGTGCAGCAAGATGCCATGTGCCCTCTCTCCTTCAGGAGAGAGGGTAACGCTCATCGGTTCCCTCAGTTATGTGGGCTTTGTTTCCAGTTGTGACAAAGAGTAGCTGCTGGTATAGAACGATGCATTTTAGGCAAACTATTTGAGGCAAACTTCAGATACAGTGGGACCACTTGATGCTGTTTTTGGTTTACAAAAATAATCATATCATCTGCTCCAAAGCACAGATGAAAAATCAACAGACACTTTCAAAGGCCACTGACAGATTTTTGTTTTAGACTTTCACTAAGAATTGTGTTCATTTTAATAACCCAAACCCCGCCCTGAGGTTGTCGTATTGAAGTCGTTCCAGCCACACGCGGATGCTGCGGCTCTGAAGGGCCTTGGATTTACAGCTAAACAGAAGTCTCGCTCAGCAGCTACTTTCACTCTTTCGACTCCATTCTTTTGAATTTCAGAGTTTTGGTTTTAGGTCTGATTTTTTCCCATGGGGAACAGAGGCTGGAAATGAATTTCTTTTCAACTTGGTTTTGGGAAGAACATTCTTTGAGCCACAGACAGTGTTCTCAGGCTTCACTGGAAATCATGAATAGATGTAATTATCACCAGCCGGACAAGGGCAGGAGAGTCTCAGTCAGCACAACACCAGGCAAGACATGCTCTCGCACACGGCAGAGTTTGCAGAGACTCAGATGCACCCAAGTCAGCTGCTGCTCGGTTTCAGGTTGATGGGCGCTCATGGGAACGTCGGCAACCTCACCAGGCTTTTTATTTGGGGAGCACAGGCTGCTGCTGATGCTCTCTGCTACCTGTGATCTATCCACCTCCAGGAAGGAATGCCGCTGCTGATGTCAGGCCCTGCTGTGAATCCCAGGAGGCCAAAGGGGAGGCAAGACGCCACCGGCTACCAGGTCTCCTCCTGGCCTCATCAATGGGGCGTCCAGATCAGGGCTCCCTTTCATGGTTGTGGGGGACCCTGAGGCTTCGTGCCTGGTGGCATAAACGTGTTCAGCTGTGGCCTCATGGTCTTCAGGCAGTTTTAAATAAAGCCCGTGTTCAATTTCAAAGAGTCTTTCTTCTGCAATCAGCAAGCCTCTCCTCCTCAGTCTTTGTCTATGTAATAAAGCCAAAGTGACTCCCTGTGTTGGCAGAGGTGGGCAGGTGGGAAGCGGCAGGGAAGGGGTTAAGCAGCGTGGTGCTGCGGTTTCTCAATCAGCCCTGGGAAGCCTCGGGCCAGTTCTGCTCATAAGGCTCTGCACAAATATTTCTTTTTCTACCAGAGGAATTCTAATTCTGCACACAGACCAGGGCCACTCAGATTATTACACATTATTAAAAATTAATTTTAAAAATGGTCTGGTTCTTGAAATGTGCTGGAGAGGTGTGTGTGTCCAAATTTGAAATTACAGCAGCAAAAAGATGGAAGGGGATCTGTACGTGGTATGGGAAAAATGAGCCCTGGAAAATCGCTCCTTGCATCGGACAATCGGTAGTTTTTGGTTATAGTCTCTTTATCACAGTGACTTTAAATGACTGCACTGACCTTAACATACAAGGGTAGCAATGCCCGCTTCTCTGCAGTTTTCTGGGAGTGTTAAAATGGCCAGGGGCCCGTTTGTGTCCTGGAAGTCCAGGCTGGATGTTCAATGCCCTCGTGCTTTGACTGGAGGACGAGGTTTGCAGGCATTTGTGTGGACACTTCATTGCCTGCTCAGTTTCCACAGCCCCTTCGCTGCTGATTTTACGTTTTGCCGAGAGGACAGCTGTGGGTCCTGCTAATAAAATGTAGGGAACCCCGAGCCCTGAGACTTAGCACTGAGGGAAACAATAAGTTGAGATTGCTGGTTCTATTCTTCCACTAAAAAAGGTCAGTGCAATGGATTCGTCTAGTGAACGTCCCTGTATATTCTGAGTGTGTACATACGTGTGCCTGTACGTGCATATGACATTCTCATCTGCTTAAGGGAATGAATGACTTAGTCCCAGTTCAATTCAGTAAGAAATCAACTCCATGCTTGCTCTACCTAAACCATCCATGGATCCAAGGCTACCATCATTGGAGAGCCTCCTCCATCCAGGTGCTTCCCATGTGATATTCCCTGAAACCCTGTGGCAGCCCCCGGAGGCAGAGGAAGCTAACACATCACCCAATGCCATACAGGTGGGCAGGGGCCAGCTCTGCTTTCCTACCAGAACAGTTTGAGCCTGAAGCCAGCTCCTGTGTGCCATCCTGGTCCTTCCCTGCTGGGCCAAGATTCAGTTGCCTCTGTCCCCTTGGAAGGGTTCTCCAGTGTTTCCATGAGCAGGCAGGTGAGGTAGGCTAAAAACTGAGTTTTAAACAAACAAACAACAAAAAAATCCCATTGATAGGGTTACACAACACAAATTATCACCCTCAAATTTCAGTGGGGAAGAATGGAGACATGGAAATTGAAAATCATTCTCATCATGATGAATGGCTTTATTGACTTTCAGTAACATCACCTGTGCCACAATCGGCTGTCAGTCCTGCATCCTGTAGCCAGCACTGTGGACAGTGCATGTTCTCATTAGCTCACCTGCCTCTGGTCAGCATATCTTACTCGGTGGTAGAGGTCAGTTTCTTCCTGGCCCAGAGTGCTGGGTCTGAAAAGACACTCTTGACCTTCATGGAGGAGAAATTAGGACGTAGAGAGGGGTGAGTGGGTTCAGGTGTCCTTCAGAGGATGGCACGTGTATCTCCTTCTGTAATTTCACAGGAAAATGGTGTGTCCAACAATATGTCTCCACAAGAAGGAGTGGGGCAATATTTCCTGGAACTTTCGTTTCTTCAGGGAGCAGTCACAATCACACCACTGTCCAGGACCCCCATGGTACTAAGCACTGGTGATTTTTCCAAGAACACGTGGCCTCCCAACTAGAAATGTGCAATCAACATGGAGGCCACAGCTGGCTTTGTAGCCCATGCAGAGCAGATCCTGAGATCCACCTGAGGTCCTCAGCACCTGCTTGGCAAGGGGCCCAGCAGAGCCATTGCTGTTCAGACGTTGCCAGCTGCATTTGTCACCCTTGCCCTTTCTATGGGGTCTTTGTGCGGATACTTTGTGCATTCATTTGCTAGGGCTGCCATATCAAAGTCTGGGCAGCTTAAACAACAGAAATTTATTGCTCACAGTGTGGAGGTGGGAATCTGAGGTCTAGGTACCACCAAGGTTGGTTCCTTCTGAGGACCAGTGGGGAGACTCTGTTCCAGCCTCTCTCCTTGTACTAGGGACAGCCGTCTTCTCTTTCAACCTTCACACGTCTCTCCTACATGTATGTCTGCGTCCTAATTCTCTGTTCTAATGTGGACACCAGTCATATTCAGTTAGGACCCACCTTAGAGACCTAATTTAAACTTAATCACTTCTTTAAATACCTTATTTCCCAAAACAGTCACATTCTGAGGTGCTAGGGGTTAGGTCTTTAACATATCAATTTCAAAGAGACAGATTTCATCCCAGAATACCCCAAATAATACCCTTCATAGGCAGCTGTTACAGAGAAAGCTTAAATACACAAGCCAGGCCCTGAGCCTTGGTATCTCTCAAAGACTCAGTCAGAGAACACCAGGACATTTCCTTCCAAGTCCTCCTGACTCTGACGGAATGCCAGATGTCTGAAACTGCTTTCTTTCCTTCTTGTGACTTATCACAGTCAAAGCAAAAACAGTATATTTTCATTGCATTTTAATCTGAGGTTAAACATGAGTAATGAAAGGAAGGGAAGGAGGGATGAGGGAAGATTAGAAGAAGGAGAAAAGGAAAGAAAAGAGGAGGGAAAGGAGGTAGGAAGGGAGGAAGGGAGGGAAGGAAGGGCTATTGAATGCCCATTGGCTCCAGTGACATTCTAGGAGTTTTACTTCTGAGGACCTGTTATCTTTTTTAATCCCAATAACAACATTGTAAATTAGGTTATACTTTCACCGGTTTATACATGAGAAAGCTGTACTCCAGAGAATGAAGTTCAGAAGGTCAGGAGATGCTGTGCAAGGCATACTGGACCTGTCTCTAGAAAAAAGACAGTATTCCCAACTTCAGCATCACTGGTTATCTATGAAGTGGCCTGGCCAAGTGTCTGTCTGTGAGAGGCTCTGACAAACTGCAGGTATAAGACAACTTAATTAATATAAATTCCTTCTTAGACAAATATCTGGATCCTAAAAGCATCTTTGTAAGCATCAGTTATTCACGACGATCACTGTTGGTGCTAGGCCAGCAGATGTAGACTGGGCTTTGAACAACACAGTGGCTGCCTTTCCACGTTTCATCAACTCTTCCTCCAAGTCTTCAAGAGTCAGTTATATGAAGGACTCTGTGGTCATGGCTGATTGCATGGATTTTTAAATCATACCTAATGATTAGTCAAGGTCTGAGAGTGGTGCTTGTGTTGTGCATATGAAGTCTAGTCAGGAGGACACAAGGACTTCAGATGAGAAGTGAGAGATGGAATAGCTCTTGTATGCAATTTTTCTGGCAAATTTGAGTTTAGGGTGTGTAATATTTATCCATTGATTGGTTGATCTATTCGTCTACCCATCCATCCATCCATCCATCCATCCATCCATCCATCCATCCATTCACCCATCCATTCACCCACTCATCCACCAACCCATCTATCTGTCCATCCATGCATCCACATATCCATCCACACATTCATCCACCCATCCATTCACTCACCCATCTACCCACACCTCCACCCATCTATGCATTCACCATCCATCCATCCACACATCCATCCATATATCCATTCACCCACACATCTACCCATTCATCCATCCATCCACTCATCCGTCCACCTATCCATCCGTTCACCTATCCACCCATCCATCTACCATCCATCCATCCATTCATCCACCCACTGATCCATTCATAATCCATCCATTCATCCACCCATCCATTCATCCACCCACTGATCCATTCAACATCCATCCATTCATCCACCCACCCACCCATCCATTCACCCATCATTATACCCATTCATCCCTCTATCCATACACTCATCCATTCACCATCCACCCATCCACTTATTCACACATCTATCCATCTATCCACCCATCCATCCATCCATTCACCTATCTACCTATCCACCGTCCATCCTTCCACCCACCCATCCATCCATTTATCCATTCATCCACCCACACATCCACCCATCCATCCACCCACCATCCATCCATCCATTAATTCACACACCAACCACCCATCCATTCACCCACCCACTTGCCCACCCATCCATTCATCTATTCATCCATCCATCCACCCATCTGTCTATCCACCCATCCATTCATCTACCCACCTATTCATCCATCTAGTCATCCAATGAGTATTCATGGAGTACCTGCTCTCAACCACCCTGTTCCAGGACTGAGGATACATTGATGAGCAAAACAAACATTTCATCTGTCTCGCCATGCCCTTTCCTCCAAGTTACCAAAGTTTAAGAATGCTGGAAACCCAAGTGCTCCCTCCTTACCAGTGCCCCAGGTATGTTTCATGTTAAAATCTCACACACTAGGTATCAGCTAGAGGGGTAAGGTCAGGGTGTGGCTATACAGACAACCATGTGATAACTCAGAACTCATGGAAAATCCTCCTCCTTTTATTGGAAATTCTTCTTCTGAGCCATCATTAAATTATTTTTCTCTAATTTTCCAATTCTTACTAATTTTCTGGAGTATTTTATAGCTTTTGATCTGTAAGTTGATTTCCTTATAACCTTTAATACATAAACAAACATTAGAATGATCTAATTTATAAATTAAAATTTTAAGTTTTATCCTGTTTGTAAGAGAAAATGTTTAAAATGTAAGACCAAATATATTTCCATGAGACAGAGCATTGGCAGGAAGGGGTGAAGGGTCTTCCCGCTGACCATCCCGCGGGATTTGTAAGGAAGAGGGTGAAGTGTCCTCCCGCTGACTATCTGCGGGGATGCAGCCCAGCTGCTCAGCGCCAGCTGCTGTTGCTTGTGTTTGTATCTGAGTCTTGGGACCCTCTCATCAAAGTTCCCTCAAGAACTCCTGTCCCAGGCTGTGGCACCCTTGACAGCATGTCAGGGAAGGGGCAGTCATGGTCCTTGTATGGTGACCAAGCCCTGGCCCCACAAGGGACTGAAGAAAAAGCCATTGGTCAACCACTTTGGCACCGCAGCAAACCTCAGGCTTCAAGTGTACTTTCCATGTCACAACCTGGTTCCCTCCCACCTCCGTCATCCCCTTCACTGAGCAAGTCCTTCCTGAGAGAGAAAGGCGGCCTCCAGGCCCAGAAGTTTCTTGATGTACTTCTAAGAAATGGATTCACAATGAGCAGTGATGATACATTCTTTTTGGGGGTGGCCAAAAGGTATTCCAAGGTCCCTCTTTGTCCTGTGGCCTTGTCCCAGGCATGGAGCTACTTGGGACATGGGGGGACTTGGTACCTGCCCCAGCTCAAGTGTCTTCACCTCTGGGGCATCACAAACCCTCAACTCACCGCAGAAGCCCCTGAGTCTAGCGGGACCCAGATGTGTTCGTGCCGCTCGTAGGTGAGGTAGCTCTGGGCTTAGATGTTGCTCTGTTTGCCCTTCTAAGGTGAATGCAGCATCTTAAGCTACTCAGAGGCATGGTCTGTGTTCAGCACAATACACTGCTATGCACATAATATGCGACGTGATGTTTAATTTTGCAATAAAAATGTGACTTGGATCCAGAACTGAATTAAGTCTTCTCCTGCAAATGTGACAGATCTGCCATGGTCCCAGCAGGGGAACAGAAGCAGCTTAAGGGGCTTCAACGTAGGAAACTGGACGCAGGCAGCCATGCGGCCATAGCAGGGGGCAGTGGTTCGGGGACTGGCAGCTGTGTCAGCAAAACTAGCACTGAGAACTTCAACCTCATCACCCAGAGCTTCCTGGAAGCCACTGCCACCATTAGGACTTTGGGGAAGCTCCCGCCAGACACGACCTGGCCTCCCCCAGAGGGCTTTGCTCATGCGGCACCCTTCTCTCCTCCTGGGCTTCCCATTTCCTTCTGTGATGGAGAGGCGGCCTTGAGGGGCACTGAATTGGCATCAGACTCCTGATCACCAGGAGCCCTTCGTGAGACTTCAGGGAGCCCTTAATGTGTGGAAGCCATGCTGTTTGCTGGTCTGGGGACCCCAGGCCTCTGCTGCCAGCAATGCCCTCTCTGGGGCAAGAGACCTTTGAGGGTGCAGCCATTTGAGATGGTCACCTTTGGTGCCTAGAACCCTCCTGGAACTTCCTGGGTAGGCCCCTGGCGAGCTTCCCTCAAGCACCCACCGTCACAGGCACTGTGGCTGACACACTGCTTTCTTCTAGAGAGAAGCTGAATAGCTAAGGACCAGAAGAGCTGCCAGGTGTTGGCATGTTAAGTGTACCAGTCAAAAATGTTATATTTGGCCAGGCGGGGTGGCTCACGCCTGTAATCTCAGCACTTTGGGAGGCTGAGGTGGACTGATCATGAGGTCAGGAGATCGAGATCGTCCTGGCTAACACGGTGAAACTCCGTCTCTACTAAAAATACAAAAACTTAGCCGGGAGCCTGTAGTCCCAGCTACATGGGAGGCTGAGGCAGGAGAATGGCGTGAACCCGGGAGACAGAGCTTGCAGAGAGCCGAGATCACGCCACTGCAGTCCCGCCTGGGCGAAAGAGCAAGACTCCGTCTCAAAAAAAAAAAAGTTAAATTTATTAATCTTCAAACTGAGTTCCAGAGACAAGTGGGGATGGAGGTGGCTTTGCAGTCCTTGGCTACCCAGGCACTGGGGCTGGGAGGGACTCTCTGCCGTCACCTGTCCGGACAATTGGTTCTCCCAGCAGGTGTGGTTTTTGCTGTCTGCACAGCTCAGCCCTGTGCACCAGAGCTTCAGACGCCAACCAGAGTGCTTTGGCTGGAGCGGCAGGACCTGTGATGGCTCCTTAACACCTTCCTCCTTCAGAGCCACTCGCCTGTGCTGGAGGCTCCTGCAACTCCTACCCAGGCCCGGGGCACCTGGCACGCTGCAGGAGTGAGGCCCAGGACCTGTGATCCTGTTGCAGAAAACTCGACACACCAGGGCTGGCGGCAGCTCCAGGGTTAATTATCCAGAGTCCCTGGAAGAAAGCAAACAGTCCATCCAGGGCGCTGGTTTGTAGAATGAATTTTCAATGTGTAGCCCACAGAGGGCCACTGGTTGTGGTCAATAAATAAAAACAGTCCTGACGTTTATTGTTGTAGGGAGTAATTATAATTCGCAGGCCTGGACTCTTTGTGCTGCTGAATGCCTCGTTTGTGGCGTGCATGGGCGGACCCATTAACTTCGGGGCGCTCTTTCCATGGGAGCACTATCACTCACTGAGGACCGATCAATATTTCATCTGCACAGCATCTTGACTGAGGATGTCTGGACCCATTGTGGGCCTTGGTGATAATGAGTCCTTTATTCAAGCCAGCTTGTAGGAACAAGAAGATAAAGAAAAGGGGAGAGAATTATAGCACATGCTCAGGAAAGGATTGTAAAGGTTATAAGCAGAAAACAAGAGGAAAGCCACAGAATGGGTAGCAAATTGGAGAAGACGGTGCGGCGGCTTCTGAAGTCATAAAAAAGGAAGTAATAAAGTGAAGTAATAAAGAAAGAAGTAATAAAGAAAAGAAGAGAGGGGATATTTTCATAGAGTTTTCCTTAACATGCACAAAATCTGTGTTATAATGTCTTTTGAAATGCATGCTTTTGTAAAAGTTAACTTTATTAACCTTTGAGGGTTAACAGACAAGTATTTTTCTAATATTCTGAGTAATTTAAGGATTTGTCCTATAAATAAGATCTTTGACCCACATCCCCCCCTTAGACGAAGCCCAAAGATGGGACTTCCGGAAGGTTCCTGATTTCCTAATTCAAGCGTACCACTTTCCCAATGATTTCCACATCCCCTCGCTGCGGCCCCAGGTTCAGCAGTTGCTGCAGAGCTGGATGAAAAGGCTTGAGGTCAGCACATTGTAGAGTGTTGACATTAAACATCTATATCATGTGGCTGAGCACACGCTTCGCTTAGGGCCGCCTCAGTCTTGCAACAGCCATCTGGCCACTTCCAAGTAGTCATGCTTTCCAGCACTCACGAGTCACGTGTGCCGGGCTGTGTCCTAACAACCGGAAGGGAAGAGTCATGCTGGGATGCCCACTTTACTCGTTAGAAAAAGGAGGCTGGAGTCCGGGTGACTTGCCAAGGTCGAGACCCTGGTAGTGTTGGAGGCAGGGTTTGAATTATTTGATTCTAGAACCCAGGTTTTAATAACACTGGCCATGCTGTCTTTAAGATCAGCACCTAATTCCAAAGGTTGTCTTTGTCCATGCCTGTGATCATCTCGTGGTGCGGGGCCATCTTCCCTTCTAAATGAGCCCCTTCTGAGGGGTGGGTCTTCGGAGGAGAGGTACAGAGATACTCACTTCCTTGGGGCCTGGGATCTCCACTCCAGCGGCCCTAGAACCCCTCTACTGCACTGGAGTAGGGGCTCTGGGCCCTGCAGCCTAGAGATACCGGCCCCAGTGGAAGAGCCTGGTGTTTTGGTCTCGGTTTATTTTGCTTTAGCTCATGATGAGTGCAGATGCCAAGATGCAGCAAAGCCCCCAGAAGATGCTGAGGCGTCTTCCTCCATCTGAATTCTCCATGCAGCTGTGGATTCACGTTTCCAGACCAGTGCTTCTAATAGACACACTGCAACGGCTCAAGGTGAATTGGAGAGAACGATTTAGTCCTCCACCGTCTACATCACAGAACCCTGCATTTCCGAGCCCTCTATTTGGGCCATGTTTACCTGTCCCTGCCTGGAGGAAAAGGCTTCTGCCATGGTGGGCGTGATCCCACTGGGCTCAAGGAACAGCCCTTGTGGAGAGGGATTAGAAGGGAAACTGAGGAAGGAGAAGAGAGAACAAAGCTTCAATGAGAAAACTAAATAATAACGAGGAGCAGGGACTGGAAGGTGGGTATGAAGCAGTGTCTGAGCGAGTCAGACCGTGCTATACCCACTGAGGTGGGGAACATGAAGCCTTGACAACTCTAGATTTTAGATTATCTACATCCGTAAAACAACTTAATGTTAACAGCCAATGCCACCAATACAAAGATGCCATTTTAGCAAATGTGACAGATGAAAGGTTAATATGTTTAAAAGAAGTAGTTCTGACATATACATTTAAAAACTCACAAAAAGCAATAAAAAATGACGAAAAAAATTAATAGGCAACTAACAAAAGAAGAGCAATATGCCAAAATATCTTTTTCATCTCCTTAGCGATGAAACAAATTGCAACTTGAATGCTATACTAGAACTTGCTCCTCAAAAAAAATGAAGGAGTTGTACAGCAGAGCCAGTTCTCCCTTGGGCTGGGTGGACAGCACGCCGCGTGCACTGCCCAGGGCGTGAGGACCACGCACACCTGTCTGGGGGATGTGGAGACCTGGCGATCAGGAGCCTGGAAGATGCAGAAAGTCGCTCATGCGCTGGCTCTGGTTCTAGGGTAGAGCACCGGGAAATACGCAGACAGGGACAGATGCAGGCAGAAACTTATTTAGTGCTGTTTAAATTAAGTATGTCACAGGTAATGATTTCGTGATTTAAAAAGTAAACTTTAAAATGGATGTAAAACAAGAGTATCAATATCTCTGGATGAAAAGCAGAATAAGAGAAGAGCCAGTGCTGGTGAAAGTATCATTGAGTCTGAGATTTGCGGAGATTTGCTGACGCTGCTGGAAGGGTCTGAACGAATGGGAAACAGCTCAGAGGCTGAACCCAGACCCCGCAGGTGCACAGCAAGGGAGCCGAGTTTCCTCCAGCGCTTGAAAAAAAAGTGTTTACTTTGCCAGCGGACCTTGTCGCAGGAGTGGAGGAACGGCCTGGAAGCGCACTTGTGATCTCAGCAAACTGCTGAAATCTGTACTGATTGAGGAAAAGTATCCCTGTTAAAGGACGCGTGTTCATGTATGAAAGAAGTGGCTTGAAATGGAAGATCGTTCTTGTTCCCGTGTCTATAATTTAACATCTGAATATTCTAGCATGAGATTTCTTCTAATCTGTGCCATGATTAAGGAGCCATGCCATCCTGTTGTCAGGTGGATTAGTCAGGGTTCTCCAGAGGGACAGAACTAATAGGATATATCTATATCTATTTCTATATCTGTATCTATATATGGGAGTTTATATAGTTTATTTATAAATGATATATAAACTATATACAGAGGAGTTTATTAAGTATTATATATAAAATAATATTATATAATATATAATATATAATAATAGATTATATTATATATACTATAGTATATATAATATAATAAATTATATTATATATACTATAGTATATATAATATATAATAAATTATATTATATATACTATAGTATATATAATATATAATAAATTATATATTATATATACTATAGTATATATAATGTATCATATATAATAAATTATATTATATATAATATAATAAATTATATATAATATATTATATTTTATATTATATATAATATATTATATATTATATTTTATATTATATAATATATTATATATTATATATTATATATGATATCATATATTATATATTATATTTTATATATGATATATTATATATTATATCATATATGATATAATATATTATATAATATAATATATGATATAATATATGATATAATATATTATATATTATATTTTATATATGATATAATATATTATTTCATATATTATATATTATATTTTATATATGATATAATATATTATATATGATATAACATATTATATATTATATGATATAATATTTTATATATGATATAATATATTATATATTATATCATATATAAAATATTATATCATATAATATATAATATATTATATAAAATATTATATTATATAATATATAATATATGATATAAAATATTATATTATATAATGTATAATATATTATATAAACTATTATATTATATAATATAATATATAATATAATATATCATATATTATATAATATAATATATCATATATTATATAATATAATATATGATATAATATATTATATATTATATGTACATATATTATATGTACTGTTATACTCTTTTTCTTTCCAGTAAATTGTGTGTGGGCAGCAGGGAGGGGAGGATATGGAAAATACTTGAATTCCTCTCTGAACTTCTCTTTCGAAAATGATTGGTACTTTAATGTGCTGGTTAATACTGAGTGTCAACTTCAGTGGATTGAAGGATGCAAAGTATTGATCCTGGGTGTGTCTGTGAGGGTGTTGCCAAGGAAGATTAACATTTGAGTCAGTGGGCTGGGAAAGGCAGATCCACCCTTAATCTGGTGGGCACCATCTAATCAGCTTCCAGAGAATATAAAGCAGGCAGAAAACCATGAAAGGGAAAGATGGGCCTAGCCTCCCAGCCTACAGCTTTCTCCTGTGCAGGATGCTTCCTGCCCTTGAACACTGGACTCCAAGTTCTTCAGTTTTGTGACTCGAAGTGGCTCTCCTTGCTCCTCAGCCTGCAGAGGGCCTATGGTGGGACATTATGAAAGTGTAAGTTAATACTTAATAAAATCCCACATATATTTTATATAAATATATATTATATATTATATATATAATACATATTTATTATATATAAAGCATCGTTTTCTGCCTGCTTTATATTCTCTGGAAGCTGATTAGATGGTGCCCACCAGATTAAGGGTGGATCTGCCTTTCCCAGCCCACTGACTCAAATGTTAATCTTCCTTGGCAACACCCTCACAGACACACCCAGGATCAATACTTTGCATCCTTCAATCCACTGAAGTTGACACTCAGTATTAACCAGCACATTAAAGTATCAATCATTTTCGAAAGAGAAGTTCAGAGAGGAATTCAAGTATTTTCCATATCCTCCCCTCCCTGCTGCCCACACACAATTTACTGGAAAGAAAAAGAGTATAACAGTTCTAGGAAGATGGGACAAGATATCCCTAAACCCAAGGTCCCTGTGGATGAGGACACCAGCAATGGTGGCCAGTCCTGCTGGGTACTCACCTGTGTGTGGAGGAAAGTGCAGGGAAGCAGCCCTGAATCCACTGAGTCTGGGGTGAGGAGACAGCCTAGGATCCAAGGGGTGTTTCCCGGAAAGCCCTGCAGCCACCCAGAGCTAGGCAGCAGGTGCAGGGGAGAGCTCTGTCCCCTCAGATAGAGGGCTGGCTGGAGTGCTGGCCAGGTCAGCCCTAACGGCTCCCTCCCAGGCAGGGCCCCATGTGGAGGATAAGCTGCTTTGATCTGACTGGACAGAGGGAGCAGGACAGAGACGCTGGAGGTGGAGGAATGGGGTCTAGAGAAAAGGGAGCCTGGCAGAGCCGAGAATCTCAGAAAGCAGCAGCTGTTTTCACACAGTGAAAAACGGAACCCCAGGAAGAATTCCATGAAGACAGAAAAAATATCAGGAGCCATACCAACTCCTCAAGTTCAGGAAACTTAACTCTCATGGAAACCAGCAATGAAAGAGCACCCAGGTCAAGCCCCACACAAAGCTTTAGCTAGAAAAGGACAGAAGAACATCCCTGCAATAACAGAAGAGCACACAGATCCACCCTCCAGTGGGCTCATTCTAAAGAAGCTAAAAAAAGAGACACAAAATAGGAAAACAAACCACCAACAGCAAATATCAGAATCAGGAAGACACAAAAATGAGGTAAAAGAACCCGGGAAGTAATTGGAAGAAAGCCATCAAAAACAAATAAAGAAATAAAAATTTAAATGAGCAAACAAAAAAGATAGAATAAAAAATTTACAAATAAAAAAAGGAAGAGATGAAAAGATTTGAAAATGACAAATACTCAAGAAAAGCAACGAAATTTTGACATATTAATAATTGGCGTCCCTGGAAAGAAAAATCAAAATAAAAAGAAACAGAAGAAATACTAAAAACTATACTTCAAGAACACTTTTCTGAAATTAAAAGAAAGGAGAAGATTTGAAACTGCATATTGAGAGAGCACAGCATGTGTCTGAGAATATAAACGTGAATGGCCAAAGTCAAGAGATTTTAGTAAATTTCCTGGCCTTAACAAAAGAAGGGAAGGAAGGAAGGAAGGAAGAAAGGAAGGAAGGGAGGGAGGGAGGAAGGGAGGGAGGGAGGGAGGGAGAAAGGTAGGCATTTTTTGAGGTCCAGGCAAAAATAACAAGTGATTTATAAGGAGAGAAAATGATAATTGTCATTTTTTTCAGCAACACATTATGCCAGAAGTAAATGGAGTAACTTAGTTGTTATGTTTAAGAAAATAAGAACCAATGATTTTATAGCCAGAGAAAGGTTCTGTTAGTTACCTATTGTCTGTCATCAACATGTAAATCTCTGAAGGAATATTATTGCTATGATTCTTTCTGAGAAGTCAGGAATTGGTTCTGCTAGAGAATCCTGTGTTTCTGTTGGGTTTTCAATCTGCTCCCCCCTCATATCTTTGTGACTTTATGGGTAAGTAATATTGGTCCTTGTCTTTGACAAGCATTTCAAATATTGCTTTCTCAACTAGTTTGAATTTGTTTATAATGGTTATAGGTGTTTTTTTTTTCTTTTGGACACCCAGAAGTTTTTGGTTTAATTTGCTTTTTTTCTGGAGAAGGCAACAAATATTCTGTGAATATAGACGAGGAAAGCTTTCCAAGTTTCCAATATAAGTAGCTCTTCTTTGTGGCTGCCACATTAAAATATGGACCAGTCTGTGGCTTCCCCTGATCCAGAGAAGTTTTTATTGCTATCTGGGATGCTAGGTCTCCTTAGAGGCTTCCAAAGTTGCATTTTGCTCTCATTTCCTAGAATGTGTTACCTCTCACCTCCTGGGAGGCTTCCCAAGCTTCTCTCTCCTCTTCCTACAGAAACGCCTGCCCTGATTACTGTCATGTGCTCAGGGGTGGGCCTCCCTTTTCTGAAGGTTTCCAAGATCCATCACCTGCTCCCCAATCCACAACACATGCACCTTTCTGGGTGCTCCCTGTTCTGTCCCATGACAACCCATCTACTGCCAAGACTTGCTGTCCTCTGCCTCTGGAAGCCTTTACCTGCATTGTGGACTGTGCAGCTTCTCCTCCTCTCTTCCCAAGGCCCACTGGACGTGTAATTTGTGAGTATTTCTTCCTAATGTTTTGCTTTTTTGTTGGTGTTTTTTCTGAAAAGGAGAAGAAGCATTCAGAACAAAGATGCTGTCATGTTCCAATCAGAACCTACTCCAAAGTCTTCATTTGCTTGTTTTCAGTTTGAAATATATTTCCCATTTTGCTGTAAATTTATTTTTGACATTGGCTATTTAGAGGTGCATTTTTCACTTTAACACTTGTGAAGATAATATTCTAACTATTGTTTTGTTATTAACTTCTACCTGGATTTCATCATGGTTGTATCACATGTGTAATATGATTTCATTCCTTTGAAATGTGTTGACACTTCTTTATGGCCCAAGATTTCATCAATTTTATTAAATCTGCTTGAAAAGAAAGTATCTCATGCAGCGTTCCATATGTTTCCATTAATTAAATGTTTTAATTGTATTTTTCAACTCTTTTACATACTTAGTAAATATTTGGCTGTTGGTTCTATTAACTACTGCAAATGGAGTGATGGTTATTAAAATGTTCTAGTATGTGTGTGGATTCATGCATTCTTCATAAAGTTTTGCTAGTTTTTGCATCACAGCTTTTGAGATCATGTTATTTGGTACATATTAATTACAACGGTTATAATTTCCTGATAAATTTACTTTCATCATTCTGAAATGACCTTTATATTTGGTAATGCTAGTTTCCATTGAGTTTGTGACGGATGTTACAGTTCACATAGTTTTTATTTTATTTATTTATTTATTTTTTGAGATGGAGTCTTGCTCTGCTACCCAGGCTGGAGTGCAGTGGCACGATCTTAGCTCACTGCAAACTTCGCCTCCCAGGTTCAAGCGATTCTCCTGCCTCAGCCTCCGGAGTAGCTGGGATTACAGGCACCCACCACCACACCCAGCTAATTTTTTTTTGTATTTTTAGTAGAGATGGGATTTCACCATCTTGGCCAGGCTGGTCTTTAACTCCTGACCTCGTGATCCACCCACCTCAGCCTCCCAAAGTGCTGTGATTACAGGCTTGAGCCACCGCACCTGGCCAAGCATGGTTCGTAAAAAGGAGCTCAAGATTACCTTCCTTTATTGTCTATGAGAAATTATACTTGCAGATTTTTGAATTCTTCTTTTAAACATTGCCATAGTATTTCGTTTACTTGTTTTTAACCTTTTATAAGATTATTTGATCCATTTATATTTGATATGACTACTCATTTTTGTTTAAATCCACTATCATATTATGGCTGTTAATTCTCCTACTTATTCTATATTCTTTTGTCTTTTCTTTTCTTTTATTTTTGGAATATAGTGACATTTTTATTATTTTGCTTTTTCCTCTTTCTAGTCTCTTGTTATATATTTTTATTTCTATTCTTCTATGTTAAAAACTGTACCAGCCATACTTTACATACCAAAGCCTAAAGTTAATTAACACTTTTATATTCTTCTCAGATTATATAAAGATTTTAGAACATTTTAATTCCATTTACTTTCCTCAAAACTTACATAAAATTGTTATTAAGTATTTTGACTTTTTTATTTTTAAGCACAGGAGATATTATTTTATACAGCCTAAAATCTTTTAGATTTCCCACATATTTTATAGCTTTCTTTGTGCTTTATTCCTTCTTGAATCTCAGAATTCTAATCTGGGATTATTTTCATGCTGCCTGAAACAGATCTTCTAGAATTTCCTTTAGTGTGGACTTGTTTGTAGCTATTTTTTTCGATAGTTCTTTTATTTTTTTTCTCACCCTTGAAAGCATATTTTGGGTCTGGAACTCAAGGTTGGTGGTGATTTTATTTAACATATTTAAAAAGTTATTCTTCTGTCTTCTGGCTTCCATTGATGCTGCTGACAATGTCTAACCATGGCTGTTTTTAAGGCATTATTTGCCGTCATTCCTGCTTGGCTGATTTTAACTTTTGCACCATGGTTTGGGAAGAGTTAGGTTTCTTTTTATTTACTTTTCTTAGGATTCACTGGGCTTCTTGAGTCTGTGGTTTACACTAATTTTGATTAATTTTACAAAATTTTTCTGCCATTATCACTTTGAAAACTGTTTTGCCTTTGCTTTTCTTCTCTTGGGACTCCTGTTAAATACGTTTAGATTTTCTCTGCTTCCATCCTTTTGAAACTCCGTGTCTCATTCTGGTTAACTTTTCTTAATTTAGCTACCCTCTCACTAATTCTCCTTAGCTATCTGCAATTTGCTGTGAAGGTTTTTACTGAATGTGTTATTTAGGTTAATTTGTCATTTCTAAAAGGTCTATCTAGATATGTTTCAAATCTGCCTGGGCACTGTTTATAATATCCTCCTTTCACTCATATTTTAAATTCATTTTCTTGTTTAATTATTTTGAAAAATCTTTGGGGGGCTGAGGAATGAGGATCACTTGATCCCAGGAGTTGGAGGCTGCAGTGAGCTACAATTGCACCACTGTACTCCACATGGGGTGAGAGAGTAAGACTCAGTCTCAAAAATAAAATAAAATAAAATAAAATTCTGTGTCAAATAATTTTATTATCTGGAATATTTCCCATCCTACTTGTTGTATGTTTCTTTTGTTAGATTTTGTTTGCTTGCTTGTTTATTTTTATCATAGATACTTGATTCCTTTGTGTGACCAATTGCTTTTGACTGTGTGCTCATCAGGAACTTAAATATTTATTTGAGGCCTAGAATGAAGGCACATTGTTCCAGAAAATGTTTCCATTTGCTTCATTTTTTTAAATCACTTTATGCTACCTAGATTTGCCACCTTTATTTTAAGTTAGGAATCAGAAACTCATTTCCTGTTGATTACAGTGAGTGTCAAGGAGGTTATAGGGATATTGTAAACCCAACCAGAGTCCTCTTCTGCCCTTGCTGAAATGTCCATTAATTGAGCATGTGTATGCTAAGCACTAGGCAAACACTATCTTATTTAATTTAGACCTGCGAAGTCAGTAATGTTCTCTAGACTATATGGGTAGTGGGATTTTATTTATTTAATTTTTAAATTTTATTTTTCCATAAGTTATTGGGGTACAGGTGGTATTCGGTTACATGGGTAAGTTCTTCAGTGGAGATTTGTGAGAGCCTGGTGCATCCATCACCTGAGCAGTATACATTGCATCATATTTGTTCTCTTTTATCCCTCACCCCCTCTCACTCTTCCCAACTAGCCCCCAAAGTCCATTGTATCATTCTTATGCCTTTGCATCCATTTGCTTCTGCCAGTGGCCTTCAGTCACTACCAGTCTAGGATCATTTGTGTTTAAGAATTGTGGTTCTGAGCAAAAAGAACAAAGTTGGAGGAATCACATCACCTAACTTCAAAATATATTACAAGGTGATAGTAGCCAAAATGGCATGATATTAATATAAAAATAGAAACATAGACCAATGGAACAGAATGAAGGACCCAGATATAAATTCACATATTTACAGCCAACTGATCTTTGACAAAGGAGCCAAGAACATACGTTAGAGAACACCTTCTTTAACAAATGGTGCTGGAGTTCACATGCTAAATAATGAAACGGACCCCTATCTCTTACCATATTAACTCAAGATGGATGAAAGATTTAAATGTAAGACTCAACACTATAAAACTACTAGAAGAAAACTTTGATGGAAATACTTTGGGTATTGACCCAAGTGACCATTTTATGGCTAAGACCTCAAAAACACAGACAACTAAAACAAAAATAGACAAATAGGACTATATTAAACTAAAAAGCTTCTGAACAGCAAAGGAAACAGTCAAGAGTGTGAAGAGACAACCTGTGAAATGAAAGAAAATTTTTGCAAAGTATTCATCCAACAAGGCACGAAATTCCAGAGTATAAAATGGGCTCAAACAACTCAACAGTAAAAGAATCAAATAATACCATTAAAAAGTGGGCAAAGTACATGAATAGGCAATCTTAAAAGAAGACATACAAATGACCAACAGATGTATGAAAAATTGCTCAACATCACTAATCATCAGAGAAATGCAAATCAAAACCACAATGAGATCATTATACCACAGTTAGAATGGGTGTTATGAAAAAGACAAAAAATAATAGATGCTGGTGAGGATGTGGAGAAAAGGAATTCTTGTACACTATTGGTGAAAATGTAAATTAGTACGGCCACTGTGGAATACAGGATTACAATTTCTTAAAAAAAGAAAAATAGAACTACCATACAATCTAGCAATACCACTACTGGGTATCTAGCCGAAGGAAAAGAAATCAGTATACGAAAGGGATACCTACACTTGCATGTTTATGGCAGCACTATTCACAATAGCAAAGATAAGCAACAAACCTAAATGTCCACGGATCCCATGGATGAATGGATAAAGAAAATGTGAACCAACATTGCATCCCGGGGATGAAGGCTACTTGATCATGGAAGATTAGTGTTTTGATGTGCTGCTGGATTCAGTTTGCAAGTATTTTGTTGAGGATTTTCTTCATCGATGTTCATCAGGGATATTGGCCTGAAGTTTTTTTTCTTTTTTGTTTTGTCTCTGCCAGGTTTTGGTATCAAGATGATGCTGGCCTCATAGAATGAGTTGGGGAGGAGTCCATCCTCCTCAATTTTTTGGAATAGTTTCTATAGGAATGGTACCAGCTTTTCTTTGTGCATCTGGTAGAATTCAGCTGTGAGTCCCTCAGGTCCTGGGTATTTTTTATTGGTAGGCTATTTATTACTGATTTAATTTTGGAGTGCGTTATTGGTCTGTTAAGGCAATCAATTTATTCCTGGCTTAGTCTTGGGAGGATGTATGTGTCCAGGAATGTATCCATCTCTTCTAGGTTTTCTAGTTTGTGTGCATAGAAATGTTCGCAGTAGTTTCTGATGGTTGTTTTTATTTATATGGGGTCAGTAGTAATAGTCCCTTTGCCATTTCTAATTGCATTTATTTGTATCTTCTCTCTTTCTTCTTTATTAGTCTAGCTAGTGGTCTATTTTATTATTTTTTTCAAAAAAACAGTTCCTGGGTTCATTGATCTTTTGAATTGTTTTTTCATGTCTCAATTTTCTTCAGTTCAGCTCTGATTTTTGTTATTTCTCATCTTCTGCTAGCTTTGGGGTTGATTTGTTCTTTCTTCTCTAATTCTTTCAGTTTTGAAGTTAGGTTGTTAATTTGAGATCTTTCTAACTTTTTAAAGTGGGCATTTAGTGCTATGAATTTCCCTCTTAATACTGCCATAGCAGCATCCCAGAGACTGTGGTATGTTGTATCTTTGTTCTAACTATTTTCAAATAACTTCTTGATGTCTACCTTAATTTTATTATTTACCCCAAAGTCATTCAGAAGCATGTTGTTTAATTTCCATGTAGTTGCATAAATTTCAGCAATTTTCATAGTTTTGACTTCTATTTTTATTGTGCTATGGTCCAAGAGTATGTTTGGTGTGATTTTGGTTCTTTAACATTTGTTGAGGATTGTTTTATGTCCAATTATGTGGTTGATTTTAGAGTATGTACCATGTGGCAATGAGAAGAATGTATATTCTGTTGTTTTTGGGTGGAGACTTCTGTGAAGATCTATCAGATCTATTTAGTCCAATGTTGACTTCAGGTCCTGAATATGTATGTTAATTTTCTGCCTCAATGATCTGTCTTGTCAGTGGAGTGTTTAAGTCTCCCATTATTACTGTGTGGGAGTCTAAGTCTCTTTGTAGGTCTCTAAGAACTTGCTTTATGGATCTTGGTGCTCCTGTGTTGGGTGCATATATATTTATAATAGTTAAGCCTTCTTATTTAATTGAACACTTTACTATTATGTAATTCCCTTCTTCATCTGTTTTGATCTTTGTTCGTTGGCAGTCTGTTTTGTCTGAAATTAGGATTATAAGGTTGGCTCAACTTATGCAAATCAATAAATGAGATTCATCACATAAACGGGACTAAAGACAAAAAACACATGATTATCTCAATAGACACAGAAAAGGCTTTTGGTAAAATTCAACACCCCTTCATGTTAAAAATTCTCAATAAACTAGGTATTGAATGAACACACCTTAAAATAATAAGAGCCATCTGTGACAAACCCACAGCCAACATTATACAGAATGGGCAAAAGCTGGAAGCATTCCCCTTGAAAACTGGCATGAGACAAGGATACCTTCTCTCACCACTTCTATTCAACATAGTATTGCAAGTGCTATCCAGAGCAATCAGGCAAGAGAAAGAAATGAAGGACATCCAAATAGGAAGAGAAGAAGTCAAACTATCCCTCTTTACAGATGACATGATTTTACATCTAGAAAACCCCACAGGGTTGGGTGCAAAGCTCCTTCAGCTGATAAACAACTTCAGCAAAATTGCGGGATACAAGATCAATGTACAAAAATCACTAGCATTTCTAGACATCAACAACACCCAAACCGAGAGCCAAATGGAAAGGCACTCCATTCCCAATTGTCACAGAAAGAATGAAATAGGAAGGAATACAACTAACCAGGGAGGTGAAAGATATCTACGATGAGAAGTACAAAACACTGCAAAAACGTTCCATGATCATGCATAGGAAGAATCTATATCATTAAAATGTCCATACTGCCCAAAGCAACTCACAGATTTGATGGTATTCCTATCAAACTATCAAAAACATTCTTCACAGAACTAGTAAAAACTATCTTAAAATTGATATGGAACCAAAAAAGAGCCTGAATATCCAAGGCAATCCTAGGCAAAAGGAACAATGCTGGAGGCATCATGTTACCTGACTTTAAACTATACTACAAGACTACAGCAAGCAAAACAGCATGGTATTGGTGCAAAAACAGGAATATAGACCAATAGAACAGAATAGAGAGCCTAACAGTAAGGCACACATCTACAACCATCTGTGTCTGATCTTTGACAAAGTTGGCAAAAATAACCAATGGAGAAAAGACTCCCTATTCAATAAATGGTGCTGGGATAACTGAATACCCATAGCAAAAGACTGAAGTTGGACTTCTTCCTTACACCACACACAGAAAGCAACCAAGATGGATTAAAGACTTAAACATATAACCCAAAACTATAAAAACCCTGGAAGACAATGTAGGCAATATTATCCTGGACATAGAAATAAAGATTTCATGACAAAGACATCAAAAGCAATCAAAACAAATGCAAAAATTGACAAGTGGAATCTGATTAAACTAAAGAATTTCTGCACAGCAAAATAGACTATCAACAGAATAAACAGACAACCTACAGAATGGGAGAAAATGCATTCAAACTATGTGTCTGCTAAAGATCGAATATCCAGCATCTATACAAAATGTAAATAAATTTGCAAGAGAAAAACAAACAACCCCATTAAAATGTGGGCAGAGGACATGAACACACACTTCTCCAAAGAAGACATACATGCTGCCAACAAACATAAGAAAAAAGCTCAGTGTCACTGCTCATTAGAGAAATGCACATCAAAATCACAATGAGATACCATCTCACACCAGTAAGAATGGCTATTATTAAAAAGGCAAACAAACAAAAAGCAGATGCCGGAGAGGCTGCAGAGAAAAGGGAACACTTACACACTGTTGGTGGGAGTGTAAATTAGTTCAACCATTGTGGAAAGCAGTATGGCAATTTCTCAAAGAGTTAAAAGCACAACTACCATTGGATCTGGCAGTCTCATTACTGGGTAGATACCGAGAAGAATATAAAACATTCTACCATAAAGATACTCTCATATGAATGTTCATTGCAGCACTATTCACAATAGCAAAGACATGGAATTAACCTGAATGCTCATCAGTGACAGGTTGGATAAAGAAAATGTGGTAAATACACACCATGGAATACTATGCAGCCATGAAAAACAATGAGATCATGTCCTTGGCAGGGACATGGCTGGAGCTGGAGGCTATAATCCTTAGCAAACTAACACAGGAACAGAAAACGAAATACCACACATTCTCACAAGATCAAGGTCTTCTACTCGATCTTATAAGTGGGAGTGAAATGATAAGAACTTATGAACACAAAGAAGGAAACAGCAGACACTGGGGTCTACCTGAGAGGGGAGGGTGGGAGGAGGATGAGGAGCAGAAAAGACAACTATCGGGTACTGGGCTTAATAGCTGGGTGATGAAATAATATGTACTGCAAACCCCCCTGATACATGTTTACACAAACCTTCATATGGATCTCTGAACCTAAAATAAAAGTTACGAAAAGGAAATGTGGTATATGTACATAATGGAATACTATTTGCCATAAAAAAGAATGAGATTATGTTATTTGCAGCAACATAGATGGAACTGGACGTCTTTATGTTAAGTGAAATAAGCAAGGCAGAGAAAGACAAATACCGCATGTTTTCAATCGTGTGTGTGGGAGCTAAGCAATTTGATCTCACGGAGTTAGAAAGCAGCATGACAGACACCAGAGGTATCTGTATGAGAGGGATGGCTACAAGCTTGCAGTTACATAGAAGACATCAGTTCTTTTTTTTTTTTTTTTTTTTTTGACGGATTCTCGCTCTGTTGCCCAGCTGGAGTGTAGTGGTTTGATACCAGCTCACTGCAACCTCCGCCTCCCAGATTCAAGCGATTCTCCTGCCTCAGCCTCCAGAGTAGCTGGGACTACAGACACATGCCATCATGCCCAGCTGATTTTTGTACTTTTAGTAGAGATGGGGTTTCACCATGTTGGCCAGGATGGTCTCAATCTCTTGACCTCGTGACCCGCCCGCCTCAGCCTCCCAAAGTACTGGGATTACAGGCGTCAGCCACTGTGCCCAGCCAAGACATCAGTTCTAATGTTTGCTTGTGGACTACAGTGACTATAGTTACCAGCAATGCATTGTATGTATTAATGTAGCCAGAAGAGAGGACTGGAAATTTCCCCAACACAGAAACGATAAACACTTACGATGGGGAATACCCCAAACACCCCAACTTGATCATTACACATTCCGCGAGCCACCCCGCCCAGCTGCAACTGCTTCTGGGGAAATAGGGATCAGACTATCAGAAGAACGCCGCCCAGTCGCCCGGATTACAGATGGACAGTTTAGAATATCAGAGGTCATGTGACTATGAAATGAACACGAACTGTCTATTCCTTTGTCTATTTGAACGAAAATAAATAAATCAGGGCCATTTTTATATAAATGTTGTTTACCATGCCAGGGGGAAGTAGAGTCAAAAACAAGATTGGGAACAGGCATGGAACACACAGTGGGTGGGTGGGGACCAGAGCGTGTGGCTTCATATGTCACCTCCAGCGCACTCTCAGGACCCTGTGGACATGTGAGCAGGGCTTGGAGAACCGGTGTAGGCACAGGTCTGGGCCTACAGTTCCATCACCTTAGCCCAGGTGAGCACCCGATTTGCACGTCAAGATTTTCCTGTCCAGCACTAAAGACAGCACCTTAGTGCTGGGTGGAGGCTCCGCTGACCCCTGCAGTGGGCCATGTCATATTCCTGATATTTTAAACAGGGAGTGCAGAGGATCCCTGCCCCAGAAACCCAGGGGAGGTTAAAGATGTGATTCTGGTTCTTAATGAGGTTTTCTTTCTTTTAGTTAGTGATTTAAAATACACCTAGTTAATGCTGATGTTTAAAGGTACAAGAGCCCCCAGAAGTCAACCACAAATTAAAAGCCAGGCAAAAACATGGACTTGTGAGGAATTCAAGGAAACAATTAGCTAACAGGAGCAGTTTAAGTATTTTTCTGCTTAGTATGTACATGCTGCTGTTGTTTTCTTAACTGTTGCTTAGTAGAACGAAGTACAGTGAGATGTTTAATATGCACATGTTGGGCACGCCACAGGGTAAGCAGCCAGATGTGTCCCGGGCCATGTGGGAATGAGTGGGAGGCTGGGATGGCGTCAAGGGCCAGGAGTGCGTGCGTTCTGAGGGATGCCACTGCCCTAAAGTGAAAGCAGAATTGCCTGATGTAACCTTTGTCCTCTATTGCCATGTGGAAGACGAGTCAGGTTTTTAGTTTTGTCTGGAGCAGGCGAACAAGCTGTCTGGGGTGAAATGATTTCAGATGAACGATAATTAAAACAATCAGAATCATTTCCTATGTCTGTTATCTGCCCTCATCACAGATGTCAAAAGCCATTGGCCCCACGTGACCCGCTCTGCTCTTCCCCGCATGGGCTCTCTAAGGTGCTGGCAGCCCTGGGAAGATGCCGTCCTTGGCTCTGCCCTGGGGAACGACCCCTCACATCCCAGGAGATGGAGCCATCCCGGAAGGTGAGCTGCTCAGAGCCCGCAGGAATCAGCGCCAGTGTTGGACATTCATAGATACTCAAGGAATTAACTGTCTCTGTCTCATAGCTGTGTCCAATCATGATTCATGTGACACTTGCTGAAGACAGAGGATAGAAAGAGGTCCGTGGGATATACCCCATAGGACAAACCTGCATAGTACCCCTGAGTCTAAATAAAAGCTGAAATTTAAAAAAGTAAGGAGCAGATGCCAATTAAGGGGTGGCTTACAAGCACTGGACCCAAATCTGAATGTAAGAAGATAATTTGCTGAAGAGGCATAAGCTAGCACTTGGGATGGACCAGATGGCTAGAGAAGGAAGATGAGGCACAGATAAGATCAAGACAGAAACCTGATCAGCTGTAGGGCACATGTGCTGGTCAGGTCCCCAAAACCCTGGGCACTCAGTGTAAGATGTAACCCAAGCGATTAGTGCCCAAGGGTCTGGGGCCCAAGCCTCACCTCCTCAAGATAAGCTTCAGGGCCACACCCAGCAGACCCACCTGTCAGAAGCCACACCTGGGAGGCATTAACCAAGGCACCTGCTCTCTCAGTCTCCTGTAATGTGAAGAAGGCCTGCCCCTCCGTGCATGCAGTCCCCTGAGTGGGATGGGGTTTAGGCCACACCCCTGAGCAGGAATTCTGTCTTCTTTATAAAGCCCTGGAGGCTGGATTCATTTCCTTAAAGGTAGCGAGATTCAGACTCGTGGCTTCCGGTCTGGCAGGAGAGATTTTGGGAGTCCTCACTCCCATCCCCAGCTTTATCTTTGGGGAAAAAGCTGAGCGAACTGAAAATTGACAGTTCTTCTTAGATCCCTCAGAGAAGTCAAGGCCCAGGGCTGCCCCAATCGGAGCCACAGACAGGTGAGTGCAGAGCCACAGCGTTGCCCCCGAGGCAGGACCCTCCACAGGAGCCAGCGTCCCAGTGCGAGGCCGGAAACTGGAGCCATCCTGGACCAGTTGCTGCAGGCTCAACATAGACGGATCTGAGGCTACACGCTCCAGGGTCCTGTCTTAGGGAAACCTCACACACTTCTGTGGATTTTACCTCAAGGGGCTTGGCCGGGTCCTCACAATGAAGATCAGAGAAAAATCCCCTCCTGCTTCTGCCGGGAGAGGAGAAACGAATTATTTAGAAATAACCAGAGCCCTTGGTTCTTCTTGACAAGGCCTCTCTGCAAGGGAAACTCTTTTACCAGAGACTCACCCACCGACGGGGAGAGAAATGCCCACCTCCAGCCCATGCTAGCGGTGCTGTCCCGCCCAAAGAAACTGAGAAGCCGCAGCCCAGGAACGCAGGTTCGCTAGGAGACCCAGAGCAACTGCAGGACCACAGAGCCCGCCCCGCACCTCGTCACCCCATCCACGGGCTCCTGCCCACAGCAGGGCCCCACGGAGAGAACTGCAAGCCCAGACCTCACTCACGAGAGCGACTTTCTTCACTGCTTAACATCAAGTTCAGAATATCTGACTTCAGGAGCGGTGGCTCACGCCTGTAATCCCAGCACTTTGGGAGGCCGAGGCGGACAGATCACGAGGTCAGGAGTTCGAGACCAGCCTGACCAACATGGTGAAACCCCATCTCTACTAAAAATACAAAAATTAGCCAGGTGTGGTGGTGCACGCCTGTAATCCCAGCTACTCAGGAGGCAGAGGCAGAAGAAACCCTTGAACCCGGGAGGCAGAGGTTCCAGTGAGCTGAGATCATGCCACTGCACTCCAGCCTGGGTGACAGAGTGGGACTCCATCTAAAAAAAAAAAAAAAAAAGTAAAAGAATATCTGACTTCAGAGTTGGTTTGATTGGCTTTTAGCAAATAGTGTTGTTTAGTAATGTCATTGGACAACTCTCAGGCCTGTGTCCGTATTTCCAATTTTATGTGTCCTTTCTTTCACTTTATCCCTTGAATTAGATAGAATGTAAATGACTTTGGCTTTTCTAGGGACAATTGTGAGCTGACTGTATCAAAAGTATTGTCTACACATGACCATGACCCATATCCTAGAAAAGGCTGTGTCCATTTTCTGTAAGTGACTAAAATAGGCTGTTTTAGGATTATTTACCTCTTTGCCAGAAGGGAAAACATAATAAAATATATTTGATTATTGACAGGAGATTACTTTAGCATTGCTTAAATTGCAGGTGCATGTGCACAATTTAAGTGACTTAATGAATTGCCGTTTGAGAATCAATTTATGAAATGGAGCAAGCACTGAAGTGAAGCAGCATCAGGCCCTGCCCTGGCTCCCCGGGGACCTGCCAACGGTGCCTCACACCCCGGCTTCAGCTGCCTTTGTTTTGTAAGAGGCATTTTATGGCTGAAAAACAACAAATAGAGGTTGACTTTCTATGCTCCCCAGCCTAGAATCTGCTTTGCAGAAGCCTACAGTGAGATTATTCAAGGACACCATTAAATCTGGGCTCCGACAAGTTATTTCAATTATTGAAGTAAAGAAGTAGATTGACCCAGGTGAGCGTGCCCTTGTGAGGGCCGTGCCCCTGGTGAGGGGCTCTTGGCCTGGCTCTGGTGGCACACATGTGGTAGGCGGTGCTCGGTGATGCTGTGGAGCTTGGGGTCGGTGGGGTGAGTGAGTGAGGACCCAGCTTGCAGCCAGCACTCAGGGCTCTGATGCACCCAGCACTGTCCACATTTGAGGTGCCCTGACCCCTCCGGTCTAATGTTTCCAGCTGGTGTCTTTGCATCCGCACTTGGGTGCCTGCTATCATTGCAGATTTGGGAATTCCACCCCAGACCTATAGGATTCGGTGGATTTTCTAGGATTAGGTATTCTCAGTGACTCCTATGTTCATCAAAGTTAAAAAAAAATAAAAAATAAAACTTGCTCAAGAAGCCCACATCCCCCAAGGCTCCCTCACACCAGAGGGGGCATCTTCATTTCAGGAACAGCTCCTCCCACCTGCACTGCCCCAGGGTCCTGCCCTGGAGGAGTGCGCTGGGCACCGCCGGCCTCCCTTCTCTGCTTCCATTCTCAGCTCCTGGATCTCCAGAGCCTCTCTCTGCTGAAGGAGTGGGTAAAATCTACCCAATGTAAACTTTCTGGATACAACTTGAAAAACCAGTAGAACAATGAGCAGTTGATCCACATGACTTTAGACACCTGGGTATTTGAAGACATCCAATGACTGGCTTCAGATTTTCTGCTTGTCTCACGCAGAAGGGATGTCTCATGCACACAGCCTTTACGCTGTAATGTTCATCCACTCACATTTAATATAATTCACATAGATGGATTTGGGTTTACTATTTTACTGTTATTTAATACATTCTGTTTAGATTCACTGTTTTGTTTTAATCTCCTCTGTGTTATGATAAATTACATATTTTTGGTATTTCATTTTCATTTGCTTTCTAACTACACCTCTTTGCATTATTATTTTAATGATAGCTGCAGGGGTTACAATGTTCATCTTATACATCTGAGAAGATGCTTTGCAGTTTTCTTAGAGTTAATATTGCACCACTTCAAGTGAAATGTAGAAGTTCTACAACCATATAGTTCACCCACCTCACTCACTTATCTTTACAGTATAATTTTTATACAAATTATATCTATATACATTATAGAATCCATGACCCTATTATAATTTTTTATTTAAAAAGGTGTGTATATGAAGTAAACTGAGAGAAAAAATAGTCTTGTAATTAACCACATATTTACTATTTCTGGTGCTTTTCATTCCTTGCTGGAGAAACTGAGTCTCCTTCTAGTATTATTTTTTCTTAGCCTAAAGTGCTTCTTTACTGTGTATAGTACAGTTTGATGGCACTCCTGCCACCCTGCCTTCTCTCCCCTAGTCTGCGCTGATGGCCTCATGCGGAGTTCCCTATGATCAGTTGACAGAGGAAGAGAAGACTGGGGCCTGGTTCACAGATGGTTCTGCACGACATGCAGGCATCACCTGAAGGTGGACAGCTGCAGCACTACAGCCCCTTTCTAGGACATCCCTGGAGGACAGCCATGAAGGGAAATCTTCCCAGTGGGCAGAACTTTGAGCAGTGCACCTGGTTGTGTGCTTTGCATGGAAGGAGAAATGGCCAGATGTGCAATTATATACTGATTCATGGGCTGTGGCCAATGGTTTGGCTGGATGGTCAGGGACTTGGAAGAAGCATGATTGAAAAATTGGTGACAAATAAATTTGAGGAAGAGGTATGTGGACGAATCTCTCTGAGTGGTCAAAAACTGTGAAGATATTTGCATCTCATGTGAGTGCTTACCAAAGGGTGACCTCAGCAGAGGAGGATTTTAATATGACTCGTTCTGTGGACACCACTCAACCTCTTTCCCCAGCCACCTCTGTCATCAGCCAATGGACCCATGAACAAAGTGGCCTTTGTGGCACGTTTGGAGGTTATGCATGGGCTCAGCAACATGGACTTCCACACACTAAGGCTGACGTGGCTACAGTCACTGCTGAGTGCCCAATTTGCTAGCAGCAAAGATCTATGTTGAGCCCTCGATATGACACCATTCCTCGGGGTGATCAGCCAGCTACCTTATGCCAGGTTGATTATATTGGACCTCTTCTATCATGGAAAGGGCAGAGGTTTGTCCTCAGTGGAACAGACATTTACTCTAGATATACCTTTGCCTATCCTGCATGCAATGCTTCTGCCAAGACTACCATCTGTGGCCTCACAGAATGCCTTATCCACCATCATGGTATTCCACACAGCATTGTCTCTGACCAGGGCACTCATTTTACTGCTAAAGAAGTGTGGCAGTGGGCTCATGCTCATGGAATTCACTGGTCTTACCATGTTCTCCATCATCCTGAAGCACCTGGATTAATAGAATGGTGGAATGGCCTTTTGAAGTCTTAATTACAAGGTCAACTAGGCGACAATACTTTTCAGGGCTGGGGCAAAGTCCTCTAAAAGGCTGTGTATGCTCAGAATCAGCATCCAAGATATGCTGTTTCTCTCATAGCCAGAATTCACAGGTTCAGGAATCAAGAGGTGAAAATGGAAGTGGCACCACTCACCATCACCTAGCAAATTTTTTTTGCTAATGTCGTGGGAACAAATTTTTGCCATTTGTTCCCACGACATTATGTTCTGCTGGCCCAGAGGTCTTCGTACCATAGGGAATAATGCTGCCACCAGGAGACACAACAACAATTCCATTGAACTGGAAGTTAAGATTGCCACCTGGACACTTTGAGCTCCTCCTACATTCAAGTCAACAGGCTAAGAAGGGAGTTCCAGTGTTGGCTGGGGTGACTGACCTGGACTATCAAGATGAAATCAGTCTACTACTCCACAGTGGAGGTAAGGAAGAGTATGCATGGAATACAGGAGATCCATTAGGGTGTATCTTAGTATTACCATGCCCTATGATTAAGGTCAATGGGAAACTGCAACAGCCCAATCTGGGCAGGACCACAAATGGCCCGGACCCTTCAGGAATGAAGGTTTGGGTCACTACACCTGGGGGAAAAAAAAAAACACAAGAGAAAAAAACTTGCTGAGGTGCTTGCTGAAGGCAAAGGGAATACAGAATGGGTAATAGAAGAAGGTAGTCATCAATACCAGCTATGACCACGTGACCAGTCGCAGAAAGGACGACTGTAATTATCATGAGCATTTCCTCCTTCTCTTGCTAAAAACATGTTTGTGCATGTATACATTTGCACTACAAAATATATTTATTTTATTTCCTTTTTCCTTTATCATGTGACATAAACTTTATTGACTTCATATCAGCATTTAAGTATTGTTAACTTTATGTAATAGCATTTGGGTTGGGGATTGGTGCATTTCCGGTTGTACAAAGGACAGTTGTATTAGGTCAGCCGTAATTATGGCCTTATTATTGCCTTTATTTGAAGACTATGTATGATCTCTGGTGATGTGTATGGGTTCAAGCTAGCAAGGATTGGAGTTCTTATGGTTAATACTGAGTGTCAACTTGATTGGATTGAAGGATGCAAAGTATTGATCCTGGGTGTGTCTGTGAAGGTGTTGCCAAAGGAGATTAACCTTTGAGTCAGTGGACTGGGAAAGGCAGACCCACTCTTAATCTGGGTGGGCACCATCTAATCAGTTGCTAGCGTGGCTAGAATATAAAGCAGGAAGAAAAACATGAAAAGGCTAGATTGGCTTAGCCTCCCAGCCTACATCTTTCTCCCATGCCAGATGCTTCCTGCCCTCAAACATCAGACTACAAGTTCTTCAGCTTTGGGATTCAGACTGGCTTCCTCACTCCTCAGCTTGCAGATGGACTATTGTGAGACCTTGTGATCATGTGAGTTAATACTGCTTAATAAACTTCCATATATATATATATATATATATATATATAGGATATATATATATATATATAGGATATATATATATATAAAGGATATATATATATAAAGGATATATATATATAAAGGATATATATATATAAAGGATATATATATAAAGGATATATATATATAAAGGATATATATATATATAAAGGATATAGGCTATAGGATATATAGGATATATATATAAAGGATATATATATAAAGGATATAGGCTATAGGATATATAGGACATATATATAGGATATATATCTATATATAAAGGATATATATGTATATATAAAGGATATATATATATCCTATCACATATATATAGGATATATATCTATATATAAAGGATATATATGTATATATAAAGGATATATATCTATATATAAAGGATGTATATATATCTTATCAGTTCTGTTCCTCTAGAGAACACTGACTAATACAATGATGAACCTATCTCCATATCTTTATTTTAATGTCTCTGTATCTTTGTATTTAAAGTAGATTTTTATAGACAACACATATACTTGAGTCTGTTTTCTTAATCCACTTAATGTACTCTGATGATCTTGCTCTTTTAATTGACATATTTAGACCATTCGCATTTACAGTGATGATTTATCTAGTTAGATTAATATTAGCCATATTTGTAACTTTTTTTTTAAATTTGAAGACTTCTGTTTCTGACTCTTCTGGTTTAAACTGACCATTTTATAGGAATCAATTTTATCCTCTCTCTTACCATATCAATTACACTTCTTTAAAATATAGTGGCTTCCATAGAATTTACAATATACATTTTAACTAATCTAAATCCACCTACAAAGAACACTATTCCACTCCATGTGGAGTGCAGGTGCCTTCTAGCAGAGAATTCTTGATTATTCCTGCCTGTCCCTTGTGATATTGCTGTCATTTCATTTACTCACATACTATAATCACCCAATACATTTCACCTTCATTTATCCCTTCCCTGACTCTTTTCTCTTGCGGAGATTCACGTTTCTGATTTATATCACATTCCTTCTTGAAGAGCTGCTTTAATTGTTTCTTTAATGGCAGATCAGCAGGTGATACATTCTCTCAAGAATTTTTTTGGAGGGAGGTCTGAGAAAGACTTTATTTTTTCTTCATTTTTAAAGATAAATTTAATTGGTTATAGAATTCTTGGGGTTTTTCTTCTTAACAATTTAAATATTTCACTCCACTCATATCTTGCTTGTCTGATTTCCGATAAGACGTCAGCTGCAATTCTTATCCTTGTTCTTCTCTCTGGCTTTTTTCAAAATTTTCTCCTCCTTTTTGATTTTTTACAGTTTGAAAATAATATGCTTGTGTATAGTTTTTCTTTTTCTCCCTTCTCCTCCTGTTTCTTCTTCTCCTCTCTTCTTCATCTTATATTTATTCTGCTTTGTGTTGTCTGAGCTTCTAGTATGGGTGGTTTTGAGTCTGTCATTAACATTAACATTTTTCTCCTTTGGTATTACATATATGTATACCTTTTGAAATTTTCCCATTCCCAGTAAAGAATGTTCTCTGTGTGTGTGTGTGTGTGTGTGTGTGTGTGTGTGTGTGTGTGTGTTTATTCTTTCTTCTCTGCATTTTAATTTAGGACATTGTTATTGACCTGTCTTCAAGTTCACTGATTCTCTCTTCAGCTGTATTGGATCACTGGAGCATCAGTGATGCTCACTGATTAACATTCTTTGTTTCTACCACAGTGTTCTTTTTTGGTAGCATTTGTAGCAAATTCTTCAGACTCAGAATTTCCATCATTCTACTTACAGTCCCTGTTTGTTCTCTCATGCTTTCTACTTTTCCCATTACAGCTCCTGACATAGTATTCACAATTATTTACATTCCCATCTGCTCATTCCCTCATCAGGGCCATGGCTGAGTCTGGTTCTGATGCTCACTTTGTCTTTTTAAACTAAGTTTTTGTATTTTTATTTTGTTTTGGTTTTTCCCTTTTGACATGGCTTGTCGTTTTCTGAGGAAAATAGACCTCTGGTATGAGTATTTATGTGAGTGTGGCTAGGAGTTCATCTTTACCTAAAGATTTTTCTAGCTATGGGTGTCAAGGACCTCATATTCTTCTCTAGTCCTCATTTTCTTGGCCTTGGGCTTCCCTAAGAACTCCTCAAGAGTCTGTGTCTTGCAGCTCCTCTATTTAAATTACCAAATTTCCCACGTGCTTCCTTGAAGTCCCCACATCTACACCTCCCAGTGAAAGCCCTGGGATGCTCAGCCTCTGCTTTTTCATCACCTGCACTTCTTAGTTCCCTGGAGGGAGCACATGCTGGGATCATGGGGTTCATCAGAGGAGGACGGAAGAGGAGCATTCATTCAACAGCAATGGAGATAAGGTCGTCAAATAGTGACTTTCTTGGACATGAACCATTGTGGCTGGCCAATGCAATAAAGCCTCATATTTGAACATTATTTGTGCACTTAATGGAAGTTTCTATGTGTTTTATATCACTTAATAATCTAAGGGATGGGAAGTTCTAACGTGGCCATGTCCTGCTCACTGATGTGTGCCTGGCCTAGCATCATGTCAAGCCCATAGAGAGGGGTCAAGAACTATTACATCAAAACAATCTATTTTACAAATGAGGAACTGGAGCTTCCTTATGTGAATGCTTCACGAGCCTATCTATATAACTTTCTGTGCTCAAACGTGGAGGCATCTCCAGAAGTAACCAAGGCAACGTCTGCACCTCAAAATGGACAAGAAGACCTACTAACTCCTGTCACCCTACAGTTGCTCCTGATAACCACTGAGAATACACATGGAGAATCATGGTGGAAGGGACATCTTTGAAGCTCTCCTGACTGAGACTTTAAGACCTAAATGAGCTTTCCTCACCTGTTTGAGAACAGGCAGTTCTGTGGACCTTAGCCCTGAGCCAATGAGAAGGGGTCTCACTCTGGAGCAAACCCAGGTACACTTCTTCTCAAAATACTTGTTTACCACAGTTCACAGGAAAACATGGCAATGAGTGTCAAGGAGTGGGCAGAAAACATAGCTTGTATGCCTATACCACTGGCTCCAGCCCATGTGACTCTAATTGCTGCAGATCCAGCCTTGTGACTCTAATCACTGTGGATACAGACCTATCACTCTAATCCCTGCAGATCCAGCCCATGTGACTCCAATCACTGCAGATCCAGCCCTGTGACTCCAGCCACTGTGGATCCAGCCCTGTGACTCTAATCACTGCAGATCCAGCTCACTTGACTTTAATCACTGCAGATCCAGCCACGTGACTCTAATCACTGCAGATCCAGCCACGTGACTCTAATCACTGCAGATCCAGCCCTGTGACTCTAATTGCTGCAGATCCAGCCCACGTGACTCCATTCGCTGGCCCCAAGAGAGGGAAGCCTGCGAGACCACGGGCCTGGGGAAGCTAGTCGCACGGGTGTGCTGACTTGAGTAGAAGTAGCCCACTAACAAGGTGCTGCAGGCTGGCAGCTGAGCCGGATGCTGACAGTGGGAGGTGGTGAGTCCCTCAGGCTGGTGGAATGGCAATGAGAACTCAGGATCTGGCCAGGAAGCAGCTGCCCCCGAGGCTGAGGCCTTTCCCGGAGGTTTCTGGAGCCCTGTCCTCTCTGGTTTCCAGTCTCTAGTAGTGCCCCATTGGGCAGCAATGAAGAGCCCCACTGTGGCCATGACCTGGCCTAGTCCTCCCTGGAGCATTTGGGCCAGCTCATCTGAACGGGGCTCCCATCTCACCAGAACATTCTCATAAACAATACATTATCTCAATCCTGGGGGAACCATCACTGGACAAGTCCAGCTTGTCCTAAGGTAAGCGACTGTCAGAACCTGAGGCCTTAGAATTTCACACCTCCCCCAGCCCCCACACGAGCTCCTGGAGCTCCACACACACACTGGTTCACACTGTCAGGAAATTACGGTGCCAGCCTGCATGGCTGCTGCATCTCCTCGACGCCACCGGAGGCTTCCTGGTCTCCGAGGTTCCTTTCACAGGCACACCTGAAAGAGGGTTGCAGAGTAGCAACACGTGCCGCATGTTTAAGTAAAATAGGGTTCCTTTTCCTTAAATATTTAACAAACCCTTCAGGATATACGTGGACGTAATTGAAGCATCTCAAGTAAGCGACCAGCCAAGTTTCCAAGATTTAACGTTATCTGAATTACTATTCTAAAAATAAAGTTTTCTTATCTGAAAAAAAATGGCGATCAACAAACACTAGCAAAACAAAACAAAACGCCCTTAACTGTCTGGGAACTGTATTTGAAATTGACATTCAGGAAAATATTGCCTATAAAAAGCAGCTGCCACTGTTGGGTAAAACTTACACTGGGTATGACACAGAGAAAGTGAAGGTGATATCCAGGCGCGGGGCTTCATGAAGTTGGTCACAGAGGGAACCAGCACCAGGACGGAGCCAAAGGCGGTGTGAAGTACTCCCTGCAGCCCCATTCCCTAAGGAGGCTGGCACCTGGACAGGCGTCTGCCCTGAGCATTTCCCCTGCCTCCCTCGCTGTCTCCTTTCCTCTCCCAACTGCCACCTCCGGTCACCCCGACACCTGCAAAGCCTCCCACTTTTATCTGTCTAAGGATGACATCGTGCAAATGCCCTTTCTCAGGCCACTCTTGCAGGCAGTCACTGGGATCTTCCATGATGGGCCAGATGTGTCGCTACACATGGATGCGGCTCTTTCCTGGGGCGTCTGGGGCAGGTGGGGACAGCAGACATTACAGCCAGTGACAGTTGGGGACTTAAACCCACAGCAAAGCCCAGCACATCCTCCTGGGGCTGGGGAATGAAGTTTAGATGTTCATGCCTTGCTTTCTTCAAAACCTGAAATTACTGTGGATGAGCTTACAGTAGATATACCTCAGCAACATGTGCAATAATTAGTGAAAAATAAATGTGCACTTAAGTATTAATGAAATAAATATTTAGCAGGTTATTTGAGATCTTGGTTATATCCTGAAATGTTTAAAAAATAATGAGAGGTTTATTAAATCTTTAAATGATGACTCCATAAGAGTTCTTGCAATGTACCTTTCTTCCTAAGTTCAGAAAATAGAGATTTGTTTTCCAAAGATTGGTGAGCCAACCCTCAGAACAGAAGCTGGAGACAGATGCCCTGGACAGAATGACGAGATCTATGAGAATCTGAAAAACAAGGACTCAGTCACTAGGAACAGGAAGCAAGAGGGACACAGAACAGAGTTAGGGCCTCGCCACATCACTGAGCTGTCTGGAGGACACAGATCTGAGCGTGGTCTTCAGAAACGAGTGCTGGGATGCCACCACAGAGCTCACCCAGGGGAGCTGCTGACTGCTACAAAGTGGAGCGTGGGGAGCTCAGGCTGCCAGGACAAACATGCACAGGTGGGGGCTTACCCAGCAATATCCCCTCTCATGGAGCCGCAGGCTGGGAAGTCCAGGAGGAAGGTGCAGCTGTGGCTCTGGCCAGGGCTCCTCCTGGCTGGTGGAGAGCTGCTTCCTCCTGTGTTTTCGTGCAGTGGGGAGAGGCTGAGGGAGCTCTCTGGGCCCCACCCTCACGACACAATCACCTCCCCAAGGCCCCATCTCCAAATGCCCTTCCCTGGGGGTCAGGAATTCATCCCAGACCTGCAGGGGATTCTAGAAAAGCCGTAGTGCAGCCTCATGGAAGGCCCCTGTAGAGCCACCACCTTGCAACACTGGGAAAAAGGGACATCAGCCGCCAGGGTAAGGGAGACGCCAGTGATCCAGGCCTGCACCAGAAACACAGACCCCAGCCTCCCCTGCCGTGTCCCAGTCAGCCCCGGGCTCAGGTCCTGATTAGGTGAGCTCACAGACAGGTCTCGGCTGCACCAGTGTCTGGAAAGGGACATTTTGGTCTCAGACTTTGTGGAACAGGCTTTCACCAGAGGCCCCTGGAACTGAGGCTGGGCCAGCAGCCTGGAGCCCCGCAGTCCACATGCAGGTTGGTGGCAGGGTGCCCGGCCGGCCTTCTGATTCGCTGCTATGTTTAGTTTTTGCCTGGATCTAGATGCTACAGCATGCATCTTCGTTCCAGGAGGGGAAGCCCTCAGAATCCCCTCTGAGCCCTGCTTTAGTGGGAGGCAGATGCTAGGTGGCCACAGGTGAGCTCCTCAACCAGCCAGTGACAATAGTCTATAAGGGGAATTTCAGTAATACCTGCCAAACAAACCACTGTCACGGAGAGTGGATGGGAAGAAGTTGCTTGACTGGGAGGGTCCCTCAGGCTCCATGAGGATAAAGAAACTATGCAGTGTCCTCCGCCCAGAGGGACGCGTCCCTGCGGGCACACCCATCCCCCTAGACACTCTGAAAACCCAGGAAGCCAAAGCCCTTGGCACACTCAGTTTCTTATGTTTGAAAACTGCTGCTCTGCCTCATGGTAAACAACACCCTTCCTCAGGTGACCCCTCCACATACTGTGGGTCAGTGTGTCCCTGCCACAACAGTAGACAGAAACACACATGCACAGGTGCACGCTCACGCACGCACCTCTCGCGCCACCCCTTACGCACAGGCAAACTGTGCTCTGCTGAGGCTTCACGTTCGTCTTGCCTTTTTTTGTTTGTTTTTACCATGAAGGATTCCCACCGATTTAAAAATGAATAAAGTTGGAAGACACCTCAGGAAGCACACAGTGCCTCCTGAAGTGAGAGAGTGGCGCCTGAGGAAAGTCTTAGGTGGTAGAGTTTAAACGGTGTGAGTCTCACAGATGGGTTCCACGAGCTGGACAATCATTAGTTCTTTTGTAGGGGGATATTGGAGAGACGACATAGGTCGGGATGCAAGCCCCAGGACAGGGCCTCTGATAAGACCTCTGGACACAGGAGGAAGATCCCATTTTCCTATTTTTCTAAAAAAAGAATAGGAAAGGAAAAACCCTGAAGTCAGATGAAAAGCGGCCTCCACGTGCGTAACCTTCAGCACTCCGCTCACCTGGAGAGCCTCTACCCACAATGCACTAAGTGGATGATTAAAAAGAAATAGGGGCTTAACGGAGGGTAAGTGCGGGGTCCCCAGAGCTCCGCGAGCGCTGAACCGTGCGGCTACAGCTGTCTCCACACAAGCCCGACATTCTTTATTTATTTGTTATGAAATATTTATGGGTGTTATGAAAGGTTTAAAATAATGTGTCTGTCGCTCTCTCTCCCTTCTGTCTTTTCCCTTTGGCCCCGGCACACTGTTTTCCAATGCATAAATAATTCTGGGCTCTGGACAGCGGGGCGGCACATTAGGTGGGGTGTATCTGCTGTATCACATTTTTTCTGCCTGAGAGAAAATATCATTCCTCGTAATTTTCTACACTTATACAATCGGCGTTGACAGTAAATAATTGATGTATGAATTTAGGACTAAACTCCAACACAATATGACTCTATGTCAAGGGTTACTCCCAGCAGATTTTGAGCTAAATCATCTTGCAAAATGGGTTCTTTCAATGGGAGAAAAAAAGCTTTTTGAAATTATTTTAATGGAAAACTGGGACCTCCGTGCAGCTCCCCTTTTGATGAGGTCTTGCTTTGCATGGCTGGTATTAAACCAAGCAGTCTGCCCATTATGAGATTGGAAATGTTTCATTTGTGATCACAAATGGATTTTTTGGGGAGTGACACAAGCTGTTTTTATCCTGCTCATCCTTTTTTTCTTTTCTTTTTTCTCTCTTTGTGTGTGTGTGTGTGTGTGTGTGTGTGTGTGTATGCGCACAGTGGCGTTTGTATGTGGTAGGCTGCCCTCTGCTTTTCATCTTAGTATCTTCCATAGAAAGTACAATTATGATTTAAATTACAAGCCAGATATATTTGCAACTTAAAGATATATAACTAGCAGAAAGGCTTTAGATAAAGGGCTCCGTATTCCCTCCCATTGCTGCAATTAAAACACTTTTCAACATGAAAAGGAAAACTCCAAACCAGGAGGGGAAGAGTGGAAACAGGAGAGGGACCGCTTTCGTGAAATGGTCAGAAGAAAAACACTTTCCGTCTTCACAGCTCTAACTGAAAGGCAGCCAAGAAGATCAAAGAAAACAAATTGGGTGAAATTCTCTGTTGGTTTTACTGTACTGTGGGGGTAAGGAAGATTTGAAACTATCAAAACTCTTTATTTATGTAATTTCATTTTTGCTGAAACTAAGATACAATTATTTAAAGCAAGGCCTTCTCTTCTTTGAATAAATCTTATATTTATAATTATTTTATCTAGTATTTACAATTATATTAAATTGTATTTATTTATACCGCTCCTTTTCTTTAAAGATTATTCAGATCTTTGATATACTGAATTTAATTAAATTTGTAATATGAACTAAGAAATATAATAAAATTCAAAGCCTCCTGGAAAAAGTCCTTTTGATACAGGCAAAAATTGCCTTAACAGGAAATTGAAATGCCTGCTTCCCTTTTAACCTTCTTCCCCTACTCTTCCTCTTCCTCCTCTCTCTCTTTCACTTTTCTTTTCCTCGATTCTCTCTCTGAGGAAATACATGCCTCTAATTTCATTCTATAGGTGGCACTCACGTCTCTATGCACGAAGTTCTGAAGAAATTTCAGGCCAAAAACTTGTCTGTAAAAAGTCCTTGATCTCAGAGAAGTGTATTGATTTCTGAAAAACATAACACCCATTTCTGTAAAAATAAATTTTAAATGAGCTCTCTTAAGTAAAGTTATTCAATTTATACCTTTATTTGTATGTGGTGATAAGTAATTTCAAGAGTGGTGACAAATGAGTTTTATGTAACAGAGACTCTGAGCCACATGCTGAAGTATATGTGCATGCACATGTGTGTGCACCTGCGTGTACATGTGTGCGTATGGAGGGCATGCATGCGTGGGTGGGCACGTGCAGGGGTATGTTTGTGTTTTCAGTGTTCACACCAGAGAGAGCAGGTATTCAGGAAAAACCTCTTCCTGAAATAGGCTGGCTGGAGCCCCCTGGGGTGACGGCTCCCGGCTGTGTGGGCTGTCTGCCCTCAGGCACAGTGTGGTGTGGGGGCACCTGCCTCTGCCCGCATGTGTGTGTATGCACGTGTACATGCATCTGTGTGTGTGCACGTGTGTGTGTGTGGAGTGAGCGTCTGTTAAGTGTTGGTGACAGGGAGGTTAATCAACATGAAACTGTTTACTGCCGTGATTCCTACGTGTGTGTATGCACGTGTACATGCATCTCTGTGTGTGCGTGTGTGTGTGTGCATGTGTGTGTGTGTGTGTGTGTGGAGTGAGCGGCTATTAAGAGTTGGTGACAGGGAGGTTAATCAACATGAAACTATTCCCTGTCGTGATTCCTACAGTGGCTCCCTTACCAAGCTGGGAAATTGAATACAAGTCTTAGAACTCAGTTCCCCTTAGAGACAATCTTGTCCAGAGGCTTCCTGACATGTGTGAAGAAACAGAAGCCCATGGAATTCAAATCACTTGCCCCACACCCAGAGGTCAGAGCCCTGGAGGCTGTGTCCATATGTGCGCATGCGTGGATGTGTACCATGTGGACGTGTGTGTGTGTCTCTGTGTATGTGGATGTGTACATTGTGTGTGTGTCTCTGTAATACACACAGATATACAGAGAAAAATAAACACACATACACATACAGAGACACACACACAATGCCGTTGCATTGGCATTGCTCTCCCGTGTCCCGGGTGGCCTTGCTGTGGAGCGCCTGGTCGTCCTGTGTGCCAGTGTCAAGCTTGTTAATTAGGCTGAGCGTGTGTGTATTTTTCTCTGTATATCTGTGTGTATGTGTCTCTGTATGTGCATGTGTGTATTTGTCTCTGTATATCTGTGTGTGTATGTGTATGTGCATGTGTGTGGGTGTGTACTTGTCTCTGTATATCTGTGTGTGTGTGTCTGTATGTGCATGTATTTGTCTTTGTATATCCGTTATGCGTGGATGTTTGTGTGTATGTGTCTCTAGGTGAGTGTGCATGTGTGTGCGTGTGTGTGTGTATGAGTGTGTCTCTGGGTGTCTGCTCATTTGTCTCTGTATGTGCATGTGTGTGGGTGTGTGTGTCTGTATATCTGTGTGCGCATGTGTCTCTGTATGTGTGTGTATCTGTGTGCGTACGTGTCTCTGTATGTGTGTGTGTGTGTGCATATGTGTCTCTGTATATCTGCATGTATGTGTCTCTGTATGTGCATGCATATGGGTGTGTGTGGATTTGTCTTTGTCTATCTGCATGCATGTGTTTGTGCGTATGTGTCTCTATGTGCATGTGCATGAATGTGTCTCTGTGTGTCTGTGTCTCTAGGTGTGTGTGCATGTGTGTGTATGAGTGTGTCTCTGGGTGTGTGCATGTGTGTGTGGATGTGTGTGACAATGGGCATGGGGAGGGGGCAGGATGGAGGCCCCCAGGAGCAGAGGTGCACACCTGGGGCGCTGAGCTTCTGTCTGGGCCAAGCTCCTTCGAAGTCCTCCTGGGGTCCCGGGTCCTCTGGATTGGCATCAACAGGCTTAATGGGGGTGGCCCAGGGTCTCAGCAATGCTCAGAGCCCCCTAATCAAGGCGAAGGCAGAGAGAGGGCGGCTCGTGTGCTGAGGGCATTGTTTGCACAGCCTTGATGAGAAAGAAGCAGCGTCTGTTCCTGGATTTCTCTTCAGCCCTTGGTGTGAGGGGGCGGGCGTAACAGGGCCTGTGGGCCACTGCCATATACACGGCTCAGTTCCGTTTTCAGAGAACACTTGAGTCAGACAGGCCTGAGGCCAAATTCATCTGGGGTACTTTCAGCCAGGAGGTCTCAGGTGAATCAGTCTCACTGCGGGCACCCCTGGGGTTCTGGGGGGCACTGGTGACTTCCTGACCTTACAGACAAAGCTGGGTCCACACGTGCTTCTGTCTCCCCCTGCTCCTGGCTGGTGCCTGCACAGCCCTCACCCATGGGGGGCCCTCCCAGCTCCTCTGCTGCCTAGCCCAGACCTCCACCCTCATTTTCCTGTAGAATGACAGCGACAGGTGTCTGCTGGGTGGCCTCGTTTCTCCACGGCGCCCGCCTGCTCCAGCTGCCCTCTTACGCTGCCAGCCCCAAGCAGGCAGCCCATGACTGTGACTCCCGATGAACTACTGACTCTCTGGGTGGAGGAAGCTGTTCCCCAGAGCTGGATTCCAAGACTGGAGGCCGCTGGAGGAGGTTGAACTCAGCCTACCCTTCCTGCTAGAAACGACTCACAGTTTTCTTGGTTAAAACCCAGTGGCCAATAAAATGCCAACATCCCCAGAGAACTTCTGCCTCACCTAGTGTGGATGAACACGTCATCATGTCTTGGTGGGGGTCGGGGAGGGACTGCTACAGCTTAGGAGGGAGAGTAAGGAGGCACCCAGGGGGAGAAGGAGCCCATGATGGGCTGAAGAGCTGCTGCCGGTCTTGGAGAGGTGCCTGTGAGAGTCGGGGTCTGTTCTTCCTGTGGCAGGCAGTTACGCTCCCCGACTTCTCCCAGCATGAAATGTACTAGGAACAAGAGGCCTGCCTCTTGGCTGTCCAGAAAGCATGGAGACATGGTCGAAGACTCCGAGGCTTAGGCCGTGTCCACCTGCAATACACCAGCAGTGAGTGCAGCCTGCACAGGCAGCGGCGTGGCTGTGGGACCTGCCCGGAAGGGGACGGAGATATGAAGCCCCCTGGGGAATTGTGCATCCAGATCCCCTCCAAGCAATATACCCCAGCTCGGAAACAAGGTCTGATGCTCATGTTCCAGAGTCACGGTGGTTTTGCGGATGCTGTAGAGCAACCCTTCCTTGAATTCCCCATGAGGGAACCTGGAGATCTTTATTTTTCATGTGCAATCTTGTCTTGGGGTGGAACTGTCTATACTCCAAGACTCGGGAGATGAAAGGTTCTGCAGAATTCTGTACTCTGTGGGATGCTCTTGGAGGCAACAGAAGGCTCTGTTAGCATGGCTGGCACCTCTGTTTTGGCTCAGATGCACGCAGAGGTGAACATGACAGAAGACTTCAAGCCAAGCGGAGCCACCCCACTTCTTCATCAGGGGATGCATTCACTATCTGTAGGAAGCTTGGGGCCTCATGTGAATACCACATCGTGTGGACAAACATCCCAGTCCTGGTTGAAATCTACCCTGTGGAAATCCTCAACCAGGGCTTACCTAGGGTAGCAAGAGCCCTACTGCTGTGCAGATGGAAGACTTCCACATGCAGGTATATTAAAGGCTTCTACGTAAGGGAAAATTATGAGCAATATACCCCACCAACTTGTAAAACAATAAATATACTCTCTTGCTCCAACAAGCTACTATGCTGGAGACAGTCACCCTGCCACACAACCCGAGGGGGCCGATTCCGGTTGAGGTTCTCATGCGTCACGCTCAGCCTAATTAACAAGCTTGACACTGGCACACAGGACGACCAGGCGCTCCACAGCAAGGCCACCCGGGACACGGGAGAGCAATGCCAATGCAACGGCTGCTATTTTTAATTATTTGGAGAACTAATTTTAACAGAAAACGTAATTAAAAATTTGTAAATAGAACACCCCAAAGTGCTCCCTCTGGCGCCTGTATGCATCTATTTGACATTTGCTTAACAAATTTTCAGGTCGTCATTTTACAGGTACAACATCTACACTCCTGTATCTCCCATAAGCTTTGCAATCTGTGATCTTACGCATCATTTACTTTTCTGAGAAAGACGCTTTGCTTAGGTCTTCATCTTTTCCTGCCTAGTTCTTGGTGGTGGTAATTTATGGAAGGGCAGTCCCTGTCGAAGGGTCCAGCTGTGGGTGGCAGCGAGCCTGGCCCCTGCTGCAAGCACATCCCATCCAGCTCCTTGCTTGTGGGCGGATTTCTGGGGAGTAGAAGGTGTGCCATTTGGGTGGTCAGTTATGGTATTTGCAGAGTTTATCATCACTGACATTAAAGAGAAGGCCGGATAAAAGTTCTGTGGTGGGGGTAAAAGAAGAAGCAGCCACAGGCCATGTGGTACACTGGACCTGCAGCCTCGTAGACCTCCTGCTTGATACGGTCACCTCGGCTAGAGGCCGGGCAAGGAATCTAGGCTCCCAGTGGCCACCTTGCCCTTGCCCTGCTGTAATAGAACATCACCAGGTCAGGGTGATGCAGGGAGCTCCGCACATGTCAGCTTCTCCTGGCAAAGGTCAGTGGAGAGGAGGCAGAAAAAGTGTGTGCTCCCACGAGAGAGTGAGCAAGTGTGTGCTCCCGTAAGAGAGTGTATGAGTGTGTGCTTATGTGTGGATGTGTGTGAACGTGTGTGTAAGTGTGTGTGAGCTTGGGTATAAGCATGAGTGTGTGTGTGAGTGTGTAAGATACACAAGTGTGCTAGGGTGCGCATGAATGTATAACTCTCAGTGCCCAGGAGCATGTGTAAGGGTGTGCAGGAGTGTGTGTGCCTAAGTGTGCAGAAGTGAATGCGTGTGTGCAGAAATGTGCATGAGCCTAAGCATGCAGAAATATGTGTGTTGCCAGTTATAGTTTGTTGACCCTGGCAGCATTTCTGGGGCTGAAAAGACATTTGAAACAAGGACACAGGAAGACCAGAATGTCACCTGTGACCGCACTCACCCCCACCCCTCCCTGGGCTGAGGGCTGCTCTTTCTGGTGCACTTTGCCAGGAAGTTCAATCTCTTCCTGCTCAAAACCAAGGAGTTTCTTAAAGAGCCAAATCTGAGGTCAGCCTGAGGTTCAGGCAGGACACACCTGAGCTGCTCAGGTGCACCTGGAGTCAGCTGGTCGACCCAGTGTGGCAGCACCACCCGGATAGCCAGGGAGGCTGGCATGGCCAGAGAGAAGAGACAGGGCGGCCAGCAGGTGCTGACCGAGGTCAAGGCCCTTGGGGCAGCTCACGGAGAAGCAGCTGGACTCAAGGACATCCTGGAGTATGGAGCAGAGCCTATGGAAAGAGTGTGACCTTTCACAAGAGCTGACCTGAGCCCTCGAAGTCCCTTTTCTCACTTGATCTCACACAGCCCCAGGTACTGGGACCAGCAGTCACTGGTCATTTTTGCTCAGATGAGACTTGGATAACTTTGCATTGGTTGCAGGGCTGTGCAGTGGTGCCACCTGAAGAATCCGAGGGCGGAGCCCAAGAATGTCACCAACAGCTTTGCACCAGTTGCAGAGCCGTGGAATGGTGCAGCCTGGAAAGTCCAAAGGCAGAGCCCACAGGCGTCAATGACAGGCTCCAAGGACCCTGTGGCCAGTGCCACCATGAGGACCTACTGCAAAGTGAGCCCACTGCAGAACCCGGCCTGCCTGTCACAAGCAGTGGATCTGTGGATGTCCAGGCAAGGCCCTGGCCTGTGAATGGCTGAATACCAAAAGGACTCCGTGTGTGGCAGGTGAAGCCGTCTCTGTGGCCAGACCCGTGCTTATCCCTCCCGCCCTGAGCCCACCGCTCCTGTGCCCTTGCCCTGCCCCTCAGGTGGCCTCACCATCCTTGGGTGATGTGGCCTTCAAGCAGTGACACTCGAGTTTCTCTGACCTTGCCCACCTGCTAGAAGCTCAAGTGGCAGAACTGAGGTGGGCATGAGCGCAGGTCTTCAGTCTGGTTTTGCTTCCCCTTGGCGTTGTCCAAATGAGGAAAGCGTTTTTCTGATGCTTGTTCACAGAAGGAAAGCGTCAAACCCACCGGGGCTGTGCTCGTCCTACAAACTCATTTCTTTCCTAGTGTGAAAAGAAAAGGGCTGATGGAACGGTGTTCTCTCAGCAGGGAAGGACCCAGCCTGCCACTTGTCTCCTTTGGAAATGGAGCTGGCTTCTGCAGTATAAGGGCCGTCTGGAGGAGGGACAGCGCTGACATCTGCCCCCTCTGAAACGCACTCAGCCCCTCAGGAGGGGGCGTCGGGAGTCTCGGATGATGATGTGACCGAGTCCTGGGTGAAAGGTTGGCACTGGGAAAGGAGCTGACTCCAAAGACAGATGGGAGCAGGGAAAATGAGCGCCGTCTCAGGAACGAATCCTTGAGCAGGTGAGATCCCCCTGAAAAGAGAAGAAATTGCATGAGCCCCAGAGCTACTCCGTGGCACAGAGATGGACGGAAAGCCTGCTCTCCGGGTGGCTCTGTGGCTGAGACGGGCAACACCTCTCAAATGGAAACACCTGACGTTGCACCAGATCTCAGATGCGAAGGGCGGGGGTCCCTCCAGTGAGGACTCCCAGGGGACCGAGTTTTCCACCTGCGTTCTAGATGTTCTCCGTGAAAGCATCACGTGGTGTCCCGGTGAGGGGCCTGGCTGAGTGGGCATCGGCTTGAGCGCCTGGAGCTTGCTGGAGAAGAGACTCATGGGCACCACCGGGCCCACCATGCAGACTTCAGGGAAAGAGAGCAGCCGGAATGCGTTTTAAATCCTGCCTGAGAGCGTGGATGCTACAGGACTCCTGGCGTGGGGAACCCGGCATCTGTGTATGTGCCCGTGGGCATGTGGTCAGCGAGGCAACCCTCACAGGACCACGAGGCCCTGGTCGGACACAGGCTGCCCGCAGCCCCTTCCCACAGGAGCACCACCAGTAAGGCCTTTACTGTCCCCTTATCCCTTGCTGTTTCCCCACCGACACCCTGACGCTGAGCAGCCGGAGAGAGTGGAGGAGTGCGAGAGCCGCGTCCACAGCAGCAATGGCCCTGCAGAGGGGAGGGAAACTGAGGGCAGACTGAATGGAGACTGTGGGTTCCACTTCAGGGGGCTCGGACACGACAATCTGATGGTCTCCCTGTAACTTAGGAAAGACCTGTGTTGTCCTGAGGGGCTGAGGCAAGGACCACCTGCACAGGTAGATTTCAAGGATAAACGGGCCAGGCACTTCCAGAGGCCGACCATCTCCTGCGTGAAGTCAGGATCCCCACGGCAACTCCTGCAGCAAATCCGGAGTCTTGACTTCCCGCCCGCAGCAGAGAAGCAGGACGTCAGCATCCTGCCTGTGTCTCGTGCTTGGGAGAGAGCGGGATGTAACAGCACCCGGAAGCGTGTTCATGTGTAGTGTTAGGCATGTTAAAGTGTGGCATTAATGTGTAGATATCACTCCTATAGTTGTTAAACTGCAAGTTTAGCTTGAATTAAGGGAGTTGGGGGGACCATTTAACTCAATTATGCTAGTTTGGAAATGTCTTTGTGAGAGTAGGGTCAGCGCGGATCAGCCACGTGGAAGACTAGGATACGGGTCACACTTATCTGTGTTCCTATGGAAACTATTTGGGTATTTGTTTTATATGGATTTTTATTCACTTTTTAGACATGCTACTCAAGGGTGCCCCTCAGCTTCTGAGCGAGCAGTTGTAGTTTGTACAATGGCAGAATGGGCCAGAAGCTTAGGGTTTTGAACTTTTTTGTAAAATAAAGTCTCTCTCTTTCTCTCTCTCTTTCTCTCTCTCTCTCTCTCTCTCTCTCTTGAGATGGGGGTCCAGGCAGAGCGGCTTTGGTGATTGCACTCCCCAGGTCCAGCCCACACAAGGTTTAACACCAGTGGAAAGCCTTCACATTGGAAGTTCCCGAGGGACTAGGTTGCTTGTAAGCATTAAATTAAGTAGGAGTGATGCTGAAAAATAAAAAAAAACCCACAAAAGAACAACAAAGCTTCCCAGGCCCTGCCCGGCCCATTGTGGGTTTCAGCCAGAACCCCCCCACCCCATGCCAACCTCCTCTTCTCTAAACACGTCTTTCCCTTTGACCTCTGCTGTGCACAGAAGAACTCCGAAACCAGTGGGGCCACTCCCAGGACCTGAAGAGCGGGAAGGTCCACATCAAGGCAGCGGCCATGGGATCCCCTTGAGAGGGGTAGCCTGCAAGTCAGCAACCTCCCTTCCCCGACCCCAAGGGCAGGGGCAGTCAGAGGAGTCAGCACGGGTTTGGTGAAGATCTGCATCTGAACCACAGGGGCCAGGACGTTCGGGTCATCCCAGGACATCCTAGGACATCCCAGATCATCCCAGGACATCTCAGGTCATCCCAGGTCATCCCAAGATATCCCAGGTCATCCCAGGACATCCCAGGTCAACCTGGGACTCAGGAATCCTCTTTGCCCTCCTTATAGAAAACAGTAGAAAAGACCTTTGCCAACCAGTTTTACAGAGAAACAGGTATGGATAAAATAGAAACAGCTTCAATAGAGTCTTGGTTGGATTTTTTTTTCTAATACTTATTTCTAAATGAACACAATCTACTCCAGCACTCTTTAATGTAATAAAAACATAGCTCTGGGTCAGGTATGAAATTAATGATACAAATTCAAAGTATTAATGCTCAGTGGGCTGAAACAACTTCAATGAAGAAATCATCAAACTCCGTAACCAGACCCAAATGGAAAAAACAGAAGCATATGCACGATTCCAACAGCAATCTGCTATGAAGGCGATTATGAAAACATGTATAAAATATTTATTTTTAATAAGATGAATGTCCTATTTCTTAAAACCAAAATAAGATTAGACTTTTATTATCAAAGCAAAAGGATGGTTATACAATGCCACCTCTTCACGTGGATGGAAATGCTAATTTTATTATCTTAATTTGTACAGCTATGTTTCTTGTCTTTTTTGTTCTTTCTTAAGTTAAATAGGTAGAAATAAAAAAAGCTTTCGGGTTTCATGTGTATAGAGTGAAATCCATGGTACCAAATATCCAACTAGAACATTTAACAGATCCAATAATTATAGTGCCAGAACAATTTCCAATGTCACCAGAGTCTTGAAAGGACACTTCCAAGACAAATGGAGCCAACGGGAATGCGTAAGAACGCCTTTCACCATGTGAGATGCATGAATCTACGTGCCACTTTGCAGGCGACACATTCCTGAGGAAAGGAAGCTGAACACTGCAGTCTCCTGGAGGTGATTCCTCCAGGAGCACCACAGCCAGCGTCCACACTTGCAAAGTGCAGTTTCCAGATGCAACGTGGGCACGGCACGGGAGGTGGAAGGCAGCCCGCAGGGAAGTTAGAGGCCTCTCACGTGTTATGGGCAGCCATGGCTCTCCTGGGACCTGGCTGTTCTCAGTCTTCTGGCTCATGGAATGGAAATGGGTTGGCTCAGGGCAGAGGCTTCTGGTCCCCAAGGGAGCTCTCGGGGAGCAGTGACCCTGTGGTGGAAATGGGTCACTAGATAATGCTCAGGCAGCGATCTCAGATGCACTAAAGGGCATTTGTTTACAGTTGTCCACTGCAGAACAACCCGCAGCAGTGAAACCTCCAAAAGAAACTAAATAGACAGTGTTAGGGGAGGATTAAATAAAACATGTTCCCAAAATTAGATATTAATATTATGAAGCCATTAAAGGCATATCTTTGAGGATATTTAAATACGTGGTCCACATCTCACGCCAGTCAGAATGCCAGTTATTACAAAGTCAGGAAACCATAGATGCTGGCAAGGCTGTGGAGAAATAGAAACCTTTTACACTGTCGGTGGGAATGTAAATTAGTTCGACCGTGGTGGAAGACAGTGTGGCGATTCCTCAAGGATCTAGAACCAGAAATACCATTTGACCCAGCAAGCCCATTACTGGGTATATACCAAAAGGATGATAAATCATTCTACTCTAAAGACACATGCACACGCACATGTATGTGTATTCCAGCACTATTTACAAGAGCAAAAACATGGAACCAACCCAAATGCTCATTGATGAAAGGCTGGATAAAGAAAATGTGGTACATATACCCCATGGAATACTATGCAGCCATAAAAAGGAATGAGATCATGTCCTTTGCAGGGACATGGATGAGGCTGGGAGCCATCATCCTCACCAAGTAACACAGGAACAGAAAACCAAACACCACATGTTCTCACTTATAAGTGGGAGCTGAACACTGAGAACACATGGACACTGAGAGGGGAACATCACACACCAGGGTCTGTTGAGGGGTGGGGTTTTAGGGGAGGAACTTAGAGGACAGGTCACTAGGTGCTGCAAACCACCATTGTACACGTACGCCTATTAATAAATCTGCACGTTCTGCGCTTGTATCCTGTTTTTTTTTTAAAGAAATAAAAGAAATACATGGTTTAAATGGTAAAGATTTATGTTAAGTAAAAAGGCAAGATAAAAACTATATATTAATATAATCTCTGCTATAGAAATATCTTTATATCTGCACACATAAATATATGACTACACAAATACATATATATAATAATATAATACACACATACATGTAAGTGGAAATACCCAGTAAAAACATAAATAGTTTACTTGTGGTTTATTTTTGTATCCTCTTGTTACCTTTTGTCCCAACAAAAATCTCTACAATGAATTTGAATTCATCCCATCACTGAGCAGCCTTTATCTTAATGCATATTATGAAACTGTCACAGCGAATGTGCATGCACGATAGCAAATGAAGGTAGTCATGTTAGCACACTCGGTCTCCACTGGTATTTTCATTTTTAATGAAATTACAAAATGGATAGATAAAAAACGTTGTTTCCTGATTGTTGACCTTTTATCAGTGCTAGGACTTGTGAACCTGCGGTCGCCACTATCCTCGCCCTGCCCCGCCCTCGGCTCAGTTCACACGCCTCACTCCTCTTCCACTGAGGTCTTAATATTTTATCTTATTTAATTTATAAGAGATTTTAAAATCATATCAGTTGCAATATTTTCGCAGTGTGTCTTCCACTTAGTTTTATTTTTTAAATGCAAGCCTGTTCATCAGTTATGTGGTCCAAGGTATCAATGTGCATTTGCACACTGCCTTAAAAACTGACATATTGGGAAAATCCTTTTGCTTCCAGAGATTGGTGACCCCATTTTTTTCTTGTATGTCATGTGTTTTCATTTTTATTACATATAGTGTTTAAACTATCTTGTTATCATACTTACTAATGCCCTACGTACTTGCCATGTATTAAATGCTAATCTTCATATTCAAATGTGTGTATCTGTTTTTTCATTTGCATATTTTAGCATGAAAGCCAAACAATGACTGTAATCTTACATGTTTTACAATCTCCTAGATTAAATAAATTTTCTTTATAAAGACAAAAATGAAAAAAGCAAAAAAAAAAAAAAAAAGAAAAGAAAATTGAAGGTAAAAGGGGAAGGCAAGGCCGGGCACAGTGGCTCACGCTTGTAATCCCAGAACTTTGGGAGGCTGAGGCGGGTGGATCACCTGAGGTCAGCAGTTTGAGACCAGCCTGGCCAACCCACGTTGAAAGCCCGTCTCTACTAAAAATGCAAAATTTAGTTGGGTGTGGTGGCATGTGCCTGTAATCCCAGCTACCCAGGAGGCTGAGGCAGGAGAATCACTTGAACCCAGGAGGTGGAGGTTGCAGTGAGCAGAGATGGTGCCACTGTACTCTATCCTGGGCAACAAGAGCAAAACTCAGTCTCAAAAAAAAAAAAATAAAATAAAAAAAAATGGGGAAGGCAGGGAAGCAGGGAAGAGGGAGAACTATTTGCAGTAATTTTGTTATTTCAGACACATTTTTAGAAACATTTTGTCACATAGACCTCCAAAATGGTTCCCATGTTCATTTGTTAAACAAAAACAACTTGCATATTTTGAATTTCACCTTTGACTCAAACTCTTCTATATTTTTCAAATTATAACAATACTTCAGGTGGGTCCTCCTCATTTCTTAATTGTTCTATTTTATGAACTGAATGATCACTTTCCCATCATAGATTATAAATGTCAATTGTAGTATGACATAAAAGCCTCTGATCTGGTGACAGTGTGTGTGTGTCTCCACCCGACCTTCTGCTATTTCATTTATTTTTAGGTGATTCTTTGATGTAGCCCAGCCGCAAAAATCACATGATCAGCAAATAAAGGCAATTTTATTTCCTGCTTCCCAGTCACTTTGCCAATTATTTCTGGCTCACAGAATTGCACTGTCCATAATGTATTTAGCTCTCACAGTACAGAAGAGGCCGCAAGGAATACTTCACATACGTCATCTGATTTAATCCTCAGAGACTCCTAAAACAAGCAAACCAAAGCTTGCCCCAACCACAGGGCAGGCGGAAGCAAAGGTAGAAGCTGAACTCCAATCTAGGGGAGTCCTACCCCTTAACGCAGCTGTGCCGGAGCGGAATGTTGGAAAGTGCCTTGAGTCCCTGGATTTTAGTAAGGATACCTCGGGTGTTCTGCTGTTAGATGATGTTGATTGGTGGGCTGGGGCAAATATTCCCTACCAGGTTAAGTATATACTCTTTAGTAGATTTTTGAATATGCTAAATTCATGATATATGCTATGAATATGTAGATTCATGATATATGCTAGTTGAATATATATTATAATTATGATACATAATTCTTACATATGAAGACATTAATGGGCTTGCCTTTGTAACATCTATTTATCTGGCTACACGGCTTTCTAATAAACTATTAATGCCATATACTATATTAATAGATATATTGTTAAGGTAAGCCACCCTACTTTTTTGATAAATCAATTTTGATATTGGTAGATTTGACTTTTAATGAATTGTGAAGTCTGATTCATTAGTATTTTATGCAGAGGAGTGCTGGTAAATATCTAGCGCTCTGAAAAAATTATATGCACACATATGCTTACATATTTTTAAAAAATAAGTTCTACTGATATAAGGGATGTTTGGCACATAATCAACAAATAATAATACAATATACAATACTCTTTATTGTAAATGTCACACAAGCAATTGATCCTCAGAATGTTTTATTGAATTTGCTGAACTCCTGACTCTGTAGCCAACCTCTGGCTGCAATTGACAATCACTTTCAATATGAATGAGATGAAGGTTGGTTGATATTTTGATTTATGTTAGTGACACAAAAGTTTGACGAGAAGAACACAGTCGGAATTTGACTCATTTGTCCGTGATGTGAGGGCTTCTTTGCTGAACTGCATAATAGTTTTCCAATACAGGGGAGAATTTTTTCCAACACAGGGAGACTTTTTTCTCAGTTCATTGTGCTCATTACAATAACATGACTAAAGACATGAGCCACCTTTACATTTGATTTCATATTTTACATTTTGTCCTCCATTACTTCTGTAAGTTTAGACAGTCAACAAAACCAAACAAGGAAACAAGTCCTGCTGGGCAGCATTTGCCAGCCTCCATGGTGTAAATATTCCCGCGGGGATGCTGACCTCAGGCTGCCAGGGGGACTTCCGGGAGCGTCGGGCGAGGAGGAGCATGGCGGCCGTCCTCAGTGCATTTCCACCGCACAGGCGCGGGAGTAGAGGCGTGCAGAGGGTAAAACGGGAAGCTTCTTTAGTAAGCATTGCCTTTAAAAATACAATTTATTAATTTTAAATTTATATAGTAATGTCATAATGGCTTTCAAAATGGCTGTTTTTAACAATAGCCATTAGTAAATTTTTAAATAATGGCTATTTTTAATAACTAATATGGGTTTATTTTAAACATTTTTAAATAATGGCTACTTTTAACAACTGATATGGTTTGGCTCTGTGTCCCCACCCAAATCTCATGTTGAATTGTAATTCCCAGTGCTGGGGGAGGGACCTGGTGGGAGGTGATTGTATCATGGGGCGGATTTCCCCCTTGCTGTTCTCGTGATAGTGAGTGAGTTCTCATGAGATCTGGTGGTTTACAAGTGTGGAGCTCTTTCTCCTTTGCTCTGTCTTTCTCTCCTGCCACCATGGTAAGACCTGCTTGCTTCCTCTTCACCTTCCACCATGACTGTAACTTTCCTGAGGCCTCCCAGCCATGCTTCCTGTACAGCCTGCAGAACTGTGAGTCAATTAAACCTCTTTTCTTCATAAATTACCCAGCCTTAGGTATGCCTTTATGGCCATATGAGAATGGACTAATACAACAACCATCTTGCAAAATCCCCAGACATGTAAAAGTTGCCGCTCGGGGATTACACAGACAACTGTACATGAGCCCAAGCTGTGTTTCTCACACTCTGTCTTTTTTGTCAGGTTATTCATATCCAGATTTTTGCTATTTTTAAGATTTGAATTGAGTCGCTTTTCTGTGGTCTTGTTTTAACTTTCTTGTAATTCATATGGTATTGGAATAAAACGTTTCTTGAAATCTTGATGAAATTTGCCTATAAATCCTCTTGCCCTAGAAACAGTTATGGGAAAAAATTTTGACTTTTTTTAGTTCCATTGGTTATTACTGATAACCTCAAAATTTCTTCATCTTGAGTTGATTATTTATATTTACCAAAAAATTATGAATTATACCAATGTATTTAATTTATTTTTATTTTAATTCCTCTCCTTATACTCCTTATACAAATTCCAGTGGTTCTCTGGAGAGCTAATTGTTTGGAGTGTGGATCTGACTTGAGTTTCTATGGGAGCCTGTCCCCCAGCCTCTAGTCCCTTTTGTCCCAGCCCACACAGCTGGTGGTGGATGGGGCTGGCTTTGTTTTAAAGGCAGGATGATGGTGGTGTGAGTTCTTCAGAAAGAGGCTTCTCTAGAGAGAACCAGCCTTACCATCCAACTAACCACTTCAGATTCTCTGAATAAAGGAAGACATCAAGAGAACAGCATGGTCCCTGAATCCACACAGGTGCCCTCAGCAGGCTCAGCCCACGCGGCCCCTCCTGTGCCTAAGCTGGGTGGGCTCCGAGTCAAGGACTGCTCTGAGTGTGGAGAGAGCTGGTTACAGGGAGCTAGTTACAGAGAGAGAGAGCTGGTTACACAGAGCTGGTTGCAGAGAGCTGGTTACACAGAGCTGTAGACAGTGAGATGTGGTAGACCAGTGGTGGGTGGACAGGGTGGCCGAGCAGGCAAGGGAGTCTCACCAAGAAGCAACCTGCAGAGAGATTGAGGAGGAGTTTCCCAAGGAAGGGGGTTTACCTTAGGCTGGGCTTCATGACAGGCCGGGGGCTCCAATAGCAGACATTTATTCCCACAGTTCCAATGCTGGACGTCCAGGATCAGGGTGTGGGCACAGTGGTGGGCTCTGGGGAGGCCCCCTGGCTCTGAGGGCTGCCTTCTTCCTGTGTCTTCATGGGATGGAAAGAGTGGGAGACACAGTCAGCTCTCCCTGTCGGACACTGCCCCATCTTGAGCACACCACCGTCATCGCCTGATCTCCTTCCTCTCAAAGTCCCACCTCTTGATGCTACCACCTTGAGGGTGAGCTTTCAAAATAGGAATTTGGTGGGGGACACAGACATTCAGACCATACCTGGGATGTAAGCAGAATCTTGGTAAAGAAGAGACACAGGGCGTTCCTGGAGGAAGGACAGCAGGTGAGGGCAGGCAGAGGCAGGGTGGGGCTCAGGGACAGCCCGTATGTCTCCAGGCAGGGGACACAGCACTTCCCATGCCCACCCCAGCCTGTTCTATGCTTGTTCATTTATTTTAAGAATTTCAGTGTCTTCAATGGGTTCATTCAAAACCCAATTCCATACAAAAACATGGGAATTCCCCTTAATTTTTCAATAGATTTAGAGTTTGTTACTACACTGCATAGTTACTGTCCATCATGTTCATCATTTCGGACTGTCAGATTCTGCCTTCACACATCTCACTGCAGCCAAGTCAGGTTTGTAAAGGGCTCTAGTGCTGCAGCCTCCAGGTCCTCCTCTGCTTTTCTGTGCGGCCACCCCAGCCCGCAGGCAGCTCCTCCAGGCCTCTCTGTTTCTGCTCAGGAGGCTCCTCCTACCTGGTGCAGCTTCCTCTATCCATTCTTGTTTGAGAAATACCTGTTCCTCCTGGCCGCTCTTCCCAGGGTCAGGGCTGGCTGTCGTCACCTGGGGTGCCCTGCGGTCGCAGGCAGCACTGACCCCTGCAGCACAGCTCACAGCTGCTCACCTGCCTGCACCACCTGTGTGCAGTCCGGAGGATCGGCGGGAGGCAGATCTACATGCAGGGCCGCTCACACCTGTGAGCAGAATACATATGTGATATTGGAAATAATGAAAACAACTTCTAGTTAGTCAAACTAAAAGGAAAAAAATTAGATGGCTTAAAAACATTTGCAAATTTGTCGAGCAATGGAAATTAAATTATTCATACTCCGCACAAACCCTCTCTAAATCCACTGATGATCATTTATCGCATTCCTGAGAGAAATGAGTGGACTCTTAATATATTTTTTAATCTGATGTCATTTATATCGTACCAATTAAGTTATTACTGAAAGAAAGGGTGAAATTGTAGTTAAATTATGTATGGAAAAGGTGTGGCGATGAAAACATCACTTAAACCTGTTAGCATCTTGGATTTTCTATCTGTAAAACAAAACATTTTATCTGAATTTGGCAACCAAACAGCACCTTAGGAAAATGGTGATGCTTATTAAACCCAGAGAGAACCCTGGAAGCCTAAGCCTGCTAGGTGCAGCTGCAGGGAACAATTTCCCTTCCTAAACGCAGGAATTCTTCCCTGAGAAGGCATCTGTGTTTCAGCTTTTGTGTTTGCAAAAGGACGACCTGCATGCTTCTGACCCCAGGAATGGGCGGCTTGGAGTCTTCCACGGTTGGCCCAGTGTTGACCGTTAGCAGAACAGAAGGGGGGCATGGGTCCAACGCTGTAACTGGCTTGTGGCTGCTATCACGGACTCATGGTGGGCAGACCTGTGCCTGCAGGAGAGTGGTGAGGGGAGGGAGGTGGTGAGGGGAGGGAGGTGGTGAGAGGAGGAAGGTGGTGAGAGGAGGAAGGTGGTGAGGGGAGGGAGGTGGTCAGGAGACGGAGGTGGTCAGGGCAGGGGAGTGGTGAGGGGAGGGAGGTGGTGAGGGGAGGGAGGTGGTGAGGGGAGGAGAGCTGGTCAGGGGAGGGGAGTGGTCAGGGGAGGGAGGTGGTCAAGGGAGGGAGTCCTGGAAGAGGCTGGGGGTGAGATCCACATTCACACAGCAAACCTGAAGCCACTATTTGAGTAATTCAAGGTCAGTCGATTTTATTCTAAGAAAATAAAGTTTATTCTGCATGAATTATTCACATAATCATTTTCAATAAACATGTATAGTTATTTAGTACATAAATCTATTTATACGTATCAATAACATTCCTTGGTAAGTTTTACTAAGGAAAGTAAAATGGAGAGTTTTCCATCTCGGACTCGTGGAGTTGCCCCAGGGACTGTGTGAAGGGCTGGGAGAGCCGCCTTCTGTCAACCAAAGTGTGTGTCCTTCGACCCCTCCAGACTGGCCTCCTCGCTACTAACAAGTGAATCAACTGCCTTTCCAGAATGACAGCATCCTTAAGTGGACAGAGGGTGTGGTCAGACCGTCCTGGCCTCTTCCCAGTCTCTGACCTGCCTCACTCAGACCCTGTGCCAGAAGGTGGCTGGGGTTGGAGGGGGAGGCTGGAGAGGCTGCCATGTTTGAGGGATTGAAGTCTCCAGGCCGGGGTCTGAACGTGTGTTCTTGGGCCCCAGTGGGGAAGCATTGCTTACGTAAAGCCGTCGAGGGTCCCACAAAACCATCCAGCCTTAAGAAGGCTCTGAGCAGTCCTGCAGAAAGGCAGCCCATTTAAGCCAATTTACCCAGAGTTTCCCGAATTTATTTACCCAAGCGAACCCCTTTTTCCTTAAAATGTCTGTGAATCAATCATGAGATTGAAAGGTTTCACGCCCTTCTCTGCTTGGGTGCTATTCTCTACCTCCATGAACTGTTCTTGCTGTTCAAATCTGAGTAGAAATCCTGGACATTTGGATTTGCTTGATTAGAAAACCCTTGTTCTGATGAAATAAGTATCTCAACAATGAAATGAGAGCCACCACAATTCACAGGCATGGAGAAGGGCTCTTCCCTGACGTCTGCTCTCTCCTGTCTTCAGTCAGATGCGCTCAGCCCCCAGGACAGCCAGGACAGCTGTGTGGCAACCCAGCCTTGCAAAAAAAGATCAGCCAAAAATGAGACAGCAGCTGCCTGCAGGGAGTGGTGGTCGGGGCCACTGAAGGGCGAGGTTAGGGGATGTGAAGGGTTCCAAGTCAAGAAGGCAGCGTTGATTGACATACACATGGAGCCGCTGGAGCTCGGACTCACAGCTCATGATCTTGGCTTCATAGCGTCCCTTGAAATTCCGGCCCACGGCCCACGGCCCACGGCTCTCCCACGACCCCTGGGCCTTTCCTCTGGCCCCAGGTCAATGGTATCTTCCTCATCAGCTCTCTTCTTTGACTTTCCTTTTTTCTCTCGCTCTCTTTTTAAGATAATGTTTTAAACACCTTTTCCTTCGCAGGAAAGGCTGGAGGGCAGCTGCTCCCTCCACCCTCTGCATGCGGTGTCAGTGGGAGCCTCTCTGCTCTGATAAGGGCCAGACGCCATCCCCGGCTGGGCTGGGCTGCCAATCTATAATGTTCCTGGCCATGATTAATCTGATAAATAATAAATATATCAATCTAGTCTTTTAGACAAGGACAAATTCCTACCAGCAGGGAGGCATGAGGCCTCTTTTACAGCTGCCTGTAGTGCTGGGATTAATTATTTAATGCTTAATTCTTCGGGAAATGAGAAAGTTTTGATTAATGCTGTCCAGTGTGGTTTCTTGCGTGTTTGATATGTGTCAGATAATTTTTCCTCGGCAGTCACTCTGAAGAAGCCAGAGGCTTCTGTCACGGGGATCAGACACCAAATTTCTAGAGATTAATTGAAGTGAAAATTTAGAGAAAAGCACCATAAGTGCCCGCCTGAGATAACCTTTCTGGGCTGAATTTGGCTTTATCCGGGGGGCAGGACTCACTGTGCCTTTATGTAAAACACTGATTTTCATTGCTGTGAAAAACCAGATTTGGTTTCTAGTAGATTTTTTTTTTCATCTTTCTACCAACTTAACAGGATTAAAATAGTTGCTTGGCAGATGTTTCATCATTAATTCTATATCTGGTAAAATAGTAATGGGTGGATATCAAAAGTCAATGTTTCTTTATGATTCTGAAGCCCATTCAGTGAATTGGACTCAAAAATCCTTCTGTGGAGTTCAAGTCCGGTTTCAAAACTTCAACTCCTTCTCTTCCTCCTCCTCCTCCTCCTCCTCCTCCTCTTCCTTCTTCTTCTTTGAGAGAGAGACAGAGAGAGAGAGAGAGAGAGAGAGAGAGAGAGAGAGATTGGGGTCCTGCTATGTTGCTGAGGCTGGACTGGACCTCCTGGGCTCAAATAGCCCTCCCTCCTCAGCCTCCAGAGTAGCTGAGATTACAGCGCACACTAGGACAAAACATGTCTTTTTAATTTTTCCTTCAGCTTTTATTTTAAGTTCTGGGGTTCGCGTGCAGGATGTGCAGGTTTGTTACATGGGTAAATGTGTGGCATGGTGGTTTTCTGCACAGACCATCCTATCGCCTAGGTATTAAGCCCAGCATCCATTAGCTATTCTTCCTGATCCTCTCCTTCCCCCCGGCCCCCACAGGCCCCAATGTGTGTTGTTCCCACCTCCATGTGTCCGTGTGTTCTTATCGTTCAGCTCTCATTTTTAAGTGAGAACATGTGGTTCTTAAATTTGGTTTTCTGTTCCTGCATTAGTTTGCTGAGGATAACAGCTTCCAGCTCCGTCTACATCCCTGCAAAGGGCAGGATCTCACTCCTTTTTATGGCTGTATAGTAGTTCATGGTGTATATGTGCCACATTTTCATTATCCAGTCTATCTCTGATGGACAAAGCATGTTTACTATAAACAATGATCTGTGTTTACTACAGCCAATAACTACCTGATCTCCATCTGCTCTACAAATCCATATTTTCCAGAGTTCTGACTCAAAGACAAGGTACACTAATACATGAACTTCCTTTCATAATACCCTGACTTCTGCTCAAACCCATTAGGACCGTTAAATGTATGTCAGCTGCATGTGTGTCCCTCTGTGGGTGCTGCCAAATGGCTAGGACAGAAGGGCTCCGGGGTTCCGGGGCTCCGGGGGTCAGCAGGGAGGAGGGGGTCAGTGGCCCTGCCCTCCCTCCCATCACACCCTCCCACAGGTAAACCCCTTCAACCAACCTCAGGAACGCTCCCAGGTGACAAGGCTTCCCATTTCTACCACTTCTTTTTAAAATGCCCATTTCCACAGAGACTGAAGTTTCCACTTTGCCACTGTGTTTCTATCTTAATGTGGTGATTATGGACTAAGAAACCCCTTGCTCAGAAAGGAGGAAGGATGCACACAGTGAAAGTTAAAGAAAATTGAACCAGATTTATGATGAGGACCAGTTTCCTTCAGGACCTGACGCTCACACAAATGCAAACCAGCTTGGGTCAGTTCACAGAGACAATTTTCCCCTGCTCTTTAAAAGACTTTAAAAGAGAATATTTTAGCACCAAAGCCGCTAAAGCCTTCTTCCAGGGCTCTTCAGCCCCACAGTTTTCTCCCAGGTCCTCGCCCTGCTTTACTATTGACCTGTATCTAAGGGTTCCGAAGGCACATGGCTCTCTCCTGTCCCACAGCCTCCTGCAGAGAGAGCATGTAGCAAAAAGGAAATAATGATGCAGAACGAAGCATCGGGGGCACCAGCCCGGAGTTATCTTCCGCCATTTATAATGTGCACTGTCCTCATTGAAAAGTTGATGAAATGGCTGTGTTGACCAAGTGACCAGGGCAGACTATATTTCTTTTCTTTTCTTTTTTTGAGATGGAGTCTTGTGCTGTAGCCCAGGCTGGAGTGCAGCGGTACAATCTCGGCTCACCGCAACCTCCGCCTCCCAGGTTCAAGCGATTCTCCTGCCTCAGCCTCCAGAATAGCTGGGACTACAGGCGCGTGCCACCATGCTGTGATAATTTTTGTATTTTTAGTAGAGACAGGGTTTCGACATGTTGGTCAGGTTGGTCTTGAACTCCTGACCCCGTGATCCACCCACCTGAGCCTCCCGAAGTGCTGGGATTACAGGCATGAGCCACGGTGCCTGGCCCAGGGCAGAGTATATTTCTAATTCAAATTAAATTTGCCAATCAATTAAGTTCAACCATTAGCAAATTCTGAAAAGCAGGCAGCTTATACCACTTAAACAGCCTATGTCCAAGCCACATCTGGAGTTTCAAGTCAAACTGGAAAAGTGGTCTCGGGTCAGGGAGAGAGGCTTAGGGTGGAAGGTGGAGGGAGAAGAGGCATTTGCATCTGAGATGCTGGAGGTGAGAAAACCTTACACTGGGGCTGGCATAAAGAAAATCCACGTCTAAACTATGGGAAAAATCAGAAAAATGGAACATTTTTGGTATTTTGCATCTTTCTTCTATCCAGCATACCTTGGAACCCCAATGATGCATAGAAGTTCATTCTTAGTGTGCAAGAGCTTTTATAACAGGCACTGGACCGTTAAATGTATATCAGCCGCATGTGTGTCCCCCCGTGGGTGCTGCCACGTGGCCAGGACAGAAGGGCTCCGGGGCTCTGCGGGAAGGGGGCCAGTGGCCCTGCCCTCCCTCCCATCACACCCTCCCACAGGTAAACCCCTTCATCCAACCTCAGGAACGCTCCCAGGTGACAAGGATTCCTATTTCTATCACTTTCTCTTTGCTCAAAGCTGGGTTAAATTTGCCCATTTTACAAATGAAGAACTTTGGCTCCGGGAGATTTGCTGAATTTCCCACATTCAGGAAGTCAGGATGTGAATCTGGGTCTTAGCCTCCAAATCCCGTATCTTTTCCATTTCTTGGAACAGCGTGGAGAAGCTGGTGCCTGTAGGCCCGCTCCTCTCCATGCTAGGGGTGGACTGCTGAATGCCCTGGGTAAACCTCTGGCTTTAACACAGAGGGAGGCGTGGAGGGGAAGCTCCCTAATGGGGGTGCTTTTAGGCTGCAGAGTAATGGACAGAGCTCACAGAAAACAGAAGACATGGCTCTCATCTCTCTCTCTTTCTTTCTTCTCTCTCTTCACAAACTTGTAAATTTGAGCCAAGTCTAGGCCTCCCCAGAAGAAATGCACACACCTGCAATTTGCTTTTGCATTTTCTCACTGTCGTGTACAAGAGAAGATGGTCCCTGAAGCTCATGAGAGGGGACAGAAGAGCCTCTGCCCATGGATGCTGCCTGTGCCCTGGGAGTCCCCAGCCCTTCCAGGGCCCTGGGACAGAGTCAGGAGGCACCAGGGATGGAGGACTTGAGGCCTGCAGCCGCCTGTCCTTACTTGTTGAAGACCCCATTCTTCAGGGGCCAGTCCCGTATGCACTTCCTTCTCCAGAGTCTCCCAGACAGCCAAGGAAGCATACAGCATGGGAGCAGGACCCACCACGGCCTGGCTGAGTGTGTGCACCCTGCCAGCTCCTTCACTCCTCCAGGGGCATCTGAGGGTGGGATGAGCACAGAGCCAGGAACAGCAGGGGCCACCAACAGGAGGCTCCCCTACTGGGTGCTGACCCCCTGCGCCGGCATCTGTTGGAGTCTCCGGCCCCGTGACAGTCCCTACACTGCTGACCCTCACGCCTCTCAGGTCCACATTTCAGTCTCACATGTGTAGCTCAAGGCCCCACCGCCAATGATCAGGTGTTTCCTGAAATGACAGGCCTCAGGCCTCTCCCTTCCTGTGGTCCCTGAGGCTGTGCTGGTTTTGCTGTTGTTGATGTTTGAGACAGAGTCTTGCTCAGTCACCCAGGCTGGAGTGCAATGGCGCCATCTCGGCTCACTGCAGCCTCCACCTCCCAGGTTCAAGTGATTCTCCTGCCTCAGCCTCCCAAGTAGCTGGGATTACAGGCATGCCCCACCATGCCCAGTAATTTTGTATTTTTAGTAGAGACAGGGTTTCACCATGTCGGCCAGGCTGGTCTCGAGCTCCTGACCTCAGGTGATCCGCCTACCTCGGCCTCCCAAACCGCTGGGATTACAGGCGTGAGCCACCGTGTCCAGCCTGTGCTGTTGTTTTTCATCTACTGGGAGCCTCCCAAAGTGCTGGGATTACAGGCGTGAGCCACCATGTCCAGCCTGTGTTGTTGTTTTTCATTTACCGGGAGCCTTCCAAACTGCTGGGATTACAGGCGTGAGCCACCGTGTCCAGCCTGTGCTGTTGTTTTTCATCTACTGGGATGCAAACCTGAGGCACTGGTGTCTGTGAGTCGTCACGGGAGAGGGACCGGGTGGTTACCCTTCCCTGTGGAATCACTGCCTCAGAGAGAAAGAGAAAGGAGAGGAAGCTCTGTCTGCCGGAGGAGGTTTGGCCATCTGGGGGTGCAGGGCGGTGGGTGGCGAGTCAGCCGTGCACAGGTCTGTGGAGAGTATGGATGGGAGCACAGCCAGGTCTGCTGAGCACTGACGCTCCACGATGCTGCCGGCTTTCCCCATGGCGTGTATTCCACATATGCTCAGTCTCCCAACTGCAGGTGTGTTTATTACAGGGCCCTTGTCCTCTGTCGTCTACATCAGACCTGCCTCGTCCCATCCAAGCCGATCACCTTCTGAGAGGACCTGGCCCCCGAGCTCAGGAGCACCCCAGCTCTCAGGACACAGCCCCTCGTGGTGGGACAGCGCCTGCACCTGCAGCCCTGTAGCCCCTGCACAAGGAATTTGTTGAGGGAATTTGTATTTTCTGCTGCTTTCTCCTTGAACCTATTTGCATTTTAAATAATTAAAACATTAAAGCTGAAAAATTTATAAATGAGAGTGCTAAGAGAATCCTGCCTGGCAGACGGTAGAGAAAAAATCATTGCCCTGTTAGGTTTGCGCCAGTGTCCTGTCTGTCATTCTCCCCAAGGTGCGTCCACTGCTGTGGCTCGGGCCTCAGGCAGCTCTCTGGTGCACACACACAGTGCAATGGTGCACACACACACAGCATCACAGCAGACAAACTCACACGCATGGCCAAAGATGCCCCCACCCAGCGTCGTACACAAGCACATCCTTCCTCCTCCACACCCACCTCTCTCGAGACCCTGCCGTCTACCCCCTGACGCTTCAGGACTCTATGGAGGAAGACTTTGATCTCATTATTGGAACAACCTAGATGGAATCTCATCGGTCCTCAATAACCCTGTTTTCCCTTTCCCACTCCGTTTACTTTTCCTCTAAAAGTTCACTTGGAGGAAGGGAAGGGTGGCGAGGGTGGTGGGAGCGGCGGGCGGCGGGGAGTGACAGGCGCTTGGTCCGGCGCGGCTTTGCCTGGTTGTAACAAGCGTCGGGACATGCGGAGCCACAGAAGCCGGGCTGGCCACATCATCAATCACGGCGCTGACAGCCGCCTTCAGTTTGTTTGTTCCACTTTGCATAATAAGTGATCGGATCAGGTTTAATTAGATATTGGGTAATCAATCATTGCCAACGAGGCAACTCAGCTTGGGATCTAGATGCTGCAAGGGGAAAAGGCAAAAAAATAAAAACATAAAAAAACCAGCAAATCTCATCTTGTGTGCATAAATACTCCAGCCCATGAGCACACACCGTGGTGTGTGACCGAGAGAGGTATAGAGATGTCTGCAAGACGCGAGGAAGAGAATAATTCACATCTGTGCTGCCGCTTCCCAGACAGCGCCGGCTGACATTTTACTTTCACTGCATAATTACTTTTCAATATAATATAATATGCAGACCTGAGGGAGGAAGGAAAAGCAATTAAATTATGCTCCCGCCGCCAGCCCCAGAAGTGACCAGGAGCTGTCGTTACAATGCGTAACAACTTAGGTTGAGGTACGAGACCAACTAGGGCGTCCTGCCTTTTGGGGGCCCAGTCTCCGTGCGGGAGCCTCAGAAGAGCCTGGTATGGTGTTCCATCACCAGCTGCGAGACGCTCAGGTTATGGCTTCCTGCTTTAATATCAGTAGCCAGATCTATGCCACAGCTCAGGAGATCCAGGGAGAAAATGGGCCTCAACCACGGGTTAGTATTTATGTATTTATTTAAAAACTCCATTTAACCTCATGGGTGGCGAGAACAAGGAACATCATTGCATCCATTATGTGGATGTCAAAGGTTATGTCAATTCTTGTATGCATCTAATTAGACACAAAGACCGCCAGGTCTATTACAAACCTGGGGACTCTGAGTGTTCATCAAGGGTCAGGAGGCAGACCCCTGTGGCCTTCAATGCCCATTTGCACCACTCCTAATTTCTTTGTGTTATAAATAGATACACCCTTCCTGATTCTGATTATAATTCCTGTGCATGAGAGGAATGGGCACCTCCAGCTCCTGAAAGAACTGATCCTTCCGCATTCCTCAAGGGGTGAGCTGGGAGGGCACCTCTCTCTTTCCTCCTGTCCTCTTCACATTGCAGACAGAATTTTTTAACTACCTATTCCCCTGGAAAGAGGACATGTGTGGGTGTGTTACAGGTAAACCAAAGATTCTATGGCTTGGTAGAAGTTTCTGCATAGGTGGGTGATTGAGTAGGTGGTAAATGGATAGATGAATGAATGGACAGATGGGTGGTGGATGAATAGATGGGTGGATGGGTGGGGGAGTGAGTGGGTGGGTGAGTGAGTGGTTGGGTGGGTAGGTGGGTGGATGGGTGGGTTATTGAATAGATGGGTGGATGTGTGGGTGAGTGGATGGATGGGCAGATGGATGGGTGGATAAACAGCAGGTGAATGAGAAGACGAGTGGATGTGTGGATGAGTGGGATGGGTGAATGTGTGGGTGGATGGATGGATAGATGGACAGGTAGGTGGAGTGTGGGTGGATGTTTAAATGGATTGATGTGTGGGAGGATGAATGGGTAAGTAGATGGATAGAAGGGTGGGTAGATGACTGAATAAGTGAGTGTGTGGATGGATAGATGGGTAGATGAGCAGATGGGTGGGTAGGTGGTGGATGGGCAGGGGATGGGTGGGCGGATGGACGAGTGGGCAGGGAGGCAGGTGGTTGGGTGGATGAGTGGATGAGTAGATGAGTGGACAGGTGGATGGGTGGGTGAGTGGATGAGTGGGTGGCTGAGCAGGTGGATGGATGGGCAGGTGGATGGGTGGATGGGTGGAGAAGAGGATGGGTGGGTGGTGAATGAGTGGGTGGGTGGGCAGGTGGATGGGTGGGTGAGTGGATGAGTGGGCAGGTGGATGAGTGGGTGAGTGGATGAGTGAGAGAGTAGATGAATGGGCAGGTGGATGGGTGGGTGGGTGAGTGGACAGGTAGATGGGTGGGTAGGTGGATGAGTGGACAGGTGGGCAGGTGGATGGGTGGGTGAATGGGTGGGTGGGTGGACGATTGATGGGTGGGTGGGTAGATGAGTGGGTGAGTGGGTAAGTGGATGCGTGGGTAGGTGGATGAGTGGATTAGTGGGTGGGTGGACAAGTGGATGGGTGGGTGAGCGGAAGAGCAGGTAGGTGGGCAAATGGATGGGTGGGTGAGTGGATGAGTGAGAGAGTAGATGAGTGGGCAGGTGGATGGGTGGGTGAGTGGACAGGTGGATGGGTGGGTAGGTGGATGAGTGGACAGGTGGGCAGGTGAATGGGTGGGTGGACAAGTGGATGGGTAGGTGGGTGGATGGACAAGTGGATAGGTGGGTGGGTGGGTGGATGAGTGGGTGGATGGGTGGGTAAGTGGATGAGCAGGTAGGTGGGCAAGTGGATGGGTGGGTGAGTGGATGAGCAGGTAGGTGGGCAGGTGGGTGGGTGGACAAGTGGATAAGTGGGTGGGTGGATAAGTGAGTGGTTGGACAAATGGATGGGTGGGTGGGTGGATGACTGGGTGGGTGGGTGAGTGGATGAGTGGATGGGTGGATGAGTGGGTGGGTAGACAAGTGGATGGGTGGGTGAGTGGATGAGTGGGCAGGTGGGCAGGTGGATGGGCTGGGTGGATGAGTGGATGAATGGGAGAGTGGAGCTGCTGGTTCTGTGACTTCCTTCAGCATCCTTGCACAAAGGAGCATCAGCCATGGAGCCCTGCCTCTGCTACGATGAGGGCCAGTGGCTAACGGGGCAGTGGTGCGGTATGACCTGCCCAGATATATGAGTGACTTCCTCACATAGAAAGGGAAGGAAGAAACAGTCTTCCTTGGATTAAGTAACCAACTAAAATATAACTTTATAATAATATCTGGCTTTAATAGTTCAGATTTTAACCATTGTATAGAATAAAAGTTGAAGGTATTTTATTGGACAATAGAATGTAGAGTAAACACAGCAATGAATAGCACCTGTAGCATTTGTGGCAGAGTCTAACATCAGGGGGCCAAGAGCTTGCCATGGGCGGTTCTGCCTGACAATGAGTGGTGGAATTCACGGCTCCCTTTTCTCATGAACACACTCAGCTCCACCTCTCCTCAGAAGGCAATCCTGGTGCCCCTGCTCCCTGACCTGGGGCTGAGGGCCTTACACTACAGCCTGCTCTTTGGGATGGGCTGCCTGGTACCCGGGATCCTGTTTCTGGGCAGCCGTCACGTCACCCTTCCCCTGGGAGTAAGGATGACTGGTAAATCAATGTGTGTGGAATATGTTCTGGTGACATGCACAGCAGGGACACGCAAGGGTGCTTGTGGCTTGGCTGCTCTTCCTGGAAGGAGGCAGAGGTGGGCTCAGCGAGGTCAAAGGTCAGCAGGGCCATTGTGGGGCTTGGCCTCTGACTGGGTCATCGTGTCCAGTGATGGCCAAGGACAGATAGAGGCAGAGCGGGCCTGACCCAGGCCCTCCTTGGGCAACGTGGAGGAGCAGGCAGGGCCTGATGGACAGGTAGCAGGTGAGCATCAGGTGGGCCTGTGACAGGCAGGTGAGGAATAGGTAGCACTGCAGGCAGGCGAAGGGCAGGTGGGCCTGTGGCAGGTAAGTGACAAGTGGTGAGTGACAGGTGGGCCTGCAGCAGGTGAGGGACAAGTGGGCCTGCAGCCGGTGAACAGCAGGCAGGGAGCTGGCATGCTATTGAGGGCTCTGTCTCCTGCGTTGAGGATGAGCTCTCTGCAAATGTCCTGTCGTTGGCCTGGGTGCGTTTCTTCTCCGCATGTCTCCTCCAGATGAGCTGGAGTGTTTAAATGAAATGAGTCACCTTAACTGACAGTATCTCCCACTTGCTCCCAATCCACAATTTATTTGTCTTTTGTGTTCCTTCTTGGCCTTATGGGGGAAGCGTTTTTCTGTCTGTGTTCAGAGCTCATTTTCCTTAATCCTGGATTAGCCTCTTGGCCCTCGTGGCCCTTTGCTCTATTTTCAAGGGCTCTGATGGCGTTTTTTCTCCTGTGCGGTAATGACAACAAAATAGAGTTTTGTAGAAGCTTCATGGTTTCTTCCAGGGAATTACACAATCCCAGCATATGTGCCAGGCCTTTACACTCTTTGACATGTTTAGTCTGTTTCTTGTGTTTTGTTTTTGCACTTACAGGAAGAGACTGCGTGGATATACTGCGTGTTTCAGAGAGAAGGTAGAAGCAGGTCCCGGTTTGGAGGGTCCTAATCCACTGGCCACCTTAACCATGTGGGAAGGAGGGTGGGTCACGTCTCTCCTGCACTAGACCCTCCCTGGGCCTACCTCATTTATTTTACATGCCTCTCTGTTCCCAGGACATGACCTTCTATGATGAGATACTGTTCCATTTGTTAAGGGAAAGAGCCCTAAATTGGGGTTAGCTGAGAGAGTAAATGGAGATGGAGAAGGTCAGCAGCTTAGGACAAAAGGAGTTTTTCGAGCATCAGGACAAAATAAAGTCACAGTGTTACGGCTGTGTGACCCACTCCTTGTAAGAGTAAAAGGCCAGAGATGTAAAAGTTGAGGTGCTCTCGGCATCCACACCAGATTTTCCTCTCTGCAATCGCATGCAGATAGAGGATTTCTCACAGTGACCAGCTGGTCTAGGTTTCCTCCAGGCTGGCCAGTCCCACCAGAGTGAGGGTGCATGGTGACAGAGGCCCCTAGGCTGAGCCGAGGCTGAGCCTGGGTTGGGGGCTTGGCCGACTGCCGGGGCCTGGTTGGTTGGGAAGGCTGCTACTGTCTGTGGGTCAGGTTTGGGGCCAAGGTGATCTCAGGGGGACCCAAGGCCTCCCCAGCTGAAAGGAGCAGAGTGAGGAACACTGGGTGAGCACTGGTCCACACTACAGGCCCGTTTCGCCCTATGACCCTGAAAGGCATGGGCTGAAGCTGCCGGCTGCTCCACATGTCCTGTGTGGACTTCTCAGTAAGGGAGGAGGGCTGTTTTCTGCTTTGGATCTGCCTGCCTCATGAGGTTGACAATTCGTGGGCCGCACCACCTGTGGGACAGGAGGCAGATCCATCAGGGCCCTGTGGAGATGGCAGGACCTGGATGGGTGAGGACCACATGGCCAGAGAGAAAAGCTGATCACACGGCGGCACCTACAGAGGTGGGACAGGAGGCTCCTGGACTCAGGGGAGGCAGCGGTGGATGCAAAGTCCAGGTGACCTTAAGAGTTGCCTCTACTGGGAAAAGAAAGAAATGGTGGCTGCCTGATCAGTGCTTGGATTTGTGATGAGCTGATATGGGGGACCCTCTGCAAATTCTCACTTCATGGGGGGTCCAGAGCCACGCAATATTACATAGGTTCAGAGGTCAGAAAGCAAGGACTTCATTACACACGGTTAGTCACAAAGGCATTAATGAGGTGCTAGGAGCTTCCCAGGAACAAAATAGATGGTGGTGACTAGCTCTTTGAAGCTATGAAGGAAGCTGTTTTTTGCTGAGATGGGTGTGTCATTGCATGAGGAGATGGCAGCAGGAAAAAACCACTGGCCTTTGCTGCCATCATAGCCTCTAACTCCTGGATATCTCCCCTTGGCTGCTCACCTCAGTGGCTTTTCTCAGAGGAAGGCTCAGAATTTCAGAAGTTGGCTTCACCCCTTCATAGACAATCCAGGGGGGACAAATGGAGGCTTTGGGGTGCAGGGCGCTTGATGAGTTAATTGCACACGAACATAGAAGGTTTGAGCTCCGTACCCACCGGGGCCTGAGCAGACTTCTCCTCCTATTTCCCAGACCTCAGTTTCACTTCAGCTGAGTATTTTGAAAACAGCCATAGGATCCAGGCTGGTGAGCAGTTGGGATGGAGGAGACAGCATTCCTCCAGCCTTGGAATCTCGATGAAGTTGCCTCCCCATATGTACAGGAGCGACCTCGCCCCGGGCCTGGGGCTGCGGCATGTCTCTGTGGAGGGGTCAATTTGGTGCCCTTTGGTCCTTCACTTTCTGCATCATACACTAGCAAATCACTGGCTCTTGGTAGCAAGTTGATATTCAATTGCAGGGGAAGTAAGGAAGAAACGAATCCAAAACATCAAATTTGTCCAAGAAGTCAGTTTTGTTTTATTGTCTCAAAAACCAGTTTGACCTAGGCTCAAAAAATAATTTGAAAAACTCAAGCTGGAAATGTGCATGCCCAATGCCCCATCAGGTGGGAAGTGTGTGCTGTCATCTCAGACTTGATAGGACACGACTAAATGGGGGCAGCGGGGAAGGAGCTGAGTGGGGAAGTGCTGCGGGACCTGGCACTCAGCGCTAGTGTTGGTCTGGGATCCGCAGCCTCCCTCGTCACCCCTAACAGCGTCTTCCTCATGTTCTGACAGATGAAGCATCAGATGAATCGATGACCTGAGACAACCCTAAGGGACGCCCACCCGCGCTGTCTTTATCCAAAAACCTCTACTGCCTCTATTCTCCCTTAAACACAAAATGTGTTGAAATAAATGCCACTACATAATCATATGCACCTATATAAAATGTGCGTATATTATATGAGTATGTGCATATATATTTCATACTCATGTGTGCATGTAGAGGCACCTGCAGAGCTTCATAATTACATTAATCTATGATTGATTTAATTTTCATTTTCAGAAACACAAAAGTTAGGTGGCTCACACCTGTCATCCCAGAACTTTGGGAGGCTGAGGTGGGTGGGTCACAAGGTCATGAGTTCAAGACCAGCCTGGCCAAGATGGTGAAACCCCGTCTCTACAAAAAATAAAAAAACAAAAATAGCCTGGTGTGGTGGCAGGTGCCTGTAATCTCAGGTACTCAGGAGGCTTAGGCAGAGAATTGCTTGAACTTGGCAGGCAGAGGTTACAGTGAGTGGAGATCGTGCCATACACTCTAGCCTGGGCAAGAAAGAGTGAGACACCAATTCCCAAAAAAAAAAAACACGAGAATTAGAGTATTTATTCCAAGGTAATGATAGATTCCCATTTAGTTCCAAGTGTTGCTGGACCCTCTGTACCTTCCACCCAGCTTCCCCCATGGTAGGACATTGCTTAACTTCAGTGAATCCACACCAGATCCTCTTCTCTGCAGCACAGTGAGAGGACTTCTCACTGTGACGTGCAGGTCTAGGTTTCTCCCAGGCCAGCCCAGTCCCAGTGGGGTGAAGGTGCAGGAAATTGCTATTAGAACAATCCACGGAGCCTATTCAGATTGGACCAGTTTTACACGCACATGTATGTGTGTGTTTCCAGTGTGTGTGTGCATGTGTGTATATGTCATGCAGTGCATGTGTTTGTGTGTGCATCTGTGCATGCATGAACATGTCCGTGTGCACATGTGTATGTATGCACCCCTATGTGTGTTTCCAGTGTGTGTACATATGTGCGTATGTCATGCAATACATGTATTTGTGTATGCTTGTACATGTGTGAACATGTGTATGCCCATTGTATGTATGCACATGTACGTGTGTTTCCATTCTGTGTGCACGTGTATATGTCATGTGGTGCATGTGTTTGTCTGCATGTGCACTTGTGCATGTGTGAACATCTGCGTGTACACATGTATGTATGCATGTGCACGTGTGTGTTTAGTTCTATGCAGTCTTATTACGCATGCTGATTCTTATCTCCACCACCACCACTATCAACATCCATAGCTGTGGCACCACAAGGGCCTGGAGCTGTTTCCAGCCACCACCACACCCTGGCTTTCTGCTTTCCTAACCCTGGGAAACCACTAATCTCTTCTTCATCTCTATATTTTCATCATGTTAAGAATGTACGATAAATGGAATCATGCAGCATGCAACCTTTTGAGATTGACTTTTTTCACGCAGCGTGATCATCTTGAGTCCCTCCTATTTGCTGCCTGTACCTACCTATAGCTTTTTCTTTTCACTGCTCAGTTGTAACCTGCGGTGTGGAGGCACCACCGTCTTGTTAACCTTTCAGTCACTGAAGGTCACATGGGTCATTTCCAGCTTTTGGCCATTATGAATAAAGCTGCCATAAGTATTTCTGTTACAAGGTTTGTGTGGACATAGAGTTTTATTTTTCTGGAGTAAATTCCCAAGACTGCAGTTTCAGTGTGGTATGAGAAGTACGTGCATGTTAGTTTTGCAAGATACTGCCCTACTCTTTGGGAGTGATTGCAGCATTTCACATTCTCTCCATCAATGTGTGAGTGATCCAGTTTCTCCAAGTCCTCATTGGCACTCGAAGTTGTCACTATTTTTTGTATGATTAACAATGAAATTATTCAGAAAAGTGAACATTATACATATCCGTACATTTGGACATCTGCTTTTTTTTAAAAGTGAGGTTTTCCAAGAAATTAAACTTCTATTTATAGTCAGGGATTAGTTTCAACTAGGTAAAGTTTATTTACACACCCAAAACAACAGGTCAACCCCAATGGGGGAGACATGAACCAAAGTTTGGCTTCTTGAAGAGAGAAGAATCTGCATAACTGAATTTTCCACTTTTCATTGGTTTTCTTCATCAAGGATGAAAAAGGAAATTTTCTCCCAGAGAGTAAAGCTCACTTTAGAATTGGGGACCAGCCTCCTGGGACACTCACCGCTCACAGGAGACTGAGGGAGTGCTCCGCGAGAGGGATGAGAAGATGCTTCTGGAGTCCTGGATGCCTGTAGACACCTGTCGTTCCTTTATACACATATAGGGAAACTGAAATATTCAGAGCTCAAAGACCTCACGAGGGAGCTCAGCCAGCAAGGCAGACAGCAGACACTGTGTCCTTGTGTCTGGGATGGCTGCAATTTGGTGCCCCAGAGGAAAGGTGGCTTTGAAGACCTTTCAGGGCCCCCGTTTTCATACCTGTGCTGGGTCTAGAGATTGGGGATACAGTTGGATGGATCTGCAAATGGGCCTGCAGACGTGGGTCTGATGCTGGATCCGCAGCAGGGCCTGCACCTTGGGAATGTTTCTTCTGCAGCACAGGCTCCCTTGATTCTCCAGTTACAGCTGCAGGGAAGGAGCCACAGGTCGGGCTCTGCTGTCCTGCAAAGAAGACGGGGCAGGTGGAGAGGGGTCCTGCCTTGTCCCCACCGATCCACAGCCAGGGACCTTCAGAACAGCTGCCAGAATCAGGGATGAAATAGGCCGAGGTGACAACACCCTGCTCTCCTTGCTTTTCAGGGACAGTCATTAAAAATGAAACAAGGCACAAAGAGGCCCAGAAGGCCCCGTGCTCTCTGCAGATATGAGAGAGAGAGAAGTTCACAACACGTCAGCAACAATATCCATTTGTGTTGATTCCTCCGACCTGCCCAGTGGCCTTCCTGGCCGGGGCCAAGGAGTATCAGCGAGAGACAACGAGGTGGTGTTTGAAGATACCCTGAGGATGGAGGATGGTCTTGGGGACGAGGACTCAGGAAAGACGTCTCTCTTTGCTCATCAATGGGAGGTCTGCCCTGAGCATACTTGGAGAGAAGTTGCAGCCTCGTACCATGAGCCGCAGTCTGTAGTTGAATGTTTGGAGGTTTTCTCTTTTCCTTTAATAATATATTGATGTGAGCAGCTTGGACATGCCAAACACATTCTCCCCACAAACAGTCAACCGCTGGGGAGGGCCTTGCCGTCTGGCAAAGCATACTCAGGGAGGAGACCTCTCCGGAGCCCTCCCCGGCAGCCTCTTGGTTCTGAGAAAGTGCTGGCTCCATAGGCCGACCTCGTCAGCGTTTGTTGGAGAGTGTTTCTTCTGGCTTATGGAAGAAAGCAGCTGCGGGCCATGGCATCAGCGGTCGCCTTTCCAGTGGAATCCTGCGAGGGCTTTCTTGAGATGACCAAGCTCTAGGAATTTCTGCAGTGGAACTGGCATTGAAATGCTGGGGAGGCCATGAGCCCCAGGGCCAGACCATCAAGGGGCTTCAATACCAGCCCCTGCCCCCTATGAATGTGTTTGTCCCTGTCCCAGGAGGAAAACTCATTATGTCTTGTATTTTTATTTATACCTTGGGTGGTGTACTAGGACATTCTTGCACATAAAGGAATACCTGAGACTGGGTAATTTATAAAGAAAAAAGGTTTACTTGGCATGTGGTTCCGTGGGCTGTACAAGAAGCATCGTGCTGACATCTGCTCCGCTTCTAGGGAGACCTGGGGAAAGTTTTACTCACGGTGGAAGGCGAAGTGGGAGCTGGCAGTCACGTGGCGAGTGCGGGGAGCAAGTGGGCGGAGGAGGAAGTGCCACACGCCTTTAAACAACCAGAACTCGCGAGAACTCACCATCACCAGGACGGCACCAAGCCTCGCGGGATCCACCCCCACCATCCAAACACCTCCCACCAGGCCCCACTCCAATGCTGGGGACCACATCTTAACATGAGACTTGAAGGAGACATCCAAACTATACGCAATGTTTTTTTTCAAACATAAATATTGGTTTGCCAAACCTTCCAAGTATAGCTTTAGAAAATTGCCTACTGTAATCCGGGGGCTTAGTGGCAAAAACCACACTGCCTGGGCTGGGGAGATGGTCCATCCTCTGCCCTCTTCTTGGTGCCTGACCGCCACCGACCCCAGGGTACCCAAGTAAGCCGGATGCCTTCCAGTAAGGCTGGCCCCAAGGTTTCCAGGTCCTGAGACTTTTAAAAGAAGAGCACATTGGGAGACCGAGTGGGCCGATCGCTTGAGCTCAGGAGTCTGAGACCAGCCTGGGCAACATGGTGAAATCCCCTCTCTACAAAAAATACAAAAGTTTGCCGGGCCTGTTGATGTGTACCTGTAGTCCTAGCTACTAAGGAGGCTGAGGTGGGAGGATTACTGGAGCCTAGGAGATGGAGGTTGTAGTGAGCCAAGATTGCGCCACTGCACTCCAGCCTGGGAGGCACAGCAAGACCCTGTCTCAAAAATAAATTAAATAAATAAATTAATAAAATAAATAAATAAAAATAGAAAGAGTATAGAAAAGCTTTGGAATCTATTATCTGTGAACTCCAAAGACATTCGTGGCATAAAGAAATGTGCATATGCCTTACAAATGGAGATCTTCCCGGAGTCCCAGCAGACAGAGTGGAAGGAGGGAGAGCCGCCTTGTCCGTGGACTCCCAGGTGTGTTTGTGAGCCTCACAGTTTCCAAGGACCACCTCATCCTGGGTGTTCTGTGTCAGGCTTTCTGGGTGCTGCTGACACACACCGAGGTTTGAGAACTTTAATCTGGTTCCAGAGCTTACGTTACAGATGATGAAACCACTGCTGCGGAAGATGCCTTGGCTAATCAAGGGCACAGGGACCTTCAGTAGCAGCGTGGTGAGTCTGTTGTGGAATAACAGGGCATGTCTGTGTTGGCCCATGGAGTCCTACTGAGAGTTCTGGGACATGCCACCTCACACTGGTTGAGTGAATAATGGAGCCACAGAGGGCCAAAGTGGAAGATCCTTGCATCTCCCTGCCCCTGCAGTTCTAGGTCCTTTTTATTCTTTCTTTCTTTTCTTTTCTTTTTCTTTTTCTTTTCTTTTTTTTTTTTTTTTTTTAGATGGAGTCTCACTCTTGTCACCCAGGCTGGAGTGCAGTGGCGTGATCTTGGCTCACTGCAACCTCCCCTCCTGGGTTCAAGCAATTCTCCTGCCTCAGCCTACTGAGTAGCTGGGATTACAGGCACCCACCACCACTCTGGCTAGTTTTTGTACTTTTAGTAGAGACGGGGTTTCGCCATGTTGGCCAGGCTGGTCTCAAACTCCTGACCTCAGTTGATCTGCCCACCTCGGCCTCCCAAATTGCTGGGATTACAGGCGTCAGCCAGCCTGCCAGCCTTCCTTCCTTCCTTCCTCTCTCTCTTTTCTTTTCTTTCTTTCTTTTCTTTCCTTCTTTTTTCTTTCTTCTCTCTCTCTCTCCCTCCCTCCCTTTCTCTCTCTCTCTCCTGCTCTTCTTCCTTTCCTTTCCTGTCCTTTCCTTTCCTTTCCTTTTTCCTCTTTTCTTTTCTTTTCTTTCCTAGGGAAATACAAGAGATCAAGGAAGAAGGGCTTGTATTCTGCAAATGCCAGCAGGCATTCCTGGTGTGTGCAGCCAGCAGAGCAGGCTCCTCTTTGGGGCCTGGGCTGGATGCTCATTGTTGGAACATGAGATGGGACCCATGAGCACGTGAAGCTCCCAAAGACCTGCCGTTCCGCCCAGCTCCCAGCTCCCAAAGACCTGCCGTTCCGCCCAGCTCCCAATCACCCAGCTGAGGTTGAGGCTGCCCAGTACACATGTGTTCAGCCAGTCCATCTTGCTTTCTCTGTGAGAACATCCTCGGCTCCACATTGGTTCTCAGCTTCACAGTGAGGCAGCTCTGGGGTCTGTGATTTTCCTGTCCAGCTTGGCCTCAGTGCGGCCAGTGCTTGGTGGGAGAGACCCGCCTCCCTCACGAGGGTGAGAGGGGCTGAGCTCTCTTCCTCCTTGCGATTTTTCTAACAGGTATGAGTCACCCCCCCAGGAGGGTGATGCCAGGCCCCTGACATCCCCACACCAATTCCCAGAAGCTGGCTCGACACCCTGGGCAACCCCAGAGATGCTGCCAAAGTCATGGATTCCTGCAGGGCTGAAGGAGCTGCAGGCAGGCCTGGTGCTTCATGCAGGGGCAGCCTGAGCACCAGGAAGGCGTGGAGTGCCAGAGTTGGCCTGTGTCTGTCCCAAGCATGGGGCCTGGACCGGAGTTGGCCTGTGTCTGTCCTGAGCGTGGACACTGGGCCGGGAGCCGAGTCTGTCCCGAGTGTGGACGCCGGGCCGGGAGCCGAGTCTGTCCTGAGCGTGGACGCTGGGCTGGGAGCTGTCTCACTCCATCTCATGTGGTCTCAGGGGTCTCTCACCACATGTGCCCTGACATATTAGGGTGTTTAGGGAGCAGCAATGCTTACCTCAGGGCCACTGGCCCCTGGTCGCTTAGCAGGATGGACATCCCCTGTGTAGGTGCAGGTGTATCTGCCTCCAGAACCCTTAATTCTATCCTGATCAAGTTTGCATTTGTCTGTTAAGTTTGTTATTAAAAGCAGGTCATCACGAACAAATGGAACTGAGCCTTCTCTTCTTCCTTGTGTGTAATCCCCTGCCCTGGGCCATGAATGAGTCCCATGGGGACAGCAAGTCGAAGTCCCTTTGGTCACTGGATAGGACCTGGACACTCAGCTCATGGTTGGTGCAGACTCCTGAGGCCACGTCTCTGCCTCACATGCTCTTGGCTGGCAAAGGAAGACAGACATTAAGACAGAGAGTACATAGTGTGTCTGTCAGCTTTGTCAAAACTCACATGGCTGTAGGCGTGTGGCTTTATTTCTAGACTCTCAATTATGTTCCATTGGTCAATGTGCCTGTTTTGGTACCAGTACCATCAAGTTTTGGTTACTGTAGCTTTGTAGAATAGTTTGAAGTCAGTCAAGTAATGTGACACCTCCAGCTTTGTTCCTCTGGCTTAGGATTGCTTTGGGTATTTAGGCTCTTTTTTTGTTCCATATGAATTTTAGAATAGTTTTTCATAATTCCATAAGTGGTGCTGGGATAATTGGCTAGCCATGTGCAGAAGATTGAAACTGGGCCCCTTCCTTTCAGCATATACAAAAATAAATCCAAGATGAATTAAAGACTTAAATTTAAAACCAAAAACTATAAAAATCCTAGAAGAAAACCTCGGAAATACCATCCTGGACATAGACCTGGCAAAGACTTCATGACGGAAGATGCCAAGAACAATTGCATTAAAAGCAAAAATTGACAAATGAGGGGTCCCCTAATTAAATTAAAGAGCTTCTGCACAGCAAAAGAAACTGTCAACAGAGTAAACAGACACTGTACAGAGGGGAGAAAATATTTGCAAATTATGCATCTGCAAAGTTCTAATATCTAGAATTTATAAGGAACTTAAACAAATTAACATGCAAAAATCAACCAACCCCATTAAAATGTGGGCAAAGGACATGAACAGACACTTTTCAAAAGAAGACATACACACAGCCAACAAGCATATGACTAAATGCTCCACATCATTCGTCCTTAGAGGAATGCAACCCAAAACTACAATGAGGTACCATCTCACAGCAGTCAGAATGGTTATGATTAAAAAGTAAAACAGTAACAGATGTTGGCAAGGTTGAGGAGAAAACGGAACACTTATACACTGCTGGTGGAGAAGTTAATTTGGTTCAACAACTGTGGAATGCAGTTTGGAGATTTCTCAAAGAACTTATCAGGAAACTGTCATTAGACCCAGCTCTCCCATGATTGGTTATATACCCAAAGGAATATAAATTGTTCTACCGTAAAGATACATGCGCACATCTGTTCATCACAGCTCTATTCACAATAATGGAGACATGGAATCAATCAAGATTTCCATCAATAGTAGGCTGGAGAAAGAAAATGTGGTACATGTACATCATGGAATACTCTGTAGCCACAAAAAAGAGTGAGATCACGTCCTTTGCAGCAACATGGCTGGAGCTGGAGGTCATTATCCTATGCAAACTAATTCAGGAACAGAAAACCAAAGACTGCATGTTCTCAGTTATAAGTGGGAGCTAAATATTGAGCACTCAAGGACACAAAGAGAGGAACAACAGAGACCCGGGCCTACTTGAGGGTGGAGGATGAGAGGAGGATGAGGATGAAAGGAACTACCTATCAGGTACCATGCTTATCACGAGGGTGATGAAATAATCTGAATACCAGACCCCTACGACATGCAACCTGCACATGTACCCTTGAAACTAAAAGGTTTTTTTTCCCTTTTTTTTTCTTAAAAAAAAGGGCGTTTGCTGCTGTGAGCCCCAGCTCAAGGCCGTGTGCTTCTGCTTGTTAACCCCTTTTCCTGTGTGGATGAGCATCTCTTCAGTGATTTTCCTCTTAGTCTCCAGACGGGAACCTTTAGAGGCCACAGCTGCGGAACCCGGGGCCACCTCTGGGCCAGAGCTGCCTCTGGGGGCATCCACAGAAGTGGGAGGTCACCAAGGAGAAAGCGCTGGAGCCTCGGGAATTTGGAGTCAGGGGTGGGTCCTGTACGGGGGTGTTTTCTTCTTGAGAACCCTGAAGGTAAAATAATGATGTCAGGTTTTCCTTGCAGAAAAGTGAAACCTTACATGCCGAGTGGTGCATATTCTTCAATGACTCATTTGTGACATTCTCCTTACACAAAAGCTATCTGGAATTGGCCCAAGGATGCATCAGGGTCGGAGGGGGAAGTGGGTTAAAGGGCATGTGATGTGCTTTCCGGAAAGTAGGAGGAGGCAGAGATGGTCCCACATTGAAACTGGAACCTTCCTTTGCAGCTGTACCTTGAACCAGCACCGAGGATGAGTCTGAAAATACGTCTACAGAATATTGCTGTCCGTATTCATCTTCAATGTCATTTTAATTATTGATTTGTAAAGGATTGTGACTACTGGTGTTAATGGAGGAAACTGATTTTGGTGGATGCCTGCGGAAGATGCTTCCTCCCTCGGCCTTTGTTTTCCTTTTTGAGGCCATGTTAGGGCACAGCACTCTCCCATTGCCTGCCCAGCACAGTCACCACCCACAGACAGAGTCCTGCCAAGGCAAAGGCGAGGAAATGGATACCCACAAAGGCTTATGTATCTGTATCTTTATTCACTTATGAGGGAAATGGCAGGAGCCACTGCCATTTTCGTTTTCCTATGAAGGGACAAATACTGGTTTATTTTGTGTGTAAATTGTTGCACTTTAAATGTCAACAAATACATTCTGTGATACTCTCAGGATTTTTTACATTAAAATTAAATGAGAATGTGCATTTCCTGTTCTGTGTTGGAAGCCTCCTGCACCCTGTCTACCATAGGTATTAATTATCGTGCACGTGCCCTCTGTGTGCTGTGCTTGGTTACATCACACATCTTCCAAAATAAGATACTCCGAATATTCAGGTGAGGATTCAATAAATAAAACAACTTACAAACCATTCCTTAGAAAAAAGCATTTTTCAAACATTTTACCAACTCAGACGCGGGTTTCATTTATATGGTAATATTCAAAGGCCCCCTCTCATGTTACCTTTCCAGGCCTCTCTGAGTAAATCCATTTTCAATCAGGGGTTTCACCTTGTAGGAGCTGTGACTCAAGGTTGCCCTTGTGCCCATCCCCGGCCAGCTGGCACTCCAGGGATATTATTCTACAGTCCACAACATGCATGCTGTAAAACAATAAAGCAATCACTTGGGAAAATTACAAGACCAGAATTTTTTCTCAAACTTACTAAATTTATGACAGTAAGAAGGTCATGCTGTCGGCAAAGACTCTCCTTGAACATCCAGGGCTGGGAGTTTGCAGGGCCCCTGTGTGCCACATCAGAGGTGGTGCCAGTGCACCCAGCACCACTGGATTTTGGAATTGTTAACAAATCTGCTTACCGAAAAGGATTTTCTTTTTAAAAAAGGAAAGATATTTTATTCCAGCAAACAGATGGCACGCTGAGGAGATAGAGCCTTCCTTCAAAACAAAGGTGTGCTCTGAGAGAACAAAGAGGGGGGAAATGTCTTTTATAGAGAAAGTTCCCACCGAGGTTTCCACCCTGGTCCACTATGCAAATGAGGGATGCAAACTTGCTCAGTTCTGATTGGTCCACTCAGGTCATAGTCTTTCGTTAGGTCCAGGAGGTGAAATGGGCTTTGCAGGCAGCCGTCGATTCAGACACTTAAACAAGAACAGAGTTGAAACACTGAGCACCTTGGTGGCCTCGAGTCAGCCGCTGGCCGCCGGGTTCTATTTGAATTTAGGGCCAGTCACAACTCAAGATCTGTCTTGAGGGACTGGCTCTTTCAGGGTTCACGGAAGTTTTCCTGACTTCTTCAGGCACCCAGCCCCGCTGTGCGACGGATGGTCCGGGGTGCCTGTTGCAGGGTCATCTGTGGGGTGCTTTCCACCCAGGGCCCAGGACGTTATGTGCCTCCCTTCTCCTTAGGTCCTGTCAAGGGACAGTTCTGAGGCTTCAGAATCCAGCTGGGGAGGACTGGAGCTTTGAAAGCAAATTTGCATGAGAAAAGCACCACTTCAAATTTGTTACAGAGAAATTATCCTAATGTGTATTAGAAACAGAAAGAAGATGCCACTCAAGACTTGCAACAGGAGAGAGGGGCCGAATTCCACTTAAATAAAAGAAGGGCCAGCAGAGATGTATGATGGGCAGAGAGGGGAAGGGAGACAGAAAACCACCAGGAAGAACTTGGCCAGATACCAAGAGTGCAGGAGGAAAGGCCTGGCCGGATGTCACTGTGGGGGATCCTTCCTAGGCTGGCTTAGGATTTTTGCTAACACTGGGCTCAGCTGACCAAGGACAAGTCCTCATGGAGAAGATGGCTCAGAGGAGCCTCATGAATGTCTGGTCTAAGGAGTCCTTGTCCCATTGGTTAGGGGGTCTGCATCTGTGAGCTTTTACATTTGAAGGCCTATTGTTGCATAATTATCAATCACACCTCTTCTCTTCTCAGTCCTCAAAAGGGATGAATCCCACAATCCCCAGACCACAGATGGATCTCCCATAAGGAGAGGAACTCTCAGGGAAGGTGGTATTGGATAGGACAGGTTTCCCCATTTTGCCATCCCTCAGTATTCACCTATCCACTGGGGCACGTTTTAGTTCATTGAGCCAGAGGTCCGGTTAGGGCAGCCTTCAAATGCCTCCATTTAATTAACTAGCACATTGGACATGGGAAGTTTCAGGCAACAGTTGGTAAAGAAAGGAAATGTAAATTTCCATCAAAACAGAGCTGAGTGTTAAGTCCAGGGAAGCAAGTAGAGAATGCCCACTCAAGTATAAACACACATGCATTGTATGCAAATGTGTGTGACTAAATGTAATCATACAAATATGCAAATTCTGAGATTTAAAAAGATTGCTCACACATTTCTTTTTGTTCAGTCCAGGCAGAGTTTTCTTTTCTCTCACTCCTGTGATTTCATACAAGAGCAATCATATTCCTACACATCTTTTACTTCTTAAAGACGCTTCCAGGATCTTTCTCTGTGAGGCAGCTTTCTTGGTTTTTCTCCACGCTACCTAGTATTTCACTGTGGAAATGAATCAGGATTACCGGAGTGGCTTCTCGCCCTGCTGCTGGCTTTTTGCAGCTGTGAACAACATTGCCCCTTGCAACTTTGCAAATGCTGGCACTTTTAGGGGTGGGAGATTGATTCCCAAGGGTCAGATGACTGGGTCAAAGTGTATGTGCTTCCCTAATTGTAATAGATTTTGTTTTTCACAAAGGTTGTTGAACTTTGCATTTCCACCCTTGGTGTGAGTGCTCTTCCTCTTACCTCTCGGAGGCTGCAGAGTGTCATTGCTGGTTTTAAGTTTTGCCATCCTGACCTTCATTTGCACATCCCTCCATCCACAGTCTGAGCACTGTTTCTTGCTCTGTCGGCCATTGCACCTGCTCATCTCTGAGCTGCCTCTTCCTCTGTGTAGTGGATTTTCTATTTGGACTTGCTACATGTACTCTTTTTCCAAATCTCTTGCTTGTCTATTGACATTTTATTGCATTTTCACCATATGAAGTGATTTTTACGTGTTTGAGGTCAAAGGCATCTCCTTTACAGCCCCAGAGCTTCCCATCAGCCAGCAGTCCTTCGCGTATGTGTGGACTCCCAGGAGTGTCTGCAGTGAGCTTATTATTTTATCTTTCTCCAGGAAGTCTTTTATCCATCTGCATTTTACTCCTATTGCTGATGGAAGGTAGGAGTGTGATTTTCTTTCCTTCTAAATGAGAGTGGTGCAGCCACGTTGACGGAACAGGAGGCCCCTGCACTGACACCGTCAGAACCATCTTCACTCTGTAATCAGTGGATCACACACCTCCTGGCTTCTAGGGCCTGCATTTTCCAGTGGCCCATTCCCTGGCCAGTACCACACTGATTTTAGTGCAGTGGCTGGATGGAATCTTCTGGCATCTGTGGCAAGGCCTGCACCATTCTTCTTGTGGCCCTTTTCAGGTGATCGTGGACAGTTTTCAGTCACCCTGCTCCTCTCAGCCTTGCCCCAGGTCCCTCCCCTGAGGTGATGGGTCTGATGCTCCCCCTCCCAGACCACACGGTATTGCGGTTACCGCCACTCTCACGGTCGACACCCGTGTCCCCACAGTGGTCTGCAGGGCTTCCCATGACCCCCCTCACAGCGAGCCCCCTCCCTGAGTCGTCCCATCCACACCAGCCTCTGGGCCTGGAGCACAGTCCATGTGTGTGCACAACCAACACCTCCATTACCTTCCCATGTCTTCTGCATCACAGAAGCCCACCTGGCTGCGTCTGGCAAACTGCACTGCCTGCACCCGCCCAGCCAGCCTGCTGCTGTCTTCCTCACAAGTGTGGCACACGGGTGGGAGCAGGGAGCAAGGGAGCAGCAGGAGCTCTGGGGTGCTTGCAGGGCCTGGTCTGAGGAGCAGGAGCTCTGGGGAGCGTGCAGGGCACGATCTGAGGGCCTCTCCCCCTTGCGTGCCTTCTCCACTTCCTGTCTTGTCTTTCCCCAGCTCCATCCTAACAGTTACCCTCTAAGGTTACTTTTAGTTCTGATGCGACGGGGGTACAGGAGAGATGGGGGACACCTTCTACACGGGCTCAACTGTGGCCCCAAAGAGATGTGTCCACATCTTCACCTCCAGAGGCTGAGAATGTGACCTTATTTGGAAAAAGATCCTCAAAATTAAGTTAAAGATGTGCAGATGAGATCATCCAAATTTAGGATGGGTCATAAATCCAGCAGCAACTGTCCTTGGGGAGACACACGGGGAGGAGGCTGCGTGAGGATGGAGGTGGGGGTTGGAGGGATGTGACGCCACACCTAAGAGCACTAGGGCCCCAGAGGGTGGACAAGGCAGGAAGACTCCTCTTCTAGAGCCTGCAGAGTCTGAAAACCCTGGACCACACAGCAATAACAAGACTGCCCAAGATGGGCATATCCTACCACCAGAGTCCTCACTGTGGGGCAAAGCCAACCAGGGTCTGTTTCTTGGAGGGCATCCAGGCAGCAACGCAGAGCACTAGAGGCTGATCTGTGGGAGGGAATGAGGGAAACAAAAGATCACCATGTCTACAGCCAGGGGAACAATAGGCACTGGGCCAGGAAGCCAGTACATCCTTCCAACACTCCAGAAAGGGCCATCCTGAGGGCCGAGCTGCATAGAGGATGGAGGCAGGAAACCAAGAGGGCAGACAGGAGCCAAGCTACTGCCCTGACACAGACAAACCAAGCAAATAGGACAGGGTGGGCTGGCTGGACCCACGTCTGGAGGGGCTTCAGATCCATTTCTGCAACTAGTGCCTGGAAACCCAGGCCACACAGACATCCCTGACCAGACAAACACACGCAATCAACACACACAGGCCTGGCCTGTGCACACACACCCACACATTTGCAAAGACGTGGAAATGTACTTGTCTATAATGAGGAAGGACACTTGCTTTCAAGTGAGTTCCAATGCACATTCTGCAATGTGCAAAGTGAAAATCAGCTCTGGGAAACCCAAATGCTTGGATATCCACAACTGTTGTGGGGATTTATGCTTCCTGTTCCAGAAAGCACTCATGTTTCCTAACAGATAAGATGCAGAAAACGCACGTGTGGACGCATGGGCCTCGCTCGCTGCCTGCCGCCGTCCCTGCCTTTGCATGACACTGCCTGCCTGTTGTAGACCCGCCCGGGCCCTGCAGTCACTCCTCACACCTGCCCAGCACAGACCTTGATTCCGCTCAGTCGCCTTTGGGGACTCACGCTTCAAGCGCAACCAAGCAGAATGTCAACACACACACAGTGTACTTTCGGCAGCATCACCATTTTAGTCAGGTTTATCACATTTTTTAATGATAAAAAAATTTGATTCATTGCAAAAAATAAATTCATTGGCTTAAATCCCAGGGACCTGTGTTTCTTCCTTAGGTTTAACTTTTCTCCAGCAGGTGGCTTGACCCTGGGACACACACCGCTGGCTTCAGGGACTGCAGATTTGGAGGCAGATGCCAGCATGTTGTCCAGGCTGAGGCTTGAGGCTGCCACAATGCTGGCTGGGCTGGGGTCTCCTTTCCTCTTCCACTCCAGCAGTGCGGGGAGCTGGCTGAGCCCCAGCAGCATCGCCACGGGCTGGGGGTGATGTGAGCACAGGCTGGTGTGAAGGTGGCTGCCAAAGCCTGGTCTCAGTTCCATGCCCTCCTCATGAGATGGGCATGGAGGGCTTCCAAGTGCCCTGGACAGGTTTCATCCCGGGGTTGGGGAGTGACCTCCCACAAGTCTGGCCCCCTGTGCACCATACTCCACAAAACAGGGCACAAGTGCTTCCTCCAGCGCTGCCCTGAGCCTCAGTTCCATGCCATCGCCTCTTCTGCCAGGGGTTGCTTGCAGCTCTTCTAAGGCATGGAAGGAAGACAAGGTCTGTCCAGGTGAGGTAAGGAACCCCTTGCTGTCTGGTCTATGTTCTTGTTTCAGTTTCTAAACAACCCCAAAAGGCAGGCATGCGAGTTCTAGCTTATAAATAAGGAAACTGAGGCAGATACCATGCTTCCGCTGAATGGATAAAGGTGCTCGGGAGTCTGTGTCTCATCAGCAGGCGTGATTTTGTGTGGGGAACTCTGCAGACCCGCAACACTGACTGGTTGAGCAGACGTGGAGCCCCATTCCACCCTGGCAGCTGCCTGGCCTGTGTGGTGCGCCTGTTCCCTGACAACAGCTGCCCTCCCATGCGGCCGTGTCCTGCCCACCCTGCTCAGGACCAGCGGGGAGGGTGTTAGGCTTAGGTTCTGGCCACGTCAAATGTCCTGAGCAAGAGTCTGTCACTGGTGATCTTCCTGCTCTCAGATCTAACTTCATGCAGGGAACTTGGCTCTGAGGGCCAGGGCGCTGGGGTGGTTTTGGGCAAACTCACCTGGTATCTCTGTGCTCTGGTTTCATCCCCTGTGGATGAGGGGAGGGGGGTGACTTCCTGATACAGCTGTCTGGGATGTGGCCAGGGCCCAGTGCCCGGCGGCATCTGAACAACAGCCCTGGAGGTTGAGGTCCGTCATTCGCCATGCGTCTCAGAAGGCAGCTCCACACGGGGGAAGAGAAGATGCCACCACGGGAGTTCACTCCTGGAGGAGTCACGTGAGTCATGTGATGGGTCTTGGAGAAATAAATGCAGCTCCAGTGTTGCCCCTGGGCCCACTGCAGAGGTTCGCCGGCTGCCAAGCACGTGCCCGCCATCCAGAGGGGAAGGTGGAGTCCCTGTGGGCCCCACCTCCTGGCTGGATGTTGGGCCTGGTGCATGGTCTGGCTGTGGCTGCCCTGCATGGAAGGTGCTCCCCAAGTGTCTGCAGGACACAGCACTGATGTAGGAACTTGCTGCAGAGAGCAGAGGGCCAGGCTGCTGTGAATCCCTGGGGACTGAGAGATGGGAATGACACGTACCCAGGCAGGCCGTGGGGGCATGGTGTGTCTGCAGGTTTCTCCCTGAATCTCTGGGACCTGCAAGAGGACAGGCACAGCCGTCAGCGGCTCAGCCCGACCCGCAAGAGGACAGGCATGGCTGTCAGCGGCTCAGCCCACCGTGGCTCTCTGGGCAGCTCATCAAGGCAATCCTGCTTGGGCCGACATGATTTTATAGAGGAGAAACTAAAATGGGGTAAGTACTTTACCCAGGGTGGGCCAGCTTCCGTGGAAAAGCTCATATTTTAGACGATTTTGTGGAATGCCGCAAAGTCTGTGTTTGTTACCCTGGGTCCCCAGACTTTCCCATCTCCTTCGCTCTTCTCTTCCCTTAGATTCTCCCATCTCTGTCTCCTGTCTGTCTCCCTCCTTTCCCTGTCTCTTCCTCTCTCCTTCTCTCACTCCCCTTCTCTGTCTGTCTGTCTCTGTCTGTCTGCTTTCTGTCTCTCTCTCACACTCGCTCCCCTTCTCTCTGCCTCCGTCCCTCTGCCTCTCTCTCAGGCTTTTCTGTCACTCCTCCCCTCCCCCCAGCAGTGGAAGGGCCTCTAGGACTTTCTTCTGGAAGTTTCCCTGCACGTGGGGAACTCCCCTGCTCCTAAGCAGGGGCCCCTTCATGCTCATCTCCCATGTTCCCTCTGGGGGCCTGTGCTTGCTCACCCCTGCCTCCACTCCTGTCCTCATTCCCCTCTCTCCCTTAGCTATGAGGAACAGGGGATCCGAGGCTTGCTGTTAGATAAACCCGTCTCGTGACTAAACTTCCCGTGTCTAGCTGGTGAACAGTCTTCATTCCTCATTGAAAAGGAGGTAAAACAATGGATTAGCATGTCAGCTGAGTTGTTTACAATTGCGTGTGGACTTTGTTGGCCTTCCTGTCTTTAAGTGGCCTGCATGGAGATGGAGTCCCCAGGCACCTTTACAGAGAGCGCCTGGTGTCGGAAGCCAAACAGGAGAGTCGGGACCTGCCCACTGCTTCGTTCGGCCTTGAAGCCCTGCAGATGCCAGAAGAAAACACACACTGGTGTGTTTCACTCACTCATCTTGGAGGCCTCCAGAACCGACCTGAATCACGCACAACACGGTGAATCCAAGCTGAAGCGGGCAGCTCCCCGCTACCCCCAGAGCACACGAGACTGGCTCCGCTGCCGGGTCTGGCCTGACACACCTGCCGAGCCGGCCTCTTGCTGCCTTTTTTAATTTTGGAAGCCCAGGTGGATTCCCACATCCCCACATTTACATTTTCTTCTAAAAATGGACCGCCGTAATTATATGTTAAATATGATTCAAATCTGCAGGGAACTGTGACTCAATAAGCATGGAAAAATTAATGAAAAGCTTAATTATTATAATAATACCATTAAAATCTAATAAAGGAAGAAAAAACTGGAGTTCATTTTATTTTAGCTTGGGCATCTAATATCATTTTTCCCCCTTTAGCAGAACTATAATTAAATTAGACTTGGGTTTTCAGAAAAGCTGAATTATCTGCATTGGTGCTTAAAAATATTAGGGAGCAAGAGAGAGGAGCCTGGGAGACAGCGTGAGATGGCCCATGCGCAATGCTCTCCCGTGGCATCCATCCTGAGGGCTGCCACTCTCAGTCAGTCCACCTTTCCCACCGCTTTTAATGATTGGTTCATCTCCAGCAGCTCTGATTCCTTCTTCGGCCTTTCACGTACAAAGTATCCAGGTATTTAAGGCTCAGGGTATTAATTCAATTAACAATAATGTAAGAGCAGGCAGATGCTCCCCAGCAAAGAAAGTCTCCTCTTTTCACTCTTGGCCTCATATGAACTCACAAGAGACCCCACTGTAAGCTCCACCACCAACATTAGCTACTTGATTTTCAAATGAAAGGAATATGTTTTTATTCATCAAATGGTTTTGATGAAAACTAAACAGGATCCTTCCCTCACAGCTTGGATGCCAGGCACGGAGGTAGGAGTGCCAATCTTTGCCACAGGATGAACTTAGTAGGAGACTGTGTTTTGTTAATAGATAATAATTGCCTTCTACTGCTAATTTATCTTGAAGAGCATGTGTGTTCCCCTCTGCGTCCCCCTCTCCGTGTGTGGGTGTAAGAGGGATGCGTGGGGGCAGGGGCTTTGCTGACCAGCCCTCAAGTTCTGCGGTTCATTCACTGCTTCGCCCCCCTCCCCCAGAGGACGCCCCCTAGTCACCCCTTCCAGAGCTCCCATGGGTTTCCCTGTGTCTTTTTCAGTCTGGTTTCAATGCTTTTTGCAGGCACAGCCGCGGCTTCTCAAATTTCAGAGCTTTTAACCCAAAGAAATAAGAGGCCAAGCATCCGCTGCTGAAGCCGTCCTTGAGTGCCCTGCATGCATCATCCTTAAAGCCTCAAAATAATTTGAGAGTCTCATGTGGTCCAAAGCAAACACAGTCAGGATTTTCTCTATTTATCTTAATTTCTCCACCAGCTCTCAGATCTGATGGTCATTAACATGCACATTTAGGATAATCTGGAGGGCATTTCAGACTGCAGACAGGCTGGCCCCAGGTTTTGCCTGGGAGGGCGGTCTGAGGCCAGCAGGAATACTGTACCGGGGCTCAGGCCGTCACCCGCAGCCAGCATGGAGAACGCTGTCCTGACACAAGTCACTGCATCTTCTCATGGGCATGTTAAAAAAAGAAAAAGGAAAAGAAAGAAATGGAATTAACATGTTTTCCCATTAAGAAGTTATGAACTGCTGTAGTTCCGACAGTGTTTGCTTTATACAGTTTTATTACCCATTCCATATTTCTTGAATTGTATCTTGAAATCTCAGCATCAACTCTCTATTACAATCTAGCTTTAAAAATAAACACCCACTTGTAGATATGTATCCATATGAATCTGTGCCTGTGTACGTTCATTCTTAATAATTGATTTTTGACATATCACATCAGTTATTTGGGGAAAACGTCATGTGGAAATCAAAGTGCATTTGGTCTCTGGCAAGGGGTTTGGGAAAGCACTACATGACGACTTTGCGAAGCCTCTTTCCCCTGCATTTCAGAAGTCATGAGCTGTTAAGGGAAATGTGGACCGTGTGTTTGGAATTCATTGACACAGAAGTCATCGGCATACTTGGTAAGAGATATCTGATGCCCAGAAAGCCTTCTCAACTAGTTTCCATATCTTTAGCTTTTGAAAAAAGAGGTAATAACTGAAAACAAAATAATACAGAAACCTCAGAGGATTAAAATAGAGTGGAGACAGCAGACATGCACAATGACCAAAAATGTTTAACTCGGTAGAAGGTAGTTCACCAACCCAAAGCAAATTCCTGGCAGCTCCTATCACTGGTTTATGTAACATGGTGAAAACTGTTAAATGTCTTTCAGAGGAAGACTCATGTAGGTGATTACAGGCAGGAACACAAAAGACATGTTGCATGTTCTTTTTCTTTTGAAGCAGGTAATGTTGTGCAACAAGCAGCATAATATCAAAGTTCTGAGCTTCTTTTTTTGAACTACCCCCTTTGTCTTTTCTCTTAGATTATAGGCCAGAGAAACCCCAAAACGTGAAAATGTGGCCTTCATTCGAGTTCAACTGTGGCCTCTGCTCATGCTTGGAACGTGACCAAAGAGATGGTTTTCTATTTTTAGTTTGAGAAGTCCTTTACATTTTCTCTTTTTAGTATAGACACAGTCAAAGATTTCATTCATCATTTATATTCTAATGTTTGGCTTGTGTCAGCCATTCTGTAAGGTACAAGTTGACCAACCTTCTCTTGGTGAACAGGTGAAATTTGGGTGGTCCACGGTAGGCCCAGTGGATTGGTCCATTGATAAACTCAGTAAGTGGTCTTTGGTCTTTACGTCTCTTTGTGATGGAAACCCATCGTCAGTGATGCCAACACTACCTGCGTTAGTGTTTACTTGGCCCCCCCGCCAGCTCTTCCTAGGGAGTAACAGGCTTTGGAGCAGCTCTTTCCAGAGCTGTGGCTCTACTTGGCTATTTCCATGGTCAGAGAAGGCAGAGGGGTGGAGACAGAGGGTCGGGTAGCAAGGAGAGGACTGGAGACCAGGACCCAGCAATCTCTGAAGGCTTCCCGGGGCTGCTCACCAGGTTGTGAGAGTCAGGCGGGGTTTCAGTGGAAGCCCCATCTTGAGATCTGCTCTTCTGTCCCAGAATTTGGGGGAAAGAATTGTGTATTTGGCCAGGCATGGTGGCTCATGCCTGTAATACCTGCAATTTGGGAGGCCGAGGCAGGTGGATCATCTGAGGTCAGTAGCTCGAGACTAGCTTGGTACATGGCAAAACCCCGTCTCTACTAAAAATACAAAAAATCAAAAAATTAGCCAGGCGTGGTGATGGGAGCCTGAAATCCCAGCTACTTGGGAGGTTGAGGCAGGAGAATTGCTTGAACCTGGGAGGTGGAGGTCGCAGTGAGCTGAGATCATGCCATTGCACTCCAGCCTGGGCGACAGAGTGAGACTCTGTCTCAAAAAAAAAAAAAAAAAAAAAAGTAAGAAAAAGAATTGTGTATTTGTGCGTTTCTTTTCCTGCATGAATTTAAAAAAGTTAGAATAAAAATTAAATCTTTAAAAAGGTCAGAGATCCCCTCCCTGGCCTTTGAAAAGGCACCTCATCATATATGAAGGAAAGAGGCCTCACATCAGGATTGAAGAAATTCACTATCTCTAGAGCATCAGGAATGATCTAGAAACCAACCTCAGTCTCAGATCACTGTCTGCCAGGAGGAAAAGCCCAGCTGCTCAGCACCTCAGTGGCCAGTCCTGAACCAAACCCTTGTTGAGGGCTGCCCTCTGCTTACAGAAAGAAGTCCGCACTGTAGACTCCTCCTGCTAGCTCCTCCCAACACAACCTCATTTAAATCCAAGGGTACAGGAGCCCCATAGGACATCAAGATTAATTTATGACATAGCAGTCCCAGCCTCTCTTAACTGTTCTTCCAGCTCTGGGCCTGAGTTAATTTGTATTTTATTTTGTTTTTAAAATTTCTTCCTAAGCATACACACACACACACACACACACACACACACACTATATTTTACACATACATGTAAATGCATTTATACTTAACATTATCACATAAACATCTTCTATGTTATTACAAATATTCTTAAATGTCCTGGACCATGAGCTTCACTTCACTCCTGTCTAACCCTATTTTACTTAGTGTTTTCTGGCATTAAGAATGTGAGTCCTTTGGCATCTCCCAGCCCCCCTTCTTTGCCCAGCCACCCCAGTCCAGGGGCCCACATGCAGTAGGGAGCCCCAGGACCATTCTTTCCAGAAGTTCAGGGAGGCCCAGAGCTTGGGTTTAGCTCCAGGGTAGGACAGACCTTTCCCACCAGCCAGGCTGGATGGGGAACAATTGCCAACTCTATAGCACCAGCCAACCTACTTCATCTCTGCACGCTAGTTTTCATTTTACTTCTTAGGCCTTAACAAGAAATAGCCACTTATTTTAAATAAAGAAAATGTCTTCCACAAAATCAAGTTGTGTGTCTCGTCCCTGACGTTGGCAAACATAACTTAGGCTTGAAGCAGGAAACAGAGTTTATGGTGTGAATAGTTCTCAAGCATGCAGCGTCTGTGCATGCCCTGAATGTGCACCCATTTCCTCTGCCTCCTTCTCCTTCACCCATCAGGAACTGCAGCAAGCAAGCAGTCACATCACACCTCCCAACCACATGCAAAGAACCAAAAAAGCAGCTGCCAGAAAAGCTTCGGGAAATTTTCAAATTAGATCTTCAACTGCAGTAAGAGTCATATTTAAGTAAAAGCACATCAGCCCGGCTGAGCTCTGTGCCACCACTGCACCCCACACCCCTCCTGCTTTCTCCCCCAAACAATTTCCAGCTGACGTTTAGTGAACAGAAAATGTTTTATGAGCTTAAGAGAACACAGAGATAGTAATCTGCTGGGGCTGCCATAAAATGCCGTGAGTTGAGTGTCTTAAACAACGTAAGTTTATTTTCCCACAGTTCTGGAGACTGGGAAATCTGAGATGGAGACTGGTGGGTTTGAGTTCTGGTGAGGGCTCTCCTTCTGGCTTGCAGACAGCCGCCTTCTTGCTATGGCCTCACATGGTCTTTACCTCTCATTGAGGTGTTTGGACCACAATATTCTGGAAAACCTTTCCTCTGGCATTATGCTCTATACCTCTATCTTTTTAGGACCACACATGCCATTCAAAGAAAGGGCTGAAGCATGGAGTTCAGAAACAAGTGCTGGGCTGTGCAGACAGCCTGGGAATCCACAGGCCCACCCGGCTTCAGGGCTCTCAGGAGCAACTTCAGGGGCCTACACAATTCGTCTTCTGAGGTTGTCTCCAAACTCACAGGAAGCAAGAGGGTTTCTATTCCAGCTCCCCTCAGGTAGCAACAGGCAAGGCACGCAAAAGTGTGTGATGGGAGGCAGGCAGTTATTGCAGAAATGGGATAGGTCCCCATGACAGAAGGGAAGAAACCAACAGAGGATTCTTCCCGGGAGCCCCAGGTTCAGCAAGTCACACCTCTCCCATGGGGCAAGGCAAGGCAGATGGTCGTGGGCCTCCTGCAGCACAGACATCCTTCTGTCCACTCAGGAGTGGAGTCCAGGCCCTCAGGCAACTGAGGCTAGAGCACTGAATCAGGGGACTGAACAAGACCATGCCTGAGTTGCAGATACGGCCACCTGGCACCTTGCAAACACACGCAAGTGACAGGTCCCCTTGCAGAGCAGAGCACTCAACTGCTCTGCCCAGGACCCCTGGGAAACAGCTCCTCAGTCTGCCGGTGAGGTGGCCACCCACCATCTCAAACTCCACAAGGGAGCACTCTATTTGGGGGCAAACCACACATAATTAACCCAAATGGACCTGCCATGGTGGTCGTCCCCCCACCCCCACCCCGAGCTGGCAGTCCCCGTCAGCAGATCCCAATCTTTGTTTCAATAAGGGGCACCCATTTGGTTGGCTGTAAAACCCTGTGTGGGTTCTTTTGCAACAATGTTAAGATTGCACAGAAACCGGCGTTCTCCTGTCCTCTGAGTGCTGTCCTCACGCTGCTGTCCTCACCTGGGCCTGGGAATACCTGCACACATTGCTGAGTCATGTGTACAGGATAACGAGAGCTCCTCCCCTTTGTGCAGACACAAGGAAAGAGGCTGCACCCCATTCATTTGAACGCCTGGCACGTTCTTCATCAACTCCATGGAAATTCTTCTTTTTTTTTTGAGACGGAGTCTAGCTCTGTCGCCCAGGTTGGAGTGCAGTGGCACGATCTTGGCTCACTGCAAGCTCCGCCTCCCGGGTTCAGGCCATTCTCCTGCCTCAGCCTCTGGAGTAGCTGGGACTACAGGCGCCCACCACCACGCCCGGCTAATTTTTTGTATTTTTTCTTAGTAGAGATGGGGTTTCACCGTGTTAGCCAGGGTGGTCTCGATCTCTTGGCCTCGTGATCCACCCACCTCGGCCTCCCAAAGTGCTGGGATTACAGGCGTGAACCACCATGCCCGGCCTGGAAATTCTTAAGTGCTTAGAGTGAAATGCATTTTGTCAGAAGCCTATGAGGTTTTAAAACTCCGTATGTCTTTTTAATGACTAGCTGAATTCTCACCGATTCGTGAAGCCCGCAGAGTATGATGTACATGTTCTAACAACTACTAGGGCCAAGCATTTTGGAAAAAAAAAAAAAAAACATGGACAGCTTACTTTCACCAAATGTTAAAAGAAGGCATAAAATGAAATGACATTTATTTTACAATGGCGGAAGTCCTCAGGAAATGAAATGTGCTAATACATTTTAGCTCGTATGTATCCTTCTGATCACACCCATGTCCAAACAAGTGGTTTTCAAGCTTAAATGGGAAGAAACAATCTATGAATATTAAAGAAAATATGTATTCTTTGTACACTATTAAAGCAGGCTTAAAGGACAGATGAACCTCCAGCCGGGCTCAGTGGCTCACGCCTATAATCCAGCACTTTGGGAGGCTGAGGCAGACGGATCACCCGAGGCCAGGAGTTTGAGACCAGCCTGACCAACATGGTGAAACCCAGTCTCTACTAAAAATACAAAAATTAGCTGGGCGTGGTGGCTCATGCCTGTAATCCCAGCTACTTGGGAGGCTGAGGCAGGAGAATCATTTGAACCCGAGAGGTGAAGGTTGCAGTGAGTCGAGATCGTGCCATTGCACTCCAGCCTGGGTGACAGAGCGAGACTCTGTCTTGAAAAAAAACAAACAAAAAAGACTGACGAACCTCCGCAGTGATTCTGGTCACTCCAGGAGCATGTTGTCCATTTGCCAGTGGAGAGGGCCTTGCCAGGGTGGAGCAACCATATTGGAGTCACGCTGGAACCCCACAGCCCCTAACACGGCCCCTAACAGGAGGCTTCTGAATGCCACAGTCCTCCCTCTCAGTGCAGTGTAGAGGCCACCAAATTCAGATCCTGGGGGTGTCGGGGAAGGCAGTCTTCAATGCAGATTCCTGGGCCCCATTCCAGAGCTACTGAATCAGAATTTTGGGATGGGGGTGAGCTTAGGACATTTATTTTTAACAAGCTATGAAGATGAGACCGACACGCTGTAAATTTGGAGAGTTACCAATGCACACCACGGGACTGGCTCATGCAAGATTTTCCATCTCTTCGGAATGCACAGAGTGTGTCTTGTTGGAGAGAGAATCGGAAGAGACTAAAAAAGGTTTCCCCAAACTGAATGTGCTCTCACATGACTGGAGCTCCGTGTCTTTGCGTGTGGGACCGTTTCAGTTAGAGGAGGTTTATGCCTTTGCGGTGATGTTTTCCCACTGTAATACAACGTCCCAGTGTCTACGACACATGCTGCCTTTCTGAGGTCCACAGTGTGAACCTGAAGGAGCTGGTCCTCAAGACCGGCTTAAATTCAAGGTGGAGGCACCTGGCGGTCTGCTGACTGCAGGTCACATGTGTATTCTGCTTTCCTGGCAGAAAACACACATTTGTGTCATCTTGGGACCCTCAGGGTTGCCTGTTCCTGTTCACGGTGCCTGAATTGATGGCTGATGGGAAGTCCCACTTCTCCTTCTGGACCTACACAACAGACCTTGGCCTACGTCAGTCTTATCAACCATTGCAAATAAAACAAGCCTCCATCCCCTATTTACATAGTGGACCAGGATGCTTGGTCTATGTCAATCTTATCAACCAATGCAAACCAAACAAGCCTGCATCCCTTATTTACGCAGTGGACCAGGATGGGAGACTAGGAGGAAAACTTTTCTATAAAAGACAGCCCCTCTCTTGGTTGTCATGGAGCGCACCTTTGTTTTGTACCAAGGACTGTGTCTCCCCGGCTTGCAAACTACTCTACTATTTGTAGAAACAAAGTCTCTCACTTAACCTAATACTTTTTTCTTGGTACTTTGGTTAGCAATGGGGATTGTAGCTATCTTGTACTTTGGTTAGCAATGGGGATTGTAGCTAAAGTGCCACTTTCATCACTACGACGCTGATTGTCTTCAGTTGCCCAAGGATTAAAATGTAACCATGATGAATTTCGAGTCAGGAAACACGTCACAGTGGGATTCTATTTCCCTGGATTCCCTTAAAGACACGGACACATACTCACTCAGGGCACTGATGAGGCTACTAAAAGGAATAAAAGACGGTATCACTATGGGGCCCTTGAGGAAACAGTTCTGCGAATCCTCCACGCCTCATTCTGTCACGGGAGAGAGTCTCTGCACTTCTATTTTCAGCAGGCCAACATTTCTCTGTGTTGCTTGTGATGATCTTATGAGGGGCCTGGAGAAATATGTACACATAGATTTTAGCATGAGTCTTGCAGCACTGCGCTTAGCAGAGTGTCTTCTCTTACAGAGCATCCCTGCGCTTGGAGTTGGGGCGTGGAGGACTGTCCACTTCACCTGACCCCGGAATGTGGCCCAGAGCTACTGACAAGGGCCGTCCTTTGTGAAACAGAGGACTATATTGTGCTCATCTCCAGCTACGTGTGTGCGTGTCTTTGTGTGTTTTCTGTGAGTGTGTGTGACTGTGTTTTCTGTGTATTTCCTCTGTGTGTGCTTCCTGTCTGTGTGTTTTCTCTCTGTATGTTTTTTGTGCATATGTGTGAGTGTGTTTTCTGTGTGTGTGTTTTCCTCTGTGTGTGTGTGTGTGTGTGTGTGTGTGCGTGTCCCCAACCTCACCAAGCATAGCTCAGGGACCTCTGTGTGTTTTCTCTCTGTATGTTTTTTGTGCATATGTGTGAGTGTGTTTTCTGTGTGTGTGTTTTCCTCTCTCTCTCTCTCTCTCTGTGTGTGTGTGTGTGTGTGTGAGTGTCTCCAACCTCACCAAGCATAGCTCAGGAACCTCAGTTGTCCCTTGAAAACACCGTGCTGCCAGGTACTAGACACAAATGTGACTTTAAACGTGACCTTTACGCTCAAGCATCTTGTAGTCTAGATGAGGAAGAGAGAGGAATGGAACACCACATCCTCTTCAGAGCCAGGTGCTATGGGAAAGTTCCTGGCTGTCTTTGCAGACCACACACCAAGACAGCTATTGTGATCACCACTTTATAGTGACCAGAATGTGTTCAGCAAGGCAGCCTGCCCACAGCCTGGAGAACTTACAATTTTTTCCAGGCGTGATCAAAAGCAACCAAACAAACAAATGTTTTCACTCCATAAACTGATATGTGCCAGGGAGACTTGTCCTGCTGTTTATGGAATGTGGGGGCACTTAGAGTGGGGGTGAAGGCTTGGCTCAGAGGAACCAGCAGCTGTGTTATCAGAGACAAAGGGAAGTGACAACACAGTAATTTACAATGATCCCTGCCCAAATTATCTCAGCACTCCGACTAAGAGCAGTGTTCCTGGGCAAGGAGAACACACAATTTCTCACCTGCTGAAGAATGTGGAAGCCACAGGCAGTGTGGCTGGAAGTTCCCATCGTCCCTCCATGAGTGACTTCATAAAGCTTCCATCAGGCACCTGGGCCTGGCTGCCCTCCTGCTCGGATTATTCTAAATATAAACAAACGACCCCCAAGGCCCGTGCTAACTCAATCACACTTTTACATGTCTCAGGCCAGTCTGCTGTTTAGATTTCCTGGCAATATCCTTGCAAGTCTTCTGTATTCCTTTTTGGATGTATCTTCATTTACTGTTACAATTTTTCTGCCTTCCTTTTGCCTCCTTCCAGGTGAACAAGACAATAATCTAAGAAGACATTCATATAAAAATTAATGGAACCAACTGCAGGAACTGCCAAATGTTATGTTGCTCACAGAAGTTTTGACTTTGAAAGATAAGCAGCTTCTATTTATTCCATGCTCCAATTAGGGCAAACACAAAACATTTTCTATCTGCTAAGATATATGTATTATATATGTACATATATATGAAATAAAAGTATAAATAACTGACTTAATTCTACATTCTTTCAAAATGAGGAAACAGGTCTAGCTTCTACAATTGTTCTTTGTTTTTTCCATTATTTAAGCAATTTCAAGAACTTAGAAGTTTCCCCTGCTTTGTAGGAAATAATAAAGTAAGATCCCACGTACTCCAGTTTCCCTCACTGGTAACATCTTTTTTTTTTTTTTTTTTTTTTTTTTTTTTTTTGAGACGGAGTCTCACTGTCACCCAGGCTGGAGTGCGGTGGCGCAGTCTCGGCTCACTGCAAGCTCCGCCTCCCGGGTTCACGCCATTCTCCTGCCTCAGCCTCCCGAGTAGCTGGGACTACAGGCGCCCGCCACCACGCCCGGCTAATTTTTTGTATTTTTAGTAGAGATGGGATTTCACCGTGTTAGCCAGGATGGTCTCGATCTCCCGACCTCGTGATCCGCCCGCCTCGGCCTCCCAAAGCGCTGGGATTACAGGCGTGAGCCACCGCGCCCGGCCCACTGGTAACATCTTGCAACACTGTAGTACAATGTAACAGACAGGAACCTGACACTGACACAATCCAGGCTCAGAACTTTCCATGTACAAGAATCTCCCTGTCGCTGTTTGATGTCCACACCCGCTTCTTCCCACCCACCCTCCTCCTGAGCCTCTGGCAACCACCAATCTGTTCTCAATTTCTAAAATTTGATACATAAATGTAATCACACAGCATGTAACTTTGTGAAATCGTTTTTTTTCCCTCAACATAATTCTTGGGAGGCTCACTGATGTGGCTGCATGGATCTATAGTTCATTCCTTTTTATTGCTGAGTAGTATTCCGTGATGTAGACAGACCCGTTTGCTTAACTGTTCACCCATTGAAGGACATCTGGTTTGTTTCTAGTTTTTGGCTGTTATGCTAAAGCTTCTATGAATAGACATTTTTATTTTTTGGGATAATGACCCAGGCATGCAGTGCAATTGCTGGGTCAAATGGTAGTTGCATGTGTGAAAGCTGTCAGAGTCAAAATGGAGTCACTTTTGTTCAAACAAATAAGCCCTGACAAATAGAGCCAGAAAAGGCCTTGGAGGGAAGATTCTCATGAATAAATGACTGACAGCAAGAACTATCATAAAAAATGGCAAAAAACAGAACCTTGCACAAAGGCCATTGCAACCCCTGCACACACACACACACACACACACACACACACACACGATATTCCTGTAAGAACACCCCCATGCCTCTCCAACCTGGGACTGGAGTCCGTCTTGTTTTTGACACCTGTAGCCAAGGGTAATTATCTCAAGACAATTATGTCATCTTCCTCAATTTCCCTTTAAAAACTTTTGTCTTCTTTGACCTCCCTGAATACACACATTGTTTGCTATGGCATATGTCTCCCACTGCTACGTCCTATTCCTGAATAATATCATTTTTCTTTAAAGAGCCTCTCTGTTGTTATTTAGGTTGACACGTTTCCCTAACAAACTACAAAACTGTGCTGGGCGCGGTGGCTCATGCCTGTAATCCCAGCACTTTGGGAGGCTGAGACGGGCGGATCACGAGGTCAGGAGATCGAGACTATCCTGGCTAACACGGTGAAACCCAGTCTCTACTAAAAATACAAAAAATTAGCCAGGCGTGGTGGCGGGCGCCTGTGGTCCCGGCTACTTGGGAGGCTGAGGCAGGAGAATGGTGTGAACCCGGGAGGCGAAGCTTGCAGTGAGCCGAGATAGCACCACTGCACTCCAGCCTGGGTGACTGAGCAAGACTCCATCTCAAATAAATAAATCAATAAATAAATATAAAAAAATAAACTACAAAACTGTCTTCAGAATGATTGTACCATTTTTACATTCTCACTGGCTATTTGGGAGAGTTTTAGCTTTTCCACGTCCTTGAAACATTTGGTGGTGTCACTGTTTTTTTTTTTTTTTAATTTTAGCAATTCTGAAGGCTGTGTAATGATGTCTCATTTTCGTTCAATTTGCATTTCCCTAATTGCTAATAATATTGATAATATTTTTATGTGCTTTTTTGCCATCTGTATATTGTCTTTGATGAAATGTTTGTTCCTGTCTTTTTCTCATTTTCTACTTGATTGTAAAAAATACTTTGAAAGTTCTTTATATAATCTAGCTATTAGCCTGAGATGGCCACGTTGTTTCCAAATATTTTCTCCTAGTGTGTAGCTTGCAATTTTATATTTTAACATTTTTTCCCATACAGTGAAGGTTTTTAATTTTAATGAAGTCCTATTTATCAAGTTTTCTCTTCTGTGGATCATATTTGGTGTCATTGTCTAACCTGTATCATAGGACCATTGCCTAACCTGTATCTCAAAGGTTTTCTCCTATGCTTTTTTTCAAAGGTTGTATGATTTTACAGTTTATATTGAAGTCTATGATCTATTTTGAGTTATTTGTGTATAAATTGTAAGGTTTACTTCAGGGATTTTTTTTTTTCTTTTTCTGACCTGTGGATGCTCAATTGCACCCAGAACCCTTTGTTGAAAGATTCTCCTTTTTAATTGCTTTTGGAGTTTTGTCAAAAATAAGTTGGACATATTTGTGTGAGTCTATTTCTTGGTTCTCTGTTCTGTTCCCTTAATTTATGTGACCATTTATCCACCATTTATCACTCAGTCTTCATTACTGTGGCCATAAAATAAGTCTTGAAACCAGTTAGATTGTTTCTTCTCACTTTATTTTTCCATTTCATAATTTTTAACTCTATTCTTCTTTCTCATAATTTTTAACTCTTCTTGTTCTTTCTCATTTCTATACAATTTTTTTTGAGCAATATTGTCTATATCTGCAAAAAAACCTTGCTAGGATTATAACAGGTCTTGCATTAAACCATGTTAAACCATCCTTTTACTTTCAATCTGCCTTTATTGTTAAATTTGAAGTGAGTTTCTTGTGGGCAGTATATAGTTGAGTCATAGTTGTCTTTTTAATTATGTATGTATGTGTGTATGTATGTAGGTATTTACTTATTTGAGACAGGGTCTTACTCTGTCACCCAGGCTGGGGTGCAGTGGTGTGATCATGGCTCACTGCAGCCTCAGCCTCTTTGGGCTCAGGTAATCCTCAGCCTCCCGAATAGCTGGGACCACAGGTGTGTGCCACGACCCATAGCTAATTTTTGTATTTTTTTGTAGAGACTGGGTTTGTCATGTTTTCCCTACTGGTTCCAAGCTCCTGGGCTCAAAAAACTCACATGCCTCAGCCTCCCAAAGTTCTGGGCTTACAGGCATGAGCCACAGCACCTGGACATAGTTGTCTTTTTAAAAAAATCCACTAAATCAATCTCTGTCTTTTAAGTGATATTAGACCATTTATATTTAATGCATTTATTAATGTGTTGGAAATTAAAACTTTTTTTATGTGTTTTCTCTGTGTCCTCTGTTTTTCATTCCTGTTTCTTTATCCAATGAGTTACTTGAACTTTTTGTTTTTCAAATTTAGTTTTGTTATACCTATAATTTTTTAGAGTATTTCTTTATATAGCATTATAGGGGGTGCTCTAGGTATTATATTATATATTCAAAATGTTTCACAGACAACTTGTGACAATATTTTACCAGTCTGAGTGAGATATAGAGACCTTACTCTATATCTCCTTGTTTATAAATTTTTTTATAAACCATCCTTGTTTATAAATAATTTTACCCTCCTTGTTTATAAATAATTTTAAGTATTTCCATGCAAATATTTAGAAGTAAATCAAGTGCTGCTAAAATTTTTGTTTCAATTATCGAACGTAATTTGTAAAATTCAAGAAGAAAAACCGATTGAATTTGCCCATAATTTCAAAAGCTTCCTTTTTTATTTCTGATATTCCAAGATTTCTTCTTTTATTTTCTTTTTGTTTCAAGAAATTTCTTTCGTCATTATTTTAGGGTAAATCAGCTGATGAACAGTTTTTTCTTAGTTTTTCTTCATCTGTGAATGTCTAGATATACCCTTCATTCCTCAAAGATTCTCACTTGGTTGTGATTCTGGGTTAATAGTTCTTTTCTTCCAGTGGCAGGAATGTTGTGCCACTTCCTTCCATAGTTTACTTTGAGAAATCTGCTGTACTTTGAACCATTTTTTCACCTATGGGTAAGGTATTACTTCTCTTTCAAGACTTTAATTGTCTTTAGTTTTCAGAAACTTGACTATGATGTGTCTTTGTATAAATTTGGGAAACTGTATTCCTTTGGAAATTTTATTTTGGGAAACTTTTGCTCAGCTTCTTTAACCTAAAGATTTCTGTCTTTTATCATACTTGGGAAATTCTCAGCCATTATTTCTTAGAGAACTTTTTAATCTCTTTTTTCTTTCCCCTTTCTTTTTGTGACTCCACTGACATAAATGTTAGTTTTTTTTTTTAAAAAAAAACATTGTCATACAGATCCTGAGGCTCTGATAACATTTTTTTTTCTATTTGCTCTCAGCTGTTCAAATTGGGTGGTTTCTATTATTCTATTTACAAGTTTACAATTTCTGTTTCTTCTGTGCTAGTGTCAAGTAAACTCTTTTTTTAAATTCTTGTATTTTTAGTTTTAAATTTCCACTTGGTATTTTTTTTTTTTTACGTCTTCTGTTTGTTTGCTGGGATTTTCCCATTTTCTACTTTTGCTTCAAGTGTGTTCGTATGTTTCCCTGAAGCCCCTTTTGTTCATGGCTGCTTTGAATTTTTGTCAGACAATTTTAACATTTATGACACCTCTAGTTTATGGTATCGTGAGTGATTTTTAATGGAAATCATAATATTTTTATATTCTATTTTGAGACTCAGGGTCTTCTTTATACTGTTTAATTTAGCTGATATTTTCTGACACACTTCAACAGTGGAAGGATGTGGGGCTGAATGTCCAAGTTCCCAATAACCTCCTTTGCCATCACAAGGGAGGGGTTGTTCTTCCTGCAAGCCTGGGTGGGCACTCTGGCTTCTCCTGGGGGCTCCATTGTCCCACTGGTGGGGTGGCCTCACTGCTGCTGGGCAGGTGTGAAATTCCTGATTCTCTACCAGGCCTCCCCATCCAGAAGCAAGGGGGAGGTGTGTACCTCATGACTGGTGCTTGGGGTGGAAGTTCAGGCTCCTCATGTGGTCCCCCGATCTTGGGTAGGGGGCCTGGTTACTCCCCAGTGGTGAGGAGAATCCAGCCTCCCTACTTGGCCTTCTCTGCCACTACCTGGCTGGGACGTTGGGCTGTTTCATTACAGCCTCATGAGGGTGGAAGTCTAAGTGCTCCCCTGGCCCTGGCTGCTGTGGGTTTGGTGGGGCCATGGTTTTTAGGTGGCGTTTGGCAGGGAGTAGTGTGGATTTATCTAAAGTTTTCTGTCTTGCTAGGCTGCTCCTTTCCTGGTCTTTTGTATACAGTGAGTGCTTTTCTTGAACTGTTTTTCTGCACCTGCTGGAATCTCTGAGTTGCTAACTTTAGCATCAAGTCTGGGATTTCTGAAGCAGAAAGAAAACTCAGCTAATTCATCACCATGTCCTTCACCCTGGGTCCCAGGTTTTCCAGCCGGTCTGTCCTCTCTCCACCTTCCAGAGTCATTGTATATTTGTTTCCTATATAATGTCCAGAGTTTTTAGGTATTTTTAGAGAAAGAAATAGGAAAAATGTACTCCATCTTCCCCAACAGAAGTTCTGTCATCATTCATTTTTCTCCAAAAGAATTTTTCTAAATCTTGGGGATATCAACATGTGAAAACATCAGTTTTATACTTCGAATTTGAAAGTATATGGACTGACTATGCCACTTTCATGAGACAACATTTCAGTCAGGTGTAAAAAATGTCCCTTGTTTTTAATAACCAAAGTCTCTTAAAAGCATATAGTGTTAGACGATGATTTTTAAAAATCATTTGTAAATCATTTAAAAATAATTTGTCAAAAATTGTCCAAATGCCACTTTAACATCAAAAAGAAATATGTACTATTCTTCTTTTGATTTTCTATTTATTATTATTATTCTTTATTATTATTATACTTGAAGTTCTGAGGTACATGTGCAGAACGTGAAGGTTTGTTACATAGGTATACATGTGTCATGGTGGTTTGCTGCACCCATCAACCCATCATCTACATTAGGTATTTCTCCTAATGCTATCCCTCCTCTAGCCCCCCAACCCCTGGCTGGCCCTGGTGTGCAGTGTTCCTCTCCCAGCTGACAAACATATGAAAAAAAGCTCATCATCACTGGTCATTACAGAAATGCAAATCAGAACCACAATGAGATACCATCTCATGCCAGTTAGAATGGCATCATGAAAAAGTCAGGAAACAACAGATGCTGGAGAGGATGTGGAGAAATAGGAACACTTTTACACTGTTGGTAGGAGCATAAATTATTAGTTCAACCATTGTGGAAGACAGAGTGGCAATTCCTCAAAGATCTAGAACCAGAAATACCATTTGATTTTGTATTTTAAATATCCTCCTCCCCCTTCTTCCTCTGTCTTGTACTACTAGAGCCCAAACTCCTCTATCATGTTGTTTGACACCTCCTCACAAATCCCATTTCAGAATCTTGGACGGGTTCTGGCACTAGCCTTGGTGCTTCCTTGTTGCAATAGAGGCATGAGGGGGGAAGATGGTGTGTGAGGTCATTGTCCTGCTTGCCAGGTCACCTACAGAGATCACCGTAACTAACCAGCAGCCCTGAACCCAGGCTTCAATTATGACCTCTCTCTGAGTCCCAGAAAACAGGGTCAATTGACAACTTGGCATGGAACAGTTGGGAATATGATCACCAGGAAATGACACATTTGCATGCATACAGTTGTCAGGAGACCTGGACATGCCTTAAGACACTGCCGATTGCCTTTTCCCATCTGTTCAGGCTCCATGAAAGCTGGGGTGTCTTTTGTCATATTTATGGCTGAATTTACAGACCCTGCTACCAGGTGACTATTCTGTAAATATTTGTGGAAAAAATAAATAGGCAAGCTTTTCACCTTCAAAGCCAAGGGATTCTGGAACAATGTATTTTTCCAGAAAATTCCCTTTTAGAAAGATATGCTTTTATCCGAACAGCTCTTATGGGCATGAGAATCTGCCTACCTTGTTGAAAGCATCTTATCATAAGACACATTCAGTCACTTGTGACCTCAGAGAGTGTCTACCAAGCAGATCTGAGACACGAAGTGAAAAACTGCAGGTCATCAGCCCAGACTTGCTGCATCCAGTTCAAATATTTTCTAACAATAAACGCCAATGCCAAACATATGCTCTCAAAGGGAGATGGCAATCTAGAATCCCATGAAAATAACTGGGGCGCCTCCAGAAATGTAATATTTGCCCCAAGCAAGTTCCAAGGCTACAGTAAGGGCCGTAGGTGAACCGGACTTAAAGATTCTAGATACCGGACAGATATATCTAGGAAAAAGGACATTTTCCTAGACCAAGAGTTTTTTAATATCGGAAAATAGAGAATGTGAAATTCCTGAAACTTTTAAAAGAAATAAATAGCCCTAATTCTAGGGATTATTTTATGGATGGGTGATCAGCTGGAGTCTTTTAAAGGATTCTTAGCTCCCAAATCCTACAGGACTTCACGATTCCCTAAACCATTGATTGTGGAACATCTGCAGGAACCAGAGAGCTTGCGGAGCCACCGCTCCCCTCTCCTCTCCTCAGCTGGCTAGGGTGAGTGTTCAGTAATTTGAAAAATAAATAAGCACAACATTTCCAAGCACTCAATTTTGTGCTGACAAATATACAAATGTGAAGAACATTAGGGAGGCATCCAGCATTTTCAATAATGCATGATCCCCATCACTTAATTATTTTGAAAACATCTGTTGAAGAAAAGGATGCCCCAGAGGAGAATTAAGAAGTCACATGGATCAGTGTGTGGCCACATTTCACCCTTTGAAGAGGAGACAGGAAGCCTAAGGAATGTGGTGCTAACCCCGAGCGCCCACGGGAGCGGGAGATGGGGTGGTCAGAGACCAAACGGGCCCTGGCGTTGCCCAGCCTGGTCTGGATCAGTTTCCCCACTGGAAGAGGCACTGGGAGCCACACACGACGTGGCGGTGTTTGCACCCAGGGCTTGCATTCCCTGCAGCTTCTGCTCTTGAGCAATGTAAGGATATCAGCTGGAAGGGCTGGGGCACCTTCTGGGTATTATCCAGGATTTGAGGCTGCAGGTGACTAATCCAAGAAGCATTCAGGTGCAAGAGGAGGGTGGGAAATGGATGCTGTGTTCCCCATGGCCAGGAGGGTGGGGTGGTCAAGAAAAATCAATGCTGCACTTCCCACAGCCACGTGGATCTTGTGTGGTTAGGGAAGCCCGGGTGTTCCCAAAAAACCATAGTGATGTGGTTTTGCTCTGTGTCCCCATTTAAATCTCACCTTGAATTGTAATAATCCCCACATGTCATGGGAGAGACTAGATGGAAAAAATTGAATCGTGGGAGCATGTTTTCCCATGCTGTTCTCGTGATGGTGAGTAAGTCGGATAGTTTTATAAAGGGCAGTTCCCCTGCACATGCTCTTTTGCCTGACAGCATGTAACACGTGCCTTTGCTCCTCCTTCACCTTCCACCATGATTGTGAGGCCTCCCCAGCCATGTGGAGCTGTGTGTCTATTAAACCTCTTTCCTTTATAAATCACCCAGTCTCACGTATGTCTTTATTAGCAGCGTGAGAACAGACTAATACACATAGTGTTCTGTTCTTACTCATGTCACAAAGAATCACACATGTGCAAGAATGGTCATGTCGTTAAAGAATGAAGATCTTCCATAACAACATTGTTCCCTGAAAGGTAGATTCCTTCATTTGTAAAGCTCCTCATAGTCCACAGATTGCTTCTATGTTCATCATCTCATTTACCTTTCAAAGCCACCCTAAGAGACAAAAATGTCGAGTGTCATGGAATATTTCGATGGTTAGAATGGAATGCTGCATTGTGCCAACATTTATCTATCAGTGATTTCGGTAAGAATTCCAGGCATGCCCAGAGAATCTCCACTCAGGGAGGTGGACAGTCTGGGTACAAACGCACGCTTTGTTCTTTCATAATCTAATTAGGAATTATCCAGTGAATTCTCCTAATTTTCCCTTGCTTCAATTTTTGAATTTATCACTAGCCATGAAAAATCAAAAGAAAAAGAAAACTTTCAGCTTATTCCTTTGGGATATTCAACTTTGGGCTACAAGTTGGAATCCACTCTGGGGGAAGGTGTGCACGGAGCCAGCCTCCCTGCACTTTTTGACCCCACCCCCACTTCCCAGTCCTGGCCGTCTAACCTTGCACGGCCTGGTATTCATTCCAGAACATTCTCTTTATGTATATGTCAGCATGTCCTTTCTGGAATGATGAATAAAAATAAATACACAAAGACACAAGAAAGAGAGAGATGGGGAGAAAGATGGAGAAGATGATGGACCAATGAAGTACTAAGTTGTGCAAAAAGAACCTTGGGAAATATTGACAGCTAATTTCACTGTGATACTTGCAGATTGTAAGCACAGTATTGATTCTTTGCCATTTCAGCAATGTCAAAAATCTCCTGCCCCAGTGCCCTGGAGTAGACCTGAGGGCCAACTTTGCCCCTCAACCATCTCAGCCAGGCGTTTTCAAATGCGGAATTTATACTTAAGTTACACCAAACAGATGCAAACTGGTGTCATTTTTTTCCCCTTAAAGCTTCAGAAATTTCGTACCTTTTCTTGGTAACGTATTCAAATATCAAATAGCTCCTGGTACTGGAAACTTTTCCTTTTGTTATTTAATATAAATGTCTTGTTCTGATCTTGTTTCTGCTTTCTTAAGATTCAGTGAAAGAAATATAAGTTTTAAAATTATTTGAAGGCAATGAAAGTTAATTTTTTAAAAGACTACAGTTAAATTTAATAGTCTTGTATTTTAAAAACTACTATTTTATTTTACTCTTCATAGTATCTGCCATGTGAATGTATTTACCTGCATTAGAAAATTTGTACCCTGGGAAATATTTGTTGCCACATTACAGACCTTATTAATTTCAATGGTTATTTTAAAATTGAGCAAATTAATAAGCTGTAATTAAGTGATAAAACAATGAAATTGCTTAAAACGTAGACTTATAAATAATGTAATTTTCTGCCAGACACGGTGGCTTATGCCTGTAATCCCAGCACTTTGGGAGGCCGAGGCGAGAGGACCATGAGGTCAAGAGATCGAGACCATTCCGGCCAACATGGTGAAAACCCCGTCTCTACTCAAAATACAAAAATTAGCCAGCCGTGGTGGTGTGTACCTGTAGTTTCAGCTACTCTGGAGGCTGAGGCAGGAGAATCGCTCGAACCTGGGAAGCGGAGGTTGCAGTGAGCCAAGATTGAGCCACTGCACTCCAGCCTGGTAACACAGCAAGACTCTGTCTCAAATAAATAAATAATAAAGAATGTAATTTTCTATATTGTATGTTCTTAAAATTTCAGACTGGGGAAAGAACAATGGGAAAACAATCACAGCTGAATTTCAGCACATTCACTGTACCAAGTCTCAAGCCAGATCTTCGGCCTGTAGAATTGTCTGTTCTTTTTAGTTTTACTCTGTTTCCGTTTTGTTTTTTGAGATAGGGTCTTGCTCTGTTGCCCAGGCTGGCAATGCAGTGGCACAATCATTGCTCATTGCAGCCTCGAATTCCTGGGCTCAAAAGATTCTCCCACCTCAGCAAGTAGCTGGGACTACAGGTGTACACAACCACGCCCAGCCAAAACTGTGACCTAAAGATGCATTAAGTGGTGCATTAGTCCATTCTCACACTGCTATGAAGAACTACCTGCAACTGGGTAATTTATGAAGAAAAGAGGTTTAATTGGCTCATGGTTCTGCAGGCTCTACAGGAAGCACAGCTAGGAAGCCTCAGGAAACTTCTAATCATGGTGGAAGGTGAAAAGGAAGCAAGCATGTCTTACCATGGTGGAGCAGGGGAGACAGGGAGTGAAAGGGGAAGTGCCACACACTTTCAAACAACCAGATCTCACGAGAACTCACTCAGTGTCATCAGAACAGCAAGTGGGAAATCCACCCTCACGATCCAATCACCTCCCACCAGGACCTTCCTCCAATTCTACATGAGATTTGGGCAGGGACACAAATCCAAACCACATCAGAGAGACAGAGTTATTTGACAAAAAAAGAAACAGGAAGATATCAGTTGTCCCAATAGAAACAAAAATTGAGTGTTGCAAGCCACTCTTAAATATCAGGGTTGACTTCTTATTCGAACCAAAAGAAAAAACACTCAAGTGTGCATGCGTGTGAGGGGATCATGTATAAAAATAAAATAGAATGACATTAAAACGCTTATATGGTGCACTGTGTACCACGGGGTGCCACATATCACTTGAGTTTCAGTATTTAACATGATGAACATAAACTTCGTATTCAACTTATGTATAAAAATTTCCATAAAACACACATTTAAGCATTGGGAGTGTTTTTTATATATTTGAAAATTAATGTGTTATTTTCATAAATCAAGTCCAATAAGAATTTTAAATAACTCTGTAGTTACTAACATCAAAGGAAGAACATACATTTTATTTCAAAATTCCCACCTGAAATGGTGGAGGTGGGTGCACATCATGGCATGTCTGTAACGAGGGACTTGTGTGCATCAGGACCGAGAGCTGGGGTAGCTGCTTCCTGGGAATATCTGTCAGGAACTTGCCATTTGGTCAGAGTCAGTCATGGTTCTGCACACGGAACAGTGATTGTCTACCGGGCGAGCCAGAGGCTACAGGAGGAATTATGCAAAAGTGAAATCGCGAGGATGCCAACTTCAGGGAGGAGGAGCTGGGTGCCGGGGCCTGGGACAGTGACTGTCTACTGGGAGAGCCAGAGGCTACAGGAGGAATTATGCAAAAGTGATATCGGGAGGATGCCAACTTCAGGGAGGAGAAGCTGGGTGCCGGGGCCTGGGCACATGGGACATGAGGCAGAGGGGAGGCCTCCCAGGCTGAGAGACCGTGAAGATGAGGCCCCAGCCGGCCCAAGAGGCAGAGAAAGCAGCAGAAGAGATGAAATACCAGAGAAATCAGAGAGGGAAAGTGAAAAGTTCCTGTAGAAAATTTAGATATAAAAGTCTTCACTGAAGTGGCTTAATGGCAGACCAAGTTGTGGTGGGTGTCAGGGAGGAGCAGTAAGTGCCCTCAGGCCTCGCTCCCCCGAAAGACCATGAGGCGTGTGCTGGGTCCTGGGAGTTCTGAGAAGTTGTGTGTGCATGTGTGCATGTGAGAGTGCATACTTGCTGGTATGTGCATGCGTGCCTGAGTGTGTATGCACGTGTGTATGTGTGTGCATGAGTGTGCACGTGTGCGTGTGTGCATGTGTGAGTGTGCACGTGTGTACCTGTGTGTGCATGAGTGTGCACGTGTGAGTGTGCATGCCTGTACGTGTGTGTATGTGTGTGCACGTGTGTGCATGTGTGTGTTTGTTGTTGTTGTTTGTTTTCTGGCAGCCCCATATAAAATCAGGGAGGAAGAATCAGCAGAGGAATCCAGAAAAGCCACTGGGGAGAAGAGAAAGCCCCAGGGGGACCTGCAACTTCCTTCTATGTCGGCCTCGAGCCTCTAAGTGTAGACAGAATTTATTTTGTCAGAACATGATGGGAAAATGGTCCAATATATTTTTAAACCAATGTTTCTTTTGTTTTTCTGAATATACAGTCAATATGCTTCCAGTTCATCTTATATATCTGAACAGGCTCACTTGAGTCCCCTCTTGCTCGGAGCTTTCATAAAATAAAGGAATAAAAATAAGCAGGGACTTATGAGAGAGAGAGAACCGAAAAGGGGATGAAAACTCATCAGGCGAGTTCAGGTGATTCTGAAAGTTGAAGGAGGTTAGATACGTGGCCTGGCCTCGCGAATGTAGAGAACTGACGCCCGGCCTCAGGAAGGGAACCCACACGGGAGGTGGAGGGGCATCACCAAGCCCAGGAGAATTCAGAGCCACCGAGAAGCCCTGAAGGCCAGGACGATGGGGAGGGCGGGAAGTGGGATGAGTCTTTGCGTTTGATGAAAAGCAGAATGCACAGACCCCTGCTCCCCCCCACACAGATGTGCAGCTGCTCCCTTGACCCCCTCACAGGCCAGCAGGCAGGGGGGCTCAGCTGGAGGCCTCACCCAGCGGGGCTGTGGTCCCTAAGACGCCTGCACAGCTCAGGACGTGGGCAGGCATCTTCCCAAACCTGGAGCCCCATGCAGGGCCTCCCAGCCCTTTCCTCTCCAGTTCCAGCGGGTGGATGGAGCCAGGAGCCTTCTCTCAGAAAACTGTCCAGCCCCAACCTAGGACCCCTGAATTCATTAATGGTTTTCAGATTGGGATTCTTTCAGTTCCAACAATAATGTACACACATACACACACACTCACACTCACATTCTTTCAATTATTTCTAAAACATTGTCTAAGGTTTCCAACGTCAAAGTAAAGTTTAAAACTTTTTTCAAACATTCAAAGTTTCAGTAAAAGATCTTGTGTGCATTTTCCCCCAAAAGCTAATTGGCGTTGTGTTTCAAACAAGAGAATGAGGGGGGATCCCAAACACAGTCCCAGACATGGAAGAGGTGCTAGTGCCAGCAGGTGAAGGGTGAAGGGTGAAGGGTGAAGGGTGAAGGGGAGCCCCGGGAGAGCTGCGGAGCTGGCCTTGGGGGAGCGGGATGGAGAGACTCTTCCAGCCCTTAATGAAAGGGGCCGATGTGCTTCCCTGCATCTTGAGGAATCTTCTAGCTCCAACAAAAAGTGTGGGTGCAGAGGAGTGATAGGTAAAAGAAAATTCTGAAAGCCAGGAAAAATAAAACAAAAAGAAAAATCTGTACAAAAAAAGGAAATTGTAGTCTACTTTGGACGGTGGTTGTGAATGTGTGTGTGTGTGTGTGTGTGTGTGTATGTGCAGTGGAGTTTGAGGAATACATCCACTGAATCATCACCTTCCATAGGAGAGAGTCAGTACTCAGCTTCTAACCCTAAATAATCAGAAAGTAGCAGTATAAATGTGTTACTTAAAATACAAAATGGAATGCTAGGAAAAACATCTGAAAGAGTCAACAGTTAATTTGATTCTTTTTTTTTTTTAAGATGATCTCACTCTGTTGCTCAGACTGGAGTGCAGGGTCACAGTCATGTCTCACTGTAGCCTCTAGCTCCTGGCCTCAAGCCATCGTCCAGCCTCAGCCTCTGGGCTGGGACCACAGACATACTCCACCATGCCCAGCAAATTTATTTTTATTTTTTTATTTGTAGAGGCAGAGTCTCCCTGTGTTGTCAGGTTGGACTAGTACTCCTGGGTTCAAGCTATCCTCCCACCTCAGCCTTCTCAGTGCTTGGATTACAGGCATAAGCCACCACGCTCAGCCCAACAGTGAATTATTTTGCCCTGTGGATCAGGAGTTGGAGCTGGGGTGGAGGTGGGGTGGGCAGGAGATGTTTTTGCAACGTTCTCTTTGTAGTGTGAGCTGACGTTTGAGACTGTGCCCCTGCACTGATCTGATTTTCAGTCAGCAGCAGGAGGGTGGGTAGGGGCAGCTGATGGTGGGTACTGTCCCTCCCAGTTCCATCTTCACCCACAAGCCCCGAACAGCAGCCATAGTCTGGAGTGTGGCAGGAAGCCCTGGGATCTCCTTTCTAGATGTGTTGCTCTAACAGCGACCACAAGGCGGGTGGAGGGTGGGGCTCAGGAGAGAAATCTTTCCAGAGAGAAGCAGAGGGATCAGCTGGAGAGAAGCAGAGGAATCAGCTGGAGAGAAGCAGAGAGATCAGCTGGAGAGAAGCAGAGGGAACAGCTGGAGAGAAGCAGAGGAATCAGCTGGAGAGAAGCAGAGGGATCAGCTGGAGAGAAGCAGAGGGATCAGCTGGAGAGAAGCAGAGAGATCAGCTGGAGAGAAGCAGAGGGATCAGCTGGAGAGAAGCAGAGGAATCAGCTGGAGAGAAGCAGAGAGATCAGCTGGAGAGAAGCAGAGAGATCAGCTGGAGAGAAGCAGAGGGATCAGCTGGAGAGAAGCAGAGGAATCAGCTGGAGAGAAGCAGAGAGATCAGCTGGAGAGAAGCAGAGGAATCAGCTGGAGAGAAGCAGAGGGATCAGCTGGAGAGAAGCAGAGAGATCAGCTGGAGAGAAGCAGAGGGATCAGCTGGAGAGAAGCAGAGAGATCAGCTGGAGAGAAGCAGAGGGATCAGCTGGAGAGAAGCAGAGAGATCAGCTGGAGAGAAGCAGAGGGATCAGCTGAAGAGAAGCAGAGGAATCAGCTGGTCCTGGCTATCTTTGCTCTTTGATGAAACATTCGTTTTCACAAAATCTCTTCCTGAAAGAAAAGTAACCCTTTTATTGTGGTGAAAAACAATGTTTCTGAGGTGAAAAGTTGAGGGTCTTCTCCCCAGTGGGGGAAATACGGTTATAAAAAAGGAGTCCAGCCAAGCATGTCTGTCTTCCTAAGGAACTAGTCTTCACTAAACAGTGTTTTTCTGAGTTACGGCCTGGAGTAAAACAGTAGGAAAATGAGAATAAAAAGGGCTGCATGATGGGAGGTGTGAAACCCCACTCTAATGGGATTAATGGAGAGGCTATTGAGTCTTTATTTGATAACTTAACACGAATTAATCAAAATTAATTCTAATCAGATGCATTTCTTTTTTTTTTTTTTTTGCAAATAGTTGCAAAAGGACTGAACAATGAGAAAATGGGGGCAGAAGATGTGGAACAGTATTTTAGGAATTTGGTATTGAATGATAAGATAGATACTTACAACAGTGAATGGGGAAAAGAGGGGCAGGGTAATGTTTCAGATTTGTTGAGTTTTCTTGTCCTTTGACTTATCTTTCTTAATCTCTGCACGTTTCACTCATTTTACACATTTACCTGGAACCTAAACCCTGAGGTTAAAACTATAACCCTGTTTGGCTGCTCATAGTTTTAATTTTAGAAAAAAAAAAGATGAATCTCTCTAGACAGGCAGAATATACATATTCAAATGGTTTTCCTTGAGCTCTCTGCTATGTTTGTTGTGGTCAAACATTGTTTCCTAGTCAAAATCCCTTCTCAAGAGTCCTCTGGAAACAACTACACATTTTAGGAATACAATGTGTTCCTGAAATGAGTCTTACCTGCCCTCCCTCCTCTGCCTGGGGATGTCTTCCATCAGCTGGGAGTTGTGTGTCACCTGGATGTGGAAGAAACACAGGAGCACATTTTAGAAGCATTCATCAACAGCAAGTGGGGTTAAAAATCCCAGAAGATGAGCAGAGCTCCCGACAGTCACTGTGGGCAGAGGCAAGAACCGGAGTCCAGGAAAATACTGTAACCCATGCAATCACCTTGAGACAGAAAAGAACTCAGAGTGAGTGAGCATGAGCAAGCGTGGCCTGGAAGAAATTGGGGAGGAAAATAAGAAGGCAGTGTTGGGAAGCACTCAGGTGTGCCTGGAACCACGGCTTATTCCATCTGGGTCCCATGAAATCTGTGGGAGGAAGGGGCTTTTACAATTTCTACTTTACAGAATTGGTGAGAGCCAGGACCGAAGCCCAGGTCCAGCTGAGCAGGCAGGGGGTTGCTGACCACAGGGCTCAGCCGCCTCGGGGATGGGGCCAGGTCAGCGACAGTGAGGCAGGAAATCACGCCAGGGCATTGTACTTTGCAATACCGGGACCCAGGTACCTGCCTCCATCATCGCTTTGCCCCAGTGACCTGTGGCTCCCTCGTTGCTGTGGCTTCCTGTTGAGTTGACGTCACCCCTGGTTCTTTAAAATGGGCCATTCACACTCTGACACTCCCCATCCACGCCGCTCCCCAGGTCTCTGCCAAGATTCTGATAGATGGAAGTGTACACCCTGGCCCAAGGTTACATCCTTGTGTGGTCCAAAGGGGACGAGTGTCCTGAACACCTGCCCCCGTCATTTGGAGTCCAGACAGGCAAACATGAGACTTAACACCAGGATATGGTTAAACCAGTGCTGGGATGGCTGAGAGGTCAAACAGGGCACTGAGAAGCAACCCAGAGCTCTAAGCAACAGCAAGGCCATTACCCACCAGCCTGGAAAGCAAAGGAAAGAGTCTTGTCGCTGGCATCAGAGTCAGGGGCCATCCTGGGAAACCGGGCCCACTGGCTGGCTGTGGCCCCTCCCAGCCTCCTGAACCTGCAGTTCTCCGGCTTCCACAGGTGGGTGGGGGCCAATTCCTCTCCCGAGCCACCTTCTCCTAGTTCTTGGTGTCTCTGCTTCCCCGAGTGGGCTCTGACTGGCTGGCAGCCCCTCCCTCTGCCCCAGGGCTGCCTTCTCTGCATGAGAACAAGACTTGCCAGGCCCCCGGCCCCTCTCTGACATGCGCAGGTCCCAGGCCATGGGTAGCCCGTGGGGAGTCTGCAGCCGGGGAGAGCCCAGCGCTCCGAGGGAGGGACTTCTCTGGCTTCTGCATCGCTGGCCCCTAGAGTCACCTTTGCTGTCCCTGGATTCCTGGCCTCGTCCTGCTGAGAAACACAGGGACTGACCCCTGTATCCACTTCCACATTTGGGGACACGGCAGCAGTGGAAGAGAAGGTCTAGCCTTTCACCTCCCTTGGAACCACGACCCAGTTGGGGCTTTGAGACACTTCTTCCAGATGGCGCATTCTAATCAAGTTGTGTCTCTGGCCCAGCAATGAGCCCCATGCCTCGGTCTGCTCTTGTTCCCAAGTTCAGCCCAAGCCTTACCAAGGCAAGTGTGGGTTTGTGTGTCTGCCAATGCCTATGTATCTAAGCTCCTTTAAAACAGGGGTGGCAGATTTTTTCCATAAACAGCTGGGTGTTGTAGGTCCTGTGGTCTCTTGGGCAGCTACTCAGCCCTGCCATTGTGGCGTGAAAGTAGCCACAGATGCTGTGCCACAGATGGCGTGGCTGAGTCCCAATAAAGCTTTATTTACAAAACAGGAAGCCAGCCTAGGCCAATGTCTACCGTCACCCCCTCCCACCTCATTAGAATCAGGGAACTGAGGGTGGGCCCCCTGAGGAGATTTCAATTCTCAGAAAATCAGGAAGAATTTAGTTCCAGATTGACAGTCTGAGTCTTGGCACCGCACCTAGATTTTTGACATTTCAGGCCAAATTTCTAATACAACTCTGGATATAAAATATTAAATATTTAATGAAGAGAAGAGGGTATCTGCCAAAGAACTATTTTTATATGAAGCACCAAAAAATGATTTCCTGCTGTTTCATATAATCAAATGTCTTCACGACTCGGGAGAATGCCTGGTAGGAGGGGACGGCCGCTGCCGCCAGCCACGGCTCCCTCGTAGGGCAGCTCTCTGGTACCAAAATCTCCTTCTGTGCCTTGGGGGAGGGCTGGGGCTCTGTGGAAAGGGATCGGTGGTCTGCTCATCTAATTTAGACATGTAGAATGATGAAGCATTAATTTATCTGACTGGAGTTCTCCAGCCTCCTGTGTACCTATTCGGATGCTTTCCTTTTTCCCATTCCTCCTCTCTTTGGAGGGACTGTGAGCCTGGCCCTGTGAGGAGAACATGTGTATTGTGAATCTGTGCACCTCCAACCAGGCACGTCGGAGTGGGCTCACATACACACACGTGCACCAGCCCTGGAAACCGTGATAACAGCTCTCTCTTATGTGGCTCACAGGGTGTGTCTACGTGTAAGTGTCTCACACCTGCCATGAGGAGATATGGTGCATAAATCAACAATTGTATGCCTGGGAATTTTACATGCTAATATTTTGCAGAGGTGAATTCATGTCTGCATTCCCAGAGACGTTTTCTGGATGGCCCAAGATATTCAATGACATTTATTTAATTCTGGGTGTCCATGAACAAGGGGTATGTGAATTTCATGGGTGGTGTCTTACTTTGGGGTCTATAACAAAATACCATGGACCAGGTGACTTTAAGACAATAAACATGTATTTCTCACAGTTCTGGAGGCTGGAAGTGGGAGATCAGGGCACCAGCAGGGTTGGGGTCCGATGGGGGCCTCTTGCAGCTGCCGACTTCTCACTGTGTCCTCACACTGTGGAGCAAGCAAGAGAGCTCCCGGGGCCTTGTTGGTGAGGGCACTGATCTTTTGTAGTAGTGGGAAATATGCCTCCTGCTCTCCAAAGACTTCAGAATTCAGTGTGGATTCCGGCATGTGGTCAATGTTCAATACACATTTACTAAAGTAATGAATTAATCCTACATTTGGAGAAATTTTTGTCCAGTTGGGAGACGATCTGTCTGCTTCACTGTTTACCAAACAGAAGTGCTGTGGGAAAAATGCAATGCAGACTGTTCTTTTCAGGGGGACGATCGAGGCTTTCTGGGGAAGGTGGCCATGTGGCTGCACAGAGAGGGTTGTGTAGTGCTGAGCTGTGAGGAGGCAGCGGAAAGGGCTTTGCCTGGAGAGTGAATACAGACAACCCACAAGAACCTTGAGCAGCTGCACACAAAGGAAAGCAGTAGACATGTGTATTAGTCCGTTTTCACGCTGCTGACAAAGACATACCCAAGACTGGGTAATTTATAAAAGAAAGAGGTTTAGTTGGACTCACAGTTCCACGTGGCTGGGGAGGCCTCACAGTCATGGCAGAAGGCAAGGAAGAGCAAGTCACATCTTATGTGGATGGCAGCAGGCAAAGGGGGAGCTTGTGCAGGGAAACTCCCATTTTTAAAACCAACATATCTCGTGAGACTTATTCACTATCACGAGAACAGCATGGGAAAGACCCACCCGCATGATTCAATTACCTCCGACTGGGACTGGGTCCCTCCCACAACAGGTGGAAATTCAAGATGAGATTTGGGTGGGGACACAGCTAAACCATATCAATGTGTGTGCCTGTGTCCGTGCAGTGTGCATCCATGTATGTACCCATGATGCATGTGTGTTCATGTGTGTGTATGCATGTACCAGTGATGCCTGTGTGTGCCTGTGTACACACATGTACCTGTGATGTACATGTGTGCCCGTGTGTGTGTGCATGTACCTGTGATGCACGTGTGCGCATGTACCTGTGATGCACGTGTGTGCCTGAGTGTGCATGCATGTACCCATGATGCCTGTGTATGTCTGCATGTACACACATGTACCTGTGATGCACGTGTGTGCCTGTGTGTATATATACCTGTGATGCATGTGTGTGCCTGAGTGTGCATGCATGTACCCATGAGGCACGTGTGTGCCTGTGTCTTGCTGTGTGCATATGTGTATGTACCTGTGAAGCATGTGTGTGCTGCATGTATGCATGCATGTACCAGTATGCATACATGTGCCTGTGCCTTGCTGTGTGCATGCATGTATGTACTTATGATACATGTATGTGCCTGTGCACATATGTGTGTGACTGCGCTAGTGCTTGGCTTGGAAGGCGACAGAGTGGGAGCAGTAGGGAGAGAAGGAAGGACACAACTCACATTGATTCCTGGACCATCAAAGTAACCTTCACACCTGTAGTCACTTTCCTTAGAACTGTGTACACAGGTGGTAGAAGAGGATGCTATTTCAGAAACAAAACGTGGAGTGCTCTATGTTTGCCCCCCTCTCCTTTAAAGACCCCTCCTAATGTCCATCACAAGTGCAGAGCAGGCTTAGTATCCAGGACCCAGAGAAGCCAGAAAGGCCCTTTCTCCAGGAGGGTATGGCAGGAGGAAGGAAGGAAACCCTGGGAAGTGGGGCCCGAGTCAGCCAGCAGCATCTTCAAGTCCCCCCGGGACCCCTAACCTCTTCTCCCTCCGTGCTCAGTGGGCAGGGTCTCCTTTAGGGGAGGGGCCTCATGTCATCCCATCCTGCCCCACATAGGCTGTGGTCACAGCTTCACTCCACAGCCAGACACACCCACAGCCCATGGGCTCCACACTCCATTATTAGAAAAATAATTATGCATGTCTTGGCCAAACTCCAAGCGAGCTGTCCAAAGTGGGCCTTCTAATTAGCATGATCTCTAATGCCACCAGAGGAAGAGCTGATTTTGCATTCCTGGAGATGCAGTCATCTGGAATCATCACAGAAAAAAAATGCCTGAGATTTTGTCTTATTGCAAAATTCAGGAGTGTAATTCCAACTTACTGTGGAAATAAAACGTATCTTAAGTTATGAAGGAGTTTAATCAAGACATAACCTTAGGCTTTCAGTAAGTGAATCGTTCTGGCCGCTGTATTCCCGGCCCTGTGACATGGGCTTGCCCGACGTTTCCCTTGTCATCACTTTTGCACCATTCAGCTCACTGTACAGAAACATGCACGTGTCCACACATAGGAACACGCACCCACGTACACGCACCAGCTCTTAAAAATATACATATTCTGCTTCTTCTTATGTTTTTTCTAAAGGGAACTCCAGTTCCACTCCTGTTTCCGCAATCCCTGTGTGATGCCAGTAGCAGGGACGCCTGTGTCAATCACTCCCTGCCAGACAGAGGCCAAGCCACCATGCAGTGCGGCTGTGCCTCCTTCATCCTGTGTCTCCGACACCAAAACGTGTCTCCTCATCCCTGGAGGGTGTTCAGAACATATTTATTTAATGGGCAGAACTTTGGCCTGACTCAAGTGGATCCTATTCTTTGGCCTACTCCACCTGTGGGAGGTGTAAACATCCCACCTGACTTACTGACAGACAGCCGCTCTGTGTAGGAGGCTCGCCCAGCCGCAGCCTTGACCAACGTGAACCAAAAAACGGCAGCAAGCCTCATCCGCCTTGAGGCCCCAGGGCCGTTCAGCAAGTTCACAACTGACGGGGAGTTGACGAGGGTGCAGGGGGCACTGGAGGCCTCCATTTTTTCCGCAGACGCAGCGGAACGTGCAGAAGGCAGGGCTGCTCTATCAGGGTCCCTCCTCCTGGGCCTCCCCCCACTGCCTGATTTCTGGAAGCCTCAGTGTTCAATAATTCAGGAGAAGCGCGAATCAGCATATCTTACAGCATATTTGATGTGCAGCAAACAGACTGCAGACGGCTTCATTTCAATTTGCCCCTTTGTTGCCAATAAAAGCCCAACAAACACCGTGAGAGACCGTGCCCACCAACGCCCAGTCCCTGCGCCTCGGCTCCTCGGGAGGGGTACAGCCTCCTGCCGGCGCCCCCCTCCCCTCCATTGTTCTTTCTGTATCATTTACCTGGGATCAAGTGACTTTCTCCATCCCGAGAATAAGGGCTCGGCTCCGTTTTCAGGCCTCTTCTGATCTCCGGAGCTAATTGGCTCAGGTGTAAACCAAGCCAGCAGGGCTGGGACTTTGAAGTGAGTCAGCCGCGCAGCGCGCCCGGGAACATCCTTGTCTGCGTGTCAAATACCAGCCTGCCGGGCCCGCTGCCCAGGCCCACTAATAAAAACGCCGGCCATCGCGGGGCAGTACAAGGCTCACATCCACGCGGGTGCTTTATTGCGAGCTCGTCATTAACTTTGCAGGCTGGGCCTGGAATGCAATCCAACCCGTTTTTAATGAGAGGGGGTGTCCGTGCCCCTGTGTGCGAGTGGCTCAGGGTGACACCGGCTGTTTCTTCTCTGCATATGGAGCCACCTACGCTTTGATCAATAATGCTGTTTCGCTTTGAAAGGGGGCTCATTTTGTAAGGATGTGGCAGAAAGGCCTCCCCGCCCCTGCACCTGTGGTCTGTGTGTCCAGCACGCGCAGTGATGGAAAGGTCAGTCCCCAGCACCCGAGGACACTTGCTGTGTTGCCCGGCACCACCTATTCTCAGAGGCTTTAAAGAGGGCACCCCCCGCGGGGCCCACGCCTCAGTCTGTGTTTGGATTATCAATGCAATGGCTGCTTTAAAAACAACAAAAGCAAAAAGGGCAGCTGACTCCTTCAGACTCTGATTTTGCAGATTCCCTTTGTTTTTAATAGGCAAACCTATAGAATGGAAATGAGGTGAGGGATAATGTCCTTTCTCAAGCCTCCCTGTGACTTCCGGAAGTGTCCACATGACTTACTCATGCTATGCATTGTGCCACAGCCGTGAGCTTCTGTTCCTGTTTCATCTCTGATCTGTGGGCTTCCGACCACCTGGATCCAGGCTGAACACACGGCTCCTTTCAGAATTGTGCGCGTTGGTTGAGTGTTTTGAGAAACTGAACATCCGTTCACATAATGACGTACGTTACAGAACGGACACACGTTCTCAAGTTATCCAAACTGTGGTCACATTGGACTTCACTCACCTTTGCCTCGGGGGCTGCAAACACCCAGGCCCTGGATACATAAATGTGCTTGTGGACATTTGGTGGCTGCATTCCTGTGCTTGGGCTGCCAGGACAAAACGCCGCAGATGGGGCCTTACATAAGACCTTTCTTCTCTCACAGTTCTGGAAGCTGCAACCCCGGGGTAAGGTGTCTGCAGGGCTGGTTCCTCCAGCGGCCTCTCTCCTGGGCTTGTGGACTGCATCTGTCGTCCTGGGTCCTCACAGCAGTGTTGTCCCTGCATGTCTGTGTCCTAATTTCTCCTTTCTTCTAAGGACACCACTGGATTGGATTAAGGCCTGTCTGTATAATCTCATTTTCAAGTAATTACCTCTTTAACAACTCTGTCTTCAAATACAGTCAGCGTTTGAGGTGCTAGGAGTGAGGAGGTCAAAGTGTGAATTTTGGGGGAACCGATTCAACCCATCACAGTGGTCAGAGTGGAGAAACACTAACTGGTGAAACACAACCCAACCGTGAGGTAGTTGTGGGTTCCTTCCTCTAACAGGGGAGGACTCACACAATGGCAGGACCCAAGGAGAGGCCCTGGGTGGTGGCACCCAGAGGGCTGTATGCCTGTCCAAGTGTGGAAGGGTCCAAGTGCATGTGACTTCAGAGACCCGAGGGACTGGGATTAAATTTTAGGGAGATTTGGAATCCTACAGCCCAAACCTCATGGATTGCCGCCTGCCTCCCGGGAAGGACGGCTGATAAACAGGGAAAGGGAACTCATTTTTCCCGTGATCTCTGTGGCTCATGGAAAGGTCCAGCTACCAACTGATTTGGCACCAGCAGCTCCTCCTGCAGCTGGGACGGGCCTTGTCTGGGCCACAGCAGCCTCGGCAGGAGGCATTGGTGGTTGTGAGCTGGTGTCTGTGGGCCGCAGCCTACTGTCACTACCTGTTTAGGATGCTGGTGTCAGAGCTGCTGATTTGGGCGCCAGCATCAGAAACAACCCCAGGGGATGGACAGAGAAAGAGTAGGCCCCAGAGAGTCCTCCCAAGGTATTCACGTGAGGCGAGGCGTGCCAGGGACCCTCAGAGAGAGCCAGGAGGAGTTTGCCCAGGGAGGGACAATCACACTCCCTTGTGCCTATGGCCCGATCCACCCACCAATCTGGAAGACTTGGGATACAGCCTGCAAATCCTGCCCACCACTGGACAGCTCCCGTCATCAGTGTTATGTCAAAAGCATATTTTCCTCTTTAGTTGTGGCAGAGGGATGGAGAATCCCAGGCCACTGGGCCCCTTTTCCTTGGCAGTCCTGCTCCCACGCGAGAAGATGCTGCACTTCCGGCGGTTGTGTGCGCCTCGGCTTGCCAGTCCGCCTTCCGACTCCTCGCAGTTTGAGATGAGGAGAGGGGAAGGTGGCAGTAAAGAAGCAGTGAGTAATTATGATGCAGAAATTATAAATGTCTCTGGAGACACAGGCACAACAAAAACAAAATAAAATACACTCCCAGGAGAAACAGCTCTGCGCAAAAACACGAGAAACCTTGGTGGAGAATCTCCAGAGAACCAGAAATAAGGAGGTGTCAAAGAACAGAGACTAATGAAAATTTACTTTGTATAGCACTTTGCTTTGCTTTCCTATTGGTAGAGAGAACACATATTGCTGTTCCTATGAGAACTGCTTATGTAGAGCATTCAAACTCAAAAGTCAGCAGGATCTAACTGAAAGATTCAGTGGGGGCTACATGGAAACTAAAATGCACACACACACACACGTAATGAACTGAAGTTCTGACATGAATGTTCGTTGATCTTTTATTTACATTAATAAGACAAAAGTGAAACAGCGGAAACATATGCTGGGACTTGTTCATCAATGCAACAATGAGAGCAACTTCTTTGCTGAATTTTGCGGTAGCTTTTGAATATTGAAAGAATGCTTCCTTAGTTTTCTGTGCCATTCACAATGTAATAGCTGTAGAAATACCACATCTTAAAGTTATATCTGCGTTATTGCCATTTATCCGTTACTCTTTCAAGTCTAGATGATCAAAAAACAATAAATCCAGCCTGATGCGTAGCACTTGTCAATTTTGGTAGCATGAATGCTCCCACCATGGCGGATTTCAAGACATTGCGTGGCGTCCAGTTTGGAGTTAGCTGCATGGACCCACTGTTAAGCTTCCTTCCACTCTGTAGCTGTGAGATGCAAATAACCTCAATTTAATTTTAAGTTATCCTATTGGTAGCCCTTATGAAAAATTATACAAAATTGTGATGCAAATAAAATAATTATGCACTTGGATATTAAGAAAAACTTTATTTTCCTTCCATAAGCAATGTATTTTAAATATAGTTGAGATCTTTATTATAACTGTAACTAATGCATTTTCCTCCAACTTGCATACTTTTCTCTTTCTTGGTCATTTGAATACAGATCTCATTGAAATTCTTGATGCCACTTCCTGAGCCTGCAAACTTTCCAGAGGTGCTTTGGAGACTCACACCTCGTGCCCTCTTGACATTTCCAGGGAAAATTGTGTCCATCGTCTCAGCAAAACAGTTTAAATATCTCGTCCTCAGTTTTTAATTATTACTGAGGAAGAAAGCCTGGGGAGCCAGGAACTACTTTAAGTGTCCAACCTTACCCCAAAGCACTGCTAATTAGAGCGCCTCGTTAAATGACTGCTCTGAACACAGTGGGGATGGACGTAGGAGAGGGCACCGCAGACAAAAAGAAAAAAAAAAAAGAATGAGCAGACGCAGCTGGAGCGTGTTACCACCATGCCCGGTTCTGTCAGGTGGTGCAGAGTTAGAATAAACATGGGGCTTTACAATGGCACATTTACATTTTAGAAAACCGTTTCACATCGAAAATAGCATCTAAGAAGGTCGTGGCACCTACGCCGCTTTCCCATATAACTGCTAAGGTTCTGGACTGTCTGCATGTTTTAATATTCAGCACCTCCTGAGACCCGAGCCCCGTGTCGGGATTGCTAGGAAATGGCAGCGAGCCCAGGCCGCAGCCTGGGCTGGCCCCGTCACAATTTGCACGTGTGTTCCACAGATCCATTAGAATGACTGTGAAGCACGGGTTTCTCCAAGTTCAGTGACGTTTGAAAGATGCTGAGTGTGTCACAAAACGGTGGTGTTCCTCAGCACCCTGAGCGGAGGTGGGAGGTGACTCATGAGATGTCTCCAGCTCGTGGAAACAGCCAATCTTCCTTGCCCGCCTTCCAGCGGACCGTCCAGAACACCAGGGACTCCGCAACGCAGGGTGCACAATGACAGTGGCACCAAGCGCGTCATGTGGCCCTTCCTGTGAGTGCTGGGGCGTCACAGCAACCCTGCCACTTCACAGATGGGGAGACTGAGCCAGAGAGGCCAAGGGGCGTGCTCACGGTCAGATAACGAAATCGTGAGTTTATTAGGAAGCCTGTCAGCCACCTTCCTGCCTCAGAAAGAAAGTTTTTTTGAGGACATGACTCTATGGAAATGCCCAATTCTGAACACAATGAGAACACTCATCTCCTTTCTCTGGATTTCATAAGCACAAGCCAAGGGACATGATATTTCTATTCTCAGCTCACTGTCCCTCCAGGGGCTTTGGGGACACTTTTAAAAATCACATGCAATCCACAGGGGTCACAGATCTTACAGGGATCTTTTGGTTTTCATCATTTTATTTGTTTGTGTTTAAATATGAGCATTACCATGTGACACTGTCAAGGAATCGAAGACAAGGACCTTTGTATTGATTGCTTTGCACATAGGAGTTCAGTAAGAATGGAAATTCAGAGATGCCTGTATACGAGTCCCACCACACAGGTGTGGGCTCTACCTAGACAGAAAAAAAGCATTTGGTCATGGTGCAAAAATGACTTTTCTGGACTTCTGTGTTGCATACCAGCTGCTCTGCTGTATCCGTAGGGTTCTGTTTCTCCACATACCACCAGGACATCATTATAATGCCACACACTTCTCACCTGGCCTGGCTTCTCCTGAGGACACCATTATAATGAGTCTCCCTGCATGACTTTGCAAGGATTATTTTTTAAGAAGCTTAGAGTTCATTACAGACATTATCCTGCAAATTCTCCAAGCACCCAGAGAAGTATATTAATATATTTATTCCTCTTTTCCAAGCCACAGAGAAGAGCTTTGCCTGAGAAGGGGGTTTGTCTGTTGCCAGACTAATGCTCAATTCAGTTCCCAGTTAATTCAACCTAAATAACCAATATGGGTGGGTGATCCCAGCCTAAAACAAGATTTCTCTAGGTATTATGTTTTGGTCTGAGATATCCAGAATTCTTTTCACTCCCCAATGTGTGTTTTTCATATGCAGGTAACACATCAGTAATTCCTGATTCAGTGCCACTGCTTTACAACTTGTAATCAGGTTAAATATTAGTTTTCATTTTTGTTTCTTAAACTTTTATTTTAGGTTCAGGGGTACATGTGCAGGTGTGTTATATAGGGAAACTCCTGTCATGGGGGTTTGTTGTACAGATTATTTCATCACTCAGGTACTAAGCCTAGTACGCAATAGTTATTTTTTCTGATTCTCTCCCTCCTCCCACCCTCCACCCTCAGGTAGTCCCCATAGTGTGATTTCCCCATCTTTGGGTTCATATGTTCTCATCACTTAGCTTCTGCTTTTAAGTGAGAACATGGAGTATTTGGTTTTCTGTTCCTGCATTAGTTTGCTAAGGATAATAGCCCCCAGCTCCATCCATGTTCTTGCAAAGAACATGATCTCATTCTTTCTTATAATTGCATAGTATTCCATGGTGTGTATGTACCACATTTTCTTTATCCAGTCTACCACTGATGGGCATTTAGGTTAATTCCATGTCTTTGCTATTGTGAATAGTGCAGTGGTGGACATATATGTGCATGTATCTTTACAACAGAACAATTTATATTCCTTTGGGTATATACCCACTAATGGGATTTCTGGGTCGAATAGTAGTTCTGTTTTTTAGCTCCTTGAGAAATCACCACACTGCCTTACTCAAAGGTTGAACTAATTTACACTCCCACCAACAATGTATAGGCTCTGCAACTTAGCCAGAATCGGCTATTTTTTTTTTTTTTTGCCATTTTATGATAGCCATTCTGACTGGTGTGAGATGGTATCTCATTATGGTTTTGATGTGCATTTCTCTGATGATCAATAATATTAAACTTTTTCATATGCTTGTTGGCGGCATGCATGTCTTCTTTTGAAAAGTGTCTGTTTATGTCCTTTGCCCACTTTTAATGGCATTGGTTGATTTTTGCTTGTTAATTTGTTTAAGTTCTTTATAGATGCAGGATATTAGACCTTTGTCAAGTGCATAGTTTGCAAATATTTTCTCCCATTCTGTAGAGTGTCTGTTTACTCTGTTGATACTTTCTTTTGCTGTGCAGACGCTCTTAAGCTTAATTAGATCTAAATTTTTAATTTTTGCTTTTGTTGCAATTGCTTGTGGCATCCTCATGATAAAATCTTTCCCAGTTCTTATGTTTAGAATGGTATTGCCTAGGTTGTCTTCCAAGGTCTTTATAATTTTGGGTTGTGCATTTAAGTCTTTAATTCATCCTGAGTTGATTTTTGTGTATGATGTAAGGGAGGGGTCAAGTTTTAATCTTCTGTATATGACTAGCTAGATATGCCAGCACCATTTATTGAATAGGGAATCTTTTTCCCATTGCTTGTTTTTGTCAGATTTGTAGAAAATCAGATAGTTGTAGTTGGGCAGTCTTATTTCTGGGTTCTTTATTCTGTTCCATTGGCCTTTGTATCTGTTTTTGTACCAGTACAATGCCGTTTTGGTAAATGTAGCCTCGTAGTATAGTTTGGAGTCAGATGCTGTGATGCTTCCAGCTTTGTTCTTTTGCTTAGGATTGCCTTGGATATTTGGGCTCTTTTTTGGCTCCATATGAATTTTAAAATAGTTTTTTTCTAGTTCTGTGAAGAATATCATTGGTAGTTTGATAGGAATAGCATTGAATCTGCAAATTGCTTTGAGCAGATGGCCATTTTAATGATATAGATTCTTCCTATTCATGAACATAGAATGTTTTTCCATTTGTTTTTGTCATGTCCGGTGTCTTTAGACAATGTTTTGTAATTCTTATTGTAGAGATCTTTAACCTCCTTGTTTAGTTGTATTCCTTGGTATTTTATGCTTTTGTGGCAGTTGTGAATGGGATTGCATGTCTGATTTGGCTCTTGGCTTGGCTATTTTTGGTATATAGGAATGCTACTGATTTTGTATGTTGACTTTGTATCCTAAAACTTTGCTGAAGTTGTTTATCAGCTGAAGAAACTTTGGGCCAATGTTATAGGGTTTTCTAGGTATAGAATCACGCTGTCTGCAAACAAGGATTGTTTGATTTCCTTTCTTCCTATTTGGATGCCCTTTATTTCTTTCTGTTGCCTAATTTCTGTAGCCAGGTCTCTCAGTACTTTGCTGAATAGGAGTGGTGAGAGAAGGAATACTTGTCTTGTGCTAGTTTTCAAGGGAAATGCTTCCAGCTTTTGTTCATTCAGTATAATGTTGGCTGTGTGTTTGTCATAGATGGCACTTAGTATTTTGAGGTATATTTATTCAATACCTAGATTATTGAGAGTTTTTAACATGAAGTGATGTTAAATTTTATTGAAAACTTTTTCTACGTCTATTGAGATGATTATGTGATTTTTGTCTTTAGTTCTGTTTATGTGATGAATCATATTTATTGATTTGCATATATGTTGAACCAACCTTGCAACCCAGGGATAAAGTCTACTTTAGCATGGTAGATTAGTTTTTATGATGTGCTGCTACATTCTGTTTGCAAGTATTTTGCTGAGGATTTTTGCATCAATGTTCATTAAGGATATTGGTCTGAAGTTTTCTTTTATTGTCCCTCGTCCTCAATTTTTAAAAAATAGTTTCAGTTGAAATGGTACCATCTCTTCTTTATACATCTGGTAGAATTTGGCTGTGAATTTTTCTGGTCCTGAGCTATTTTTGGTTGGTAGGATATTTATTACTGATTCAGTTTTAGAACTTATGATTGGTGTATTCAGAGAATCAATTTCTTCCTAGTTCAGTCTTGGGAAGGTGTATGTTTCCAGGAATTTATTCATTTCTTCTAGGTTTTCTCGTTTGTGTGCATATAGGTTTTCATAGCAGTATTTGATGGTTGTTTGTATGTCTGTTGGGTTGGTGGTAACATCCCCTTTGTCATTTCTTTTCTGTTTTTTTTTGTTTGTTTGTTCTGTTTTTGAGTCAGAGTCTTGCTCTGTCACCCTGGCTGGAGTGCAATGATGCGATCTGGGCTCACTGCAACCTCTGCCTCCCGGGTTCAAGAGATTCTCCTGCCTCAGCCTCCTGAGTAGCTGCAATTACAGGCACCTGCCACCACACCTGTCTAATTGTTTTGTATTTTTAGTAGAGATGGAGTTTCACCATGTTGGCCAGGCTAGTCTCGAACTCCTGACCTCAGGTGATCCACCTGCCTTGGCCTCCCAAAGTGCTGGGATTATAGGCATGAGCCACGGCACCTGGCCCCTTTCTAATTGTGTATTTGGACTTCTTTCTCTTGTTATTAGTCTAGCTAGTGGCATATCTTATTGATTCTTTTTTCAAACAAACAACTGGAGTCATCAATCTTTTGAATTGTTTTTTGTGTCTCAGTCTCCTTCAGTTGGGATTGGTTTGTTCTTGCTTCTCTATTTCTTTTAGCTGTGATGTGAAATTGTTAATTTGAGATTTTTCTAACTTTCTGATGTGGCATTTAGTGCTATAAATTTCCTCTTAACTCTGCAATGGCTGTGTTCCAAACATTCTGTGTTGCAAAGATACTTTTGTATCTTTTTTCTCATTAGTTTCAAACAACGTAATTTCTTCCCTAATTTCATTATTATCCTTAATTTCACTATTCAAAAGTCATTCAGGAACAGGTTGTTTAATTTCCATGTAATTGCATGGTTTTGAGCAATTTTTTCAGTCTTGATTTCTTTTTTTAATGTGCTGTGGTCCAAGAGTGTGTTTAGTATGATTTTGGCTCTTTTACATTTGCTGAGTATTGTTTTATATCTGATTGTGTGGGTGATTTTAGAGTATGTGCCACGTGGAGTGTGAAGAATGCATATTCTGTTGTTTTTGGATAGAGAGTTCTGTAGAAGTCTATTAGATCTATTTGGTCCAGTGCTGAATTCAAATACTAAATATGTATGTTAATTTCTTGCCTCAGTGATCTGTCCTGTCAGTGGAGTGCTGAAGTTTCCCACTATTATTGTGTGGGAGTCTAAGTCTTTTTGCAGGTTTCTAAGGATTTGCTGTATGAATCTTGGTGCTCCTGTGTTGGGTGCATGTATATTTAGAATATTTAACTCTTCTTATTGAATTGAACACTTTACCATTACATAATGCCCTTCTTTGTCTTTTTTGATCTTTGTTGGTTTAAAGTCTGTTTGGTCTGAAATTAGGATTGCAACATCTGTTTTTTTTTTTTCTGATTTTCATTTGCTTAGTAGATTTTCCACCATCCCTTTATTTTGAGGCACGGGTGTCATTGCATGTGAGATGGGTCTTTTCAAGACAGTATACCATTGGGTCTTGCTTTTTTATCCAGCTTGCCACTCTTTGCCTTTAAAGTGGGGCATTTAGCCCATTTACATCCAAGGTTAGTATTTATATATGCAGATTTGATTCTGTCATTGTGTTGTTAGTGGGTTATTTTGCTGGCTTGTGTATGTGGTTGCTTTATGGCATCACTGGTCTATGTACTTAAGTGTGTTTTTGTATTTGCTGGTAGTCGTCTCTCTTTTCCACATTTAGAGCTCTTTTCAAGATCTCTTGTAAGGTGGGTCTGATGGTAACAAACACCCCCAGCGTTTGCTTATCTGAAAAGTATCTCATTTCTCCATCTCTAAGGAGGATTAGTTTGACTGGATATGAAATTCTTGGCTGAAGATTTTTTTCTTTAAGAATGATGAATATAGGCCCTCAATCTCCTGTGATTTGTAAGGTTTCTCCTGAGAGGTCTGCTGTTAGCCTGATGGGGTTCCCTTGCGGGTGACCTGCCCTTTCTCTCTAGCTGCCTTTAACACTCTTTCTTTCATTTTGAACTTGGAAAATCTGCTCATTATGTGTCTTGGGGATAATTTTCTTGTGTAGAATCTTGCAGGGTTTCTCTGTGTTTCCTGAATTTGACTGTTTGCTTCTCTAACAGGGTTGGGGAAGTTTTCATGGACGATATCCTGAAATATGTTTTATAGGTTGTTTGCTTCCTCCTCATTCTTTTCAGGGATGCCAGTGATTCATAGATTTGGCCTCTTTACATAGTCTAATATTTCTCAGAGGTTTTGTTCATTCCATTTTATTCTTTTTTCTTTATTTTTGTCTGTTTTATTTTAGAGAGCTAGTCTTCAAGTTCTGAGATTCTTTCTTCAGCTTGGTCTAATCTGCTGTTTAATACTTGTGACTGCATTATGAAATCCTGGTAGCGGGTTTTTCAGTGCTATCAGATAAATTAGGTTATTTTTTCTACTGGGTATTTCATCTGTTAGCTCCTGTATCATTTTGTGGTGATTTTTAGTTTCCTTGGATTGGGTCTTGCCATTCTCCCAAATCTGGATGATCTTTCTTCCTATGCTTTATTCTATTTCTGTCATTTCAGTTAACTCAGCCTGGTTAAGAACCCTTATTGCAAAACTAGTGTGATCATGTGGAGACTGTAAGACACTCTGGCCCTTTGAGTTGCTAGAGTTCTTGCATTGGTTCTTTCTCATATTTGTGTGTAGGTGAGCCTTTAACTGCTGAGTTGCGTCTGATTCTAGTAACCAGGTGGGGGCAGGGTGGTTGTGTTGAAGTCTCAGATTGGGTGGCCCTGACCAGTGAGGGGAACTGAAGACCAGGACCTGTGTGGAGAATAGTCTGGCCACTTTTCTGTGAGGTGGGTGCTCTGTGCTTGGGGTCCGAACCAGCCCCTGGTCCCTGCAGACTCTCCAGAGCTTGGTGACAGCAAAGGCGAGAAGTGTGAAATAGCAAAGACGGCAACCTTCCCCTTCCTCTGGGAACTCTGCCTCAGTGAGTTGCAGAGCTGCTATAGACTCAATGACCTCAGCAGTGGGTAGCTGAAGACCCAGGTTGGGAGGACCTGCCCAGTGAGGAGATACAGGATCAGGGACCTATGTATGAGTAGGGCTGCTGCAGTGTGCTAGGGGTCTGCTCCAGTCCCTAGCCACCCCAGATTTTCCAGCACCTGAAGGTACCAACAGTGAAAGCTGCAATACAGCAAAGATGGCAGCCTGCCCCTCCCACTGGGAATTCCATCCCAGAGAAGTATGGACCTGTTACTGACCTAAACACACTGACAGGGGTGGTTGTAGACCTCAGTCGGGTGACTCCACACAATGAAAAGAAATGAGATCCAAGACCTGGGTGAAAAAGCAGTCTGGCCACTTCTTTGTGGAGCTGCTGTGCTGTGCCGGGGGACTGCTCCAGTCCTCAGTCACCTCAGACTCCTTAGACCCTGAAGGCAACAACAGCTAAGGCTATGAAACAGCAAAGATGGTGACCCATCACTTCCCCTGAAAGCTCTGTCCCAGAAAGGCTCAGAACCACTGCCAGCTGGAAAACACTGGCAAGGGTAGCTGGTGATCCTGATTGGGAGGTCCTGTCCAGTGAGGAAAAATGGGGTCAGGGCTCACATAAAACCAGCAGTCTGGCTGCTTTTTTGTAGGGTGGCTGCAATGAAATGGCTAATTGCTTTGAAACAGCGTAGGTAGTGCCCCAGCCCTTCCTCTGGGAACTCCATCTCAGGGAGGTGTAACACTGCTACTGGTGGCTGGTTGGATTTCCAAGCCAGTAGGTCTTATTCTGCAAGGTGCCATGAAAGTGGGGTCTGCAGACCATTGTTGCTCAGCCCCTTTCTTAAGGGTATGTATGGGGGTCTAACTTCCCACTTTGCTGGAATTGCAGCTGCTTTTGCTGGGAAGTCCTGGTGTCTAAAACTCCTGGGCTCTGCATGTGCCTGGGTGGATGCCCTACTAAGATTTCATGTAGCTGTGCATGTCAGACTGCAAGCCCTGGTGGAGTGAGTTCATAAAGAACTCTCCTAACCCAAAGGTTGCAAAGATCTGTGAGAGAAGCATGGGTCCCCCAGGGTCGCTCACTCACTCATTGCTTCCTTGGGCAGGGGAGACTCCCCTGGCTCTGTGTCACTCCTGGGTGGGCAGTCATTCTGCCTTACTTTTCTCCACTCTCCATGGGTGGAGTTGTTTCCTTGATGCATCCTGATACACACACCTGGATGTTTCAGTTGAAGGCGATGTATTTATTTGCTCCTTCTCTTTGTCTCCATCTCAGCAGCACACACTAGTGTCTTCAAGTCAGCCATCTTGGCCAGCTTCCCTCTAGATTTCTTTATATTGAATTAGTATAGTAATATTTTGCTGGAAGATGAATAGATAAATAGTCGATCTAAGCAAATTCCAGAATGCAGCCAAAAGAGAAAGCAATAGAACAAATAAAGGAAGATAAGAAAGTTAAAAGGGCAGGCCTAATGAATTTAGAGTTCCAAGAATAGAAAAAAACAGCAGATAAAAGAGAACAGTATTTGAAAAAAAAAAACAAAAAAACAATGACAGAATTTTCCAGGGTTGGTGAAAGATCTGTCCTCAGATTCAGGTTCACAGCAACTGGAAACTAGATAAATAGGAATTCTAACTCTACACATGTTCGAGGACAACTAGACTGTTGAAGACAGATAACGAGTTTTTAAAAACAACCAAAGGCACAAGATATTCTTCCTAACTTGCCTTCAATCAAGAATTGTATATGCAGCAAAGCCTCATTTAAGAGTGAAGACCTCATTCACAAATCAAGTCATTGTAAAACAAGCGACACTGAAAGAAATACTAGAGATGCAAAATTGAAAGGTCAACCTGCAAAAAGAAAAAGAAAAACTTAAGAGAATAGCTCTGAGGCCCAGAATTGCTACAATATAGTATCTAAAACCTTCAAATGTAACAAAAAAATTACAAGACATCCTACAAAACTGGAAGATGAAACTCACACTAAGGACAAAAAGCGGTCAATATCAACTGGCTCTGAATGGACCAAATGTTTTATTTCTGACGAAGACTTCAACACAGCTATTAGAAATATGTTCAAGGATATAAGAAAACATGACGACAGTAACTCCAAAAAGGTAATCTCAATAGATAAATGAAAACCACAAAAAAGAAACAAACAGAAATTCTGTAGTTGACTAGTACTATAAACAAGCTGAAAAACTCACAAGATGTGCTCAAATGCAGATTTGAGATGGCAGAAAGAATGAGTGAAACTAAATATAAATCAACAGAAATTATCTAATATAAAGAACAGGGAGAAAAATATTGAAAGTAAAACAGGAACAAACTAAGAGAAATTTGTAACAGCATGAAGCATCCCAACACATATGTAACAGGAATACCAGAAAGAGAGCAGAAAAAAAGAAAATGGAAAATGTATTTAAAATTAAAGGCTTGAGGCCAGGCATGGTGGTTCATGCCTGTAATCCCAGCGCTTTGGGATGCCAAGGTGGGCAGATCACCTGAGGTCGGGAGTTTAAGACCAGCCTGACCAACATGGCAAAAACTTGTTTCTTCTAAAAATACAAAAATTAGCCAGGCATGGTGGTGGGCACCTGTAATCTCAGCTACTTGGGAGGCTTAGGCATGAGAATCGCTTGCACATGGGAGGCAGAGTTTACAGTGAGTCAAAATCAGGCCACTGCACTCCAGCCTGGGTGACACAGCAAGACTTCATCTAAAAAAAAAAAATTAATGTCTTGAAAACTCCCAAATTCAGTTAAAAAATTAAGTCTACAGATCCAAAAAGTTCAAGGAACTCCAGGCACGATAAAAACAAAGAGTTTCATACCTGGATACATCATAGGGAAACTGTTGGAAGACAAAGAAAAAGAGGAAATCCTGAGAGCAACAAAACAAAGTCAACGCATGCATAGAGGAATAATAATAGTGGTTGCCTTCTCACATAAATGCTAGAGATCAATAATCAGTGGAATAATATATCATGCTGAAACAAAACAAACATTATTACCCAAACATTTCATTTCCAACAAAACAGTCTTTTAAAAATGACAACAAAGACATTCCCAGATAAATATAGACTGAGAATTTATTGCTAGCAAACCTGCATTGTAAGAAACACTAGAGAAAGTTTTTCAGGATGAAAGGAGATGATATTAGATGTTAACAAGAAAAAAAGAAAAATATCAGGAATTATAAACGTATTAGTCAATATAAAATATGATATGTATATGCATATATTCTTATATGTGTGTACATATACATATATATTCCTTTATTATTATTATTTTTTGAGATGGAGTCTGACTCTTGTCACCAAGGCTGGAGTGCAATCCTGTGATCTCAGCTCGCTGCAACCTCCACCCCCTAGGTTCAAATGATTCTCCTGCCTCAGCCTCCTGAATAGCTGGGATTACAGGTGTGCACCACCACACTCGGCTAATTTTTGTACTTTTAGTAGAGATGGGGTTTCACCATGTTGACCAGACTGGTCTCGAACTCCTGACCTCAGGAGATCTGCCTGCCTCAGTGTCACAAAGTGCTGGGATTACAGGCATGAGCCACAGTGCCCAGGCTATTCCTTTATTCTTAATTCTTTAATAAACATGTAATTGTATAAAGCAATGATGATTACACTATATTGTTGAGTTAATTATAAATATTTATAATATATATGTTACATACATGTGTTTAAATATTTTTTCACATGCAGATGTATACCCATACAAACATGCATCCGTGAGGGAGATGAGAGAGTAGAATTGGAGATGTATTAAAGTTACCATATTTTATTGTAATTAGGTCTATGTGTACCTAAAATAGACTGAAATAAGTTAATATATATGCATACATATATATGTATTATATTTATATATATATCCTTATGGCACCTCAGTTAAAACAATTCTAAAGTATATAGTTAAATGTAAATGGAATTAAAATGGTACAATAAAAATATTTCTTTAATACAAAAAAGTAAAAGAGAAGCAAAAATACACACAAAACACATAGGAAACAAATAGGAAAATGGCAGACATAAGTCCAATCCTACTAAAAATTACATTAAATGTAAATGGACTAACATTCAAGTCAAAATGCAGAGATCATCGTACTGGATAAAATACAAGATGACAATGCCCAATTATGTACTACTTACAGGAGGAATATTTTAGATTCAAGACACAAATGCAAGTTAAAGCATACAAAGTTTTAGTTACATAGGATAAATAAGTCTAGTGCTCTAATGTATGACATGATGACTGTTGCTAATGATATTGTGTTGTATTTTCAAAGAGAGTAGATTTCAGATATCCTTAACATACACACATACACAAAGTGGTAACTATGTGAGGAAATGAATATGTTAATTTTCTTGCTGTAGTAATCATTTAATTAAGTATATGTACATCAAAATATCATGTTGTAGACTTTATATACAACAAAAAGGCAGAAATGGGTGTCTTTATATATATAAACTAATTATATATATTATGTACATAATATATACATATATGTATATATATCATTCACATTCAAACATTCACTGTCAATAAGCTGGAATGGCCATTCTAAAATCCAACAAAATAGACTGTTAACAGCCATGTTCCATCTCTTACACAATTCTTCCAAGAAATGTCCCAGGACCTTGAGGACACTTGTTTAAATTTTCTGCTGAAAATTTTATTCTTGTCTGCAGCTGATCTGGGTAAAATGGTTTTGGCCACCCTGAAATGAAAAGTTTGCTCAACTTGAATTTTTCAATCAGAATTGTGTAAACTGAACTGACTGAAAAGTCTGTGGTGTTGGCTGTTATTTATGCTGTTCATTGTTGGTGATCTTTAATCAGGGCACAAATAAGATTTATATTTTCCTTGCAAATTGATGTGCATTGTCTACTGAGGCCTGCTTCATGTTCAACATAGTCTCACTCTTTCTTAAAACAAGTTATCGCTTTTTAAACTTCTGATTTCTTTGGGGCAAAGTCTTGATAAACTTTTTTAAAGTACAAATGATTTCACCATTCTTCCACCCAAACTTCACCATAAATTTGATGCTTGTTATTGTTTCAATTTTAGCAGAATTCATGTTGCTCGAATAGGACCCTGCTTTGTGCTTTGTCTGCAGGGTCACTATCTCAAGAGCAGCAGCAGGGAGGTAACCACCCCCGTGATTCAATGACATCTCACCAGGTCTCTCCCATAACATGGGGGGACAATTCAAGATGAGATTTGAGTCAGGACACAGTCACACCATATCACTTTTATTTAGAGAAAATTATAACATTTTATTATAGACAAATTTGTTAAAGATCTAAATTGAATGGAAAGATATTTGTATATTGGAATTCTCAATATCTTAAATTTGTTTTTCCTAAATTTGTTTGTAAATTTAATACATTTCCAATTAAAAATCCTTACTGGGTTTCTCAAGGAGCTTGAAAACAAGCCAAAAATTTCTGAAGGAAGAAAACACTGGAGTGCTCACCATGTTAATTATCAAAACTCATTATCATAAAGCATCAGTGCTGTGAGTTGAATAATTGTGTCCCTAAAAAGGTATGATCAAACCCTAACCTCCAGTACCTGTGAATGCAACTTTTTCTGGAAACAGGGTCTTTGTAGATGGAATGAGTTAAGATGAACTTATTATTGGAGTAGGGTGCGCTCTAAACCCAGTACAACTGTGATCTTACAAGAAGAGGAGAAAAAACACAGAGGCAAACAAAGAGAAGCTAAAGCTGTGTGAAGATGAAGGCAGACATCAGAGGAATGCGTCTACAAGCCAAGGATGCCCAGCGACCATGGAAACCAGGAAAGACTGGCCGGGTTCCTCTCTGGAGCCTCCAGAGAGAGATGTTCCTGCAACCCTTTGATTCTGGAGGGTGCTGAGAACTGTCCCCTGAATCGAGAGAGAATCAACTTCCATTGTGTTCAGCCACCCACCTTGTGGCACTTTGTTTGACAGGTGTAGCAACTAAGGGGCATGGCAATAAACACACTATAGGATGGGCACAGCGACAGACAGCAGGCAGGAAGAAAGATCCGAAGCCCACCCACCCTGCCTGGGAGCTCTGCAGCTCACAGAGGTGGGACTCCAGGCCAGCGGAGGGTGGAGGACTTAGTGACTGGTCTGGAAAATTAATTACCCATAGGCAAAAGTGAGGAGTCTGGGGTTCCCTAACTTGCATGATACACAAATTAAAAGAGTAAATATGTTAGGGGTAGCTTTGCAACTTTTGTAGGAAAATATTTTTATGGCTTCATCATATAAACAGATTTCCAAAACAAGACTTTAAAAAATAAAAGCATGAAGGAATAAAATAAAATAATAAATAAATAAATAAATAAATAAAATAAATAAAAAAAATAAAAATAAAACCATGAAGGACAGGACTGTCACATTCAACTCTGTCTGTCAAATACAAAGAACGAGGATGAGGCGGGTGGCAGGGGCGCTGAGACTGGCTGCCCGAGGTGCCGCCCTCCCTAGCAAACAAGCAGATCGCGCATGTTCAGGGAGAACCCAGCTCTCCACGTCTCCACTTTCGCCGCTTCTTTACCCCTTCAGGAACGTTGTCTGAAAGAAGCCTACACAGATGATTACTGTGGCTAATATTGAATAGAAGGGGACATTCCTCCTTATCAATCAGCATGTTGGTTGTTCTTCATCCCTGGGAGGACAAGTGGGAGTGTGATCCTCACCTGCCCTTTCACATCTGTGCAGAAGAGTGTGGGTGTGTGCACTGCATGGGCTTTATGTGAGTTTCTCTCTGGGGATCTAGTCTGTTGCACCATCAGCGCCTTGAGCAAACACTTGGGAAGAGGACTATTATCAAAAGTGGTCTTTGAACTTAGATCCAGCTGCCATCACTGGGTTGTGCAACCCTGGGGCAAGTGACTAATCCTTGTGGAGTCCACATCCAGTGACCACACACACACAACCCCTCCTATCTATCTATGTCCTATATCATTGGAAGTGTAGTACTTGGTATTTAATTTAGGAAACCATTGATAGGTTTTTGTATCATCTTTCACATTCTGATTTTTTATATAAACTGGAAGACAATGTGATGAAAGCATTGCATCCTAAGCCCCTCTGGCATGAACGGTCCTTGCTAGCTCTCTCTGCAACCTGATCCTTACACATGAAAACAATGTGTAGTTGAGTGAATTCCTCAAACATCTGTCAGACGGTTTTTGTGCACAAGGCCAAGTGCTAGGCAAGGATAGTAATCTTGCCTCTAACACAAGGTTGTGACAACAACTCCTGAGAAGTTAAGAATATATATTTCAATGCTCCAATTTACTTTGGAGTTAATTTAGCTTTTAAGAACACTGGCCAGAAATCTACACCAGAATCACAGTGGTGGGTGGTTTGCCCCCCACTGCTGGTACAGCTGCTAATTATTTTCTTTTCTATAATTTTGAGAGCCAGCAGGGCAGTTTGGGGATTAGAATTAGCATACACTTTTAAAGCATCATGGAGAGAAAAAGAGCAGCAGATCCTTTGCCCCTGAGTTCCAGACTGAGCAGTGGAATCTCGTCTTTGCCATTAAGCAGCCTGATACTTGAGTCACCTGGCGACACTCCCTGTTCCTCAAGCACTTGGCCTCTTGAAAAAAAATCCTCCAAAATAAGCTGATAGAGAGGGAGAGGCTTTCTTAGCCTTGACAAGTCTGAGTCCCGCGTGTTCTTTGAGCCACCCTGCATGGTGGAAGAGGTTGGAGCAGGAATTCCCTAGCTGGGATCCTCCATGTTCGCCTTATGCAGTGGCCCAAGGTGATGGCTGTCATCAGTACCACATCTATGGCTGGAAGCTGACCTGGCAGCCCACTCACTGGGCTTTAGACGACAGGGTGACCAGGGATGCCCAATTTCCATGCAGCTGGGGAGTCCCTGGATCTACAAATCTGCCCTCGTGTGTGCAGGCATGCTTTCTGCTCCACCCCAGCTGAGAACCTTCTCTCCCAGGCCTTTTTCCCTCTAAGAGTCTCTGCAGAAAGCCCCAGGACCAGGTCATGTCTTCCTCATCTTTACGTCATTGCATCAGGCGGTGCCCAGGGACTGACCAGGATGCACTTCCTGCAAACCTCAGTTGGACTAAATGGAAATCCCCGCCCTCTGCACTGTGGTGCTCTGAGTGGTGTCTGTTCTCTTTCTGCAACTCAGATCCCACCATGCTCTGGGAGCAGCGTAAGGAGGAGGCTCAGCCTGCACATCCCCAGACCCGCAGTGCACCTTCCCCTGCATGTGGGACTCCAGCCCCTTGGTGTGGGGCTAACAATGTGCATGGCCTCCCGGCCTCCTTGATTTCCCGTCCACAGGTCGTGACTGGGCTGTGCTCTCTTGGTGCACATGGTCCACCCTCCCACACCTGGCTGGCCTTCTCTGCAGCCTGGCCTGGCTCTGGCCTCCCTGGGTGCTCAGACCTTCCAAGTCTCCCTCCTTGGCTCTGCCTGCTAAGCCCCAGGGTCGCGGGGGTACTCCTGATCGCCTACCATGCTTATTATTCCTTAGACCAGAGGTGCCTTAGAGTCTGTACAATCCCAGAGTTTCTGAAAATGCCAGTTCATTGATTAGGAAGCCTTCACGGGCCTGAAAAATCTGATTATGGATGGACTATAACCACTCTTGGGAAAAACTCAACTCACTTCCTGGGTTTCCCACACCAGCCACCTTCATGAGCAGGCTCCATACCCTACAGAGCCCCCTGGTCCAGAGGAGATGTGAGTTCAGGGTCTGTGGTTTGCCCAACACTGCTGTCTCTGAAGTTTCTGAGCTCCTTGGAGTTGCCTAACCATTGCTTGCACCTGTCTCTTGTCTTGAGTTTTCCCCGTTTGGGACGGGATCCTCCAAGTGCTTCATTGACTCTGGTTTGCTGATGCACCACCTGTCTATCAAGGCTGAGCTCGGTAGCCACTCTGCAGGGAGACAGAAATGACTTGCTCATTTGGGGCTGCCTCTCTTTATATTTGACTCTTAGCAGCTTCCAAGCTGCGTACTATGCTATTCCATGGGGTGTTTTATCTTTCCACCCAGCCTAGATTATAGATACTCAAGGTTAATGTTTTCAGTGTATTTATCTTTACAATCCCACAGTCTCTGGCCCATAACAGACCCTCAATAAATATCTGCTTAATGTGCTTCAAATCTGGCTGGCTCAACAAGGGCAGCCGTCTCTCTTCTGTGGCAATGACAACTAAATTATCACTTAGTTCAATTTATTACCCATTGATGCAGGTCACTGATTAATCAATGAAAGTATGGGGCTTGCTATGAATCACTGGGATAAGAGAAATGAGTAAAGTCCACACATTCTCGTCCCCATTCATGCATAGACAAGCCTTATTTAAGATGCAGGCTAAGAAAATGAACATATTCCTTTCAGAGCCTTTGAAAGGAGAACACTGAAGAACCCCAGATTGCTTGCTGAAGATTTGCACTAAATTATATTCCTCTCATGATTCCCCATCCCCTCTCCATAATTGTATATTCAAAGCAAATGCATTATTTAAACAATAATATACTCTCTATTAGTCTCTTGCTTTGGGTAAATGGTTGGCTAAAGCAATTACAGGCCCCAGGGAGGGACTTGCAGAAGAGGAACCAAGATGCACCACGGATAATATGAGCCTCTACTTTATTGCAATAATTACAGATTTTTATACAGTGTACTGAGGGACTGTAAGAGTGTTAAGGATGCTGTAATGACCAGCAATTTTCTTTTATGCTAATGTCAGAAAGAGAACACGATGGGGCAACATGGAACTGCACAGGATCCCAGCATGCCTTGCATTTTTGTTTAACGCCCCTTCAAGGCACTTGTGAACAGAGCTATGATCATCAAAAAGCCACGATATTAAAAACAGATAGGAATTAGCTTCAAGGTAAGTGCAAAATATTAGAAATATGTGAGTGGCATGAAATCCACTCCTGCGGATATGTGGAAAATGATGACAATGTGCTTGGCCAATTATCCGAAAATGTCATCTGGTGTGCACAATTAAAGCAGGATTCAGTGACAGAGATGCAGGATGTTTTTAAATAAGAGAATGAATCTGCTTAGACTGTGGAGGGAGCCTTGATAAGTTGTGTTTCTAGTGAGTTTCCTGCAAAGCCATTGCCCAGCCATGGGGCTCCTCCCTCCTCCTCTCCCTCCCAGCCCACCACCCTCATGAGCCTGGCATCTGCTCTCCAGAGCCTGGCCCATGCCTCCTTCCTTACCTCCTCACCTGCACTTTCTGCTCAGCCCCGTGCATCTGTTACCCCCACAGGAGTTCCCTTTGTGAACACATCTGTCTCCTTTTCCTTCACATTTGAACCCAGCCATGACCCTTGATTGCCACCCAGACTGTACTGCAGGCACTGGGACTTCATCCGAGCCCTTCACAGGCTGGCCACACTCAATCCATCCCACACTCACCCAGGACCATGCATCAGCTGGTGGCTTGAGCCCACATTGGAGCGTGGAGGCCAAAATGTCACTGAAAATGCAGTGAAAACAAATCAAAAGGATTGCAGAGGCCACATCTCTATAACCATTTATGCATGTTTTCTGCTTGTCTGCTTGTGGGCCATTTCATGCAACTTCACTCTGTTCTTCTCTGTGGACCACCAAACCCTATCTCTCCCTTCCTCCCTCTCTGTCCCAGCCTCCTGGCTCCCTCAAAGAGAAGGCACCACCACTCAATTTCCAACCAGACACTTCTCCTTGTCTGTGGCTCTTTCTGCAGATCCTGCTCCCATTTTCAAGGAAAGATTTCTACCTCCAGCAAAAGTGATGGGCTTCTCATTTGTGCTTGATTTTCAACAAGTTACACAATGATAACAACAAAATGCAATCCAAAAATTGAATCTAATTTCGTAATGGTGATAACAATGGCTGCCATTCATCAGGGACTTTCATATTCTAAACTTTTTGCTAAGAATTTTATGTACATCATCAAAGATTTAATACAAGATATTCAATTGTCCTCACTTGCACTTGGGAGACAGCTGCTTATCCATGACTGCATGGAGGTGAGGATGGGCAGTGGAGTTTGCACCTGTGTCCAGTCATCACGTGCATGCAGAGTCCCCTGCCACATTATCCATCTTCCCTGTGGCTTCTGCACTTCCCAGGGCTGTGCCAAGGGATGAGTATCACCAGCAAGGCTGGAGATCCTCATCTGCTCAGGGGGATTCTGGTTTTACTTATTGTGGGATTATTATTATAATTGTTCTCAGCTGGCTGGGTGTGGTGGCTTGCCTGTAATCCCAGCACTTTGGGAGGCTGAGGCTGAGGTGGGAGGGCTGCTTTAGGCCAGGAGCCCAAGACCAGCCTGGTAACATAGCAAGACCCTATCTCCACAAAAAATTAAAAAAACATTGTTCTCTTTCACTCTCCAAGTATTCTGGCTTATACAATAAATTACATTCTCAGTATGGCCATCCAGTGCTGGTCTCTTTGTGCTCACTAAGGGTGTCAGTGGCAGAGCCTGGAGAGAGCTCAGATCTCCTACCAGGCAAGTCTCTTTCCAGTGTTGTATTCCTTGATTCTCAGATAGAAAAGTTGAGATTTAATGGAGATTAAATTCAACCAAGTGCAGTTAACACTGTGAGGTTCCAGCATCAATATTGTTTTCTTACTAGCATTGAGGCAAACACACACTAGGGTGACCCATGAGTCATGCTGTTGTGTAACCCCTAATCTTGAGTGTGGATGGGGCCTGGGACTTGTTTCTAACCAACCAAGTGTGGCAAAGATGATGGGCTGCCACTCTCATGATTAGGTAATAATGTAATCATGTGAGGCCACTCAGCAGACTCAAGTGAGAGGGTCCTTTTGTGGCTTTGAAGAAGCAGCTGCCATGCTGTGAAAATGTCATGCAGTAGTGACTTAGGGTGGCCTTTTGGAGCTGAGGGTGGTCCCTGGATGACAGCTAGCAAGAAAACAGAGACCTTGGTACTACAACCGCAGAGGGACACATCTGCCAGTAATAACAGCTGGAAAGCAGATCCTTCTCCAGTTGAGCCTCTGATGACACTGCAGCCCTGGCTGACGTATGGATTGTAGTCTGGTAAGACCCTAAGTTAGGGAATGAAGCTAAGCTGTGTTCATTCCTGTGACCCACAGAAATCCTGAAATAATAAATGGATATTGTTTTAAGCCACTAAGTTTGTGACAACTTGTTATGCAGCCTAGAAAACCATAGAGATGCCATTATGGAGGAGCCTGAGTGAGTTTAGGGAGCAGCATACACTAGAGTCCCACCTGAGAAAGTTTGAATCTTGACTCCACAGCTTACCTGAAGTGTGAATGTGGGCAAATTAGTGATACACTTTGTGCTTTAAGAACCTTACCTGTCAGGTGCAGGTAATAATAATGCCTGCCTTTATTATACTGGGAGACATAAATGCATTGAAAAGGCACACACGTGTAGTAAGCACTGAATAAATGTTAGCTTCTGATACCTACATGGACAAGAGATACACCATAATACACATTTTAAATTGTTGATTTGGAAAAATGTACATGTTTGAACACCCATGAATTACTTGATTTGACCTTGTTCTTCTAGTTGAGATTTAATGCTAAGCCTTGTGCAAACATCATTAAAAATATACTTCTCCGCTCTCTAGTTAACAATTTAAAAGAGATAACATTGAAGCAAATATACACATGAAAACATAAAACAAATGTGTAAGATGTGCGCAAACATAAAACATAATTAAGGTTGATGTTTTCAGTGTGCATGCTGAGTGGTATGGTGGGTTTGATGTTTTAATATTTGCTCAGGGATGACTTGATGGTTTCTGACTGCTAACGGCTGATGGGGGAAGACGATTCCAAGGTAAGAGAGATGCACCTTGAGATGACAATGGAGACATGGGTGCTCCTCGGGAGGTGGAGGTTGGTTCCTCAGCTCAAAGGGACACCTCGCTGCTGGGGAAATGGATCATCCCTAGGGAATGACAATGAGCAGGGTGCCATTTAAATGAGCAGCAGTGAGTAAATGTTGATGCTGTTCATGAAAGCACAGAACACGGAGCCCAGCAGCAAATCCCAAGGAGTCCAGTAGTTAACTTCAAACATTGGAACCCGGAGGCAGCCAAGTGATGCGTGTGCATCTGGACGTTATTCTGTGATGTCCTTTTCTGCAAAATAAACACCAGTAGGAAGGAGCTATTGAAATAAGATGCCAATAGTGCTCTGAGAAACTGAGTGATGTGTTAACTTTCTCTTCCTTCTCCCTTTCTCTCTCCCTTTCTTTCTCTTTATTAGTTTTTGTTTGTTGTTTTCTCTAGCCTTCCTAAAAACTAAATATCATGGGGGTTGGACAGAAACATCCAATGTGCCTTGGTGCGTATGTGCCCATCCAGGCAGGCAAGGGACACTTCTGGTTCTTCCTGTCCCTTCAGGGGCAGACCCATCACATCCCAGGGAAGAAGTGGGACTTCAACATTGAACAGGGGCTCCTGCATTGGTTTAAAACTCTATGATCATCTTGTCCAATCTTACACAGAAGAACAGCCCCTGGAAACTCTATAGGGCCCTCTGTTCTGGAGACTTGGGGTCAGAATAACATTTTCCTTCGTGTTTGCAGGCATTTGTGGTTTTCTCTCTACCTCCCCTGCTGCTGCTTCTCAGCTCCTTTCCAAGTTGTTTTCCTTCTCTGTCTTGCCCTTAAATAGCAGCAACATTAAAACATTTCCTGGGGCCTCTTTCCTATTCATATTCATATTCACCTGACTGGTGAAGTCAACTTCTCTAACTGAGATCCTCACATCTTTGCTGACCAATCCCTCACAAGTCTCTAGCTTGTGCTCAGCCTTCTCTGCTGAGCTCCGAAGTCATCTGGACAAAGCCTGCTGGCTGTCTCTATTTGGTGTTCCGTGGACACCTCCAACACTCACATCTGAAACTGTCCTCATCTCCTTTCCACCAAGTCCCCAAACCTGACCCTGTGTAGTCATATTGGGGAATTGGAGAAGTATGTTACCCAGGACAGAGCCCCAGGAGTCATGCCCACTCTGCTCCCACTCTGCCCTTTTCTAGGTCCTAAATGCCGCTGATTCAGCCTCTTCTCCTCAGACCTCACCCTCACGCACACAAACCTAGCATGCCACCCAGACGGCTATGAGACTTTCCACACAGAAGTCAGGGCGGTTTTTTAAATGCCTGATCCGATCGGGCCTTTCCCGTGGTCACACCCCGACTTTGTCCTTAGGATAAAGTTTAGAATCCCTGATGTGAATTGAGAGCCTCTGCACCACTGGGCCTCTGGGGACCTCCCCCCGACTTCCAGCCACTCTGGCTCATTTAGACAACCCCAACTTTACCCATGCTCCTTTGCGCATGGCCCTTACCCATCCCTGCCCATGTGTGGCCTACCTGGCTCCTTTCTGCTACTTCTTCTGGTCTCATCTGAGACCACTTCTTCCGGGAAGCCTTCTCTGAGCTCACCTCCTAACCCTTGCCCTCCCTGGCCTAAGCTACTTGCCTCTTCACTTTTACTATCCTAGCCATCGGGTGATGACGAAGCTGCTGTTTCTTATTAACCCCCTGGGTGTCCACTTCCTTTCCCTGGTGCCATAACCTTCATTAGGTCAGGGGCTCTCTGAGAGGTCCACCTTTGCAGTCTCAGAATCAAGCACATTGCTGGTATAAAAATTAACCCATTGAATACATTATTTTCTATACTTTTTGGTTAATTTCCTTTTTAGATTTTTTTTATTTGTAATTGACAAGTAAGAGTTGAATATATTTATGGGGTACACTGTGATGTTTTGATATACATATATTGTAGAATGGCAATATCAAGGTAGTTAACATATCCATCACCTCACATGCTTATATTTTTTTGTAGTGAGAACATTTTAAATCTACTCTGCTAGCAATTTTGAAATACATATTATTATTAACTACGGTAATCAGGCTATGCAACAGATCACTAAAACTTATCCCACCTGTCCAGTTGAAATTTTTTACCCTCTGGCCAACACCTTTCCTGCTCTGACAAACTTTGGTAGCCACCATTCTACTCTCTACTTACATAAGTCTGACTTTTATAGAGTTATACATTTTTTTTTCCACATTGAGTGAGCCCGTGCAGCATGTATCCTTTTGTGCGAGTGTTTTGGCACTTTTTTTCATAAAACTGTTGGCTGTATATATTCTTGTGAGAAATGTCTAATCTTTTATTTTTTGATCAGGTTATTTATTTTCCTGCTTTTGAGTGGTTTGAGTTCTTTGTATAGTTTGGATAGTAAACCCTTATCATATGTATGGTTTGAAAATATTTTCTCCCAGTCCATGGGTTGTTTCTTCACTCTACTGATTCTTTCCTAGGCTGTGGAGAAGCTGTTGAATTTGGTGCAATCTTGTTTGTCTGTTTTTGCTTTTGTTAACTGCACTTTTGGAATTGTATCCAAAAAATAATTGCCAGTTCAGTGTCTTGAAGCTTTTCGCCTATGTTTTTTTTCTAGTAGTCTTATAGTTTTAGATCTTATGTGTAAATTTCTAATCCACTTTGAGTTGATTTTTATATATAGCGTGATACATGGATCCAATATTACTCTTCTACATGTAGATATCCAGTTTTCCCAGCACCATTTATTGAAGAGGCTGTTTCCATTGTGTGTTCTTGGTAACTTTATTGAAAATAAATTGATTCAAAATTTGTGGATTTGTTTCTGGCTTCTCTATTCTGTTTCATTGGTTGCTATGGTTTTATGCCAATACCATGCTATTTTGATTACTAAATCCTTGTGATATTTTTTGATGTCAATTTCTGTGAAAAATGTAATTGGATTTTGAATTTTGATAAGAATTTCATTAAATCTATAGATGTCTTTGAGTAACATGGACATTTTAACAATATTAATCCTTCTAATTCATGAACTCAGAACAGCTTTCCATTTTTTTGTGTTTTCTTCTATTTCTTTCATCAATGTTTTATACTTTTATGTATACAGATCTTTCATTTCCTTGGTTAAATTTATTCCTAAGTATTTTTTAATGCTGTTGTAAATTGGATTGTTTCTTAATTTGCTTTTTGGGTAGTTTGCTGTTAGTGTACAGACATGCTACTGATTTTTTGTATGTAATTTTGTATCCTGCAACTTTACTGAATTTGTTTATCAGTTCCAACAACTTTTTTGGTGGATTCTTTAAGGTTTTCCATATATAAGATCATGTCATCAGCAAACAGACAATTTCACTTCTTCCTTTTATATTTGGATGCCTTTTATTTCTTTTTCTTGCCTAGTTGCTCCAGCTAGCACTTCCAGCACTAAGTTTAAAAGAAGTGGGAGAGTGGGCATTCTTGTTTGGTTCCTGACCTTGGAAGAAAAGCTTTCAACTTTTCACCATTGAATATGATGTTAGCTGAGGTCTTGCCATATATGGGCCTTACTGTGATGAGGTACATTTCTTCTATTCCCAATTTGTTGAGAGTTTTTAATCATACAAAATGTTGAATTTTGTCAAATGCTTTTTCTGCATCTATTGAAATAATCATATGGTTTTGTCCTTCATCATGTTAATATGGTGTATCACATTTATTGATTTGCATATGTTGAAACTTCCTTGTATCCCAGGAGTGAATCATGTTTGATTGTGATAAATTATCTTTTTAATGTGCTGTTGAATTCAGTTTGCTAGTATTTTATTGAGGATTTTTGTATCTACATTAATTGGGGGCATTGGTCTGTAATTTTCTTTTCTTGTAATGTCCTTTTTTGGCTTTGGTATCAGGGTAGTATGGGCCTTCTAAAATGAGTTTAGAAGTATTTTCTCCACTTCAATGTTTTGGAAGTGTTTGAGAAGGACCGATATTCGTTCTTCTTCATGTGGTTGGTAAAATTCACCAGTGAAGCACTAGGTTCTGAGAATTTCTTTGATGAGAGACTTTTTATTACTGATCCAATCTCCTTAATCATTATTGGTCTACTCATATTGTTTCTTTCTTCATGATTTAGTCATCATAGTTTGTAGGTTTTAGGAATATATCTGTTTCTTCTAGATCAACCATTTTTTTGGCATATAATTCTTTATAGTGGTTTCTTATGACCCTTTGTATTTCTGTAGCATCAGTTGCAATGTTTCCCTTTCATTTCTGGTTATATTTATTTGAGTCTCCCCTCTTTTTTTTCTTAGTTTGTCTAGCTAAGGGTTTGTCAATTTTGTTTATCTTCTCAAGAAATCAACTTTTAGTTTTCTTGATTTTCTATTCTCTTTTTCATTTGTTTCTGCTCTGATCTTTATTATTTCTTTCCTTCTATTAAATTTGGGCTTTGCTTTCCTTTTTCTACTTCCTTAAAGTCTAATGCTAAGTTATTTATTTAATATCTTTCTCTTTTTTGATATAGATGCTTACTGCTATAAACCCTCCCCTTAGAACTATATTTCTGCATTCCATAAGTTTTAGTATGTTGTGTTTTTATTCAAGACATTTTTATTTTTCTTGATTTCTTCTTTGACCCATTGGTTGTTCAGAAACATGTCATTTAACTTTCAAACATTTGTGAATTTTCCAAGATTCTTCCTGTTATTGATGTTTAGTTACATATTATTGTGGTCAGAAAAGAAACTCGATAGGATTTCCATCTTCTTAAATTTGTTAATGATTTTGTGACTTAAGTATGATCTGTCAGGGAGAACGTTTCATGTGCACGCTTCTCCTTCTGGAATGCCTGTTATATGAACATTGGTTCTCTTGATGATGTCCCATAGTTCCCATAGGCTTTCTTCATCCTTTTTTGTTTTTCTGTTTTTCCTCCTCTGACTGGATAATTTAAAAGTCTTGTCTTTGGGCTCACTGATTCTTCTGCTTGATTATGTACAAAAATTTACTGAATTTTTCTGTTCAATCATTTATGCTTCATCTCTAGGATTTCTATTTGTTCCCTTTTTGGGTGGTTATTTACATTTCTTTGTCAAACTTTTCATTTTGTTCTTTTATTAATTTTCAAATTTTACTTAGTTTTCTATCTGTATTTTCTTGTAGGTCACTTAACTTCTTTAAGAGGTGTATTTTGAATTTTTTGTCAGTCAGTTCATAGATCTCCATTTATTTAGTGTTTGTTATTGCATCCTTATTAGTTTCCTTTGGTGGTGTCAAAAACTCCCTGATTCTTCCTAATCGTTGTGTACTTGCATTGGTGTCTGTGGATTTGAGGAAGAAGCCATCTCTTCTGGCATTTATAGTTGTTTTGTGGTAGAAGTAGACCTTTACTCTTAGTCTAGACTGTGGTTCTGGATGGGCCAGCTGGTACCAACAATGGGCAGTAAGAGCTTGCCATCAGACTCTGTCGCTGGACTGCCTGCACTCTTAGGTCATGTGGGGTTGCTGACTGGGCTCTGCTGTCCTGTGAGACCACTGACTGGGTCTGCTATCAGGTAGAGCTCCTGGCTGAGTGCCACTACTGCTCTAAGTGGGCAGGGTCAAAGGCTGTATTCCTTGGCCAGGTGGCACCACTCTTTGAATTCTGCCGTTTGGCAGGACTAAATACTAAGCTCTGAGATTGGTTGGGGTCACTATTTGGCTACTCAGGATCGGGTGTCAGAGATTATGTTCTGCAGAAGGCCATGGTTTCAGCTAGCCTTCCTGCCAGGTCAGAGGTTGGGGTGGGCTCTGAGGCTGAGCAGGGTGGCTGGCTGGGAATTCAAGCCAGGTGGAACCTTCAGCTATGCTTCTGGAAGCAACTAGCTTAGCCTTGTGTGTGGGTTGTGCTGTCGGCTGGCATCTGTGGTCGGGTGCTACGTCTGGGAGGAACACAGAGCTACTGTGAAGGTGCATGCCCTTGTTTCTGTGCACCCACCTTCCACATTGTTTCTAGCCAGCCCTCAGTGGTCTAGTCCTGCAGGTAACTTCAGTGTTCCCTGTGAGGTGAGACAGAAGTAGGCCTCCTGGGAAGAATCCCAGAAAGCTGGGGAAGCTGAGCACCCACCTGGGACTCTCTTTTACCCTTTCTAGAAACCACAGGCCCAGGGGAATCCTCTCCATTGGGCAGGGGGTGGGGTGCTGCTGTCAAACTGAAACTGTTCCTCCTGCTCCTCTAATGCTGCTTTTCACAGCTCTGTGGTCAAAGAGGATATGGCAACTTCACTCTTGAGTTTTGGGATTGTTCACAAAAATCTGATGTGTGTTCTTATCTGTGGATAGTCATTAGTTAGACTTTTTGCGAGGGGGACTGAGACTGAGGACCTCCTATTCTGCCATCTTTATGTCACTCCTTAGTTAATTTCAATGATGAGAACTTTCATTTTTACTTTAAAACATATGAATGGTTTTTAATTTATTCTCTATGTCTTAAAATACATTTTATTAAAAGCAATTCTTCTTGATATTTTTCTTAAGCAAATTATTGTTTTAGTTACTTTAGAAGGATAAAATGCATATATGACTGGCACTCTGCAATATAACTTACACAAAAATGTAGGAAATACAAAGTTAAATGCAAGAGAAGTGTATTAAGAAAATACTTAAGCAAGAATACTATAATCAATGTAAGAGCTCTCACAAAGTAGTATGCCATCAACAGAGAAGATAATAAACATCACTTCCTAGATCATTTCAGCTTACAAAGCAAAGAAAGGATGTGTGATGGATTTTGATACCCAGATCAATGTTCCTTTGCAAAGAACAAAGAGTCATGGCAAGTGAGAAGAGTCGTGTGTTTTCCTTTTTGTTGTTGTTGTTTTCTGTTTGTGTCATTGTTGTTATTTAGTCAGCTACATGCTGTATTTCTTGCTGTAGGGATTCACTTCTGTCTGTAGAGCTAGGACACTCCACTTGCCAATTCTTGGTCCTCACATTCAGTTCATCTTCATGTGGAGAGTAAGCTGCCTGGGCCGGGGTTTCTTCCACAGCTGGAGGGCCTCTGTACAACTTTCATCTTTAAACAAATGCTCATTCCAGGGCACAAATCCTGGGTGCAGTAAAGTTCCCAAAGCTGTGGACACAGGCAAGAGAACAAATCCTAGACGAGGAGAAACTTTATTGACTATTGGGTATTTTTCTCCTTATTCTCTAAGCCCTTTAAAGATTGCAGCAAAAAAATATTCTGGCAATTAAACCAAATGCATATAAACAGTAGACAGATTTAATGCACACTCTGCATCTATAGAATTTGGGAACAGAGTGGCTAAAATGTGTTTGCTCCAGTTCACCTTGGATTTTAATGATGGTCACTGGACAATCAAGAGAACTGGATTCTCTGGTAGCTTCCTGATGTACACGATATGGAGAAAAACACAAAAGCACATCAGAGAATTCTGCTGTGGCCGTGGTTCTAAACTCTGGGTTCCATTAGGAACTCCGAAAATTACCAATGCAGGGCTACACTCCAAACAGATGAAATTGGAATTCTTCAGTGAAGACTACCGTGGGCAGTTTTAGAGGCTTTCTAGCTGTGCTCCTGGGCAGCAAGGGTTAAGGAACAGGTTTAATATTCATAGTCAAATGACTCGAGTCAAATTCACATGGTTTCAGTTTCACAACCCTGACTCTTAACACCCCACCTTGTGTCCCTAGTTATGCATGACTATAAAACATATATAGAAGTAGTTTAAAAGCCAAAGTACTTCAAGTTGAAACTTTTCCATTTAAAATAAAAGTAGCAATCATAGAATAGAGATAAATTGTACATTTAATGTGGTGATATTTAATCAGCCTCCTGTATACATTTGTGGCTAGAGAAACCAACATAATGATGGTTTATTTCATGCTTTGATTGAGGTTACTTTTTACAGATAAAGACATTAGAAAACTGCTTTTATGAAAAAAATTGTCTAAGTATCTAGAATGCTTCAAATACAGTATAAATAAAATGCAGTAGTTGCCTATCAAACTTTTAATATCAAATAATAGGTTTTGAGTCACTGAAAATTATGATTTTATTTATACATATTCACAACAAAACAGCAATTTTTAACTGTGAGATAAGCAATATTTTTCCCAAGATCAGGATATCAGTATATATCTAGCACCACCCAATGATTAAATAAAGAACACTCAACAGTGTTAACAATAGCTGATTTTTTTTGCTGGTTCTGGGTCAGACAGAACAAAGACATTGCATGTTTCAGTGGGTCGAATCCTCCTGTCAGCTCTGTGCAATAGGCAGTGATCCCGACCCCTCCCACAAGGCTGGGGGAGCAGAGGCAGCTTCAGGGTCTGTTCTGGAAATGTTTGTGGCTCACAACACAGTCTGGCATCACCTGGACTCGATACACAGTCCGACAGCATCAGCATCGCCTGGGAGCTTGTTAGACGTGAGGATCTCAGACTTCACCCCAGTCCCACATCCTGAATCAGAATTCGAATTTTAACAAGCCTCCAAGGTCATCTGTCTACATGGAATGGTGTCCTTGCACGTGTTTGCTCCAAACAATGTCTTGCACGTGTTTGCTCCAAACAATGTCAGGGAGTAGTTTCAATTTTATTGAAATAACTAAATACACAAAACGCTTTTGTAATAATGCTTCCTTGCATTTGGTTGGTGCTCCAGGATTCAAGCAATACTTTTGAGTGTATCATTTCCTGTCATTATTTTCACGTAGTTCAGAGACATTTGAGAAAATTGCCGCTGATTCTTGTGCTTTAATAAGTAGCAAATAGAAAAGTACAACGCACACTTTTGACTATGTTGCAGAATCCAGTCATAGCAGCAGATGCTCTCTGTGAACTATCTTTGCTCCAAAAATGTGTGAAAACAGGCCTGGTGCGGTGGCTCATGCCTGTAATCCCAGAACTTTGGGAGGCTGAGGCAGGCGGATCAGCTGAGGTCAGGAGTTCTATACCAGCCTGGCCAACATCGTAAAACCCCGTCTCTACTAAATATACAAAAATTAGCTGGGCATGGTGGCAGGTGCCTGTAATCCCAGCTACTCAGGGGGCTGAGGCAGGAGAATCGCTTGACCCCGGGAGGCAGAAGTTGCAGTGAGCTGAGATGGTGCCATCGCACTCCAGCCTGGGGACCAAGAGCGAGACTGCTTCTCAAAAACAAACAAACAAACAAACAAACAACAACAAAAAAACCCGACTTAAGCTGGAGGTAAGTGCCGCAAGATTAGAAGTCTGTTAGACTGTGTGTTGGATAGTCATGATGCTGTCCGTCAGAGTGAGAATGCTTTTCAGATTTCAGTCCTCGCTGCTGGGGTCAGTCAAGCATGCACATTTTCAACGAAGCCTCTGGATGTGTCAATATTGAAAGAGAGCTGTATTCTTTTTGACTGGCTAACTGTTCAGGAATATTCCATAATTTAGCATTTATTACCTATCAAAACCCTTAATCTTTGCTCATTTTCCCTATGAACATTGGATGCCGAGCTAGTCTCCAGCTAGACATTTCTAGATAAGCTCTCTGTTTCCAATTGTTTTCCTCCTAATCCACGCACCCACTACAATTCAACCATGCAGTTCTCTAATGATTTTTCTAGGGTAAGCCATTACCTTGTAAATGTAGACCTTCACCTTCTGTGCAATTTGCTGACCCCCAATGGGTAATTGTGGTTCTCAATTACTTCTGCTGCTTGGACAACATCACCTGGTGCTTAGAAGATACTTTGTTCTGCGTTTCCGCTCCCTCTATCCAGGCCTCCCGTTATGCTCAGTTGTCTCCTTCGTAGGTCTGAGGCCCCTCTGTGCTGCACTGCGGCCTCCGAGTGGCTCGCACAACTGCGCCTGGCACCCCTCCAGCCAGCAGGGAGACTCTGAACTCTGCAGGCTCCACAGAAACTGTCAGAAAGTCCCCCTGAGGAACAAGGTGGGCGGAAACCTCCTTCCCTCAGCATGCGCTAAAGGGGCTGGTCCAGAGAAGCAGGTAAAGAATGTCGGGTACCATTTCTAGTCTTGGACTCTACCAACACTGGCTCCTGAGAGATAGAAAGCAGCAGGTTTCTAACATCTCACACATCCGTCAAGTGGAAACGACTGCTGCAGCCTCTGCTGTCTTCTCTGATGACTTGAGGAACCAGGAGTCTCGGCTCATTTCTGCCCCTGCTTGTGATCTCCTGGTTGCTGCTCCCACCAGTGCGGGTTGTAAGAGAGGGCTGGGGCCATTGGAATAACGTGGTGGCCTCCTGTTTACACACACATGTGTACATGCACAGAACACACATGCACATACATGCATGGGTATGCATGCACAGAACACACACACTTATGCATAGGTGTGCACGCACAAAACACAGAAACATGAATAGTCATGCATGCACACAAACACACACATGCTGGACATGCATGCATAGAACACACACATGAATAGGCGTGCATGCACAGAACGCACACACATGCATAGGTGTGCATGCAAAGAACACACATGCATATACATCCATGGGTGTGCATGCACAGAATACACAAACATGAATAGGCATACATGTACACACACAAGCATGCACATGCTGGAGATGCATGCACGGAACACACACATGAATAGGTGTGCATGCACAGAACACATACACACATGTATGGGTGTGCATGCACAGAACACACAAACATGAATAGGCATGCACACACGAGCACGCACATGCTGGACATGCATGCACACACATGCATGGGCGTGCATGCACAGAACACACATGCAAACACATGCATGGGTGTGCATGCACAGAACACACATGCAAACACATGCACGGGTAGGCATGCACAGAACACACATGCAAACACATGCACAGGCATGCATGCACAGAACACACATGCAAACACATGCACGGGCACGCATGCACACACAGACACAGGGCATTCCTCCCGCCTCAGGCACCCTGGCCAATGACAGCATCAGTTGTCGATTCGCGTGGATCCCTCCACTAGCGACCATTCTCACAACCTTCACATTTAACTTTGAATTTCTTCCCCATGAACGGGGCTGCCAGATGCCAGGTTGATAATGAGCTGTGAGCTCAGAGTGGCATCAGGGACCCAAAGGACCATGGCTTGGGGCGCTCAGGTGCCCAGAACAGACCGCCTCCCCCATGCCAGGCAAGGGCTGTGCCACATGGAGTTTCTTTCACCGATTTCCCCCCAAAGTGGTATTAAAAGTAGACGCTTAATGATAATGAATTGAATTGTTCCTATCTAAAGTGGACTGACTGGCAGAATGCTGGCAACAGAGAGATCCCTGACGCTGGCTAAGAAAACAAAAGTAATTGGATTACACAAAGAAAATAAGATAAACATTCATTAAAATTACAGTAACAGGCTGTGATTAATGAGCAGTGGAGGAGCACGCAGTACGCAGCCCGGCCCTCGAGGTCTTCCTGCCAGGTGTGCCAACCGGGACTCCTCTTCCAGAGGAGTTTCCATGGGCTTATCAGATCAAGGGGAAGGCACTTGCCTTTCCTAAAGATTCTTTCTCCCAACTTTTCATTTTCATTATCAAAGAGTTCAAAAATGGTTAACAGCAGAAAGGACCTTCCCGATGGAAAATGTGTCTTTTACAATGATCATTACTCAGATTCTGTGTTTCTGGTACCGTTTAAAGGATGGCTGGCCATTTTTCCAGGCAGTCAGATTCGGTGCCTCAGCCTGTCTTCACTCAGTCGTCCTGCGTGTTCCCAGGAAGGACTTGATCTTTATTACAACGTCCACAAGCCAAGAGCACCCACCGTCTATTTCAGTGACGCATGGGAAAGGTCCCTGAATGGGGGAGTGAGAGCTGGTGGGTCCTGAGCATGCCCACCCTGTGAGGACCTCACTGGTTTAATCCCCCTGTGCCCACCCTTCTTCAAACTCACTGTTAAAACAAGCAGCACTTGGATGTCCTCTGACACGGCTGCCAGGAGGCACTGCGAGAGCATCTCCATAAACACCACGAGTCCAGCTCCATTTTATTCAGGCCCCACAGATGCTGCAACCTCAAACCAGGAGTCCTTGAAGAGCCAGCTGGGGAAAACCCCCAGAGTGTCATAACTGGGTCCTGTCATGGAGGATGGTGCCCAGGGCTCCAGGAATCAGGACAAAGGCCATCATCACAGAGATGCAAATGCAACAACCTTGGCATCAGAGAAGCCGGCACCAGACATGGCCCCGTCTGACCGCAGGCCTTGCGGGAGGAATGGTGAATGCTGGCGTCTTGGCGAAGGCTGTGATGGTTGTGTGTGGGAGGACAAGGCTCTTGGAGGCCTCCTCCTAGTGCCACTCGGTGCCTGGTGCCCTCAGGCCCACCTCCACCCTGCGCGTGGTCCACACACATCGGACAAAGGACAAAGCAGTGAGCCCGGGGGCATGGACAGATCCTCGCTGACCCTCCCTGGAGCCACACCACATGGAGCAAGGCAGCGAACAGCTCCGGTGTTAGCACCCTCCGTTTTCTTGCCTGTGTAATGGTCATAATAACAAGGCCCTCCTGGAGTCATCAGGTGGGTAAATGAAGTGATGCAAGTAAGGAGTTCGTCAGAATGTCCCCCCTCCCCACTCCCCTTGAAGGTGGAATCCCTTTCCCCGGCTGATATGTAAACACATGGTGCAGACACCAGCAGCTGCACAGGACATGGACCTGCCTCTGCTGCACCTGGCGCGAGGCTCATGGCTGCGCTTGGAAGCTCCGGGACTGCGCTGAGCCATGGTGACCTGCTATGCCAGGTTCCTTTTCTGCACAGCGTCGCTCCCTCTGCTTGGCTTGGTCGCCACCAGTTTACTCCTCCTGGAGGTGACTGGGCGAGAGGGTCTCACTGGACTCTGGAGCCACATGCCGAACACCGGCTTCTTTCCCCGCAGGGAGGCCGAGTTTCCTGTTCCTCGAACTCTAAATCTCCTCTCCACCGCGAGCTTGGATGTGCAGTTGAGTTTCCCACTTTCACCTCGGCAGAGACCACCTGTGCACACGCGGCCTTCTAGCCAACCCTTCCCCAGCAAGCGTGACCTCCAACCTTCCCCAGGCCCCGCCTATCCCTCCCCATCAGTGATGGTGCGTTTGGCTGTTAGCTAGGAGCCCGATTACGTAATTTACCATCCAGGTCGGACGTTGGGAGTGTGAACAGGTGCTGTGCATGCCGCTGGGACACAGGTAGATGCCAGCGCTGCCGGGGAACAGGAGCGCGAGGCCACCCCCACACTGAGCTGTTTCGTGAGCTTGTCAGCCTTCACTCTCGTCCACTTGGATGGCCTTAGACGCAGTTCCAACCACACCTCCCTCCCTCCTTCACCCTGGAGTTTGAGCTTCTGAGGCCCAGGCCTTGGGAACGTCCTCTCTGAGCTGCTTCTGGAGCTCATGTCCTTCAGTTGCCCTCCTGGGAATTCTTCACTCTCCTCCCTGACCCTATCGGATCTGCAAATCGTGTCTGCCGCTGACCCCTTCACTTTCCTCCCTGACCCTATCGGATCTGCAAATCGTGTCTGCCGCTGACCCCTGCCTGCGGCCACTCCACGGACCATGCAGCAACTTCTCACGCACTCCCTTCTCCAGGCTTCCCTCTGGGGTTTCCTCCATGGCTGCAGGGACGTCATTGTGAGACCTGTGCCACTTTCCCTACTGAGAATCCTTGTTTCTAATTTACATGCCTGTCGTCCTGGGGAATTAAGTTCTTCAATATCCCTGTGGAGTCCCACAAGCTGGACCCTGGGTCACACCTTGAGAGGCGTGCTCACTGTCTTTCGGCCTCATACTCCAGGCATCACAGCAGAGCCACACGTGTCTTCTGCACACCACACTGTCTCACACCCCACAGCTCCCTACCTTCCATCTGTATCAGAGCCTTATTACATTACATCGCTATTACCTGCCTTCACACCGTGAGCTCTTTGTGGTTTAAACCAGAGACTGTTTCATGTTCACCTGGGATCACTGGTGGCTCACACAAGGCCCGTGAACACCCAACGACGTGTGGGCTAAACAGAGATGGAACGAATCTGGACTGCGCTCCTGCCATGTAAGGTGGAGATTGTCTTTGACAACTCTGCATGTTTAGAATCTAGCATCAACTTTTATTTTTTTACTTTAAGTTCCAGAATACATGTGCAGAACGTGCAGGTTTGTTACATAGGTATACATGTGCCATGGTGGTTTGCCGCACCTATCAACACGTTATCTAGGTTTTAAGCCCCACATGCTTTAGGTATTTGTCTGTTGCCCTCCCTCCCCTAGCCCCCAACCCCCAGACAGGCCCTGGTGTGTGTTGTCCCCCTCTGTGTCCATGTGTTCTCATTGTTCAACTCCCACTTATGAGTGAGAACATGCAGTGTTTGGTTTTCTGTTCCTGTGTTGGTTTCCTGAGAATTATGGCTTCCAACTCCATCCATGTCCTTGCAAAGGACATGACCTCATTTTTTTTTTTTTGTACTCTAAGTTCTAGGGTACATGTGCACAATATGCAGGTTTGTCACATATGTATACATGTGCCATGTTGGTGTGCTGCACCCATTAACTCATCATTTACATTAGGTATATCTCCTAATGTTATCTCTCCCCACTCCCCCCACCCCACGACAGGCCCCAGTGTGTGATGTTCCCCTTCCTGTGTTCAAGTGTTCTCATTGTTCAATTCCCACCTATGAGTGAGAACATGCGGTGTTTGGTTTTCTGTTCCTGTGTTGGTTTCCTGAGAATGATGGCCTCCAGCTCCATCCATGTCCCTGCAAAGGACATGATCTCATTCTTTTTTATGGCTGCATAGTATTCCATGGTGTTTATGTGCCACATTTTCTTTATCCAGTCTATCATTGATGGGCATTGGGTTGGTTCCAAGTCTTTGCTATTGTCAATAGTGCTGCAGTGAACATATATAAAGCATCAACTTTTACAGATTATGTTTGTTGAATGCATGAGTGAATAGACTCATGGATGAATGAATGAATGAGAAACAAGCGAGGAGGAGACTGAGGTGAAGGCTCCTGAGGTTGGTGGTCCCTGGATGAATGAATGAATGAGGAACAAGGGAGGAGGAGACTGAGGCAAAGGCTCCTGAGTTTGGTGGTCCCTGGATGAATGAATGAATGAGGGATGAGGGAGGAGGAGACCGAGGCGAAGGCTCCTGAGGTCGGTGTCCCCTGCCCATGGTGGGAGTGGAGTTCCCTCCCTGCAGTGTGGGCACGAATGATTCTGAGAACAGGGACTCTCTGGCCCTACGCCGGCCCTCCTGCTTGCTGCTGATGTTCAAAATGGCTTTAACCAGCACAGGAGGCCTCAACCCACATCACCTAGCAGCCCCAGCAAAGAGAAAACTTCTGGGCTGGAATTTTCCATCTTCCCCTCAGGTAGGTTCCCTTCTCAGTCCCTTGCCCTCAGGGACATGCGGGCTCTCACTGCCTCACATGCCAGGCCCTAAGATGCTTATTTTTGCTTTCTGCTTGTTTCACGGGAAGGAAGGCCTGCACCCAGATGTGTTGCTTTGCTCACAACAGGTGTAAGCCTCCATTGAACAACAGCGACTCTGTGCCTGAGGCGTGGAGTCAGGTTTCCCAAGCCCCTCTGTGTGCCCACGAGGGCCAGTGATGCACCTGCTGGTCCCTGCAGGGACAAGTAGGTTCCCTGGAGTGACTGAAGCCCAAACAGTGCAGGTGGAAACCACTGCCATGATGACTTCACAGGCCGGAGTCTTTGTGTCTTTTATTCCAAAGCACATCATGGGTTGTGTTTTCTCCCATAAGCCAGGTCCACTCTATGTCTCCTCAAACTCAGGGGATTTTGAGAAAAGCTGGACTTGGGGCCATGAAAAGTTCCCCGCTTGACTATGTATTTATATTTTATGTCAGTTAAGAAGTTTCAGTTTCCAAACATACAGATGAACATACACAGCCATCAGATCTAGGAACTGCACCTCAGCTTAAATTTCTTAATTAAGCACAAACTTAAATTTCTCAGCGGTGGTTTCCCTTTTGGTCGCCTGGGTATCAAGATGCCTTGCCCGGGATACAGCAGGCACGGGGCATCCTGAGGTGAATCCACCACACCCAGGGGCTTGCAAGTGCCCACCTGGCCTCCTTTTACGCGGCTCCTGTGAAAGCAGAGATGGGGGCCAGGGCTCTATTTGGCCTTCGCAAGCTCAAGAAAGCCACCTATGGGAGCACGTTGTTTGTGTAAACCCCCTGCTCATCTCTACAGGGCTGCCGGCGAGGGGAGCCGCTCTCTCTGCAGGGCTTGCCTCTGTGACCCCTCTGCTTCTGTAGCACCCGCAGTGAGGAAGGAGCCCGCCAGCTCACAGGGAATGCTGCAGAGCACAGCAGGGGCCCACGGAGGCTCCGTGCTCAGGTCACTAAAGTTTAAAAACTCCATCCCAGGCCGAAGCACTTTGGGAGGCCGAGGGTGGTGGATTATCTGAGGTCAGGAATTTGAGACCAGCCTGGCCAATATGGTGAAACCCCATCTCTACTTTAAAAAAAAAAATAGCCAGGCATGGTGGTACACACCTGTAATCCCAGCAACTCAGGGAGGCTGAGGCAGGAGAATCACTTGAACCCAGGAGGCAGAGGTTGCAGTGAGCCGAGATCGCACCACTGCACTCCAGCCTGGACCACAAGAGCGAAACCATCTCAAAAAACAAACAAACAAATTCCATGTGCATATTCCTGCATTTAAGAAAATAAAAGTTAGGTAAGCTCCAACACAACCGTGGTTGGAGAAGCTCTTGGGAGATGAGCCTACAGTTTGGAGCGTCCGGAGGTGCGGTCCTCACACCGGAGGGTAAGGAAGACCCTCTCTTCATGAAGGTCACAGGGGCGCTAACAAACTGCCCACAGCATTTCATTCCTGCAAGCGCAGTTCTTTGAGCAACAGATGTCATTGATATTTTAATTCTTGTTCGTTAGTTTTGTCCCTGGTCCCAGAGGCTGCTTCAGTGGGGTTGGGGTGTTCTGGGGCAGCCCCCAGAGCTCCGCCACAAGGCAACTAATAGCGTGGAACTCAACCACAAAACGCAGAAGCCCGGCCAAACACGATAGCTGGAGTGGCTTTTTGGATACCAAAGAAAACCATACTACCTGCCCCACATGAGTTAATTTTCTAGTGGATTAGGCTGAAAACAGGAGCTCAAAACTTTAATGATCACTCATCTAACCCACAGCTGGTTTGTGTATAATTTGCTTCCATTATGTTCAGTCTGAAGTGGCGATTCATGAATCAAGCGCTGAGCTTCATTTTTCACAATCCGCCTGCCCTCTCAAGGTCGGACGATGCCGTGTGCTCACTCCAGGCATGGAAGGCCAGCCACCTGAACCCACAGACTGTCTGGCTGGCCCTTCCTGAGAAATGAATTGTTGAACTGTGCTGAGAGTCAGGTGGGAAAACAGAGCGTGTACTCGGCAGGCCTGCAACAGAATCCCCCGGGCAGACGGGACCTGGAATGCAGGGTTATTGTTGTACATAAAAATGGCAGGTCCTAGGGAGGAAAACCACACAGATATCACCAAGTAAGAAATGGCATCAGGAATTAGGGAGTGGCTCGTGTCCTTGAGGGACCAGGGGACTGTTCCCAGAATGAAAGGCTGTATGCATAATTGCAGTCTTTGGTCTCCGGGGCTCCTATTTGCTTCTTACTCACCATGTCCCAGGTTCTCTGCTGGGTTCCTTGAATATGCAACACTTGTGAAGTCTCTGAAGAACTGTTCAAATTAGGTATTATCATTCCAGTTCTAGAGGCAAGGAAAATTGACCTATGCAAGCAATGTGATTGATGTTGCTTTAATTTCACCATTCTTCATCAGGAAAATAGGATATACCAGCACTTTTCCAAGAATCTCTTTCTTGAAACAAATTGTCTTCTTGAAGTTCTCAGATAAACTGTCTGCATTGGATTTATTGTTGACAATACACTTGGTATTTTTTAAACTCTCAGAGGGTTGACCGTTCCCTCAATGTGTCCCTTCTTAGTAGGATAAGCCATTGGCCCTGTGGCTTCTCTTGGGCGCCAAGGGTCACCAGGCCTTCCGCACTGGGGTGGGACACCCAGGAAGCCCAGCAGGATGGGGGCCCTTGGTGCCCAAGAACAGCCACAGGGCCAACGGCTTATCGGGTGTCTTGCCCCATGACTTGCCCTGGTGCAGAAAAGATTTGGCTCTGAAATGACAGGTTTGCCATAAATGAGGACTTGCTGAATTTTACCCAGAATATCTTGTCGGACTTTAGAGATGTATGTCTTTTCCTCACTGAAGGAAGAGAAAGACATGCCTAACTTTTCCTATCTTGTTTGGAGATGAGACTCCAGCCCAGCAGTTTGAGTATTTTTTCAGTCAATAGGGATAGTGCTGACGCCTCTAGTCCACAGATCCTCCAGGAATAGAAGTTGAGGAGCCCCATCAGCCTGTGGCCTCAGTCACAGGATACAGACAACAATGAGTTCCCAGACAGACTTTCTAGTGGATTTTCATAAACAGAGCCCCTTGGAAATGCTATTGTGTAGCAAAGACGTGGAATCAACCCAGGTGCCCATCAGTGGTGTACAGGATAAAGAAAACGTGATATGTTTACACCATGGAATATCATGCAGCCATAATTAGTCTGTATTAGCCTGTTTTCATGTTGCTGATAAAGGCATACCCAAGACAGCACAATTTACAAAATGAATAGGTTTCATGGACTTACAGCTTCACATGGCTGGGGAGGCCTCACAATCATGGTGGAAGGCAAGGAGGAGCAAGTCACATCTTTCCTGGATGGCAGCAGGTAAAGAGAGGAGCTTGGGCAGGGAAACTCCCATTTTTAAAACCATCAGATCTCATGAGACTTATTCACTATCACAAGAAGAGCATGGGAAAGACCTGCCCCCATAATTCAATTACCTCCCACCAGATTCCTCCCATGACACATGGGAATTGCAGGAGTTACAATTCAAGATGAGATTTGGATGGGGATACAGCCAAACTGTATCAACGTCCTTTGCAGCAACAAGGATGTAGCTAGAGGCCATTATCTTAAACAAATTAATGTAAGAACAGGGAACTAAGTACTGCATGTTCTCACTATTAAGTGGGAGCGAAACATCGGGTACTCATGGACATAAAGATGGCAACAATAGACTCTGGGGACTACTCGAATGGGGAGGGAGGGAGGGAGGAAACAAGGGTAGAAAAATGACCTATTGGGCACCATGCTCCCTACCTAGGGGAGGGCATCAGTCATACCCCAAACCTCAGCATCGCACAATATACCCAGGTAGCAAACCTGCACATGTACCCCCCACATCTAAAAGCTGAAATTACATATATATATATATATATATATATATATATATATATAGAGAGAGAGAGAGAGAGAGAGAGAGAGAGAGAGAGAGAGAGAAGTGCTATTGTGGATGGATTGACAGGCAGAGCTCTCTAGGATGGATCCTGAAACCTGAAGGACTCTCTCAAGCACCAAACCTTAGATTCTAAAGATGTACCACTTAAATATGTTTCTTTTCAGGTCGTTTTTCTTAACGTTTTGTGTGGCTGTCCATGGGATTTGATGTTAGAAAGCAGGAGCTGAGCTGACCTCCTTCTGTTTTCCTGCCTCTCATGCTGCTTTGATCTTGGATGGGTTGCCCAGCTTTGACTCACGCAGAAGAAGTGGTGTGAGAAGAAGAGCCTCAGACTTCACGGGCTCCAGGGAAGTCAGGTGAGTTCAGCACCCGCCCCACCACCCCCAGAGTCCCTATTCCATTACCCAACACTCTCCAACCATCTAAAGGGTCGGATTCCCAGGATAAAAGGACAGATACTTTGATGAGCCTTTCCTCCCATGTTCGGTGGAAATTTTTGCTAAAACCAAGCTGATCAAAAGTTCACCACAATAGGAAAGAACCAAGATTTCATGAACTAACTGTCCAGAGGCCCAAATTGCTATCATTAAATGACCCCAAAGCATGTCCCTGGGCTCAGTGGTGAGTGCCCTCCTCTCCCTGCTGGTGTGGCCGGTGGGTGACACTCCACACCCCACCTCCTTCTGAGGGTAATGCCTGAGAAGGAGAGGAACAGGGGCTCTAGTCTGTCGTTTGATTTTTCAGAATCCTTAAGAGTAGCGGAAGAACTGCATATGGAAAGTGCCTGCTGAGAAAATGCAATGACTTCAGGTGTGTTAGAGAATGGCCAGGCTTTCCAAGCAGCCTCCATCACCCCTCCAAAAGATCCCCAGAGATTCAGTGATTGAACTGAGACCATGAGAGGGCCAGGAAGTGAGGCTTGCTTAGATGCTGGGGGTACTTAAATGCTGGGTTTCTGCCTGCCACGGGGGCAGATGGGATCATGGGGGAATCTGAATACAGAGGGGAGGGGGTGGTGTCTCCATTCTCAGGTGTTTCTGGAGACTCTGCAAGATGCTGGGACAGGGAGAGCTGAATGGAGCAGGAGGTGTTGACCCTGAGATCCTAGGAGACCTCCCTGGAGCTTGAAGGACCATCATGGGTGGGAAAGTACAATGACCTACCTCAGTCACAAGGAGTTCCAGGGCCCAGGGCTGCCTCACTGGGCCAGCTGCCCTGGCCTCATGATTATGGTTGGTTTGAGTGTCAGTGCCACTGCAGCCAGCTCACTGGGGCCACTGCACCCCAGCCTCACCTGTGAAGTGGGGCAGGTTCACCCTGCAGCTGAGAAAGTCTGACCTTCAGGGCTCTTCTCCTGCAGGATGGCTTCAAAAGCCCCTGTAGCGAATTTGGTAGTTGTGACTTTGTATTTTCCTCATAAAGATGGTCCCCCAAATTGTATAAGGCTAGAACTTATTTAACTTGGGTTTATTTAACTCAAAATGGATCATAGACTTAAATGTAAAACACTCCTATAAAACTCCTAGAAAATAATGCAGGAGAAAACCTGGGTAACCCTGGATTTGAAGGTGACTTTTTCTTTACAACACCAAAAGCACAATCCATAAAAAAAAAACTGATGTTTTATTTTATTAAAATTAAAAACTTCTGCTCTTCAATAGGTGCTGTTCAGAGATGAAACAATTTGCAAAGCATATACCTGATAAAAGACTGGTTCCAAAATATTCAGAGAACTCTCATATTTCAAAAATATGAAAACAAACAATCCAATTTAGAGATGGACAAAAAAAGCTGAACCAACCTTTTACCAAAGAAGACATATAGAAGGCAAATAAGCATATGAGAAGATGCCCAGTGTCATGTCATTAGAGAACTACAGGTTAAAACAACAATGAGATGCCAGCACACACCCATTGGAATGGCCAAAGTCCAAACCATGGACACCACCAAGTGCTGACAAAGATATGGCTGAAGGGAATTCTGCACCACGTGAAATAGTACAGCTATTTTGGAAGACAGTGTAGCAGTTCCTTACAAGCTAAATATACTCTTACCACAAGATACACACCTTGAAACTCATCCAAATGGTTTGAAAATTTTTGTCTACACAAAAACCTGCATGTGGATGTTTATAGCAGCTTTATTCATAATTGCCAAAACTTGGAAGCAACCAAGATGTCTTTTTTTTTTTTTTTTTTTTTTTTTGAGACAGAGTCTCACCCTGTCACCCAGGCTGGTGGGATCTTAACTCACTGCAACCTCCGCCTCCCTGGTTAAAGTGATTCTCCTGCCTCAGCCTCCCTAGTAGCTGGGATTACAGGCACTCACCACCACACCCTGCTAATTTTTGTATTTTTAGTACAGATGAGATTTCGCCATGTTGGCCAGGCTTGTCTCAAACTCCTGACCTCAAGTGATCCGTCCACCTTGGCTTCTCAAACTTCTGGGATGATAGATGTGAGCCGCCACACCTGGCCCAAGACGTCTTTCAGTAGATGAGTGGCTAGACTGTGGCACATCCAGACAGTGAAATATTATTCAGCACTGAAAGAAATGAGCTATCAAGCCATACAATGACATGAAAGGACCTTAAATGCTTACTGCTAAGTGAAAGATGCCAATCTGGAAAGGTTGCGTACCGGATGATTCCAGCTACACAACATGCTGGGAAAGGTGGAACAATGGAGACGGTGAAAAGGTCAGTGGTTTCCAGGGGTTCTGGGGAGGGAGCAATGGACAAGTGAAGCACAGAGGAATTTTAGGGCAGTGAAGCTCCTCCGGATGAGACTGTAATAGTGGATTTACATCATCGTGCACGTGTCCAAACCCATAGGCTGCACAAGGGCAAGAAGGAATCCTCAGTGAGCTGTGAACTTTAGTTAATAGTCATCTGCGGATATTGACTCCCCAATTGTAACAAATATACCAAACTCTTGCAAGATGTTAACAACAGGGGAACTGGGAGGTGAGGTGGAGGTGCTGGGGGCGGGGGCTCTATGAGAACTTTCTGTGCTTCTCATTCATTTTCCTGTAAACCCAAAACTACTCAAAAAATAAAGTCTATTAATTAAAGAACAGAACACACACATCTGGGTCTGCCCCCGATTAGGAAGTGTGGTAGATTGCAAATAGCCACACACTGTCATGGCCCTTCCCAGCAAAAGGTGAAGCTTACGTCTCCACTCTCTTAACCAGGGCTGGGCTTTGACCAACAGAAGTGGCAGGCGTGAGGTTGTGTGTGTTCCTAGCCCAGGTCTCCTGAGGCCTGGCAGCTTCCCTGGTCACCCTCATGGTCCCCTGAGGCCGCCACGTGGCAGAACCCAGTCTCAACCCTTGAATGAATGGAGTGAATCCTGCCTTCGTTTTCTCGGGCTGCCATGATGAAATGCCACAGGCTGTGTGGCTTAAATTACAGAAATGTATTTTCTCATAGTTCTGGAGGCTGGAAGTCTGAGATCTGGGTGCCAGTCAGGGTTGGTTTCTGGTGAGGGCTCTTCCTGGTTTGTAGACAGCTGCCTTCCCACCGTGTCCTCACATGGCAGACACAGTGAGAGAGCTGGTGTCCCTTTCTCTTCTCACAAGGACACATTCCCATCAGATGAGGGCCCTACTGCTAGAAACTCACCTAACCTTAATCACCCCGTGAATGGCCCTATCTCCAAGCAGTGTCACATTGGGGGTTAAGGCTTCAACATACAAATTTGGGGGGGCACAATTCGGGCCAGAGAAACCCCATACAGTAAGACCACCGTCTCCCGGCCTCCAAGCCTCCCAGCTTTCCAGAGAAGGCTGCAGACATGTAAGCAATTCCATCTGAGAGCCAGAAGACCCCGCTGGCTGTGGTGGGGTTGACCCACAGACCCAGGGCCAGTCACTAAGCCATTGCTGCTTTGCACCTCCATGCCCCAAGGTTGAAGCATGTTCCCGGCCACCTAAACTGGCCCTTGCTCAGCTTCACTCTCTCTCCTCCCTGAGTGGGAGGTTTGTTTGGGGAACCTGAGATCAACTTATTTCAGCTCCATCTACTCATCTACAGTATCATGGGGGCAGGAACTCAGCCTCATGTGAATGACGGGCCAATGGGCAGAGCTGACGTTGCCACAGATGGATGAACTCTCTGGGTCAGACCTCATCCCTTCCTGGAACGAGCCCCTGTATCTGTAACTGATGCTCAGGAAAGCTGGTGACCTGCCGGCCAGCTTCCACCCACAGCCTGGCCAGTCTGCTTCTCACATCTTTACAAGCTCAGTGAGGTTATCCCAGGCACAGGTTCTCTCTCTGCTTCTCCCGTCTGTTTATGAGGTGTGTGTGGTTCCTGAGGGTCGACACTTTGTGTCTGGAATTGGGAGGCACTTGCTGGCCACATGGAGGTCTTCTCTCCTTCTTCTCTTGGCCCGTAGGAATGCAAGCAACATGCTCCACCCTGGCCCTGTCATGGGTGTCCCCATGTCATTATGCACGAGCCCCCACAATAGAATGGGGTGTGGCACCCTGACCCCAGCCTGCAGGCAGGGATGCCAAGCCCTTTACCGGAGAATGAGGGTCGGAGTCCAGATTGGGCTCACCCCACAGCCAGGCTTTCCCCCACAACCCTGCTGCTGGCTGGTGTTTCCATGTCGCAGAAAACCTTGCTGTTTTATAGGCAAGCCTTCACATTCCATGAGTATCCTACAGGGTCACCTCAAAAAACAGGCTTTCCCTGAAGTGTTTGCCGACATTCAACCAACCTTGAAACTGTTTTAGAATCGAAAATGTGGGCACTTTTCTAGAGTGGTTTGTGGGGTGATAAATGACCCCTAGAATGACAAGGCATGCCATGGTCAACATTAGTTTCAAAAACGTATTCACATGTTACCATATGACCTCCCTGACTGGTGTCAAAATGAAAGGGCGTAGCACTGAGGTCAGGACCTAGGACCACGTCCCTTTCCACTCCAGCCTGCTGCCGTCCAGGAGTTCTTGTGTGAGACCCGACCGGACGCAGGACGTTCGGCCTCGGACAGAGCCAGGCTGACCAGGGGCTTATTTGCTGCGTGGGGTTGAGCAGACCAGTGGGCTTGTCAGCCTCTGTGTTCTCCAGGGATAACTGGGGGAGAGAAAACCCACCTCCCAGAATTCTATGGACATTGTTATGATAGCTAACACACCCACTACTATTTCTAATGCATAGTTGGTGCTTGGCGAGAGAAAGCTTATGACTGGAATCTTGATAGCCATAGATTTGCAGCTTGGGAGGCTGAAAAGGATCTGAGTTTAGCCTAACTCCTCACATGACACCGGCACCTCCCTCAGTGCCCATAATGGATTGTTGTTCTGTGGAACTCTTGCAGTACAGCTAGGAAGGTCACAGCTTCTCCAGTGTGAGCAGGTGCTGGGGCTGAGGAGCTCCGCGGCCATGCAGCTGATGGACACCCATGGCTCAGGAGGCGTCTCAGCCCCTCCTTAGGGTCACCTGCTCTCCACCCTGCCGCTCTTCCAGATGTTGCAGGGGCTGTAACATCTGGCCAGGAAACACACGTGGATCCTGGTCATCCATTGTTCTGTAGGCTGTGGGGGGCTGCAGTGAGAGGACATTTGCTGAATGGAGGGCTCTGGAACAAAGAGGGCAGGCCTGAGCAATTGCTGACGGCCCCCATGTTGACAGCATGCTCAGATATCAGTGAGAGGAGGCCGCAGCAGCTCAGCACAGGATGGGCCCATTTGATGCACACCAAGCACATCATCCATTTCTTAATGATTCCGTTTTCTCTAAATTCTCCCTCTTTGGAGCTCTGTGCTGTTTCCTGCTCCTCCCCACACCCACCAGCTGAGGTTGCAGGCTCTGGGTCCTGCAGTAGGCACCCAGGGAGCACAGCCCGGCCTGGTGGAACCGCAGCCAACAGCAGCTGCCAGCTCACCATGGGTGGCACACCTGCCTCCATCATTTCCTCTCTCCCTGTCTGCGTTCAGTGGCTTCCTAGTCACGTGTCTGCAAAACCCCGTCTGCGGCAACGCTGTTTGGGATCGAGGCTGCTCAGCTCACAAAGATGCAGGGACTGCAGCATATGAAGGAAATGCACAAAGTCAGGCTGGGTCCATCACGCCTGTGGTCTGGCCCCCGTCTGTCCTGTCTGTCTGTCTGTCTGCTTACCCCCATGGACCTCAACCCGCGTACCCAGCAAAGGGCATGCAGCTGCCCTGACGTCTGTTTTGTCTGTCCATTCATCATGAGATCCATTTGGCTGCTATTCACTCTTCCAGTCTCTTTTCAGCCATCACAATATGTACAGTTTAAAACTTTTTCTTGCGCATGGGAGTTTTCTTTGGGGAGATTTAAAAAATTCTAGGCACTTGGTCTCCGCTGCAGGACATGATGCTTTCTGGTCCTTAGTTGATCCTTGGCTTTTGGCATCTTGCATTTTCTGGGTCCCTTGGCTCTCAAGTGTGAAGACCAATATTATTTTAATCCAAAAAAAGCCCCCAGTGCACCCAGGGTTTTTCTCTGACATTGGCCTGGGTGTAGGAAGAATGGTTCAGAGTCAGGCCATAGATGGCACAAGGAGAGAGGAACCAGATCCTGTTCTCCTGGCGTTTCTGACCTTGTTAACCGGAGATGCCACGTTGGCGATTAACAGCCTTTGCGACTGGAGCGGGAGGAGGTTTCTAATACAGAACAGACACCCTGCCATTCCTTGGTCAGGCTGAGATTTGATGTCTTAATACTTTTCTGGACAAGAACAAGAATTTTATGATTAATGAAAGTTTTACTTCTCAACCTTAAGAGAGTGACATCATTCTTATAGTGCAGAGAAAAATGATCCCTGTCTTGGAAAGGGAAGTCTTCCAAAAAGTAAATTACAAAATAGAGAGGACGTCCACGCTGAGTTCACCTCCAAATCTTCCCGCAAGCTGTACCCAGAGGGGAAATGCTGACAGCCGCCTCTACAACCTTTGATTCTTTAGTTTCTTTTAAAACTGCTAAGAAAGCAGGAAAAAAAGGCAGACCTGGGAAGTTGCTGGGCACCGAGGAAACACTGAGGGTGGTGGCCCCCAGGGCCTCTCTGAGTTCCCTCCTCATGCCCAAGCTCCTGTTAATGAATCTTGTACAACAAACAGTCAACTTCATTCTTTGCATCCTCCCAATGTTACTAGAATTTCAGAGACATTCCTTTCAGGACTCAGGAACACCCTGCACAAAAGGCAGTTTGTAGAGGTGATTTCCGACTGTGCCGATCTCTGTCTGTTGGGGAAGGGTTCAAAGTGCCACAGTTTTGTGCTGCCATGAAGAAGAAGGCATCCCGCCTCCATCCCTCTGAGTTCAGTGATTGGAACAAAAAGGACCCCAATGTGGTGTTGTGTCTGGGACCCTCTGAAGCATCTGACAAGTTTTCAATATTTATACTTATTTCTTTTATCTTAACAGCACACACGAGGTTTCTGGATCAAAGGAAGACTGATGATTGACTTCCGGGATAACTGTAATGCCCATACCCCATGCCCCAATCCTGCTGAGACACGGAAGTCACCTGCATGTGCAAAATGGGGTTTGCACTACAGGAGGGGAACCCCAAATTACAAATCTCATGCTTCTGTAAGAACTACCGCACTGCTGTGCTGTCTCCAGAGCAAAGAAACCCCTGCTTTCTGACATAAAGAAATCCCTCCTGCTTTCTGACATAAATAAGGACTCTAGGAGTTTAGAATTTAAAAGATTATTCCAGGAGAGATGTGCTTGAAATCTCTCTGGAGTATTTTTTTTTTAACTTTCAAGGATTGTGTGCCTTTCCTCATCCTTTAACCCAGTTTGCCAGGAAGTTTTGCTCAGAGAACTCCAGCCGCATAGACACGTGACCTCACCCACCTGCTTTCCAACACTGTAACTTTGTTGCAAAGAATCCACATTGGTCCATGAAGATGAGACACAGCGGGGTCTTTCCCCTACTTACCTCTAAGATATGCAGATTTAAAAGATGGCAATCTGTTTCCTGGACTCTACACCTGTTAAGGTCTGCAGAGGGGTGCCCCTTGGGCACACAAACCCCAACTCCAGCCCATCTCATCCCACCTCCAGCCTGGAGTCCCCCGTCTCATAGAGGGAGACTTGCTGAAGGGCTCCAAGAAATTGGGCCACTCATTTCACCGTGAGGGCATTGCCTGCATGATTTCAGATTAGAATTGTCCATGTCCCCCTGAGAGGACTTAGTTTCCCAGTGTTTGTGGTCAGGTTTTCACATAAACACTGTTGTAAGCACACTTGTACAGATAAAGATTTTTTTTTTTACATAGATCTCAATTCTACACCAGGGGATATGTGGCTAAGTAGAAATGTATATTATTCAAAATTTGGTTAAGATACAAATCTTTTGTTTTGATTAGACCACTTTTAACGGGTGCTTGTATCAACCCGTCCTGACTCTATGCCTTTCTATGGTCACTATATCCTAATTGTTAAGTTATGTATTTAAGATATGGCTAATTATAAAATCTGCTGGGTTTATTTGTTTAAACAGTGATTAGATTCTTGCCTTTATTACTCTAAAATTCTATCTAGAGTACTCTCTATCTAGGTTGGTACTGCTGTCAGGTGATAGCTTGTCCAATCTGTCTTTTAGTGATACTGTAGTTAGTTGTAAGCCACTGAATATTATATTGATCCAGTATTCAAAAGTTATCCTTCTGTGTCATCTTGTATCTATAGATATGACTTTCTATGTTACCAAGTTCCTTCAGATAAAGGGTTATATTTTACTTTAGTTTGCATCCTCAGAAATAATAAGCATACAAGTGAGAAAAATATATAGAATTAAATGTAAGATTAGAGATCCATTAAGACTTGATAGAAAATTGATAAATTATTGACTTTTAAAATAAACTCTTTATAATAGAGCAGTAGTATTCATTCAAACTATTAATAACTAACAGAATTAATAAGAATTTTATTATTCAGTGTTGCTATGAAAATACTTTGGATAGCCACAAATCCATATCTATAAATAAGGGCATGCGTAATACACACACGTGTGTTTAATGTACATGCTTATTGGTTAACAGGCAGTTAATCTAGATTATTTGCTCAAATTCCACTTGCAAGAGACTTACCTCTGCACCCATTCTACACTTTCTGTGTCTGATTTCTGGAAGTAACTGGAAGGCGGGGCAGGTTCCTGAGGGTAGCAGCAGCACTCAGCCCTGCCATCGCTCATGCTTGCTTGGCAAGTGCATGGCACAGCATGTCAACCGCACAGCTTACTGTGCAGGCAGGGTCCAGGTGAGCTGGGCAGGGCCTTCATGGCCTGTTTCTCTAGGTGGTTTTGATTTACAGACTGCTGAGTCTGAACATGCAAACTGGTTTGAGAAACTTAAGAAGCTGCCTGAATTTTTGTCCGGGGTCACCCTAAGCTGAACCACATGCGGTTCAGATCAGTTCACGGGTCTCTGTTTTCTCCGTGTGGGTCTTTCTTCTGTGCAGGCTGTGTGTTTTGGCTGCCTCCTGAAGTGCATATAAACCAACGATGTGTCAGGAGAGAAGCTCTCTCTGCAGCAGGACGTCTGCCCAGAAAAGTTGTGGAGTGTTGGAAACCTCGCTAGGCCACGGGTTCTTACCCACAGGGGGCTCAGTTTTCAGACACTAGAAGTGATCCGAAAGATGGGCAGCTGCCTGTCAGCTCAGGAGCCACCGCGATGGTGCTTGCTCGGCCTCCGTGGTCTCGTGGGGCCACAGGGCCAGCCTGCCGGACTGCCCGGTTTTATTTCCTGTCCTCGAGAACATTTACAGACTGGTGACGCAGGCATGTGGCTAGAGAAAAGTCTGCAGGTCCCAATTCGGACTGCAAGCAGACATCTCAGGAAGTTTCTCCACGCAGCCCATCCCGGGTGACACAGCGTTCACTGTGATTCCACCCGAGCCGCGTCAGCAGTCGGCTGCTGGTGGAATAGGAAAGCACGGGGCTGTAAAGCTAAGTCACGCCGTCTCGGCTGCAGAGCAGTTTACTGGGTCACACTGAAAAAACTTCATTAGTAGTATAACATGTCAAAATTAGTCACTTAAGAATGTCAACAGCCCCAGAAGCAGAGCCGAGCGGGCGTCTGGCCATCTGTTCTGTGTGTTGGTCTGTGTTCTCACTGTGGGCTCTGATTTCTGCACCCCTCACCAGATGAGAGCCGCCTGCCTTCATCAGCCCACTGTCCCCAGGTAGCACAAGTTGGGGATGTCAACAGCTTGCTCCACTGCCAGTGGGGCCCAGGGCTCCAGGCTCAGCAGGGAAGGCAGAGGCAGCAGCTGGCGTGGCCCGGGAACAACTTCCCTCCCGTCTCTCCCTCTCTTTTGCTGCAGATGTGAGAAGCCGACTGTCTCGCCCTTATTAGCGAAGGCACCCCAGTGTAGGGAAACGGGCTTCCCCCTTGCGGCCTGGGACGAGGGTCTTCTGTCTATCCTCGACCCCCCCTTCCCCTCCACCCCCAATTCATTCAGGCACAGAACCTCACACCTTCCCCTTGAGTGGCCTTGCCTGACACCAGGTACTTTAATTTAAGGTTGGTGTGCAGAGGGAGGAGAGCCAGCACAGCAGTTCTGTGTTCCTTTTCCTGTCTTGCCGTTGGAGAAAATTTTACTTTCAATTTATCTGAACCAGGAGCATGTCCTGAGCTCCTGATTTTGCATTCATAGGCTGTGTGGAAACCCTCAAAATCTGGAACAGGAAGCCCAGATCTCTACCCCCTCAGTCACCAACAGAGTCAAGAAAATCTCCAAAGAGGCAAACCAATCTCAATCACCAGTTAATATAATTGAATCAGTAAATTAAGAAACTGGGCCAGAAGCTCCGTGGAGAGTGTGCCTCTGTGTGGAATAATTGGGTTCTCAGCTTCCAGCCATTTTCATAAACTGGTTTTGATTCTAGAGTTCAACACCCTAGTGGGTTTTAGGAGTTTGGGGGGATTACATACCCAGCAATGACATAAGGCCTATCCGGATTTCTCCAGAATTAACCTGTTAGCATTTTAATGAGCTCAAGGATGAAGTTATCACAAATGTGAACGTCTTTTCTGGATAGAGGACTGCAAACTCTACAAGTGCTGCCCAGCTTGCCACATCCCCTCCCTCAGGACCCATTCCTCCTTTATTCCTTCCAGAGTCATGATGGTCACCAGCTTCCAGGACCTGCTTCTTCTTCAGTCCCTCCAGAGAGACATGAGGGTTACCGACTCCTCCAGGACCTGTTCCTCCTTCATTCCATCCGGAGAGATGGCGGTCACCGGCTCTTCCAGGTACTCAGGTCAAGCCTGGGTGTCATCCTTGTCTCATCTTTCTTGTACCCACTGGCACTGAGGACATGGAAGGCCCTGCCGTCTCTCCCTTCAAATTACCCCAGACCAGCTCCTTCTCCACACCATCGCCCTGGCCCAAGCCACACCCCCTCTCACCTGGACAACCTCCTGTGGCCTCCGCCCTGGTCCCCTCCTTCCAGTTCACAGCCATTCTCAACACAGCGGCAAAGCTCTTGCTCTTCAATCAGAAGGCAAACAGGCTCAACACGATGCCCTCTGGCCCCCTCCTTCTGCTGACACGTCCCATGGTCTCTACCTTACTAGGAGACTGACAACTTCTGGCCCTGCCTGAGCCTCCCCTCGCTCTGGGTGCTCCCCTCATCCTTGGCCTTGTTCTCCTTGGCCCAGCCGCAGTGCCCAGGTTTGCTCCTGGGGTGGCCCAGGCACATGCCCACAGCAGGACCTTTGCACCTGCCCTCCCTGCCTCCCCAGGACCTCACTCTACAGGTGTCACCATGACTTATTTTCTCACCTCCTTCCACCCTTCACTCAAATGTCACCTCCAATGACCTTCTGCCCTTGACCCCCGTCTCCATGCCACCCCCCTGCCCTGCCTTCCCACCCCAGCTCTGCCTTCTCTCCCTCCGAGGATCCCGCTGCTGCTTCCGTAAGCGATAGAAGGACAGAGGCCTTTATGCTCCTTCCCTGTGTGGACCCAGTTCCCTAAACAAGACCCGACTCATAGGATAACGGGCACCCCACACAACATGCTGGAATAGACGCCCGGCTGGAAGGCATGCCTCATGGTGGACTTCAGCCCCCATCATAGAAAAAACCCTCCTCGGCCAGTAATCTCAGAGCCAAGGAGCAGTCGTGGGGACCTTGTTTCACTGGAGGTCATTTCCCTGTGACACGGGCAGTGTCAGGACCTAGTTCTTGCCCCTCAGGCCTCTGTGGGCTAAGTAGATTCGTTAACCTTAGGAACTAGAAAGTTCTGCAGAATAGGAGAGAAAAGCAGTGGGCAAGCCGTGCCTCACCTTCCTTTAGTGCAGGTATCGGAAGCTTTTTATAGCAATGCTCTTTTAAATAAGGCTGCAGGAGATGGCAAGTTAATTATAGTTTGTGTAATTTAATTGCATTTTATAGAGTTCTAGACGTTCACTGTTGGGACATTCACGTGATTTTCCACTTGCAGATTTCTCTCTGCTCATTGTTTATTTATCATTATTCTCACATAGATGTTACTCATTGTATTTTGAATTTTGAAAATGTTACATTTACTATTGAGTTTAATCTCCCCAGACATCCTGTCAAATTTTAGAACAGATATGAGACCTCAGGATAGAGTGAAACCCGGCAATGCGGGGACATGGGCGTGAGTGCTGTGCTCAACTGCACAGTTAGGTCGGCCCTGTCCTGGGCCACAGGGGGAGGAAGGCTGTGCAGAGACTCAGGCTGAGCCGAGCTGCTGGCATGAGATCTGGCCACAGCAATGCCCTTAGACCAAGCTGTTCCTTGGGGCCAGGGCACAGTGTAGCCCTGTGCTCAGACAGAGAGGGCCACGCCACCGAGTATCATTTTTTCAGGTAACTGGATGGACCAAGAGACTCCAGGAGACCTGAAGTGTAGGGCAGGGGCTTCTCTGAGGGCCTTCTGGGCAGTCACAGATGTGGTCCTCTCCCCTACAAGTCAGCTCCCTGTGTGTGGCCCCTGTGTTATAACTGGCATTAGACACCATCCAGTAGAGTTCAGGAGGCCCTGTTCCCCGCCTTCTGGGGCCAAATGTCAGAACAAGAGAGAGACACAAAAGCCCAAATGCATCTGAAGGGAGTTAAGTGAAAGTCTGCGTTCAGTGGGGTGATTTGTGAGGCATCTCACCGGGTTCTGGGGGCAGAGCCGAGGGGCACGCACAGTCCCCACTGAAGGAGTAGAGAGTCTCATGGGCACGCTGTCATCGCATGGTCACAGCATCAGGTCATGGAGGCTGCAAGGGAGGGGGCCTGTGATGCTGGAGTGGGAGTGGGCAGGACCCCCGGCTGCCAGGGAGAACATGGCTGTGTAGGTGAGGCTGGAGCTGGCTAGGCCGGGGCTTCACAGGGGAGACCCCTGACTCTGGAAACACTGGAACTGGGGCTTGATTGTTCTGCTGTGAATGCCATGCGTGCACATTGTGAGTGTGCAGTGTGGAGCTTGTTAGAGCCGAAAGTGAAGGACAGCTATTGCCTCACCCTCATTTCCTTGGGCCCATCCCATCCTCTTCTCTCCCAAAAATAGTAATGGAAAAAAAAAGTGCATACTGAAATAGTGAATACTAGGGGCAGCATTTTATGGTTTTAATTTTTCCATGTGTTTATATTTCTCTGAAAAATTGAGCATTTGTTTTCATCAGAAAAGAAAAACACATGTACAAAGTCAAATCTTTTCTCAAGGTTTACGAGGGAAGACTAAACCCGACCACGACTGGTCCCAGCCTCCCAGCTGGCCCCAAGTCCTGCCTCTCAGGGTCTCCCCAGTCTCCCAGCCCGCCCCAGGTCCTGCCTCTCCGGGTCTCCCCCAGACAGGGCCCCAGCCCAGGGCGGCGGAGTTAGGTCTGTGGAGGGCCCAGAATCTGCATCTCCAACAAGTCCTGGTGACTTCCATGCTCCTGGCCCTGTGGTGACTGCCATGCTCCTGGCCCCATGGTGACTTCTGTGCTCCTGGCCCCGTGGTGACTTCCGTGCTCCTGACACCGTGGTGACTTCCATGCTTCTGGCCCCATGGTGACTTCCGTGCTCCTGGCCCTGTGGTGACTTCTGTGCTCCTGGCCCCGGGGACCCCAGTTGAACAAGCATTGCCCCAGGGAGTGACCCTTGACTTCCACAATCAATGACTTCTGTCATCACTTGCTTTTTAAAATTATTTTAGACATTTTCTATTGCGTTCCTTGCCCTTTTGTACTCCCTGCCACCAAGCACCCAAACTTTCCATTCCCCATTCTCTAATGGAATCATGTCACAATTTGGAAAAATCTCTCTCTTTATCTCTCTTACACACACACACACACACACACATCAGAGACACACATACTTTTGAAGCAAAACGTAATAATAGCCTTGCTTTTTCATTTGCTTAGTCTTGAGAAACTTTCATGATCTCAGCACTAACTCAAATTCTCAATAGGGTTAATACTTTCCATAAATTACGGCCCCTCCTTCTTTCCTTCCTTCCTTCTTTCTCTCCTCCCTCCCTCCCTCCCTCCCTTCCTTCCTTCCTCCCTCCCTTCCTCCCTCTCTCCCTCCCTTCTTCCCTCCCTCTCTTCTTTCCCTTTTTTTTCCCTCCGTTCCTCCCCTTTCCTCCTTCTTTCTTCTCTTCCATCTTCTTTTCCCTTTTTCCCTCTCTCCCTTCCCTCCTCCCATTTATCTCCTCCTTTCCTCCCTCCTTCCTCTTTCTCTTCCTTCCTCCCTCTTCTGTCCTCCTTCCTCCCTCCTTCCTCTCTTCTTTATTTTATAACACAGGCTGCCGTCAGGGCTACCCTCAGATGTCGTCTCTGTTCACCCTCATTCTCGTGCTTTTCTCTGCCTTTTGCCTGGGTTTGAGCTTCTGACTCCTAGAACTGATACCTCTCTTTTCCTGGAATTATTCCACTATTTGGTGAAATGCCTTCCTCTACCTTCCTAGAGAAGGTTTGGATTCTATCTCTTTTGGTAAAAGCTTTTTTAACTGTGCAGTCTAATATGGTAGCCATTAGGCACACATGACAATTTACATTTAAATTATTTCCAAATAAATACAATTTAGAATTCAGGTCCTCACCCCCATTTCTATATCATATTTCTAGTGCTCAGATATATTTCTAAGTGGTCAAAGATACTAGTGGGCATCAATTTAGGGGGCACAGAGAGACAGCACTCCCATCATCATGGAAGTTCAATGGCTTCCCTCAACGAAGTGTTGACCCATGGCTGTTCCCCCATATTGAAGACAGAGTTGCCAAATTGCTGACTGAGCTTCTGGGTACTTGGGAAGAGCTCGTCTGGTGGTGGATTTACATGGAGCTGAGACAGGACCATTTTTCTGTGTGTCAGTATCGAGCTAGCCATTCCCTCCAGAGGCGAATCCTTCAGCATTCTGTTGTGGGGGATACACGTCTTCCCTGTGGCATCGTGGACCTGCAGAAGGGGGTGGGAGTCTGACCCTGGGCAAGAGATAGGAGCTTTAATATTGAACAGGATGGGCTTATAAATTTCACTCAGAGGGGCCTGAAAAGCTAAGGAATCCACTCAAGCTATAATCCAGGAGAGGAAGAAGGTGGTCCCCAGAGGAGAACAAGGTTGAGAAAAAAATTACGCAAGCTGTTTTCTGTCTGCATCTGAGGCCAGTTTGTTGAGGACATTGATTGCAAGCCCTCCTCCTGCCCTGGCTGTGCCTGCTGACCCAGAAGCTACAGCCCTCACAGCAGGCTTTTCTGAAGGGCGCTGCTTATGGCTGGGAGGGGGCCCGAGATCAGGGCTCCTTACCTGGATTTCTCTCCATGTGGTCTCGGCTCGGTGGGGATCTGTCCCCACAGTGGGTCTCCCTCCTGGAGACCAGTGCTGTCCCCATCCCTCTGCAAGCAGCTCGCTGTGACCTTCCTCTGCCCCCCACCCACCTCAGCTTCCCAGCCACGGGCATGTCTTGGCATCTTCCATTTGTGGTGATCACTTCTCTAATAGTTTTTCTTTTTATTTTACACCTTCATCGTCTTTTACTGACATCTTGGGTTTTCTGGATGTAGAGAAACAAACCTGTGTTTGTCCTCCCGTGGTTATCCGGAACCTCCTGGTGCTTTTCAACTAAAACACGATCACACACAAAACAAAAAGAAAGGGAATGCCTATCTGTATTGGCAGAGAGCACCACCCATAATGTTAATAAAGCGGCTTATGGTTTATAAATTCGAGTTAATAAAGCGGCTTATGGTTTATAAATTACAAAAGTGTTACAGGATCTCAGTGAAGATCTCTGAGCAAGAGTGAGAGGACATAATTATTCTTGAGTTGAGAAAAACAATCGAAGAGGCAGTATATCATGTGGACTAGAGAAAAAAAAATAAAGGAGGAGTGTGACCAGTGGACTTAGTGTCTGTGGTCCAGGTGAAAATGATGCAACCCCATCATGCAGCCATGATCAGTGACCATTCTGGAAGTGGCCTCTATAGATGACAGACACTTGTCATCTCGAAGCAAGCTTGGGAGATGCTCCTGCTAACATAGTGACCCTCCCCAGAAAAGAGGTTAATCTCTCCAACGAACCCAGAAGTCCTCCTAGCCTGTGCCCCATCTCACTTTGCCCCTGAAAGAACAGGCTCACTTTGTATTTTTCTGCACGGTAGTAAAGCTGCAAGAGCAGCTTCAACATTGCCATCCTCTTTCCAGAGGAACTGAACATTGCCACTCTCTGTGGTGACGGATTACACTGGAGACATCAGCCAGGTCTACTGTGTGGGTCCAAAACAGCCACGCACCTGTGACGATTTTGTATCTAAAGACGAAGCTGGGAGTTTCTTGTCACTCTGCAAGCATGGCTGCCATTTACATACATCTCTCAGCATCACAGATTAGGACCCCATTGAAACAATGATCTATCTCCCTAGACCCAAGTGAAATAGATTAGGACAATTGTCCCTTTTGAAAGTTTTATTTCTAGTTTGTCTTTATTAGCATAAAGCTCTTAGTTCAACTATGTAATTAAAATTTAATAATGGGCAACTTATAGGAAATCTGTGAAGCTGGCAGTTCAGCCTCCAGCCGATGGCATCCTCAGCAGGCAGGCAGGATAAATCTGCTCACGTACGTCTGTGTCCTGTTAGCTGCTTCCGTACGTTCACTTTCCAGAAAACATGGAATGCTCAGTAGGCATGCCGACCTCAATGTCGTCCCTTTGAAAGAGACAAATTCACGCTGGTGAAGACAGGCCTGAAAGGCTTACCAGAGGCGGCCAGGAGGGCCCCCGCGCGTCTTCCTGGGGTGTGTCCCTTCCAGAGGTGCTCCGGAGCCACAGGGCCCGTGCCCCAGGCTATGCTTTCTCTGCTCTTGGAAGGGGCTCCTGCTTACAAACTCCAGGCAAATTTCTAGTCCCAGATGGCCCGCAGCAGAGCTCCGGATGGCTTCTACACCTAGCAGATGAATGTGGGGACTTCCTGAGCCAAGATGACAACTGGGCTCCCAAGGGTGGCTCTGTAAATGTCTTTGTCTTCTGGTGTCTGTCGTCTAAGGAGAACTTCACTTAATGATCTGTCATGAGAAATTATCCTGGTGAGAAAAGGTCTTAGGACAAGTGTGCCTGAGTCTAAAGCTGCTAATCCTTATTGTGTACCAGATAGAACAGTTAGCACCCTCTTACCATGAGAATACATGGCAATGCTATATTTCTGTAAAATACTTTCTATCTTCCAGATAGTGGTGACTCCCATTCAGAGAGTAATGCTATCCATTGGCCTGTCATATTACCCACTGCAGGCTCCTGACAACCAGCACAATAAAACCACATTTCAGCACACTCAATGCATCTGGCACTTTTGCCACTCTTCAATGATGAGTAAGTTGCTTGATGAATTTACCTTATCCCTTTGCACCTCAGTTTCTTCATCTGTAAGATAAGGATGAATACCACCCCCTACTTCATAGGATTTTTGTGTGTATGTGTGAGAATGGAGATAATACAAGTAAAAGTGTGTGTTATTTCTGCCTCATACAGAAGTGCAGAGTTAACATGTAGCACATGTGACTATCATTATTATTTTGTCAAAATGTCCCAAAGAAATCAAATTCACAGATGTATTAATGCCTTCTGTTTTCAAGTCATGTCGGGTGCTATGGATATCACAGAAACACAGGACACAGACCGTGCCTTCAGAACTCCTTGTCCAGGTAAGTGGGCCTGGTACTCCCAAATGTAGTCAGATGCCAACATAGTGTTTACCTGCCACCAAAGACAAACCCAAAAGCAAGATCACAAGGGAAAAGGAGGTGACTCATGCACTGTGGCTCTGCACAAATGATCACACCTGCATTTTCAGCTGGCCAGGGTGAGGGAGCGCCTCTACTTCTAATGAGAGTTTCTTAGCAACTCCTCTCCTCCAGTGTATGAGATACTCATTGTGTTTTGTTTCATTTCAATTCAATATTTTCACTTATATTTATGGCCTGTGATATTGATAAATACTTTGATAATGTCATTTTAAAATAAGACTATTATAACATAAGCTCAGGGAGAGAGGGAAGAAACCAAAATCATGTGTTTTAATTCCATTACTGTAACAAATGACAATGGAAACATTACGATTGTTCCTTTGATATTGTTTAGAACCATGTCCCACATGTATACATGCTGTGTTTAACAAAATCTTAGAGTGTGGATTGGGTCTCCTCCTTTTGCACAACATTTTGCTCTAGGAGTCCTGCTCCCCTTTGCATGTTTGTGTGGGTGGCTATCAGTCTAGGAGGTCACCTCTGGAATTATCTGCACTTCACTGGATATTTAGGTGGCCCCTGGACCCGTGCCAGGCATGGTGACTACCTCTCTGCCCTTCTAGCTGAGTGGGTGGGGCATTCGTTCAAAGTGGATAGAATGGGGTCTTCAAGAAAATCTGGCTTCTCCCACTTTGAGGTGTGTGGGGAGCTCAGGACCTGGTGAAGCCGTGGATTCCAGCTCAGTGTCTAGGGGAAGATGGGGTTCTGTTTCTTACCACCCCCAGGTGACGTCAGTGGTCTAATCCTTGGACCACACTTGGGCAGCCAAGGTCTGGCTCACATCGAAGTGTCCTGGACCCCACCGGTCATTTCCCAGTGCTTATTTTCTGCAGTTTGTCTAACAAGAGGCAAGTCAGTGTCTGAATTCCGGGGCCCATCAAATACAGGAGCTTTCTTTTGCTATTGATCCAGCTCATTCCCTGTGTGTCCTCTCCTGCCCCTGGGGTAATGGGGATCCAGTCTCAGTTGTCCCACTGCCTCCTCTCCCAGGGCCGTATCTCGATGATGAGGGGAATTCCTAGGACCCAGGGCAGTGTCATCAGACCACCCAGGAGCCCCTTCTGCCTATCTGCAGGGCCCTCCAGTTTGATGACCACACAGAGCCTCTCTCCTCTCAGCCACAGGCTTCCAGAAGCTTCAGACAGGCATTAAGACACAGAGTCTCATGAGACTTGGGTGCCATCTGACTGGTCCCTCCTGAAACCATGAATGGGGAATGGGGAGAATAAATATGGAGGAATACTTGCAAAATATCCCAACACTTTAGTTTATCCTTTAAAATGTCAAATGGGGTGAAATAGTTCTGTGTAAGAATCGAGGGAGCTAGTTTTTCATTGTGCCGCCCTCATGAGCCTTCAGGGGTCTCTTCCACCCAGGATGTCCCTTGGGCCTGCTTGTATTTTTAGTAGAGATGGGGTTTCACCATGGCCAGGCTGGTCTTGAACTCCTGACCTCAGGTGATCTGCCCGCCTTGTCCTCCCAGAGTGCTGGGATTATAGGCGTGAACCACCATGCCCAGCCAGTCTCAGGTAGTTCTTTACAGCAATATGAGAACGGGCTAATACAGTGCCTTACCCCAAATCTGCACAGCATTGTGTGTGCATGAGGACACCCAACTCACGCTTGTTATGGGCCACAAGGCCATGGCCTTCCCCTTCCCCTGCCGTCAGGGCAAACTGGGTTCACTTCTGCTGTTGACCTGTGCTTGCCCATCCAAGGGCACTGAACCCACGAGGCACAACCTGGGCAGCATTTGTGGAGCCTGTTGGGGAGGCCGGGGGGAGGGTTGGGGTGACCCAGCCTGGCCCTGCCTTCGACCCTGCTGGGCCACCGCTCCAGTTCCCACCACGCTCAGGAAAGCCCCTGCTCTACCTGGAGCGGATTCAAGCACCGGTTCCAGACTCAGAGATCTTGCTCCTCTTGAATGGGATTTTCTCTGTGTTTTAGACTAAATCATTTAATCATCTCAGCCTCTTAATGAAATGGCCGTGAGTTATGTCAGTCTTCACAAATTATTTACAAAAATAAAAAACAACTGTCCCCATTCCTAGGGCCTTGCTCTCTCCACTCCTAGTAGCTCTGAGGGTCCAGCAGGTAGCAAATGTGGGGGCAGAGCCTGTCCTTTTAGTTCAGCCTCAGGAGCCTCCTGTGAGGGGAAGGACAGGTGTATGTCCTGCTCACACAGATAAGGAAGTATCTCACACCCAAGGGCCTGATGTTTCACATCTGACAAAACTCCCAAGATTGGGATGCTTCGCAGCCTCTCCACGGTGCCAAAAAATGAGGGAGGTGGTGTAGCTCAAGGCCTAGATTCTAACGCACCACACGTGTGTATCCACCACAGAAATGCAGCTGCCCTGGAGCTGGCTTACAGGCTTGACACTAAGCTAGTCCTTACATTGAAGGGATGTGCATAACCCCTAAGGAACGCACCAAAGTTGTAACTTCTCAGGTCCCAACATATATGGTCATGCCCAGGAAGGCAGCTCTAAGCTGGGTGCAGAAGCCATTGGAGAATAGCCCTTCAGCCAGAGAGGAGGAGAAGGAGGAGGAGGAGAATGAGGAGAACGTAAAGAGGTGTGGGGAGCTTGCTTCCACCTTGGTTTTCTGAGACAAGCCTGAATTCCGAGGGCGGTCATGGCCTGCTCCCACCCATGCTGGGTGAAGCCTTAGGTCTGCATGTCTGGGAGCAGTGCATTCTAGCCCCACCTAGGCCAGTGGGATTGGCCATGTGGCCATAATCCAGGTGATCTGAATTTCACTATGTTTTAATCTGTAATATGGAATGATTTCTATTTGCCAAGCTTAGTACATAGGGTTAGGGTGAGGAGTGACAGGATCTAAACACACTTTGAGAAAGGAAAGTGTTATGCTTCTCCACCCTGCCAGAGTCAGAGGGGTGATCAGGGCTGCTCCGCCACAAGCTGAAGGTTTCACTGTGCTATAAAGGAAACTTCCATCCAAAGGAATCGTTCTGCTAGCAAAACACAGACATGCACACAGCTGAAACAACTTCCACGCACAGTGTATGATTTCCTATTCTGCGCACAGAGAGAAAGGACAGATGTGTTAGCAGAGGATTACTGTTGGAATAATTATGTTAGCTAAGACACAAATGGGCTCCCATGCCAGCTCCAGTTTTGGGTTCTCACTGAATTGAATTCTCAGAGGGGGTCCTGCTTACACATAATTGTGCCTCAGAGCTAGAAACAAGGAGGCTCTATTTGATCAACTAGCTGGAGGATTTGAAAGGTAACCCTCTCATTCCAACTGCTTTTCTAAATATAACATCCTCAGGGGAACCCATCCTTCTGGAGGGAAAATATTAAAGAGAAAGAAGAAATAGGTAGAGAGTAAACAAAATCCATCTCCCCTCTGCAGAGTCCCCACCTTGACTTCTTTTAAGTGTTGTTGGAAAACCTCCTGCCCCTCGCTCTGTCTTTCTCCCTTCCCCTCCCACTCCACAAACACAGTTTTTCACTTTTTATCTATATATACAGTGTCTATAAATCAGATATTTTGGTCCCCAAATACATGAGTATTTACCAAGAAAATAAGATGCTTTCCAGAGAAAGCCAGCATTTTTATGGAGGTGCACCCACACTCAAAAACACATGTGTGCCAGTGAGCTCTTGCCTGAAGCAGGCCCAGGCTACTGGGGCTTCTGCGGAACCCTGCCTCTGCCCAGGTCCCCCCCACCTCACAGAGTCAACCTCAGGCCTGGGCCATGCTCTTCTGCCAGCTCCAGCCATCGCCCCACCCACAAGCAGGCCTGCAAGCAGAGTGTCAGCATGACTTGGCTCTCGTGAGATGGCACGTGGCTGGAGAGTGATGTTAGCCTTGGGGACACGTTTTAGTAAGAATCAGCCCATGACACGCTACCCCATGCTAATTTGAGATAAGACTGCCAATTATTTCCTCCTTTCTTTCAAAACTTTTCCTTTTTGCTACTGAAAGATACGTTCATTTAAAAGAGGTGGCTCATGTTTCTGATCCTCAGATACGGCTCTGAAAGAATTGTTTATGTTTATGGGTTCAGTGAAACACACAAGGGCCTGAAGGAGCTGCAGCCTAGGTTCCTGCTCCCCACCAAACCTGGGAGCAACAACGTTTTTGGAGAAACATGGGGTCCAGCTGCTCAGCTGGGTAGGGGTGAACCAGAGGACCAGGACCCTGACTGCTGTCCAGAGACCAGCTGCCTGCTGCAGCCCTGCTACTCTCCGGTTAACAGAGGTGAGGCACTTACATTGCAGGGTCAGAGCACACAGGCATTCAATGTTTTCTTCACTTACATGAATTAGAATTATTGCAAGTCTGAGGCAACTCACAACTTGTACAACTAGGGCTGCCCCCAGTGATGTGACACCAGCTGAGGAAGGAAATGGGTGGATCATCCAACAAACAAGCATTTAGGTTTCATGATCTGATATGGTTTGGCTGTGTCCCCACCCAAATCTCATCTTGAATTGTAGGTCCCACAATTCCCACACGTGGGAGGGACCCGGTAGGAGGTAGCCAAATCATGGGGGCTGGTCTTTCCTGTGCTATTCTCATGATAGTGAATAAATCTCATGAGACCTGATGGTTTTATAAAGTAGAGTTTTCCTGTACAAGTTCTCTTCTTCTCTTGTCTGCTGCCATGTGAGACGTGCCTTTTGCCTTCTGCTATGACTATGAGGCCTCCCTAGCCATGTGGAACTGTGAGTCCATTAAACATCTTTCTTTTGTGAATTGCCCAGTCTTGGGTATGTCTTTACTGGCAGTGTGAAAATGGACTAATACGGTAAATTGGTATTGGGAGTGGGGTGCTGCTGAAAAGATACCCAAAAATGTGGAAGCAACTTTGGAACTGGGTAACAGGCAGAGGTTGGAACGATTTGGAGGGCTCAAAACAAGACAGGAAAATGTGGGAGTTTGGAACCCCCTAGAGACTTGTTGAATGGCTTTGACCAAAATGCTGATAAAGATATGGACAGTAAAATCGAGGCTGGTCTCATATGGAGATAAGAAACTTACTGGGAATCCCAGCACTTTGGGAGGCCGAGGCAGGCAGATCACAAGGTCAGAAGATCAAGACCATCCTGGCTAACATGGTGAAACCCCGTCTCTACTAAAAATACAAACAATTAGCCGGGTGTGGTGGCAGGCACCTGTAGTCCCAGCGACTCGGGAGGCTGAGGCAGGAGAATGGTGTGAACCCGGGAGGCAGAGCTTGCAGTGAGCCGAGATTGTACCACTGCACTCCAGCCTGGGTGACAGAGCAAGACCCCATCTAAAAAAAAAAAAAGGGAAACTTGCTGGGAACTGGAGCAAAAGTGATTCTGATTATGTTTTAGCAAAGAGATTGGTGGCATTTTGCCCCTGCCCTAGAGATTTGTGAAACTTTGACCTTGAGAGATGATTTAGGGTATCTGGTGGAAGAAATTTCTAAGCAGCAAAGCATTCAAGAGGTGACTTGGGTGCTGTTAAAGGCGTTCAGTTTTAAAAAGGAAACAGAGCAAAAGGTTTGGAAAATTTGCAGGCTGACAATGCAATAGAAAAGAAAATTCCATTTTCTGATGAGAAATTCAAGCAGGCTGCAGAAATTTGCATAAGTAACGAGGAGTTGAAGGTTAATCACCAAGACAATGAAGAAAATGTCTCCGGGGCATGTCAGAGACTTTGCAGCAGCCCCTCGCATCATAGGCCCAGAGGCCTGGGAGGAAAAATGGTTTCATGGGCCAGGACCAAGGTCCCCATGCTCTGTTCAGCCTAGGGACTTAGCACCCTGCATCCCAGCCACTCCAGCTATGACTAAAAGGGCCAAGGTACAGCTCATGCTGTGGCTTCAGAGGGTGCAAGCCCCAAGCCTTGGCATCTTCCACATGGTGTTGAGCCTGTGGGTGCACAGAAATCAAGAATTGAGGCTTGGAAATCTCTGCCTAGATTTCAGAGGATGTATGGAAATGCCTGGATATCCAGGCAAAGGTTTGCTGAAGAGTCAGGGCAGTCAGGGAGAACCTCTGCTAAGGCAGTGCAGAAGGGAAATGTGGGGTGAGCACCCCCACACAGAGTCAACACTGGGGCACTGCCTAGTGAAGTTCTGAGAAGAGGGTCACCATCTTCCAGACCCCAGAATGGCAGATCCACTGACAGCTTGCACTGTGTGCCTGGAAAAACCTCAGAAACTCAATGCCAGCCTGTGAAAGTAGCCAGGAGGGAGGCTGTACCCTGCAAAGCCACAGGGATGGAGCTTCCCAAGACCACGGGAAACCACCTCTTGCAGCAGCATGACCTGCATGTGAGACATGGAGTCAAAGGAGATCATTTGGCATCTTGACTGCCTGGCTGGATTTTGGACTTTCATAGGGCCTGTGGACCCTTTGTTTTGGCCAATTTCTCCCATTTGGAATGGCTGTATTTACCCAATGCCTGTACCCCCATTTTATCTAGGAAGTAACTAACTTGCTTTTTGATTTTACAGACTCATAGGCAGAAGAGACTTGCCTTCTCTCAGATGAGACTTTGGGCTGTGGACTTTTGAGTTAATGCTGAGTTAAGATTTTGAGGGACTGTTGGGAAGTCGTGATTGGTTTTGAAATGTGAGGACACGAGATTTGGGAGGGGCCAGTGATGGAACAATAACCTTTGTCTGTGTCCCCATCCAAATCTCAACTTGCAGTGTAGCTCCCACAATTCCCACATGTTGTGGGAGGGACCCGGTAGGAGGTAATTGAATCATGGGGGCCAGTCTTTCCCATGCTATTCTCATGATAGTGAATAAGTCTCATGAGATCTGATGGTTTTATAAAGGGGAATTTCCCTGCACAAGTTCTCTTCTTCTCTTGTCTGCTACCACGTGAGACATGCCTTTTGCCTTCCACCATGATTGTGCAGCCTCCTCAGTCACATGGAACAGTAAGTCCAACTAAACCTCTTCCTTTTGTAAATTGCCCAGTCTTGGATATGTCTTTATCAGCAGCATGAAAACAGTCTAATACATAATCACAGTTATGTGCTTAACTGATACTGCAGACAGTAAGCCAGTGGGTCACCTTTTAAATCCACAGGGGAACACACTTCATCCCTGCAAGCCCTGAGAAGAAAGAACATCTGTGCATCTTCCCAGAGCCTTCATAAGTCCCGAGTGTGTCCCAGTGATTTTTTTAAACAAGTTTAATATGAAGAAATACTATTACAAACAAACAACTATTAGAAACAAAAGTTTGGGCTTCATTGAGACATTCCTTCCATGAAACAGAAATGAGGGCACAAAGCCCAGGCCACTGCCCCTGGGCTGTAGGGGGCAGCCAGGGCATAGGCTGGGGCTGAGGAGGGCCTGGTGCTTCTCCTTCCCTCTCCTTTCCCCACATAGCACCTCACCCTTCTCTAGACCTTCTTGGAGTATTCCTGTGTAGTCTCTGATGCCACCACAGCCATGGCAACAGCAACTTCTATTACTTCTCTCTTCATTTCTTTAACAATCCCACTTCTTACAGTTTTGAAGTAATAGCACAACACGTTCACCTACCTTTGATGTTTCCTAAGATATCTAGTTTTTAGTTGGGGTGGGGGAACATTTCAGCTAACCTTTCAGAAAGTATTTCAGTTGTACAAAAATAGTATCTGATCCTTAATCCAACCAAATTTTGACCAAAAATTACAAGAAATTGTTGCACTTGCTTTCTGCATTTTGGACTAGAAACACTAATAAGGCTCTAAATTATTAAAAATACACTAAATATCAAAATAGGTTTTGAATGCATGTGCATTCAGCTTGAGGCCCATTGCAGCCCAAGTCAACCCAGTTTCCCCATGCCCACATCTCCCATTTGGGCTTCTTGTTCAGCTATCAAAGCATTTGTCAGTGGTGGAATTGAACCTCCCAGAATAAAGTGTTTACTGAACCAATCGGGCAACCCTGAGGGGGCTCACAGAGGTGCTTGAGGGACACAAGGACAAGTAACAATGTAGGTCCTAGCTTCCAGGAGTGGCCAAATGGATGGAAACATCATTAAAACACAAGGACGGCCAGGTGCAGTGGCTCACATCTGTAATTCCAGCACTTTGGGAGGCTGAGGCGGGCATATCATGAGGTCAAGAGATCGAGACCAGCCTGGCCAACATCGTGAAACCCCATCTCTACTAAAAATACAAAAATTAGCTGGGCATGGTGGCACACGTCTGTAGTCCCAGCTACTCCGGAGGCTAAGGCTGGAGAATCGCTTGAGCCTGGGAGGTGGAGGTTGCAGTGAGTCGAGATTGCGCCACTGCACTCTAGCCTGGTGACAGAGTGAGACTTAAAAAAAAGAAAGAAAGAAAGAAAACAAGGACTAATACATTCAATGCCATCCCAGGTATCAAGACTTCCACATCTGTGGAATGTGGAGCTAGGACCAGGGGCTTCCCAAAAATGAATTCAGTCCTGAGCCATTGTGAGGCCTTTGAGATGGCTTGTTAACAGAATGCACAAATAAATGAATTTCAATCTATTTAAGTGTTAGCTTTCACAGAGAAAATAACTTTAGATAAATCTTAAAGGCCAAGCCAGACCTCCACAGCTCAACCCTAGAAAAGTTTAGAGTTGCCTTTCTGTGCAGAGGAGAGAGTGCTAGTGGCTTCTGGACTTTGGGGGTGTCATTTGAGGGCCCTATATGATGATCTGATGAGAACTGGTATAGGCCAAGGAAACAGGTGAGTGTGGACAGATAGTGGAGGTACTTGAGCTATTTGGGCAGCTTAATGTGGGGTGTGTGTGTATATATCATGCTAATTACAAGTTTGTGTACACAGATGCTCCTTGACTTACCATGAGGCTACCTCTCGATAAACTCATTCGTAAGTTGAAAATATCCCAAGTAGAAATGCATTTAATAAGCCCAACCTACTGAACATCATAGCCTAGCATAGTCTAGCCTACCTAACCATGCTAAGAACACTACAGTTGGGCAATCATCTAACACAAAGCCGACTTTGTAATAGTGTTGAATATCTCATTTAATTCATTGAATACCGGGCTAAAAGTGAAAAAGAAAATGGTTGCATGAGTGTTTGAAGTACGGTTTCTAATGAATGTGTATTGCTTTTGCACAATTGTCAAGTTGAAAAATTCTAAATCCAACCTTCATAAATTGGGGACTGTCTGTATTTTCATTACTGATTTGTGCTTCCCTTTATTTCAGTGACTTAGGAAGATGAACATAGATACATGTGAACTTCCGGCCTCTGCACCAACACATTAAGAGTATGTAAGCTTTCACTCCCATCCCTACAGCAAGAAAATCTGAACAAACTGAAAATCAGTGACTTTCTTTAGACTCATCAGTAAAGTACATTTGTAAAGAGACAGCACATACAGGAAGTCCAGCTGAGATGGGCTTACCTGGAGCAGGGGCCCCAGGATCCATCAACTGTAGAAACTTGTAAATACAAATTATGGTGAATTTATGGAAGCTGAGAGTGAGAAGCTCCTGGAGGACTGCAGTCTTGAGGAGACCCCACATTTTAATGATTTTTACCTCCAGCAACCTCATTAGGTTCTTTATTATTCCATTTTTGCACTGCTATAAAGAAATACCTAAAACTGGGTGATCTATAAAGAAAAGAGGTTTAATTGGCTCACAGTTCTGCAAGCTGTACAGGGAGCATGGCTGGGGGTGCCTCAGGAAACTTAAAATCATGGTGGAAGACGAAGGGGAAGCAGGCACATTTTACACGGTCAGGCAGGAGGAAGAGAGAGAGGGGGTGAGAACTTGCTCACTATTGTGAGAACAGCAAGGGAGATATCCACCCCCATGACCCAGCCACCTCCCACCAGGTCCCTCCTCCAATACTGGGAATCACAATTCAATGTGGGATTTGGGTGGGGACACGGACCCAAACCACATTAGGTTCTCACAAGAAAAACATGAGAAAGATTCCCTCATGGTTCTGGGTTCGTTTTTGCCTTGTGCCCTGAGCTGTTGGGATATACTCTGTCTCCCTGCAACCCTGAACTGAAATAATTGGGTAAATCATTATCCTGTTTTTATTAATATTTCTCAAATGTATGTACAGCTCACGTTTATTTCAATGCTTAATATTATAAGTGTTTTGGTCTTTAGCAGTTTGATGATGGTTTTAGTGACAGGAAATATGCTGTAGGAACTTAACCCTGCTTTACATCAATTAGCCTGTGGTAAGATTGGCTTCATTAGGCATTGTTTTTTAAAGTTGCATTTTCTAAGAATCTATTGATGACACTAAGTGAGGACCTCCTGTACCTGCTGGCTTTTTGTATATCTTCTTTGGAGAAATGTCTATTCAGGTCTGCAGTCCATTTTTTAAATGGGTTCTTACTTATTTTGCTATTGAGTTGCAGGGGTTCCTCATATCTTTTGACTTTTTTTTTTTTTTTTTTGAGACAGATTCTCCCTCTGTTGCCCAGGCTGGAGTGAAGAGGCATGATCTCGGCTCACTGCAACCTCTGCCTCCCAGGCTCAAGTGATTCTCCTGCCTCAGCCTCCCAAGTAGCTGGGATTACAGATGTGCACCACTGTGCCTGGCTAATTTTTGTATTTTTAGCACAGACAGAGTTTCACCATGTTGGCCAGTCTGGTCTTGAACTCCTGACCTCAAGCAATCCACCTTCCTCAGCCTACCAAAGTGTTGAGATGGGTGTAAGCCCCCACATCTGGCCATTATTTAGAAAATTATTCCCTTGCTCAGTGCATGGTTTGCAGATATGTTCTCCCATTGTGTAGGTTGCCTTTTCACTCTGCTGATTGTTTCCTTTGTTGGGATTGATCCCATGGATATGACACCAAAAGCAAAGGCAGCAAAAGCAGAATTAGTCTGAGTGAGACTAAATCAAACTACAAATCTCTCAAAAAATAAAAAATAAAAAGAAGGCATAGTGGTGTTCCAAAGTAGACTTACATTAGTTAACATGCCCTTGAGAAAAGTCTGGGACAGCTAGTCATTTTTTTTTTTTTGAGACACAATTTCACTCTATTGCCCAAGCTGGAGTACAGTGGTGTGATCTCGGCTCAATGCAACCTCACTTCCCAGGTTCAAGCAGTTCTCATGCCTCAGCCGCCCGAGTAGCTGGGATTACAGGTGCAGGTCACCACACCCAGCTAATATTTATTTATTTATTTGTTTATTTATAGTGATGGGGTTTCACCATGTTGGCCAGGCTGGTCTTGAACTCCTGACCTCAAGTGATACACCCTCCTCGGCCTCCCAAAGTGCTAGGATTATAGGCGTGAGCCACCATACCCAGCACAGTAAATATTTTTAAGAGAACTGAATGCTAAGAGAGGAAATAGAATATAATCTTACAGTACTTCTGCCAGAGAAGGCAGAAAAGGGGGTGTGGGGCAGAAACAAATGACAAATGCAAATCCAGAAAAGTTACAAATATGGCTGATACGAATACAAATGAATCAATAATTATTTTAAATTTCTATGGTATAAATACAATGAAAGAAAGAGATTGTCAGAGTAAATAAGAAAACAAGACCCAACTAAGAGTTGACGGTAATAAACCGACTTAAACAAAATGACTCAGATAGACTGAGATTAAAGGGATCATTTTCCTACATCATGCTAGGCAAAGGGCCTGAATAGATATTTCTCCAAAGAAGACATAAAAATGGCCAACAGGTACATGAAAAGTTGCTCAACATCACTAATCATCAGGGAGATGCAAATCATAACCACGATGAGATACCCCCTCAGTCCAGTTAGAATGGTTGTTACAGAAAAGATGGGATAAAAGGTGTTGGTGAGGGCGTGGAGAAACAGGACCACTTATATACTGTATGTGGGAATGTAGATTGGTGTAGCCACTATTAACAAAAATAGTATGAAGATTCCTGAATAAATTACAAAATAGGACTACCACCTGACACAGAAATCCCTCTTCTGGGTATATACCCAAGGGAAATGAAAGCTATCCATGACCACATGTTCATTGCAGCATTTTTCACAATAGCCGAGACATGGAAACTACCTAAGCGTCCATCAACTGATGAGTGCGAGATACTAAAAACAGTGCAATACAGTGGAATATTTCTCAGCTTGTGCAAAACAATAGCCATAGCCAATAGTTATTCATGATTTACAACCCAAATAAAGGAAGAGCTCCAGATAAAGGGAAGCAACAAGAACTGGCTTAAAATTGCAGAAATTACATACAAATATATGGCATTATAGTCAATGCATTCTATTATGCATTGCATGTTATATATTGTACTATGTATTACATATACATGCACATAATGTATGTGCAAGTTTTATAGGTTGTATACATGTTTATGGGAGAAACCTCTGCATTCATCCAGCCCATTTCTGCAAATCCAGGACACTCAACTGCTGACCCCATGCTGCAGGATGCTGCCCTGAGCTGATAGGACCATGACTCCTGTAATTTTACCCCCCTCTTGCTCCCTGATTTGATATGTTGGGCATTGACAGAAAATTTGAACACATGTTTCTTCTGTAGATTTTGACAGAGTGCTGTTATTTCCTGTATAAGAACAGTTCAATTTCCTGCTCACCATTTCAGTCTCTCGTACAGGGAATGTGGGATAAAATCTCCTAGCCACCCTGAGTGTGGTTTGAACCCTGAAGATGTCTGATTAAGGAAGTGATTGAATCCATTCTTTCCACCCCAGACTTCATGTTGAAATGATTACTCATCTCTCTGTTCATAAAGCCTATATTGCATGCTAGGGTTTGAAATCCAGAAATCTAATTAAAACCTCCTAGTGCTTTTAATACTCTATTGCCAAGCAAGACTGGTTTTACAAAGCACAAATTCTTGAGCCTGTCTGTCCACTCACTAACATGCAGTGTTTGGTGGTGTTTAGTATTCTGCAAAGAGCCTAGGAGCCTGAGAATCATTTCCTAGCTGTGGAGAGGAGGTGGCTGGATTTCAAGAGTCTGAGACTGTCTGGCCTCTCCTTGGTTCCCTTTGCTCTCTGCAGCCTGGCCCAGAGTCCAGCCTTCCTATAGGTCACCCTGGCCAAACCTTGGTGTGTCCAAGAAGGTCACTTGGGCCAGGTGTTTCTGCCCTGGGGTCAATCAGGACCTTAAAAGCTGTAGGTGAATCCCAAGGAATAAATGTTTTTTGTAAGATGTCAGGTGAAGCCCTAAACAGCCCTTGAACCTCACTTAAAATGTCTTTTCAATCATGTATGAAGATGGCTGAGTCCTGTCAGTCTCTGATCTTGCATGAGTCCTGTCAGTCTCTGGTCTTGCACGAGTCCTGTCAGTCTCTGATCTTGCATGAGTCCTGTCAGTCTCTGATTTTGCATGTAGAGACCAGATGTCCTCCTTAGGCTTTTGCTGAAGGAAAGAACAAGGACCCCAGGTTTGTAGCCTCCAACATGTGGATTTTGGCTGATATTTGTGCAAAACAAACTATGTTGTGTGGCACGTATTCCTGAGTTCTAAATAATCTAGTAGGAGTCTGATTTTTAGGTTTGTTAAATTACCCTGAGCTTCACTATAACCCTGCAGAACAGATCTCATTCTCATTTCCTAGGAAGGAAAACTGCAAATTCACGGCTTTATCCAATGGAGTGGTATCGATACAAACGTGGTAGGAGTCAGTGTTTGGTGCCATGTTGGGGGGTAGTGTAGATATTTACTGTGGTGACTTGACCCCATTGCAAACTTTCCAGTTACCAAAGTTACTTTACATACTGACAATGACTGAACGAGGACAGACTGTTCATAGGACCCTAAAGGACATAGAGGGTGAGAATTTCCCAGGCTCTTTTCCCATCTTCCCAGGGAAGTGAGAAGAGTGAGCCATGTGTGTCTGGGAACTGCTCAATCTACAAGAGCCCCTGAATGGCAGCCCAAAAGCAGCCTCAGACATCCTAGGTCAATAGAGTATGAGTTATTTCTGATAACAAAATTTTTTTTTTCAAATTTTAAGGTGAATCCTTTAAAATCTCGGCAGAAAATGAAAGCAGTAGAAGACGGGCTCTAGTTATTCATGTTATTTGTAAGAGCAAAATTCACAAAAGCTGCTCATTGTAGACACACAGAGCCCATGCATTGTCTGTGGACCACATTGTAGAGAAGATTTGACTGACTCAGAGGCCTTGTCTGAGCTGTTCTGTTGGTGGACGGTGTTCAGCATCCTGTCCACACAGCCCCGTGTCTGTGACCCCTTCTGTCTCTGGGCCGATCCTGGCCCTGGTGCTTGGTGGCGGTTGGTTCAAGGTGGTCAGCAGACCAGGAAAAACAGACATGGTGATGTCGTTACTCCAGGGCTGCAGCTGCCAGCTGCCCCATGGCCTGGGCATCAGATTTCTTGGGGAGCAGGAGTGCAGGCAGGGAATGCGCTGAGCACACGTGTGCCCTGGAGACACGGCCCCCTGCAGAGGTTCCAGAGGCTGACAGTCTATGGGTGGCAAGTCCTCCGACCCCAAGGTTGTGCAGATCCTCAGCCCCAGTGGTGCTCACTGAGCTCTGTCCACCCAGCCTTGGGTCCTGCCCGTGGAGGAGCCCAGCTCAGCCACAGAAGGGCAGGGATGGGAGCACCTTTCCCCTCCTCAGAAGCTAAGTGTGCCCTCCTACCCTAAATGCCAAGGGCCCTTTCCTGCAGGCTGATGGCGCATTTGTGAATGGAAATGCAACCAACTCTCAGAAGAATCACAAGCAACTGGGAAGCTGCTTTTACATCTCTGCAAAAGGCACCTGTTGAATAAAATTCCCAGTGTCATCCTGGTTAGAAGTATTTTTATTTTTCTGGCTTTGCAGGACTCTCCCTCCCTTTTCTTTTATTGTGAATTTCCTACTTACTTCACAGTGTTAACTCTATCCATTTTAAAGATAGTCAACTATGAAATAAGGCAAAGGGGCCTCAAGCCTGGGGGTGATGCTGGCTCCAGAGAATGGAAGCTGGGGATCCGGCTTGTAGTCCTTTCCAACGCCCCGGGTGACTGTGACCCACAATGCAGAGATCCAGACTCATGCGCACTGCTTCTGTGAGCCAGGGTAGCTCCCACAAGGCAAAGTGTGGCTCTAGGTCATTAGGGATGAGAGAGGCAAATCCGGTCAAACACAGCTTCACGACAGCATGGGGAGCCCGGAACTTGGAAATGTGCAGCTTCAGGGATATTGTTTTCAGCAACCTGGGGAAGCTTGATTTTCTTTTTATTCTTTGCTAGACTAGTGACAATCATATTTTCCTTTTTTTTTTTTTTCCAAATTAATGGTTTCTATCTTTCAAATTTCCTTGACAAATAGAATTTCGAAAACTTTTTGAAGTTCAAAATAGATTTGCCATTATTTTCTTGCCCTGTGATGATAAAATAAACCACCATTTATTCATAAGTAGATAAGGGACTCCATAACAAAAATGTAGCATGGAGACGGAACCCAAGACTAAAAGACATTCACTTGTAATAAGTGCCTTTTCCTCCGTGCAACGCACACCTCATCTTCCTCATTTTCCTCACTGGTGAAGCTCTGTCTGGCCCTGGCCCTGGCACAAGGAACGGAATTTGAGAATCTCTGGGAGGTGAATAGAGACCAATCACCAAAGTGGGTGCAGAAGCAGAAACTGGGTGACTGAGAAGAGCTCTTCCATTTTTTGACTGGACTCCTTCTCAGAGTATCTTCTGGCAGCCCTGGGTGCAGGATGCTGGACCGGAGAGCAGGCCTCTCTTTCACTCCCGAGGAGACCAGGATCCAGTGGCCCCTCGCGGATGGTATGGGAGGAGATCTGGTTATCAACCTGCCCAACTGCCTGCAGATAGCTGCTGCCACAGGGCCTCGCTCTGGCCGGATTCGGCCATTCTCATGGAAACCAGGGGCCCTTCCCAGGGCGCCTCCTCACTTCATCTCCAAGCTGAGAGGCAATTAGTAGGAGTCCGTCTCAGAGTTTCTGGAGCCTCAGCCATGATGGCGGCCACCTCATCCCCGGAAAGGACGTACCGGGAGCACAGTCAGAAGTGAGGAGCAGCCGTGGTAACAAATCTCATCTGTCGCCCTCATCTGCTGAGATCTGGGTTTCTACCCCTGTAATATTCCAAGAATTGTTTTTCAAATTTGCTTCAAGATAGGCCACTGGCAAGTTTCTGTTCAATCAACTACGCAAGAGACAACATCGTACCTAGTGTCGAAACTTAGTAACTGCACCTAGAATTTTTTGGTAGATGCACAAATGCGTTAATAAATTCAACCCAATCTAAGATTATTTTATTTTTGCTTGTTTTCCTAACTCATTTCAACATTGACTCTCCAAGGTTTCGCTGAGATAAATTGTGAAGATCTTGCAAATTACTGTCCCAAGGCACACTGAGGTTTGGTTCAGTTTGCATGTTTGGCCACAAAGAACACGTATAGAGCTGGCATCCCTACAAAAGCAAACGTCTCACACAAATCCTAACAGGGCCAGGAAGCAAGGCAGGAATGGCTGGACCAGAAGCAGGGGGGAGGCTGCCTCCCCTGCAGAAGGGGTCCCTGGGGCTGGGGGCTTGAGGGCTCTCTGAGTACCCAAATATTCCTGCTTATTACCTTTCCCTCTGGGCTCCCACTCTCTTTTGACCAGGGTTCTGATGCTCACAGAAGAGTCCTGGCAGACTTCTAGTGCCACTGCCAGTGCTGTTCAGCGCCTGCAAAGCTATGCTGAGCTCCCTCAGCATGAGGCTGAGAGAGGGCTGGGACACCCAGGCCCAGTCTGGATGGTCCTACGTTCCCTAACCCCACCCAAGCCAGATAGAGGGCATTTTGAGGACGCCCTTCTCTTCAAGTCGTGCAGCCCTACAGCCCTAAATCTCTGTGTCCTTTATTCTACCTGATGCCAACGCCTTGTCTTTGATGGGCAAGTCATTTCAGGTGGCCGGAGGGTAAAATCTAGGAGGCTGTTCAGCTTCTGTGGACCACGGCCTTCTGGTGCCCACCTTTGGGTCCTCAACAGTCCCCTGCCTGCCCAGGCCCGAGAGCCTGCCCAAAGCTCCCATTCCTGCCAAGGTCTGCTGCCTGTGCTCTCTCCTCATGCCTATCTGCATTCATTGTGGCAGCTTCAGCAGGAAACACCCCAGCTAGCTTAAGACAGAAGTAAATCACACTATTAGTCTAGTCCATTGACAGAGTGCCAGAGATGGTCAGAGAATGGGTTGGCTTTCATGGAGCCAGGAGCAGGGTCCTCAGCACCCCATGGAGACAATGCTGATGCCCCAGGACCAGATGCTCGGAACACCTGTGCCGCAGAACTTTGGAAAGCTCTGGCCCCTCACCCTCCCTGGAGCCACGTCCATGGTTTGCCCTTGACAGCATCTCCAGCTGCTGAACTGTTGCTCATCTGAACGCCTGCTTGGAGGGACAGCCTCCACTGCCCAGAGTAGATATGGGCAGGGCAGGGGTTCTGTTCAAGAAGACCTGGGTGTCTACAAAGCCCAGTAGATTGATTCCCCCACAGGTGACCACTGTGGGCTAGGGAGAGGTGGGTTTGCTCAGTCATAAAGATCAGAGACCAGGCTACAGAACAGGGTGTGACCCAGTGCTGCAGAGACAGAATGAGCACAGGGCACTTGATGTGGGGATTAATCTGGAGCAGGATTGGGTGCCAGCTGGGGAAGAAATCAGGGGCACTGACAGTGCCAGGGGGTGCAAGAGGCCAGGAAAAATCCACCTGAATTGCACAAAGATGCTGACATCAAGGGGCGTTGGTGGCTCACTGAAGCCGCAGTGAGGCAGTGCTGGGGGCACGCTTCGGGGATAGAAGAGTAACTGGGAGGTGGGAAACATCCTTGAAGAGTGACCTGAGGCCAAGTAAGGCTGCTGGTTACAATCGGTCATAGAGTTCCTGTTATTTTTTCTCTTTTTTCTTTTTTTGAGATGGAGTCTTGCTCTGTCGACAGGCTGGAGTGCAGTGGCGTGATCTCCACTCACTGTAACCTCAGCCTCTCAGGTTCAAGTAATTCCCCTGCCTCAGCCTCCCAAGTAGCTGGAACTACAGGCATGTGCCACCACAACTGGCTAACTTTTTTTTTTTTTTTTTTGTAGAGATCGAGTTTCACCATGTTGGCCAGGATGGTCTTGATCTCCTTACCTCATGATCCGCCCACCTCAGCCTCCAAAAGTGCTGGGATTACAGGCATGAGCCACAGCTGCTGGCCTAGAGTGCCTGTTAAAAGTCACATCGGCCCAGGGACGAATGAGTGGTTACATACTGGGGTCCATCCACAGGAGGGAATACGATTCAGCCTTACAAAGTTAGGAAATTCTGCCTCATGCTACAACACAGATGGACCCTGAGGACACGATGCTGAGTGAAATGAGCCAGGCAGAAAGAGGGAAGTGCAGGAAATACCTAGGAGAGGCAAATCCATGTTTGCGGACGCAGTCTGGGGGCTTCCATGTTACATGCTCCAATGTAGATCCGCAGCATAGCTCAGTCTTCCTGGCTCATGTGGAGTTGTCTGTTCCTTTCCACTGCCGCTTCTTGCTTATTCTTGTTGTTTTCATTTGTTTTGTTTTGTTTTGGTGTTATTGTTATTGTTTGTTTTTTAGGAGGAGGCATTCATTTTTAAAAATACATTTTAGAGCATGTTAAATATATGTTGAAATGATACTGTCATTATTTTCTAGAGTTTTCTTAATCCTCTTCTAATAATGGGAAAATATTTGTATTTTCTTTAGCCCAGTACATGGTATTTTAAATGGCCTTTTCCTGTTTCCTTTTATGGCGTTGACAAGCTGAATCCCATCTTCAGCTCTGGATTTCCATAGAAAGTTGCGTAGGCACTTGGAGAATATCACTCCCTACTTTATAGAAAAAAGGGCAGACAACTTTCTATGGGAATTGCTGGGGCTGTTGTGGGCAATGATCGGAGATTTAACTTTGGATTTGGTTACTTTATTTTGATGCAACAGAATAAAAACGTAGCTTAAAACAGGTGACTCCAGGAGTATAGGATTTGAAACTGTTCTGATAGAAAATATGTTTTACAGGGGACTTACGGGAAAAATATATTTTCCAAATAATGAATAGTGTTTGTTCACGGCTATCATTTAGCAAATCTAAAGTTGTTTAAAAGTAATTTTTAAATGATCCCCATATGAATATTTAGAATGGTGCCAGGGTTCTTGAAGAAGAGTTTACCATTTCTAAGGATTACACAGGGAGACTGTCAACCAGCACTTTCTTCCCCATGTGACAGCTTGTAAGCATGATTTCCAGGTGTGTGCAGGTGAGCTGGGCTGTCCCGTTCATCTTGATTTGACCACGCATGATGGGGGTGCCACCCAGAAACCTGTGTGATGAGAGCCGAGCTCGTGGCTGTATTTGAGGGTCTCCACACACTCCCATTCATAAGCTACAGAACACCACGCGTGTGCCACTGGGAATGGGATAAAACCTAAACCTTGGGAAACATCTGCGTCTTTTGTCGATGCAGCCTGTCTTCTTGTTGCTCCTCAACTTGAGAATTGAAATGACTGTGCATTTTCTGCAATTTAATTCTTTACGCTAAACCTCTTTTGGGTTTTCACTGAGCAGGTGGTGAGCAGTCCATCACCAGGTCCCTGCTGCATGGACCGTGTCTCTAATGCTGGGCTCTCGCTGGCAAAGCGGGGAGTCTCGGGGCGCCACGGAGTAGCTCAGGGCTGGCTGCAGGGAGTCTGGCTGAGGCACCTGCTGCCACTTCCCTCCGCGAAGCTCTCCCTGAATCACCGCGCGGGGGCGCCCTGCCAGGCCCCATGCGGGGCTCCCCTTTCCCGGGCATCCTGCTGTCACTCAGACACCGCCTTCTCATTACTCGTGCCAGGCCCCGTCGGCGGGGGCAGTTCGTGATGATTGGAAAGTGTTGCGTGTGTGCGGAGAAAGGATATTTCAGGGCTGCAAGAGGTTGAGCCTCCTCCCGCTCTCCTGGGTAAATACAAGGCCCCCTCTCCACACTGAGCTGATTACACACACCCTGATATTTATAACCACCATCCTCTAAGGAACTCAGCTCCTTTATAAACAGGACTTTATTGATCCTCTCCCACAACTGTCAAACAAAGAACGATGGGATCATTACCTTTCCCTGCACCTCAGTTTCCTCAGTTCTCAGTGTTACGGGGAGTGTGAATTTGGGGAGAGTGGAATCGATGTCTCTGAGGCCTCTCTGAATGTCTGCTCTGTGAAATGAGTGTGGAGATCACTCCCTGCCTCTCATTAATGTATCTTCATCATTTTCATCAAATGTGGAGGAGGTAGATGTCTGCAGGCAGACAAGAGAAAGAGCTTCCCGGGAGGGGCCGGGAAGTGCTGGGTAGAGAAGGGCAGAGTCCCTGGAGAGAAAGCTCCACCCTCAGGCCTGTGCCCATGGACCTAAGTGAGAACAGGCACTCCTGTTTTCCTGCCCAAATGTTGCATTTTCCAAAACTACACTGGCCTGCCATGCCCTGCATCCTGTGCCCATAGAAACCTGAGACCCTTGAAGGCACAGACACAAGCGTCTGGACGTCGGGAGGAGCAGAAGAACAGACACTGGCACACACTGGCAGACACCGGCAGGCCACCGCCACCAGGACAATATGGAATTCTGTTGGGGGGAAGTTAGAGGAGAGTTTGGCCACTGGGCAACTTGACTCCAGGGGAAGACCACCTTCCCACTCCATCCCCCTTCTGGTTCCCTATCCACCTCGCTGAGAGCTACCTCCACCACTCAATAAAATGTTGCACCCATCCTCCAAGCTCTCACATGTGATCCAATTTTTCTGGTACATTAAGGCAAGAACCTGGGATACAGAAAGCTCTCTGTCCCTGCCATAAGGCAAAGGGTCTAACTGAGCTGATTGACACAAGTCGCCTGCAGATGGTAGAGCTGAAAGAGCAGACTGTAACACACACCCACTGGGGCTTTGGAAGCTGTAAACACTCAACCCTAGACTCTGCTGTGGGGGTCGAAGCCCAAAAACACTCCCCACACCTGCCCATGTGCACCCTCCCCCTAGGGGTTTGAGCAGTGGGGCAAGGTAGAAGCAAGCCACACCCCTGTTGCCTGCCCTGCAAGGGGATAAGGGAACTCCTCCCGTTTCAGTATTAGTCTAGATGTTTCAACATTCTCAAAGACCACCATGCTGTGGTGGTCGTGGTGAGACAGCAGAGCTCAGGAGAACCAGCGTAGGCATAAAGGCAGCCGCTTTCTGTGCGAGCTCCTGGGCCTCAATTACTGAGCCCTGCCCTCCAGAATTATCTGCTAGAAAGACACCCCGGTGTTGGTGAGCATCACTTGGCAACAGCCCATCCGCCTCCCTGCCCCTAACTGCCCCTCGCCCCAGCACTTTGCTGGCTGTGCTCCTCAGGCAGGCTGGGAGGGCTGGCATGGCCGGCTCCTGCATTTGAAACTGCCCAACCCTTGGTCCAGCTTGGGTGTGTCATTCACTGTTAAATTCAGAAAGAAAACAGAACAAACACCTCCAAGTCAATTATTTGAAAAGAACTTGATAATTCGATAAACCTAGGACCTGTCCAGGTTCTTTATCTTGTGCCATGTCCAGAGCCCCCTTTCGAGAAGTTCCAAGTTCTGTCTCCTGGGCTGCAGTGACCAGAGGGTCGTTTCCCATCTGACTCTATGCACTGGGCTCAAGAGGGTACCAGGGGTGGAAGCCTGCCAGGGTACATCTATGTGATGGGGGCTGGACAGCCAGTTCAGTATTTTAGGGAGCTTGAAAGAAAGCCGTTACATACACAACGCATTAAGGGGTGCTGGCACAACCTACTCCTAAGCCAACTGAAATATAGCCGCCTTATCTTCCTACAGACCAGTTCAGGACAACAGCACTGCCGACTTGGATGCTGCGGTCTTCCTTACCCCATGGGAGTATGGGGACACATGAGGTTTTGAAGCCTGGGTTCTGGGCACAAGAGCTAAACAGGCTTGATGGTATGGCATTTTGGGAGCTGAGGTGCAGGGCTAAGGAAAGGCTAGGCCTGTGATGCTGGGGCCTGGAGGTGGGGTGGGTCCCTCCTGCAGCAGAGACCTGCCAGTCAGTCCCAACAGCCCCCCAAGGAACCAGGGCTCCAGAATCGCTGGTGCATGCATGGGACAGAGCAAAATGCTAAGTGTCACTGCTTTGGGCTTGCCAGTGGCACTCCTGTTGGCTTAGTCACTCACCAGGAGGCAGAATGGCCAGCGGCAGAGGCCCAGCTTTGGGATAGAGCATGAGGCCCTGGCATGAGCAGCTGAAAACCAGACACAACTCCCCAAGGGGCTTTGAACGACAAAGACCCATCCCCAAGCTTCCTGAGCAACGCGAGAGAGAGAAGGAAGTTCCTAATGCACGGCTGGGATGGATGCTGCACCAAGAGCTGAGTTCATTTAAGATAAATAGAGCAGAGAGAAGCTTCGCGCACTTGAGCATCATAGACAGGTGGGGGCAGAACAGAAAGAACTGAGTAGCGTCTCCAAAGCTGAGCAGAAGGTGCCGCCCCGACTAGAGGACTGAACGAGGGCCGCGGCGTCTCCCGTCCTGCTGGGGAGTTTTAGCAACAACACAGGACCTCTCGTCTGCTCCAGCGCCAGGCTGGACGCCTTCTGGGAGGCTGGCTGCCCTTGGATTTCCTCAGGCGCTCAGACAGTAAGCCCCATTCACTATCTCTGGTCCTGGCCACCTGAAAAAAGCATACTCTAATAACATGTCATCACAAGCCTTAAACACACTGAAAAACCTGTCCTAAGCATACAACTGTTTGCTTTTTCGTAAAGGTCAAGAACTCAAAGCAAGCTTCCGAAAGCTGCTTGGGAGCAGGAAATGCTATTAGGCGCCCATCATCATAATCGTCATCTTCATCTTCATATTGTCTGCACGGGACAACCTGCCAATGGAGAGATCTGGGAGGGGCTATTCTGAGGAGAGCCATGTATTCTTCACAATTTTTTAAAGACATATACAAGTTAATTGATCTGCAACCCCAATTTTTCGCATATTTAATTTAGAATCAAGCAGGTATATTTAAAAGGATGAGAAGAGCACTAAATATGAGTGTTGCTAAGTGTGAGTGGGGCTGGTGCTCCAGGGCCCTGAGCAAACTCTGGGGAAAGGGGAGGGAGAAGGGAAGTTTCTGGCTGGGCGTGGTGGCTCACACCTGTAATCCCAGCACTTTGGGAGGCCGAGGCAGGAGGATCACTTGAAGTTAGGAGTTCAAGACCAGCCTGGCCAACATAGGGAAACCCCCATCTCTGCTAAAAATACAAAAATTCGCCGGGCGTGGTGGTGCACGCCTGTAATCCCAGCTACTCCAGAGGCGGAGGCGGGAGAATCACTTGCACCCGGGAGGCAGAGGCTGCAGTGAGCCAAGATTGCGCCACTACACTCCAGCCTGGGCTACAAAGTCAGATTCAGTCTCCAAAGAATAAAATAAAATTTAAAAAAGGAGGGAAATTTCCGGAGAGAGAAGAGGTCTTCTCAGAATGCCGAGTGTACATTGGTTGTTTGGTTTTCAGTGCTCTTAATTTAAGGTTTTCTTCCATATGTTGTAATGACTCGCGAGCCTTTTGATCCCCTATCTTGCATTTAAAACAAAATAAAACAAAAGTCTTCTAAGGAATTGGAGGGAGCATACAAAAGAAAACTAACACAACTAACAGGGGAAGATGGCCTATGGAAGTCTAAGGCTGAAAACAGAGCTGTGACCCATGATTCTGCCCTCATGCCTAGAGACTTCATTCAACCCTGAGGTTAAGACGCTTCACCCGTTGCTCGTCAGAGGAAATCTGAGATCCATGGGAAGAACTGCTCCGAATTTTCTAATGTATTAAGTAAGAAATAAGGCAAATCATAATAAACATTATAGATGTTAATAACCAAGAAAAACAGAACTGACATTGGATAAAATCATACCTTAAAATTTATCATTGACTAAAACATGGCCAAATAGTGAAATCTTTCTGATAAATTTTGTAACAGCAAACTTGACTCCAGGAAAAACTGATCTTGTTAAAACTAATGACAAAAAACAAATAAATAAACAAACAACAACAACAACAAAAAACTGAAACAGCTGTTTAAAAAAAAATTACATGGGATTGGGAGCAGTGGCTCATGCCTTTAATCCCAGCACTTTGGGAGGCTGAGGCAGGCGGATCACCTGAGGTCAGGAGTTGGAGGCCAGCCTAGTCAACATGGCAAAACCTTGTCTCTACTAAAAATACAAAAATTAGCTAGGTGTGGTGGTGGGCACCTGTAACCCCAACTACTCAGGAGGCTGAGGCAAGAGAATTACTTGAATTCAGGAGGCAGAGGTTGCAGTGAGCCAAGATCGTGCCACTGCACATGAAAGATCATTAACTCTAATGAAATAATTTCAAGAAACAGAAAACGAACCATCTTTGCTCTATGAAAATTAGACAAAGACATTGAATTAGTTTGATGGATCTTGCCCTAAAAGTACATTCTCCAAAGCATAGCATCAAAACAATGCTTGCGGCAGTCAGGAGCTAAGGCTCAGGGTTCAGATGGCCTGTGTTCAACTCTAGCTCTGTGGGGCACTTTCTCCTTCTCCGGGCAAGCAATTTCAACACTCTGGACCCCATTCCTTCGTCTGGAAAATGGGAATAATGACACAGCAATTGTGAGAACTAAAAGAGTTAAAACATATATCATACTTAGAAAATTGGCAGGCACAGAGTGAGCTTTCCATTGGTTATTACTGTAAAAGGGAGAAGGATTTTCTGTGTTCTTGAGCTACGGTGGAAATGCCAGGTGTCCACATAGAGCTTTGCTTCAGTATCTCTTCACTCTATACCACTTCTACATCATCCCATGGAAACCGTGGTCTACAGTTATCCAACAAAGCTTTCTCTACCCTACAAATACAACCATTCTCCTCTTTAACAGCTGTACTGTATTTGCAAGAGCATGGCAAGTTAATTATTTTAATGATGAAAATTTGTATTAAAAATATGTGTTAGAAGTGAGGAGAGTGGTTAGAAGTGAAGATGGTGACAGCAATGTCACGAGGATCAGTGCGAGCAACAACCTCAAACCCTGAACCCTGAGGTCAGCCCAGCGTACCTCATCACTCTTCTCCTGGCAGCCAGCACCACGTGGTGAATCTGGCTCCTGGGGTCTCTTCACCTGCCTCCTCAACTGCACCCACGCAGTGTCCAGGCTCATCATTTCCCAGGCCTCCTGGCCCTTGCATCCAGCCTCCAGCCACTCCAATCTGCCCACACCCCACACTCAGTGCAGAGTTCCACAGGGAACAGCAGCTGGTGTCATCTGGTTACGGGAAATGCATTTCCCGGCACCTGCCAGTGGACTCTATTCATGCAGAGATGTAAACTCACTTCTCCTTCCATCTACTAGAAATCCCACTATTTGGTGTGAAATTTCTTGATTTTTAAAAACTGGGAAGAAATTCAGAAAAGGGGGAAAAAACTACCCAAAAGAGCACATTCTGTGTCAAGAAAATCAGGACCAGCACCCCAGGGGCCACCCTCACTCTCCCCCACATGCCATGGTCTTGCATCTGCCACACATGGTCCAGAGCCTGCAGTGCTCATGCAGGAAGGACCCTGTCCAGCTGTGGCACCTCTTCCCCACCACTCCCTCTTCCACAGGAACTGGACTCTGCAATCATCTCAGATCCTGAATACGCCAGGATCTCTCCTTGTTCTTTTATCCACTTAAAGGTTGTTTCTCTCCTGTGGTCTGATAACAAATCTCAACCCTGCTTTCTAATCTCAGCTCTGGTTTTCCTTCCATTGGAAAGCATTCACCTGTCTCTATGGCTTATACAATTTTCTCCTTCACTTTGGGAATAGAACTAATTTATTTCTTTATTTTATTTTTGAATGTCTTGCTTCTATTCCTTGATCTTCTACACTTGCTAGAACCTTGAGTACAATGTTGAAAAGGAGTAAAGGTTGTAGACATTCTTGTCTGTTCTCAATCTTAGGGAGAAAGCATTATTAAGTATAATGTTAGCTGAAGAATTTTTTAAAGATGGCATTAATAAGACATCTGATAGATTAAGGCATCCCTAAGGTTAAGAAATTTGCTGAGAGTTTTTTAACAGAATTAGTCACTGGATTTTGTCTTATGATTGAAATGGTTTTTCTTTTTCAGTCTGTGAATATGATGAATTACATGAATTGATTTTTGAATGTTGAACCAGCTTTGCATTCCTGGAATAAATGTCATTTGACCTTGTTTTATTATTCTCTTTCTATCTTGATAGATTTGACTTGCTTAAACTTTGTGGAGGGTTTTTGCATCTATATTCATGAGTAATATTGGTCTATAATTTCAGAGTAATGTCTTTCTCTGGTGTTTGTATCAGGTAATGCCAGCCACATGAGTTGAATTGTGAATTGATCCCTCCTTCCAATTGTCTAGAGAAGTTTGTGCCCAATCAGTAGTTTTTCTTCCTTAAATGTTTGGTCTAATATGGGCATGGAGTTTTCTTTGTAGGAATGTTGTCAAATACAAAACCAATGTCTCTTTAACACAATGTGATTATTTAAGTTATCTGTTTCTTCTGGAATCAGCTTTTGTAGCATGCATTTTTCAAGGAATTTATATATTTCATTTATATAAATTGTCAAGTTTATGAATAAATTGTTAAATTTCCTTATTATCCTTTTAATTTTAGTAGGATTTATAGTAATGCCACCCTTTTATTCCTGTACTGGTAATTCTTTCTTATTCTTAGCCAATCTGGCCAGAGATTTGTCAATTTTATTTGTCTTTTTTAAAAAATATTTTATTTCTATTATTTTTCTGTTTTCAATTCCACCATATTCTGGTCTTATTGTTAGTTTCTTCTTCCTGCTTGCTTTGGTTTTAATTTACTAGAAGCTTAGATCATGGATTTGACATATTCTCCTTTTTGAATAGAAACATTTTAATGCTACAAACTTTCTTTTATGTAGGTGTTAGCTGCATCCCACAAACTTTAATATTTTAAAAATTTTTTTATTTATTTAAAAACTTGTTTCTAATCTCTGTTATGATTTTCTCTTTGACCCACAAATTACTTAGAAGTCTTTTCTTTATCAAATATCTAAGGGTGGTTCCTAATAATTTATTTTATTGATCTCTAATTTAATTCCATTATGGTTTAAGATACACTTTGTTTAATTTCAATTATTCTAAATTAGTTGTATGGTTCATTGCAGAATATCATGTATCTTGGTGAATGTTCAGTGTACACCTGAAAAGAATATATATCCTACTATTGTTGGATGAAGTCATCTTCAAATGTCAGTTATGTCAGGTTTTTTGATAATGTAGTTCAGATCCTCATGAGTTATTTCTGCATTTGTCTGCTTGCTCTAAATACTAGTTCTGTCTAATTGCCAAGGGGATGTTGAGGTCTCCAACTATAATTATAGATTTATCAATTTTTTTCTTAAAATTCTATAAGTTTTTACTTTATGTATTTTGAATCTCTGTTGTTAGGTGCAGACACACTTAGAATGGTTATGTCCTCTTGGCAAATTGACCTGCTTATCACTACGTAATATCCTTTTTATCTCAGCAATATTTATTGTTTCAAATTGTGCTTTGACCTTAATATAGCTACTCCACGTTTCTTTCAATTAGTGTCTAAATAGAATTTTAAAAAATATTTTTACAAACTTACTGTGTTTTTATCATTAAAATGGGTTTACTGAAAGAGCCTGGAACTGAATATCTTTAAATTAGATGCAATTTGATAATCTCTGCCTTTTAGACCATTTACATTTAGTGTAATTATCAATATGGTTGGGTTTCTATCTACCATTTTATTATTGTTTGTTTTTTTCCCCTCTGTTTTTGGGTCCTCTCTCTCCTATTTCTTACTCTTGTTATGGATTATATATAGATATGCATTATAAACATGAAATATAATAAGATATATGTTTTACAAGTTATATTTATAGTACTTGTTTATATGTTTTATTTATATTACATATTTATTTATATGAATTATATGTATACTATTTGAACATTTCCTATTCTATTTGAATGGATTGTATTTTTTGCTATATTTCTTTGTATCATTTTTTATCACTTTTGTTGTGGTAGAATTTTTTCTAAGTACTGCTTTTACACAACTTATCCTACTATTTTTTACAGTTACTTTGTCTGGCCCACTAGACAAATTGAGGACTAATATTTTTACTTTGATTTTTTCTTTTTATCACTTGGCACATAAAGGGCTTTCTAAAAATGACTTATGGATAAATAAACTTAACACATTCCATACAAAGGCTATTATATTAACCAATTATTTCATTCTATTGATAGCATCAATTTTCAATTTCTTAAACAAATTGCTTTAAAGTCAACTTTATTTTTTTCTGTAATTGGAGCATCCTATTTTCTCCATATTAAAATTTACTGTTGAGTTTTTTTCTCTCACAAAGGCTCACACCTTTGTGACCATCTTTCTCAGCACTTCAATCCTGGGCTATTGGCTTGGTACTGAGCCTTAGCCCCTCCTTTCTGTCCCTGAAAAACTCAGGGCCCTCAAATAGTCTTTACCCATAACCACCTGGCATGAACTGGTCCCTCAATAAACATTTGTTGGATGAATAAAACTAGAATTAATTTGTTTTCATCAGAGCATTCTTTTGTTTTGTTTCATTTTCCTTCCTGAGACCATGAAAAAAATGAATAAAAGGCAACATCCACAGCCAACAAACAGTGGCATAATTTATCAGGCAACACAGCATATTAAAGAGATCATGCTGTATCTGTGCAATAATAGAAAGTATATGACAATGGTAGAAGCTATCAAAAGAATATCAAGTAACTTTCAATTGTTTAAAAAAATTCAATAAGTTAGCTGTTAGTTTTACCAAGTGCCTTTTCATGGATGCTGCAAAAACTTCCAAATCCATGTGTTTCAGGAAATCATTTTGCATGGAATCCAGAATCTAATCAGGATGGTGATGTTTTTCACACCTAACTGTCTTCCCTTTTAGGACCACATATTGTATCCACACTGTTGAGTAATAGAAATGTTCGCATTTTCCTCCTAAGTTTTGTAGCAACAGTATGTTCTTTGCTTTCTGATTCATAGAAAGGAAAATGATACGTGATGTTGACTGCTCACAAATACCACTTAAAATACTGAAGTCCATGTCACCTGGAAATTCCTGGGTGCTCAGAGCCCCTTGTGGCAATGCACAGAAGGCTACGAGGTGGATACCAGCACAGTAGAATATCCCCTGCTGTGCCACTGTGGCACGGGCATTTTTGAGATATTTAGAGATATTCCTGGCATTTTTCATGATAGTAATTATCCCTAAATGGTCTTTTTTTTGTAACATGTGATTGGTAAACTATTGAATGCATGGTATAAGTGGGAGTTGTCATACAGCTGTGGGATGGTGGTACTCACCTAATGTATTAGCAAGCACACTCAGCTCCCAAGGCCACCAACCCTTGCTTGCCTTTAATACCCACCACTTACACTTCTTCCAGCACCCAGTGTCTGTTCCCCGCAGGCAGGGGCCTGGCTGGTCCCCAAACTCCCCAGAGTAAATTCCCCACCTTAGAGTCATCTCTACTTATCTGAATTTTAGTCATCCTTCAGAACCCAATTCAAGCTCAACTTCCACCAAAAAGTTTTCTTCAATCATAATATAATTTACAATTTGAAATAAAATGCTAACTAAAAGACTAACATTTGCAAAGCATATTACTGTTCTCAAAACATCTTTGCGCATATTATCTTGTTTGTCTCTGAAAATGTCAAAACGCTTATTACCTTATCACGTCCATTGAAAGGTGATGCAGGTGAGACTCAGAGTGGCTAAGGCCCTTGCTCAAGATCAAGGAGGTGAGTGCAGCCAAGCCAGTCATGGTTATTTTGTGATTCCTAACCCCAAGCTCAGCCCATGCTAGTATGCAGCATGCCTAAATTCCATTTGCAGGTATGAGTATGTTGGCTAAGATTGAATTTGACGGCTGCTTCCTGAGCTAGAGAAAAGGAGCTTTAATTGCAAACACTATGCCTTATATTGATGTTTATTTCCCATTGTTCCTCATCTTGAGTGACTCATGGCTTTTTAAGCAATCATACATATTTATGACTGATACCTCAAAAGTGACTCTTCTGTTATTAGCAAGTTATTGGCTCATATTTTGCTGATAACCCAGGTATTCATGTAACAAGGGGATTCTGAGTGCTGGAAGGTTGAACACCATGAGATGCGTGGCTGTGTGGGCTATGCTGGCAAAGCCACCCCCATTTCTCTGTGCTGGAAAGACTTCCTTTCCTGCAAGTTGATCAAGTCCCACCTACCTATTTCACAGGGGAGACTGAAGCCCACAGAGTTTAAGTGACTTTTCAAGTTCATGTTACTGATTGGTAGCAGACTTAGCATGGTTTCCTGACCTCAGGGCTGTTTTCTCACTGGTGTTCTGTGTTGCTTCTTCTTGTTTGTCATCCCGGGGAGGATTAGGGTGCTTCTAAATTGATTTGTAGACTTGAGCAAAGCAAATCCAGCCACGTACCTAAACAATCAAGAACTGCAGTAAGGCATTTTGTATTCAGACAAGATATTTGTAAAATCAACTTAAAATTGTTTTTAGTATTAGCTGATCATTAGCATTGTAAGAGATGTAGAAACATATTTTAAAATGTTTTATTGACATTATAATAATACACTTAATTTTGTAGATTAAATTATTTATCCAAATTTGGGAAACACATTTGCTGGCGATTAACTACCCACCTTGCCCCGGAGAATTCTGCTAATAGGAACTTTGTCAGAATAACACACGTATTACTCACACTAGCTGCCTGGTACAGATATCAGCGCCCATTTAAGAGATGAGGAAATGGAGGCTCAGTTGAATTAACTACCCACCCAAAGACATACATTGTGGCTGTGGCAGTGTTAGCTACAAAGGTGGCTCATACTCCTGAGCTCTGTGCCGTTCCTGCCTCTGTAACTGTGCTGTTCCTGCCTCTGTAACTAATCAATGCTCTGCGTATATGGGGCTTGTAAGGCAGTGGCTTTATTCATTCTGTACATGAGGACTTCCCTCTCTTACCCTTTAGAAGACGAACTTGAACACAGCCAAATAGTGTTGTTTTGCAGAAGGAACCCAGGGTGCAATGCCCCCAATGGCATTTTGTTTTCTTAGCTTTGTTAAATCTTTTAATTAAAGCATGTTAACAAAGCCAAAGAAAAATAAATGACACTGCTTGCAAGGAAATTAAATCGAGGAACTAAGCCCATTTATAATTATTGTATTTCAATTAGGCTGTAACAGGGCCGGGTGAACAGAAAGATAAAAAGAAGCAATACAAATGTTGGAGTTTCATAAATATCTGCAAAGTCCTGTTAGAAATAGAGCAATATAAATAATGCTTTAAAATAGTCAGTGTCCCTGGGCAGTACCCTTTATGCTAATTACTATGGGAAATAATTCATCTATGATGATCTCACCAAAATATGTTATAGGAAGCTAGCAAAGCCCATTTTTTTCTTCAACAAATGCATGGAATTCTTTTGAAGGAAGATGTTACATCAACACATGATAACCTTTTAATTTATTATCATAAAATTAGAATACAATTAAACATTTGAAAGAGCTAGAATTAGATTTAAATTATTCCTCTATATTTTAATGTGCAAATATCTAATATTCACTGAACAGAGAAACACATAACTCATCAGTTTCCATTTAAGCCATATTTATCTCAGCATCTAAAAAATAGTGGCATATATGTGCAATTTTTATTCTGAATTAAAAAAATTTGATGTATCGCTTTATTCTTTCTTTTGAATATTAGGTAAACCATGCCTTGTCTACACCAGTGCAAGAGTAGGAAAGGAAAACTGTGGATTTTTTCTTGGGGAAAGCAGTCATCTGTGTGGCCTGGCTCCCCCAGGGACAGGGCCACCCCCATGACTCCCATCCCCCAGGAGGGCACTGACCAGGACCAGGGACATGCTCCTAAGCGTGCCTTTGCTTTGCCCTCACTCTGTACTCACCCTGGGCAGGCAAGCCTGCCTTACGCCTTAGCTTTGGCATCTGAAATAGTGCAGCAGTCAATTTAAAAATTCTCATGCTTTATGCAGACTCAACAGGAAACCATCTTTGCCAGAGCTGAGGCACAGTGCACGCTCAGTGAACTACAGGTTTTATGGTTACCATTATTTTCTACCAGCATCTTGTTTTTGCTTGTCTTTTCTAGATGAATAAATCTTGCTTAAAGACATGCACGTCATCTGGGGAGAGTGCAAACTCTTCTGACAACTGTTTGTTACTGACTCGTAGGAGATGAGCATAGAAACAGGACTGAAGCACTGGAAAGTACTTTTTAACAACTGGACAGGACAGTTTTATGTCTGTTGAATCTAATACTAAAATGCATTTGAGTATGGAATTTTATGAGTGTAAAATTTCCTCATACTAGGAATTTTAAAAAATATTTTAAAAAAGTGTTCATACACATCAGTTGGAAAATAACTAAACATACACACACACACACACACACACACCACACACACACACACACACGGACTTTCTCCACAGATAATCTGAGAAATACTGGTTTAGACCATTTTGTTCCCATGTAACTGAGATCCAGAAGTCATCCCATGGAACATGGCGAGGGAGGGTGAGGAGGACTGGCAGGCCCTTCGCCGGCTGTTCCCAAGGGTCTGGGATGTGTTGGAAGGGGGAAATCTGGGGATTCATAGCAGCCGAATGGGATCATCTCCATGGTGGGTTTTCTTAATCTCACATGTAAGCCTTCTGCCCCCAGACAACTGTCTTCCCTGGGGCCTGCCTATCTCCTCCAGAATTCTCCAGGACCTCTGCCAAGGGGAAGCCACTTTGAAGAGGGTCCTCATCAGGGGTTCTGCAGGGGAGTGCCACGACTGGACAGCCTGGGTCTGAAGCGAGATCTGGGGAGCACCTTCACCTTCACTTTCACCAGGAGCACTTCTCAGGCTCCCCGTGAACCCAGGGGCCCGTGCACTGGCCCTGCCAGCTGCCCGCCTCCTGGGTGAGCAGAGGCATTAGCTGCTATTCGTGCCCTGTCATTTGGACAGCATGTGACCTGCCACTGCTGGCTTTAAATTACAAATACATACATCCCTACACTTGAAATTAGAGGGTAGTAAGATTCACCTGTCACCCAGGGAAATGGAACAAAAAATAAATTTAAAAAGGAAAGAAAAAAGAAAGAGAGCAAAAGTGAAACCTAAATCTGCATCCACACTGGTGACCGACTGTGATGTATCCCTATCCAGGGCTCCCTTCAGACTGGTGGAAGGGATCCTCCTCCCGTTTCTGCACTCCTGGGTGGCTCTGAGCTCCCCTTCCCACCCCAGCGCCGACTGTGGGCAACAAGGGGGTGCTCTGTGCCCTCCCCACCAGGAACATTAAAAATGTGGGCTTCAAGACAGTGCGGGGCCCCTAACTGGAAAGCTTTCTTCACTGAGATTAAGGCCAGCTTCTTCCCCACCTTGTAGGGGAGAGGAGGAGAATGGATGCTGTGGAGAAGCCCAGGCTCAGGGTGCAACCCTGGAGGGCAGGATCCCACCTCATTGTCCTAAAGAGAGGGTTGGCTCCTTCTCCTTTTTAGCTTTTCCCCCATCCATCAGCGGCCTAGCCGGGCACACAGACATTTTCGAATTCCCCTATTTTTCTATCTTTTTTTTTTGGAATGTAAAATATACATGTTCGTATGAAATATTAAGGCTTTACTCTAACTTAGTGTACCAATATTTTTTAGTCTGCAGAACACATTCAGTGTCTGGCGTTTAACCTCTGTAGGAAAACCCCGGTATCTGCATGCAGCATGCGTGTGGGGGTGGAGCACACACAGCCTTTGTTATTAAAGGCTATCCTGTTCTCCAAGAGGACGCGTGACATTCAGGGGACAGCCTTAACTTACCAGAGGTGTTTATTAAAGACAGGTGCACGCAGGCAAAGGTTCAGGGTGAGAAGAAAATGCAGCGACCTGGCCCAGCCCCAGCTGGTCAGGCTGGGCCACACGCGAGGAGGGAACAACTGGGGAAGCAAGGCTGCCAGTGCAACCCAGGCCCCAGCCCAGCCTCAAGCTGCGCACACGCTCTCCAATTGCTTTAGCCTCAAGCAGTTGACATTTACCCCAGCCAGATAATCGAGGAATAACATTTGCGTTACAGTTTAACATGACCTCTGCCTCCACAGCTCTTTTTAGATTAGCTTCTTTAAAAAAAAGAAAGAAAGAAAGAAAAATGGTCGCTGACACTAGAGTGAGGCAGGAGGTGGGAAGAAGGGGAGCCAAAGCTTATTACTGTAGGGCACAGACGATGTCGCAAGGAGCTGCTCTGCCCTTTCCAGCTGCGGGTGAGCAACTATTAAGGGGAAAGTATTAAAAGAGGGGTGTGGGAGCTGTGTGAGGCTGTGGGTCAAGCTGGAAGCAAAGGTTAATGGATTGACTATTACCTGTGTAGGAAGCGCAGGGCAGCCAATCCTCTGGGGGGTTCGGAAGTGCTCCATTCTCTACCACGGAACTGATGGAGGAGGTCCCTGAGTCTAACACTGGTGGCTGAGCTGCCTGCTCACTTTCCAGAAAATGTGCAAGCAAAGTGTCTCTGTCTTTAAAATTCACATTATTTAGGCATCTAAGAACTGCATTAGGGACAGAGGACAGGCTCTCCTGCACCTTGACTCATTCCCACATCCTGTTTACGTGCAACAGACCAACTGGTGGCCAGAGATTCTCTTGCTATAACCAACGGTAGTGAGGGACTGGGGTGTAAAAATTAAAACACTAATCCCTAGACAGAAAATATAATTCGAATGAAAATATGAAGAAACTGGTTTTAGAAAAAGAAATCAAATATAGCTCTGACAGCACCAGCAGCAAGCTGTTCCTTTTCCCCCCCACAAGAACTCTTTCCCTTAAAACTCCCCTTAATTGAATAGCTAAGAATCATATTCTTCCACAGAAATAGCAGAACATGTTGCAAATGTGTGCCTGATCTGACAATCCATATATTGCAAGGTGATGCTGCTTCTGAAGATCCAGGACTCACACTAATGCAGCTGGAAGGAAACTTTTAATATTTATTACTGGATTGAGCCACTGGCTTCCCAGGAACACCCACATCTAGAAAAGTTGCAAAATGCAGCCCTTCCTTGTAAATGGAGCCTGAACCATGGGAGATCATAACATATTTTTTTAGTCAAGTTTAGGAGTGAGAATATATGCATTACTAAAACACAATTTTTTTTTTTTTTGCCATTGCAGCCAAAATGCCTATTTTTGTTTTGGTGACACTGAGTTGTAGTGCCAACCTTGGCATTTTTTGTGTGTGGTGAGCTGATATCGTAGACCTGAAAATTCACAGGATACACAAATGACTAAGGACAGACTAAGTGACCCCTGTATCCAGAATGAAGCCATACTCTTCAGTGGAATAAACATCTATGAAAACGGTGACATGGCTCAAGTTGCTCAGTCTGCCTGGTTATGGCTTTTGGCAACATCAGCCAGAGGAAATTTGTTTTAAAACCCCAAATCCTCTGAAGGGTATGCATGACCTTTTCAATTATTTTTACTTTTGTTTATTTCATCGACATCACCTTTTGCTCCATTTTCTTACATTAGCAGTGCGTGAGTGCATTAGCCTCAAGAGTGATGTCCAACAATTGTGTGGTATTTGCCAGACACTGTTCTGACCTCCTGACACATTCATTAATGTTAATTCATTTAACAATGCCTATCAAATAGAGATTTCAATATCTTTTAAGGAATTAAAATGTAAAAATTTGAACTAATCCAGAGAGGTAAAATCCTTTATATCTAGACTGACGTAAGAAAAGGAGCAAGACAGTGTAGGAAGGGGAGACACTCAAGTTTCTCTTAAGAGTTAAATTGATTTCCAGGCATCCCTTCTTTAAGATATGTCAATTCATTGGAAAGTCACACTTTAGTGAGGCTTGGAAATGGTATCACAGTTCAAGCGCTACAAATTGCAAAGAACATTCCACTCCTAAGCCTTTCTGATGTTGCTAACTCGTTGGTTGTGGTTGCTGTGTGCCCTACAAAAGTCGATTTGGCCAAGGTTCCTGCCACTGCAGTGGTTATGTGTAGCAAAAAGCAGCGGTGGGGAGGCCTCAAGTTTTGCCTGATATCCAGGGGCACAAAGGAGATGGCTGAGGAAGCCATCGGCATTCAGCAGCCTTCTGACCTGCCCGACGTCTTTGAAAGGACGACCTGCTGACACTGGAGACTCTGTACTTGTTATTTAATTAAGAGAGAAAGGATTTCAGTGGAGAGAAGGCTTTGAGCTTCCTTCGTAATTTTTGCTGACCAATCCAATTATGTGGGTAATTGCAAGTATATTTTCAAAAGCATGGGAATCTGAGAGTCGTCAGCTGCAAAAAAAATCAAGATCTAATCAAGTGCACTGCTGTTGTGAAAAATATTAAAGAGGAGAATATTAAAAATAACAACAGAGTTTCAGTGTTAAAAATGTGGGAAGTTGTCACACATTCTCCATTCTCATCACCTGTTCCTAGCATTTGATTTCTGCCTGCAGGTCTCTGCTGCACAGTCATGAGATTTCTGCTTACTCCCCGTTGGTGGTGGAAGGGTGTAGGTGGCTCTTTTGCGACTGTAGTCTGCAACTGGTTCTGCATGCATTAGAATCCTTACCACACAAAGAGGTGGCCACAATAACAAAGCCATTCCTCTCTGCGAAGGTGAATATTAAAATAGTTTGTTTAGGTTTCAGTTCTACAATACGCAAGGGCTGTATCTTTCTGAATACATTTATTTCAAGGTACTTAAAAACTGACTTTTATGAGATTATTTAGGCAGTGATTATTTTTGTTGAGAAATGTGTCCTTTATCCCTCTCATTCATCCACTGCTAAGATATTTCTGTTTGTCAGAATGCCACCGTTTCTGATAAATGACTGAAGACTGACTGCTACACTTTATTAAAAAGTAATAACAATTTTTGTATGCACCCTTCACATTGTAAGGGGGGGACATGAATCAAAGGACACTGCCTGTCTGGGCCTGATAAATGGGCCGTTTACCAGCTGAGGAGTTATTTAGGACTGGCTATTAATTTAAATCACATTTATCTTCCCTGAATGGGGGAGGTGGCTGTGATACGGCTACGAATGACCAATGGAGCAGCTAAGTGCACATTATTTATTACCACCGCCTCTGCAGGGCTGCACAATATGTTAAAAAAAAGAAACAGTGCCAATTACCGCAGTTAATCTCGTCAGGGCAATAACAAATTTCTTTCCAACACAAGGCAATTTTTATTCTTGCACTTTTTCTCCTCTACATGCAGACTTTGCTTATAATTCTCCATCATTAAACTCAATGTTCTCATTCTTTTCTGAGTGCTCACGGGAAATTTTTCCACTTCTCTGCCTCACCTTTGTCTGGAGAACAGCACATTCTTAATACACAACCCACAATGAAGTGTGTTCTTTTGAACATTTAATGAACATTTGTTGGTGAGATGGTGAGATGATGGGTATTGCAAATCAGATTGGCCATATTTTATTATTAAGTGTTTCCTCATTCATAATAATGCTTTTTGCAGAGCTTTCCATTCACCTAATTCTTAATATGTGAAGTAGCAATTGGGAATAACTAATCATTAGCATTGTTTGGTCAATTAACTTCAATTTGATGGATCTACCACAGAAGATGAAAATATTTCTAATAAAATGCATCTCAGGCACATATTAATCCAAATATGAACAATTCAACTTGCTGTTAGAAAGCCCAAGGCAGGATGTGCACTGCTGCCTGGGTGCACCTGTTCCTATTGCCTGTGCTCCAGAGACCACATGTCAATCCTCACACGTTTTAGACCCTCAGAGGATAAGCAGCACAGCATTAGGGGACTGTCCTAACTGGCTTCCCTGAGTCATGCATTCACCCCACTTTGTCACCAATATCTTGCTTTATGACATTAATACACTCCCCCAAATTGGATAGAATAAAATTGTGTTAAACAGAATCAAAACTCAAATGTAAATTCTTTTTTTTTTTTGAGACAGAATCTCACTCTGTTGCTCAGGCTGGAGTGCAGTGGCACAATCATGGCTGACTGCAAACTCCACCTCCTGGGTTCAAGTGATTCTCATGCCTCAGCCTCCCAAATAGCTGAGACTACAGGAGTACGTCACCACATCTGGCTAATTTTATTTTTAGTAGAGATGAGGTTTCACCGTGTTGGCCAGGCTGGTTTCAAACTCCTGACCTCAAGTGATCCACCTGCCTCAGCCTTCCAAAGTTCTGGGATTACAGGTGTGAGCCACTGTGCCCAGCCCTCAAATGTAAATTCTAAAAATCAAAATATACACCTGTGTAGCACTCTGAATGTGCTTGTATTTACACCTGTTTATGGTAGGTAGAAGGATCATTTTAAAATCCTGACTGCATTTGATTTTCTGACTGTTCTCATCAAAGTAACTACATCTGAATGGTTTTGGGGGGCAAAGGCATGCATAGGGAAACCAACACAGGAGACTGAAGAAAAATGACCCAAAAGTGGATGTGAGCAACATGCATGGTTTGTTTGCTTCTCTGATTTTGATTTGACACTTGGAGGCTGGTCAGGTGCTGGAGGAATCTAAAGACAGAGGGTTCCTTAAACCTCCTTGGAAAAGGCAGTTCGGACCCCTCAGCAGCCGGAAACGCATCCCAGTGAGGGTGGGTGGGAGATCCCTGTGCAAACTGTGGGCCTCTGAGTGGAAGTGCCCTGGCATATCCACCTGCTCCGAGGGACCCTCCTTGGCTTCAGAGCCTGCCGCCGCAATAACCTCGGCAGTCAGCCCACCGCCACTCAAGCAGGACATGAGGTGTGGGTGCTGCAGAAGGCTGGGGCATGCAGTCACCTCCCTCAGGCTCTCAGCTGGGCCTTTTCCAGTTAGTACTGAGGGGTGAGCACTTCACTTTGGGGCCCTGGCAGGGCACCAGAAACCTTCCTGGTGGTGGGTGGGGGTGGTCCCTCATTCTTGTTGGAAGTGGACGGGTAAACATGCTCAGCACTGTAACCTTGCAATGTTAACTGCTACTGAATGTTCAGATTCACAGAGAGCCCCAAATTCTTTTGGCCTTCCTTGGTGACGTTTTCCATTCACAGGTCATCAACAGTCACTCCTGTTGATTCAAGCTGTTGCCTTCTCCATCCCACCAGAGCCCATGCTCCTGGGCCTTTGCTTTCCTGTGGACCTAAACTTCTCCCCTCCCATTCTCAGCTCAATTGAACCTCAAGTCCTTTCTGCTTTCACCCATGGAACTGCCCCCTCCAGCTCTGGTCAGAGTCTCTTTTTCTGTGACACAACCTGAGAGACAGCCTCTGAAAACATGTCCTTGACATCTGTCTCCAGTTCCCTGTACTGCTCAGACTGGCCCAGACTCATGGGAGGACCATTCACCCCCTGGCCCCTGGATACTTCACTGCCATTTCTCTAGTGTCCTTCTAGACACTCTGCCGCCTACATTCTGGCCCAGGTGTGCTGACCACATAACACTCTGTTTGCCTCAAAAGGTAACCATCCTGAAGCTGGTATGCCCTGTCACATAAGCTGCAAGGTCCATTCCCTTCCTGTCCTCTCTAGCTTGGCTGTGTTACAGAATATGGAAGCTCAATAGCTTGAGTGACCCTTGTCCACAATTAACTGTTTAAGTCTTGCCCAAGGATACAGTCATTATCTTTAGAGCCACATCACCTTATTTGAACCATCACTAGTGAGAACAAACCATCCTTTGAGCACACAGTTAAGTTCTAGAAATGCAAAATAAGGTTCTAAAGAGCTCTATTTTGTAAATGAGGTAGGAGAGTGAGATGAGGGCATTTCCAAGCAACACTTTCCTATGGTCCTGTCTACTCCATGGCATGGGCTAGCCCATAACATGCACAATTTCATGTAGGAGTGTCATTCTCCATTCACCCACTGCAGAAGCTTCCAAGTTATTCTTAACTAGTTCATTCCCTTAACAGCAATCCTGTCCTGACACTCAATAGGAAGAGTCTCTCAAATAGTGTCTTTATCTCAATTTTCATCAACAATGTGCTAGTTTTTGCCTTACCATTATCATATAGAAAACTGCAACAGCTTCCCCATGGTCTCTATGTCTCTGTGGTCTTCCTTACTTAGTGTGTGTCTGGCTATTATTCTAAAATACCCCAGAGTTCAAAATTCCTAAAAGACCTTCCATTTCAGCATCTGAGATTATACACAAAAAATCAAGTCATTATCCCTAATTTTCAGTTAAATTTCAAATATTTATTTTTCCCTTCCATTCTCTCTTTCCTCCTCTTCTGGGATTCCAGTTACCTGTAGTTCTCTCTTATTTATATTAGATGACTTTATTGATCTATTTTCAAAGCCAATGAGTCTTTCAATTTCTGGTGATATTTTTTAAATTTCAGATTTTTTTTTTTTTTGAGACGGAGTCTCGCTGTCGCCCAGGCTGGAGCGCAGTGGCGCAATCTCGGCTCACTGCAGGCTCTGCCCCCTGGGGTTCACGCCATTCTCCTGCCTCAGCCTCCCGAGTAGCTGGGACTACAGGCGCCCGCCACCTCGCCCGGCTAATTTTTTGTATTTTTAGTAGAGACGGGGTTTCACCGTGTTAGCCAGGATGGTCTCTATCTCCTGACCTCGTGATCCACCCGCCTCGGCCTCCCAAAGTGCTGGGATTACAGGCGTGAGCCACCGCGCCCGGCCTAAATTTCAGATTTTTTAAAATTATAAAGTATCTATAAAATTTTATAGATATCTTCAATTTTACTTGTAAAATTTTCTATCTTTGTATTAATCACAAAAATATTTTTCTTTATCCTTATGAGCATAGTAACAGTAGAGTTTTGAAGCCCTTTTTGAAGATGCCCAAACTCAGAATCGTCTTGGGTTTGGGATCTGTTTTTTGCTTTTCCCTTTATACTGGGTCATATTTTCCTGAGTCTTCTTATGTTGAGTAATTTTGGATTATATCCTGGGCATTGTTCAGTCTCCAAATGGGTCCAGACAGCTGTCTCTGTAGTTTATCCAGAATTTATAGCTGGTGTTAGGTTTTCACTCATCCACGTTGAAAGAGAAGCCACTCTAATGTCGTTTTCAGCCTCATCTCTCAATTCTTTCCCTGCAAATATTTGCTTCAACATTATAGGCAAACCAGTCTCTTCACTCTGTCGTGGGCAAGCCCAGAGCTTTTATCTGACATGACAGGCTTTAAAGTGTCCTTTCAACAGCAGGACAAAGTGAAATACACAGATATTTTCAATAAATAAATAAATAAATAATAAATAAATTTTTGTTTTCCTGGAGTAAGAAAAACAAAAACAAAAACGAGAAAGAGCATATTTTCTTTTCGGTGGAAACTCAGGGAGGAAATTTTAATGTACAAAGTAAGATTTCTCCTGCCAAATTCCTAAATGAATAGGGATATTTTTAATTTGCCAAAACGTCCACTTTATTCAATACTTTTCTATGATGTAAAGTTACTGAATGTTCAGGATAAAAATAATATTTTGATATTTATGGAAGAGATTGTTAAAAAATCAGAAAATTCTTTGAGGGCCCACTTGTGAAACCAGCAAAGACAGAAGGAGAAGGGCCAGTTGATGTTCTGCATTTATAAAAGCATGTGCCAGCCTTCCACACCGTGATAATGTGCATAGGTTTAAGGAAAATGACATAGTTTTGTTGCATGCAGACTTCTAAATATCATCATTTTGAGGCAAATTAAAAATCAGAGGTCATATAAGAATTATCTATTACGTGTTCATCATTTTCCTGAGCTCTGTGGGGATACAAGAGAAGCCTTCTGCCATCTAATACCTTAGAAGCTGAAGAGTAGTCTGGTCACTTTGCAGCCTGGTAAAGTGCTATAGAAACATAACCGTCCTTCCACCTTGCAACTCAGCATCCCGGTGTCCTGAATATAGTGGCTAAGGAGATTCGGCAGGTCAACCAGCCATAGAGAATGGCTATCACTTCCAATAATCTTTTCTTTATGCTCTACTTTTCATACTTTGGGAACATCTGTTACCCTCTGTGTTCTTCACCTCTGCTTCTTCATAGCATCAGACCTCACTGTATTTTTTTATACTTACTGCTGATAATCTAATCAGCTGGCATTCAACTAGAGTTGTCACTCATCTAAAGTCATAATAAAAGTCAGTGGTATGGAGTGAGAAAAGTCAATTTTATATGTGTAGTAAATGCACATAAAAATACAGGTATCAGATTTTCAAAAAAAATAAAGTATTATTCTCCATCAAGAAGTATTTAACATGATAATTGAAGATTTGTATTTTCGTGTAATTTTGAATGAAATCTTCTGGTGAAATAATAGAAATAAGTCAGTTGTCCCATTAAAACATAATAACTTACTTCTTTTGCTTATCTACACAATTATGTGCATACATTAGCTGGGGTGAGGGTGTCATGTAATGTTCAAGTGAAGAAAATGTCTTAAGTTGTATTTTGACACTGTAATCAAATGTGGAAAGTGCTTTGAAAATTTTATTTGCTTTAATGAAGCATGAAAGTAAATAATTGTCTCTTCATGGACATTTAATTCTTTCTCTATTTTTTCTAGGCTTCTTTATAATCCACTTTTTTCAATTATTTTCCAAATTTACAAGAGATATTGGCCTAAAATAAAGAATTCTTAGTGTCCACTTATTAAAAATAATGTGAGACAAGGCAATAGAAAACCCTCCATTTCAATCTGTCTTAATAACCTACAATCTTTATACATCCCACCTGAAATTTTGGCTCCCTTTGAATTCTACAGCTGTTGGTTCTCCATAAGAAGTATAAGCAAAATGAGTTAACTAGAGCTGTGGCACTCAGAAAGAAGTTAGAGATGCGGATCGGGGTGATAGGAAAGTAACCCATGTTTAGACAGCACCTGGAGAGAATACACTATAGGTGAGAAACGTACCTTTAAAAGAGGAAATCTCCTTATGTAATAGGTCAAATGTAGAATCTGTGGTTGCAAGATTGTACCGCTCTCACCAATTGGCACATCTTGAGTGTTTTAAAGAAGAGAGGGAGAAGCTCACAAGGGGGTTTTTCTATCAACCAACATCAAACACTGGGAAGAGAAAAAGCTTTGTAGATAGCAAGTGACACCTGATAGCAAGTGTCAGCCAGTTCTGCCACTCCCACTAGGTGCCACTCCCACTAGGTGTTAGTGGGAGTAGGTGCCCGCCACTCCCACTAACAGCCTCATCTTGCTGACCTGTGTCCTCATGCAGGGATAACAGTGCTGCTTTTTACTTTGAGCAAAGAATGCAGAGAAATCTTACAGTGCCCAGTATCTAGTAGGAATTCAATAAATTGAAGTTATTTCTCTTACCATTGTCACCATTATCACCATCACCACCATCACCATAATCATCATCCTATAATCACTATCAACATCATCATCATTGTCATCACCACACCATCACCACCATTAACATTACCATTACCATAACCATCATTATCATCACCATTATCACCATCACCACTGTCATTATCATCATCTTCACTATCACGATCATCATCAACACCATCACAATCATCATCATTATCATTATCATCACCATCAACATCATTGTCATCACCACACCATCACTATCATCATTATTATCTCCATCACCACCATTACCATCACTATCACCACCATTATCCTAACCATCACTATCATCATCATCCCTATCATCATCACCATAATTATCATCACCGTCACCATCATCATCATCATTATCACCATCACCATCACCGTCATCATCATTGCAATCACCATGCCCATGATTAGCATCCCTATCATCATCACCATCACCATCATCATTATCATCACCATCACCATCATCATAATTATCATCAATACTATCACCATCATCATCATCCTCATTCTTATCACCATCACCATCATTATTATCACCATGCTCATCATCACCATCACCATTACCATCACATCACTATCATCATCATCATCAACATCAACTCATTGTCATCACCATCATTATCACTAAGTTATTATCATTGTCTTGATATGTACCCCAGGAAGAGACAAACTAGAACACTAAGTACTAGGAGAGCCTTGAGGATCACATAATTCAGGCTAAGGAGTTGATGGGCATGGTGCAGAAAGGGGCCAAACTCGGGGGATGGATGCTGAAGATGTGTGCCTTGGGTCACTGTGGCCAGCCATCAGGATGCCCTCTGAGTGGTACTGTCTCTTCCAGGTGCCAAGATTTTTAGGATGGCTCCACACAGAGGCACCTCCCTAGGCCACCTGCCTTCTCAGTCCCTTCAGTTGTTATATTCAAACCTCACCTGCCAGTACCAGATCCTTGGTTTAACCCTGAGACCTCAGAGAGGGGCAGAGCAGGCAGATCTGGCCTCTGTTCCTGTGGCTTCACACCCACTTCTTTCCTAGATCTTCTGGGACCTCAGAGATTGGGCTGTAGTGTCTTGAGGCAGTGTGAATGCAGCAACTGGTTTGGGATAGGCACCAGAAAACATGAAATCAGAAACAAAGTATCTAGTCAACATGTGAATTCTATCAGGCTCTCACTTTTTTCATAAATTTTCTAAGTTTAAAATAAATACCAAATCATACATATATTTTTAAATTGGCTACTTATCATCCTCATGTATTATAATAATTTAGGTGTATTTTCATTTTCTTGTATCCTATAATTAAATGCTTGCTCGAGTTTGTAAAGTGAAGCAGTTTCACAAAGCCATGATTCACTGTATTCCAACACAATGCTAGATGATCAATTGCTGAGTCTTTGAAATACTCAGTAGAGCAAACTCAATGTTAATTTTCAGGCATTTCTTTCAAGTGGCCTTTTTAATTTTCTGAGTTTCAAAGCAGGTGAGACTTCTTTCTATTTTCAGAGAAGTGTGCTTTCTATGGGTGTTTTAGTTTGATTCTGAAATGTTTTCCAAATTCTTAACTTATTTGTATGTGGCATAAAGAGTGAAGATGCTAAAAGTCAACTCCCGCGTAGGAAGCACTGATTCATGCCTAAACATGGATGAACCCTGCAGTGCTACGCTAAGTGAAAGAAGCCGGAACAGAAGGTCAGATGTATGAGTCCACATGTAGGAAATAGTCAGAGGGCCAATTCTCAGAGCCAGAGGCAGAACACAGACTTCCGGGGGCTGTGGAAGGAGCAGGTGGGGACTTATTGTTTAATGGATATAAAGTTTTTGTTTGGGATCATGAAAAAGTTCTGGAAATAGTGGTGATGGTTAACCCAATATTTTGAATGAATTTAATGCCATGGCAGTGTATACCTGAAACTGGTTCAAATGGTCATTTTTCTGTTATGTGCATTTTACCACAATAAAAACAAAATAAAAATCAACCTCTTGCAAATCAGATGAATGCACTGAAAGTAAAGAAAATAAAGTGTGCTTCCTGAGCAAGTGTGAGCGGCAATTTCCATTCAAGGACCTCTCAGGAGGCGGGCTCTTGGTGGGGGCAGGCCCTGCTTGGCCCAGCAGCCCTCCCTGACCTCAGAGGGTGCGTCATTATTTATTAGCAAAGCAATCTGGCTGCAGTGCGCCGTCAGCAGCCAGACGCCAATATAGAAAGGTCACAGCCTCCAACACTGCGCCAAGGGTGTTAGAGCAAATACAAATACAGCTTTTTAATTTCAGCTGAATTGATTAGATAACAATTGGAAGGTGTCACAGGTCAGGAGGTGCGAGCCAGCAGGTCAACAGAGAGAAAGGAGCCCGGGGCAGTGGTCACAGGGGTGCCAGGCTGCCACCCTCACCATGCCATGGCCCTTGTCTTCATAAATGAAGAAATGTCCACTCGGGACCCAGATGCTTTCCACAGGACCAAGCACATGGCTCAGGGCCACCCCACAGTCAACACAGGTTAGAAATTAGTCTCTATTTGAAGTGAAATACACAAAGGCTCTCAAGGATTTTGAAAGGTGAGAAATAACGCCAGTGCCCAGTAGCACTGAGACTTGGAGTCACTGATACCCGCGTGTGGAGCTGTGTATGGCTTCCAGGCCTCAGAGCCACGGCTGTGGCTCTTCCTGGACGGGATGAAGGTACAGGAGACAGGAAGGGTGGGGCCTTGGCTACTTGAGAGGCCACCACACCAGCTCAGCCCACAGAAGGTCTCACCTGTCCACAGCCCGCCAGTCCATAGGTTTAGGACTCACCCACAAGATGAGGCAGTGACAGCAGGGCCATGGTCCTTGTGGGAGGCAGCCTTGCTGTGCAGCAGTGAGGGGTATTCCTTCGCGTTCCTGTCATCCAGCTGACAATCTCTGGGTTCACAGACTAAGTGTCCAGAATCAAAAAGGCAGCATGGGACATCTACCCAAACCTCAGAAAAGGAAATGAGCAGAGATTCATCACAAAAAGGCATAAACATACATATATGCATGTACGATTATTTAATTATATAAACACATTGTCTCACAAATCATCACACACATGCATGTAAATGTCATGGGATAATACTCTTGCCAATGAAAACTGGCAATTATTCAAAAGTACATGGCCCAGGAGTCTCTGCCAAGACCTCCTCCCTTGTCAATGGTGCAAGTTTCAGAGGCGGTTTCGAAGCGTCAGAACACAGGACCCTCTCTGTGGAGATGCAGACTGTGGGTCCTCTCTCTCCCACGGAAGGGTTTCGGATGCCTCGGCTACCCAGCTGCGACGGGACCTCCAGCTCAGAACCGGCTGGTGGGCTCGGTGCCACGAGAGCTCCCGGACGTGGATGAAACCCAAGGAATCCCCTGGGATGGCCAGGGGAGGAGGAGCCACGTGGCTGCTGGAAGGCATCACAGCTCAGCAGCCCGGGAAGACGCTCCTCGCTGCCCGCAGGCAGCTACAGGCATGAGGCTTTCCTCCGACCTCCTTCTTGCTCATTCAAGAGTATATTCTGGAATGGGAGTCAGACAGAGAAATGTGATCACCTCACCAGGCTTTAGTCTGCTCTCACTCGCAGAAGAAGACAGCAGCCCTCCGCCCATGGCGTTGGTGCGTCCTGGGGATGGTGCTGTGCCTCCTAACAGACCCGCACTCCGCCACACCTGGGCTCTGGCCGCCCCCAGCTGCTGAGCCGCTTCCTCTCCCGTCCTTCTCATAGCGTGCACTCACAGTGGAGCCCCAGAACTTGGGCGTCTGCATCACATTTTTACCAGAAACAACAAAAGGCAACTTTGGGAAAACAGACAACTTACCCTGAGATCAGGGAACTGAATTTAGAACAAGAAGTCCCACCTAAGTTTGGACAGAAATAAATCTTAAGGAATAATTTATCTGTGCATTTTGTTTGTTGGAGTAGGAATCCCTTCCAACCTGGTTCATATCTTGTACAATTGCTGGGAGCCTGGCTACCTTTCATCCTCCAAAAGTTTATGGTCTAGAAGCCACAAAGACAAGGAAAACACTTTTTGTTTCCTTTCTATTAAGATTCATCAATGCATTGTAAGTTAGAAAATAAACCTGAAAATCTGTGATGTGAACCATAACCCATAAACTCACACAGATTTTTATCAGAAGTTATGTTTCATTTGTACTCTTTCCCAAAGAAGGAAAGGACTGTTACGAAAAACTGTCCGCTGCTGATAGGTAGGGAAGACAGTAAGCCCCGGTGTCCATTGAGGTCATTTTTCTGATGCTGATTCTTGAAACAGGCCCATTAATTTATGGATTGGCAATCTTCACTAGGGTCAATGAGAACAGCAACAGTCAGCTTTTGCTACTTGAGTGAGACAAGCATCCCGTAGCCTGCTGCTCTCAGCCTTCACTTCAGCTTCCTCCCTTTCCTTTTCCTTTCTCTTCCCAGCAGACCCACACCTATGCTTTTTCAGAATGCATCCCAGGAGGAAACCAACTTCTTCTGTGACTTTAAACCTTTCATGTTGAGATCTAGAACAATTCATCATGATAGTCATAAAGAAGTCTGGGGCTTAGCAATGCAGACATATTCGAGAATGAAGTTTTTAAAAATAAAATATCTGGGAATGTTCTCTCTGTACTCTTGTCAAAATGGATAAATACATTTATTTTAGAATTTTAAACATTTAAATTATGTATGTGTTGGATCTTCTCTTTGGCATCAGAAGGATCTCTCTGTGTCGAGAGGGCAAGGTGCCATGGGAAAGTGGCCCTGTGTTAGCGAGGAGCTGGCCCTAACCAAGATCAATGATCCCATCTCTTTCCTCTTCAGGGCTTAGCAAGCTATTGGCGGTTCACAGGACACCTAAAATAGTTAGCAAGCTATCGGCCACTCACGGGACACCTAAAATAGTTAGCAAGCTATCGGCCATTCACGGGACACCTAAAACAGTTAGCAAGCTATCGGCTGTTCATGGGACACCTAAAACAGGACTAAGAGAGAGAGAGGGGAGAGCAGCCAGGATCAAGAGTGCAGAGAATGCTGTTCTTTTCCTTTCTGCTTTCAATTTTGGGGATTGTCAGTATGTGCTGTCACAAATCAACATTTATTTATGGAGTGCTGTGGCTGGGGTGCTGCATTTTACCCTCTTGTCTCCATCTTTTCATCTGCAAATAGAGTCAGCCATGTTGCATAGCTAGACCTTAAATTAGGAATCAACAAATTAACATTAAAAGACCCGATCAGCGAATTTTATGTTTTTTCCATGCCATTAAGTAGGATGCATTTATTCATTATAATTATAAAAATAACGTTGATGTAAAATTGGAAAATTATAGAAAGAATGAATAATTAAATGCAAATTACCTGTAATCCCATAATTGGTCTTCAAGAGGGTATTTCAGAGCAAACAAGACACATACACGCTCACACACACACACACACACACACACACACACACAACTGGTATCATTTTGCACATCAAGGCTGGGAATCTGGACATCACCATGGGAAGCACTGAGCTATACTTCTGTACTTTCAGGGGCCCTACCACATCTTGACTTCCTCTTGCTTCTTAGAAGCTTTCAATCTAGTTGTCAAGAGAGTAAGTATTTGGAAAAAAACCCCAGATAATAATAAAATGCTTTAATAAGATTTCAGTATAAGAGCAAATCAATGCTACAGTTTAATGGATGATTTGTCAGCAAATGAACTTCCCAGGCAGTAGTTATAACAGCCATGGAGGGAGGCAGGGAAAGGGTAAGTGATCGCTCTTATTGAACATCTATACCATAGGCAGTGATGCAAATGCTTTATATAAACGATCTCATTAAATCCCATAACACCTGTAGAATATAATCTTATCTATTCTTTTTTACAGAGCTTGAAGCAGAGACTGTGCGAATAGAGGGCTTCCTTAAAGTATCACACAGCAAGGCTAAGCAGGGATAAATATTGGGGAGGCAGCGAGTTCTATGCTGGTGCAATTTTGGTGCACATGTGTGCAGTGGTTTTAGGAAACTTTGACTAAACACAAGTGATTAGTATAATTGATTCAAGCAGAGGGAATATTATGAAAGTGAGTGGAAGTCTCAGATAGTCCACAGTATTATCTAAGAGTCCTTTCTGAGCATCCTGCTCCATTTAAAGAGGATAAAAATATCCATGACATCAGTTGCTGTAAGGATTCAATAATACAGGAAAGTGTCAACACAATCAGCTTTTAATAAATAGTGTCTTTGATTGCTGGGAGATCTGCATTTCTGCACATCATTCGACCAAATCAAGTGTATGAACCAGTGGACCCATGCCAACCTGGAACAGAATTGCCAGTGCCGTTCTCAGGCCCCGTCCCAGGTTATTTGTCTAAAAGATGAATCAATGCCTTGGATAATGAAATTGCTGCCATCTCAAGCAGACACTCAGATGACATAGAACTGCCAAAGAGTGGTTACTAAGAGGCTTAAGCAGTTCACAATAGGCTGGGGCAGTGGATGAGTTCAGTGTCACAATGAATTATATAGAAACACATAATCACAACGTCCTTACAGGAAAATCCACACACACAAACACACACATGCAGACACACAGACACTGAATTAAAAACTTAACAGAAAGTGTTTTGTATTTTCAATGGAACTAGAGAGGCCATCAAAGTGGAAAAGAAGATATAACAAAATTTGATGATTTAATGAGTGAGGTAATTCAACAGGAAACTCAAAATTTATAAGATATTTCTATGCATATGCTGGGTGCGGTGGCTCACGCCTGTAATCCCAGCACTTTGGCAGGCCAAGGCAGGTGGATCATGAGGTCAGGAGATCGAGACCATCCTGGCTAACACGGTGAAACCCTGTCTCTACTAAAAATACAAAAAATTAGCCAGGCGTGGTGGCGGGTGCCTGTAGTCCCAGCGACTCGGGAGGCTGAGGCAGGAGAATGGCGTGAATCCGGGAGGCGGAGCTTGCGGTGAGCCTAGATCATGCCACTGCACTCCAGCCTTCCAGCCTGGGTGACAGAGCAAGACTCCATCTCAAAAAAAAAAAAAAAAAAAAAAACGATATTTCTAGGCATAAAGCCTTTTTTTAAATTTTTTTCTGAGATGGAGTTTTGATCTTGTTGCCCAGGCTGGAGTGCAATAGCATGATCTCAGCTCACTGCAACTCCGCTTCCCAGGTTCAAGTGATTCTCCTGTCTCAGCCTCCCAAGTAGCTGGAATTACAGGTGCCCGCCACTACGCCCGGCTAATTTTTGTATTTTTAGTAGAGACGGGGTTTCATCATATTGGTCAGGCTGGTCTCGAACTCCTGACCTCAGGTGATCCGCCCGCCTCTGCCTCCTAAAGTGCTGTGAGATGTGAGCGGCCACGCCCGGCCACATAAAACCCTTTTTATACATGGAAATGAAAAGGAATATCATCTCTTGCTCCTGGACATTCACATTGTTGGGGGAGGGAGAGCTTGTCTGGGGAAGAAGCCCAATATTAGAGACGAGGCCTCAATTCTGCACCCTGGGACAGCATTCCCAGGAAAGGAAATGGGAACGGGTCATCGGCAGGACACATGGGTAGAGAGCTCTATTCGGTTTTCACAGGCTAACTTTGAGTCGTGGCGTCGAATACCACTGTTCAAGAGGTGTTGCAAATAAAGAACCTGAAGACAGGAGTGAGACCAGGAATGGAAATATAAACCTAAGAATAATTGTGCTCAAGCTGTTGCATGAAGGTGGGAGAATCATTCTCTTGGAGCTGAAGTAAAAGCAGGGTTAGGTGGAGAATCACACAAGCAATGGCAACACCTACGTGAATTTAGATCAGAAGAAAATGCAGGTGACAAACCTGTCTGTTTAGGATTAAGGAGCCAGAAGAATGGATTTATCTGGGGTTGGCCTGGGGGTCAGGGGAAGAGTGTTGTCACAGGCAAAGTTTGCCCCAGTAGCTAGCAGTGCTAGAGAAAGAGCAAGGGGGATGAAGTCAGGGCAGGGCCGCAGGTCTCCATACAGATGACAGCTCAGAAAGGGCAAGATGTGTCACAGAAAATCAGAAGTTGGAGAGGAATTTGTTTATCAGATCATTAAACTGCGGCCGTTCGTCTGTAAAGGAAAGAGACAGAGCTCTATGATAGAAGGCAGGAGGATCATGTGCGGCTTTTGAAGATGAGGAGAATGGGGAAAAATGGAGTTGAATGTAGGAAGAGGCCTTTCCATGGAGCCATCCTCCCAAGGACCTCAGCAAGGATCTGCTCCCCAGGCAAGGAGGGCGTGTGGGTCTCGGATCACAGAGAGGAGGAGGAGGTGTGAGGCCGGGAGGGCACAGGAGGACCAGGGAGGGTGCAGGAGAACCACTGAGAAAAATGGCAGAGACCTTGACACATGGAGGACAAAAGTGAACTTGATTTTCTTAACAAAACTGAAGGCCACAGTTGAAGAGAGAGAGCATGAGACAGCTTGATCGAAATGGTGAAGCTTTGGAGAGATTTTGCGGGGAATGCACTGGAGAACCATGAAGATGTGGAAACAAACAAACAAACAAAAAACCGCTTTTGCATCTTCAGACATCTCACTTGTCATCACCAGCACAGTGCCATGCATGAGTGACCCATTGCAGGGAAACAAACCAGAGATCTCCCATGAATGTCTCCGGAAACACAAAGAGAACAGAAAGTAGAAACAGCAGGGAGAATGCAGATCAGAGGATCAGCAAAGTGGACCCAGAAGCTCAGAGCACAGGCGAGCTCAAGGTCAAGACTGTTGAGGTCACCAACCTCAAAACAGAGTTTATGGCTTGTCACAGAACCAGCTGGAAGCAAAAGGGATTGGATGTGGGTTGGATGTGGTGCTGGTACAGGTGTAGACAAGCAGGTCAACAGAACAGAATAGAAAACCGGAGGCTGAGCCTAGGGTGTATAAGTGCTTTATGTGAAACTTGAAGCAACATATCCAATTATTTGGGGAAAGATTTATTTAGTAAGTAACGTGAGAGAAATTGATTACCTATGTCAAATGAGAGAGGGAGATCCAGTAGAATTTTAAGGGAATAGGATGAAACAAAACTTATATTAATTTAGCACCTATGTCTTTTTTTTTTTACTTTGAGACTGAGTCTTATTCTATGGCCTATGCTGGAGTGCAGTCGTGCAACCTCTGCTCACTGCAACCTTCACCTCTCAGGTTCAGGTGATCCTCCTGCCTCAGCCTCCCGAGTAGCTGGGATTACAGGCACCCACCACCACACCCAGTTAGTTTTTGCATTTTTAATAGAGACGGGGTTTCACCATGTTGGCCAGGCTAGTCTCGAACTCCTGACCTCAAGTGATCTGCCTGCCTCCGCCTCCCAAAGTGCTGAAATTACAGGCATGAGCCACCACACCTGGCCCAATTTAGTACCTACTTCTTAGCAGGCATTTAATTTGTAAAATGTGAAATCTAATTTGATCTGAACAACCCTTCCATGATGGAAGAAGCAGCGACTCCATATTTTTCTGGTGAGAAAACTTCAATTTTTGAGAGGCTAAGAGATACTAGTCTTTTGAGAAATCAAGGCTAGCCTCCTTTCAAAGCCCCTTTTCGTGATGCTGAATTTTAGTCCTGTGAGCCCAGGGAGGATACAATACCTTCAGGAGGGCACCTTGCTACCCCGGTTTTGGCTCAGCTGGCACAGTGGGAAGCCTGCCTGGTCATAATAAATGCACAGTACTTGAGCTGGACGAGATGGAATACAATTGAATCCTGCAGACCCTCAAGGAAGGAAGATATGAACTCCGTCTAACTTCTCTAATAATCAAAATTACTTCCAAACAACAGCTTACCCAATAAAGCTCAATAAAGCAAAATCGAACCCCTAATAAAATAGTCCAGAAGATGCTGAACTAGAGGAACATTGGCTTTAGGTAACCGCAGCTTTACCGAAGGTCAGTAATCATGTGTCTTTAAAGTGTATAAAGTGCTCTGGGATTTTGTTAACCCGGAAAGTCATTGTTTATAAAAGACGAGTGTAGGTGACAGTGGAGGCGTCACCTGGATCTACCTTTAACGATGGAAAAGGCATCTCCTTAGCTGCTGGGAGTGAGGCCAGCAGACAGCCTTCTGTGGCAGCCTTCCTCAGTGGCCACCTCAGGGGAAGTGCCTGTTCCGCCCAAAATCACACCTCCCTCTAGGGGCAACCGGTGACCCAGCCCCACCCTGAGAAGAGTCTACAGAGCCATCTCACTTGGGAGCTGCCCAGGGGTGGGTCCAGGCCTCCATGGAGACAGCCCTGCAACCACCTCCTCTTTGCGTAATCTATGTTGTCCCACTTCTCACAGGGGCCAACCCAAGAGCACTGCCTAATAGACCGCCTGGACCCTGATTTCTGTCTCAACCTGCAGCAATTCGGGAACCCAAGGCTGCAACCCTTAGGAACCAAGAGGACCCAGCTCTTGTGCCTGAATTTCTCAAGCTACCTCTTGATATGCCTACCTTCCACTGCAAAATAATCCCAGACGTGAAATGTGTACTATTCTGTATGACAAAGGAGAGATACCTAATTACCAAGATATGCTGGATTTGGATGTAGGTCATTTTTCCAGCAAGTTTTAGCCCTGTCAAAAACGTAATCCCATTAAAATTAAAACATGTAGTTTATTGTGTATACAAAAGAACAGTTTGCAAAACCAGAGATTTGCCATCAAAAGTGGTAAGAAGCTCCACTTAGAGTGGTCACAGAACAGCTGGAAGAGGTATTTGGAACTTTTTGTCATTGGCTGTTACACACTGACATTCTTCTTAAAGGCAAAAAAAACTGTTCAAGCTAATATGTCTATAGTTGATTGGCTTAATGTTACTGAATCATGCTGACAAGGATGTAAAGCTTATGTTTCATGTTTTGTTTATGATTAGAGCTTAAATTTGGGGGAAATCAGGATGACTTAAGTTTGGGCTATGTGGCAATGGGCAGTTGGTCTTGAGGCTCTATGCAAACTGTGGTCTCCACTTTTAGTTTTTTCTTTGACACCCCTAAAGTGTTCATTGACACTTTCAATGGGGACCCACCATCTGTTTTAGAAGTTTTAATCCAGTTTATGCTGATTTTACGTTGTTACCTATTTCCGTATGTTTCTTATGTCTGAAAAGCCTTTGAAACTTACTCTAGTGAAATAAAATAAAGCAGGGGTGGAGGAGCTGGGGACCCCAAGACCTCCCTGGTCGCCTTCTGCCATTGCCTCTCTCCTGAGGAGGGTGCAGGTTGCTTACACCCAGCCCTAAGCTTCTCCCACCGTCCTCTGCTAGTTCATTTTCTCCTGAAATGTGTAGAGAACAACGTAGTGAATGTGTTACACCCAAACCCACATCGGTCTCAAATCCTAGAATGTAGTCGTATTGTCCAGATCATTTTTAAAGAAATAGAAAAATGACTAAGCCAATGCCAGCACCCTGAGTGTGTCCCTCCCTGAGTGTGCCTCTCCCACTGGATTCCCCTTTCTCCTTCACCAGAAGCACCTGCACCGAAGATTTGGTGTTAATTGTCCTGTGGCATTTTTTTCCTTTTAACTTTTGCTACACATCTGTTTATCCATAAACAATAGAGAGTACTATTTCACATATTGTTACACTTTAGATCAACATGGCATTGCACTGCAGATCTCTTTCTGCAACTTGCTTTGGAGTTGTTGTACCATGTTAGGTTCTGAAATATTGCCTTAGACTTTTTCTGTAAAGAGGCAGATAATAGATGTTTTAGGCTGTGTGGGCAACTACTCAACTGTATCCTTGTCATGTGAAAGTAGCCATTGATAATACATAACCCAATGGGCTTGGCTGGGTTCCAGCCAAACTTTATTTACAAAAGCAGGCAGCTGGCCAGATTTGGTTTGTGAGCTATAGTCTGCAGATCCCTGCTTCAGATGAAGTCCATGATTTAAACTCCTGTGCAGTGCTCCATTCATGAATTTGGCATGATTTATTTACCTGCTCTCTTTTGTGCTACATATTTACATTGTTTCTGTTTTTTTTTCTTATCTGAAACAATATTGAAATCAACATTCTTAGGACACCTACCTAGAAATGGACTCATACATAGAGATGTCCTCAGCTTCACCATGTTTGCCTCTGAAGTTATTTTATTAATTCACACTCTACCCTCACCAGCAGAGTATGAGATGCCTAAATTCTCTACTTTCTCAACCAAACTTCCTAGAGTCAGACTTAAAACATTTTTGCCAAACTAATGAGCATGGTCTGATACCTTAATTTTCATTTATCTGAATCATTCCAATGTCCTTTTCTGTAAATTCTATATGTTAATTCTTTGCTTTGTCATCTATTTCTTTGTGTATATTCCCTTATATATAGTCCTGTAAGATTACATATATTTAAAGACTTCTCTTTAATTCATGAAACCAATCCTTCACTTACTTAACTACAATACAAGTTAATGACTTGTCTTATCTCCTTGTTAATGGTGCTTTTTTTTTGCCCAGTCTTTAATGTTAGTGTAATGAAGTTTGTTTTTCTTTACTCCTCCTGCATTTGTGTCTTTTTGAAGGAATAATTTTTTAGCCCCAAATAATAAAAGTGACCACCTACATCATCTTCAAAATGTTTTAAGATGTTGCTTTTGACACTGAGGTCTTATGGTACAGTTTCATGTATGGTGTAAGGTAAGAATTTAACCCCACCAAACTTTCCCATATGAGTAATGAATGTTTTAAACGCGATGTAATAATTTCATCTGTCTTTACTCTGTCATTGCTCTTCCACTTTAGAGTGTTAGGAAATATGTCCATCCTTCTATTGGCTGTTTTTGAACTTTAATCTTCCACAATGGACAGTGTAGAGATTTGAACTGTAATTGCATTAAGTTTAGGGAGTAGTTTGGGGAGAATGGTATCTCTGCAACTATGTGTCTTCTTCTCCATATGTTCCCATGCTATCAGGACTTCCTTCATGTTGTGTGTGGTTGAGATGATCACATTTTTACCCCTCCTCCCACTGAAAAGGGGATTTGCTCCCTCTTGAGGCCAGGCTGCTTCCTTGACTTACTTGAGGAGCCGAGTGTGAGGTACGTAGAGGGATCAGCTTGACCAGTTTGCCTGGGACTTTCCCAGGTTTGGCACTGAGAAGCCTCTTGGCTCTGAGCATGAAGTGATGGTTGACCATCCTATGACTTCCAAGACAAGGTCCTGGGTATTTTGGAGACAGTTGGCCTTTGGGGACGCGTTGTCACAGCAACCCCAGGTTGGATAAACCGGTAAATGCTCATGGCAATGAGCTGCCCCATTTCTACACCACTCCACGGGTCACACAGACCTGGATACATTCACCCCGTCAGACAGTGGAAGAGGCTTTAACAGTCTTTGTGGAATCCTGATTAGTCTATTTATATAAATTTATACAAATTTAATCATACACTAATCCAATCTAAGACATTGTTTAAAGAAATACTACATTTAATGTTTTAATAGAACACAAAAAAACTTAATGCTTGTTTTACAAATTTAACTTGCATCAGATTTTCATCAAGAGGTCCACCCCTTAGAATATTAGATGCACTGAGAAGCAAGATAAATTTCTGTAGCCATTGCCAAGGCATAGATTGGCCTCCTAAGCCATCAAGCAAGCAGTAACACCAAGTTAGTATGGCTAAATTTTATTGTTTTTTATAATTTAAAATATAATAACCATAGGAACTCAATAAAGAACTGGTAATAAAGAAGTTACGGAGATAAATTACTCTAAATGGAAAATAAATGACACTTGGTGATAAGGCTTATGAGGTCTGGGACTCGGCCCACCATGTTCACAGCAGCATCCCCACCACCCAGACATGCCTGGCTCACAATTGGCACACAATAAATCCTCGTTGAATATTTTTAATAACTTGTACTCATTTCTAACAAATGTATTGTCACTTGATTAATTCAATTTTCTAAGAAACAAAATACACTCAAACCACTTTTGAATACTCTCTTCAGGGATCTAAGCCAGGGACTACCACATAGTTAAATCGACCCACTAATGAGATCATTTTGTCAACTTGGTATTTAATTTTCATGGGATCCAGTCCAAGACAGGCCCACTACTCTGGAGCTTCTCTTTATAACTTGAAGCACTCTATCAGGTTTCCATTATTTTATGGGTGGGCTTAGCATTATTGGGAAGATAAAGGAAACAATAGAACCTAGGACAGAATAGAAGGTGAGAGCATTGCATATGGGCACTCTTGAATGGACAGGGGCATTCTGCTGCTGAAATTCCTCGAATGTGTTCTTTACTAGAAGAAAAAAATATGTATTTTTCCATAAATAGACAATTTCTCACTCACAGGAGGCTGAACAAGACACCGGTTTTCCATCTCACTATTGAATTGGCAAGGAATCCAGTAAATAACAAACAGAACAAAAAATTCTCTCTCTTTATTTAATAAATAAAATGCAGGAAGGAAGTTAACACAAATGGGGACTCTTAAAATGAAATAACCATGGTGGGGCCCAGCCCATCTGGTTGTCTGTCTCATGTTGCATGGAAGAGGTCACTGTGGGGTCTGTCACATCAACTCTCTCTCCCTGGTGATGGAGACAGTCAAGCCTGTGTCCTGTAGTTCAACATGAGAGTGTGGGTGGCCCCACGGAGACAGGGTCATATCGAAGACACATCTCATTGATTGAATAGAAGACACACACACACACAAACACACACAGACACACACACACAGACACACAGACACAGACACACACAGACACACACAGGCACACAGACACAGGCAGACATACACACAAATACATACACAGACACAGACACACACGGACGACACACACAGACACAGATACACACAGACACACTTAGACACAAATGCAAAAGCACACACAAACACACACAGACACAGACACAGGCAGACACAGACACACACAGACCCAGACACACAGAGACACACACACAAACACACACAGGCACAGACACACACAGACACACACAGGCACACAGACACAGGCAGACATACACACAAATACATACACAGACACAGACACACACGGATGACACACACAGACACAGATACACACAGACACACTTAGACACAAATGCAAAAGCACACACAAACACACACAGACACAGACACAGGCAGACACAGACACACACAGACCCAGACACACACAGACACACACACAAACACACACAGGCACACACACAGACACAGGCAGACATACACACAGACACAGACACACACGGACGACACACACGGACACAGATACACACAGACACACTCAGACACACACACAAAAGCGCACACACAAACACACATAGACACACACACAGACACAGGCAGGAATACACACAGACACAGGCAGAAACACATACAAACATGTAGACACACACACAAACACATACATAGACACACACAGACATGCACACAGACATAAAGAAATACACACACACACAGACACACACACAAACACACACACATAAACATGTCATTATTAATTCTTCCAAATTGAACTCATTGATAATGTGGTCTCTTGGATACTCAAATAACATCTTCCAAATTGAACTCATTGAAAACGCAGTCTCTTGGATACTCGAACAGCATGATTCCTTGGCTCTATTCTCCAAATAATTTGTCTTTGGCCAAACCTCTGAAAAAATCAGTTTTAAAATTTCCTCTTAAAAGCATAAGGGACTTAGCTCTATCCACGAAGAGATGTGTGATCCCTGGCTAGCATTTCTTCCAGCATAAACTGCAGTGCGACCATCTTTCATCAGGCTTTGACCCCCAGCAATCATACTGTAGCTCCGTTATGTGGGCTGCCCCATTTCTTCATCAGAGACTGGGCCCACTCCAGGAAACTTGCGGGGCCTTCTCTTCACACATGATGGAGCCAGGCATTGGTGGTACAGTGGTGAGCATAGCTGCCTTCCAGATGATGGAGCCGTAAAGCAGAGTGGCAAGCACAGTTGGGGTCCTGCTTCCCCACGTGGCCTGATGAGGCTCCACCAAATACTCCAGGCTACACCACCACACCAAACACTCAAGAGTCTGATATGAGGACTCTGAGGCACTGGGTTCAATATGCCCCTCTGCTGTTTTTTGTTTGTTTGTTTTCCTTTTACTTGCAACAATCCTCAGAGAAGTGCTGCCTTCCAATGGTCCAAAGATTAAGCTTCCCTGCTGTAGTAATCAGCAAAGAGAGGCTTTTAGCAGCGGCTATGATGACAGTCTCGGGAGCTCAGTGGCCACTGGCTTTTGTCCTGGTGTCCCTTGAGCTCCCAGTTACTCCAAGGGGAACAGGAGGGTAGCCCGAATGCTGAGCAGTTGCTCATTCATGCTTCAGAAGAAAGATTTCTGGACTCTCAAGCAGAACCCTGGTCTCCCCTTTGCAGAGTCTGGAAAGCATATCTTCTTCCCAGCCAAATCAATCCAAATTGCATGAATGGACATCATTCTCCCAGCTCACACAGAAAACAAGGTGTGTGCTTACAGTATTGATTACAACATTGTCTTATAGAATAAATTAAAGCTTGATCGCAATATTGTGATTGCATTTGGTGCTTTTTAAAAAATGTGTGTCAAAAGAAGTCAGCATCCTGAGAGCTCCAGCAAAGGCCAGGTGCAAAGTCCCAAAGGGACCAAGCCAGGCCGCTCCTGGGCATCAAGTTTAATTTTCAACTAGACCCAGATTCATAACACAAAGCTGGACTGAGGAGTCCTTCCTATGTTTAGACCAATGCCTGAAGACCCGAAGCTGGCTGAAGCAGCCATGTCTTTTCAATGGTGGGGGCACTGCAATATGTAAGTGATAACTCCCAGCTCCAGGATGGGGCTAGGTAAATATTCAGAATTTATAAGAAGGCCCGGCCAGCACTCAGCTCAACATCCAGCACCTCCCATGGCCCAAAGTGGGAGTGAGACTTTTCTCACCATTCTCAGGAAGTCTTCCCTCTGGCCAGGTAAAGACAAGGTCATCTCAGCTAATGAGAGATGCCTGTCTCCGTGTGGTCCAGATGTCAGCCAGGAGAGACAGCTACAACTAAGCTGACATTGCAGCTGCCAACTGCCATGAGCACTGCAGTGACGCCTTCCCTCTCCAATCAGGTCACTCTGGAAATTGTTGGATGTCATCTGTGTGCTTATATGGATTGAGGGGCTTCTCCATGTGAGTGCCTGTGTATTTCTCTCTCTCTCTCTGTGTGTGTGTGTGTGTTTGTGTGTGTGTGCATAAGATAAATTGCATTTCAGAGAACAGAGAGCAGAGCCTCCTGTGCAGTGTGTCCGAGGGTATCCCTGCAGGGCCGGGCGGCTGACTCCCCACCGCTGGGACTTCTACCTACAGTTCCTCAGGGGCTGCCAGTCCATGAATGACCCATCTCTAAAAAGAATGGCTTTTACCTTTGCTTTTTATAGTCAGCTTATCTTTCTCACCAGTCTATATATAAATCGTTATCTTGCATTAAATTCGTTCAAGTTCAAAAAGTAAATCAGTAATTCTGCAGCAAAAACCAGTAGGATGCATGAAAATGAACACACTCCTTTTCATCCATCTTTATTCATGGCCCTTTCCAAGTACTTTAGAGGCAATGATTGTTCCTCTCAACCCAATGAAATTTAGAAGAGAAAAGGGATGTAAGCCTTCAATCATGTACCTTAAACTCCAAGAAACAATCTCAATGGATGTTCACCTGTCTAGAGAAGCTCATTTGTTTACCAGGCTTGCTCATGTAAAGCGAAAACAGATTCCTTAGGCTTTTTAAATATTCTAACTACATTCTTTGTAATATTTTTAATGTGTGTCAAAAAGAATAAACAGCCTGAGTGCAATCATAAAGGTCAGATGCAAAGCGCTATTGATCTGTGACCCAAAGGGACCAAGCCAGGCTGCTTGTGAGCATCACGTTTAATTTTCAGCTAGACTCAGAAGTGGAATACAAAGCTCAGCCAAGGAGTATCCAGATGCCTGGAGATTTTGAAAGGTGTTTAAGGGAGATTCAAATTTTGATTAGATCTTGGTTCTGGTCCTTAAGTCTTCAGAGTAAACAGACAATGGTAGTGTATTTCAAGGATATGTTTCCGAAGGCCCTCTCAGAGCATGGGTTATTAAAAATCTATGCTCGTTTGTAGAGGAGTGGGGTCCCTCTAAGACACCACTTCAAGGTCAGCCCCCGCTCTGGCCATGCTGATTGGGACACAGACCTTGTCACATCTGGCATCCCTTATCACCTTCACATGGCCATGAGCAGGTGTCCTGAGCTTGCTTCACTCGGCTGGGAAAGAAAGCCCAGCAGGGAATCCTGCTCCTTTCTGGTAGAGTCCGAGTAATAGCATCTCCAGCCCTGGTCAGCGTATCTCACCCTGATGTGGGATCCACCACCCGGCTGGAGGCTCTACTGTTCTGCTCCGGCATCATCATCACCTGCTCCACATTGCCAGGAATCTCGCCAGGTGGAAAGGGCCAGAACCCATACGTCCCTGGGGGGTGAGGGTTCTGGATCTAGAGGATTCTGGCCAGAAGGGTGGCCCCTCTTCCCTGGGCAGATTCAAAGCCAACAGCCATTTCTGGACTGATTAATATGTGTCCAGACCTTTGCTGGGTACAGCAGGCACCAATGAAGCATGAAGCCCACTCCCTGCCTTTAAGAGCTCAAAGAGGGTACCGAAAGGGCTCTCCTTGGGTTGGAGTTGGGGATTCCATACGTGCAGGATACCTGGACAGAAATGAAGAGAGAATATAATCAAGTGCAGGTGGCACTGAGTCTAGACACTGAGAACAACAGCATGGAATCCTCCAGGCCAGAAGGAGGATGTAGACATGATGTGCATGAACTCCTCACACCAGAATGCCGGAAAACAGGAATCTGGCATGGGCCCGTAGTGGGGAGTGCACCTAGGTAAATAGAGGATGGGTAGAAAGGCTTCAAGAGCCAGAATATATGTCACTTCAAAAGACCAGGAGCTTTTGAAAGTGCTTTAAGGAGGAGGTGACAGCTGGGCCAGGGCTCTGTAGGATGGGTCCCTTGGGAAGAAATTCATCAGGATGAACCTGGGTGAGCCTATGAGAAATTCCACAAGGTTCTGAACTCAGGAAAATGAGCTCAGTGAGGGGCACCTCACTGATTCCCCACCTCTTCTTATTTGGCCATATACTGATGCACTTTTTGTCCCAGTGTTCATAGTCCTAAGGATCTGAAGTGAAATGTACAATCTCTTCAGTGGTGAGTGGTGTCCATCTGCTCCCAGGTCCAAGGTCAAAATAAAGATCCCAACTTTCTTGTCCTAAATAGATCCTAATTAAACACACGCACACACACACACACACACACACACACACACACACACGCACACACAATGTTTTCTGGTTTGAGGGAACTGTATTAGTAAGCATTTTCATGAGAAGCTGATTTCTTCTTAAACTTCAGTCTTTTAAAGTTTTCTGTTAGGAAACTGCTCTGTCTAAAATATGGGCCGTCAACATCATGTCTGCCCAAGGAGGAAAACAGTTGTACCCTGAATGAGACTGTGCCCTGAACCCAAGGTACTGGCAGGGCCTTGGGGTCTGTTGGTGGTGAGGGGCACCTGCTGCAGGTCCTTAAATTGGATCTTGCATCCTCAGCACATTGTAGAGCACGTGTAGCCTAATGCTGCAAGTCCTTCTGGTTGGTGGCAGGGGCATCTCATCCCTGAGTTTGGAATAAGATAATGATAACTGAGATAAGACTAGTTGGAAGAAAATAGTTTTCAAGCATTTACGGGAAATGTGTTGAGTGGTCCTGCAGATCAGTATGCTTGATTTGGGAACATATCATCTTCCTGTAAGACTCCAAAGCAGTATCTCTTTGAAATGTGTGAGTAAAACTTCTGGGGTTTGGATCACACAGCCAATTTAGGTCCATTAGAACTCTCTTATCCCCGAGATGCACCTGGAAATGATAAAAAAAAATCTAGCTGCCTATTATGAGTAATGTTGGCAAAGTTTTCCAAGATTTTTACAGTTCAGCTCTAGCACAGCTGAAGCAGAGGGATCAGCTTTCAACAACAAAAGTGGGAAATTTGCTGCAGAATCACTGCTCATGGCAGCCAGATTTATTGCTCCAGTATCTCAGAAACGACAATTAAAAACCACAAGTTTGTCCATTTTTAAAAAACCACAAGTTTGTCCATTGTCATTCTTGCTACTACTTTGACACACATCCACTAAACATTCTAGAAACAAAGAAGGGGAGCTCACACAGCCTCTGAGAAACCATCCTGAGCATGAAAAATATGCATATCAGAGAGGACGTTTGGAAATCTTTTTTGCATCCTGAGCTAGTAGAAACGTTTTCATTAAAAACTTCAGACACTTCTACAAATGTAGAGTCCTATGTTTCCTTATTAAATGTATGGCTCTGCCTCTTTACAGAAAAGAAAAATTTCTAAACGAGTGATGAACTGGATGTGACCTCTTGCAGTGGGGCAGAGTGGCCTTGTGGGGGAATGAAGCAAGGAGGATCAGGAGCCCTCCTGGAGCCCTGCGGGGTCTGCAGAGCCAGAGTCTTTCTGTGACAAGTGAGCATGTGCATGTATGTGCCTGTGCATGCCTGTGTGGAGGGGTGTGGATGTGTGTGTTTGTGTGTGCATGTATATGCCTCTGCATATCTGTGTGGAAGGGTATGGATGTATGTGTGTGTGTGCCTGTGTGGAGAAGTGTGCATGCATGTGTGGGTGTGTACATGTATGTGCCTGTGCGTGTCTGTGTGAAGAGGTGTGGATGTATGTGTGTGTGTATATGTATATGCCTGTGCATATCTTGTGGAGGGGTGTTGATGTGTGTGTGTGTGGCTGTGTGTGCCTGTGTGGAGAAGGGTGCATGTGTGTGTGTGTGTACATGTATGTGCCTGTGTGAAGGGTTCTGCACGTGTGTGTGCATGGGTGTGCATGCTTGTGTGGGTGTGTGAGCACCTGTTGGGGCCGGAGGGCTGGCACATGACTGGCCTTTGGGCCATCTACAGCCACCACTTCATAATGGAAAGGGGGTATGATAGGTGCAGGTTAGGAAAAGAAGGTGATGCCTTCCTTCCAACGGATGAACATGGACTTCATCTCTCTCCATGACTCGCTTCACCTGGCTGTAGTGAGCAGGTGCCCCTATAGATGCAGGGACCCTCCTCCACACAAACAGGGTAGGGTTGGGTGATGCTTCGACGTTTAGAGCAAGAGTACCCAGAGAAGGGTTTCGGCCCGTGGCCGCTTTGCTTGCTCCACCCAGAATATTACAAATTAGAGGCTCACGTGCATGATGTAATCAATAGCCACTCCCACCAGATGGACTGAAATTATTATCTTTACAATAAGATAAAACCCGAGGCTTGGACACCAGAATGTCAGAATGCAGAGCTAGGCTTGTCTTTGAGACTGTGGAATGACCACCCGATCCTCTGTTCACTGATGGAAGAATTCAGGGATCTCTTGAGCTGGTTTGCTATGTCCCTGTTAGAAGTGACATCCTTCTGGCTGGGCGCAGTGGCTCATGCCTGTAATCCCAGCACTTTGGGAGGCCAAGGCGGGAGGATCACGAGGTCAGGAGATTGAGACCATCCTGGCTAACATGGTGAAACCCCATCTCTACTAAAAATGCAAAAAATTAGCCAGGCGTGGTGGTGGGCACCTGTAGTCCCAGCTACTCCGGAGGCTGAGGCAGGAGAATAGTGTGAACCCGGGAGGCAGAGCTTGCAGTGAGCAGAGATTGTGCCACTGCACTCCAGCCTGGGCGACAGAGCCAGACTCCAGCTCAAAAAAAAAAAAAAAAAAAAGTGACATCCTTCTGTGCCATGCAACTCAATCTGTTAGCATGAGCTAAACAGATATATGATGAAAGCAGGGAGAAACTATCTCTCAACATGCCAAGAAAACACCATTTCTCACTCAGGAACCTCGGGGGAAGCCCTCTCTAAGCTTGTCCCACTCTGCAGCTTGGAAACACACAAAGAATGGTCAAAATCAGGCAGGGAGCACCTGCAGCTCATTGCAAAGGTGGCTGCGATCCTAACTTTGCTTGAGGAACTCTGATAGTTGAATGCAAGTTTAGCTTTGGATTGCAGCAACTTACTTTTTAAAGCATGGGCAATAGAGAGGAGAACCATCTTCTGACATGGTCGGCACAGGCCTTCGGGGGCAGCTGTGATGGCAAATCTTTGAATGAGTATCCTGCGGGAGGATGACAAGGACACTGAGTCAGCCAGGTATGAGGAGCCATCTCTGGCTGGACTTACACAACATTTCTCTCCACCCTTCTTTGATTATTGACTTAAATCGGTGTTGTTGGAGGGAAGAAACACACGGAGAAGAATATGCCACGCAGGGCATCCATAATTAAAGTCCAGATTCAATGGGAGTGTCTCCCCGCCTTGCAGCAAGCTTTGTCATCCTGCAGGAGGAACACAAGCCTCGCGGTGTAGAGAAAAGTTAAACAATTGTCAGCGGAAGGCAGATGAGGCTTTATTGAATGCCTGTATTACTAATGCATGAAGAGGTGCTGTGCTGAGCACAGAAGATACAATCATTGCTTTAATCATGGTACAAGTTTTATCACCAATAGCCCCATTAAACATCAAGAGCAGGGCAGGCTTGCTCCAAGGCAGGGAGCTCGTGTGGTTTCAGGAAAATCAGGGAGCCAGGATCATTCGGATGCCAGCGATCCCGGCCGGAGGGTCACCCGGGTAGAGCGAGAGGGCTAGTGTTACCACCTCGAGGACAGAGGAGAGGTGAGGATTCAGGCCCAGCGGGAGCTGGGGTCAAGGAGAGGCTGCCATGCAAATGACTCCATCACCTTCAGTCGGCACCTGGGGCCTGGCCTCCTCCCTTCCCCCAGGCCCAACCTGGGCAGGTTAGAGAAGAAAACGGAAAGGAAGGAGAGGCCAGCCCCTGTGGGCACTTGTTCTTCTTACCTGCTGCTTGCAGGGAGAATGGTTTGGGGCTGGGGAGTGGACGGTGCCAAGAATATTCTCCTGTCCCCGTGTTCTCAACACATCAGTTTAGGGTCTGGCCTGTCTCCAGGACATGCTCTTTCTCTCCCTGGCCCCTCTACTGGGGACTTAGTGGGCACACAGTCAGTTTCTGACTCTGGCTGCTGGGCAGACTCCGACCCTTGGGTGAGGGGTCTTCAGACATAGATCTTGGGGATGCTTGGAAACACCATTATCCATGGGACAGACAAGCCCTGACACGGCTTCCTCGATAGTTTTACTGACTTTTGTCTCCATCAGACTGAACCCTAGAGAAGCCAGGACTGGGGAAAGCTAGCAGGTGCCCACCTCAGGCACAGGCAAGGGACATGACACACCCGGCCATGAGATAAATCACATTCAGTGCCATATTAAAAAAAAATTAATGCAAACAAAAGTCCATTATCAACAAAGTATCAAGTTTTTCAATACAAACAGGATCCATGACAGTCCTGCACTGAGTCACAAGGAAGCCTGAAGTCAAGGTGAAAAAATCAGCAATTTGGATCCTGTATTTATGCCACGTTCTTATATTTTTGTCCATCATGGATATTTTGCATTAATTTAGACATTTTAAAATATTGCATTAAAATATTATACATTTGGGAGACTGAGTGTTTTGGCAGTCTTTAAATGCACCCGAGTGTTACAGGTTGACTTGCTTCCCCAAAACATTCATGAGAAAATTGTAACCCCCAGTACCTCAGAATGCAGCCATACTTAGAAGTAGGGTTGTCGCACAAAAGATAACACGTGTTGGTGAGGATGTGGAGAAAGAGGAACACTTACACGCTGTTGGTGGGAACATAAACTAGTACAACCACTGAGGAGAGTAGTGCAGAATTTCCTCAAAACACTAAAAATCGAGCTACTAAAAAATCCCACTGCTGGGTATTTATCCAAAGGAAAGGCAATCAGTATTTCAAAAGGACTCTATCAAAAGACTATCACCTGCACTCGCAATAGTCAAGACATGGTGTCCCCCTAAAGGCCGATCTACAATGAATGGATAAAGCACATGTGCTGTATGTACACGGTGGAATAGTATTCAGCCATGAAAAGAATAAAATCTTGGCATTACAGCAACGTGGATGAACCTGGAAGACTTTATGTTAAGTATTTGCTTTTCAGTCTCAGAAAGGCAAATGCCTTGTGATTTCACTTTTATGTGGGATCTAAAAAAGTTGATCTCCTAGAAGTAGAAGAAGAACAGTAGGGACCAGAGGCTGGTGGAGTGGTGGGTGGCAGAGAGGGGTTGGTCAGTGGATACAAAGTTAGAAGGGAGGAATAAGTTCTGGGGTTCCATTGCACAGTGGGGTAACTAGAGTTAGCAATGATGTACTATGTATTTCAGAATATGGCTGGAAAGGATTTTGAGTGTTCTCAACACAAATAAGGGATGGATGATAATTCCCTGGATTTGATCATTACACAATGTGTGCCCCATAAATATGTACAATTTTTATTTGTTAATTGAAAATAAAACTTCAAAAATAAAGGAAATAGGGTCATTGCAGATGTCATTAGTTAAGATGAGGTCATACTAGAGTGGGTGGACCTAATCCACATGATCGATGTCCTTATCAAAAGGGGGACTTGGGCACAGAGACAGACACACACGGGAGAGCACTGTGAAGATGGAGCAGAGGTGAGGTGAGGCTTCCACAAGCCAAGGAACAGCAATGATTGCAGGAATCCACTAGAAGGTAGGAGAGGGTCCCAGGAGAGTTTCTTCCTCACAGCCTCAGGAGGAAGGAGCCTGCCTGCCAAAACCTGCCTCTCAGGCTTCAGGGCTCCAGAGCTGCGAGGCTATGGGTCCCTGCTGTTCCAGCCCTCCATGCAGGTGGCCTGGCGGGGCTGTGCACGCTGAGCCCGGACGCTTGGGACCACGGAGCCCACATGCCCTCCGTGGACGTGAGTGCAAACCCACATGTTCATTGGCCTGTGTGTGCACCATGGCTGCAGCAGAGCGGGGGATCAAGAGATGCAGGTGGAGGGTGCAGGGAGGGCACAGTCAGAGCCCTTCATGAGAAGCAGGGACCCAGCTTCCATTGTGGCCCAGGGGGCCCTGCCCCTGTCCTGCTTCTTCAAAAATGGGCTGTAGCAGCCATCCAATTACATACGAAATGTGGATTTCTTCCTCTGAGTTGCTGGATTTCAACCACTTGGTGGGTGACTGTTATGGACGGGCCACTGTTAGAGGCTGCTATGTCTCCTTTTCCTTCCTGTTGTGATTTCTATTAGATGGCGCAAAGCTTTTCTCAGAGCGCTATGACCTTGGAGAAGAGACCCCTCAGTGGGGACAGCAGAGCCTGGACGAGGCCACACACTAGGGGTCTGTTGACCTCCGGCATGCTCTTCCCACAGATGCACGCTGCTGTCATGCATTTGTTTGGAAGGGCTTGTGTCCCTTGCAAACGTTTAAATACTATTGCTTTGCCCTGATGATATTTTATTACCCTTTCAGTTTATAAATCAAACTGCATTTATACATTTTATGCCAAATTGTTGATTTGTTTATTTTCTTCTTGTCATACCCCCCACTCCCCACGACCAACCCCCACCATCCAACCCTTCATTTGTCTTGAGCTGGGCCTATTTGGGGTTCTCTGCTCTGAATCAGTCCTCCTTTGCCTGACAGTGCATGCACTGAAAACACAAACCTCACAGCTCCTCCTCATTAACCCGATCCTGTTATAGGAGCTGGGGGTGGTGACGGGATCTCGAATACGGACAGAGAGTGGTGTGGAAACAGCCTCACTGGTTATTACCTTCCTAAACGAAGCTGTCTAGGATGCAATTCCATTCCTCTCTAATCCTTTTATTCTTTTTTCTTTTTAAGAACAAGATCAAATGTTGTATACAGTATCAAGGTTTCATAACCATATAGAATAAATATTTCAAAGTCTGTAATTTAAACAGGTGGCTGGGTGGCACGTGGGCTGCCTAGGTCAGGAGGAGGTGAGCGTGTGAGCCAGGACTCTGTGGGCTGCCTGGGTGGAGCTTGGCTTCGTCTATGTGTAGACGAACCTCAGTCACGGAGCAGCCTGCCTGTTCTGACCATATTAGCAAGATCAGCGGATTGGCGGGATAAATGATAACCCGTCTTAAACCTCCTCTTCACCACCTCCTCCTCTCAGCCCCAGCCCAGCCCCCAATCCTGAGCAGGTGCTCGACTCAGCCTTGGTTGTTTTCCCCTGCTACTACAGTGACACCTAGTTGATCCTCAGTAAATACAGGATTGATTCAATCCACACCTTACTCTACTGGGAGATAAGAAACGTGGGGAATAGGAAGGAGCAGCCAGGCCACTGAGCTGCTTCGGCAAGACACACAGGTAGATTATTCTAGAACTCTAGAGACACAGCTAACCGATCTTGAAAATGCGGCCTGTGGCAGCCAATCTTTGGTCCTTTCTGGAAATGTTAGAGGAAGGAAGACAGTACTTTTTTCTCTTCTATTCAGTTAAAGAATTCAGGTGTTTGAAAATCTTCCCTCAAAGTTTCTATTTGGTTGTCCAACCCCTGAACCATTGAGCACTGCCCTGGAAAAAGCCTTCAGTATTTCTCACGTCCTGCTGCCTGGAGACCTCCCAGACGCAGGTTGCCTTTCCCGTTCACGTGTCTTCCGTACACGGCGCCTGCAGACCACACCGCGTTTTTCTCAGACTGCCCCACATTGTCCCTGGGTGGGGACATGGCCCTCCCTCACCCTTGCGGTGTGTTCTTTCCCCCAAGTACGTCCTCTTTCTGGTGTGCAGGGATTGTGGGCCCACTTGTGAGTCATAAAATCAATTGCTCCAAAGCTACTGCCTCGATTTTTAAACTCGGTCCTATAGCTACGAAAATGCTGGACAGAGGACAGATGGGTCTTTCTCCTCCGCCTTCTCTGTGGCCTCCTGCACTCCTACAGAAGGGGCACACTGAAAAGCAACCTCTTGGGAGGCAGAGTTCCTAAAAGTGTGGGAGATTTAACCAGATCCTCCTATAATAACAATCTGTCAAGCAATGCACTTTAAATCCATTTAAAGCTATCTTTGAGTAAGAGGTGTCTCCTTTAAATACTGTAATACCCATAACGCTCTCACAAAAGCTCTATTCATCGTCCTGACAATGCTATAATGTTTGTGTTTACCCAGAAGGTAAACATGCCTGCCAAGGCCCGCTCCAGGGCCTAAGCACAGCCGTCACCCAGTCGGAACCAGTGGCGATTACCGCTGCTTTGCAAAACTCAAGCAGCGTCTCTACACACCACTTCTCAGACTTGGTTAGGTGTGAGTTCCAAGCAAAATATCACACAGAAGCCTGGGAGAAATATGTTGAATTAGCTAGAATATTGGTCATAAGTCCTCGGCCAGACAATAATCCCCTAAAAAAACGGGTGCGTGCAGGAATGAGGTTAACCTCATTCAGAACCGGGGGCTGCTCATGGGCAAGGGGGCTGTGTAGAATTCAGTGATGGAAGGTTTAAAGATTCAGGACAGTCTGTGTGGATGGCGTGTGGGTGCACTGTCTTCAGACCCCACGTGACATTGAGAGGGTGTGGGTGCCCATCCTGGGGTGCTGGTCCCCCCAGCAGTTCTCTGAGAGCACAGGGCGCTCCTGCTCCTGACTGGAGAGATTTACACACACTCACCCGTGGTGTTGTTGGCTCTCAGTGGTGTTCAGTGAGTTCGGCAGCAGTTCTTTCTCTGTCCTGTAGAAACTCTTGAGCCAACACTTTCTGGAACAGGCCTGTCTTTCCCAGGTGCCTCTTTTCTTTGGTTTAACTTCTCCGTTTCTGGCTTGCACATCTGTTCTCTCCCTCGTCTTTTTCATTTGCTATTCTGAGAGCAGAGAGTGTGATTAACCACCGGCGCCTCCTCTGAGCTCCCATTTTCAAACGCAGCAGGTCAGAAAAGCTGTTTTAACGGGGCTGAGATATGGGAAGTGTTGGTCCCAGGTGAAGCACCCCAGGTCCCAGCAGGAAGCCTTGGGGTACACTCTAGACTTCTGGCAGTATTTTGCATACCATTGATCTCTATGTCCATTTCAAGCTCATTACTTGTTTGCAAGAAGTGTGCTCTCTCTCCTGCCCCCACTTCTCTCTGTTCTTTATAAATGCCAAAATCTTTCACGAGAAGTAAAATTTCTCCAGTGCAAGCATGCGTCCTGTCTTTAGGCTGATATCCAACTCTCGCTATTTTGTTCCCATCTGAATTAAGAATATGTAACTGAAACTAGGTTTCAAATATGGTTTGAAATTAAAGGGTTTTTTTTTTCCTTTTAGAAGACACTTAGTAGATATGAACTATGCCTATACTTATGATCTCTTGTTGAAAAGACACCTGTCTGTTGTGCCATCAATAGCAGCCATGAGGGTCATGGGTTTCCCTACCCTTGGCCCCCACGCTCTGCTCCCTGCTGCCCCCAACAGACCCTGAGGACGGCAGGGACAGAGGTGGGCTGTCCAGGTCCTGCATGGGGGGATGCGGAATGATTCAGGCACCCCTGCCTCCTCTTCATCCTTCTCTTGGGGGCTGCTGGAGCAGTCATCTGCCCAGCTGTTCATCCATTGTTCCTCTGTATAGAAATAAAATCCAGCCCCTGACTGATATTTCCGGGACCTGAATGCAGGTGTTAACTTTCATGACAGAAATATAAACAAGGTTCTATGTTGTCACTTTGTAAATCTGCCTTTCCCAACAGAAGCATGAAGTGACCCTCAACCAAAGTGTACAAATTGTGCCCTAGAATGAAGCGGGTGTGCTTTTGTGAAGCGTCTCTGTTTTGCGTGTTAATTCTCTGAATGCATGTGGGTGTGTGGGGCCCACCAGGCCTTCCAGTACAGAAGAAACATAAGTTCTCACACTCTCATTCAGTCCCCTAGATGCAGAACTCCCTAGAAATGACTTAGAATAAACATTCCCACATTATCAACAATCAAAAGTTTGGAAATTTAGGCTATGCAAAACAGCTTCATCTACAAGAGGCATAGTGGCCAAATCCCTGAATCTAGTGAAGAAAATGGAACAATTCACACGCTTGTCAGTAACAGTGTCCACTTTGTTAATCTTATAGTAATAATATTAATAATTTTATTTTATTCAAGTGAGGTGCACTTACAGACTCGAATATTAGATACTCTTTCTCTCCCCAAATCTTAGTATACAAGCAAGGATTAAAATTACTCTCTTATTAGAACTTCCCACTGGTTAATGACCTCTGAGGAACACACAGAAGTGAGATTTGGAAAAGGCAGGTTTTGCTTGAGTGAGGCCCTGAAAGAGAACATTCCCTGCGGGCCATCTCTTTCTGCAACCAAACCCTCTTGAGAGAAAACCAAATAAATAAAAGAGACACAGTGACCATCCAGTAGTGACCATACAAATGTCTGAGTGTGCTGCCACCATGAGATTTCAACTGAGCAGAGGACTGGCTAACAGGAGCATGCCTGGGACAACCAAGGCAGCGTCAGACACTCCAAAGCCTCCTCTTGCCACCAGCCAGGCCTCTCTCTCCTCCATCCCCTCCAGCCTAGACCTGTGGACTCCTCCTCCAGCTTTCAAAGCAGTGGGGTCCAAGCCTAACCCTGCAGTCCCAGCCACCTGTGGAAGGAAGGAGAGCCTGGAGATGGTGACAGTGTGGCTGGGATAATGAACGCAGCCTTCCAGAGACAAACTGCAGCCTCCGTGGATCCTTGCAGGAGTGCGGGCTCCAGCCTGCTGGCATCCAGATGGACCATGGGTGGGTTTAGGTTCCTGGGAAAACACCACACCTGGGGGAGACATGCAGCCCTCCCTCCCATCCCACAGGCACCAAATTAAAATCGGTTGATGTTATAGTGAGAAGCTGGTTGCCAAAATGTGGACACCCTGCTTCCAAGTTTGCGCTTTGAATTTGGGTTTAAAAGGCTTAGATGCCTCTTTAAATTTCTTTCTAAATCATCAAGAATGACTTTTCCCCCAGGAGGGGATGCTATTCTGGGGTCACCATAATTTTTACTTCTGATTCTGCCCCTAGGTTAAAATAATGCTGTGATACTTAAGATTAAAAGTGAGAACTAACAGCCTGAAAAAAAAAATAGATGTACCCAAACATCTGAAGTTATGATGGGGGGTGGGTGAAACGAAGTTTCACATTTCTCATGAAAAGGTTGCCCAATCCCCGCTTTTGTCAAGACAAGATTTTTATGCAACCTTTACAGTGATTTTTGAGTAACACCTGAAGCTGAGGGAAGCGCAAACCCTCCTTTAATCTTAGCAGAAGCCTCCCTGTTAGGACTCAACTTTGTTCTTTCTCCGCTGTCATTAATTTTCCCCTTGAACATGCTTTTTCTCTCTGACAAAATAATGATTTTATTTGAGCCGCTGATGATTATCTGGCTGTATCAGACTTGAAAACTGTAATTTGAAAAAGGTGAGTCCCCTGCTCCCTCGAAGGCACATGCTGCCTTTTTCTTTTTCAGAGACATATATTAGAGGGCTTCTTTTAAATTTAAGCTGACATTCTTTGTCCAGGGATTTGAAATCCTGTAGAATATTAAAGCCCCATCTTTATCTTTAAAATATACTTTTAAAACCTGTTCTCTGTGGGGCTGTTTTAGTCCCTGGACGATTCTAAGTGACATTAAATAGCAAGTGAATTAGACCCAGCATGAATCACTAAATGGAAATGTATGTTTTAAAAATAATTGATTCGGGTGGGTTCGGTGAGCTGAGCCATCACCTGGGGAAGCTGGCAGCCCGTAGACCTGGCCCTGCCCGCCTGGCATGTTGTGACCTTGAGCGAGTTGCTGAGCCCCACCTGCCTCGGTTTTCTTGACTGAGAGAAGGAGCTAAGTCTGAGTGAACCCCATTGAGAACAGTTCTGGAATTAATCAGAACTTAATTACTGTGAAGCCTACTGATGGCTTTGTCATTGTTGACTGATGAGGAGAAGGGGGCCAGAACTGCCAAATGAAAAATTAAAACAAAAGTAGCTGGTACTCCCAACATAGTTTTTGGAAATTAAAACATATTAAAAAGCAATACATGCCAAGAGTGCTGGCAGTGTTTGTCTGGAAAGGGCACCGCGCTGTCCCCTGCAGCCTCACTGCTGTGTCTGAAGGACCTGATTCTGCCTCTCCAAACTTCCTCCTTCCCCAGCATCTCTTTCTGCCCCTCTGCTTCTCTGGGGCTCTTTGACTGACTTTCCCTTTGCACCTTGTATTAGTCTGTTTTCACACTCCTGATAAAGACATACCAGAGACTGGGCGATTTACAAAAGAAAGAGGTTTAATGGACTTACAGTTCTACCTGGCTGGGGAGACCTCACAATCATGGTGAAAGGCAAGGAGGAACAAGTCATGTCTTACATGGATGGCGGCAGGCAAAGAGAGAGAGCTTGTGCAGGGGAACCCCCCATTATAAAACCATCAGATCTCGTGAGACTTACTGTTACAAGAACAGCACAGGAAAGACCCACCACCATGATTCAATCACCTCCCACCGGGTCCCTCCCAACCATGTGGGAATTGTGGGAGATACAATTCAAGATGGGATTTGGGTGGGGACACAGCCAAACCACATCATACCTCTGGCTCCGATGGCTCCCATGCTGGAGATGTTCCTGGTCCGTGGACAGATGTTTTTCTCCTCTAGCTAGTTAGGCCATCTTCCATCTCAGAAATTCGGGCCATCATGGTGTGCAAAAGGAGATCCCTGGGATTGAGGAATGTTCTCAGAATCTCTAAGGTTCTGTGCAGCTGAGTGCCCTGAAGGAAGAAGACATTGCCCATCCTCCAGCAAGACGGTGGTTTCCTTGTCTTTTCTGAATAAGCTTGATGAGTGTTATGGAGGTCAAGCTCAGCAAGGCCACCCCAAGATGGGTTCAGCCAGGAGGGGGGTGCCAGCCCCTGAGGGCAGTGCAAGCAACTACTGGCTGGGGGGTTGGGGGAAGGCTGGGCTCTGTCCCCCAGCACCTTGTCAGGGAACAAGCCATCCTACTTCAAGGCATGCTGGTTCTGTATCTCTGTTCAGATCATTGATCCAAATGTTCCTGGCTGTTCTTTCCCACAAAGCTCAATGCTTTGGAATTATCATATCACTGGTGCAGTCTCTGGCCCAGTGGACTCTGGCTGGAACCCTCCCATTGGTGAGAACTTCAGCCCCACCAGCTCTTCTGTGGCTCCCAGAAGGCCTGGCCACCCCTTGGGGACAGTGGAAGGAAGGCAGGGTTACATGAGGCCCTAGTGACCAGGCCAAAGGTCAGGGCTGGGAAGGAGGAGCCCTGGGTCAGAGATAAGAGCTGCCACATCAGCAGAGGAGAGAAGGCACCCACCTAATCTCAACCCAGGTGGCTTTGCTCCAGGGCACATTTGGTGCGGTTGGCAGACGTTTTTCATTGTCACAACTGGTGGCTACTACTGACATTTAGTAGACAGAGTCCAGGATGTTGCTAAACAACCCAAAATACATAGGACAACTCCCTCCCACAAGAAAAGCATGTCCCCAAATATCCACAGTTTCGGGCTGAGCAATGCTAGCCTAGTGAGGCTGGCAAGGGCAGTAGCTCTAGATCATGCCAAAGTCCTGCTTTTACTCCCTAGTTCTAGGGACTCTGGAAAACTCACCTAAACTCCTGAAGCCTCAATGGCCTCATCTGTAAAATAGAGTCAATGATAATAGTGCCTGTCTGGCCGAGCCACTGCTATGATTAGGTGTGACAATGTACGTAAAACACCAGCCCACACTAACAGCGCAGTAAACATTCGGTGTCAACACTGTCAATTACATATGATTTTTACAAACACACAACAGACGTATTCCATACCTGATTAACTGCCTGCCTAGAAACTACAAAAATGAAAAAAGTGGCCGGGCGCGGTGGCTCCTGCCTGTAATCTCAGCACTTTGGGAGGCCAAGACAGGTGGATCATGAGGTCAGGAGATCGAGACCATCCTGGGTAACACAGTGAAACCCCGTCTCTACTAAAAATACAAAAACTTAGCCAGGCATGGTGGCAGGCGCCTGTAGTCCCAGCTACTTGGGAGGCTGAGGCAGGAGAATGGCGTGAACCTGGGAGGAGGAGCCTGAAGTGAGCCGAGATCGTGCCACTGCACTCCAGTCTGGATGACAGAGAAAGTCTGTCTCAAAAAAAAAAAAAAGAAAAAGAAAAAAGAGTACTTTTAAAATATTTTAAAATTGTGTCTAGGTGTGGTATGGACCCAACAACAATAAGCCAATACATCACAGTGAATAAAAATAAAGAAATCATCTCCAAGGTCTTCTCTGGCTGCTGACGGGTTCATGTCTGTGCATATATGCAAAGCCAACCGCCTGCAAGTAGATGGTTAGCATGTGTTTACACAAGCTTTTTAGCTTTTGAAAAATGGAGTTTTGAGAAAAACCATAGAAGCTATGCGCTTCATGCCTGGAGAGAAAACAGGGCACTGGGCTGAGTCCAGCCCGCACTCCCACTGCCCAGAGTTTCACGCTGTCTAACTCATTCCCTGAAGTCAAAGGGGTGAAGACAGTAAATGATCCCAAAACAGAGCATGTTTCTATTTGAGATTACTCTAGGCAAAGTCATACCTAATAAACATAAATACATTTGCAGAGAATGCAAGATGTATATGATTTTTATTCTTTCTATTCAACAATGCAATGTGTACTTTTAATTTTAAGTTAAATGTTTCTTTCTTTTTGATCATGGTTTCGTCTTGCGTGCATGTTACCTTGCCCAAGGGAACACCGCCCACATACACATATTTTTACAACATTACTCTTACCCTGATGGTAACTCAATTAATTAGAAAGATTGGAATCACATCTAATTGCATACTTAGCTAGCATAAACTTGTCAGAGTCATCTGATGTGAAATAAAATCTACAGACTCTTTAAATAAAATCAAAGGTAAGAATAAACACTATGTGCATTTGTAGATGAAAACAGTTTTGCTAAAGAATCATTAACATAGATGGTCTTAAAAGTCATAAGCCTTTCATATTTTCATTCCTAAACCTCTATACCACATTACATTATCTTCAGCCATAAACCTTAGGCTCTCACCCAAATAATGCAGGGTTGTTGGAGAGTCCAACCTTATGTAATAACTAACACATACTCAGACAACCTGTCTTTTAATATTACTCCTATATATTTGAAATATTAAACATAAAGCCTCTGGTAAAATGCCACTCCCATAAGCACGTATTAACAGAGATCTTTCATAAACAGCTTCAGAATGTGGAAAGAATGTCTTTGAATATTTTCAAAGAGATGGTCTATTTTTCATGTAGAGATGGATTTGCAGTTGTACAATAAAGACAGAAAAGACATTTATCAAACCTTTCACTGCACTGATTTTTATCTGTGGCTTTCACTCCCTGTGGCCCCTTCACTTACAGTCCCTGGAGATAACTTCTGGGAGAAACCACCTCACCAGAATTTTCTTCCAGGTGAAAAAATCACCTTTACCATTGACCTTCGTTAGCCAAATCCTCTCTTTTGCCAAATGCAACAGCCAAGGGCTACTTCCATTTCATCATGCTATGCAGAAAATCATCTTAAAATCAACTTCCAAAACAGTGAGTGAACACATGACAATGGGAACTCAGGGACCCTGGATTTTTCCTGGCCAACAGCAAATGAAGATAGGGAGGGGATCGCTGTGCCTGTTTGGAACATGTTCCTCATTGTAACTTTCCCAAAGAACAAAGTCTCCTGCATAAATCACCTGGGAGGGCTATGCTGATAAATGTAATTCACGCTGGAGATTCTCCAGCAGTTGTACCCACAATTCCAGCTATTTTTACTAAAGGACCCAAAAAGGTATTCCTTGCACCTCTTGTGGAATTAGATTCTCTTTCCTCTTAGCTTTCACTGTAGCCACAATTCTTCATTTACAAACTTGTCAAAGTCCTAAAACAAATGTTTTACGGTTATATCTTATTTTCGTTTGTCTGTTTGTTTTTGGTTTTGTAGTTAGTCTTGCCCGAGAAACAGACAAGATTAGCCCGGATCAAGTTCTGCAAATCCACTATTATTTTCCTTTGATTTTAAAGCATATACCGTATATACCATCTACGTGTCTGGAAGGAGTGAGAAGGTGGAAGAAGCTGTGCTTAACTCCAGTAAAGCCTGGATGTTGGCTCGGTGCTATCGGACCATTAAATTGCTCTACATGGCTTTCATTCTTGGAGGATAGAAAATAATGCATATGCTTAAAATGCTGTTAGATCAGTTTATTTGGTTACATTTAGAAATCACTTCCTATGAAATACAGCCTATGAAAATAATTAGAAATGCCAAGAGGATTTATGCACACACATGTCCATTATAGTGTAGTTTATAACAGTAAAAGTGTGAACAGGACCTGTTGTAAGGAAAATAATCATAGCATGGCGTGTCCTTATTACAAAATGCTATATAATGGCAAGCAAACTTTCTCATATTATAAACATGTAAAAAGTAGAATTTTAAAAAAGTGATCTAATGATCCCAAACTTATAAGAGAAAATCACAAATTAGCTATCATCTCTCTACCTACATACCTATTTACAAAGAAAAAGTCTAGGGAGAAAACTACTGTAACACATTGAAATAAATCTGGGAAGTAAGACTATGAGTTATTTTTAGTTTTCTTTTAAGAAATACTTTTATTAATTTTTGAAATTGCTGCAACCGTTGCTTTCATAATCAGAACACTTAAAATCTCATATTTAAGTGTAATTAATTGTCAGAAAAAAATGCTCCTGACATATTCAAACTAGAAAAGCAGGTTACACATCCACTGAGCCATTTCTCGTAATCATAAAACTGAAATCCCCCTGTATGAGTCTGCTTGGTCCACCGTAGTGAAATCCATAGCCTGGGTGGCTTCAACAATGGGATTCATTTTCTCATGGTTCTGGAGGCTGGAAGTCCAAGATCAAGATGCCAGCCTGGTCAGGGGCTGGGGAGGACCCACTGCCAGGCTATGGACGGCCACCTTCTCTGCTGTCCTTGAATGGCAGAGAATGGTGTCTCTCCTCTAAGGTCACAAATCCCACCTGGAGGCCCTACCTCAGGACCTCATCTAAACTACCCTATCGCCCACAGGTCCCATCTCCAAATACCACCCCATTGTGGGGTAGGGCTTCAACATAGAGATGTGAGGGGGGCAGCGTTCTGTCCATAGCACCATTGATAAGTCCCATCATCACAGGCTGGTGACACAGAGGACCACTTGTACAGCGGGATCCTGCACAGACATTCAGAGAGGTTCTGGAAGAAACCAGGGCATGGAGATGCACGTGTCACATATTTTTGTGAGAAAAGGGAAGTTACAAAATGCCATTCCATCATCATGTAGCACCCGACTGGCCTCTCTTCTGTAGGTGGCCGACTTCAAGTTTTCAGATTTGTTCTTACGCTGTTGGGTGGGGGGAGTGTGAGAACTTCAAGCGCAGTCCCAGGGGCAGGTGGAAGTTCCCAGGAGTGGTTCCGTTGTCACAGAGAAGAGGGTGCCAGCCTGAGAGGAAGAAAGGCACAGCTGCATCAGATGTGTTCCCATCACTCCTGAAGCCTCTAGCTTCTGATGTAGAAATCAGACTGGTATAACCTAAAAGTCAGATACCAAGGAAAACTCAGCAGAAGCAGAGGGGGTCTGGTAAAGACATTGCAATACCACAAACAGCCTCTAAGATGTGAACCACCCAGAAAGAAAACCCTGGGTCCTGGCTGAGCACTTTGTACCCACGTTCTAGGGTCGCATCAGAGGCGCTGTGCTGAGGAAACTGTGTATTCCTCACTCCAATTATAGGATGAATTGTGTTGTCTAACTATGATATGGTAATTGTAGACATAATGGCTGTTTCCTGGTGCTGTACTATACTTAATGTGCTGGTGGATAAAGCAATCCCTGCATTAAAAGGAATTATTGTATTTGTCATAAATTCCTTTGAGAATAATTCTGCATTCAGCTCCGGGCTGGCGGGAGGGTGTCTTTGATGGGAAACATGAAAGATTACAAGAAGGTGGAAGGTCAGGGGGCCGCACCTGACAGGTGTGCTCCTGGTCCCAGGCCAGGTAACTTACTAAGACTAACCTGGGGCACATTTACATTTGAAAATCAAGCCTGACATCCAGAGAAATCAAAGTGCCTGACGCAGCTGACGGCTTTATATTTGGAAATGAAGTGAAAATGAAGGCTCTGGGCTCCAAGGACAAGCTCCAGTGAGTGGAGTTGGGCGGAGCCCAGCCTGGTTATGGAAGGAGGGTGCAGAACCGCCAGCTCTAATCTGCACTATGCGTTCAGATGAGTGCTTTGCGGGTTTTCTCACCTTCCATTTTCTTACATGGCTTCCCTGCAACAGGCCGGGACCGCTAGACTCAGGATGGAAAACACTCCGCCTAGGTACCTCCTGGACTTCCTCTGCATCAAGATGTTCACTGTGCGGACAGGGCAAGCAGAGAGAAATATTTACAGGGAGGAGAGAGAAATGAGAGGGAGGGAGGGATAAAGAGGAAGACAGATCAGAGAAGGAGGGGGAGAGAGAAAGGGATTTTTATTTATTGGGCAGTATCCGTGCAATAGAAATACAAACTGCAGAAGATAAAAATTGTGGGGAAGTAGAAAGGATTGTACCTCTTTTTTTTTTTTTTTTCTATTTTTCTGTAGAGCTGAGATCTGTCTACAGCTCTTCACCCAGAAGTTGGGTTGTTCTTCATATTTCATTCTTACAATCACTTGATTGTGGTGGAGGAGGTAGCTGGCCCTGTCTCAGGCACATGGGTGACCTCAGCTCACCTGGGGCCAAATGAGTACTTTCCTATCAGGAAGCCCAGCCCCTCCTGCCTCCGGGTGCTGCCTGCCTGGAGGAGGCATCTGGACCCAGTTCCATCGTCTCTCCGCTGCTTCCTTGAGACCTTGAGCCTCTCAGACACCTGTGGGGCGAGGGCTGGAGTCCCTCCTAGAACCACCTCTGTCATCTCCTCCAACAGCAGCGGCAGTGGGCTTTTCAGTCTTTGAGTTGATGTGGTTGTTGGTTTTGGTTTTTATTTTTAAACTCTCTTCTACGATCATTTCTATAGAAATTAGATTGTAGATTGTATTTATGGAAATCTCTGGCTGACATGTGGGAGCTCTTTCCTAGATCGGCCATTTCACATGGAAAGAAGTGATGGCTATGATGTTCGTAGTTCTGTTAACAGAGTTACATTTTTCAGGATTGTAAATCCATCATCCCACGAGGCCAACTCCTCTGACTCTGATGGATGGTGCAAGGACTTCTGCGGGTGAGGGAGGGGGAGCTTCTCCACACCTTGTCAGAGGTACCTTCCATGGCACCTCCCCCTGAGACCCTCCCCCTAGGCATCTCTCGCAGGTACTTCCTCCTGGGCACCTCCTCCTGGGCACCTCCCTTGGCATCTCCCCTGGGCACCTTACCCTGGACTCCTTGTAGATGCTGGCCTGGCCCCCACTGACCCCGTGGAACTGGACTAGGAAGCATAGATCCGCTATTATTAAAATTACTCAAAAATATAAGTTGAATGAACAAACTTCCTGTCCCTTCCTGTTCTCCCAGGCATCCAGCTGAGAGGCTCAGATGATGACAAAGCAGGGCCCTGGGCCTCTCAGCCATCAGCAGGCTGGGGCGGACCCTCTTTCTCCACCACCCCTAGGCCTCTGAGAGGCAGAAGGAAAATGCGGTCTTCCCCCAGTGAAGCTCCAGAGACAGTCTGGTGGGCTAGTGGAACCCAATTCTCCTGGGACATGCTAATACTCCCTGCGGGAGATGGAGGCCGCTCAGCAAACCTATAGCTCTCTACAAACGACCTTGGAGGAGTTAGAAAGCCCCTCTCCAGCCGAGGTTGATTCTACAAGAACACACCGAACACACGGGGCTCCTGACATGGGGGAGTGCTTGTGTTTCAGGGAGTTCACGCCACCCGAGCTTTCTGTGACTTGGAAGAGCCGGCCCTGTCTGCTCACGTGCGGTCCCTGAGGCGTCAGTTGAGGATTTGTAACTTTTTTTTTTTTTTTTTTGAGATGGAGTCTCGCTCTGTCGCCCAGGCTGGGGTGCAGCTGCACGATTTCTGCTCACTGCAACCTCCGCCTGCGGGGTTCAAGCAATTCTCCTGGCTCAGCCTCCCAAGTAGCTAGGGCTACAGGCGCCCTCCACCATGCCTGGCTAATTTTTGTATTTTTAGCAGAGACAGGGTTTCACCATGTTGGCCAGGCTGGTCTCGAACTCCTGACCTAGTGATCTGTCTGTCTCCGCTTCCCAAAGTGTTGGGATTACAGGCGTGAGTCATCGCACCTGGCCAGGATTTGTAACTTCTGAGTTGGGCAGATGGCACTTTCTGAATAAGCCTGAGGCTGTGCCCAGCGGGGATGCCTTCCTGGAGAGCGAACGTCATGCCTGGGGACACACCCTCCAAATGCAAGGGTGCCCCCAAAAAAGACACCCCAGGGGACGGTGCCAGGACAACAGCATCTGTTCCCAGGAGGGCAGGGGTTTCTCCGTATCCTGGTATTAGAGGGAAGCTCAACTTTGTGGTCTGTCTGGTTAAACATCTTCTTTAAGTCTCATTACATGGCAGAGTAACATGCTTTTCATTTCTCAGATGTGATTAAACTCACATTCATTCCTGATTGAGGTTTGGAATCTTTTATTTAGGAAAAGAAATCAACTTCAGAAGGGAGCAGTCTTGGGCTTTGACACTCCGTGAGGCCATTAAATTTAATCCTGCCTTCACACTCACTCCAGGGGTGATTTCAATTAAATTTGTTCAAAATTTATCAGTTTCCTGCATGTTGGCATAAATGATTCAGGACCACTTACATATTCACTGAGTAGAATATATTGAAGGGTACACATTATTGTTATAACTTTTCACAGTTTCCTCATAAATTCACCTAATAGGAGTTTCTATTATTTAAAGCCCTTGTCCTCCACGTTAAATGGTCTTGTTGTTCTTGGAGCAGCAGAATCTAATTACCTATGCAGATTTTTAGAGCATTCTGGAGTTACAAAAGCTGCCCTTTTCTCTAGCAGTTGCTCTTGATACACTGTCTTGCAGGACATAAAATATGGCTTTTATTCTTCTAAAAAATCGGCAGGAATTAAGTCTCCAGACACTGAGAATCCTCGGGGAAGAATGAGAGGGAGTGTGGTGAGTTTTAGGGGACAGGCTCAGATATCAGAAACTGAAGACATTTATTTGGGAGCAGCACCCTAGCGTGCTGTGATCAGTTGACTTTATAGAACACAGAGGAAATAGATCTAGTCTGTGAAGATCAACAATTCAGAGTGCATCATTCCCTTGAGATAACACGAGATATGCGGTGGGCCCTTAGGCTGCAGTAAAACCGCACACTTATCAGTCTCAAATAATCCACTGGGCACTTTTATGTCCCCAAGAATTTATCTACAAAACCCCATCAGGCAAGGATGCATGAACATGAATTCTCTGTTTGTATATTGGCTACACAGGAATTATCTTTATTTTCTTTTTCCCTTGCAGAATTGCATTTGTGAGAGAACTTTATGCATCCTAGATGTTCTCTACTTAGAGAGGGACAGCAAAGGAGAGGGTTGACATGAAAATAAAAGTATTGCTACCATAACAGACAAAAAGACCTGCTCATCCAAACTCCTATTTAGCCAGATACTAGATTTCACAAGGAGGAAGTAAATTGACCCCGAGTTAATAATTAGAACTTTTAATAGGCATGAGATGATTTTTATGAGCTCTTTCTCTTTCAGGACTTGATGCCTTATGAAGTCTTCAAATTGAAAAATGTACATGAAGGTGTCCATCTTTGCCTAGATGGAAATAAAAAGGAGAGAGTGGCTGATGAAAAACCATGAATGGGCCGTTTAAGTCTTATTCTTTATTTCACAGGCATAGGTAGAATCATACTATCTCTATTTCACCTGAACTGTTGACTTCTGAAAAACAAGACTGGAAAAACATGTTTTCCTGAATTCTAGACCCAAGCCCTCAGCATCTTCACAGTGAGAGCCATCTCAACACCTCAAAACTGAAGCTGCTTACTGACTTGAACGAATGATGTGCTTCTTCCTGTGAAACAAGGATTCTACAACTCACTCCATCTGACTGCCAATTTCTAAAGGAAAATACATCTCAATTTCAGTTCTACACTTTGCTCTCTGAGTCAGGGACCCCATGGGGGCTTCCCCAGATACGTAGTTGTAGGCATCTCTGAGGACGTTCTCCAGGAGACTTGGACCTTTTTAGTTTCTGAGATCATGTCATCCATGAAAGGTAAAAGTTGTGACTCTCTGCCCCAGCAGTGGAGGGTCCTAAACGTGGGATACCACAGCTTGGAAGCCATGATGTGGGGCGGGTTTCTCTCCAGTCACTTAACCCTCCCTTGTCATGACTCCTCAGCGAGGCACCACTGACACCACTGAAATGGATTGAAATCCTTTGGTAGCTCGCAGGACTGCCCCATGCATCACAGAAGTTGTGAATTCCCAGTGTTTGCCAAGAAAATGCCAGTAATGATTCCCGTCATTGTGACAATGAAAAATTCAAATATCTAGTAGAAGAGAGAACCCCAACCACCATCAACAACAGCAGCTGTGGCAACAACAACAAAGAAGAAATAGTTTTAAAATCCAGACCAAAAAGGTCACCCCTATTGCAAAAGTGCAAAACGAAGACAGTAAGACCCATGGCTGACTTCTCAACAATGGAAGCCAAAATATGACATACGGCATATTGAAAATGCTGAAACTAAAACAACTCCCAAACTAGAATTCTGTGCCATGGGACATAACTTTTAAAAGCCAAGTTAGGAAACTAGACGTCAGTGAAAATAGCAAAGTAAGGACCTCTGAAAATTTTCTCACACATACGCTAAGCAGAACAGTGTGAAATTTGTCAGAATCAACTTTTTCAAAGCTCTGAAAATTAAAGCTTTAAAGCAATCCAAAGAGTGTTTATTTAAGAAAAAAAAACAATGAATCTCAGTAAGCAGGAGTTTTATGGCATTTTACTTTTTCCTATTCACATTTTCTCCTTCCCAGCTCTAGGTAGGTTTAAAAACCCATAGCCTACAATCACAGTGGAATCTTAAAAGCCACTGTGGAGGAAATAATTGGGCTGGAGACCCTTCAAAGCAAAGAACTGGCATTATTTGACCTGTCTGGTAGATCCTGGGAAGACTCACTCATGAGACTGTACTTACTTTTGACATCACATAAAGCTCACTCAGAAGAACAGCCTTTCCTACAGTGATGTATGTCAAAAACAATTACAATCAATTGTTGAACATTGAGGTTGCTTGAGGCAGCAGATAACAGTGGGGGCAACAGTTAGGCTAACCAATAAGCTAATCAAACAACTAAAAAGGAACAGCTAGAAAATGCAGTATCAGTGCAGCTTCAGAAACTGCACAGTATTCCTGGGAACCTAGAAGGACATGTGAGTATGTAGGGCTGTGTTGATGCTTAAGAAAGAGCAAAGAAGGCATTAAGCTGTCACCTCTAGCTAATCTTGAGGCTGTGTACAAGCAGGATGTAAAGAAAAAGGCAGAGTGTTTCCTGGCTCACTATGTATTAAAGGTGTTCCCCAATCTGCACACAAAGTCCTTCAGCAAAGACTGGTAGACTTATTGGTTTCAGGCATCTAAGAAAATACCTGTCTTCTCATTAGCTGACCATCAAACTGTGTAGAGACTTCAGTGGCCACACATAATGAAAAGAGACTTACATAATTAATTAGTAAATAAGCAAACTAAAACAAAACAACAAAGAACATCAACCTAAAACCCTGCAAGTGAGGAGAATTTAATCACCAGAGTTGCCACATTACATATTAGAAATTTTCAATTTTTAGCAACAACAAATATGAGACATACAAATAAACAAGGAGGTGTGGGCCAAACAGAGAGGGGGAGTGAGGTCAAGTGCAGTAAATAGAAATTGTCCTTAAAGAATTCAGATGTTAGAAATAACAGCCAAAGCATTTTAAAAAATTGTTTTAAATATGTCCAAAGATCTAAAGGGAGCCATGGCTAAATAACTAAATGGAAGTATGAAGATACTCACCAATAGAGAGTACATAAAAAAATACAAGATACAAAAAGGAAATTTTTTTGTAGAAGTTTTTGAGTTAAATACTACAATAAACGAAATGAAGATTTTACTGTAGTAGCTCAACATTGGATTTGAGCAGGAATCTGCAAATTTGAAGAAAGGTCATTTGGAATTGTCCAGTGAGAAACAGAGAGCAGAAAATGTGAAGATAAATGAACAGAGCCTCAGAGACCTGTGGTACACCGTCAAGCACACTAACATATGCATAATGGATTTTTAGAAGGATAGGAGATAAAGAAAGGAGAAAAAAAAGGTTATTTTAGAAAATAATGGTTAAAAACTTCCCAAATTTAATGAAAAACATTAATCTAAATGTCTAAAAATATTAAATGACTTCCATGTAGAATAAACTCAGAGAGCCAACCAAGACATATTATAATTAAATTGTTGAGAGTCAAAGACAGAGTTGCTGCTTTCAGTGGCAACAGAGAAGAAACTAATCATGCATAAGGTATTATCAATAAGATTAACAGCTAATTTCTTTTTACAGACAATGGAGGCTAGAAGACAGTGGAATGACATAGTCAAAACATTATCAATCCAAGAATTCTATACCCTGAAGTACTGTCCTTTAAAAATGAAGAAGTTGCAGTATTCCCAAATAAATAAAAACTTTAAAAAGAACTGTTACTGTCAAATCTGATCTATAATAAATAACTAAAAGGAGATTTTTAAGATTAAGTGAAGAGATGTTAGAAAGTAAACGCAAATCCATGAGTAAAGAAATTGAAGATACATTCAGCATATATATATATATATATACATACACACTGTATATATATATATATGCTGAATGTGTATATATATACATGTATATTCAGATATATATTTATATTATATTACATATATATTATATATAATATATATATCTGAATGTCTATGTCCCTCCAAAATTCATATATTGAAAGGTATTAGGTCATGATATTGGAGCCCTCATAATTGAGGTTAGTGCCCTTATAAAGGAAAGCCCAGAGAGCTCCCTTTTTCTGTATCTGTCATGTGAATATACAGATAGAAGTTGTGTGTCTGCAACACAGAAGAGGGCCCTCACCAGAACCTGACCATGCTGGCACCCTGATCTCACGTTTTCAGCCTCCAAGACTATGAAAAACAAATTTCTGTCTGTGGTTTTATAAACCACCCAGTCCATGGTATCTCATTATAGAAGCCTGAACTGTGTAAGACATTTTATAACTCCCTTTTTCTCTTATTTGGTTAAAAACCTATGTAATGCAAAAATTACAAATATGTGTTGCTGGATTTACAATGTTTAAGGCCTTAATTTATTACATACAATTAATTATGTATAAATATGTAATTTATAACAACACAAAAGAGGAGGAAGAGAGGAATGGAGCTATATAGAAGCAAAGTTTTTATATACTATTGTGGTTAAATTAATATTAAAATAAACTAAATTGTTATAAATTAAGATGTCAATTATAATCCTCAGGTGAACCACAAAAGAAAAGAACTCCAAAGATATTACAAGGATATTAAAATACCTACTTAACACAAGAGAAGGCAATAAGGGAGGAATAGAGGAATTAAAAGATACAAGAAATATAGAAAATAATAGCAAAGTGACAGGTGAAAATCCTGCCTTATTAGTAATTACATTAATAATAAATTGATTAACCCCTTTACTTAAAGGCAGAGACTGGAAGAATAAGTTAAAAAAACAGATTACTTTCCAATGCTTTTATATACTTGAGATTCAGTATATAGATGACAAAGTGAGAAACTTTAAAGGTGAAATTTAAAACTGCAAAATTATATTTGCGTAATTTTTTTTTTGAGACGGAGTTTCACTGTTGTTGCACAGGGGTGCAGTGGTGCGATCTTGGCTTATTGCAACCTCTGCCTCCCAGGTTCAAGCTACTCTCCTGCCTCAGCCTCCTGAGTAGCTGGGATTACAGGCGTTCACCACCATGCTCAGCTAATTTTCTATAGTTTTACTAAAGACAGGATTTCATCATGTTGATCAGGCTGCTCTCAACTCCTGACCTCAGGTCATCTGCCTGCCTCGGCTTCCCAAAGTGCTGGGATTGCAGACATGAGCCACCACGCTTGACTATATTTGGATAATTTAGCACACTTCACAAAAATTAATAGAGCAGGCATAAACCAGTGCAGATGAAGAAGATTTGAATAAAATGATTACTAAGTATGTCCCAATTAACATACATAGAACACCACAGCTAATAACTACAGAATAAGCATTCTTTTGAGGGATGATACAGCACTCAAAAAATTGGCCATCTTCTAGGCCCTAAAACAAGATTCAACAAATTTCACAGGCCTGAAATCATTCACAGTATAAATTTTGATGTCAGTGGAAGCAAGCCAAAACTCAAAATAAGAAAAATAAACTAGAAAATACCTATACATTTCTTTTTTTTTATCTTGCTAGAAATTTTATTACATTCTTTTGTCTGTAAGGATTAATAAATTTAGAAAATGTCCGCATATTTGCATTTGGGGGAATAGTAGTTGCTTTTTTTGTTTGTTTTTATTATACTTTAAGTTCTGGGGTACATGTGCACAACGTGCAGGTTTGTTACATATGTATACATGTGCCATGTTGGTGTGCTGCACCCATTAACTCGTCATTTACATTAAGTATTTCTCCTAATGCTGTCCCTCCCCATTCCGCCCATGACCGGCCATGGTGTGTGATGTTCCCCACCCTGTGTCCAAGTGTTCTCATTGTTCAATTTCCACCTATGAGTGAGAACATGCGGTGTTTGGTTTTTTGTCCTTGAGATAGTTTGCTGAGAATGATGGTTTCCAGCTTCATCCATGTCCTTACAAAGGACATTAACTCATCCTTTTTTATGGCTGCATGGTATTCCATGGGGTATATGTGCCACATTTTCTTAATCCAGTCTATCATTGATGGACATTTGGGTTGGTTCCAAGTCTTTGCTATTGTGAATAGTGTCGCAATAAACATACATGTGCATGTGTCTTTATAGTAGCATGAATGATAATCCTTTGGGTATATACCCAGTAATGGGATTGCTGGGTCAAATGGTAGAAAATACCTATATATTTCAAACTAAAGGAATGCACCTCTACATAAATGATGTCAAGGAATTAATCATAACATCAATTTTAAAATATTTTAAAATAATCAAAATAAAAACTCTTATATGAAAACTTCTGTAATGTACCTAACATTTTGTCTCAAGAAAAGTTATTGCATTAAATGTATTTTTCATAATTCATGCATTGAGAAATTTAAAAGATTAAGGCACAGTAAAAAAAATGGCCCATAATAAAAGTATGAGCTAAAAGTAGCAAAATGCAACCCAATAATATAATAAAAATAATTAGTTTGAATAAACTAATAAAATTAATAACTTGGCAAGACAGATCATAAGGGGGAGAGGATGCAGAGAGAGAGAGAGAGAGAGAAAGAGAAGGCCATGAAACCAATATCTGTGAAAAATGTGATATCACTATAGACCCTACAGACATTGAAAGCTAATATGAGGGAATTGTGGACAAGGTATGGCAATGAATTTGAAAACTTAAATGAAATGGCTAAATGACTAGAAAAACACAACTTTCTGAAAGTGACACAAGAAGAAATAGAACACTGTAATATCCCTGAATGTATTATGAAATTAAATACATAAGTAAAAATTTTCCAATGAAGAAATCTCTAGGCCCTGATAGTTTTCTGAGTAAATCCATCAATATATGAAAAATGAGAAAATGTCACAATAAAGTTTAGTTTGTTTCAAGGAGAGCAGATTGAATTTCACATTTGAAAGTCATTCAGTACATAATACTGCTTCAACAAAGTAAAAAAGATAATTTTTAAACATCTTACAAGTAGTAAATATAGCATGTGAAAAGCTTAAATTCTCTTTGCTATAGATTCTACAAATTCCAGCAATTAAGATATAGAAGGAAACTTAAAAAAAAATTCTGACAAAGAGCATTTTTAAAACAACCTATAGCTAACATCATATGTAAAGATGAAATATTGAAATCTTTCCTCTGACACGAGAAATGAGAATACAAATATATGCACATGTGCACACTCAGCAAAATAAAATATAGAGAATCAAAAAGAAGAAATAAAATTGTTTTTGTAAATGACATAATCACATATATAAATAATCCAAAACTATTTTTAAAATTATAAAGTAGATTGAGGCCAGGAGTGGTGGCCCATGCTTGTAATCCCAGCACTACAGGAGGCCAAGATGGGTGGATTGCTTGAGGTCAGGAGGTCGAGACCAGCCTGGCCAACATGGCTAAACCCCATCGCTACTAAAAATACAAAAAGTAGTGGGGCATGACCGTGGGCACTTATAGTCCCAGCTACTCGGGAGACTGAGGCAGAAGAATTGCTTGAACCCGGGAGGCGGAGGTTGCAGTGAGCTGAGATAGCGCTGCTGCACTTCAGCTTGGGCAACAGTGCGAGGCTCTGTCTCAAAAAAAGTAAAAAAAAAGGAGATTGAGAAAATCACTATGTACGAAATCGTCATGCAAAGACCACTTATATTCCTATATATTAGCAACTGACAACAATTAAAATACACACACCCCACATATATTTATAGGTGTATGTGGATACTAAGAAAGTAGAAAAGCAAGCAATAGAATGGGATGTGATGTTTGTGATACATTTTTTTGAACAAAGGGCTACTATCAAGGATATAAATGAAATTGTTAAAAATAATTAAAACATTGAACTTGTGATCAGCCCAGCAGGAAACAGATTCTGGCTGGTGGTGGGTCCTGGGCTGTCTCTCCCCCTCCCTTGAATGGAGCTCCTCTTAGCAGAGGGGGCAGGGACACCTACAGGAGAGAGACAGGGACACCTGTGGTGGGCACAGGGATACCTGTCTGGGGAGAGGGCAGGGACATCTAGTGAGGAGGCAGGGACATCTGTGTAGGGACAGGGATTCCTATGGTGAAGACAGGGACATTTGTAAAAAAGGGGGACAGAGAAACCTTCTGGGGAGACAGGGATACTTGCAGGTGGCATAGGGACTCCTGCAGGGGGGAGGCAGGGACACCTGTGGAGGAGTGACACCTGTGGAGTGGGAAGGAGGACAGCAAGTTCCAGGCCTGGAAGACATTGCAGGTTGAGGTTGTTCAGGTGAGAGTGGGCATGACTAGCTTGGCAGGCTTGTTTGCTGTGGCAGGCATTGCTAGGTGAGCACGCTGGGATGCTGAGGCAGATATGACTAGTGGAGCACGTGGCTGCCCAGGCTGGGCACCTCAGGGCACCCTGGCATCTCACCCCTGGGCCAACTTTGCAGGGCACAGGAAATATCGATGGAGTGAAAATATGGTGTCCCAGTGCTCTCAGCAAAATTATTGCTGGTTCAAGTCAGATTGCCTGGCTGCGCTGGGATGACTGATGTAATGATTGGAAACATGAATTATGAGATGTTTTCCTGCATTTGGGCCTGGTACCCTAGTGAGAGTATGCAAACAACACGTGGGTGAATCTGGCCCTGAGCATTCAGAGTCAAGGGTGGGTCTGCAGCCCACATGGGACACCAGGTGTTGGCTCTGCCTGTGTCTCCGTGCAGAATCAGGAGATGTTCTTCCGTGGACACAGAGCGGAGGCTGTTTCTGCACCAATATTTGTTAAAGACAATATGTGTTTGAAGAAAATCTGTTCTAGAAACATAAGGTCATTGCACAGGACCAGGCTGAGCCTCCAGCAGGTTCCAAAGGGCCTGAGGGCAGCCAGAGGGCCCCTGTCATTCTGAGGACTTGAGGGAGCTCTTCTGGGACTCCTTGTGCCTCCAACACACCCTGACCCTGGAGACCCCAAGACCCTAGAGACTCTGAAAACCTAGAGATAATGAGACCCTAGAGACCCCTGAGATTCTGAGACCCAAAGACTCCAAGACCTGGGGCCCCTGGACCCCCAGAGACCCCTGAGACCCCAAGCAGACAGGGCAGTACTCCTTCACACTTGAGGCTTCTGCTCTCATGGATCCCTCCCTCCATAAAACAAATAAAATACAAATAAAAAATTGTATTTTTCAGCTGCATTGGTATAAACACAAATATATTAATATTACATATTAAAACATTTTATTTGACTTAGAAGTTCATTCTCTCCTTTGATTCTGAAAGACATGCAAGCATTTCCTTGTGCTCCTGAAAGCAGTCTCAACCAGGTGCTGTGCCTGCCGAGCTCAATGGGGAGTTGGTGCCACCTGCAAGTCTCTGGCGCCCTTTTGCCTTTTCCTTGCCACAATTCTTACCTGGGCAACGGCAGAGAGTTGTTTTTGCAGAGCCGCCTCCACCCGCCGCACCCAGAGGTGTCTCCAGATCAGCCCTGGCTCGGCAGTTGCACCTGCAGTGGCCAGTGTAGCCTTGGAACAAACAGCGCTGGGTTCCGATCAGCCAGCCAGGCCCAGCTGAGTGGCTGGAGGACTCCTGGTCATCTGGACCAGCTCCTCAGGAGCTGCATCATCTGATTCCACATCCTCCATAGCAATTGTTTCAGCTTTGATCTCAGCATTTACTATCCCATGAGGCATTTCTTACTTCATAAATGACTTTATTAGAAAAGTCTTTCTTACAAGCGACCAGATTTGCCTTTTTATGGCAGCTGTTGGGCCTATTTCTTATTTCTGGAACGACTCAGAATGTGCCTATTCCTTTTCCTTCTCTATCGAAACTATCCAAATGTGCAAACAGTCTAAAGACCTTGTGATATTTGTATTTAAGGTGAGTGGGGGATGGAGGACAGAAAATTAAATGATTATGGCCACACATGTCATGTTTTCATTAACTTTAGTGCTTTCCAGGTGATGTTTCTGCTTTGTTCTCAGTGACTAGCAGACAGTACAGCATTTTCTAAACTCATCTTTCGCGTTCCTTTCAGCCGGTGATGGTGGGTTCCAACGGAGCGTCCACAATATTTCCAGGCAACTTGCTCTATGAACAATCAGGGGACATGGCAGCCATGCCATTACTTTCGAACTCGCCATTAAAGTTTCATAGGCGTGTCATGGATTATTGAAGAATTAATGTTGAGGTCCAGCTGCGTGTGCCCCAGTTCCTTGCAGAAGTGCCAATGCAGCTCCCTGGCAGCCCAGGCTGTCGAGCATGAAGTTGCTCAATTGCCTCTCACAGCTTCTGTCTCTGATGCAGAAAAAGAAAACAAACCTAAACTCCTTATGTTGAAAGTAAAGGCAGACATAACGGTAAACGCTCTGGCTAGGTGATAAGTAGGAGGCCAGAGGAAAATTTCTACCAATCAGCTTCCACTTTCACAACTGTCAGGGGAAATGGCTCTTTCAAACCATTTAGTGGATTCTGTTCTGAAAACAAATGTTCTCATTAGCCCCAAGTCTTCTTCATGGAACACACAGGAGTTGGCTGACAACAGCATTCAAACGCCCATTGTAATTGCTGAGTCCCTTCTACACTCCAAAATAAAGGAAACATTTTGCATTTCTAAATATAAACTTTTCTTCTGAAATCCTCTAGAGTGCCTCATGCTTCTCATTAAATTGTGCTCAAAGCATTTTCCAACATTCTAAGCCATAAGACACAAGGAGAAAGATTACATTTTTTGTTTTAGTTCTGAAGATTGTTCCTCAATGAAATTTAATTCTATTTAAAATTTACTGATTATTAGATGAAGATAAAGTGTGAGGGCATTACATAGAAATCAAGAATGAGGTAGGACGTTATCTTTAGGATGGTGGATGTAGTCTCAGAATGCTAGGCGCACTCACCATGGACATTATCTTTAGGATGGCAGATGTGGTCTCAGAATCCCAGGCTCACTCACCGTGGACTTTATCTTTAGGGTGGTAGACATGGTCTCAGAATCCTAGGTGCCCTCACTGCAGACTTTATCTTTAGGATGGTAGACGAGGTCTCAGAATGCCAGGCTCACTCACCGTGGACATTATCTTTAGGATGGTAGACGAGGTCTCAGAATGCCAGGCGCACTCACCGTGGACTTTACCTTTAGGATGGTAGACGAGGTCTCGGAATGCCAGGCTCACTCACCGTGGACTTTATCTTTAGGATGGTAGACGAGGTCTCGGAATGCCAGGCTCACTCACCGTGGACTTTATCTTTAGGATGGTAGACGAGGTCTCAGAATGCCAGGCTCACTCACCGTGGACTTTATCTTTAGGATGGTAGACGAGGTCTCGGAATGCCAGGAGCACTCACCGTGGACATTATCTTTAGGATGGTAGACGAGGTCTCAGAATGCCAGGAGCACTCACCGTGGACATTATCTTTAGGATGGTAGACGAGGTCTCGGAATGCCAGGAGCACTCACCGTGGACTTTATCTTTAGGATGGTAGACGAGGTCTCAGAATGCCAGGCTCACTCACCGTGGACTTTATCTTTAGGATGGTAGACGAGGTCTCGGAATGCCAGGAGCACTCACCGTGGACATTATCTTTAGGATGGTAGACGAGGTCTCAGAATGCCAGGAGCACTCACCGTGGACATTATCTTTAGGATGGTAGACGAGGTCTCAGAATGCCAGGAGCACTCACCGTGGACTTTACCTTTAGGATGGTAGACGAGGTCTCAGAATGCCAGGAGCACTCACCGTGGACTTTACCTTTAGGATGGTAGACGAGGTCTCAGAATGCCAGGAGCACTCACCGTGGACTGTATCTTTAGGATGGTAGACGAGGTCTCAGAATGCCAGGAGCACTCACCGTGGACTGTATCTTTAGGATGGTAGACGAGGTCTCAGAATGCCAGGCTCACTCACCGTGGACTTTACCTTTAGGATGGTAGACGAGGTCTCAGAATGCCAGGCTCACTCACCGTGGACTTTATCTTTAGGATGGTAGACGAGGTCTCGGAATGCCAGGCTCACTCACCGTGGACTTTATCTTTAGGATGGTAGACGAGGTCTCAGAATGCCAGGAGCACTCACCGTGGACTGTATCTTTAGGATGGTAGACGAGGTCTCAGAATGCCAGGAGCACTCACCCGTGAATGGCCACCACATGTTCTTCTGTTGAATTTTGCTTCTGTGCCCTTAGGAATGAGGGGCATGAAGTCTTGCAGAGTTTGCAGGAAAGGTCGTCACGAAGAGGGTAGCAATTTACCATCTGCTGTCTTTATCTGTATGTTCCATACCTTCTCCATCTAACACAAATCGGCAGATTCCAATGATAAGAAGGCAAGAAAAGTGTATGTCATTATTTCAGATAGTATGCAACTTGATTTTAAAAAAAGTGAATTGAGGCTGGGCAAAGTGGCTCACCTGAGGTCAAGAGTTCAAGATTAGCCTGGCCAACGTGATGAAACCCTGTCTGTACTAAAAATACAAAAAAAAAGAGAAACCACCACCACCACCACCAACAACAAAAAAAACACAAAAGTAGCCTGTTGTGGTGGCATATGCCTGTAATCTCAACTACTTGGGAGGCTGAGGCGGGAGAATCATTTGAACCCAGGAGGAGGAGGTTGCAGTGAAATGAGACTGCACCACTGCACTCCAGCCTAGATGACAGAGTGAGATGCCATCTCAAATAAATAAATAAATAAATAAATAAATAAATAAATAAATAAAATAAGTGGATTGAGCTGCAACAGAATTCAAAAATAAGTGCACTGATAAATATGTACAATTTTTAAAGATGAATTTATATTAATATTTAATATCTTCACTCAAGTTGAAAAAATAGCAAAACTTCTTTATGAAGCTAATTCATTTTGTTTAATTAAAAACAAAAAGGTCAAAAATGTTAAGCTCATCATTGAATTGTTTGTATATATTTTCGAGATGACCACACCATAGTTGAGACCCACCTCCAGCCTGTCTCTCACCTGATAAAAATTCCCAGTCTATCTAATCAATCGTAAACTGGTTATTGGCTGGTTTGCATATAGAAATGGCTAGTTAGTCAAGAAGATGATAGTAACAAAAACAGGAGGGATGATCACCTCTGTGGGTCCCACACCTGAGACAGGGCCAAGGAGACACTCGTCTGTGCAATCACCCACCTGCAAACTCACCCAAATAAGTTGAACGAAGAGACATGTCCACAAAGCCGGCTTATTCTGCTGGTTGTGCAGAACTAGGGGCACCAGCCTCTGGGAGAGGCAGACGCTTCAAACCACAGAATTTATCAGAAGCCAATGCCAAGATAAGCATGCAATGTCTAGACCACAAGGAGAGCTGTGGGGCTTTGTGGGGCCGAGTGGGGCCGAGTGGCATGACCTGGTGTGGTGGAGGCCAGAGTCAAGATCCAGGCCAGAAGGAAGAGGCTGCAGGGACCACGCTGCTGCTGGACACAGGGAGATCAGGCAGGAGGAGGTTTGAGGCCATCCCTGCAAAGACAGAGCCTTTCTCTTCATCAGGGTCCTGTTGAGTGAGGGCACTTTGTTCTCTCCCTAGGACCAGCTCACAGCCCTGGAAGGAGCAGCTGTCTGTGGTGTGGTGGTGGGTTCTGGAATGGCTGGGCAGGGCCCTTCAGACGAAGACGCACGTCTTCCTCCACCTCCATCTGCGTATCAATGGGTCACGGCATTGGGCAAAAGGAACATCTTGATAAACAAGGAGAGGCCAGAGGATGGCTGAGCACTCTGTTCGGAGAAAGAGCCCTCTTCTCAGAGCCCGGCTGACAGAGGGTGATGGTGAGGCCACCATGCCGGCTGGGATCCTAATTGACCGGAGACTATGGGTGGTGATATGATGAGGGGTCTGAGAGGTCAGCCCTTCACAAATGCCTGGACCCCTACAATTCAGTTTAAAGGTGAAATAACATTTCATGTTCCATGGATCTTCTCATTTGCCACATTCAGCTTCTCAGCCACACTTCCCAGAGCTGTCCTTCATGTTGACAGTGCTCATATGTGTGTGTGCACCGACTGCCTGCACATAGGTGTGTGCATAGGTTTGGATGTGTACACACAAGTACCTCTGTGAGCGTGCACCTGAATACATGTGTATATCTCTGTTATGGGATCATGTGTGCACATGTGCCTGTTTGGGTATGCACCTGTGTTCGTGTGTGCATGTATGCTCATTTGCATGTGCACGTGTGCATGCTTTGTGTGCCTGTCTTTGGATACATGCAATGCTTTTGGGTATAGATGTCAGCGCCTGACTGTGCATTCAAATACATCCATACACACTTGAGTGGGTGTGCGCATGTTAGTGCCTGTGTGCACTCATGTGCTTGTGTGCGTACTTGCACTTGCATACATGTGTGCTCATGCATGTATGCAAGCACCTGCGTGAGTATGTGCACACATGCATGCTTGTGCCTGTGTTTCTAGGCATGTGTGCACCTGCTCCTGGTGCTATGGGAGAGGCAGTTCACATGGAGCCCAGGATGCTTACCCTCAGGTGCAGCTGGATGTGGAGATGGTCTTCCAGGCTCCAGCCCCGTTACCCTCGCCAGTCGCTTGACCTCTCTGAACCCCAATTTCCTCATCTTTAAGCCAAAGGTGCTCATGACTGAACCTTCCTCTTAGGGTCCCTGTGAGAACTGAGGACTTCACGTATATAAAGTGGCTAGCAAAGGGCCCCCCTCAAAGCATGTGCTATGCATGTGAATTATTATTATTATTATTATTTTGACCCTTTTGTGCCTGCTGTCCTGGTTCACGTCAATGTGGGTGAAAAGTCCATGGTTTCACTATGTAGGTAGTATGAACCTGAAGCCATTCTTTTATCATAAATCTTCTTACCCCTTTATTGAATTTGGGAAATAATAAGTGCTCACACCTTTTGCTCTGCCTGGCACCTACATCTGCTTCCCAGCAGCCATCACACATGGTGCATTATGAAAATCCTGGTGAGATGTGACACAATTATGATGGAGATTGAAGCGTCCAGTGTAATATATTTCACTCAGAGATGCCAACACTTACAATTCAAATCCCACCCTCACCCCATCAGGATTTGTTAGGTGAAATTAGTTTTTAAAAAAAGATGAATAGAGATGTAATTCTTTCTAAAGAACAAATCACCTCTACCATTCCTATTTAATTATTTAAAAAATATTCAAATGCTACTTGAAAAATTACCACATAATTTTTAAAATTCTATACATGGGATTACATTTATACAAGTTTGCTAAGATGCAAGTGGCATTTGGAATAGTCAACAATTAGGCATTTTCCAAAGCATTTATTTTTGAAAGATGTCTGGCCTAAATATGTCATTATCATTAGAGTTTAGTGATTTTTACAATCAGAACATAGCTGTCAAAAGGGCTGGTTTTTGACATCATGGTTACTGTTGAGGAAAACCACAGCCCTGAATTTGAAAGCTCTTCTCCTAGGAGAGGCCCTTGCCTTTCACGGTGTCCCTCAGAAGAGGACGCCCACTTCCACGTGAAACAAGACACAGCTGCTGTGGTGTCTGGGTGGGTGACCACTCACGGGTGCTGGATGATCCTGAGGTAGGTGAAGTTCTAAGGTAAAAGTAAAGTCCTAAGGTAAAAACAAACATACTGGGAAATTAAGTATGGAAAATAAGTGTTTGTGTGCTTATGAAGAAGGTTGAAGGAAACCAGCATGCCGTCCTTGCTATCCGGTCCAAGTCAAAAGTCTCTTTTGCCAGGCCAAAAGAGAAGCCGTGTTTCGGAGTTTCAGCTACCCTCTGAAATGCTTGCGATGAACCACGTGGTCGCTAGAGAGCTGCTAAGCCCACCAGTGCAGTGCTGAGGCTGGGCAGGAGGACACGGTGCACTGTCTCCATTTTTCCTGGGATGATTGAGCACCAGTAACCTGGATTTGACATCCTTGATCTCCCCTTACACGAGTTTTTGGGATGTGCCTGTTTTCCTGGATGGTGTTCCCATCTGCTCACTTTTTAGGAGTCTCCCAGCTCCAAGGTTTTCCTGGCTGCCCTTCCATGGCCAGCGCCAGTTCTCCCCTGTGTGGGGTGTTCAACATCCTATTGGCTGCAGCACCAGCCTCACCCAAGGGAGGGTACCCAGCAAATGGAGCCCCCGTGCCAGCGGGAATCAGAGGTGTGGGAGTCCAAAGCGCAGAGTGCTGGGAAGGATCAGGAAGTGAAGGTCCCTCCAGGAGGAGCCTGGGTGCCACCTCTAATGAAGCAAACCAACCTCTGATGACCACTGTCCTGTGGGATCTGAGGATGCTGTGGGCCCTCCCTGGGGCAGGTGGTCTCTGTGGAGAGAGGATCCTTGGGGACACCCAGAGTTGGCCTGCGGTCATCTAGAAGGGCAAACTAAAGATTTCGGAACCCAGGAGACCCAGGCCAAGGCAGGCCCATCAGAAGGATGAAGCAGCTCCTGGACGCGTCAGAGCAGGGCAGAAGTGTCTGTCCTGAATCCAAGCAAAAGAATAGAACAGCAATTGTTGGTGGTGATTTCTCCTTGCTCTGCAAAGCCAAAGTACCGGGTGTAGTTATTATATAAATGAAGAACGTTTGTTGTTACTTAAAATATCTGTATATATCTGGAGCCGGTTTCGGTATTCATACATTCCCAGAACTGGGGAGGGCACATTCTATCCAGGAATATTCTATGAAACCAGCTACGGGAAAATTCAGTGGAGATTGGGGAATTATGGTGCTGTATTTATGTTTTTTCTCTCATTCCTTTACTTTCCATAAAAGCACTTTCATTTTTCCTGGCAACCACTGTGGATACAGAGTGAACTGTGTTTCTCCACAATTCCTGTGTTTAAGCCCTAGCTCTCAATGTCATGGGATCTGGAGGTGGGGCCTGCAGGAGGTAACCAGTGTTAGATGAGGTCGTGAGAGCGAGAACTATGCGATGTGATTGATCGGTGTCCTTATAAGAAGAGACCCAGGGAGCTTCCATATTCTCTGCCATGTAAGGACACAGCCTGCAGGAGGCCACCTCTGAGCCAGGAGGAGGCCCTCTGTGGAACTCGCCCTGCCAGCACCCTGGTCTCCGACTCCCAGCTTCCAGAGCCCTGGGACATGCGCTTGGCTGTTGAAGCTTCCCATTCCGTGGTGTTTTTGTTACAGCAGCGTGATCAGACTAAGACAGCTCTGCTCTGATTTGGTGACTCCATAATTTTTTATTAAACCAAAAATGTTTAACCATTTCAATGTACTTTACAAGTTGCATCCACCTTTTTCAACATGGGCTTTTGTATAATGGATAAAAATATCTTTCTGGTAAAAATAGAAAACGACTTAAATATTTTAATTTGAAATTTTCAATGTAAACTAAAAATATATATAAGCCAGCATAAAATGAAAGGACTTATTAATGGATTCAGACAAAATGAAAAAAATCAGAGTTAGCAAAGAATCTGAAGCAGTCAAAAGAATCATTGATTTATGGGAGGAAAACCTCCTGAATCCCAAGACGTGCCGTGAAACAATTAAACCTAAGCATCTACCTGCAGTGGCCAGAAATTCTGCCCTGTGGAGTGATTGAGATTTGCCAGGATAGGTCTTTCCTGATGAGTAAACTCCAATTGATCAGTAAGAACCCGGTTGTGGAAGTTCAGCGACCACAGTATGCAGCTGGTCCGCTTCTATTACATCGTTGTTAAGCACTCAGTAAATGCCTTTTCAAGAATCATTCTGTCTTTAATTAGCACACACTGGCTGTCCTATTAAACCGAAATTAAGTTCTTATTTGAAGCAGTTAATTTGGAGACTTAACCAAATGTGGACATCTGCAAGGTAGTAATTTCAGTTCCAGCCACTGTCAGGATCCAGGCATTCTGTAATCCTGCAGGCTTAAAAGCTCGCCATTCCTCAGACAAATGCAGGTTCCACCTGACGGAGTGCAGACATGTTAGTGTGTGTGTGCGCACGTGTGTGCATGTGTGAGCATGTGCCCGTCTCTGTGTGTGTTTAGACTAAAGACCCCAGAGGCAAATGTTTCCATCAAAAAAGCACAATTTATTAAGCATACAGTAAAATGACATTTCCATTGTGAAGCTTTGCAGTTTGTTAACTTTAGAAAACTCTACACAGCAAGGTGCCACGAAGAATTGCTGCTGGGATGGGGAAGTCCTGGGTTGGGCTCAGTTCATTCACAGACTTGTTTTCCCAGCCCCTGCTTCCAGGTTTGTTTTAAAAAGATATTTTCAGACTAAACATTTTCTGAGTCCTCTCAGTTCTAAAATTATGTCATGATAGAAGAATAATTAAATTGCAAGTTTTATAGTTAATTGTGCATTGTCTGGAATTCAAACATGTTTAATATTCCAGCACATTATCATTCCCAGTGTGAGAAACAAACATAGTCATTTAAACCCAAAGAATGGACTCAGAGACTCGGAGAACTTACAACCTAAGTAGCTGGGCAGGCTGATAAGAACAGAAAAAATGAGCTATTTTGCAGGCTAGTAAACTTTTAACTTAGACTAAACTTCTTTGGTTCGGGTGAGGGAAACAAGTGGGGAGGGGGGCAGGTGGGGACGGGGAGGCTGACAAGCAGGCATCGGTGATCCAAGCATGGGCCTAGTGTATCCTATTTCTTCTGTAGTTTGCTGACCTAAGCCAGTTCAAGGCACTTTGTCTTGGAAATGGACCACTGCCTGCATTGTTTCCTTCACAGGGCAGCTGTGATATTCCACTGAAGAGGGAATGAAAGTAGCACAGTTCTATATAAACACAAATATAAACATGCTTCTCAGAAATCTCTGTACTGATCATACTATGTTCCAGGGTCAGCCACCTATAACTAGTCTTTAGCCAAAAGATGAACTCAAACACACACAGGGCAGATATGTGACATTGGATGGATGAAGGCAGGCTCTGTAAGTGCATTGTTAGTTCACAATGGGTAATTTGAAGAGTCTACACTTCTCTAAAACTGTATGTAATCACAAATAGTGGCCGGAAAAACCTGGAGAGAGATAAGAGGATGCAATCCACACTTATTTTTCCAATTAAATTATGTTACCTACAGAAAATGAGCAGTGTACTACACAACAAAGATTACTCAGCTAAGTCATTATATAAATAATTGTAATTTACAAATAGTTGTTCTCAATGTATGTTTGTTATCCGAAAAAACACTGTCTCTGGTAATGAGGTGAGATTTATTTCTTGGTTATTGCATTCTAGCTTCTATACACACAGTCTTATTTAATCTTTACAGTAGCCAAGCGGAGCAAGCTTTATTCTCATTCTCGTTTTACAAATGAAGCAATAGAGGATCTGAGGGATTAACTAATTCGTGTAAGGTAACCCAGATACAAGTGCTGACCCTGGGATCCGAACCCATGCTGAGAAGAGGCTCTCTCCGCATCTCTCCCAACCCCAGCAGGAAAGCTGCAAAACTGCCTGAGAGAGCCGGCACTTCTAATATTTATTCCAGTAATCTGATTTCTTAAAACAACGTCCAATGTTTGAATTGCATGACGTCTCTAGTGTTTTTTGTTCTTTCTATTTTCTTTGCTCATTGAGTGTTTGTGTTTGACTTTTGTGAATTGCTGGGAGATCTTTGTTCATTTTTCTATCAAAGTGTTTCTTGTTCTGATAAATATTTGTGTTTTTAATAACTATTTTAATATAAAGATGATTTTTATACTCTATGGACACATAGTTTAATCTTTATTTTGTGGTTTTTTTTTTCCTTTGGCGTTATGCTTAGGAGGACTTTATAGGAAATTATAAACATAAATTCTCACTTGTTTTTATCTTCTGGCTTCCACTGCCTGATACAATGTAATTATTGAACACTTAAAATATGACTGCTCCAAAGTGAGATGTGCACACTAAATTGCAAAATCTTAGTATGAAAAAAAGAGTGGAAAAATTCAATTTTTATATTGAGTACCTGTTAAAATGATAATTTTGGATCTATTGGAATAAATAAAATGTATTATTAAAATCGATTTCACCTGTTTACTTGTACTTTTTTAATTTGGCTATTACAAAATTTAAATTGCATATGTGACTTATATTATATTTCTGTTGCACAGTGTTTTTCTGCAGTATTTTAATTAATAAATGTATAATTTATATATAAGTACCTTCTACAATTTTTCTTAATGTCATTTAACTATTTAACTTTTTTTTCTAAATGGTTAAACAGTAGCTCAAAACCATTTTGTAAATAGTGCATGGTTTCCTATGATCTGCAATGCTGAATTACAATATACAATATTCTTACTCAGAGTTGAGTCTGCCTCTGGGCTCACCATTTTTCGATTGGTATGCCTTTGTAAGATGCTCTATGACTTGGCATTTTAAAATGAAAATTTGTCATATATTTATTCTTTTAAGTAAATTTTAGAAGATTTAGACAAAATTTATGTTGAACTAGCACTTATTAACTAATTTATAAAAATTGACATATCATAATACTGAGAGTTCTACTCATTAGCTTATTCACATCTTTTCACATATGGTATTCTTTTATGTGCATTAGTAGGGTTAATTTTACATTTATCTCTGTATTTTTTCCCATGTACATGCACATGTGTGTGAATGCACCTCTTTACAAATCATATCTCTTTTTCCAAAGATTGCATGTGTCTGTTGATATATAGAGTGTACATTTTGTGTGTATTGTAACAAACCACCTATCCTATTAGTTCCAATAGTTTTTCAGTTAAATCTTTTGAATTTCCAGGTAGACATTTTTATCTTCTGCAAATACTGAAAATGTTGTTTTTATAACCTCCATTATTCATAAATCTTATATTTTTCTTGCCTTATTGCATTGGCTTGAACTGACAAGAAAAGATAATATTAACCAAGATCACTTATTGTTCTTAAAGTTAACATAAATTTCTCTTGTTTCAACTCCAAGTCTGACCTTGACTGTTTTAGATGAGATCTTGAAAACCATATACAAAGATTGTAATTTCCATTTGTAGATTACTAAGAGAATTTTTGATTAGTAATTAACATTTATTTTTGAAATATATTGTTAGCATCTACTTATCTGTTTTTGCCTATTTACTTGTTAATGTGAGGACTTATTTTAATAGTGGTCCTATCAAACACCACTGCATTCCAAAGGTGGAGTCAATTCACTCATGATGTATTTTCTGTCTAACATTCTCTCAATAGCACATCACTAATATCAGTACTGCACTGCATAAAGTAAATGTGGAGTTCATGAATCTCATGAGATTTTAAAATCTCAAATTTTAAAACTTCAATAGCAAACCAGGTTGAGGCATCTCAACACCCTCAGGAAGAGGGTACGGTGGGTTTCCCATGCTGATGCTGCTGCCTTTCTCATCCCTGTCTTAGTTGGTTTAGCCTGTTACATCAAAACACCATCTACTGAGTGTCTTTTAAACAACAGAAACGTGTTGCTCAGTGTTCTGCAGGCTGGGAAATCTATGATCCAGGCACTGGCAGATTCAGTGTCTGCTGAGGATCACTTCCTGGTTCATAGGCTGTGTCTTCTCATGTCCTCCCAGGGGAAGTGACAGGGAGCTCTCTGGGGTCTCTTCTCATAAGGGCGCTAATCCTGTCATGAGGGCTTCACCATCATCCTAATTACCTCCCAAAAGAACCTATCGTAATACTGTCACCTTGGGGATTAGGATTTCAACACAGAAATTTAAGGAGGATGCAGACATTCAGATCACAACACCCCATCCAGGGGTCCCACGACCCAGGGCTGTCTCAGAGAAGCTCCTGGTTCCCCATCCTTAAACTTGCTCTCTCTGTAATATTCTGTGCCTGTTTCCTTTTCTGTAGCCAAAATGACTTCACTTTTTATTTTTAACTTTATTTCTCAAATCCCTGTCCATGCTTTTCAAAAGACATTATTTCAATATATTTCAAACTTTTTTTCAGTATAACTTTCTTAAAATTATTTTTTCTTAAAGCTCCATGATATAAAAAGGAGAGAAAAGTAGTGTTTGAGTCGTATGAATTAATTTGATATGCTCAAATTTATATTTACACGTAGCAAAAATCAATCAGAAGATTGGGAGGTTTTGATTAATACAAACTTTAATTAGGTTATTTGTTAGACTCAAATTTGCCTTATTACTCAGTTTTTTGATAATTTCTTCAGCTTGCAAAGCATCAAGGATCTTCTGACTTATAAAACTAAGCAGCTACAATTGGTAGCAACTTTTCTAATTGCTTGACTTGCAGATTGAAGTTGTGTTTCAGCTGAATTATTGTAGAAGCTTAAAAATGAAAAGGTATTGCTATTTCAAAGTTAAAATGCTAAGGATACCCAATAACACCAAACCACATCTTGTGTTTTCTGCGTACGTGATTTAGAGAGAGTCCATGAATTTGACATATATTTCCACAGTCAGTTTGAATCTTCATTCTTTCATATAAAATATTTATCAAATGTGGCTTAAATAGTATCCAATGTCATTTTAATAAATCTCAGATACTTCAATCTTGACCTCGTTCAGGTATTTACTCAGAGTTTCAAAACAACCAGAATCTGGGTTGATTTGTTTCTTGAATTCCCATTTCTTCCCTGGCCCAAAGCATGGGTCTAAGCATTATGACATTTTGACCTTGAGTTGTCTAAATGAGGTTATTCAGCTTATTAAAAGTCAGATAAGAGACACTAAAACTTCCAAATATTAATGAACGTGTACTGTACTACTGGGGATGTGTTACCTTATTTTTTGCAACTATGAGGTGCCATGGGACTCACATGCAATTTTACACTAACAGATACACACAACAGATACACACACACACAGGCTTTGATTTAAAAATGACCAGGGGGAGCACCAGCCTTCATGACCAACTGGCCAAGTCTAAACATGTCAATGGTATATTCCAAAAAAGCAGACTACCAGAGCTCCTCAGTGACTTGTCAGGGTCTCCACTGGGTTCTGTCTTGTTTACAATGCATTGGTTTGTGTATTTGTCTAATATTTGAGTTTAAAAACATACTTTTTAGGGTAAAAGCAGAATCAAACATTTGTGGAACCAGAGGACCCTGGGTTTTCACAGAACCACAAAGCAGAGACATTGATTGATGAAAATGAGTTGACATGTTACCCCTCCTGGGATATTTGAATGTTGGTTGAATTACTCTCTAATGTGTGATTACAGGCACTGTGGACAACTAATACAAGATTGTGGGTTAGGCTGACCTTCCTGTCCTTCTCCAATTGTGTTTCAGCAAAACAACCTCATCTGTCACATTAAATTTATGTTGCAGTTTGAATTATATAGGATTTGAAATTTTGCTTATGTTTAATTTAAAAATCAGTTTTAGTTTTATGGTTGTATGGATGATACAAGCATGAGACACTTGTACCCACCATCCTATTTGTACGTATTTAGAAACATTGTAATAAAAGTCAATTCAGATGAAGAGGAGAGTCTACAGGAATGACCCAGATTCAAGAATCATGGCTGGCAGATTTTAAGCTGAAATTTTAAGCATTATTGTTTTAAACCCTATAACAAATATAGAAAACATTGAAAACATATAATTATTAAAACTAGCCAAATGATATGAATGAGGTAAAAAATTCCAACCTCATAAAAAATTTAACACGTTGTCTGGCTTCTCAGGGACAACTGTCCCCTGCAGCCTCAAAGAAGCCTGAAAAAGTAAACCCACCCCCAAGTCACAGGTATGCCTTCTGCTTTGCCAAGGCGTTTTAAGGAAGAATAGAAACGTGTCAACTAGTTCAATTAGCCAAGGCTGCTACAACAGTCAATCAGAGGCTAGCGCCCAGCAGAGGGCCTCCCCACAGATGGGCATGTTGCAGCCAGGGGTTCAGCTGCATTTGGCCAGGAAGACACCCACACTCCACCTGCACCTCCATCTGTACTGCCCTGCACTGAGCACAGCTCTCAAGCCCCTCCTCTAATTCCCTCCCCTGCCTCTGTGGGGCCATGGCCACTGCCACATTGAAGGGTACCTGGGCTTCCCCTAGAAACCCCGGACTCCTCTGTGGTTTCCGGAGGCAATGCCACACACAGCAATCCAGCCATGTGGACAGTTCCGTAGCAAGGCTGCCTGAGTTCAAGCTCAGCATTGTCACTTACTCAGAGTGTGAGCTGCCTGTCACTCATGTTCAATAAAATGGCATGTGAGTACCTCACATTCAAGGTCTCCATCACTAGACTGAGCCACTAGGGCAGGGTCTCTTCTTCTTGCAGCTGTGAAGGGAAGAGGGCACCTCCTCACTCCCTTTGAAGATAGTCATAATCATGTGACTTGGTTAAGCCAATAAAATGGGAGTCAAAGTACCATGGATCACTTCTGAGGAGAAGAGTTTCATTGTCATTATTTTATTTGCTAACCCACGCTTTTCCTGGCTTTGACACTGGGGAAGGGCACACAGACAGAAAGCTGCCCTGAGACAATGCAACCTGCAGTGCAGGGCCAGCCTGTGGAGGGAGCCCTCCTGGGGAGACCACAGCCCACAAATGACAGTGTTGCAACAGGAAAGGAAGCTTTACCATGCTTGTTACTGCAGCACACCTAGCTGATCCTGACTGCTACACTATCTGTAGAACAGAGATGAAAAGTGGCTGTGTATAGTAAGCTGAGTGGCAATGCCTGGCCTGCTTGGTACTGCAGTGATGCAAGCAACCTTCGCTTGACAGATGGCTAATTCCTAGGTGTGCTATCATCTTTATTCCAGTGACCTGGTAGAATGTCTGGTAAGTATTGTTTAGGTGTTGATAAATGTTTGTTGAGCAAAATTAAGAAGCCAGTTGAATAAATGTCACTGATATGATTGGATAATACCAATTTAAATTATATATGGAAGAAATTAGAGGCTGTTCTATGATCTGAATGTATCTCCCAAAATTCATGTTGAAACTTAATCGCCAATGGTATTAAGAGGTGGAGCTTTAGGAGATGGTTGCTCATGAGGGTGGAGCTCTCATGCATGGGATAAGTGGCTTCATAAAAGAGGATGGAGGGAAACCCTAGTGCCTTTTTCCCTTCCACCCTCTGTATCATGTGAGGATGTCAGGAGATGACATCATCGCCAGACATTGAACCTTCTGGTTCTGTGACCTTGGACTCTCCACCTTCCCAACCAATGAGAAATCCATTTCCTTCTTTTATACTCAGTCTGTGGCATTTTGTTATAGCAACACAATTGGGCTGAGATGCCATGTTTGAAGGATGATGCTGAAGTAACAGTGAATTCCACATAGATTCCTAGCAAAATATCAACTTCCCCTGATATGGTTTGGCTGTGTCCCCACCCAAATCTCAAACTGTAGCTCCCATAATCCCCACGTGTCATGGGAGGGACCTGGTTGGAGGTGATTGAATCATGAGGGCAGGTCTTTCCTGTAATGTTCTTGTGGTAGTTAATAAGTCTCAGGGGGATCTGATGGTTTTATAAAGGGGAGTTTCCCTGCACAAATTACCTCTTTGCCATGTAAGACATCCCTTTGCTCTTCCTTCATCTTCCGCCATGATTGTGAGGCCTCCCTCGTCATGTGGAACTGTGAGTCAATTAAACCTCTTTCTCTTATAAATTACCCAGTCTTGGGTATGTCCTTATCAGCAGTGTGAAAATGGACTAATACACCACCAAATGTTCTTGTTCTCCAACACGTTCCAACTAAAAATATTAGAACCATTGTGGCAAAACTCTGTATAAATAAGGTGAGAGAGTAAATATCCCTGTAACTAGATACCCCTAAAGGGACCACTGATACCTCTGATTTTCACTTGGGCAAATAACCATCAGTAAAATGACACCCTCTTCAAGTCAGCACCACACTCTGATGAGTGCCCAGGGGCAGCCCTCTGCTGTCCTGCAGGTGGCCTTTTTAGATTGTGGGGATTAATAGCTGCTCATTTTGGGTGCATTCTATTTATCTGTTCTTAACTTTGAACTTTTTACCAGGCAGACTCTGAAAGACGAACGAGGTGCGTATCACGACTCGACACTGTGTAGCACCTGGGCTTGCCCAAAACGCTGGCTCTGGGCTTCTGTGATGTCACTTTCAGCCAATCAGAGAAGCTGAGGAGCGGGAGGAGGCTTTTCATGGATGCAGGTGTGCGGGCCTCAGATGGTGAGCCCTGCTGCTCCCCTCCTCACCTCCAGGTGGGGAGATGTTTGTGGGGCTTCCACTGTGCAGGGCCGGGTTGTTGAGAATATGGAAATACTGGGTTTGCAGCAAGCTATACTCCCGTACCTCACAAAGAGCAGCCACAACTTAAAGATGAAAAATGATGGGAAAGAAGGAGGCAACACTGTAAAATTTTACCAAATGAGCTTCTGGTTGTATATTGACAATATTTAAATAAATGGACCATAAGGCATTTATAAAACCTTCAGAAATGACTCTGTTTTCAACAGCGTCTCTTACAGTTTCAGATATGTCACGCTCACTGTGGTATTAAATCTTCTACATCATAGTGACAGAGAAGAATGCATACTTATAGTGTAACTATTATAATGCAAATCACTGGATGGGTCAGCAAGGCTGCCAAATGTAAGCATTTTTATAAAAATGCTCTGATCAAGGCCTTCCAAGGATCTTCCTCCTTTTACATCATCTAATTGGTTCCAGTTTATTCATGATAGTCCAGGCAATAATGAGATTACCCAAAATATTGTGCAAATAAAGAGATATTAAGTGTATTCTATTTAGAAACAAATTCAGAAATACCTATTTAGCCTGTTGAGCTACACTTATATAGCAGACAAAGACAGGGCAACTTAGAGACACACACACACTTTCATAAACATTTATACTCTCTCCCTCAGAGCTGGGGATCTCATACTCTTGGTTTAGCCCTTTTGATGAAAATACACTGTGATTTTAAAATAACCCATGCTCAAACATGTATCACTCATCAAAAAGTGCATTTAAAGAAAAAAAACACTCAGTTGTAATTCCCATTACATCTCGCCTCTCATCCTGGTGACATTGATACTGAATATTGGATGAATGCTGGCAAAGCGTTAGTAGCAAATTCCGTGCCACAGTCTCCCCTGCAGTATGACAGCCCACTCTCTGAATGTTTTGTCCAATAATGAGGAAACTTTAAAAAATAAAATGTGCATTCTTTTTGAGACAGGGTCTCACTCTGCCACCCAGGCTGGAATGCAGTGGCACTATCTTGGCTCACAGCAGCCTTGACCTCCTTGGGCTCAGATGATCCTCCAGCTTCAACCTCCCCAGTAGCTGAGATGGCAGGCACATGCCACCCAAGCCCAGCTACTTTTTATATTTTTTTGTAGAGACGGGGTTTCACCATGTTGCCCAGGCTGGTGTCAAACTCCTGGGATCAAGCAATCCACCTGCCTCAGTCTCCCAAAGTGCTGGGATTATAGGCATGAGCCACCACGCCCAGCCAGATATGCGTCTTTTAACAATAACCTGGGTTTTGTGTTGGGGTGCTGAAACAGTGACTAGACAAACCTCCCTGGATGACCAGAGGGGCAGGGCAGAGCGCCAGCCCACATCGGAGTGACCAGGGCTTCTCCAGCTGTAAGCATGGTTTCCTTCCACAGCAGAGCGGATGTGCAGCTGGGGACTCCCATGCAGAAGTGCATAGGACGCTGTCTCAGTGTGCCAGGGGGTGATCTGGGAAGATAAGATAAGGCATCTGTCCCCCAGGAACACCTGCTCTCCGGGAACAGCCACCTGGAGGATCTTGCACTCAGCCCACGAGGGCAGGACCAGCAGCCAGGGCAGTTTCGGGGATGCGGACAGAAGACTCTTTATTTACTTTTTTGAGATGGAGTCTTGCCCTGTTGCCCAGGCTGGAGTGCAGTGGCACAATCTCGACTCACTGCAACCTCTGCCTCCCGGGTTCAAATGATTCTCCTCCCTCAGCCTCCCGAGTAGATGGCATTTCAGGTGCGCACCACCGCACCTGGCTAATTTTTGTATTTTTAGTAGAGACTGGGTTAAGCCATATTGGCCAGTCTAGTCTCGAACTCCTGACCTCAGGTGATCCACCTGCCTTGGCCTCCAAAAGTGCTGGGATTACAGGTGTGAGCCACCAGAGGACTCTTGCCCAGTGGCTGGGTGTCACCTCCAAATGCTGTTCTTGGCACCTACATCTGGGTCTTACTTGTCCTGAAGTCATGGGGGCTACTAACAGCCTTAACTAAGCTCACTTTTGCTTTTACAAGTTGGAACTGGTCCTCTTCTTTAAAACTGTATACTATGACTCGTACAAAGTCTGGATTTTCCAAATGAAAATACCAGCTTATGTACAATTTCAGTGACATACTAGATGCTACCGGTCACCCAGTGTATCCACCCTGTGCACAGGAATCATTCCCAAATAAGCTAGAAGGGTGCCATGGTGTTAGTAACAGAGGGTGTCACAAAGGAAGTGCACATTCAGTCCCACACTAAAATTGTAGGCATGTAATATTTCCATTCTCCTAAAGCTCCAGATCTCATTTGGAGCCTCAGCGTGGCCATTCAGTCCAGCCTGAATGGTCTCTGACTACAGTCCTGGCTCTGGGATCCCCGGGACAGGCACGTGGCCTCCTGCCTTCAGAGTGGACCTTCCTTGGCCCTTTCTACTCTGCTACAGTCCTCTTTCTTGCAGAACACTCTGGAGAGAGGCGGTAAACTGACACCATAGCTGACAACAAAATGCTTCTTAGGGCCATTAGATCCTGTCCCGTGGGCTGACCTCAGGCACTGACGGTCCTTAGTCACCATGAGGCAATGTCACAAGAGCACACCCAGGACTTTGTTGTTATTTCACAACTTTAGGAGAGAAACCATCTACCTCTGTGATTTTTTTCCCCTGGGGGAATAGAAAATTCAACAGGTTTAATAAATGACTGAATAATAAATTAATAAACAGGATGAAGGCATAAGAAAATGGGGAACAAAGACAAATTGCAAAATCAACAATTATCGTATTCTAACAATATGCATTTTAACTATGATTTGTAGACAGACTCAAGTTTTCAATCAGAAAGAGAATAAGAACTACCTACAAATAATGTATAATCTTTGCCCAACAGACAAAAGATTATAGCATTTTAATCAGTCTCACGTAAGTCAGTATCAATCTGTAAATAGGGACCAGGTTTTAGTTTTTTTGATTATTATTCTAGTTTTAAAACTCAGGCTACACCCTATGGATGTTTAATAGTAAGGGGATAGCCACTAAAAAATTAACTGTGGCTTTGAGTTTTCTCCTGAGCTTTTTAAAGCATCTCCATACTGAGAAGCCTGACACTTAGTACATGGGAAATACATCCCCGACACTCAGGAGCCTGGTGTCACTGGGTCCCATCCTTGTTCCAGGCCCGGGTCACTCTGGCCTCCCCCTCCCTCAGTGACTGCTGGACGGCAGCGCCTCCTCTCTGGTTTTCCAGACCCCCCACCCCCTGCTGCCCCCGGACATGGGTCGCTGGGGCTTGGGTTCACTTGTCCAGGGAGACACGGACGGCGTCAGTCCCGAGCTTTGCATCCACTCATCACAAATCTCATCATCAAAGTGCACCCGTGCTGAGTCAAGGCCCTCATTCTAGCAGGTCCCAAAGTGAGCGAGGCTTGATGGGAAAGGGGTCAGTGATTTCTTACTATGTCCAGTTACGCAGGTTTGGATTGGAGGACTCTGTTTTCATAAACCAACCTCGCCTGGCTGGTGGTTTCACTTCTGATTCATGGGATGGAGGCTGGCATAGCCTGGGACTTGAGAGTCCTGGATTTTTATAATTCTTTCTCTTTTTCTGAGGATTTCCATCCTATGCTTTCATTCCCATCTGTCTGCCTCCACTTTACCACACTCAGGCTTTGCTCCCGTTAGCATCTATGTCATGACAGGCTTGGCCTGCACTGACACAAGAGGCCCGGACTGCCCATCTCTCCAGCCTGGTCCTGTGATTCCAACAATGGGGCCCATGACCCTTCTCTCCTCCCGAGACCCTCCCACCCCACTCAGCACTCACCCCTGTGGTCCTAAGAAATCGGGAACCACTCGTGGTCTCCACTCACCAACCACCTGCTCGTCCTTTCTCTGTTCATGCCCTCAGGACCCTCAGCTCCAAAGCTGCAGCCCCACTGGGTTCTTCAATTCATGGACACTCCCGTCGGCTCACTGCCCCTTGCCCCAGCCCCCATCACCTCATTGATGCTGTTCTCGATGTGAGCTCCCTCCCAGCACACACCCAAAATGCCTGCTCCAAGTCTGTGTACTAGACCCTGGACACAATCGTGCTGATAGCTCCAGCTTCCAGGAGGACCATCTTCTCTGAGCCTGGGGTTCTCTTGGCAATGCAGCCTGCACCTCACTCCATCAACCCAACCCCTTCTCCCCTACCCCAAGCCGCAGGGCCTAGAGGATGGTTTCATACCTTCTCCTCCCACGCCTGCCTACCCCTCCTGCTCTCAGCTGATGGCCTTGCTTCCTGTACTCCCGAGAAGGTGGAACCTCTGCAGAGACTGTCCACCTGCTCCGAGGCCACCCATGCTTGCCCTGTCTTCTTGGCAGTCACTCTCTTAGCACAGAGGAGCCTTCCCTGCACCTGCTGGGAAGCAACCCCCCGACTTGTCCTTTTTGGGGGCCTCTGGCTCTCACACAGCTCAATTCAGGGCCAGGGCAGCTCCTTGCTACCTCTTCAGAACTAAGGCATGATGTAAATCTTCAAAAGATATTATCATGAGTTTA